>NC_000013.11:53408106-54658106 GCF_000001405.40 Homo sapiens
CAATTGTATTGTACACAATAGTATGTGCTAGACTTTTATATGACTGGCAGTACAGTAGGTTTGTTTACACCAGCATCACCACAAATGCATGAGTAATGTATTGCGCTAAAATGTTAATGAGGGCTAAAATGACACTAGATAATAAGAATTTTGAGGTCCATTATATTCTTATGGGACTACCTTGAGATATATATATATTTGTTGTTGTTTTGTTTTGAAAATTTCTTTTTTGGGAGGGCAGCAATTTTTGTTTTTTTTTCAAACTTAAATAAATTGTTACAAAATAGACTTTAGAAAAATAAGTTACAAATTGTAGCAAAAGGCTTCCTTCCACAGGCAACTTTCCCACCCATAGCACTCTGCATCCCGGCTCCCTCGTGTTGCAATCTGGCTGGTGAGGGTGGCCTGGCATCTCGGCAGAGGCGGGCACTGGGAAGAGTACGGTGACAAAGGCTGGGGGAAGGAGGTCCTTCAAGGACAGGGACGCGAAGAGCACACCACCCTCTTCTTGGGAAAGAAGCCAGATCTGGGTCCTCTTCACAAGGGGAGGGGAGAAGAGATGGGGAGCCCAAACTGCTCCTGAGAAAACGTGGAGATCAAGCCCCTCCCTGCACGCGCCCCCTCCCCCAGATTCTGATCTTTGGAAACTTGAAGTTCTGAGGGAGAAGCTGAGGTCTGCAGGCCACTGGGGTTAAGGGCCCAGAAGTGGGGTCGTGGGAGTGGGTGGAGGGGGCAATGACAAGTCCCCTCTGCCTGCCGCTGGTGCCACTGGGGCTCCAGAGCCTGCCACTGTCCTCTCCTCCTGGAGCTGCTGCTGGTGCTGCACGAAGCCGATTCTGTGGCAGAAGTGGCAGGGACCATGGGGGCAGGTGAAAGGCCCCTCCCGGGGTGGGGTGCGTGGACCCGCCCGTGGCCCTCCAGCCGGGCAGCTGACCGGAAGGCCTTGCCACAGATGCTGCAGTGGTGGTGCTTGCGGTTCGCGTGGATCCTGCTGTGGTTCTTAAAAGACAGCAGGTTGGGGGCAGCGGGAGCAGGGGTACAGCCCTGTGGTGTGGGTCTTCTGGTGTGTCAGCAGGCTGCCGGCTTGGCAGTAGAAGGGCCTGCACTGGGCGCAGCGGAAGGGCTGCTCCTTGTCCTCAGCTACTGTGGACGTCACCCCTTATCCTCTTCTAGCTCTCTCCGCACTCTCTCCTGGGCCTCCTGGTGTTTCTAATGGAGCCTCCCAGGGTTTCCCTTGACCACGGAGGCCCACCTCGTCCTCCCCAGTCCCGGGCTTGGGACATCTGGCCTCCTCGATCTGGGCCGGCACCTGGCTGTGGCCCCTGGCATGAGCCTGCAGAGGTGGCTGGCCAGTTTGTAGTGGGACTCAAAGGCCTTGCCACAGTCAGGGCAGGCAAAGGTCTGGGCATCTGTGTGGTTGTGGTTGTGGCTCTTCGTGGCCACAGGATTCAAGAACTCCTTGGATCAGAGCAGGCAATAGTGTTGGTCTGTCTTGTGAGTGTTGTGGTTCAAGAGGTCACCTGGCTGGCAGTAAGTCTCGCCACATTGGCTGCAGGAGGAGTGGCTCCCTGGCTGCAGCTGAGAGCTATTGTCTCCATTGATCCAGCTATCCATGTGACTCAGACTAGGTCCATTGAGCTGGCTGTCACTGGCATGCCAAGGACTCCTGGGGACACTGTCATCTGGCTCCTCTGGCCTGGTCAGGAACTGAGGAACCCAGCCTACATTGTGATTCCCCAGTCCCCCACCTCCTGGCCACCCACCTGTCCTTGGCCAAAATGTTGTTATGTGGCACATGCCTATACTGGACAGAGTTAAATTGTAATGCAATTAACAAACATTCCCCAAATATCAATATTTAAAATAACAAAGGCATTTCTTTTTACCCTACAGATCCAACATGAGTCAGCTGAGGACCTTCACTCCATAGCCTCATCATCCTTCTTGGGGACTCAGGTTTAGGGGTTGCATGTCACTTGCAACTCAGTGGGAAGTCAATAGGAAGAACAAGTATTATGGTATATCACATTCAATCATTGGCCCAGGCGATGGGCTAAGTATCACTTCCACTCCCAGCTCAATGCAGAGAAACAGTCACGTGGCCTCACCCAGCCACTGGGAAAGCAAGAAGCACGATCCTTACAAGAGCATAGAACAGCGGTCCCCAACCTTTTTGGCATAGAAACTGTTCACCTCAGATCATCAGGCATTGGTTATATTCTCATAAGGAGCACATAACCTAGACCCCTCTTAAGAGCAGTTCATGGTAGGGTTCACACTCCCATGAAAATCTAATGCTGCCACTGACCTGACAGGAGGCGGAGCTCAGGCAGTAATGCTCACCTCCTACTGTGCAGCCCGGTTCCTAACAGGCCACAAACCAGTACAGGTGTGTGGCGCAGGCATTGGGAACCCTTGGCCTAGAAGGAGAAGAGAGACTGATAAGGTGGAACAGGTGAATGACAACCACAATGGTGCTGGGGTTAATTTCCTTTAACCAGTAGGATGTCACTTTCCTTTTTACTGTTTTCATTTCCTCCTCCCATCAGCTATTTAGCACTTTCAGCTTGAGCTATGTGTAACTTTGTTTCCTAAAATTGTTGGTCCTAGTTCCTGCCTGGCCTCTAGCTAGGTAAATGCTGATAGAAGAATTCCCTGACCTCTCCAGGCCTAATTTTATCAACGGTAAATAGATGGATTAGGATAACTTTAAGAGACCTCCAAATGAAAATTTTATGATTCATGAAAAGGCAAAAATAAATCCTTCTCTTTTGATTATCTTGCACTGACCAAGTAGGCAACACAGGCCATGTATGCCCAGGGAAACATAATCCAGCAGTGGAGAGATAAGCAACAGAGGGGCACTGGTGCTGAGCCAGGAGAGATAGCAAGGATAAACTACTGAGGTGGACCTTGGGCTCCAATACGAGTTCAAAGGCAGGTAAGAAATAGTGAGGAAATTATCAAATCTAGACTCTTCTACCTTTAATTTTTTTAGTGGTGATTTAGTGATTACTTAAAGTAAGCGCGCGCGCACACACACACACACACACACACACACACACACACACACACACACGTATATATATAAACTCCCCCCAACAAGAGAAGACACTGAATGGCTCACTTCAAAGTTCAGGCAGTGAGTCTCTTTTTAAGTTGTCAGTGAAATACACCTAGGGCTTATGTTTTATGGTTTGCACAGTATGGTCATAATCCTTATAAATGTCTTTCACCTAGTGGCAAGGTAACCAAATGACAGCATGAAATTTTTGAAAGCTGAATGATTTTTCATCAGTTGAGTTAGAAAAACTACAGAAATAAGTGACAGCAATTGTCTTGGTAAGGCTTGTTTTAAATAATTCAGACGATTTGCTTTGTTCTAACTTGCATTTTAAACTATGTATAACCTTCTCAAATCATTACTTTCTAAAGTAAACATATTGGTTCATACACTAGGGTATGTGGATTTAACACAGCAAGGAAAGGCCAGAGCAAATGCCTAGGCCTGCTGTGCCACAGTCAGGGCAGAGCTCTTTACACAAAGGCTGATAATTGGTAATAGAAGCTGAGTGGAAAACAGCCTCTAGGCTCTGCAAAGTGGCTACAGACACAAGCAAAGGAAAGGCTCCACTTACCCACATTCATCTGCTTAGATGTCTACTCTGATCTCCCTCCTCTGTCTTCTTACATAATAATTTTACTAATCAGTCACCACATTCAGGGAAACTGCCTGAAAGTAAAGCTCATATAAAGAAATGAGATAGATTGGGAACCTAAATCCAGATCTCTGCTTAGGCCTGAAGCTGTTTTGTACTTCTGGAGTTTTCTAGCACATAAGCCAACAATTTTGCTTTTATGTTTAGGATAGTTTTGGCTCAATTTCTTCCACTTGCGTTGAAAAAAATGACTGACTTATATACAGAATACGGATTACTGGGCTAAGGTTAAATAGCCATTCTGGTAGGAAACAGCTTGAGCAAAGGCATCTAGGCAGAAAATCTCAGAATGTATTCAAACTGGAGTATACATTAAATGGAAAAAATGGGAGGTAGGTCTAGATAAGAAGTGCTTTGAATTTCCTGATAAAGAAAATAAAATGTACTCTATAAAAAAAATGAGGAACTGTGGAAAGTTTTTGAGTAGGGCAGTGAAATGCACAAACTTTGCTTTCTGAAGAGTTTCCTGGTACTCAAAGGAGAAATATTTGGAAGGGGAGATTTAGGAGTTTATAATAAAAGAGAAAAACATGATAATCAATAATCAATCACTTTGGCAGTGAATAGGAAGTCTTATTATATGTGGTGTAGAATAGACAGGAGGCAAACGTCAAGATTGATTCTAAAATTTTAAGTTTTTCACTGTTTAATGAAATAGTAGGCCCTTGATAAATGGTTTTGAAAGGCTGGTTAACTAGATAAATAGGGGAGTTCTGCTGGCAGATTGTTGGATATAGAAGAAGAGAATGTGTTTTGCTGAGCAGCCAAGGATATGCTAAATCAGTTAATTTTGAAACTGTAAAAAAGAGCATATTCCTAATCAATTCCTAGGATTCAAAACTCAAATGACATTTATCTGTGTATCTGAAACCTGAATGGTGATCATGGACTATCATTTTCTTTCTTATTAAACTGGTAAGTTTATTTTAAAAGAAACTCTGATTTTTCCTGTTAATGGAGGCAACATGTACTTCATTAGCCTAGGGCAGGCATTGGCAACCCACAGTAGACAGGCCAAGGCAGCAGGAGATGATCACCAGTGCTTAATGTTACCATTCTAACCATCAAACAAAATGCCAGTAGGCTGTTAGTCCTTCTTTTACCTCCTCCAGGTTCCATCTTCTCACATGACATCTCCAGTCTCTTGGTACATGCACATTGCCTTCCTGGTGATTCAAATTATTCAGAGTACAACCCTGTCCCTCCCACCCCCAAAACTCTCAGTTCCATATGTCCCATTGCACATTTTTGAATAAATTTACCTCTCTCAAGACCTACCCATTTAAAAAAATCGCTTCTCTTTCTACTCCTCTTCAATCCATTTTCTTTTTTACTTGCAAGTCCAAGCAAAATTCGTGTTGCTTTAGAGGGACTGATTGCAGCCTGGTGTCAGGAGAAAAATACTCATATGTGTCAACTTGGCTGGGCTACAGCACCTAATTATTTAATCAAAGTCTAATTTAGGTGTTACCGGGAAGCTATTTTATAGATGTGGTCAACATTTACGATTAGTTGACATTAAGTAGAGGAGATTACTGTAGATAATACAGGCAGGCCCCATCTAATCAGTTGAAAGTCCTTAGGATTAAAAATTGAGATTACCTAGACAAGGAGGAAATTCTGCCTCCAGACCACAACATCAACTCCTGCTGTCAAGTTTCCAGCATGTTGGCCTGCTCAACAGATTTTAGACTTGCCAGCCCCACAATCACATAAGCCAATTCCTCTCTCTCTCTCTCTCTTTCTCTCTCCCCCTCTCAATTCTACTGGTTCTGTGTTCCTGGATAACCCTCACTGAAACAAGTTCTTTGAAGTTATTTGCATGGTGGTGTGACTGACCAACACTGAAACTTAAATGGGAGTGTCAGCACCATTTGTGAAATGGTACCAACTATTTTGAAAAACAAAATTTGCCTTCATAGTATAGCTCAAAGGGTGATGCTGCCTATCCCCCCTACCTGTTTAAACTGGCTTTCACTTGGAATAAAATTTGTGTAATTAGAATTAGTGGCACCTACTGATGGAGTAATACTAGATCTGGCCTAGAGCTGAATGTGCCAGAAGCCATCAGCTATCTCTTAAATGTAGAGGGAAACTTTTCCGGTCAAAACCAAAAAATTTTGAACCTTAGCACTGGGGATTTGCAAGAGATCTCAGCCATCATTCAGACCGGACTTTTTATTTCAAATATAATGAAATAGAGGCCCAGGGAAAACTGTGTTGTGCAAAGCCACAGTCACTGGAATTATAACATCCTTTTATATTTGTTTTTTCACTTGAAAATCTTTTAATATTTTTCTTTATTGCTAAATATTTTGCTAAAGCATGTTGTTTTGGCCTGGACAATATTCCATCATTTGGTTGTGCCAGAATAATTTTATTAAATATCTGTTTAGTGCATTTAAGTTATATTCATGTTTTCACTTCTGTAAATACTGGGATAAATATCTTTATACATAAGTCTTTGTACACATTTATCATTCCTGAAGATAAGTTTAATGAAAAGAAATTTCTAGGTCAAACAGTATGCACACTATGAAGGATTTAATCCCAGTTGCCAAATTGTCCTCCAGAGAGGTTTTACCAATTTCTAATACTCAGTGATGGATGGGAGCCTGTTTCCCTCTCCTTTGAATATTTTCATTAAAAAACAAACAAATGGCCAGGCATGGTGGCTCACACCTGTAATCCCAGCACTTTGGAAGGCTGAGGCAGGTGAATCACCTGAGGTCAGGAGTTTGAGACCAGCCTGGCCAATGTGACGAAACCTCATCTCTACTAAAAATACAAAAATTAGCTGGGCATGGTGATGGGTGCCTATAATCTCAGCTACTCCAGGAGGCTGAGGCAGGAGAATCACTTGAACTCAGGAGGCCGAGGTTGCAGTGAGCTGGGAGATTGTGCCATTGCACTCCAGCCTGGGCAACAAGAGTGAAACTCCATCTCAAAAAAACAAAAAACAAAACAAAACAAAAAAACATGATGGAAATGGAGTCCTGTTTTAATTCACCTTATTTATTAGCAAGGTTGCACTTGTTTTCCTTAAATTTGATGTGAATTGTATTTTTATGCTGTTTTAATTGCCATTTATCACTTTTTAACTGAAGTTTATATGCTATTGATTTGTAGAATTTCTTAAAAAATAAAATAGAATCCACAAAACCATTCCTCAATAAATGATGGGTATTGTTATTATTAATATTGTTGTTTGTTTTGTTGTAGTTGTTGATATTATTGTGCCGCTGCCAGGTACTTACTGCTATTTAGCAAGAAACTACAAAGAGATCACAGCCTGGAGTTCAATAGCCTATGCTAGGGTCTAATAGCCTATGCTAGGTTGATCAGAGGGTAAAATATATCTATATTTCTTTGGGAAAAATGCACCAAAGCATATCCCAATTATGCTGTTGATTTTAAAATTTTTCATCTGCATCTTTTAGCCAGGCTCTATTCTCCCTGGAATAAAGTAAAATGTGGTTTATGCTTCAGGCAAATGTATAATGGCATGCAAACCACTCCACCTCTTTCGTTTCCTCTCTAACTAGGCACCGGATTCTTTCTTTTTTTGGAAATTTATGGGAATTGACCTCAGATAATACATAAATTGCAAAGTGCTTCCTTTTCTTATATAGCATTTTACATTATTCCTATTTTTTCCCCTCTAGAAAGTGTGAAATTGCATATCTTAAAATGGAATCTGTGCAGCAGTTTTTTATATTTTTAAATATTTAGCAGTACACAGTGTTTACTTTCTATGTTTCATTCTTGAATATTGTGTTTTATAGAAGACTATCAAGGAGTTTTCTTTTTCATTTTTATAGTAGGCTTCAAACTCCTGTAGGCCTGTGTTCATTCATTTGCCTTCTGCTGTGTTTGAACTCCTCTCCTAGGGTAGAAGTAATGTTTATGATTGGTCACCACATTATGCAGTCTTTGGTGAGGAAGGATGAGAGATGGCTAAGGGATATTTGGAAGAGTCTTTTATGACAACTGAAGAATACACATTAGACACTTTCGCATGGTGGTTATAAAAATCTTTACCTCCACACATGAGTTAATATGTGTAGCTTGCTTAGCATGATTCCTGACACATAGCAGATATATATCAAATATGTTATTTCCTTTCTGTTTATCAATCAGGGAACAAGACCAACAGGACTTTAAATGTGCACACAAATACATAAGAGATTTATTTTAAGTGACTTGAAATTGGCTCCAGTGAATGTGGAGGGAGGTGTTTGAAATTTGTAGGCCAACCAGCTACAAATTCAGATAAGAGTTGATGTTGCAGTCTTGAGTCTGAAATCCATACAGTGGGCTTAGATTGGAAAGTCAGGCAGGATTTCTATGTTTCAGTCTTGAGGCAGAATTCCTTTTACTCTAGGGAACCTTGGTTTTTGCCTTCAAGGCCTTCAATGGATTATATGAAGCACCTCTATCTTATAAAATGTAATCTCCTTTACCTAAAGTCAAATGACTGTGGATGTTAATCACATCAACAAAATACCTTCACAACAACATCCAGACTAATGCTGGACCAAACAAGTGAGCACCATAGCTCGAACAAGTTGACACATAAAATTAACCATCACACCTTTATTTTAACTCCTCCTTTCCCACATGTAAAGGGAAGTAGGGATCTATCAAGAAACCAGAGGTGTTTTATTACTTCAATTTCAAGATCTCAGTTTTATGAACTCACCGAATTCTTTTAATGAACATAAACAGCAAGACGTCTTGAGAACAAGATACAGTGCAGTTTTGAATAAGAGAAAGAAAAAGAAGGTTTGTGCTGATTTTGGAACTAAGGTTAGAAGAAGGAGAGGTGAGAGCACCCCAAAGATGATGCAACTGTCTTCCTGGTTTGGCCAGCTTCTGCTAATTCTCCATGACTTTTACAGTAGTACTGAGAGTTGTGGGTTGGAGGGAAAACATAGAAAGGATAGGCTCCCTCAATGCACAATATTAGGGAACTTCCCTGCTACAAAACAGGGGTGTCATGGGCTGAGTGAGGCAAGGCCTGTTGTGATTCTCTGCAAGCATCCTAGATAAGTCCAAAGAAATTCCCAGATCCTTCTTCAGTATAGCAGTATAGACACAGACCAGAGTCGTCTTTGAGTCCAGGTTGAGAATGGGCATTGAAGAAACAATCTCCAGAGCAGAAGGAAAATGAGCTTGAATGAAACAAGAGTTCATCATATGCTGGTGGTAAAGTTGCTTAACCTTTCAGCTGAGCTAAGTATTTAGACATGTAGGTGGATAATATTAACCACCGACCTATTTAATAGGGCAAATGAGTTAAAACTATAAGATTTTAAATTCACATCAATCAGCAAATTCAAAGCACAGCACTATAATTAGAAACTCACAATTACCCGTAGAATATCCATGTGGGCAAAATTAAAGCATACTGAAAATTGTTAGAAGTTGTTTTAATTTCGGGTATAGCCTGGTTCAAATGAGTTGATTCCTTTATTCTCAGCATGATGGGATACCTACATATAACATAGACTTCCTTTAGAGACGGAATTTTCTGCTATTTTAGAAACTAGGTGCCGATCTTTCTTAGGCCATGGTCAACAACTTAAAACAGAAAACTTAAATCAGTGACTTGAGGAGGTCTCCAAGGTGAAATTTGTTAATAGTGAACACAAAAGACTGCTCTTCTAGAGAACTGACTTGGCTACTGACTTTAGTAGATCACATCATTTTACTGCATATTTTTGTAAGGCCTGTTAAGGTATTATGAACATATATTTTATATGTCAGGTTAACTATTTTAAGTCAGATAAGCAGAAACATATTCAATGGCTGATTTTCAAGGATTCTCTTAGGATTTGCATTTGGGTAGGCAATATATGTGCAAATACACTTGATTCACTGCCTTTTGAAATATTTCTTTTCAATACTTACTCATTTTGAGCAAGACAGAACAAATGCACAGTAATCCCCTTTTTAACAGAGATTTTTTTCAGGCTGAGAATCTTGAGCCTCCCATAAAATTGGTATAAATGACTTAAACAGTGGTATAAATGACTTAAATGTTTCCTGGATTATTTACATAAAAGGCAATGTTACACTATGGTAATAATGGGGGCAATACATTTTGGAGGCTGGAAAGTCAGCTACATAAGTCATCTTTGGAAGACTGAGCACCAGGTCTTTGCATTGTTAGGCTGGTATTTGTTTAATGTGATTTTTCAGAAAAAGTTATCAGAAAAGCTTTCCCTATAAGCAGCCATATGACCTCCAGGAAGTAGTTAAGAGAAATGTAATGGCACTATTTGATATAGTATAGGTTATATCTTTGGAAGGGATCCAATTTTTTCCAGTCTTTATTCACTAGGGAGTAAAATTATTGCCTCATAAAACAAGAGAAATGTCCAGTTATTTCTTAAGTAGAAACCTATTAACTTTACCACTGTCACCAGTTTCTTCCACAACATTAAAATCTTTTCAGCCTTGTGGCAGGGAGGATGTTACATACCCGGGTTTAGTGATCCAAGGACAATTATTTTGAAAAATATATATTTCCTTGAAAGACCCAATTTTGAAAGAACTAATTCTTAGAATTGATGTTCCAATGAATCACTGGATTCATAACAGCATTTTTCTCAAAAACCTTTTGCGTATGTCAAAACTATCAGCCAGGGCATAAAAAAGTTGAGTTTTAATAGTAAAGAAAATTTATGATTGAAAAAGAGAGCTTGATTATTGAAATGCATTATGATGTTTCACCATATTGAATTAAAGTTTAATTTATTTGGAAAACCTGGATAGACATCTCCAATTTCTATCAGAATACTGCCATTGTATAGAATATTCCTTTAGGTTACACTGAGTGTTATAGTCCCCTTTCCACTTGAGAGGCAAATAAAAATGCTTTACTTACCTACAATGTCTGGATGAGAATGAATTAAATTCATCTGAGAAGATGTGATGGTTCCCACAGAAGAGGAGAGAGAAGGTCATTTAGACTTTGCTCCATTCTGCTTTGGTTATATATTGTAAAGAACTGGCCAAGAACTAAGACCAGACTTAACCAAGAATGATGTTTGTCTCTCACACAGATGATCTAGTTGCCGTGGCTCTTAGGTTGAGCCTCTTAATAGCCAAGCCCTTTGCATCCATTTCTAATTGTTCCTTAGCTGAGAATCTAATATCCAGCCAAGTTGGGTCTGGAATTTGTGCAAACATATCTGAACTATTCTTGGCCAAGATGTGTAGTTAGAATTTGGTTAGACTGCAAGCCATCATATCTTGGCTGACGTTTTCCAAGAGTACACCTTGAGACCAGGACTTTAGCGATTCTCAGAGGACGAGTGAGGACGAGTGAGGTGATGAAGAAAGTGAGACAAGAAAGGGAGAAAAGCCACTAAGTGTATTTTGAAGGGTAAATTACCTCTTTGGGAAACTAGGGACTCAAGTACAGTGAGCACCCTTTAAAAAATCAAGAGGATTAGTGAGAATTGTCTACCAGAAGGACAGGGATTATTTTTCAGTAGCGGAAGGTTGCCCTCAAAGATGCCAACTGCCCCGTAGTGCATAGTACCAAGTTGCAGCTGTGCCCTACTCACCAAGTTTCTATAGGGCTAGAGAAAAGCCTCAAGCAGGGAATGGAGAGACACAGGATCTTAGGCTAGAAAACTATGTCCTGAAACTGCAGGTGAACTCAGAGGTGAGCTGAGAAACTATGAAGATGGATATCAAAAATATCTGCTACAAACAATAAACTCAGAAATAATGGTGCCTTTGAAGAGTAGAGGGCTACTTCTTTCACATAAGATAAATCCGGAGGTAGATAGTCCAGACTAATTTTGTCATCTTTACAATCTTCAGATCCCAAAACTCTTCCCAGCCTGCTATTTTGCTATCATTATGGTGGGTTCACCTTCAAAATTTAAAATGGCTGCCATCATATGGTAATGATATCTATATCCAAGGTGGTAGAACTTAGGAAGGGGCACAGAAGGCCTGTCCTTCTCATTTAAGGAGATATTCTGGAAACACAATAAAATATTTCTGCCTATATCACATCAGTTAGAATTCAATGACAGGATCACATCTTGCTATAAAACACATTGAGAAATACAACCTTGACTGCAGGTTGCCATGTGTCTAACTGAAAAGGTGGTTTTATTAGTATGAATGATAGGGAGAATGGGATATTGGCACCTAACCATCTTTGCATTGTAGGGTCTTCATCAACCAGAGTTATTGTGGCTGTATAAATGGAATCAATAAAGGGTAAGAATAAATAAGAGTAGTAATATTAATACATTGACTACTTGAGGATCCTGAAATTACTGGGTCATGTTCCTCTTTGAAGGCTGACCATCTTCACAAAATTTAAGATAATGACCTTGCTTACAAAAGTGATCATGGATTATTTGCTTTAAATAAATGAGTTTACCTGTATTCTTCCCAGTTATTTGTATAATAAATACAGAGTTATAATAATGTCAATGGCAGTAATGATTATATTAGTCTGCTAAGGCTGCCATATCAAAATACCACAGACTAGGTGGATTACAGAAAAGAAAGTTATTTTTCACAGTTCTGGAGGCTGGAAGTCCAAGATCAAATGTTAGCAGGTTTGGTTTCTCTTTTGCTTGCAGACAGCCACATTCTTGCTGTGTCTTCACATGACCTTTCCTTGCATGAGCATACCCCTGGGGTCTCTTTCTTTTCTCACGAAGACCCCAGTCTTATTGGATTAGGGGCCCATCCTTATAACCATATTTAACCTTAATCATGTCTTTGTAGGCCCTTTCTCTAAATACAGTCACATTGGAGGTCAAGATTTTAACATGTAAATTTGGTATGGGGACACAATTCATGCATAACAGTGATAATAAATACCAATTTAGTGCTTCCTATGTGTTGAGCCTGATGCTAAGTGTTTTAAATAGATTAATCTATTTAACCTATATAGTAGCACTAAATAAGAAATTAGATTCCTCATTTTACAAGGAAGGAAACAAATGGAGGGAAACTGACACATACCCAAATTTGTAAAGAACAAGTGAGGGCAGCAGACCTTTGCCAGAGCCTGGGTTTTTTTTTTTTTTTTAATTATGCTTTAAGTTTTACGGTACATGTGCACAACATGCATGTTCTTAAACCACTGTGTGATGGTGCTTGTGAGATGATGCAGAGGACACGGAGTTCCCTGCATGAGAGATGGAGAAGTGCTATAGGTGGTCCCAGATGGAGAAAGAACTATTGGTTGTAGGTGATGTTGGAGGAGGATGCTTCGAAACAACTCTTCAAAAAGAGAATCTTCATCTTCCCCTGAACAAACAGATGTATATCCAAGAATGGCAAGTAGAGGCTAAAATAGCCATTTATAACTGGTAGTGGCCGAAGGATGTGGCCTTAGGTCAGTTAGTCAAACGAATTAGCTAGTGGAATTAGGCAGACTCAGATACTCAATGGCCCCATGCACAGGCCCAATTGAGCCTCCCAACTTCTACAGGATGGAGTGTCTGGAACAGCTGTGGAAAGTCAACTCCCTCCCAGTTTTAAGCTCCCAAGAAGAATATTGGTGGAACCAAGCTGAACAAACTTATTACTTTTTCCCAGAGGTAACTATCAGGTCTGTCCTTCTCATTAGTGGGCAGAAAGAGTAAAAGGAGCATACAGCTTATGAAAAGTCTCTTTCCCCAGAAACCAGAAAAAGGTAATTCTAGATAACAGGATTTAATGGAAGTTTCTTTGAGCTTGTCTGGGCAGCTTGGGAGTCTTTTCACCATTATAAATTGGCATCCACTCTGAGGCTGAGACAAGGGGAAAGAAGATCTTTTTTTTTCCTCATTATTTGTGAAATCTTAAAAATGGAATTAATTTTGTATTGGTTGGGAGCAATACAAATCATTCAAATAATGTTAAGAGGCAACCAGGCTTGGGATTGTGTGTAGTAGCTATGGTTTGGGAATAAATGGATGCTTTGGTAATATTAATACATTTGAGCCATTACACCATGAATAATAGAAAAGAACAATATGTAAATTTCTCACAAAAATTCAGGAAATTTCTCTCTAAATAATGGCTCTGCTTTCAGGAAGAAAACAGTAGATCTAAACAAAGGAATCAGAGCCAATAGAAGAGAATAGAATTTTAATCATTTTCTTGGCACGTTCAGCCTGTGATGAACATTCATTAACTGATCAATAAGCTATTTTTTTCTATCTCTTAAGTCAGAGTTGACACATAAAAATGAAGAAAAGTAAACATTTTTTAATTCTCCAGAAAAATAAAGCCTACTGCCAACAAATTTAGCCACATTAAAAAATAATACGTTTTGGCAGATGGTTTCATGCACCTTTATTTAAGAATTCCTCCCTATACCCTAACATTTGAGGTCTACAAAGGTAAACCAGAATGGAGACTTGAGAACTTATGGAGAAAAATGGAATAAAAAAATCTTCCCTAAAAATTGTTCATGTAAGGTAAAATTACATTGTTGGCATGGCCCTAGACAGTGGACTGATTGAGGATTCACTTCATGGATATAAAGTTGGCTCTGGTTTCTCCTGAAGAATATAATACCTACATTTTCATGCTTGTGGATGCATAAAAGTAGAGTTTTTAATTTGTTGTGCATCAAACTGTGTTTTTCAGTTTTCTTTTTTTTCAATTAATCCCTCTCCACTTGCAAATCTCACAAATAGAATGTGATGATGTTGTTTAGTCATTTTATTTGATACTTCTAGATAGTTAATCTAATTTTGAAAAAATTATTTAATAATTTTAATAATCTAATAATTCTATTAATTAAATTCTATTAATTTAATTTAATAATTTTAAAAAATTTTAATATTTAAAAATTATTTAATAATATACAATAAATTTTGGGAGCTTTTTAATTTTGTAATTGAAATCCTTGGTTGTGTTTTAAACATAGTTTAATTAAATTAGGTAGCTAACAAACTTTACTTTTTTCTCTGTACAGCGTTGGTGTTGTGTTAGAGATATGGGATGACTCAAGGCTTCAAACAGATCCTTCCCCTTCTCTTTTCCTCCCCCTTTCCTCTTCCTTCATCATCTTCATCTCCTTTTTTGCTATGCTCTTCTTTTATGCAGACTGTTTAAGGTAAATTATATATATATATATATAATTTAATTAAAGGTTCATCTAGAGTTAACTGTTATGTAGGTTTGAAAATGTGTATTGAGCTCAACTTAAAATTTTTTCCAGAATATCATTTGACATCAAGATACTAGTATATGCTCACATTAAAAAATGTTTATTGTTTAAGACTCTTTAATATTTATTAATTTTTTCATTTAAAATATGTTTCTCCGAAAAGCTCTTTAATGAAATTATGACTTTTGGGTTATTTTGTTACTCATTCACTTATACAAGCTTGAGATATTCTATACACGTTTGTGCTAAATAAAAAACGATCTTTTACTTCAACATGTGAAAATGAAAACAGTGACTTCTTCAGCAACAATATTACCAAAACAGTTTTTATATAACTGCTTTTCTATTGCTCTCAGTATTATCAGGACTGGTATCCGAGGGTTTAGTAAATTTGGAGCTTTATAATTTAAATCCAATCATTTTTACTCAAGACCAATTCTCTGTTCTTTGGATTACTGATTTTGGAAGCTTGGAAAAACATGTCCTCAAAAGTAGGGTTCTTTCAACTGGAAATGTTGGTTTTACATGCGCTGTCGCTTAGCCTTCTCTAATGATTTTTAGCAGATGGGTGTCAGAGCAAGCAAAAAGCTTGAAGTGGCTTTTACTTGTATAGTTAGGATTGGAGAGTCTTCCAAACACAAATAACTTTATTTTTTCCTCTGAATATGAATTTGGTGCTGATGAAAGGGTCAGGCAGATAACTGTTGGCCTTGTAAAGAGTTTTCTAGAAAATACATGACATATGGGTAAAAATTCTTCCTCTTATAATTTACCCCTGATTTAAAAGATTTAAAAGATTCCCACTTTGAGGACCAAAGAAGCAGTTTTCTGTGAGTGACCTGAGATTCTTGGAAATTTCAGCTAAAGCTTTGTGCAATGCTTTAAAGTGGTGGTTGAAAGCAACAGCCTGCTAAACTTCAGAAAGTAGACATCCTCAGAATTTCTAATAGTATATGTGAATAAATGTACTTCCTTTAAAATGCACACTAAACGTATGCCAAATATGCAAACTTTAATTGTATATACATGCATATAGATACTCTTGCTATTTTAAAAATTAATTTTGGCTGGGCACAGTGGCTCACGTCTGTAATCCCAACACTTTGGGAGGCTGAGGCGGGTAGATCACCTGAGGTAAGGAGTTCGAGATCAGCCTGGCCAACATAGCGAAACCCTGTCTCTACTAAAAATACAAAAATTAGCCAGGCATGGTGGCAAGCAACTGTGGCCCCAGCAACTCAGGAGGCTGAGGCAGGAGAATTGCTTGAACCCGGGAGGCAGAGGTTCCAGTGAGCCAAGATCGCGCTACTGCACTCCACAAAAAAATAAAAGATAACAATAAAAAATCCATTTTGAATGAGCGTATCATAGTAAAATATCTCTGATGTGGAACATTGATTTAAAGCATTTTCGTGTTTGGAACACAGTCTGAAAATCAGGATGACTTTAGTTTAGTAAGACAAAAAATAAATAGTCAGGAGTCCTTATCTTTCCACTTTGAAAGTGCTTGAGGGCAAGTTGATCTGAGTACCTAGAATTGATGTTCCTAACATTTCCAAGGGTGTTTCCAATCCTATGCCTATTTTTATTTCTTTCTGTGTATTCGTTTGTTCTCCATACTGACCATGGAACTTATGGTCCCAAATGGTTCATTATGTTCTTCTGTTAGGATTTGTATGACAACTAATTATTTGTATAAAACTAATTATGTGTTTCTGAAAACAAAGGGACACTTACATCTGATGAGTGGGGGCCTCATACAATCCCTAGGACAGATATTTTACATATTTTTAAAACGGTGTCTGATTGAGTCTGTAGGTATTATTCTTTGTAAGATACTTACAGCTCCACAGGTGGATTGAACTCCCTGAAAGAAAGTAGGGGAGGCCAAAGGTTTGGCCTGGAATACAACTTATAAAGTTTAAATGTTAAATTCCTATTTAAAATGGTTTCTGGCTAGTAGTTTCTCCTAATTCTTATACAAACATTTGAAAAATTGAAATCCACAGTAACATTAAGAATTAAGACACACATTTGCTAAAACTTAGGGAAAGTTCCATAACGGCCAAACTGATACAACTCTATTGAAAACCATATTCAGTGACAGAATGGCTGAGTGGTTAAGAAGATAGACAGACTTGGTTCAAAACCTGGTTCTGTCACTGTCTTGCTGTGTAACTTGGGCAGTTTGCTTAACCTTTTGGTGCCCCAGTTTCCTCACCTGTAAAATGGAGGTCATAGTAGACTCTCCACAAGGTTGTTTTTTTCCAAGCTTCCAAACTCAGTAATCCGAAGAACAGAGAATTGGTCTTAAGGTTTAAATGAATTAATACTGTGTTTATACATGTTGAACAATGCCGGGAACATGGTAAACTGCAGAAAACGTTAGCTATTATTATGCAACGGCCCAACTATACTGTGTTTGCTTGACATCAGATCAAACTGTCCTTCATCCCCACTCACTCTCTGAATCGTGATTCAGTAGAAAAGAGCTGAATCAATAAGAAAACGGAGAAGCTAATTTATGTGCTTCATTGTCTCTCTGAAGCAGTTTTACCATGGGCTTATGCCGACTGGCACTCTTATGAATGTCTGTTCCTATTACCTTTTTATTAGAGAGGCATGTTTTATAATAATTCTATAACTAAGCTGTTGTAAGTTCTTATATTACCTGTGGGGAACTGAAGTTCAGAGATACAAAGTGAATTAGTGCCAGAATGGAGAAAAGAACTTGGACTTTTCATCAGCAGGCCTATTGTAGAGAAGACTTACAAATCAATAACTCTAAATATCTAAGTAGAATTTACCAGTGCTTAACTGTTTTAAACATGCACTGGAAATATTTGAATGAAAATGTAATTTTTCCAGCTTTCCTTAAATACTTATGGAAACTGTTGCTTAGGCAATGTTTGTGGGTACTTCATCTTTGGGAAACACTGCTATGAACATTTTCTTTCATGGCATGCTACTGAAATAATTTTACAAACGAGATGAAAAGAAAATAAATATTTACTGCATTTCTTCTAGGTATCAGGCATCATCTCCTTTAATCTTAGTGCAGCTTTGCAAACCATATTGCTATTTTACAGTTGAAAAGATTGGGGCTCAGAGGGGTAAACTTCCCACTGGTCACAAACTGATCTTTGATGTAAGGGTCAGTAACTTATTTTTTTATTTTTATTTTATTATTTTTTTTAGACGGAGTTTCGCTCTCTTGCCCAGGCTGGAGTGCAGTGGCGGAATCTTGGCTCATTGCAACCTCTGTCTCCTGGGTTCAAGCAATTCTCCTGCCTCAGCCTGCAGAGTATCTGGGACTACAGGCATGCACTGCCACACCCAGCTAATTTTTTGTATTTTTAGTAGAGATGAGGTTTCACTATGTTAGCTAGGATGGTCTCGATCTCCTGACATCGTGATCCACCTGCCTCGGCCTCCCAAAGTGCTGGGATTACAGACTTGAGCCACTACGCCCAGCCTTTATTTTTTATTTTTAATTTTAGATTCAGAAGGTACGTGGTCAGATTTATTATGTGGCTATGTTGCATGATGCTGAGGTTTGGAGTATGAATGATCCCATCACCCAGGTAGTGAGCATAGTACCCAATAGGTAGGTTTTTAGCTTTTGCCCCCTCCTCTCTCTTTCCCCTCTAGTAGTCTCCAGTGTCTGTTGTTCCCATCATTATGTTCATAAGTACTCAGTGCTTAGCTCTCACTTATAAGTGAGAACATATGGCATTTGTTTTTCTGTTTGTACATTAATTTGCTTAGGATAATGGCATCCAGTTGCATCCATGTTGCTACAAAGGACATGATTTAGTTCTTTTTTTATAGCTATGTAGTATTCTATGGTGTCTATGTAGTACATTCTCTTTATCCAATCCACTGTTGATGGGCACGTAGGTTGATTCCATGTCTTTGAATAATGCTGTGATGAACATATGAGTGCCTATGTTTTTTTTGGTAGACTTATTTATTTTCCTTTCGCTATATACCCCGTAATGGGATTGCTGGGTCAAATAGTAGTTTTGTATTAAGTTGTTTAAGAAATCTGCCAACTTATTTTCACAGTGGCTGAGCTAATTTACATTCCCATCAACAGCATACAACAGTATATAAACGTTGTCTTTTCTC
This sequence comes from Homo sapiens, assembly GCF_000001405.40. Classification (NCBI taxonomy): domain Eukaryota; kingdom Metazoa; phylum Chordata; class Mammalia; order Primates; family Hominidae; genus Homo; species Homo sapiens. The sequence goes on from NC_000013.11 coordinate 53,427,106, forward strand.
TGCAGCCACTTCAGCATCTGGTAGTTTTTGACTTTTTTTTTTTTTTTTTTTTTTGAGAGGGAGTTTCACTCTTTTGCCCAGGCTGGAGTGAAGTGGTGCAATCTTGGCTCACTGCAACCTCCGCCTCTGGTTTCAAGCAGTTCCCTGCCTCAGCCTCCCAAGTAGCTGGGATTATAGGCACCCACCACCACACTTGGCTAATTTTTGTATTTTTAGTAGAGACAGAGTTTCACCATGTTGACCAGGCTGGTCTTGAACTCCTGAGCTCAGGCAGTCCGCCCCTCTCTGCCTCCCAAAGTGCTAGGATTACAGCCGTGAGCCACTGTGCCTGGCCTAGTTTTTTTACTTTTTAATAACAGCCATTATGACTGATGTGAAATGATATCTCATCGTGGTTTTGACTTGCATTTCTCTGATTACAAATGTCAACATTTTTTCATATGTTTATTGGCCAATTGTATGTCTTCTTTTGAGAAGTGTCTGTTCATGTCTTTTGCCCACTTTTAATGGGCTTATCTGCTTTTTGCTTGTTGAATTGTTTAAGTTCCTTTTAGCTTCTGGATATTAGACCTTTGTTGGATACAGAGTTTGTGAATATTTCCTCTCATTCTATAGGTTGTCTGTTTACTCTATTGATAGTTTGTTTTGCTCTGCAGAAGTTCTTTGGTTTAATTAGGTCCAACTTGTCAGATTTTGTTCTTGTTGAAATTGCTTTTGAGGACTTAGTCATAAATACTTTCCCAAGGCTGATGTCTAGAATGGTATTTCGTAGGTTTTCTTCTAGGACTGATAGTTTGAAGTCTCACATTTAAAATCTCTAATCTAGTGACTTATTTTAGAGTTTCTCTCTTTATTTTTTGGCAGAGAAAAAAAGAAATGTTCTTCTGGAAACTCTATGATAGAACTAAAAAGTATCCCTCTTTGTGTTTTCTGAGTTCATAATTTATATGATATAAAATTTGTATACAATGATTCTCATTATCAAATACTGAGCAATTTATACCTTTGGAAGGTATTTACCATACTAATACATTAAAAGTTGCTTTCAAGAAGTAAAAAAAGACAAAGAAAAATACAACTTATTAATACATTCAAATTCTGCTTCTGTGTTTTGACTGTTTTGAGTTTGATTTGTACCTGCTCTGGATCTAAACACTTGTACTCTTACTTGTATCTCATTGGCATTATTACACATCTTATTTTATTTTATTTTATTTTATTTTATTTTATTTTATTTTATTTTATTTTATTTTAAATATGTGCTGCCAATAAGGTGAAGCTTAGTAACATGATTAAAGTTAGGGTGGAAATAGTTACGCATGCTCAGATTTTTCATATAGATTAACTTGTTTTTGCCACCTATTTCTTATTGCGCCATCATATCTTTTTTACTCTAGAGTGAACTTCCAATAGATAAAGTTTTCCATTTCTTCCTAAGCTCTTCTCCCAGTAGAATAAAAGAATAAAGTTTATTCTTGACAATAGATTTGTTAGTCCTCTCATGAAGGTAATAAAGCTATCTCATGCAGGTCTATGTGACAATGAGTTTGTAACAAATTGGACCAAAGTAGGCATCGGCATAGATTAAATATTAGATTAGTTAGCTGATTGCCTGGTTCTCAGTTAAGTCAGCATGTCCCCGCTCCTCTTGTGTCCTCTGCTTTGTATTGCAGGGGTTCAAAGTCTACATTTGTTTTCAGAATCTCTTGCTGATAGAATTCAAGGTTAGATTTTGCCAAAAAGAAGCATGAGTGCAAAATTTCAAAAAGTGGGAGCCCCCAGTTGCTCCTCAAGTAGCAGAGGGCTGGCAGATAGGCTTCATTTTCTATGAGTTGCTTACCCTATTGCTGCAGGCAGCTGTTCTCTTGCTAGGAGTTTCTCACAGTTCTGCAGTTTCCTGACTGGGAAGGTAAGCAACAACCCTGACAAGCAGAAGCAGCTTTCCCAGATACTTACTCTTTCACCCTTCTTATCACTCATGTCCCTGTATTCAATCTCTTCTTACTATAAAAGTTTAATTTGCTTTTGCCTTTGCTGACAAAACTCTCACTGTGACACTGATATTAACCAAGATTATTTCACTATGACCTTTGCCAAGACATCTCAACTTTCTGTCCTATCATTCTTAAAATGAGAAGATGAGGTTGCATAACCTTTTTATAGAATTTTGATTCTGGCCAGAATGTGCTCTAGGAAGATGTTTCCTTGGAAGTAAGAGACAAGAGATAGTTCTGTACCAGTGGATGTTAACTGTTAGATATGCTTATGTGTAAGTGTTGTTTGGCCTACTCAGTCTTAGTATCAAAAAACACTGATGCAATATTTCAAGATTTAATTTCACATACCAGTGTGGAGTTGTGAACTGTCTTTAAAATTCAGAAGATCTGGTCAGGTGCGGTGGCTCACGCCTGTAATCCCAGCACTTTGGGAGGCTGAGGTGAGCGGATCACGAGGTCAGGAGATTGAGAACATCCTGGCTAACACGGTGAAACCCTGTCTCTACTAAAAATACAAAAAATTAGCAGGGTGTGGTGGTAGGCACCTGTAGTCCCAGCTGCTTGAGAGGCTGAGGCAGGAGAATGGCCTGAACCCAGGAGGCGGAGCTTGCAGTGAGTGGAGATCAAGCCACTGCACTCCAGCCTGGGCAATAGAGTGAGACTCCATCTCAAAAAGAAAAAAAAAGGCAGAAGATCTGATAACAATGGCCCCATATTCCTCCCTACCAGCAATTGGCTGGAGCTGAGACACAACTACTGCATTCTCATCTTGTCCTATTTGGCCTACCAAGGCTGTATCAATTGTCATGTAGCACTGTTCAGGTGATTTTTTTTTCCTTACAGGAAAGAGTTATTGTATTGAACCCATTCTCCTATTAAAAGAGATAAAATTAAAGATACATAAAGGAATAAGTTTCAAAAAGTGATAAAGAGCACTGTTTTGTGCCAAATGTGTCTACAGATGTCTACATACTTATTTGGCAATTCCTGACATACTCCACACATTTATTTCATTTGGCTGTCTCCAAAAAGGATTTAAGTTTATGAGAACTGGTCTAGACTCTAGTGCTGGCTTTTTGCCTTATTTGGGTCACAAAGTCTTTAAAGAATATTATGAAAACTACTGGACACTACTCTAGAAATGTAAGAACACAAACATAGAATATTTCAACAAGAGATTTCTTTGAAGTCTTGCTTGCAACTAAGTTTAATAAGATCCTTTACTCCTGAGCAGTTTTTCCTGCTAAATGAAGATTCAGATTCAGTAGGGCTGGGAGGTTTCTGAGATTGTGTATTTCTAACGAGCTTTCAAGTGATGTTAACATTGTTGGTTCGGGGGTCACACTTTGAGTAGCAAGGTTATGGTGGTTCTTAAATTTTCTTTGGATATTAGATCTCTAGAGACAGTTTTTCTTTGAGATGGAATTTTGCTCTTGTCGCCAAGTCTGGAGTGCAATGGTGCACTCTTGGCTCACTGCAACCTCTGCCTCCCAGGTTCAAGTGATTCTCCTGCCTCAGCCTCCCGAGTAGCTGGGATTATAGGTGCCTGCTACCACGCCCAGCTAATTTTTGTATTTTCAGTAGAGACAGGGCTTCACCATGTTGGCCAGGCTGGTCTCAAACTCCTGACCTCAGGTGGTCCATCCACCTTGGCATCCCAAAGTGGTGGGATTACAGGCGTGAGCCACCACGCCTGGCACAGTTTTTTATAAAGGTTAATGCCCAGCCAATGGTACTTTTAAATAGCTCCCATCTGAGTGGTTGAAAACATCTGCTCTACGTCAAAGGTTCTTTTACCAAAATAAGAAGAGACAGGAAGAAAAGCCAGTAAGAGGGGTCTAGGCATTAGGTGGATGTTGTAATGGAGAGAAGTGGTGCCAACTAAGAAGGCAAGGGCTTGCCAATGACTAACAATTTTGTTTTTCCAAGACTGACCAGTTTCTTTTTCCTATAGTGGAAAGAACAGCAGTGTATTAATGCTGCAAAGAAATTTTATAGTGATCTGCTGTCATTGAAATCATAGAGATGGCTTAGCAGAGGTTACCAAATCTTGAACTCCCCTCTTGGTCAGTTCCACAAGTAGACCATGAGTTGAAGTAAGAAAGAACGAGTTTGGTAGAAATGAATTTTCTAGTCATTGTTTATTAGTTCCAAGGCAGTATTTTCCCCTTATGATGTGTCCTGTCCCAAGCTACTAAAAAGGCACAAAAGTTTCTGCAGTAGATTTTACATCAGATGAAAAATTAGTTTAAAACAGGGTTCATTGACAGTTGTAGGGCGGATGCCTTCTTTCACAGGTAGTCCATAACAATTTAGGAGAAAACATGACTATGTAACACAAAAGACATGGGTCCATGACACTGCTTGATCCAGGCTTCAAAGACAGAATTGAAAGCTGAACTTAAATTGGTGTCAGATCAGTGGAAAGAAGTTCTCACAAGTGATATCACAGTCTGGGTCATTAATGTTCCTTTCCCCTCTCCTTACATTGCAACCTCCATGTGCATACCTCTAATTAGTGCAGCTGGAACCAAGGAGGCTTCTGATGACGATTATGTGGAAAATTTCCAAAGACGCATTTCCATTTTAAAGAGAACCTAAAGCATAACCTGAATCAGCTCCCCCTTCAAAAATTCTATTCCTGCAGGGAAAAAAGTAATTATATGTATTTAGGTATAGATAGCTTTTGTAAAAAATAATTTTTAGTTGACACCACCTAATCACAAGGAATTATTTCATAATCATGAAATAATAATAGTCCTAAAACTCTAAGGTTCAAAGAAACCCTTCAGTAAAATTTGGCTCCTGATGCCTATATATATACTTACTAAGTGATGTCCTAAAGTATATTTGGCAGTAATTTTTTCTGCTAATTTTACAATTAAACTTCTCTATCATGCACCATCAAGTCATTAGTCAGCCATCATCTTTTGTTCTTTGACTTCTGAACATGTGGTAGAGTTATGTAAAAATGGACATGACATTTAAAACATCTCAAAATACTTATGGAATATTGCTCTTCTCTGTCTGACTCACACTTCATAGAGAAGAAAGCAGACGATGGAATCTCTCCGAGTGATGACAGACGGGGCTACTGGGTGACAAGTGGTGAAGCATCCAGGAGCCAGCAGCTGCCAGTGGTCCCCTTTACCCATGAGGTCAGCATCTCGAACACATATCCTTCTCTTCACATAACAGACTTGCACCTGTCTTTCAGTTGGGAATGACAAAGAAAATATTTTTCTGCTCTCTTCTACTCTGTTTTCTGGTGATTTCCTCTTTGATCCTGCCCCAGAGAACAGATGTTCTGCATCCACTAAGGTTGGTTTTACATTGTTTTGGCTTTCAAGGAGTGTTTTTAACATTCCTGCTGATGATTTAGCATAAATTGTTCTTGTAATTAGCGTGGTTAATGAACTCCCCACCTATCTTTTAGTAGGTAATTACAAAGCTGGTGTATATTAGCAGGTACTGTATAAAGATGAGAGGAAGGCTGGTGATTATGGATTCCATCCTCATGTCTCTAAGACCAAATCCCAAACGGTTTAATCATCATCAATGTCAACCTTTGCCATATCTTCATTCTACATGCCATATATTATAATGTTGCATTTACATTTCATCTTGACTTTGATATTTGCTCCCTCAGAATAGAGGTGCCCTGATTAGACAAGGCTACTGGCAGTTGAAAGAAATGTTTTAAAAATATGCATGTGCCATTACCAATTTCCCACGAGTGATTCTCTCTTTTACTGTGTGTGTTTACCAAAGGCTTTTTGTTTTGTTTTGTTAGATGTAGTTATGGCTAGAAAAGATTGAGTCTGTGGCAAAAGACTGAGTCTGTGGCAAAAAATTGACAATTACCAAGAGCTCCATAGTACGATTTTTTTAGTCAGGGGCAAGGGGACAGGAAGAAGGAGGTCTCTTCATGTAGAATGTAAACTTATTGAGTATTTCAAATATATAAGCATAATTTATATATGTATGTGTGTGTATTTATATTCACTAAAGTCCTATTATAAGAATTGTATATACAACCTATAATTATTGTCATCCTCTTCCTACACTCCTTTCTCTCTGATCATTTCCTGTCAACTTTTGGTTAAATAATATTGGGCAATCATAGATGTCAAGAATCTTCTGGACCAATCAACCATTGAATTTCAAATATTTATTAAAGAACTGAGTGGTTAGATGTCTGCACTCAGAGCTATTCCTGCCAAACATTCACTGTGCTAGGTGCCACATCTCTCTACCACTTCTCTCAGGATTTGCTGCTCCTTGTACCTTTCATTCCTCCCTCAAGTTTTAGGGACCAGAGGATGAACTTCTGAATAGATAATTCCATTTTGCGGCTCTGTACCCTAATTATGAGAGACTTGGGAGAGGAAGATCAAATTTTTCCTGCTTCCTTGATATTTATGACTATAGACGTTTACTTAAAGAAGAGTGGGCATGCTTTGACCAGAAAGATAGTGCAGAAGAAAAGTGTCAGTAATGAGAAGCAATGGCTGATTGGAATTCTAAGTTCTGAAAAGGACATTGTTATTTATGGAGCATATACCTATAGAATGTCGACTGGCTCCACTATACTACACAAAGTTGGGGAATTGGAGTCTATTGTCAAGGAACACACAATAGTGCGTTCTCTCCATTTAGGGGTGCCTTTGAATGCTGCTGAGCAAAACATGACAAGAGTCCATTGCACATGGGTTCAAATATATACATTTCCCAGCTGTGTGACTTGTAGGAAACCACTTAAATGTTCTTAGCCTCATTCTCTTCTTCTTTAAAATTGATAGTTCATGATGTTGTGAAGATTAAATGAAGTGGTAAGTCTAAAAATTATTTGAAAACTGGAGAGGGCTACAAAAATGTAGAAATAATGATTAATCAAGAGAAATATTTCTGTCATCTCTTGGGTAGGACACCATAAACTTAAATTCACAAGGTCTGAAAATGGCAGCTCAAACCAACCATTTCAGAACTTTATTACATGTTCTCCAATATCTCCGAACATGAGATATGAGGGCTAGTCTCACTAGTTGGTGGGTTCTACTAATTGACTTTGTAAGCTGAATGAGAGATTGAACAGATTTTTCTATTTTTCACGGTTGTTCAATGGAAGGCAGTTAGAGAAGTATCACTGTCTTCTTCAACAAAGTCACAAGAGTAAATATTTGGAAGAGGATTCAGAATGGAAATGAAATGAGGCATTGTGTGTTATGCTGACCTAATTCAAACACTACTCCTGGAAAAAGGGAATCTGCACAGGAGCTTCCTCAGAATACTTCTCTTGGTGTGATTCTTGTGAGACTGTACTAAAATTATCTCGATGAACAACTTCTTGTTTTTTACTTGGTATAGGTTGTGGGAAGAAAGCAAGAATGCACTATATCACCATTTGTATTAATTCTTTGGACTGACATGGTTATTTTTATTTGCAGCAGGTTTATATTATCTTCAGAGGGATCTTTTTATGAAGGGATTCCTCGTATGAGGTTGTGCCAGAGCAGGTGCGCCTTAAATGACAGGTTTAGAACGGCCTTTTCTGTGTCAAGCAAGTTGGCACAAGCTGGTTGTCAAGCGACACAGTGGCTGCCGTCCGTTAGCTTACTGAGGATGAAATGAGGGACATTCCATCCAATACTGACTATTTTTTATTTTATTTTATTTTTTTTTTACGGTGTCTCCTTAAAATGGTCAGATGATTGGACTCTTTGTAGCGGCCTCACTCATGATGAAATGCAACCCATTACTGACTATCCAAGGGTGGCAATGCTTATTTGGTGAGTTTTGTTCCTAATAACAAGATGAAGGGACAGTGAGTTCCTCCTTTGTAAAGACCTGAGAAGCTCCGGGAACTGGCAGATTCCCAATTTTTATTTTAATTCTGATTACACAGTAAAAACAACTCACAGAATTTAGTGTCTAATTTGAGACACTTTAATCTTCGTTTCATCCATTAATTTGTCAAGACAATGTTGAGAGAGAAACTTGAAAGCAAGTTCTCCCTGTCAGAAAAACCCTTTCAGGGCCTTGAGGAAAAAAATCTCTCTTAATCACATTTTATTAGACTTTTTCTAAGCACCTGAACAAGGAGCCCATAACACAGGCATGAGTCTGAACATGAATTCTTATTCCAGATAGCTGCAAGTCATACTGGATGCAATCTCAACATCTTTATACAATTAGTAATTCCTATATCCCACGATTATTTGTGCAGTGTTAAGAAATTCAACCCTGTGGATTTCAGTCTGCTCATCTATAAAATCATAATATTGGACTAATTGATCTTTAAGGTCCTGTCAGATTTTTAAAATTATCTTTTTTAAAAACATTATTTTATTAAAGACAATGTTAGATGTAAAAACAATGGCATCATTATTGTTTATTCAATCTAATTTGTCTAACCATCATATCTGAATTTAGTACTTAAAGCTTGGCGTTCTTTATTCTCAGACTTTACTGTTAATACTTATGAACTCTAACTCATGAATTTAGTGAAATACAAATACCCTTATTTGGGAGTAAACTGTAATAATATGCATCTATGCTGGGGGGGAAAAAACCCCAAACAGCCCTTTTGTCTTTTAGATTTTGAATGGCTTGTGTAGCTCTTCCCCTCCTGTCCCAAACAATGCATGGACAGTCTTTGTGTCAGTAATAGAAGCAAATGCATGTACTGTGTGTATGTAGTAGCAAATATTAAGGCAACATATTTCCATGTTAGCTGATGGCCTTTGATAAAGTCAAATAAGAACCAACTGAGCAAGGCAGTTCTTATGATAATAACACATTATCAGCTCTATCATATATACCCTTTTTATTCATGGATAAAACACATGTCAATGTGACAGCACAATTCTCTGCCATCACCATTGGTTTTCACTAGCACCACCAAAGGGCATTAGTATATTTTAAAATTGGAAAGACGTGAATTGCATAAACTTGATATCTGCATTTCTATAACTACTGGTACCTCTTCCACTACGGTCAAACTCGATACAAGTCTCTGTGCTTAAACTTCTCAAAACAGCAGCTTGTGATGTGATGTGGGGTCTGAAGGGTGAGAGATGGTCTGTATTAGTGGATAAGCTTTCATTTTTATATAGAAACAGGTCATGTATTGGTAGGAAATCCTTCTTGCCGTGGAATCCAAGCAGAGTTGAAGCGTAGATGACAAAATCAAAACAGAACCCTCTGTTGTTTTTTTCCCCCCTGTCATTTTAGGAAATTTCTTTTATCACTTTGATCATGCTACTTTGTGGAGTTGTTTGGGCAAATCCCCACAGTTAGACAGGCCCACTGACTTCCATCTAATAGGGTCATATTTATGTTGCTAGAAGGGCTGCCGACTGGCTTCATTTCCCCAGGAAGTAACTCTTGGCTAGCTCTGGCAGGGACATTATAAGCTTGCAGGCTTTATCAAATCTGTGAAACCAAGTGTGATTTACAGAGAGAGTTGGGGCAAAGAAACATACAGCAGTTGGATTCTAAAATCAGAAGTTTCCTCCCTGAAGAGGTAGAGGGAATTTGAGTCAGAAAGCCAACAAATAAGACCGATTTCAGCTTATCTTGAAAATTTCTAGACTTATTCATAAATTTGACAGGGTGCTATCAGAGAGAAACACTTTGAAATGATAAAAAGTAAACACTCGACATGAGACCCAGAGATGTGGATATCTTTCAGATGGCTGAGCTTGGTGCAGAGAGCAACAGTGACAACAGAATATGATGCCACATTCTTTTTCTTTTATGTTCTTTTAAACTGCCTCCAGAAATGCAAATAGGGTGGGAAATATTCAGTCAAAAATGCACTTTGAAATTAAAAATTAAAACAAAAAACAAGGGAGGGTAGAGTGGGCAGTGATGAGGATTTTTTCCCCATAGGAAAATGTCAGGAGAACAAAATTGGCATAAGTTCTATTTTGCTGATTTTTCTGAATAGTAAAAGATTGGGAAATAGGAGAGATTTCTTTTCCTTTTGGTTGTTCACAGGGCATTGCCACCTGCTCTAATAACAAAATTAAGTAGGGATGTGTGGAACACAAGCAGAACTTTCCATGATTATTCTATTTGATAGTTTGACAGTATTATGAATAAATTGTTTTTTTTTTAATTATACTTTAAGTTTTAGGGTACATGTGCACATTGTGCAGGTTAGTTACATATGTATACATGTGCCATGCTGGTGCGCTGCACCCACTAACTCGTCATCTAGCATTAGGTATATCTCCCAATGCTATCCCTCCCCCCTTCCCCCACCCCACCACAGTCCCCAGAGTGTGATATTCCCCTTCCTGTGTCCATGTGCTCTCATTGTTCAATTCCCACCTATGAGTGAGAATATGCGGTGTTTGGTTTTTTGTTCTTGCGATAGTTTACTGAGAATGATGATTTCCAATTTCATCCATGTCCCTACAAAGGACATGAACTCATCATTTTTTATGGCTGCATAGTATTCCATGGTGTATATGTGCCACATTTTCTTAATCCAGTCTGTCATTGTTGGACATTTGGGTTGGTTCCAAGTCTTTGCTATCGTGAATAATGCCGCAATAAACATACGTGTGCATGTGTCTTTATAGCAGCATGATTTATAGTCCTTTGGGTATATACCCAGTAATGGGATGGCTGGGTCAAATGGTATTTCTAGTTCTAGATCCCTGAGGTATCGCCACACTGACTTCCACAATGGTTGAACTAGTTTACAGTCCCACCAACAGTGTAAAAGTGTTCCTATTTCTCCACATCCTCTCTAGCACCTGTTGTTTCCTGACTTTTTAATGATTGCCATTCTAACTGGTGTGAGATGGTATCTCATTGTGGTTTTGATTTGCATTTCTCTGATGGCCAGTGATGATGAGCATTTTTTCATGTGTTTTTTGGCTACATAAATGTCTTCTTTTGAGAAGTGTCTGTTCATGTCCTTTGCCCACTTTTTGATGGGGTTGTTTGTTTTTTTCTTGTAAATTTGTTTGAGTTCATTGTAGATTCTGGATATTAGCCCTTTGTCAGATGAGTAGGTTGCGAAAATTTTCTCCCATTTTGTAGGTTGCCTGTTCACTCTGATGGTGCTGGGAAAACTGGCTAGCCATATGTAGAAAGCTGAAACTGGATCCCTTCCTTACACCTTATACAAAAATCAATTCAAGATGGATTAAAGACTTAAACGTTAGACCTAAAACCATAAAAACCCTAGAAGAAAACCTAGGCATTACCATTCAGGACATAGGCATGGTCAAGGACTTCATGTCCAAAACACCAAAAGCAATGGCAACAAAAGACAAAATTGACAAATGGGATCTAATTAAACTAAAGAGCTTCTGCACAGCAAAAGAATAAATTGTTTAAATCACTTAGGGATAGAATTTTAAAATCCTCAGAGAAGATGATAGATTTATCCTAAATTTTAAGTGCCACAAAAATGTATTATTTTTCACTCTCCAGTAGGCCCATTATTTAAAAAAATATATTTACCAGAAAGAAATTACATGTATATATGAAATTATGAAAGAGAATGATTAATGCAATTTTTAATGGATATATATGTGTATATATCTATTCAGTTCTCCATGTCCACGGGGGAGAGGTTTCAGGACCCCTGTGGATACCAAAATCCACAAGTGCTCAAGTCCCTCACATAAAATGACATAGTATGGTTGGCCCTCGGTATCTGGGGGTTTCAATCAGCAGTTGGTTGAATCTGTAGATGCAGAAACCCTCAGATAGATGGGTAATTGTACACACACACACACACACACACACACACACACACACATATGGATATATACCTTTTGATTGAGTTTCTGACCAGCTTGCAACAAGACAACTGGTATAGCTATATTGAATTAAAATAATTTCAGCCTAAAGCAAAACAATTTATGTCTGCTAACCTGGGCAGCATTATCAAGAGTAAGTGTGTGTGTGTGTGCACATGTTTGTATCTTTTTGAAATGCCAAAAATAATTGGAGGAGTTCCATCGTAATCTTTGAGGATGTCTAAGTGACTTAAATTTATGATGGAAACCATTGAACAATTTCAGTAAATACAGGAATAAGTCATGTATTTCAAAGTAGTCTCACACAAAGCATTTAAAAATACTGAGAGAATAACTATGGTTTAAAACAATTTCATAGGCTACTGTGGAGGAAAACTTTATCTTTTTTAGTAGGGGATAGTCCCAGTCATTAAGGAGCCAGGGCAAAGGGAAAAATAGCCTTCCAGCAGTAATGCATAAACAAATTTGGAAAAAAATAATGAAGAGGCCTGTTCTATGTAAAACAACAAAAAGGAATAATCTTGATCAAAGAATCTTGGATCAGTTTTTGGTTCTGAAATGTTAAATGGAACATTTGGAAAAGGAGAGGTGAGCTCTTTGATTGTGAGAGGTGACAACGTGCTAGCAGCCCTCACTCACTCTTGGCGCCTCCTCGGCCTCTGCGTCCACTCTGGCTGCGCTTGAGGAGCCTTCAGCCTGTGGCTGCACTGTGGGAGCCCCTCTCTGGGCTGACTGAGACAGGAGCCGGCTGCCTCTGCTTGCGGCCCCGAGCACCAGGGCCAGCAGTTGCGGAGGGTGTGCGGTGTTCCCCAGCACTGCCGGTGTGGGGCTGCGCTTGAATTCTTGCTGGGCCTCAGCTGCCTCCTGGCGGGGCAGGGCTTGGGACCTGCAGCCTGCCATGCCTGAGTCCCCAAACCCGCCTCGCCCCTCCCCTCCCCCATCCCCCTCCCCCCTTATCCCCCTCCCCCATCCCCACCTTCCCCCATCCCCCACCCCTCCCCCTCCCCATCCCTCCCCCTCCCTTGCCCCTCCCCCACACCTCCCCCGACCTCAGACTCCCGCATGGCCTGAGCCTCCCTGACAGGTGCCACCCCCTGCTCCGCTGCGACCAGTCCCATCGACCACCCAAGGGCTGAGGAGTGCAGGCCTGCAGTGTGGGACTGGTAGGCAGCTTTGCCCATGGCCCCTGTGCAGGATCCACTAGGTGAAGCCAGCTGGGCTCCTGAGTCAGGTGGGGACTTGCAGAACTTTTATGTCTAGCTGGAGGATTGTAAATGCTCCAATCAGCACTCTGTGTCTAGCTTGGGGTTTGTGGATACACCAATCAGCACTCTGTATCTAGCTAACCTGGTGGGGACTTGGAGAACTTTTGTGTCTAGCTAGAGGATTGTAAATGCACCAGTCAGCACTCTGTGTCTAGCTCGGGGATTGTAAACTCACCAAGCAGCACCCTGTCAAAACAGACCAATCAGCTCTTTGTAAAACGGACCAATCAGCTCTCTGTAAAATGGGCCAATCAGCTCTCTGTAAAATGGACCAATCAGCAGGATGTGGGTGGGGGTCAGATAAGGGAATAAAAACAGGCTGCCAGAGGCTGCAGTGGTAACCCGCTTGGGTCCCCTTCCATGCTCTGGAAGCTTGGTTCTTTCACCATTCGCAATAAATCTTGCTGCTGCTCACTCTTTGGGTCCGCGCTGCCTTTGTGAGCTGTAACGCTCACTGCAAAGGTCTGCAGCTTCACTCCTAAAGTCAGCAAGACCATGAACCCACCAGAAGGAAGAAACTCTGGACACATCTGAAGGAACAAACTCTGGACACACCATGTTTAAGAACTGTAACACTCACCGTGAGGGTCTGTGGCTTCATTCTTGAAGTCAGGGAGACCAAGAACCCACCAATTCTGGACACAATTGTATCCCTGAAGCTCATGTGTTCTCAATGCCCAACAAACATAGACTTTTTTTGCAGGGCATCTGGGGACGAGAGAGAGAGAGTTGGGGTGGGATGAATCTAACGGAAGCATTAGATTTTGTTGCCACATTTGGCCTAGTAGCCAACACATTTGCAAAACTGACTTTTATCCCATGGCACCCTTTGAGGGTAAGATGGCAAAACTTTTTTCTTTCTGACATTTTAATTTTCACTTCTTCCAAGGAATCCTACCATATTTTTAAGTAGGTACAACACATAGGACTTAATTTGTGCATTTAAATAAGCAGATCTGACAAAACAATGAAAGCTGCATAAGGTTTATGTGGGCAAATTGCCACTTTGTGAACTTTGAAATTTGCACGCACGGTAAGTTGGAAGTTTGCTAATTAACTCTATGCACATGACCAGAAATAGGCTCACAAATATTGTGTCTTGTCACTGAGGATGTCTTTACAGTATGCCAAACAAAATGCACCTTCAGATGATATATCCAGGTGAAAATGTTGTGTATCATAATATTTTTAGCTTCCTGGTCTCACCTTTTTCACTACTGTATTTGGCGCAATTGCCTGAGAACATTTTCTATTGCTGGTTGTCAGCTGTGTAGGATAACAAAGTAGAATACTTGCTTTAAGCCATACAGTATACTTTGGGGAAAACTGGCAACCCGTACTCATTGTAGAAGAAACATGAGATGTTTGGCCTGTCAGGTATATATGAAATTATGGAATCTTGGAATAGGAAGTATAATATTTAGTAATGCTCTACTTAACCCCACATATACAGAGACTCAATCAAGGCAGAAGATTATTTTGTTGACATGTAGACCAAGGGCGAGCAGTTCAGGATTGTAGGTAAGACTCTGCTTAAATAGTCATTCAGAGTCCCAAATTCCTTCAATCATGTGGCTCCATCCTTCTTCAGAATGTTGTCCGTGTCTATTTAGTCGAGGCTAGGTCATTGACAAGTCCAGATGCCATCCAGTAGAAACAAAAAAAAGAGAAGAAGTCAAGACAGGCAGCTTTATTTTTAAGATGATGATGCAGAAATTGGCTACAATACTTGTGCTCATATCCCATTGATCAGAAGAACTCTGTCACGTGGATAGAGAGGTCTGTGGATAATGAAAGCTGACAGAAATCCTAAGATAGAATATATAATTCTACTTCTTACTCTGCCTGGCTGGCAAATCCACAGAAATGGGTAAATCACATTGGATATTATGGAGAAACTCCTTGGGCTTTTGCGTGCCTTCATTTCTATTGATTTAATGAAGGACTGATAAAAAATTTAAAATGTTAAGCCTTTTAAGAAACCTAAAATAGCTTTCTCTTGATCTATGAGTTGTGTGAATTAATGTGAGATTCGTATAGCTTAAATATAGTTCATAGGTTCTTTTTAGTGTCCATTTATTTGAAAAAAATTAGAAGAGGTCTACTACAAAATTTGTCCTTGTAACTAATGAATCTAAATTACCTTAATGACTGTGAAAGTGAATACATTGATTAGTTCAATGAATGCTATTCATTGTACACCTCCTATGAGCCTGTGGTTGTTGTAAACACAAGGGAAGATACAAAGCTGAATAATTTGCATAGGTCTCAAAAGTCATTGCAGGCAAGTTTCCTGGGTCCAGATATTCTGACACCTTACAAAATGTGGGTATGAAAGACTTTCCACTCTGATCCTTTTTGTATTGCCTCTGCCTTTGTTTTGTTTTGTTATTTTGTTTTGTTGAGACAGAGTCTCGCTCTTCCCCCAGGCTGGAGTGCAGTGGAGCAATCTGGGCTCACTGCAACCTCTGCCTCCTCAGCTCACGCCATTCTCCTGCCTCAGCCTCCCATGTAGCTAGGATTACAGGTGTCTGCCACCACGCCTGGCTAATTTTTGTATTTTTAGTAGAGATGGGGCTTCACCATGTTGGCCAGGCTGGTCTCGAACTCCTGACCTCAGGTGATCCACCCGCCTCGGCCTCCCAAAGTGCTGGGATTACAGGCCTGAGCCACTGTGCCTGGCCTGTATTGCCTCTGGATGTGGCATTCATAAATATTCAATTTTACATGAAAGAGAGAAAAAAACAGCAATAGATAGTTGCAGGTCCCCCAATCCCCTAGTTAGTTCAATGAATGTTTTGTGATCACCCATTATTTGGCAGGTACCTTGTAAGCATCTGAAAACAATGGTGGAGAAGATAGTTTCTGTCTTCATGAAGCTTATGTTCTACATCAGTCATTCCCAATCACTGATCGTCAGCACAGTCCAGATATGCTTGCAAAGTTTTTCATTCAGTAGCTGTAGCAGGCACTACAACTATAAACATGGTGCCCCTTCCTTTTTTTTTTTTTTTTTTGGCATCAAAAAATATGCTGATTCGGCTGAAAAAGAAGCAGAGGCTTTGAACTACAGGAAATATTCCGGGGTCCAAACTATGGTTCTGATTCAGTCAGTGTAGAGTGGATCTTTTATTTATTTATTTTTTTGAGATGGAGTCTTGCTCTGTCGCCCAGGCTAGAGTGCAGTGGCGTGATCTTGGCTCACTGCAAGCTCCACCTCCTGGGTTCATGCCATTCTCCTGCCTCAGCCTCCCAAGTAGCTGGGACTACAGGTGCCCACCACCACACCTGGCTAATTTTTTTGTATTTTTTTTTAGTAGAGACAGGGTTTCGCCGTGTTAGCCAGGATGTTCTTGATCTCCAGACCTCATGATCTGCCTGCCTCAGCCTCTCAAAGTGCTGGGATTACAGGCGTGAGCCACCGCGCCCAGCCTGTAGAGTGGATCTTAACGTCTCTTCTCTCAGAAACTTCCCATGTAATTTTCATGAGCAGTTGATTTGGAGAATTACATTTTTGCATGCAATTTGGGTCTGTTTCAACATTTTATAAAAACCTATATCTTGCCATGTATAATTGGTGATGGGTCTGCTAGGTTTCATTGATAAGAATTTGAGGACTCACCCAGTGGTTTGTCACTGTGATGACTGTTACTGGCTCTCTGCACAATGTGCCTCAGTCTGACACCATCTTTTAGGTTTAACTCTCAAGTTAACTCCTCTATTTAGAGCATTTTTTCCTCATACTAAATATGTACAGTACATAGTTCTCTATTATCAACCTATACCTTAGTTTTGAATTAATCTTAAAAGGACTTTTAACTTCTTACTGTATGCAAAGCACAGTATATTAGAAATTCATTTATACAGTCTTGGAAAAATGACTTAGATTAATCTCACTATAGTTCAACATATATCTTCAAAAAAAACAGCATCAGACATCCATCAATCATTTGAAGCCCTTCTTCCAGCTAGAGAACTGATCAATTTAAGGACATTCACTTATTTCTCTGTGCACGGAGAGTGTGAACTTTTCATTGCATTTTAATTCATGTTTTTCCCTCTTTTATTGTCACATTACCTGTCAAATATGAACTTTGTATCCAAAGGTTCCTTTTCCTTATATAGCAAAGTGAATATTTTGTTAACTATTTTTCTTTCTTCTCACTTTCTTTCCCCCCATAAAATTGTATAAAAATGGCATTTGACCTATTTGTTTTTTTAATAACAAATATAGTGTTAAACTGAGAAAAAATAAGATTCTTCTTTCTGATGCCTCTTCTAGAGACCATTGAAAATATATAGAATCTATCTGCTTGGCTTTAAACTGTACAAATTTGAATGTCATTCTGAAGTTAAAGCTGTCCCTGAGGACTGATGACATTTGATCTGAGTAACAGCTATGGTACTCAGTTGAGGTCGTTCTTGCTACATGGTTTCAAAGCTGGAAGCTCAGAAAATCCATTAAAGACAGAGTTAGAGCCGAAATAAAGGTGATGACATAGCCATTTGAGGTGAGAAAGGTGAGCTTCTTCAGAGGGTTTCAAGAAAGTGCATAATGAAGACAATTTTGGAGCCATGCCTCTTTGGTACTCCCAGCTGCCTAACTCAGATCTCCCATGGCAGCCCTAGGATGAAGTGCAATTGTGACCTGATTAAACGCTTACAATGCTCCCACTGTCCCGCCTCTATCCCTCATCGAAACACCTCTTTTAATGCTGCCCTCATTTCATGGGTCTGATTGAACCTTGCTAATATAAGGACTGAGTTTTATGATGCCGCTCTGAGAGGATGCTGAGCAGCAACATCAACTGCTTTTTTTCCCTCTCCAGAGCACACACGGAATGAGAAAAAAGTATTCCTTATTATTGCCATATAATGGAGAGGGATTACATCTACTTCTAGCATCACTGTGAAAGTTACCTGTTAACTTCTATTAGAACTCATTAAGCAGTGCCTTTTATTCCCTTGGCTCCCAGCCTCCTTGACAGCTTTAGATGAACAAGAAATCCAACCATCCTCAACAACCTACATGCTCCATCAGGCCCTGCGTTTAGATTGTTCTATGCCAAGCACAGGGAAATCTTGTATTTTGTTTCTTATTCTAGACAACCAGTATCATCCGTCTTTGGGGGTTACTGTTGGTAGTCTTGTCACTCAGACTCAGCCACAGGCACGAAGTCTCCTTTGATTATATTTCAGTTCCTTAACAGAAACTGTTCTGTTACCTCATTTGCCTGCTAAAAACCCATAGAGGTTCCTGTCTTGTTAAATGTAATTCTGTTGCAATTACTGTCAAATATTAAATTAAAAATAGTTAGCTCATTAACAGCTCCCCCCAACAATCGATTAAAAAGTTTTATTTTTTAATATAAGGATGGCTAGCATTTATGTATGAACTCCTTTCTCATCTTTGGAATCTAATTGAAGTCACTTGGAATGCTCATTCTTTTACGTGGTCCCTGAATTTCTGGGGCATGGAAGAAGCATGCAGTGGGAACAGAAGGATGTGGCATGAAACCACCTCAGAGGCAGAGACTGGGTCTGGAAGAACCAGCTGAAGGTGTGGTGTGCACAGTCAAAGGCAGACACTGTCTCTGGCCTCAGAGGCATTCATCAGGATGTACAAGGGTGGAGGTTTCTAATGTGGGCAGAGCTTGGATATGGTGAATACAAGAGCACATGACCCTCAAAAGTACAAGGGAGGTAGGCAGGGGCACTGAGCAATGCATAAGCAGAAACACAGGGCTGGAGCCAACTGGGCTAGATTTCAGGTGGAAGATGGCCAGATTGCAGCAGGATCCAGTCTTGGAAGGAGCAGTAAACTAGGCAGAAGACTTCAAAAGGAGTAATAAAATAGCAATAAAAACACTGCCCTCTAATCCATGTTTGCCATAACATCTGAAATGATTCTTTAAAAAATATAAAGCAGATCGCACCACTATGCTGTGTAAAGTTTTCAGTGACTTCCTAAGCCAGTCTTATTAATCTCAAAATTGCAAAGAGATCACCCAGGGGTTTTTGTTAAAGTGCAAATTCCGACTTGGTGGTCTGGGGTGGCATTCAAGTTTTTGCACTTCCAACAAGCTCCAAGGTGGTGTGTGGACCACAATTTGAGTAGCAGGTACTTGGAGTACAATCAAAATGGCCTCATCTCACCCCATTCTCACCCATCTCTCTCCAAATCCCAGCCACTCTCATCCATTTCCCACCTCATAGGCTTTGTAATTTCTGTTTGCTGTGCATGGAATGCCACTCACCCAGCTCTTCTGGCTCTTCCTTCTCTGGTCTCAGCTTAAATGGCATCTTCTCAGCATAGCTTACCCTGACTGCCCTATCCAAAACAGCCCCCTCACTCCCAGTTATTCTCTACTAAAGTAACTTTGATTTTCAACTGTGATCATAGCTAGCTCTTAGTCTACAAGCGTCTATTTACCAATTCAATTGTTTTGTATATATGTCCCCAATTAGATACCACCTTTGAAAAACACAGGAACAATTATTGACATATTTTCCACTCTATCATTTATTAAATTCTGTCTATGCACTCTACATTGTACTAAGTGCTTTACATTTATCTCATTTATTCCTAGCATCCAGTCTGTAAGTTAGGTCTTTTTAATTACTAGGTTACAGACAAGATAATAGACACCCTTTAAAAACACTAAACAGAAACAGCAAACATTTGAGCAAAATAGAGATCCAGAAAAATAGCTATTGCATGTGCTAACCCTGACTCTGCCTGTGTTTTGCCTCCCGAGTGGAGATATTCAAACTGCAATGACCACTACCATTTCCACATGGTCCCCATGGGTACACTGCCTAAAGAAGGACAACAATTCCATTGCATGGCTGAGCTAGTCTAACACTAGAGATGACTGCTAAATAAAATGTAACAAAAAGAAATTTAATAAGGAAAGCAACTAGAGTCATCAAGGCTACCAATATTGGTACTATCAGCTGCTGCGTATTGTGCTCCAATCACAGGCCCCTCACTTTAAGAATATCAGTCAAAATGGTGAAGGGGAGATTTCAAATCCCAGGACAAAGGTATTATATACCTTGAATAGACATATGCTCCTCTGAACCTCCCCTCCCACCAGTAACCAGGGGCAGGAATACTCTGGCCAGGTTTGTTTTCTCCTTTCTGTAGGTACAAATTCTAGTAAGAATGTATTTTGACAGATTTAGCATCTGGGGTCCATACATAGCTTTTCCATGCAAGATGGGGGCATGAGTAGCCTTTGCTTTATCAGGGAGGATAATCCAGGGTTGAGAATTAAGTACTAAGTCTCCATTGCCCTGGATGATCTTGAACAGAGGCATATGAGGTCACGTACATAATTCTATGTATAAGTAAGTATTTCATTTCTTATTGTGGCGGAAAGGAGGAGTAGGAGAGTATGGATTCTGACTCTAGAGCTTCTTGAAATGCCAGCTTAGCTGCTGACCCTTCTTGAAGGTAGATGTGCACAGGGGCCTGCCGTGTGTGCTTATTATTTTTGATGGATTATAGTCTGGCTGCAGGGCAGGAAGCTCAAACCCCCAGGGTCACATTGTTGTAGCTTGCAAAGATGTTGAGGCTTGAAATATTTCATTGTAGCCAGGCTCAATGAGAATTTCAGGTACTATCTTCAGAGTCCCTTACTCTTCCTTCCTCTTCGGGTTTGCCCTAGATATAAAAAATTATGCCAAATTGCATTCCTCTCCCACACCGTTCTACACATACACTCAAGCTGAATATGAAAATTGGTCTCTAATTGTTGGATATAAGCTTGAATAGCTTTGAATTAACAGCTAAAGCTGTATTCATTAATCTGAACAGGGAAGAGCAGGCAGACTGTCACAACACGGCTCAGTTCAGTAGTCATGCAGAACAGGTGAGAGAACAGGCGGCACTTCAAAAGTGCAGCAGCCGATCTCCATCAGCCCCATCACCCAGAGACAAAGAGAGGGAGGCAGCCAGCCAGCCACAATAGCTCCACGAAATGGATGGCATACCTCAAAGTCCACCATCCCAGGGCATCCCAGTGATGATTGATGGCTATCCACAGCAATTAAGCTTCAGAGCTTTTAAATGTCATTTTAGAATGGAATGCCACCTCATAAATGTGTTGGTTAACATTTATCAAACGTGGATGGGGTGGGGTTGGTGGGCTATGGAGTCATTCTTTGGGGAAATAAGAACAAAAGTTACAGCTTTTAAAGTGGGAAACCACGTGAGTAAAATTTGACAGTATTTCCATGTGTTCTCTTCGACATTGAAATAAACTCCAGAAGAACCTTTTTGTGTTGAGATTTGGTGGGGTATGGTGAAATGAATGAACTCTATAACAAAGGGTCAGGAGAAGTGGCTTTAAGCTGTCTCTTTTACTTATGATGATGTATTTTAGAGAAGTCACAACCTACCTGTATAAATGGGAGATGTAGGTAGGAAAGAGTGTGCTAGAATCACCCGAGGAGCTTTAAAACATACCAATGGTATAGATGCTTACCTTAGAGATTCTGATCCAGTTTGTCTGGGGAGGGGTATATATAGCTGTGAAATCTCCCCAGGTGACAGATATGTATATTCTTTATTCTTACATTTCCATAATATTTCTTTTTATGTAGATATTCCCAAACAAAAGAGGACACTTATTAATTAAAAAAAGCTTTTCATAAGAACAACATATGGTGTTGAAGGACAAAAATATAGGGTGATTAATATTTTTCTTGCCACCAATTTGTATTTATTCATTAAGTCAATCATAGGTTAAATAACTCTTGACAATTCTTATCAAATTCAAAGTTTTAAGTAGGGGGCCTGGATTTACTTGAACATGGTGTGGCAGGGACCATGAATCCGGAAGTGTGTTATAGTGATAGCAACCTCTATAAAAGGTAGTTCGAACAAAGTTCATTCAACAGCAGAAAATTGCTGATTAAACTTATCAACTCTCCTTCCTCCATTTTGGCCTTTTCTTTTATTTCTCTGTTCTGATTACAGTTAAGTGGTGGCATAATATTTTTTAGATATGAACATGATCTAAAATTTCTCCTTCCTGTATTTTCTTTCCCAACTCCATTCCTGCATTCAAGCAAATAGTTGGCTTTGTAATTTTCACCTCAGGGGAAGGATGAGGAAAAAAAAAAGCCATATAAGTGTTTAGGTTCTCAAACCTTGTCTGTTTAAGGAGATTGTTCTTATATAGGCAATGCCCTCCAGATTAGTGAATTCTCCAAGGTGGAATGAAAGGTAATAAAGGGGAATGAAAAGGGATGAAGAGGAAGTGAGAAAAGGTACCTCAGTGGGCCCAGGAGATATGTTGTGGGCTTTGTTTGCAGGAGGGGTGATGAGGAGGCAGTACAACCTAAGAAGGGCATATAAAACTAAGGAAAAGGGTGATTAAGCCCATTTTCTATAATGGAGACTCCCTGTATTAGTCTGTTCTCAGACTTCTATAAAGAACTACCTGAAACTGGGTAATTTATAAAGAAAAATGGTTTAAGGACTAACAGTTCCACAGGCTGTACAGAAGGTATGGCTGGGGAGGCCTCAGGAAACTTACAATCGTGGCAGAAGGGTGAAGGAGAATCAAACATGTCTTCACATGGCATCAGGAGAAAAAGAGAGAGAGAGAGAGAGAGAGTGAAGGGGAAGTGCTACACATGTTCTGTTTTTTTGTTTTGTTTTTTTGGAGATGGAGTCTTGCTCTGTCACCCAGGCTGGAGGACAATGGCATGATCTCAGCTCACTGCAACCTCCACCCCCCAGGATCAAGTGATTCTCCTGTCTCAGCCTCCAGAGTAGCTGGGGTTACAGGTGCGCACCACAATGCCTGGCTAATTTTTGTATTTTTAGTAGAAACAGGGTTTCACCATGTTGGCCAGGCTGGTCTCCAACTCCTGACCTCAGGTGATTCACCCGCCTCTGCCTCCCAAAATGCTGGGATTACAGACGTGAGCCACTGTGCCCAGCAACAACAAGATCTCATGAGAACTCACTCACTGTCATGAGAACAGCAAAGGGGAAATCTGCTCGCATGATTCAATCACCTCCCACAAGGTCCCTCCCCCAACACTGGGGATTACAATTCAACATAAGATTTGGGTGGGGACCCAGAGCCAAAACATATCACTCCTACAATGGAGAAGCCCAGTGAGGTGAAACCAACCTAATTGTCCCATACAACTGATATTTAATGGTTTCTTTTCAATAAACATAGAAGATAATACTCCCAGTCTTAAAACTTAAGAAAGTTGTATTTGTCTTATCTGAGTTCCTTTCTTAGGAAATCAACCATCAGGCCATCCAGATAGTATAAAGAAACTGAAACTTATCATATTGCCACATCTGGACAATGAGACACCAGACCCCTCACCTGTCATGATTGCCTAAGTGACCACCTGCTCTTCCTGTTTACCAACTCTTCTTCCTTACCTCTCCCTAATTCCTGTTTTCCTCCATGTCATTACATATCTTCCCTGCTATTTAAACCCTAATTTTAGTCAGTCAGGGAGATGCTTTTGAGACTGATCTCCCATCTCCTTCGCTGCAGCACACACAATGAAAGCCTTCTTCCCTGGCAATACTCGTCTCAGTGACTGGCTTTCTCTTTGGTGAGCAGCAGGACCTAGACAGAACCCCTGGTGTTTTGGTAACAGTAAGATGGCTGTGAGGTCTATTTAAGAATATATGCCATAAATAGCTTATCAGGTATTCCCCTGTCTGTAAGCAACAGCAAGAACCACCAGACCCAAAGACGCCTTTGGGACAGAGTTATCTCAGTAGCAATTGGGCACACTGATGGCAGAGCACCAGGCCAGAGGATGGACAAGTCAGAGGATGCTGGTAAAAATGAGTGATATAGGAGTGGATGAGCCACCTACTTGCTGTGGCAGTATGCAAAATCCAAGAAGAAAATGAAATGGAGTTGTGTGGTGGAACAGGGGCCTCAAAGATAAATTGTTGTCCTTTAAAAACCTCTGGAGATATAAACCCTCATGTTATATCCTTTTGACAGAAGTAAAAGTTAAAATTAATCATGAAGTGTAGTTTGGCAAGTACATATAGTCATGTACGATTATGTCAGAATAATCATACATATGGGAGTCAGAATTCTATAGAGTATTAAAATGAATCCCCACTTAGAACACGTTCTCATTCTGTTCAGAGTATTCTCTTGCTTTAAAAGAAAACAGAGAAACAGACTGGTAAGAGATAATTCCATTTGCAAGAGGCAAAGTCTAATCTATTTGCATGAAAAGTGTAGAAGACTTTTTTACTTTATTCATCACTTCATTAATCTAATTTCAAAAGGGAAGGCCCAGACTGAAAACAGGGGTTATTCACATTTTGAACAAACTTCTCAGGCATGAGTGAGCAGAGCATTCAACTGTTAGACTTTGTTGCTTCTTTACCAGCTGGAGATAAGCACAATGAGGGTCACGCTATTGTGTCCGGAATTGGTGGGTTCTTGGTCTCACTGACTTCAAGAATGAAGCCGCGGACCCTCGCGGTGAGTGTTACAGCTCTTAAGGTGGCGCGTCTGGAGTTGTGCGTTCCTCCCGGTGGGCTCGTGGTCTTGCTGGGCTCAGGAGTGAAGCTGCAGATCTTCGCGGTGAGTGTTACAGCTCATAAAAGCAGCGTGGACGCAAAGAGTGAGCACTTGCAAGATTTATTGCAAAGAGCGAAAGAACAAACCTTCCACAGTGTGGAAGGGGACCCGAGCGGGTTGCCAATGCTGGCTCGGGCAGCCTGCTTTTATTCTCTTATCTGGCCCCACCCACATCTTGCTGACTGGTAGAGCCCAGTGGCCTGTTTTGACAGGGCGCTGATTGGTGCGTTTACAATCCCTGAGCTAGATACAAAGGTTCTCCACGTCCCCATCAGATTAGATACAGAGTTTTGACACACAGGTTCTCCAAGGCCCCACCAGAGCAGCTAGATACAGAGTGTCAATTGGTGCACTCACAAACCTTGAGCTAAACACAGGGTGCTGATTGGTGTATTTACAATCCCTGAGCTAGACATAAAGGTTCTCCAAGGCCCCACCAGAGCAGCTAGATACAGAGTGTCGATTGGTGCACTCACAAACCTTGAGCTAAACACAGGGTGCTGATTGGTGTGTTTACAATCCCTGAGCTAGATATAAAGACTCTCCACGTCCCCACCAGACTCAGGAGCCCAGCTGGCTTCACCTAGTGGATCCCGCACCAGGGCTACAGGTGGAGCTGCCTGCCAGTCCCGCGCTGCGCGCTCGCATTCCTCAGCCCTTGGGTGGTCGATGGGACTGGGCACCGTGGAGCAGGGGGTGGTGCTGGCTGGGGAGGCTTCGGTCGCACAGGAGCCCATGGAGTGGGTGGGAGGCTCAGGCATGGCGGGCTGCAGGTCCCGAGCCCTGCCTGGCGGGAAGGCAGCTAAGGCTCGTTAGAAATCGAGAGCAGCGCCAGTGGGCTGGCACTGCTGGGGGACCCAGTACACCCTCCACAGCCACTGGCCCGGGTGCTAAGTCCCTCATTGCCCTGGCCAGCAGGGCTGGCTGGTTGCTCCGAGTGCGGGGCCCGCCAAGTCCATGCCCACCCGGAACTCCAGCTGGCCCGCAAGAGCCGCACGCAGCCCCGGTTCCCGCTCGCGCCTCTCCCTCCACACCTCCCTGCAAGCTGAGGGAGTGGGCTCCAGCCTTGGCCAGCCCAGAAAGGGGCTCCCACAGTGCAGCGGCGGGCCGAAGGGCTCCTCAAGTGCCGCCAAAGTGGGAGCCCAGGCAGAGGAGGCGCCAAGAGCGAGCGAGGGCTGTGAGGACTGCCAGCACGCTGTCACCTCTCACTATCTAATCTTAAATATGGATAGATGTATGTATATAATTAGGGTTGGAGAAGAAATTATTTTGAAAAATGTTAAATAATAGGTCTTTTATGTACAGGTGTACAAGTGGGGATAACATGTTCCACGGTATCTATTTCCATCTTGTGTTAGTCTACAGAATGATTGACTGAATGAAAATTTCCATAGTAAACAATGAGAAATAGCTAGAATTGTATATATCAAACACTATTCTGCAACATGACAGAGGGATTTGGAAGGACTGGGGATACTTCCACCCCAGGAATTTCCAGGACATCTGGTAAGTCAACAACATTATCACAAACATTATGGCCAACAATGTGAGTTTTTGCAACAATGTATTCATTTTCCAAATGTTCCAGCTGAGAAAGCCACACAGAACATTCCCACCATCTAGCAGATGGCTAATGGGGAAGCCAATATTTTCTGTGGAAACCAAAGTTTCTTCTTCTAATGTTAGATATTTTCAGCAGAGAGAACAAATAAGCATTTTTTAAAATTTCATTTTCCTACTCTCAGAAAGAAAATGTATTGTATACTATTAATTTTAAAGAGTATGTAAGAAAAATGTTTTTTTTCCCCTTAAGATTGTATGAAGAGATTGCTAGACCCAGAAATGTTTGGTGGTGGTGAGAATGGCTGCTACTTTCCTATGTGGTGTGAGATGGAGTGGTTGAGGAAAATTTTGAATCTGTATTTATTATTATTATTATTTTCATTGCTTTGTGGGGGAAAATTTAAGTATATTATTGGAAATGAGTTTGCTCTTAGCTATGTCTAGATTTACAACTAACTTGTAGGATGTAGAGGTATGAATGGGACTTGATTTTCATAGAAAATGAAACAAAACCTGAACAAGGCTCAATTACCACACATTTATTTTAGAAAGAGTAGGAGGGGATGGCAAGCAAAAGATAAAACGTTGTTTGAGTAGCATTGAGTTAACACCTCTAGTTTCACAGGCTACACTTTCCTGTGCCAGGAAAATGGTCAATTCACCTTAAAATATTTTACCTTCACTTGTCACTATCAAGCATTTAAGTAAATATTTAGAAAAATATGCCTATATAAAATACTTCTAAAGGTGTGCATTTTTTATAAATGAACGTTTCTATTTGTTTTTTGTTTCAATTTGTTATTTAAGAAGTTTAGAGGACCATGTTGAAGTGGGAGTTTCTCCCACTTTTCCAGTAATAACTGCAAATGAGTGTTTTAATGTCCCTGCAATCTGACTAAAATCCTTTTAAAAAATTAATTGCGATACTGCCATGCAAAGATATTGGCGTGTAAAATTGCACTTATTTTTGTAACAAGCTATTTCACTCTTAAAATTAATATTAATTAAAGTTACTCTGTACCTACTATGTACAAGACAATATGCTAAGCTCTGCTGGAGACGCAAGAAATTTACACTGAAGTTTAATGGTGCAAAGACATACTTAATTTCAGTAAGTTATTAATCATATCTGCCTTCCTCCTTTAAGAAACTAGGTATCTTAGCTGAAACATCCATTTGGTGGTTGCTTGGAGTCTGGCTTTCTGAAGCCTGTGCAAACTGGAGTCAAATGTGTTATTCAGGGATGGCTAATAGGTTCTCTTCATGAGATGAAGATATGCTCTTCTTGGAGTAGAGTAAGGTTGAAAATCAAGAGAATCAAAAACTTGTAAACAGCTCCTTAGGGTGGTATATGAATAATTTCCCCTCATTCTCCAAAGATTCCCATGTCCTAATCCCCAGAATTTGTGATTATATTATTTTTTATGGCAAAAGGACTTTTGCTGATGTTAGTAAATTAAGGATCTTGAGATAGGAAGATTATTCTGTATTATTGAGTGAGCTCAATATAATCACAAGGGTTCTTATAAGAAGAAAACAGGAGGAACTGAATCAGAAAAGGTATGACTATACAAGCAGAGATTTGAGTGATATGTTTTGAGGATGGAGGACGGGGCTGTAAACCAAGGAATGCAGGTAGCTTGGTAGATAAAGCAAGGAAACTAATCCTCCCCTAGAGGCTCCAGAAGGGAACACAGCCCTGGCAGCACCTTGACAAATACACTTTTATCCAGTGTGGCTGGTCAGATTTCTAACCTACAGAAATATAAGATAATAAGCTTGTGTTGTGATAAGCCCCTGTTTGGGTAATTTATTTACTGCAGCAATAGAAAGCTAGTACAATAATAAATCCATAAATAAGTACTGTAAGATCTTCCAGAAGGAAAATGTAAACTTAAGTATATAAAAGCTGTGGAATAGCAATAATTATTCTTTCCCAACTCCGGCAGGTCTATGTGGTCCATCTGCATAGACCAGCAACAGCTTTACTCAAGAGGAACAAGGAACAAGAGGAAAAATGTGGAAAGATGCTTCTCCTGCTCTCTGCAGCCACCTAAGTTTTGCTCAGATCTATATCCCTTTTCTAAATAAATTGGGAAACTACAAGAGATAAGCACATATAATCTCCTCTTGCCAACTTGTAGACAGACTTCCAAAGATAAAAAAAAAATCCTAGAAAAGTCTCCATTGAATATTACTGGAGTACTAACTTCTGATTTTAATATGACTTGTTTCCATAGCAAACACACCATTCTGGAGGAGTAGGGATGACAATGACTTGGCAGATAATTCCTGAAGTTCCATGAATTCCTTTGCCATCTATTATATTTGTTTCTTTACAAAAACTCAGTAAGTTTCTACTTGATGTTGAATATCTTAGCGGAAAGATATCAGAGAGAACAGAAACTGGGAAAAACAAACAAAAACAAAAGCATTTAACGTGTAAAAGGGAAGAATCATCACAGGGATGACAGCCACCTGGTGCGCTGAATATTTTCCATTACTTCTGCACATTCCTGTACAATAAGCAGAAGCAAGAGCAGCAGTCCTCCATCTGGGTCCTGTTTGTACCAAGACTGAATGTGGGTCCCACTTTTGATTCACCTTTATTCTGTAGGACAAGATGTCAATAGATTGTATTTCTCTTCAGTCTAAGCCTCCTGAATGCCGGAGCCTGAAGTCACCTCCGAGTGACTCTAAAGAAACCCACCATCTTTCCCTGGATTCCTCCATAGGAGCTTGGTCATCTGGATTATAGTCCTTATCAAATTGTATTTTATTTTATTTTATTTTTGAGACGGAGTCTCGCTCTGTCACTCAGGCTGGAGTGCAGTAGCACGATCTCGGCTCACTACAACCTCAACCTCCCAGGTGCAAGCAATTCTCTGCCTCAGCCTCTTGAGTAGCTGAAATTACAGGTGCCCACCACCATACCCAGCTAATTTTTGTATTTTTAGTAGAGATGGGGTTCCACCATCTCGGCCAGGCTGGTCTTGAACTCCTGACCTTGTGATCCACCCGCCTTGGCCTCCCAAGGTGCTGGGATTATAGGCGTGAGCCACCGCACCTGGCCTGTATTTTAATTTTTTATCTGCCCCCTTCCCCAATAGGTTGTGAACTCCTTGGGGTAAGGCATGGCATCTCATTCGTCTTTGGATTTCTGGTACCTAGGGCAATGACTTCACTCACTGAGCACTTCATACATACTGATTTCAGTTGTTGAAGGAGGAAATCATTTTCTCTTCTGGAATTATTCAACATTTTTGTAATCCTTTCCTCCCACTAAGACTTGAATCCTCAAACATTACTGGACCCTATTCTTTACTTTTCCATCCACTCAAATATTCATTAAGTCTGGTTCATGCATTCTTCACAGTCATACCTCCCTTTGCATTGCTAAGAAACTCTGCATATTATCCCCTTGGCTATATTGATTGTTTCCAAGTATAACTGTATGGACTTGCCACAGGATGGCTGCACCATAATTACCCAAGGAGTTTATTACAAAACAGGCCCCAACCCCATAGTTTCTGATTGAATAGGTATCACATTGGATTCTTTATTTTTAACAGTTTACCAGGTGTTATAGGATGAATTGTATCTCTCCAGATTCATATGATGATGTCCTAACCCCTAGTACCTTATAATGTGAACTCATCTGGAAATAGGGTCATTATAGATGTAATTGGGTAGATTTAGATGAGTTCATGCTAGAGTAGGATAGGTCCTTAGTCCAATATGTTTGGTGTTCTTATAAAAAGTGGATATTTGGACACATACATGTGCATAGGGAGAATACTATGTGAAGGCAGAGATCAAGATGATGCTTCTATAAGGCAAGGAATGCCAAAAATTGCCAGAGATCAACAGAAGCTATGGGAGGGGCATGTAAGAAATTCTTCTTCACAGCCCTCAGAAAGAACTAGCCCTGCCAACAACTTGGCCTTGCATATCTAATCTCTAGAACTGTGAGACAGTAAGTTGTGTTAAGACATCTAGTTTGTCTCACTGTGATACAATAGCCCTAGAAAACTAGTATACCAGGTGATCCTGATACATTGACATGATTTTTGACCTGGACTCTTACCACTCCTTTACGTTAAAACCTTCAATATCTCAAAGGGCCATTATGAGGACTAAATGAATTAATATTTATAAAATGCCTAAAACAGGCTTGGCCCATAGTAAATGCTATCTACACATTAAATTTTTCAAAATCCTTACTGTGGAAAGAAGCAACATTGGTGTGTGTGTATATCATGATATGATTTTAGATGGTATAGACATAAAAATAAATTATTAACAATAGTATAATTGACACATCAATCTCACAGTTTTTCAAATTTAGTTTGAAGTTATGTTACCAAAACACCAGGGATTCAGTCTAGATCTGTCTGCTCACTGCACAGAAAGCCAATCACCAAAACTGCAAGTATTACCAGGGAAGAAGGCTTTAGTTGGGTGCTGCAGTTGAGAGGATGGGAGCTCAGTCTCAGATTCATCTCCCTGACTGACTAAAACTAGGGGTTTAGATAGCAGGGAAGAAATGTAACAAAGTGTAAGAAATCAAGAACTAGGGAGGGAAAAGGAGACATCTGGTGCCCTGATCTAGTGAGCTTCAGTTCTTTGATACTTTTTTTGAGAGGCTTGAAGGTCCTTTCCTGAAGAAGGAACTCAAGATAAAACAAATACAGGTTTCAAGCTTTAACAGCAGAAGGGCCAATTTCTATGTTGATCTAAAAGAACAGTCTATGAGAGTAGTGGGCCGGTTTCAGTTCCACCATGGTTTGGTAATAATCCACTTTAGAATACATTGCATCTTAGAGGCCTCTCTGCATGCTCATGAATCTTCAAACTTTAAGTCACTGGAGCATCTGTGATATATTGCTGGGACATAGGCAGATTTCTGGGATGGAGTGTTGTCAACCAAATCTCCTTAGGTATATCAGTGCCTTTTCAGCAGTAACATGGCACATTCTTTGGTTTATGGATAGACAACATAGTGAAGATATGATTCCAATAAATGCAATTTAGGATAAAAAAATCCCACAAAATTAATATGAACAAATAACCTACCAGGCACTCTACTGGATGATTTACCTATATTATTTAATTTAATTCTCATGAAAACCCATGGAGGTAGTGGTATATTATCCCCATTTTCAGGGATAACTGTTTTTCAGGGGAAAACTGAGGCTCAGATGAATTAAGTAGTAAGCTATAGAACACAGAACTTATAAGTGGCAAAACTGACATTTAGGCCCAGGCAGTCTGACACCAATGCCTGTCCTTCTTATTTTGTTTTAGTGCCTTTAAAAAAATTATATGACTTCTTCTGAAAGATAGCATACACATAAAAAAGCATACATACACACACACACACACATAATTTAAAGAATACTTGTAAGACAGACACGTGTATAAGCACTAATCCAATCAACAAAAACAGGGTTGCCAGTGCTCTAGAAACTTCCTGTGCAGCCTGCTATGATTAAGTTCCCTTGTGACATCAGAAGAAGGCAACACTTACACTTTTTGATAATTATGGGGACCATTTTCTTCATCATCTGTCATTTCATTATCTATGTTCATAACCCTCAACAATGCTATCATTTTTTGTGACCTAACATTCAGTGCCTTCTGTGCTATAGGCTCTGATCTTTTTTCCCATTATTTTGCTACTTGAACCCTCTTCTACAACTTCTGGTTGATTTATGTGACCCCCAACATGCTGTATGTATTGCTTCTTCCTTCCCATTTATTCCAGTAAATCCCTTTGTCCAAGCCTTCTCTCCCCACATTTACCCTTTCTTTACAGGTTGCTTTTCTGGTGGGTTTGTCCCATAAGGTTTCCTTCTCCCCTGAACTGCTCTAGTCCTTGTATCTATTCCATCTATTTTATACTTTTCTCACATCATGGTTTAATGCTATTCTTTAATACATAAAAGTGTTAAGGTATTTGCTACTATTATCAATATTTCATTTATTATTAATTTATGCATTTGACAAACATCTATTAAACACACAGTGTGGCTGGGTGCAGTGGCTTATGCCTGTAATCCCAGCTCTTGGGGAGTTTGAGGTGGGAAGATTGCTTGAGCTCAGGAGTTTGAGACTAGCCTGGCCAACACAGCAAGACCCCATCTCTAAAAAAATTTTTTTAAATTAGCTAGGTATGGTGGTGTGTGCGTGTAGTTCCAGCTACTTGGAAGGCTAAGGCAGGAGGATTGCTTGAGCCAGAAGTTTGAGGCTGCATTGAGCTATAATCATGCCACTGTACTCCAGCCTGGGTGACAGTGAGACCCTGTCTCAAAAACAAACAAAAACCACACAAACACAGTGTGGCAGATATAGGTTCTACATATATAGCAGACAATAGTACATGCAAAGTCTCTGCCCTCATGGAGCTTGCATTCTGGAGCAAAGAGACAAATAATAAACTAATAACAGATAAGTAAATAAGATCATTTCAGACTATGATAAACACTATGAAGGAAATGAAACAGAGGTGGGGGGTGGTGAGAAAAGAGGACACTGTGTGAGCTTAGGTCTTTTCTTCCATCTGAAGTAATAAACTTTCAGTCAGGGAGAACAGCAAGTGCAAAGGCTCTGGGGCAGAAACAAGCTTGGCATGGAGTGGATGAAGAGAGAGCAGGAGAACAAGAGGTTGGAGAAGAGGTGTTGAATAATCACGTGGGGGTTGTATAGGCCCTGATAATGAACTTAGTTGCTTTTTTAGGTGTAATAGGATGCCACTGTAAAGTTTAAGGAATGGAAGGTACATACTTTCACTTGCTTATGAGCTCTTACCTTATATTGTCTTCTAACTTTTAATGTACACATCTTTTGCCTAAACTAGAGCGTTCAATTTTTGTAGTTGCTTCAAATATTTACTGTTGGTGCTGCTAATATTTTTGTAAAACCTGTGTGGCTGCCCTTTCAAGACTGTAATTACACTAACACTTTATTTCAGTTTTTAGCAATGTCAAACTTTCCAAGAGTACTGACTCGACTCAGAAAGGCATCGATTCAGTAAAGTTTCAATTGGACAACTAAAGTACATTTATGTGGTTATTACACTGTCAACAAACATGACCTGCCTTGCGAGCAACTCGAGAAGTGCCAAAACACTTGTTAGTTGTTCAAAATCTAGAGTGTGCCTTCTTTAGGATTAGGGGTAACTTGATGAGACTTGAATTCCAGCTGACCTTTGGTGTACTTCTCAAAGCAAGACATGCAGCACTAGGAATAGGAACTGAGGTTTCTGATAAAAACTGACAGACATAGCCATTGCCTTTTCAGTTAAATTTTCTAGGGACTTTGTGCATTTCATCTCCATATAGTATGAACTTCTGAGGATTTTAAACAAGGAAAGCAACTGTTGAGAACTGAAAATGAGCCCTAACCAAATGTATCAACGTACAGAACTGAGATATGAATTTATAAGGTGGGAGGAGATCCGTTAATAATAAAGAGATCTCTTTTTTGACAGCTTGAGAGCATGCATCTGGCACTGAACATTCCATGTGGTTGGTATTTAGATTGTTCTTTATTATCTAAATAAGCAGCAATGTGCTTTGGAGGCTGAAAGAAAGGTCTGTAATTCTGTGAAACAAAGCAGGCCTGGAGCAAGGCATATGGCTGTTGCCCTCAGGCAGGGGTTTTCAGTTCCTAAAGTGGGGGCGGGTCCTGCTGCTAGCAAGTTGGGATTAGTTATTAGAGAGCATTCCCAAGGTGCCACTGACTCCAAGGAAAGCATTGAAGCTGTGATCACACTCCATTACTCCTCTACTTACTAATGAGCCAGATTTCCAAAAGGGAGTGCTCCCTTTAAGTATGCAATTTTATACTCACCAAATGACCTGCAATTGTACTTACAGATGGATTATACTTAAATGGCTCAACTGGTCCAAGTAGCCAGTCATTTGACCCTCATGCTAGAGAAGTTAATGACTCATTGCTCCAAGAATAGTGTGAAAAACCTAGGTCAGAAGATGTTTTAAAATGTTTTTATTAGACATGTTCCCCCAGAGATGGAGTTTAGAAGGAAACAGTAGAGTTCCAGTGGCCTGGCACCTACTCTTCAATTTTAAAATCAACAGACATTTTACAGGCCCTGTGCTAGTTGCTAAGGATAGAGAGTAGTGAGCAAAACAGAAAGGGGTGCTGTCTTCATGGAGCAGACATTCTATGAGAGACAGAAACACACACGCACTTGTGCACAGTAAGGCTATACAGAAATAGATGGATGGAAAAGATGCATTTAAGGCCCAGGGAGGAACCCAGTAAGAGGCTGAGATTATACAACAAGAAAATCATCAAACAACAAACACAGTGTTTTACTTAATTTAGGTAATAAGAAAAGGTCTCTGAGAAGGTGAACTTTTTGTTGACACCTAAAATAAAAGGAGTTGGTTATGAAAATATTGGCCTCAGGGAAGGTGGGAGCCTTCCAAGCAATGGGCACAATAACCTGACAGTGGAGAAAACCTGGATATATTGGAAGAACTGAAAATGTACTCGAGTGTGCGGACTGTGTACGGGCAGAAGGAAAGAGTGATGTGTAATGGACAGAAGATCTGAGCAGGCAGGGCATTCCTAGTCATGGGAAGACATTTGGATTTATTCTAAGTGCAATGTTAAGCTACTGAAAGTTTCTAAGCTGGGGGAGATAGGATCAGACTAGTGTTTTGGACGGCATGACCATTTTCTTTGCCTTTCTAAATATGCTTGGCATATTGATATAACTTGGAGTTCTTCAGAAAACCGATACTGTTGTAAGTTCACAGATTTAAATTTTTCTTCCTCTTATACAATTCATTCTAATATTTACTGTGTCTAATGTTTGCTATGTAGTATCTTTGGACACATGGAGAAGATAAAAATCTACTGTTTAAGGGGAAAGGCACAACACAAAAATAAAAAATCTTCATACATATGACCCATGTGTCCCCAACCTGAAGTTCAGAGACTAGGAGTTCAAAGAGAAGCAAGTCTTTGAACCCAGAGGTTATGAAAATTTCTTTGAGCAACGATCAGGAAGTGAAAAGGAACCCTAACCAAATGTATCAACTTATAGACAACTGAGATATGAATTTATAAGGTGGGAGGAGATCCGTTAATAATAAAGATATCTTTTTTTTTGGACAACAAAAAAACTCCTTGAGGAGGTTGCTCTGTCTGGCAGGGAGGCCAGATGGGAAGACTGCTTAAGCTCAGGAGTTGGAGACCAGCTTGGGCAACATGGGGAAACCCCATCTCTACAAAATTTTTTTTAAAAAATAGCCTGTCATGGTGGCATGCCCCTGTGGTCCCAGCTACACAGGAGGCTGAGGTGGGAGGATTATGTGAATCCAGGAGGTCAAGGCTGCAGTGAGCCATAATTGCACCACTGCACTCCAGCTGGGAGAAAGAGCGAGACCCTGTCTAAAAATAAATAAATAAATAAAAAAGAAAGAAAATGAAATAATATCACAGAAATGATGTCATTATGTGTAGTAGGAAGATACATGGGAATCCAAACTCCCCACATTAAAAATGTTGAGTCATATAGCATTACAGAGTTAAACTATTAGCAGATTTAAAAAAGGAATCTAGGAGAACACAGGTCTTACCCAAGGGGATTTTTGGTGTTATTTCTGATTACTTAAAAATCTGCTTCCATTACGTCAACTAGAAACCCACTTTCCAAAAAGCTAATAGCTGGGATTCTTGCTATCATCGAATAAAACATAGGTGCTTAGAGCATAAAGACTTATTTTCACTTTTATTCTTATCTTGGTAAAACAGTCTG
Organism: Homo sapiens; assembly: GCF_000001405.40. Taxonomy (NCBI): domain Eukaryota; kingdom Metazoa; phylum Chordata; class Mammalia; order Primates; family Hominidae; genus Homo; species Homo sapiens. Next base: position 53,463,106 of record NC_000013.11, read on the forward strand.
CTGATGGTGTCACCCTTTGTCTGGTGGAGGTTTAGTGCTGCTGTTGTCGGTATTAAAGCCAGAAAGAGAGAGGGGCGCTGGGAGATACTTTAACTGCCACAGGCATAAGCCATTATCTTCACTCTGTGAAAAATTGCCTGATTTCTTCTCTTGATAAAACTAGACATGGGTTTAAAAACATCACTTAGAAACATAAACCTCAAATACCTAAGTCCTTACTTCTCTTCCTTTATCATTCGCCAGTGCCTTTGAGAATTGGAGGGGAGTAAGGTAACTACTTGTAATGAAATGCACTTAAAGAGGGTAAAATGTTAGATTTCACTTTTGAGGCACAGTTGATAGAAGCATTATCCCTGGAGGGCTTATTCAATCAAGAGTCTGAGATGCTGAAGCAAGCAGAGATTAAGAGATGCGAAAAGGGTTTCATCAAGGCACATGCTGCGGCGAGAACTTCTGTTGGCTTACCTTTGCTCCGGCTCCCTTAGAGCATGTGCTTCTGTGGGGATCACGCTCATTTTCTCTGGTGAAGTTATGCTTCCTCACATGCCCTTAAAGTTCAGTCGGGACACCTCAGCAAAGCCTGCAGGTTCCCTGCCCTCAGCCACAGCCCACTTTGTCTTTCCCACCTCACTTCCATCACATATACCCTATGTCGTACCCATCCCAAACTTTCCATCATTCTGCAAATTTTCTTGAACTTCTTGTCCCTTTCTATGTCTTTGTTCCTGATTTTTATTTTTATTTTTAAAATTTTATTTATTTATTTATTTATTTTAGACAGAGTCTTGCTCTGTCGCCAGGCTGGAGTGCAGTGGCGCGATCTTGGCTCATTGCAACCTCCACCTCCCAGGTTCAAGCGATTCTCCTGCCTCAGCCTCCTGAGTAGCTGGGATTACAGGTGCCCACCACCACGCCCAGCTAATTTTTGTATTTTTAGTAGAGACGAGGTTTCACCATGTTGGTCAGGCTGGTCTTGAACTCCTGACCTTAAGTGATCCGCCCACCTTGGCCTCCTAAAGTGCTGGGATTATAGGCATAAGCCACTGCACCTGGCCGTTCTGATATTCTTATCACATTAAATGACTCCTTTCAAATTTCATCTTTTTTTTCCCATTTAATCTTCGTAATAACCCTGTTTAGATCATTACTATCCAGTTTCTGTTCCTATAGTGTTTTGCTTTCGTTCTGTAGTTTTAACATTTTTACATTCCTCTCTGCATTCTGGTTGTGTTTCTATATCCCCTTGCCTTCAGACTGTAAGTTCCTTGAGAATAATGAATCTTTTTTTTTTTTTTTTGAGACAGAGTCTTGCTCTGTCACCCAGGCTGGGGTGCAATGGCATGATCTCAGCTTACTGCAACCTCTGCCTCCTGGGTTCAAGTGATTCTCCTGCCTCAGCCTCCTAAGTAGCTGGGACCACAGGTGCCTGCCACCATACCTGGCTAATTTTGTATTTTTAGTAGAGACGGGGTTTCACCATGTTGGCCAGGATGGTCTTGATCTCCTGACCTCGTGATCCACCTGCCTCAGCCTCCCAAAGTGCTGGGATTACAGGTGTGAGCCACTGCACCCGGCCAGAGAATAATAAATCATTTTCATCATTTTTCTTTCAAAAAGTAGTACTCCCAAAGAACATTTATTGAGCACATGCTAATCGCTAATGAGTGCCAGGAAAACAAAGAGAAGAAGGCATGTGTAGTCTCTGTTCTCATGGAGTTGATATTCCACTGGCAGGAGAATAATAATAGATGGGAAACATAGACAAACAAAGTAGTTACAAACTGTGATACATGCTATAAAGCAAGCACACAGGGCAATGGGATAAGAGAGTCTTGGGGAGGGGGATATTTCGTTAGATAGGGTATAGGAGCTGGCTTCTTTGTAGTGGTGATCTGGGAGATGAGAAATGGCACTGGGAAGGCCATGTGGAACACTCTGGAGAGTAGCAACAATGTCCTAAGGCAGGCAAAAGCTTGGCATATATAAGGAATTGTCAGACGTCATTTTGTGGTAAGGGGTAGACAGGTAGAAGGAAGAGTTGGATATTTAGGCCGCTGCCAGATCATTCAGGACAAGGAGTTTGGACTGTGTGTGTTTTTTTTTTTTGAGACAGAGTCTTGCTGTGTTGCCCAGGCTGGAGTGCAGTGGTACAATCTCAGCTCACTGCAACCTTCACTTCCCGGGTTCAAACAATTCTCCTCCCTCAGCCTCCTGAGTAGCTGGAATTACAGGTGCAGACTACCACGCCTGGCTAATTTTTTTATTTTTAATAGAGACAGGGTTTCACCATATTGTCTAGGCTAGTTTCCAACTCCTGGCCTCAAGTGATCTGCTTGCCTCAGCCTCCCAAAGTGCTGGGATTACAGGTGTGAATCACCATGCCCAGCCCGAACTGTGTTTTAAGTTTAGTTGGAAGCCATTGCATGGTTTTAAGCAGGAATGTGATATTGTATAACTTTATATATATATATATATATGTATATATAATTTTTTTTTTTTTTGAGATGGAGTCTCGCTCTGTCACCCAGGCTGGAGTGCAAAGGCACAATCTTGGCTCACTGCAACCTCCGCCTCCCAGGGTTCAAGCAATTCTCCTGCCTCAGCCTCCTGAGTAGCTGGGATTACAGGTGCACACCACCACTCCCGGCTAATTTTTGTATTTTTAGTAGAGATGGGGTTTCACCATGTTGGTCAGGCTGGTCTCGAACTCCTGACCTCCTGATTGGCTCACCTCGGCCTCCCAAAGTGCTGGGATTACCGGCATGAGCTGCCATGGCCAGCCAAATGATATGTATTTTTAAAGATAATGTAGATAATTGTTGAATTAAACTATCTTTTCATAAGAAGAGGGCTTATTTACTCTAATTGAATATTAATAGTCTTTGTTTCTTCATATGAAACATTTGCAGAGCCTTCAAAGTCTCCATGAATAAAACCATCAAAAATAAAAGAACGCTTAATTCAAATTTTTCATGTTCATTGTCTTGGCCAGTTAGTTTTAATTGTTTCATTTCTACTAATTTATGAACAAGGTTTGGCTAAACAATAATAAACAATCTTCTAGTATAAACAGAGCCCTGGAGAGTGGGGGGTGGTAACTGTTTGCGTGAGTATGATGCCCCTTTAATTGAATTCACAGAACACATTAAAAAAAAAGTACAATAATTTGTCTTTGTAATAAAACCCCCTCCCTTCACTTTATTTCTCTCTTCATTCAGGGTTACTCCTCATAAATTTAAGAAATTCTTTTATTGTTTTAAGCAGGAGTTTACACATACCTGGGAGTAATTAATTTAACTTTTTACAGATTTCTTTGTAGTGTGGGGGTAACTTTCTGACCTTTCTTCTATTTAGAATGAATGAATGAAATGGTACTGGGTTTCCATAGAATAGTCTAAAGAAGGGGAAAAGAGATGTGATGGGAATAACAACTTTTAGACCCAAATGGGGAAGAATCTAAAGAACAGACTTTCTACTTGAAGAGATTCAAGTCCATTGCTCTTAGAAAAGTTTTCTGGTAATAACTCAACTTGGAATAATGCAGCAAGTTTATATTGGTAGCCACCTATTTGTAGCTGAAAAGACTGGAAATAGTTCACACAATGAAACCCAGCTATGAGGCAAACTGACATAAACCAAATGTTCCTGATAGATCCACCTACTCTTTGCAAACAGAATGGGATCTGCAACAGTGGGAGTCTGGTCCATCTCTAATTTTATTCTGTCTTATTGGTACTCATCCTGATTAGATTGGAGATGGAGTAAATGTCTTAATTAACTTAAACATATAACTACTCCAGGATGTATTTCTAAGTTCAAGGTACTCTGGGAGAAAATGAGCTGTTTAATTTAACGAATGTGATTTATGGTGAAATTTATCATGAAATTTGCTGAAATTTCTAAAATTTTTAAAAATAGTTTTCAGGATGGTAATTGCTGTAAGGGGTAAAATTATTATGTGCATATTAATAGCCTTTAAGCATTTTATGAAGTAATCCAGTAAAATTGACTTCTAGTCAGTCCCCGCTATACTTGCTTTATTGGCAACATTTCATCTGTGGGTTGCTGTTGAGACATTTTTACTGTTTACCAGATGGGGTAAGATTTTACATAACTTAAAACATCTGCTGTCATTGCAGTCCAATATGATCATCTATTTATATTTTTGAATTATATTATTCATTTCCTTTTAAATGATCATGAAAATGTTTTCAGAAGGACAAGTTTACATGATATTTGTGAAAGACATTTAACTTTTCCCTCTCTTTTTTTCTCGTGTATTTGCTATTAGGATGAGCCATATTTTGGGTCATGAATATAGTGAAATATTTAGATGCATCTCCTACTTATGAAGTATTTGATTTCCTAAATTAACTGTTGTTAATGTCACCTCTGCTTTCCCGTACACACCTGTATATAATCATTTCACTGTAAATATAAAATACAGAAAGCCATTTTAGATCATGCCAAGGGTCTGATACACAAAATGTCTTCAAAAATGCTGTAAGGATAATGCTGCTCCTTAAAAAGCAGAAGAAGGAAAAGCTATACAAAATAAAGAAGGAAATAGAGTTATTTACTTGGGCTTTGAACTAGCCAATAGTGACAATAACTATTGTGTAATTTACAAAGCACTTTTATATATAATAATCAAAAATTGGTTATAGATGTAACTATTGCTGTCCCATTTTATAGACGAGGAAACTAAAGCTTAAGAGCATTTAACAACTTACCTAAGGTTAGGGTGGTGAAGCTACTGGGGCTCAGAGACCACAGTCCCTTTCTCCAAGAACCTCATTTCATTCCAACATAGCCAAGTCTGAATTGTTGAATCCTTGAAATCTCAGCTGGCAGCGTGCATGTTCATGATGCTGAGAGGTTAGAATGAGAAGTTTCCTTTTGTTTATGGTTGGAATATGGTGCGTAGAGCCTGTTGCTTCTGTGGGCTTAATCACCTCCTGGGTCACAACGCCTTTGAGGTATGCTAGGTTGAATTGTGTCTACCCAAACATATCCATAGTCCTAATGCAGTACATTTGAATATAACCTTATCTGGAAATCACCTTTAAATGTCATTAAATTAAGGATCTTGAAATGAGATTATCCTGGACTTAGCTTGGGCCCTGACTCCAATGCAGAGTATCCTTATAAGAAATAAGAAAGGAGAAGACACAGAGACACAGAGGCCAAATAAAGATGGAGACAAAGATTGGAGTTATGCAGCTACAAGCCAAGGAACACCAAGACTTGCTGACAGCCACCAGAAGCCAGGAGAGAAACATGGAATGGATTCTCTCGCTGAGCCTCTAGAAGGAACCAACCATGTCAATACCTTGATTTTGACTTTGTACTTCTGGTCTCCAGAACTGCGAGATAATAAATTTTTGATTTTTAAGTGATGAAGTGTGTGGTAGTTTTTTAAACGGTAGACATAGGAAACTAATACAGTTTGACTCTCTTCTAGAAATTGTGAAAATAATAATATATGAAAATCTGAATTTTTGCCGTATTTGTTTGATATCGAAAATGAGAAAAAAGGCAAGATGACCAGAAGCTACTGACAGAAAAAAAATTAAGAAGCAGCACCATTAGTGGAAGCCAACAAGCCTTTCCATTGCTCCTGGGGAGCTGGTCCCAGGTAATATTTGCCTGTTTTATCTGACCTGCCATTTGAGGAATAGGTATGCATGTGATTCAGAAGATTAGGAGTTTAGGACATCACTAATTAATTATGCCACCCTGGAATGTCACTTAAATTCTCAGAGCCTCCTTCATAAAATCAACTCACCTTGAGGCCTGTGGGCCTGACACTGCCAGTCACCCAGCTTAGTAGAAACAGGGCTTTGGAACCAAAACACCTTAGTGCAAATCTTACCTCTATCACTTACTATATATAGGCAGGTTTGCAAATCTCAACGTTGTTTCTAGACCATAATGACCATTATATCTTCTTTAAGAGGTATTGAGTGGGTTAAATGGAATAATCTGTGTAAAACATATATATAATGTTTAACTTTTTTCCCAAATCTTTTAGGGCAAGTTTATCATCATGCTAACTCAATCCTGGAGTCCTAGTGACTGACTAGCAGGTTTCTCAATCTCTTTAAAAAATTTTCATGTTTTAGATTTGTATCCTTTAAGGGCTTTCTGGTTCGTATTTTCCATATCACCAATGGATGAGGGGTGTGTGTTATATTCTCTTTAGTTTGTTTTCAGAAAACAATAGGTTGAGTATGTGTATTTTCTTTCAAACTATACGCTCATCACACCTCACACATTCCCCAGTTTGAAAAATCTCTGGACTAATATTCTGGCTGCAACACACAGGAAATTGTGCCCTAACATTGTCCGGAAAATATCAATGTCAAGCATTTCTCACTGGCTTTACAGAAAAGCTTTTTAAATGAGACAGTTTTTAATATATACCTAAAATTACACATTTGTATAAATTTAGGCCTGCTTAAAAGTAATAGTATAAAATCAAACCAGGGACCCACAAATGATAAAAACGCAAAATACACCCTTACAAGTCCGGATGAACTATTCAGTTCAGTTTCTATTGGTATTTTCCAGTTTAAATAAAACAAATTCCAGCAACCAACAAGTTTCAAAGTAACAAATTTTAATTGGCATCTCTCAGCCTGTGATGGGTAGTGAGTTGTATCACCCGAGTAGCACTTACAAAAATTCTCTTTCTTTTCTCCTCTCGTTTCCATCACACACTCGAGGTTGCTCTGGAGGACTTTGCTCTGCAGCTCCCAGACTTACTTCATATTCCCAAACCCAGTGTCCTTCCTCCTATGCTCTGTATCTCCACACACTCCATTCCTTAGCAAGGCTTGTTGACCTATCCCATCTCTAGCTGCACACACTTCCTTCTGACTGGAAGCAAGGAGGAAGGAGAGGGTTGACCTGGGCAATGTGAGAAATCTCTTTTGTGGGTCATAGGAGAGGCTGTGAACTTTGAGGTAAAAAGTAATTTTTAGTCCTGTCATAATTTTAATAGCTTAGATTAACTTGTAACTTAAAAGTACTTTCAGCTATATTATCATATTTTCTCTTAAAATATCCTATAAAATTCTTACAGTACATTATTATTATTTTCAGAGAAGCCTACTAACTAGATGGGAGGCAAGCAGCTGTGAGCTGTCTCTTTTAGCACCTGACTTTCCTGGCTTGGCTAAGGTAAGTGCAGAGACAAAACTTGAATCTAGGTCTTTGAACTCCTAGTCCCATGTTTTCTGTCTGCCTGTCTCTGTTTCTGTCCCTTTGTCTATTGATCTATCTATATATGTATGTATGTATGTATGTATTATCTATCATCTATCTATCTATCTATCTATCTATCATCTATCTATCATCTATCATCTATCATCTGTCTAATCTATCTACCTACCTACATCATCTATCTACATGTATCTGCCTGTATTCATCCATCTAATTTCATTGCCTCACTGTACCTGTTTGAATGATTGGATGTAACTCAAAGTCTGTGAGTTGAATCCAGGAGGAATAGTCATGTGGTAGACATCCTCCCAACTGCACAGCAATGGGTGATAGGAGCCAGCCCTTATGGTACTGAAGCTGCCAGTACTTCCTAAAGTGTCATACCAACCAGAGGGGAACTATCAGAAGGGGGCACCAAATGGGGGGAAATAAGGCACTGAGACAATTTTATGGGGTGAATATGCTATAAAACTTTAGTGTCACTTATTCCTAATTCCACCTTTCCTGAGCAATGCATCTGACCCAAATGAAATGCAATGAAAATAAAATGAAATGCAATGAAAATAAAATGAAATAATTAATTCCCCAGTCCATAAGTGGAAATCCAAAGTCAGTGGAGAGGAAGCTTTCCAAGTCAAAAATATCATTCAAATATGAATAAATTATATCACATTGTTGTTATTAATTTATCATTCCATTCAAAGACCTCTTGGGTAGAAAAAGCAGAGGTTTAACATTCATAAAACCTTTTTGACAGTCAGTAGGGTCAGATTCTCATTCCATGCTCATTGTAATTCTCCTCTCAGTTATCCTACTGAAAATTATTTTCAAAACACATGCTTTGTTACATGTGAATTAAATAGAACCATAAGATCTCTTTTCCCAGATTAGAGGTCACCAAACTTTTCTTGTAAAAGTTCAGATGGCAAATACTTTAGGTTTGAGGGATATATGGTTTCTGTCTCAATTACTAAACTGGCTGGGCGGCTGGAAAGCAGCAATGAACATAAATTAATATATGTGCCAAATTAATATATGTGCCTGTGTTCCAAACAACATTATTTACAAAAGCAGGCAGTGGGATGGGTTTGGCCCACAGGCTGTGGTTTGTTGGCCCCTTTTCTAGATCAAATGGAGAAGTCAGGAGGTGGGGTGTAATCCTGGGAAAATCTGTATTTTTGCTGGACTGAAATGCAGGATAAAAATCTATGTATGTTGCTGAACATAGCCACACGAACCTATCCCTATTCATTAATATATGTATTAGTTCACTTTTCTTTCTATGTGGTTAAATAAATCTACTTACATTTTCATAGCAAAGAAACAAAGGCACTGTTCTCTTGAAGGCTCAGCCTGCTCTGTAGGGGAATGGAAACAATTGCAATTGGAAAAGCAAATATTCTTACCAAAGTTTTAAAATCGAAAGTGAAAAAAGAAAAACTTCATTAGCAGTGAGAACTGCGCCTTGGATGCTCATTGGTTTTGAAAGCACCAAATAAGTGAAAAAAATGAATGCATCAATCCTTCAGAATCAATGCATTTCTCTGGAAATAAAGTGAACTTTCCATTTCAACCCCATTCTCCCTTCATTCACCATAGACACACCAGAAATCAGTCCTCCCTGAGTTAAACTACATTATGGTACCAAGCAAAGATTCTTGGTATATAGATTCTTAGCAAAATGACAACCGCACTGCAAATCTTAGAAAATGTAACATCAGATTCATAAAGAAGCTCACTAACTAGATGGGAGGCAAGCAGCTGTGAGCTGTCTCTTTCAGCACCTGACCTCCTGAGATGCTTAATAAAATTGCCTACAAAGTATTACTCTCTCATCAGTGCCAAGAGGCATTTGTGGAGAGATAAATAAAGCTATTTTCCAAAATGGGGAATATTCTGGCATGCCTGTATTGAAATGACAGTTTCTTTATGGGATGGGAGATGGGCAGGAAAATGCCAGCCAGGTAGTTGCCCCTGTGCCCACCACTAGTAGAAGTTCTATAATGAGATTCCAAATTAGATTGCTGAACCTCAAAGACAAGGTGCTTCACATCTGTGAGATGTTCAGCTTGACTTTATAATGAGTTCACCGAGCAGAATGAACCACACTTGAAATCAAATACTTTGCATGCAGGATGAAATAAGTGGGGATCAATCATAGTCAGGGAAGTGGCAATTGCTCTGAATGTAATGACACACTAAAGGGGGAAAAATGAGAGTGTAAAATGGAGCAGATGAAAGAACCAGTTCATGGCTAACACAAATGGGCAACATTTGTGCCAAGGCAGAGCTGCATGCATTAGTCTGTAGAGATGATATCTAAAGAGGGTGGGATGGTGAGAAGTATAAATGTTCACACTCTCTATCCAAAGACATCAACCTACTCAGGAAGCAGCCATAATCATCGCCATCTTAGGAAGCATTTTCTGAGTGTATTATTCTCAGAGGCTTTTAACTGGTGACAGACTTTGGAAAAGCAAACAAATTAGTCATGGTAACAGGTTGTTTTTTGTTTGAATGCCCACATTCTAGATTAAGCCCACATAACCCACCTACTGGGTATCAACAAATGCATGGCATAAGCCTTAGAGGTATCTTCTTCCCTATAAGTGGCTGAAGGGCTGCAAAAGCTCTCAGGAACCAGTATCTCTCCCCACACAGGCAGCTTACTTGCAGACTCCCTGAGAGAAGTATCGGCACAAAGGTCTGCAGGCTGGCATGGCCGTCACCCCAATAACCCAGGGTCTTTTATTCCAGCCACTCTGCTGTGATTAGTATACCTGCCATAGCTAGGGTTCCCCCAAGGTAGGGGTCAGCAGATGGAAATAATCATGGATGCCCGAGGTATGATCCACCTCTCCTGTTTCAGAACCAATATCATTACCTGTTTCAATGTCTAGCGGGGAAATGTCACTGGAGGCCTCATTAACAGCAGACAGTATAGAGAGTCATAGTCTAACTTCTGGCCTTTCTGCAGGATTTAAAGCTTATATTAAGGAAGGAAGAAAAAGAACAGGTGTCGTGACTTGTCTTTTTCTTTTTTCATACCACAACTGTCACTCATAGGGTTCCAAACGGAATGAAAAGAGCCAAAAGGAAGCCCAGTGAGTTGCCTGGCCTGGGAGGTCATGATGGTTTATTGCAGCCTTTGTTTTTACGAGAAAGGACAGCAGGCCAGTGTCTCTCTCGCCTACCTTCCCTTTTAAGATACTCTTTTGACTTGACAGTCTTTTGGCTGTCAAAGCCCCATCCAAATCCCAGCAGGCTCCTGCCTGGGTCAGTGCTGGACATGGTCCTGCTGCTGGCCTCAGGCTGCCTTCTGGAATCCTCTGGAATGCTTTCTGGAAAGTCACGAGGGGGCAAGTTTTTGTGTTTCATCCTTTTTGTTCCTAGCTGAGTCTGCTAATGAAAGCTTTCTGCTTTGAGGGGAGAGAGAGGCTGCCCCATCTGGTGCTCTCCTGCCCCCTGGTAAGATTATAGTAATAGAGGGGAGATGCATTTAGGACAGCAGTCTCTAGCTGCTACTATAGTTCTTTCTCTAACCTCACCCTGAAATGCAAAGTGATCCTAGCTTGGCAATGAAATAGAACTAGGAATGACATGATGGAAGGGTTTGGGGGTCAAAGAAAGCTGGGACACACAGTATAATGCAAAGTTAAACAATGAGGATGTGTGGGATGCGCCTACAGGAAAAGGTGTTTCCAAAACTATCTGATCTAATAACTTGTCCTCCAGCGTCTCCCAAGAATGTTATTGTAGGGAGAACATTAAGGGTTATTACATAGAGGGAAGGATAATTGCTGTTTATTATATGTACATATAGAGGTACGAGACTTAAAACACACATGTGCTTACATGTGCGCATGTGTGTGCACACACACACACACTGGACATTGCTCTCAAGGAGACAAGGAGACTGTGGTCTGTCATTAAGACAAGTACAAATTGATCAGGGGTCTTCAAGGGCAAACCATCAAGAGAGGTGCTATTGTTCTGCTATTTGTCTCCCTCTCTCTTTCTTTTAAATTTACTCCTCTCCAATTCATTGAATTTTTTCCCTTATTCTTAGAATCTCTTAGGAAAAATTCTGTGCATTTTTCTAAGTTGAATCTCATTTTGCTATTCTTGCCCATATTCTTATTCCTAAGGGAAATACATGGCTGGAATTCTTGTGTGTATGACTGATAAAGCCTTTAGAAAAAGAGATAATGAGGCAGAGACCAACAGAGATCAAAGCATCTCCAGCATAGATATAACACAACAGCTATGTCATCTCAAAAGAAGTCCTGTCATTAATATGCTGGGGATGGGAGTCCTTGTCTGAGTGGTCAGGCAGGCGGGCAGCATTTACTAAGAACCTGCAGTGATGCAGACAACTGTCCCAGTCACAGCAGGGAATTATGTGGGAAAACGGCACTCTAATAAAAACAAGAGGGACAGAACACAAAGTACTGAAAATACACACAAAAAACCCTTATATTCAGAGACATGTGTAATCCTGTACATCACTATCTGAGTGTTAAGGATGTTGCTATGATGAAAGAAGGAACCAGAACCTACAGAGGATTGTCTGGCAAGCCCTTGAATACCAAGACACACTCGCAACTAGTAGAAAAAAGACTAAACAGAGATGTTCGGTGGGCTGGAACAGTGAGGGTGCAAAGCAACAGGAAGACATTACCACTCTTAGCTTTTTTTGCTCAAGCCCCTCTTGGGAGTTCCTATATATGTTCCATCTTAGCTTGGATGGCTGTTTTGGCAAACTAAGCCCCATTTCCTGTCCATGAATCACAGAAAACTTGAAGCCTTAGGAAACATAATTTGTCTTCATGTAACCACAGGTGCATTACCATGTCTTCCATCTCAGGAAGTGATTTCTGAATGAAGAATTTGACTTCTCTTAGCTAACATATGTCCCAATAAGATCAGAGCAGTATGTCACTGTCTTCTCTGGCCCTTTCAACGTTGCTAGGCAGTTAAAATGCCATATGGTAGGTGACAAATAAAAGCCATAGCCAATGAAGTCTCTCAAAGCAACTGTCTTAGATGTTTCCCCATTTCCGTGTGATGTCTTGTGCTTGCCGTCATCTTCCTAGCTCTGCAGTCCCGCTTTAATCCTTGCTTCTGGCCTGTTTCTCTTCGGCAAACCTTGGGACTACTTCAAGATATTAGAGAACAGATCCTCAGTTTCTTGTCCTGGTTCCTTGGTTTCCATGTGTCCCAGTGTATGTGGGGGCTGAGAGTGGCATTGTTGGCTGAATCACCTTCCCTCTCTCCGCTTTCACCCTCTGCCTCCTTCACCTCCCCACTTTGCCCTCTACCTCTTTTACGTCCCCTCCTTCCTTGCCATTCTTCCTGCCTGCGTATACATATCACTAGGGGAGTATTCTGGTACAGATGTCTCAGTGATTAAAGTTCTCATACTGATTGAGGAAAGAATATGACTAAAATAATTTCCCTGAAGTGATGAAGTAATTTTTATAAAGTTAAAATAGTGATAGAATGGAAGTGGACAAATCTAAGGGAGTTCATTGCCATTTAATTATCCACTAGTTCTCAACTGAGAGTGAGTTTTGCTCCACTCCCCAGGGTACATTTGGCAATATCTGGCGACACTGATTTTCCTAATTGTGCTGGGTGAAGTTAAGGGTTTGCTACCTGCAGCAATCATTATAGGCTAGGGATGTCCCTAAATATACTTCAATACACAGGCCTTCCAAAGCCTAAAATATTAATTGTAGCTTTGTGGAGAAATACTGAGTTACCTTAATTATAACAAAGTCATATTGTTTATAACTGGTAATTTAGTTTATCTAGGAAGAAAAAGATACGTTTTCCGTAGCTAGGCAAATGGATGCAATTTTCTATGCAACAAATTTTTTGGCTCCTTCTCTTACTCTGTTTCCATTAAGTGATCTATACCAGAGATCACCAAACTTTTTCTGTTCCAGACGGTAAATGTTTTAGTCTTTGTAGCGATAGGAGGCAAAATTGAGGATACTTATGTCTTAAGAGAGAAAACTCCTGCTGTTTCCTGCTATGTTTGCCTGGAAGGGACAGTCCCTTGGCGTTGGGCAAACTTTATATGCAGTTGTATTTCAGTGGAGATATTCTCTGGAGGAACAGGAACTGATTCTAGGGGCTGGGGCCTGGTGGTGAGATGACTCCTGGACTGAGATTCTACCACTCGATGCTGACAGTGAAGTCCCCAGTGTTCAGGTGTCAAAGAGTGCTGGTCCTGTGCAGCAGCAAGACTCAGCTGCCAGCTGGAGGGCAGGTGCTGCTGTGGATCAGGACACAGGGCAGATGCCCTGTGCACCTCATAATGCTAGCTGGTTCATGCGGTGCCCATGGGCTCTAGAGAAACAGGAGAATTTGGCTCCTGGGCTGAAGTTTGTTGTATCCCCCAACCCCTGATTCTGTATCGTCTGTTTCTCCATCTTCCTTTTTCTCCGAGAGGATTATTTAATCTCAGTCTGAAGGAACTTTCTCAAACTTCAAATGTTTTTGAAGTTTGTAACAACAGTAGAATTTAATTTATTGTAGCAACAATATAATTTATTTTGAACATGGAGAAAAATCATAATCATATTTAAGGGTTACTTTCTCTAAGTGGAATTAGCCTTGTTCAGATCTGCCATGTAAATACAGCTTTGACTAACCTTTGCGGGGCACTTTGAATCTGTTTTAAAACATCTGCATCCAGATGGCCTACTATTTAAAAAAAAAAAAAGCAAACAAAACAAAAACAAAAAACTTAAGGCTATTAGACATGAGCTTTTCTTCATCCACTAAACCTACAAACGTACAGGCCAAAATATTGTTCTGATTTTATTGGCAGAATGTTATAAGAGTTAGTCTGACTAAGTTAAGCACTTCATATATTTTATATAAAAGAAAGGGAGGTAATTACTAGAAAACAGCCAAAACCCATTCTCACTTCCTTTCTCTATTCTTGGAGAAAGAGTTATATTCTCTTTTGTGTACTTCTTTGTTCAAGCCTATTCCTTCACCTGTGTGCTTGGTCTATCTATTTTTAATCTCCTTAGAAATAAGCTCTTTAACAATCTTCCCATTGGTATCTACCAAAATTTTCCAGAAACATCATTCCAAATGATGAATACTTTAGAAGCATTCTTATTGTATTTGAGAAAAACACACAAATGCTTGATATCACTGCTATATAGCTCTCTAGTGGAGGTCCCAGAGAATGCAATAACACAAGGAAAAAAATCTACTTGCTGGTTGTATTAGACAGGGTTCTCCAGAGAGAATCAGTAGGACAGATAGATATAGAAAGGGGGATTTATTAGGGGAACTGGCTCACATGATTATGGTGTCTGAGGGGTCCCACAAAAGTCCATCTGCAAGCTGGTGTCCCTGGAATTCTGGTAGCATGGATCAGTCCAACTCTGAAAGCCTCAGAACCAGGAAAGCTTATGGCATAACTCTCAGTCAGAGGCCAAAGGCCTGAGAACCAGAGGAGGCCACTGGTGTAAGTCCTGGAATCCAAAGGCCAAAGATCCTGGAGTTGTGATGTCCAAGGTCTAGAGAAGAAGAGTGTCCCAGACCCAAGAAAGAGAGAAAATCATCCTTCCTCTGCCTTTTTGATTCCATCCACCCCCCAGCTGATTGGGTGGATCTTTTCCACTCAGTCTACTGACTCACCTGGCTATCTCCTCTAGAAACACCCTCACAGTCAATCCCAGAGGTAATGCTTTACCAGTTATCTAGGCATTTCTTAATCAAGTCAAGTTGATGCCTAAAATTAACTTTCACACTGGTGTATCTTCTGCTCATCCTGAATTGGTGTGCTCTCCAAACGTATATCCTGAATGCATTTACATTCTTACTCCACCTGCCTCACTTAGGTGAACCCGTTGCCTCCTGTGGCTTATAGTATATGAATCAAGAGTCCAAATCTATACTGGAAATTCTGACTTTTCTCCTGAATTGCAAACTCTTATCCTCCAAATCTTTATTAGCATTAGCTCTTTGCCCCACAGACATCTCAAAGCCAACATATTGAACATATCCAATACTGAACTCATGATCTTTCCCTTTAAATAAACTCTTTCTTTATTTACAGGGCTTATTCACAGCAACATGTCAATGGTACCAAGTCTGAGAAATCTCCACTCTTTCTATATTTCCAATCATGGGAACAGTGTCAACACTCACCCCATGATCCTGAATCTTGGGAGTCATTCCACGCTACTCATTTCATGCATAACTGTGCAACAAAATTCCATTTCCTTACTATGTCACAATTTCTGTCCCCTTCTCTTCCTCTTCCACTATTATGGCTTTAGTTAAGACTTTCATAATCTCTCATCATAACTATTATAATAATATATTGATCGGCCTCCCTGCTGGTAGTATTATACCCCTTCATAATATTGCAATTAGAGAGACCTGTTGAAAAACAGAAATCTAATGATGTTATTTCCCGACTTAAACTGTTTCTGGAATCTCAAAGCCTTTGCAGGTGAAGCAGAAACTGTTTAGCATAATACATAAGGTCTTCCATTTTCTAGCCCTGTATTGTTCACAGCCAATATTTAATTATTCTTCGGATTTATCACCACATTTACTGAGCACTATGTGCCAGGCACTTGCATTTACATATATTTAATGTAATCTCAACCAACCGTAAAATGAAGGTACTGTTTTAACTCCTATTTACGGTTGAAGAAACTGAGGCATAAAGCCTTTAAGGAATTTGTTCAAGATCACATAGCTAGGAAGCTGTATGTTTGGAATTTGAACCCAGAGGGCCTGATACCAGAGCACAGAATACCCTTTGTCCCTACCCCCACTACCAGGAGAAAGCAAGTGTCCAGGAAAACATTTTTTTCTCCTTTTTTTAATTCTATGAGCTGCAATTACACAAAATTGGTTTAGCGTTTTGTTTGATGACACATTCTTATTATTGCCATGCATGGATAATTTATTATTTTTAATAATGTGATAAATACCCCCCAGTGCTACCCCAAACACAAGGTAAGACCTTGACAATAATCTAATTTCCAAAATGTGGTACTTTT
Source organism: Homo sapiens (assembly GCF_000001405.40). Taxonomy (NCBI): domain Eukaryota; kingdom Metazoa; phylum Chordata; class Mammalia; order Primates; family Hominidae; genus Homo; species Homo sapiens. Next base: position 53,479,380 of record NC_000013.11, read on the forward strand.
ATTTATTTCCTTTCCCCTATTTCCCTGAAGTAACCATTATTAAGAATTTACTTTTCTTTTTATATAGTCTTATTACTATTATATGTATTCTTAAAACATATATTTTTATGTTAGATGCTTTTCACTTCAAAAAACCTATCGTGGTGCATGTAATCTTTTGGGACATATTATTGCTAAAATTGATCTACATTATTATACTCTGATTACTAGATAATAAGCCATTTTGTGAATGTACTATATTTTATTGATCTACTTTTTAGTTGATTGGCATTGGGTTGTGGCCAGAATTTTTTTATTTGTGAACAGTGCTGCTATGCACATTCTTACACATGTTTTCTATATTTTGTGTATACAGGTTTTCTTTGGACAGAGCTCATGTTCTTCATCCCTATACTGTACTCTCTCCCACCCTGGCTACCTTTAGAGTCATTCAATCATTCAACCAATATTTTTAATCTAATATGTGACCAACACTGTTTTAGGTGCAGAAGAAAAAAATAGATGAAACTCCCACTCTCAAAGAGCTAATAGGAAGACAGATGGAACACAAATATGTATATACATACATAAGGAAAGCACAGCTTACTTTCTTCCATTTGTCACTTTGCAGCTAATGTTACAATTCTAAATTCCTTGCACATGAAGTTTAATCCTCTAAATCTTTGCTCATATTGTTTCCTTTGAATAAAATATCCTCTGAGCCCTCATTTTCCAGCTAACTTTATTTCATCTTTGAAAATTTAACTCAGATATTGTATCCCTCATGAAACCATAGGTGATACTTCTCTGACTGGAATAAGGACCTATTTTGCACTCACATAGCTCCTTATCATAACTTTATCATATCTCTTTTCTAGTTTTCCCCTCCTCTAGAATGTACAATTAAATGCTACTTATCTTTAAATAGCTCTAGTGACCAGTGTGATGACTAGCAGATAAAAGGTATCCAATAGATCATAATCTATCGAAAAACAAAACTGAACTGATTCTGAAAATTCTGGGACTGAATCTTCTATAGGAATTCATTTTCAGGACTTTTTTTCTAAGAAAGAATTTTCATTCTGTATATGAGGATTACATAGTTATGATGAGAGAGTCTCTTCACTTATGAAAAGTAAATGCAGTCTGGTCATGCCCTTACTCAAAGGAATGAGACAGCCTTCTCATTAATTCACTCAAGAGACATATTATTCAAAGGTGGTCATTAACAACTGTTCCTTTTGTACAGGAGATCAAAATGGATTTAGAAACTCCAATAAAATGGTTTGAAAAGCAATGGGATTTAATGGAAAGAGCTCTGCCCTAGAAGTCACCTAGAAGACCCTGGTGCTGTTGTATGCAGAGGGGGATGGGCTTACGTAATGATGAAGAAAAAAGTCACAGTCCTGCAGAATGTGATCTGAAGGACAGGAGTAGATGTTCTACAGCTACCCCTTTCATTAACAGAGACTTTTCTCATTTAGGATAAAACCCTCCCTAAATATTTAAACTTTAACCTGGCCCAAAGTTAAGAAGAACTAATACTTCTAATCTTTTGATCTCTATTCATAACAGAAGATACAGGCTATACCTCTTATGACTATGTTTGTTTTCCTTTGCCTCAGTGATCTTTGGATTGGAAAAGGAAAGATCCTATGGGTCCCCCTCTCCCCATTTTCTGTTCTGGACTGCAATAAAAGATTACATCAAAGATGACTACATTGATTTGTAAGCAAGGTAATAGGAATTAGGGGACATTCTCTTGAGAGTTGGAGAGAATGGTTTCTTAGAGCCAAGAAACTGAGGAAAAGAGAAGAAAGATGGGGAAGAAATCTGTACAAATTGGGAGCTACAGTGCAAAAGTGGACAGTGAGAAATTTCTGTGGTGTCTATGACCAGAAATTTGACCTGAACCACATATATCAGCCTTGTGTGTGGTTTTTTAAGGTAAGAATAGGTTTCGTGTCCAGTGTGGAGTAAAGCAGAGAAGAAAGGAAAGAGTAGATTCAGAAAGCAAGAAGAGAATGGGTGTCAGGGAGTCAGAGGGGGCAAGAAACTGGAGGGTTTCAGATTAAGAAGAAGTTAAGCACTCCAAGGACTCCTTGGACACACTGCTGTTTCTGGGTTGCATAGAACTGGGCTGTTTTATTTACACATTAAAGGAAAAGGTGACACAGGATGACCAGAGTTCTTGAAGACATTCAAGTGGTAGATATTTGGATTACACTTGGAATTATAATAGGTTTTTGTGACTGAATAGGCTTAATGAATTGGATATTATTAAGGATATGAAATAACACCAGGATGTTTCAGTGTGGCCCTGAAGAGGGTGAAGATATAGGTTTAATGTTCACACAGATTTCGTTTTCACCAGCATTGCACAGATTTCATTTTCTTAAAAATAATTTTAAATATATACATGTATACACACACACACACAAACATATATATATATATTTGCTTTCAATTATTTTAGAAACATATTTTAAAGTGTTAGAGTTCAGTATTAGAGGTGACCAGAAAAGATAAATTTAATCAAATGACAAGTACAATGGAAGATGTGTTCTTTTCTTAAGAGCACCCATTATTCGGATTTCTGAAAGTCCATATTCAGACAAAAGAAAGATAGCCACTGCACTTTTACATTTGTAGGTAGGAACAATCAGCCGTGGGCTGGTATAGTGCCCCCATGGAAGACAGAAAGACTCAGTTTCTTTCTATCTTCTTGCTTTATTATCAGCAATGTGTGTCTTCTACACTGAGATCCAAGATGGCTGCTTAAGATCCAGCTACCATGTGCTCCCATTTCAGAGTGTATGAAGAAGAAATGGTTTGAAAAATGGCATGTCCCCTTAGGAACATCCTGTAGTTTTTACCTTTGACTTATGCTTACATTCCACCTAAAAGAACGTAGGCTGGGAAGTCGGGCGCGGTGGCTCACGCCTGTAATCCCAACATTTTGGGAGGCCAAGGCGGGCGGATCACGAGGTCAGGAGATAGAGACCATTCTGACTAACACGGTGAAACCCCGTTTCTATTAAAAATACAAAAAAATTAGCCGGGCATGGTGGCTGGCGCCTGTAGTCCCAGCTACTCTGGAGGCTGAGGCAGGAGAATGGCGTGAACCCGGGAGGCGGAGCTTGCAGTGAGCCAAGATCAGGCCACTGCACTCCAGCCTGGGTGACAGAGTGAGACTCCGTCCTAAAAAAAGAAAGTAGGCTGGGAAATGTTGTTTATTCTGGGCAGCCTTGTACCCAGCTTAAAATCAGAGATTGGGAGAATATTTATTGTCTCTGTGACCATGTTCTGTATAACCTTTTTTGGGCTATATTACCTGGTAGAGATGACATTGATAAGGAACAATGAAATGGTGAGAATAATTGACAGATCTTTAAAAGCTTGATAGCATTCAGTGAATGATTTAAAAATAGTAGCCAAACAGATGTTCGTTATCACTATGTTGTGAATAGGATGGTGGCTGGGCAGGGTGCAGGCAAGAAGCTGGGGGGAGGGAGAAAGAGTGGCAGAGAGAGTGAGGGAGGATTATTTGTGACTTATCTATTAAGGGAATATTTAAAGAGCAAGGCGCATTTCTTTCTCTAAAATATTGATTTTTCATTTTCAGTTGGAGCCAAATATCAATATAGGTAAACTTGGTAGTTCCCTGAACTGATGAGAATTCACAGAGCTTAACAAAATGAATGCATGGCTTGATCTTATTGCAACATATTTACAAGGAAAAGAGAATATTGATCAGCTCGCTTTAGGACACCATCTGTAAATTACTATTGTTTGAAATAGCCTTATTGCCATGAAGTTTACGTAGGCTATATTTTGTTTATTGTAACGGAATTCAGACTTTGTACTATGTTTATGTATACTATATTTTGTTTATTGTAAGGGAATTTAGACTTTGTATTATTTTGTTCATTGTAAAGGAATTCTCAAAACTTTGCTGGTTTTGAGAAATGGCCTAATATTAGGAGTGTCAAGAGGATATGTTTTAATAAGTAATATGTAAATTCTGGGTTCTTGTCTTACCTCAGTTAGTGAAACATAGTTTAATCTATGAAACAGTACAATATCTTTGCCTCAGTTACATTCTTAGGAACATTAAAAGTATTATGCATTGTACATTTTTTGAGCATAAGGGGAGAGGATGTCATTATAAAAAGCCATCTCACTGTTACACTCTTATTACCAAAGAGTAAAATATAACCTTCCTGAAAGTAGAATGATTCCTATGTTATTTTCACCTTTGTTCTTCCTTTGACTCACTTTAAAGCCAGCTCTTATTATTCTGAATCACAATTCATAAAAACAGCCTGTAGCTACAACAATGTCTAAAAGCATTCATGCTTTAATGGCTTCACATATAACATTTAGTAATTACCAAGTTGACACACTTCATTTATCTAAATTTACCCAGCTATAATGAAAGCTGCCCACATAATTTTCTATTGTGAGTGACAAATACACAATTATATCATAACTCCACTTATTTTGGAATGGCCCCCAAAGAAAACTACATATAGGCTCTACATACCTTGAAATCACAGATTTTAAGAACGCTCTTATATCTATTGGAGGTATTGAAGATTAGGAAAAAAGAGTTTGCTTTATTAAATTCTGGAGAAAATAATTAGCAGAAAATCTATAATAATGGTTATAAGTAAGTAGGTTATGTCTAAGATGATTTTGTGTTTTGTTATTTGGTTTTGGAGAATAGTAAAGAGATTCAGACAATAAATTCTAGGTATCTAAATGCTTAAAATAAGAGTTTGGCTGGGTGTAGTGGCTCACACCTGTAATCCCAGCACTTTGAGAGGCCGAAGAGGAAGGATTGCTTGAGGCCAGGAGCTCAAGATCAGCCTGGTCAACTTAGTAAGTCCCCATCTCTACAAAAAATTAAAAAAATAAAACTAGCTGTGTGTGGTGGCATGCACCTGTAGTCTCAGCTACTCAGGAGGCTGAGATGGAGGACTGCTTGAGGCCGGGAGTTGGAGGCTGCAGTAAGCCATGATTATGCCACTGCACTCCAGCCTAGATGACACAGTGAGACCCCATCTCAAAAAAAATAAAGTGATCGAGAAAACAGAAAATAAGAGCCCAATATTCCATAATATTCCAGAGTTATTTTCCAAATATAGAGAATGCAATTTGAAAGCATCAGTTAACATTTGATTTAGATTCAAAATATATCAGTAATAATCTTTTATAGTACATTCACAAAAATTATATTATCAGTAGGCAAGTACCAAATGAGTGTTTAAGATACAAACACTGTGGGAATTAAGGTTTTCATAGATAGAAAGGTTGGGGAAGCCACCAAACAGGGACCTTCGGCTGTATAAAAACAGATAGATCAATCAGATAAAGATTAATGGAGATGGCAGAGCATAGCATTCCTGGAGGATGCAATGAAGGAGGAAGTGCTTGAAAGTAGGAACAACTAAGATGAGTTCTGATGTCCATGAAAAATAGAGCATTCATCCTAGGGGGTGATAAAAATGAGAATGATTAAGTTGGTCTGCAGGTGATAGATCCCGGACTTGATCCACTAGTCTGTAGATACAATTTCAAGTATTTGATCTAGAAAAGATATAATAAAAGTGGTGTTCAAAATGATTAAATGGCAACTACTGCATGAGCTGGTGATATGATTTGGATCCGTAGTGTCCTCACCCAAATTTCATGTTGAAATGTAACCCTCAGTGCTGGGGGTGGGGCCTGGTGGGAGGTGATTGGATCATAAGGATGGTTTCTCATGGTTTCCCACCCTTGGTGCTGCCGTAACAATAGTGAGTTCTCATGAAAATTGGTTGCTTAAATGTATGCAGCACCTCCCCCTGCCTCTTGCTCCTGCTCCAGCCATGTAAGATATGCCTGCTTCCCCTTCACCTTCCGCCATGATTGTAAGTTTCCTGAGGTCTTCACAGAAGCTGAACATATAGCATCATGCTTCCTATATAGCATTTGGAACTGTGGGCCAATTAAACTTATTTTCTTTATAAATTATCCAGTCTTGAATATTTCTTTATAGTGATGCGAGAATGGAATAATACAGATAGGTAGTTAATAGGAGACATCAGCAGATTGTAAGATCACAGCAGATTTCAAACTTGCTCAAGTTAAAATCACCTGGGCCAATTGTTAAACACATAGCACCTAAAATAGTGCCTAGAACTTAGTAGGTACTCAATAAAATACTTGTTGAATTAAACTGAACTTTCTCCAATCTTGAGTCTATGCAAATCCAGGTGTTATTTGTTCAGGGCTTATGAGTGATAATCATTATGGATATTGTGGTTTAATAGGACAGGAAACTAAATATGTCAAGATTCAAATGAAAAAGTTGCAATATAGAATTGATTCACCCATACATTTATTCATTTATTCAGTTAATAAATATTGAGCATCCACAGTGTGCTTCAACTCATCTGTGTGCCAGGGTATGGGGCAAATGAAATAGACAAAAATAGATAAAAAAATCTCTGACATCATGGAATTTATGTTTTTAACTGGAGGATAAATAATAAACAAGTGTAACATATTGTTGTATAATGGGGAATATATCTGGTCTATGTCCCCAGTTCCTCATGCAGAGCTTCAGAAACACTTGAAATTTTTTCAGTGATAGACTGTCTTTGTTATGTTAATGAAGAGACTAATAGTAGACTTCTAGATAGTTTTAGGATGGGGCCTTGTGACCAGAGAGACCCATCACATGATTAGAGTTGGAACTTTGGACCAGCCCAACCTTCAGGGAAAGACAGGAGGAGTGAAGACTGAGTTCAGTAATGTGGCCAAGGACTTAATAAAACTTGCTAACATAATGAACCCCCCAAAAAACTCTGTGTTAGAGATTGGTGAGCACATTGACATGCAGGGAGGATGACATGATTTCACATGGAGAGGGCATGGAGGAAGCTCTGTGTTCCCTTTCAGATCTTTTTCTTTCTTTTTTTTTTTTTTTTTTTGAGATGGAGTTTCGCTCTTGTTGCCCAGGCTGTAGTGACTGCAGTGTCGTGATCTTGGCTCACTGCAGCCTCTGCCTCTGGGGTTCAAGTGATTCTCCTGCCTCAGCCTCCCCAGTAGCTGGGATTACAAGCACGTGCCACCATGCCTGGCTAATTTTTGGCGTTTTTAGTAGAGACAGGGTTTCACCATGTTGGCCAGGCAGGTCTCGAACTCCTGACCTCAGGTGATCCACCTGCCTCAGCCTCCCAAAGTGCTGAGATTACAGGCGTGAGCCACCATGCCCAGCCTCCCTTTCAGATCTTACTTAGGTATATCCTTTATAATAAAACTGGAATCATAAGCATAGCACATTTCCAAGTTGTTCTAGTGAATTACTGAACTGGATAGGATTGTGGAAACCTGTGAATAATAGCTAGGTAGTCAGAAGACATGGTGCGCTGGGGATCCTCAAAGTGTGGCTGTTAACTGAAATGAAGGTACTCTTGTGGAGGACTGAGCCCTTAACATGTGAGTTCTGCATTACTCTAGTTAGTGCTAGAATTGAACTGAATTGCAGTACACCCAGTTGGGAATGGAAACAGGAAAACCAGAGTATTTATAAATATGTGTATTGGATGCACTGAAGTATTAGGTGTGTTGCATTTTAAGATAGATATCAAATGATGAGGATAATGCTTAATAATTTGTAGTAAAAACTGACCTGATTGCCTCTTAAAATATGTTCATAAAAAGGGCTACCTAATACAACTTACTATTGGCTCTTTGGTGGTTGCTTTAAAGAGAGAATGGAACATGAGTGAGAACTCAAGGGACTGGTGATATTTGGATAGACAGAGAATGGAATGTAAAGAATAGGCAATGTTGTCTGAACCCCTTGGTCTCTACCTGATACCAAAGCTTCCCTTTAAAATTCAGGGCCATTATTGTTTTATTTGTCTTCTTTGTGTGATGGTTAATTTCAGGTGTTAACTTGACTGGATTATGGGATACTCAGTGGCTGGTAAAGCATTACTCCTGTGTATGTCTTTGAGGGTGTTTTTAGAAGAGATTGGCATTTGAAAGAGTGGACTGAGTAAGAAAGATTCACCCTCACCCAGTATGGGCAGGCACAACCCAATCTGTTGAAGTCCTGGATAGAATAAAAAGGCAGAGAAAAGGTGAATTCTTCTCTCTCTGTCTTGAAGCTGGGACACTCATCTTCTCCTGCCATTTAACATCAGAACTCCAGGTTCTCTGGCCTTCAAAGTCTAGGACTTGCACCAGCAGACCCTCAGTTTCTCAGGCCTTTGGTTTCAGACTGAGAGTTACACCATTGGCTCCTTGGTTCTTAGGCCTTTGAACTTGAACTAAGCTACACTACTGGCTTTCCTGGTTCTCCAGATTGCAGATGGCATATCATGGGACTTCTGAGCCTCCTAATCACATAAGCCAACTCCTTCAAAAATCTCTTCCATCTATCATGTATATATAATCTATCTATCACCTATCTTTATCTTTCATCTATCTATCTATCTATCTATCTATCTATCTATCTATCTATCTATCTATCTATTATTTATCTATTTATCTACCTTTCATCTCTCTCTGTCTCTCTCATCTACCTCCTATTGGTTCTGTTCTGCTAGAGAACCCTGACTAATAAAGTTCAGTTTGTTTTACTCCTCCTCATTTACTGGAATTATAACAAAATTCAAAATCATTATTGAATACAAAATTAATTGGTATTGAAGGAGGATGGTGATGGAATGTCTATTTCCACCTCAAGAGCAGTGTCCTGTTTATCATTGACCATTTAAGTTCATTCCATAAGGGTCCAAAATAAAAAGATGCTTGTAGAACAAAGAATAAAATATTTTTTTTAAAAACAGAGCATTTTATCAGATATGTGCACTCAAAAAACAAAATCTGTAAACTGTAAACTGAGGTTGAAAACTGGGCAGAATTGGGGCCCGTTTAAATGAATGATTCCTCTAGAAAACATATATATGTTTCTACCTTGTGAAATGACCTTCAGTGAACATTTAAGTAAATATCAGTGCACTAAACCTATACATTTTCAGCCATTTTGAAACTGAGTGGGATTTTGCTGAGTTTCAGGGGTTCAGTAGACTCCTATTGGTCAATATCATGAATGACTCCTCCATGTAACAAGATAGAAGACACCAGTAGAGTTCAGTCATTTCTATTGAAAGTCATAACAATTTTCCTTTGAATAAGATCACTTTTAAACATATCTTGGTGGTGAATTATTTATATCTTTCAAGTCTTTGCTGCTGAGGTGGAGAACTTGAAAATGGTTTTCTTACAGTAGAAATTTACTTCATGTTAAACACACACAGGAAACAAATTTACTACTTTTTTAAAGAAATAAACACAGAAGCAAATGAAATGTGCTAATGTGCTCCCAATTAGCACATTCATTAAGGACTATTATGAATGCAGTAATGAACTTTTTGCTTCTGATTGAGGAGAGAATTCACAATAATAAATTAGTGAGTGTATCTGCTGGAAGTTGCCAAATTATAGGGCTGAGTGAATACTACTAATAAAATCATTCACCACCCACATGAAAATGATAAATATGAATCTGAAAACGTGAAAAACATCCTTCACATAAGTGTAGGTCTTTCTTTGAGGAAATGCCAGGTAAAAATTAATCTTGAACATAAATGTGGCTTCAACTTGTTGATTTATTTGCCCAAGAGTTTGGGTTTGAGGCATTAGCTTTCCTGTGTTCAGACAAGGGTGACTCCCATTAAACCTAGAGTGAAATGAAAAAATCTTTTATTTTCAGTTTATCAGGTCCTGCTTAACACTGCAGGAATCACAAAGCCTTAGGCATGTTAACCAGCATGAATGTGAGCTGGTTAGAAGAAATAGCTTTAATGCAGATTGCAGTAGAAGTGGAACACTGGAAACTGCTACCTGATACGTTCGACCCTATTACTGGTGATAGGATAGTAGGTAGTAGAAGTAGGTGTGAAGATGTTCATGATAATGGTGGTGATGATGATAGGAACGGTTTCAATTTGTTGAGTTCTTGCTTGATCAATGTGTTATACAGATTATTTTTGTACTTTTACAATCATGTGAAGAAATTATTACTTCTTTCAAAGAGAAAGAAAATGTTCTCTTTCTCCAGAGGAAGAAACAAATACACCAATATTATTTTTATAGAATTCAGTACTTTTATGGTTGATAAGACCTTCTCTACATTCCTACAAGATCTTTTTTGCCTGGAAAATCTTTCTTTGTCATCATTCTCTGTGTATTTAAATATTAGCTAATTGAGAAGTGTTGACTATCCAGCTAAAGAGAGTTCACCAACTTAATTTTGGTTTAACATTTTAAAATATTTTCTAGTTGTGTTTTCCATCTTCCTACTCAAAGTTCTTCAAAGTTAGAGAATGCCCTCTATTTATTTTGATCCTCCCAAGACTGTACAGTAAGTGCTCTAATTAGAACAGAAATTCAATAAGCTTTATTGTTCAGTGAGATGAGACTCTACCATGTTTTTAAATATTTCTGAAAATGAGATTCCTCAGCGTCCTATGGAAACACATCCCATGGTTTATCAGCATTAACTATCAAGAAATTTGCCCTTGGTTCTTGTCTGAATACCTCCTGCCATTTCCTCTCTTCACTGTCTTCAAACATTCTCTGTATGATAGCCCTTTATATACTTGGAAGTTTCATGTCTTCCTTCAGCTGCTTCTTAAGACAAAATCATGGGCCTTCAAATGATCGTTGTATATATTTTTTAACAGTGATGTCTTGCTTGTAGTTGTGTTCAAAAGAACACCAGAGGAAACATGCAAACACTAAATAAAACCAAAATTGAATTTTTTTTTAGTTCTCTTGTATTTTTGCTCATAGCAAAGTCATGACATACTTATATTCTCCAAAATGGTTGTAATGATTAATTTTGAAAGGCTAATTATTAGACTTATTTGCAGTTCTCCATGAGCTTGAGTTTTCTGTAAGTTACATTCATAGATATTTTTTTTTTTCTGTAGAAACTTCGGTTTTTATTTTCCTCTAAAAACTTTTGATTAAAGGTGGTGGTCAGTGGGGTGGAGGGGATAAGTCAGAAAGGTGCTGACTACTTCTAGCCAGAAATGTTGAACTTTTTATTCTATTCCACATTCGTTTTTTCCTAAGAAGATAGAAGTTATGTTTATAAAGCTGGATTTTCTCACGGCAGTAGGTTGAGGCATTGGTGCTTATAATGGATACGTTTCAGTATTCTCCCCAAACAGACCCAGCCCCTAATCCCTGTTTTAAAGTGTTCCTTTTAGTGTCACATTGCAAAATTAATCTTTCCATTTGCTTCACTCCACAACGTTTAATACTTCTTGACTCCACATAAAGCACCGTGACATGAGCTTTAAATAAAAGCTGGATAGGGCTAAGTTGTGTGCATATTGTGTTTGGGATTAAGAAACTAAATTCGACAGGTAATGGAGTCGGATTTAACTGCTCTATGATGCTAAACTGTGAGGTGTCGTGTCAATCATCTGTCCAGGAAATATAAGCTATAAAAGAAAAGTGCGATGTATTTCAGATGCCTAATCACACAAGCAAAAGGTTAGCTCTTCAAGGAGGGGTAGTGTGTAGACTGCTACTCGTCATCTCTCTCTGGGGAACTCTGGGAGTTAAGGCTGTCATACAAATAGGCTTATTTGCTTGAGGATTAGCTAGGTTTCCTAGGAGACATGATAAAGAAACTTCTGCAACAATTGGACAGTTCCTCATATTAAATAAAGGGAAAACAAAACTTTAAAGCAGTAAGGAAATGAATGTGGGGCATTTAGAGAGTGTCTCCTGCATACTTAATAGAAAAAAGCATGTCAGGTATAAAAGAGAAATATATTTCAAAAAATTTCTTGCTAAGAGAGTTACCAATAATATTAAACACTTGCTCTTATTTTTGATGACCAGGAAGTTTTCAGCTCAATTTTGTATTCAATCACAATAACTACATTTGTTTCTTTGATAAATTTTATTCTATTTCTGTGCTCCAACTTAGTATTTTTCCATCTAGTTTAACTGCCCATTTTGATTGTAATTCTTTCTTTGAATGAGGTAAGATATAATTAATAAATGACAAAATAAAACATCCTTTACAAATAATGATTATCTATCTACCCATCTGTCTATTCTGAAGGATGACACAAAGGGTGTTTGGAACTGAATTGCTGAAGTGTGTGATTACGCATTTAGTCCAGTGTCTCAACTTGATGTGTAGTGCTTTTACTGTGAAATTCCCATTAACACTGATTGTCCAATTTAGTGCTTCATTAATGAGCCATAGACCACTTGTAAATTTCTGACTTACAGAATCAACCACATTTAAAGTTTTATTCTTCTGGAAATGTCTTCACCTGACAAGCTGGTAATAAATACTTTGCATTCTTTTATCCACTTAACCCTTCTACCATATCAATTTGGGCTGCCGTCAGTTGTCATTCTTTTTTAAAAAATGTATCTAACATTTAGGGCAACAATAATTATAAGAGCAAACATTTGTATGATGCTTACTGTGTGCTGAGTTTGAGTTTTAGTGTCATTTACTGATGGCTTGTGATGTTCCAGGTGTGCTGTTGAGAGCATTCTTCATCTATAAACTCATGTAATCCACCTGACACTGTGGTGATGTGACTACTCTTATTATGCCCATTTTATTCATGAAGTAACTGAGAGAGGTTAAATAACTTGCTTAGAGTTACAGATCTTCTAAGTATTGGATCTGGAATTTGAATTGGGAAAGTCTAGCTCTAGAGTATGTCTTCTAAAGTGTGGTCTTATGAACTAAGTACATATTCATCCTCAGGAAGTACAAAAGGGCTTTACAAAGAAATTGATGGATTCACCTATAATATCCAAAGCAGTTGCACCACAATCAAGCTTTACATAAAAGGTTTTGCTTTTTGCTTTTTTGATAGAACCCTTGGTGTCTGTACCCACATTAATTCAGTTAGCTCTAAGGCAGCATTCTGGGTACTATGTTTTATATTCAGAAAGCTAACAATTTGCAGATAAACACTGACCATATTTAGAATAAACTAATTTAAAATTTTTGTCATCAAAAACAGTATTATCACAGTCCACATACTTTGAAAGCAATAAATGATGATATGCAAATATCACTAATAGTTATGATCAATTGAATCCATAGAATGAATAAAAGTATATAAAAATGTATGTAAGGCATTTGAGGACTTGACTTTGATAAGCAAAAAAGACGCAGAATTATTTTCTGCCTGAAGCTAGAAGAAAAAGTTGTCATATCTGGAATGTGCTTTTACCCAATTCTGCCAGTCAAAATCATTCCCATTCTTCAAAGTCCATGTCTTCAGAGAGCTTTCTTGATTCTCTGACTCCTCTAGGATACTGTGTGCTTCTTTGAGATTTCCTCTAAAACAGTGCCTTGTATATTAGCTTTTTGTGTAATTCTCTCACATATTACTTTGTAAATTCTAGGAGGGCAAGGACAATATCTTCTCCACCTTTATGCATGTTGATAGGCAATCAACAAATATGCACTGATTGACTGGCTGGCAGCCTTAGGTGGTCTCTAGTGGTTTTCTACATTTGAATTGGGTTATTAATACACTGGGAAACAAATTTGTAAATCAAATTTATTCCAACACTTGTAATGAGTGGATAGAACCTAAAGTGATCAGAGAAAATTAAAATAAAAAAGCAATTACATATGGACAGTCTAATAAGGAGAGCTGCCTCACCTTTCAAAGTAAGTTGAATGAACAAGTTCTCAGAAGAGGATCAGGAATCATCCATTGAAAAATGTAGACTAGAAATATTTTCCTGATGGGCTAAAGATTCTTTTATCTATGTAAGCAGAAAGCAGTTAACCTAAAATATTACCAGTTCCTCATTATCTACAAACTTTGAATTATAATATGACAAATGAAGGAAAGTGACTTAATGACAAATTCAAACAAATGTCAGTTGTCTTAATGGGATATATTATAATGAGAACTGGAGGGTGAGACCATATCAGAAACAGCCCCTGAATTAGTCAAAAGTTGGGGAGACAATATTTAATAGAAACATTTAAATAACTAGAAGGGAAAACTCTAAAACCTCAAATATAATAGAAATTATATATGCTGGATTACTGTACAAATCATTTTGTTTTGATTCTTGATTTAACAAAATACTTTCAGATTACCAAGTTGGCGTTCCACATTCTTTGATACTATTTGTAGGTGTCTGGATTTTAGACTTAATTGTTTTAGTTTCACTTTAGATTTATATTCTATTGATCAATACTCTTTAGGTTAATATCCTGATTTATCAATAATACTCTTTAAAGAATGGGTAATGTGAATCAATTGACAAAATGTGTTCATTCCCAAGTGATAATCCCATCCTAGGCCAACCCTCTTGCTACAATGCTTTCACGGTGCGGGGCACCATTTTCTTGTATATAATCTAGGACAAAAAACGTATGCACAAACACCCTCATGAGTTTTCTCTGTGCTTTTATGCATATTCAGCCAGACCATAACAGTTACTCTCCTGTAGGCCAAGTAATTGCCAGATATCACCATTATGTCTGGGCAGATTGTTTGGGTCCTCTGAAGACAATCTCAGAATATCACTTGGCTTTTACTAAATTATAAATAATTTGCTTCATCCTGCATTTCTGCTTTTCCAAAAGTCTTTTTCATCAGATCTTCTCACAAGAAAATGGAACTTTTCTCCCAAGGACAGAGTACATCTTGAATGCACAATTATGTATCTTAGCCAAAGTTTATCTTTTAAATAAAACACGGCGCCTGTGTGTACCCTTGGCTCATATATTTGCCTTTCTTGTATAATCCCTTTTAATTACTACTTTTTAACAACATTTCTTTATTTTAATATTAACATAGTACCCCATTAAAATTATTGGTTGCATTTGGTAACAGGTAAGTAGCCAGTGCTTGATAAATGACTTTTGCAAAGAGAGAAGCAATGTGAAAGACTTCAGAAGTTATCATGAAAGATAGGAGTCCTCAAAAATCATTTGGATATACTTAAAAAAGCATCACTGTTTTTCACAATGACTGAGTGCTGAGTTCCAGAAGAAGTGGGGATCTCTAAAGGTTACCCTTGCACTTTTATTTTGCAGTAGACATTGTAAAAGGCACAATATTGAAGCTATTAAAATTTAGATTGGTTATGTGATTTGCACAGAAAACACACTGTGTTTTGAGTTGAAAATCTTTTGGGAATAAGTCTGATGCCAGAGAGGAAGTGTAATTTAGAGACAGAAATGTACATTTCTTCCCTCGGGTGGAGGGAAGGGAATAGAGAATGTTTTTTAAAGTGTCGTCTCCATTTACATCCATAGGAGGTGGGAGAAAAAAAAAGCACTCCAATTTTCTAGTCTGGTTCATTAATCACATTAGCAATGTTTAGGGAAAACACAAGACAGAATGAAACACAGTTCCAACTGGCATATTGCAGCATTTTGGGTTTCTAGAATACAGCATAGGACTAAAAAATGCTGTAAATAATTTCCAAGAAATAAACAATAATTATAAAAAATTCAGTGTTTCGAGGTTCTGAGTTCATTTTAAAGAACATAAGCTTACAAAAATATGAGAATACAATAAGATCTGAACATTTTATAAATATGTATGTAATAGAATACTATCAAATTATTTGAAAATTAGAGATAGTTACCTAAAAGGAAATAGGCATTGCAGGCCAGGTGTGGTGGCTCACACCTGTAATCCCAGCACTTTGGGAGGATGAGATGGGTGGATCACGAAGTCAGGAGATTGAAACCATCCTAGCTAACACAATGAAACCCCATCTCTACTAAAAAAAATACAGAAAATTAGCTGGGCGTGGTGGCATGTGCCTGTAGTCCCAGCTACCTGGAGGTTGAGGCAGGAGAATTGCTTGAACCTAGGAGGCAGAGGTTGCAGTGAGCTGAGATCCCACTACTGCACTCCAGCCTGGGTGACAGAGTGAGACTCCATCTCCAAAAAAAAAAAAGAAAGAAAGAAAGAAAGAAAGAAAGAAAATAGGCATTGCATTTGTTCTGAGTATGATAATTTACTCCTCTGATTCATGGCTATGATTATCAGCTTTATGGGGTTCACTACAAAATCCATATCTCTAATCTAGTTTTTCTTCAAGATTCAGGTTAATGTTTCAGCTATTCCTACCTAGTTTTACTGCTATTTCTCTCATCTCAAGCACAACTCATTATATTTTTGACATCCCAATTTGATATCCTTCCCTAATTTCCTGTTGCTAGAAATGACCAAACCATAGTTTGTATTCCCCGGGCTTGGAATCCTGAAGTTATCTTTGACTCATGAGGTGTTTTCAGCCCCATCTCACAAATAATTTACTAAGTTTTTTCTAGTTCTACCTGCAAGTATCTCTTCCCTCCATTCTTTCTACTCCCACTGTTACTTTTCTTTTCTTATCTTTTCTTTTCTTTTCTTTAGTTCTTTTCAGAGCTTCCAAACTGATTTACCTGGATCAAGTTTTTCCTGTCCTTGTCTACTCTCTCACTATCTTTAATAAATGTCATTGAAACATACGTATCATGAAAAATTTCCTCCCCTCAAAAACATTCAGACATTTTACTTTGCTATTGGGATTAAGCTGAATTGGTTCTTTACTGTCTTCAAAAGCCTTAACAACACGACTCTATTGCTCCTATCTAGAGAGTAAATAAATGCTAATTAAATGTCAAGTTTTCCATGTCTTCTCAAGATACCTGGGATATGAAAAACCCTATAGACTATGAGATATGTCTTCAAGAAAATAAAATCTAGTTCAGAAAGTACAGAAAACATGTAGAAGATAATTATGTAAAGAAGTATAAGGGCCAAATGAAGGATTCAGATAGTAACTACATACACATTATGATTTGAAAGAATTCAAACAAAAAACTCTTCATGTCCTTTGCAGGGACATGGATGAAGCTGGAAACCATCATTCTCAGCAAACTATCGCAAGGACAAAAAACCAAACACTGCATGTTCTCGCTCATAGATGGGAATTGAACAATGAGAACACATGGACACAGGAAGGGGAACATCACACACCAGGGACTGTTGTGAGGTGTGGGGAGGGGGGAGGGAAAGCATTAGGAGATATACCTAATGCTAAATGACGAGTTAATGGGTGCAGCACACCAACATGGCACATGTATACATATGTAACAAACCTGCACATTGTGCACATGTATCCTAAAACTTAAAGTATAATAATAAAAAAAGGCAACTAAAAAAAAACTCTTGCCCTATTAATATTTTTTCTATCCACAATAGACTATGTATTACTTATTTCTGTATTTATTTATTGTTTTATATTGTTATCTGTTTTATACATGTGTGGTTTGAATCTCAGTGATATGTAAGATCTTAGACATCCTGACTATATACTAACTAGAGATGCTCCTTGGTATAGGATGGGGTTATGCTCAGATAAATCCATCATAAGCTAAAAATATTGAAAGTTGAAAATGCATTTAATACACCAAACCTACTGAACATTATAGCTTAGCCTAGCCTGCCTTAAACATTCTCAGTACTCTGTCAGTACAGTATTTGGTGAATTATATGAGATATTCATCATTTTATTATAAAATAGGTTTTGTGTGGCATGTTCTGATCCAGCATAATGAGAGAGTATTAAACCACATATTACTAGCCCAGAAAAAGATCAAAATTCAAAATTGGAAGTCTGTTTTCTACGAATACATATTACTGTTGTACCATTGTAAAATCAAAAAATAATAAGTTGGGGATTATCGGTACTTACTAAGCAGATTATGAATTGAGTTAAAGAGCAAAACATTTGTTCATTAATTATAATAATCAATAATTATAATAATGTATAACATAATACTTATTCATGAAAATTGCCACGAGTCTTCAGCACCCGACTGAAAAAATAGTGTAGCCAATCATGCTGTTATTACGAATTATACGTAACACTATAAACAAGCCCAACAGCATACTTATTAAGCTTTTTAAGAGTATATTTACACTTTTCTCAGATTGTATATGAGGGGAGTGAATATTTGGGAAGCACTTTGGGAAGATGATCCAAAGTGGGGATTAAAAGCATAGGCTTTGGTGTCAAAACCATTCAGATACCATGTTTCTACTTCTTTGGGGAAGTCTAAACTTTCATTTGCTCTTATGTAAAACTGGGATAATAATAGTATGTATTATTAGTGTATGTTTGCATGGGCAATGAATACACAGTATAAATAATAATTTATTATTATATGCTCTTAGATTATCTTTAAAGATGTTTACAAATGAAAAAGTAGTTACGAGAAAAGTGATTGAAAACAGGTAATTATATATGCTGTTATAATTTTGTCTATGACTATTGCATACAAAAAATGGGAGCAAAATTAATAAATTCAAATGGAAAATGACAGTCATTAAGTTTTAATGACTTTTTATGTTATTAAAACATTATATGAGGTTTATTGCTTTGCTAGGCAGATACTGTTCTTTCATACATTTCATTCTTTCATACATTTCATTCTTTCATACATTTATACATATTGAGACATACTGATTGGTTACCAGCTATGTATAAAATATTCTGAACAGTGCTTGCCTTCAGGAAGCTTGTAATTAAGCAAATAATTTTTAGATAACAATTCTGGTTAATGTATGAGAAGAAATGCTTGTTTCTATGAGAATGTATATAAGCGGGACCTCTGTAGTCTGAGGGAATCAGAGAAGGCTTTTCAGAGGAACTAAAATTTAAGCCCAAAACAAACGATAAGAAGCATTTATTAAGAGATAGGTAAGTTATCCAGGAAGAGAGATCCATGTATATGGATCCATAATATATGCAGAGTGGCCTAGATGAGAGAAGACTTAGAACTCCAAAGCACTTCTAGCTGTGCAATGTGGCTGGAGGGGAAGCAGCAATAGGGAGGATAGAGTAAAAGAGGTGGGAGACTGAGGCAGAGGCCAGTTGGTAAAGAACTCCTCATCTAACTCAAAGTTATTGGACTTTGTTCTAAGAGCAACTAGAAGACTATGAGGGGTTTTAAGCAGAAGAAAGAGTAGACTCTTGTCTCATTTCAATGTTTCTAAATGAATGAATGAATGAATCACTATGTTACTTTGGAAAAGCCTGTACATTTCAGTTTTCTCATCTTTAAAGTGGAAGTTGGCCAGGTGTGGTGGCTCATGTCTGTAATCCTAGTACTTTGGGAGGCTGAGGTGGGAGGAACTGAGGCCAAGAGTTAGAGGCCAGCCTGGGCAATATAGAGAGACCCTATCTCTACAATTTTTATTTTAATTAACTGGGTGTGGTGACACATGCCTGCAGTCCTACCTACTTGAGAGGCTGAAGCAGGAGGATCACTTGAGCCCAGGAGTCTGAGGCTGCAGCAAGCAATGACCGTGGCACTGCACTCCAGCCTGAGTAATAGAATGAGACCCCATCAATAAAAAAATAAAAAATAATAAAATTGAGGTAATAACAATGAATCATGGAGTTCTTCTAGGGAGAAAATGGTATAATTAGTGGAAGCGTTTGTAAACCAATAAGTTGAGAGAGAGAAAAAAGTGAAAGCAAGAGAGAAAGAGATAGAGAGAATGAGAATAAGAATGTGTAAAATGCACTGTTCAAAAAACCTGGCCCATGGCCTCAAAGTATTTAAAACTCTTACCTTCCACATTATTCCACATTGACACCATTCTGTAGGGCTTGTGAGGTAAGGAGTGGGAAGACGAGCACAAAAAATTGTGAATGATAGACAGGGATTAAATTATTCTATTTATGGAAATAAGAAAAAGAACCCTTTTGTGTTATTGCTGCAAAAGATTTTAGATTTCTGAGTTAGTTCATTTCAGTTACAAAGAGAGAACAAAATATAGCGTTAAAAAGATCATTTTATTATTTTCTTTTTTTGGAGTGGCATTAAGATACTTCTTAGTATATAAACCAGAGTCTCTGTACAGAGTGACTATGTCAGACCCATTGAAGGGTCCACTTAGAAAAAGCTTTTTTCTAGAGCATTATGTCTAGATTTGAAATCAGAGACTTAAAAGATTATAAGGAAAAACAATAAAAATATGTTTACTTTGGGTATCTGACCTGCAGTAAAGACAGCACCTAACTATTTTGGTCAGATGGGTTTTTCTGTCCAGTTATAAAAGATCTCCAGGGCAAAACCTGTTTTATTGAATAATTTTTGGAATGAACTGCCAAGTCAAAAAAAAAAAAAAAAAAAAGCACTAAGCCAAAGTTCAGAGTGATTAAGGAAAACAATTCCCACTCTAAAAGCAAGAAATACCCCAAGAGAACAACGTCGAGGATCATGCTGATACATTGACTTGTCCTAAAAAGACTGTAAAGGATTTGACTGGAATAATCCTAGATGTATTTATCGAGCACCCATTAGGTGACTGGCACTGTTCCAAACAAACCTTCTGGGTGATGGAAGGCTGGTCATTTTCTGCAGAGAGGAAAATTGATTTCCTACCTAGCATCACCTTTATGAGGAGCAAGCTATTTGTTTTATTTATGGCTTGAACTCAGCTCCCTGCTGTAATAATTCAAATTCTGTAGGTACAAACCTTCTTATTTAAATATTGACTGGCAAGGGAGTCACCTTAGATCTAGCCCCACAGTTAGTTGCAGGGGTTTGATTTATGCTAATGAATGGGGCTGAGGCTTTCAAGGATTTGCTTTTATTATTAAATCCTCAGGACACTACTTTCCAAGACTCTTGTTTGGGCTTTACAATAAGAACAGAAGTCTATATGCTCTATCCTGAAGGCTGTTTATTGGGCTCAAAATGAAATTAAATAAAGGCAAACTTAATGGAAGTTTGGTTTCTTAATATAAAGTTTTGTATCTGAGTAAACAGAAAGTAATAAAAGATCAGGAAGCATATTCATGGAGAGGTAAGACCATGATAGCGTCTTGAGAGTCAGAAGTTCCAACTTAACCTCAACTAACTTGGAAAATTTTTAAGGTTGAAAGGTTAGTGATAATTGAATTTTATAGTCCATATAGCGAGATTTAAGAAAGCACAATCTCGAAGTGTTTTGATATTTTTCTAAAGTGAAAAACTTACTTCAGCCTTTACCTTAATCATTCCTGGAGCTTATATGTTCTCTTTACTGACAGCAGGAAGCCAAAGACCTTTGTACAAATCAATTCTCAATGGAGACAGACACATTGCTGAACTACAGTAAGGTTATGGACAAATCTACTTGGACATAAATCATAAAATTTGAGAGAAACTATACAACTAGATGTGATATGATTGGCATGCCCCATGAACCATAAAGTCCTTCAAAAATGTAAATAATAAGTACCATTGTGATGAGAACAAGTATTTCTTTTTTTTAAGACATAAGTTGATTCTGGAATTTTTGAATGACTTTCCAAGTATTTAAACAAAGCCAAAACTTTATTAGTCTGGTGATTAATTGCTATAAACATCCTACTCTTTTTTTCCTTCTTAAAGAATTTATTCACCTCAATTTTTTTTTTTCATTTTGAAATAGAGTCTCCCTCTGTCACCCAGGCTGGAGTGCAGTGGTGAAATCTCAGCTCACTGCAGCCTCCACCTCCTAGGTTCAAGCCATTCTAGTGCCTCAGCCATCCAAGTAGCTAGGACTACAGGTGTGTGCCACTACATCTGGCTAATTTTTGTATTTTTAATAGAGATGGGGTTTTGCCATGTTTGTCAGGCTGGTCTCAAATTCCTGGCCTCAAGTGATCCACCCGCCTTGGCCTCCTAAAGTGCTGGGATTACAGGCGTGAGCCACCATGCCTGGCCTCACCTCAGTTTTAAAATCCTTTCTTGGTGTGTTTTATAAAATGGCAATTTATACCTTTAAATTTGTTTGTACATCTGTAAAATATATGCAAATTTTCCAACTTCCTAAATTTTGAGTTCACTATTAATACCTTTAACTTACTCTCATTTTTCTCATGGGTTTTTTTGAAGATATGTTTTCTTCTAACTCTGTCCTTCATATAATCAGACCCAATTAGAAACTGGAAATGTACCAAAACTATCTTATTCTTTTTTGTATCTCTATAAATTCTTCTTGAATATTAAATTAGCAATCTCATCCATTTTATGGGGTTTTGATTATTTAATTTTCTCACTGCCTTTGGATTGACTAACAATCTTCAACAATCTGTTGAAGATTTACTGCTAACAGAAAGGCTGAGGAATGAGTCATCACAAACATTTATTTTTGAGACCTGGTTTCACATTTCAGTGTTAAAAGTAGTGAGTGAAAGTAATGTAAATAGGCATTACCACTGCCCCTAGAGTTTTACCACATAAGATAGAAAATGACACCAATATCCAGCTTCTAAGAAGGCATAGACAGTAGAATTCTTTTAAAGCTATAAGTAAATTCTAAGCAGATATTTTCAAATTTTATAATTTACACCTAATGTGATATAACAGTGGTCAGGGAACATTTCCTCTTTTTTCTTCTTTGTTTTCTTTTTCTTATTTGTATAAATTTAAGGGGTACAAGTGCAGTTTTGTTACATGGATATATTGCACAGTGAAGTCTGGGGTTTTAGTGTAACTATCACCTGAATAAAGTACATTGTACACATTAAGTAATTTCTCCTTTCTCACCCCATGCCCACCCTCTCACCCTGTTGAATCTCCAGTGTCTATGCCATACTCTATATCCATGAGTACACATTATTTAGATCCCCCTTTTAAGTGACAACACGTGGCATTTGATTTTTTGTTTCTGCGTTATTTCACTTAAGATAATGGATTCCACTTCCATCTATGTTGCTGTAGAATATATGGCTTCATTATTTTTTATGGCTGAGTGGTATTCCATTGCATATATATATATATATATATATATATATATATATATATATATATATCACATTTTCTTTAATCATCAGTTGACAGACACTTAGATCAATTCCAAACCTTTGCTATTGTGAACAATGCTGTGATTAGCTTACAAACACAGGTTATCTTTTTGATATTGTGGATTTCTTGTCCTTTGTGTAGATACTCAGTAGTGGGATTGCCGGATCAAATGATAATTGCATTTTCAGTTCTTTGAGGAATCTCCATACTGTTTTCCATTGAGGTTGTACTAATTTACCTTTCTGCCAACAGTATATAATGTTCCCTTTTCTCTGCACCCTTGCCAACATTTATTATTTTTTGACCTTTTCATAAAAGCCATTTTGAGTGATGTAAGATGTTGTCTCATTGTGGTTTTAATTTACATATCTCTGATGATTAGTGATGTTGAGCATTTTTTTCATATGCTTCTTGGCCATTTGTATGTCTTTTGAAAAATTTCTGTTCATGTCCTTTGCCCATTTTTCAATGGGGTAACCTGTTTTTTGTATTATTGTTGATTTGGCTGAGTTCTTTGTAGATTCTGGATATTAGTCCCTTGTAAGATGCAAATCTTTTCTGTTATTTTGTATTTTTAGTATAGATGGGGTTTCACCGTGTTAGCCAGGTTGGTCTCGATCTCCTGACCTCGTGATCCGCCTGTCTCGGCCTCCTAAAGTGCTGGGATTACAGGCATGAGCCACCGCACTGGCCTATTTTTTTTTTTTTTTTTTTTTTTTTTGAGATGGAGTCTCACTCTGTCTCCCAAGTTGGAGTGCAGTGGCACAATCTTGGCTCACTGCAAGTTCTGCCTCCCAAGTTGGAGTGCAGTGGCACAATCTTGGCTCACTGCAAGTTCTGCCTCCCGGGTTCACGCCATTCTCCTGCCTCAGCCTCCAGAGTAGCTGGGACTACAGGCACCCGCCACCATGCTCGGCTAATTTTTTGGATTTTTTTTTTTTTTTAGTAGCGACGGGGTTTCACAGTGTGAGCCAGGATGGTCTCCATTTACTGACCTCATGATCCGCTGGCCTCGGCCTCCCAAAGTGCTGGGATTACAGGCGTGAGCTACTGTGCCTGGCCCAAGTACATTATCATTAACTGTAGTCACTGTGCTATACAATAGATCTCTAGAATCTATTTATCCTGTATAACTAAAAGTTTGTATCCTTTAACCAACATCTCCCCAATCTCCTCCCTTTCTCCTTCCACCTACCCCGGGTAACTACTATTCTATTCTTTCCTTCTGAGTTTCAATTTTTTATATTTTACAGATAAGTGAGATCATGCATTATTTATCTCTCTGTGACTGGATTATTTCACTTAAAATGATTTCCTCCAGGTTTATTTATGTTGTCTCAAGTGACAGAATTTTCTTCTTTTTTATGGCTGAATAGTATTCTATTATGTGTGTATACCACATTTCCTTTATCCATTTATCCACCAATGGACATTTAGATTGATTCTATATTTTGGATATTGTTAGTAATGCTGCAGTGAATATAAGAGTGCAGATATCTCTTTGACATACTGATTTTATTTACTTTGGATATGCACCCAGATGTGGGATTACTGAATCATATGGCAGGTCTATTTTTACATACTGTTTTTCATAGTGACTATACTGAATTACATTCAGATCAGAGACATTTTTCTCCTGTCTTCCTTCTCTGATCCCTAAAATAGTGACTGAAATTATTGGCTGTAATTCATCCAGTTTGAGTAAATATCTTTAACAATAATTTACAAGACTATCTAACTTGGAACATTATAAAAGGTTGACTGAGAATGATGACTGTCCTACCAGGAATGATAACCAGAGGGAGTGTACTAAATGTTTAACAAACAAGAAAGTGTACATAAATGTGTAACAAATATATAGCATGTTTGTATATTAATTGGCAATTCTTTGTCACTTGGTGTAGTGAACAGTTACTGCTCCACTGTGATCCTCTCAGGTCCCTTCCATAGTTTGTAGGCTTCTGTCTTGATCTGTATACTTTAGCTTGTAACAGCTCACATGCCAATTCTCTTTGGAGGACTGTCCTCAAAATACTAGAGCTGCTTTGTCTGAAGTTGCAGAGAATTGCAAATGCCTAGGAGCTTATGACCCCCTTCATGTTGCCCCTAGCAAATGACCAACTAGTAGAGGAGTATGGAAATCCAGCTCTGTTGCCCTGAGTAGAGATGAACCCTAAGGCATAATTTATACTACAGGGCTCTTCTGTGGGATCAGGCTGAGGCTGGGACTGTGCCTCATATTGCAGCCTTGCTTGGATTGCTGCCTTTCACTGTCCTGTTACCCAACTCCCTTACTCTCTTATAAATCACTTGTACACAAGTCCTGCCTCAGTCCTATTACCCAACTCCCTTACTCTCTTATAAATCACTCATACACAAATCCTGCCTCGGAGACTGTTCTGAGAAACGCTAAGACATGAGTGAATATTCAGCTAAAGAAATAATATTTCTACTTGGTCTTGATCTTATTTCTCCTTTTTCCCCCTTTTCTCCCTCCCCTTCTTTTTTTCTTTCTTACACTGCTCTGCCTCCTTCATTGATATTTTCTGGGCCACACACCATTCATGACCTATGCCATTTTGGGTTGAAATGGTCTTTCAGCACCTTAGCAGCAGGAAGGGTTTCACTGCAGCTGTTTCTCTGGCAGGAAGAGTGCAGCTTCTGTGTTGAGTTCAACCTGAAAAGTGCTTCCCTACTGGGTAGAAGCCATGAATTGTATAGCACTCCCTGTTTTATACTATTAAATAGCTGCTTGGGCTGAGTAGTATCTCTGGGTTAAAAATTTTTTTCCCTAAGTATATATTTTTATTGAAGTATCAACACACATACAGAAAAGCACACAAATCATAAAAGCACAGCTCAATAAATGTAGTAAAATAAACGGAGTTGTACCACTACTATCAGGCCAAGAAATAGAACATTACCAGTACCCTGGAAATGAGATCCTGCTCCTCTATGGTTATTACACGCCTTTAAAGGTAATTGCTATTCTGACCATTATATTGCATAGTGGAGGATTAATATTATCCAAAGAGAGGTCTGGATATTACCCTTGGTTACTTGAAGCTGCTCTCTAGGCCTCTGACGTGTCCCACCTGAGAGCAGGGTCTTTGCTTGCTTGGGGATTTTGGCCACCAAAAATTCTAACAATATGAATATAATTTAAGATGGGACTTAACGGATCAATTCTGATCTCTGGAAAAGCTGGAAACTAAAGGTATTAAGCCAAACCTACAGGACAGGCTGAAACTATTGCAAACAGTAACTAATCAAGCCCCAGTAAAAATTTTGGACCCCAAAGGCTCTAGTGAGCCTCTTTGGTTGGCAATTCTCTACGTATGTTGTGACACATCTTTTAATATGGAATCCACCTCATAACAATTGTCTAAATTTCTGGAAGATGGAGCCATGCTTGTTTTTCCAAAAGCTCTTTGAGTGATTCTAATTTGTAGTCAGAGTTGAAGACCACCGCTCTAAATTGGTTCAGGAAAATCCTTTTATTTCTCCCATGTTAACTTTTAAAACTAGTAATGTACCCAGTTAAGTTTGGATGGTTTAAATTTCACTAAAGAACCTATTCTAATAACTAGCATTTATTACATGAAATTTAAGAGCTTAAGTTCCATCAAACTAGCCCTTGTGTAAGATTATTATTTCTTCTCTATAACTTCAAAATAGATATTTCATTCAAACTGTTCAGGTGAGAAAAGATAATGGATTTTTTTTTTCCTCTGGAGCTGCCTGTTCAGTGAGATGGAGGAGGTGCACACTTAAGGTCAATTCACTAATCTATGGTTCAGATTTCTGATCACATGGAAGTTTGGAAAAGAAAGCTTATCACAGGTTTGTATGCTGGTGAATGGATAGAGTTTTAATTTTCACTTTGGGGAGTAGCATGTAAACCAAACAGTTGACTGAAAAGCCAGTGCAATTTTTCACTGAAACTAATTATTGAGTCATAACAAGACATCTTAAATACACTTACCTTTGGCTTTGTAACTTATATACATATATTAAAGTAGTGTTCATTATTTTCAACTTCTGGTTGGTCTCTACTTGAAATATTGACTGTAATTAAGCCTTTGCATTAATATTCTGCTTTACAGACATACGTTTTGCTTTACTTGTTGTTTTTAGCATTATTATTTTGCTCAAGAGTAGTAATGCAATTGTAAGGTCAATAATTCAAAAGATAGAAAACAATAAGTGAAAGTAACTCTTTCTCTCACCCTTGTTCCACAGACCCATGTCTCACCAGGTAACAATCACTCTTACTTGTGTCTGGTACATTCTTCAAGAGAATACAGATATTTGTGGCAATTAAAAATAGTTAATACAAACTTAAGTATGCAATCACATTGTTCATCACCTTGCTTTTTCCTTTTTCTTTTTCTTTAGACTTAACAATATATCTTGGAGAAAGTTCCATATTGGTATAAATATGTGTGTATTGCCTTATTTTCAACTGCTGCATAACAGTCCATTATATATATATATATATATATATATATATATATATATGATTTATTTAACCAGCTTTTTACTGAACGTTTAGATTGTTCCAAATATTTTACTGTAAAAATGGTAATAAGTATTGTTGAATTACATTTTTGTGAACATATGAAAGGACATCTGTAAGATAAATTTCTATAGGTAACGTTGCTGGGTCAAATGTTATACATATTTATTCTTTTATTTTTATGAAGTCTTTAACTTGTTTCTCAGAGTTGAATTGCTTAATAAATATGCTGAAGTTCAGAACATGATAAAGCTGTTATTGAATTTTATTTCAAAAAGCTTATAATCAGGAAGTCTGTCTTATTGAGGCTTATTTTAGCCTCAATGTAACCTAATACTTTTTTTGCTCAAGCTTAAAATACTATAAGAAAAATGGTTGCAGAAAAAAGTAACCGTATTACATTTATTTTGTTGTTCCATTTTAACAAAATTATTTTAAATTTTAGTGAATTTTAAGTTGAAATTGTGTAGGCTAGTTGTATCCAACAAGGCAACCCTGATATCTTCAAATATCTTCTCTAACTACTCGATGTTTTTCAGATCTAGTTCCACATAACCAAGACTATTCAATTTTGATCCAAATAAAGTTTTATTAGATAGGAATTGGAGAAAATAATTAGTTAGTGATTGGAAACGTGGCTGAAAAGAAAATGGTTCAGCAGATCTGTATACCTCACCAAGAATTGAGGACCATTTATTTCCAAGCTCTGTGGTAGACAGAAATCCAATCAAGAAATACACCCTTGTTTAGAACCCTCTGATAGACTTTTAGCTTTCAATTGCACAAGAGCCTGCAGACAAATAACAGACAGCAATTTTTATGGTGTTAAAATGCTATGGTTCTCTCGCTAGTAGAGAGTTACCCATGGGAAAAGAGCAAGAATGGAGTTGACTGTGCACTAACCAGCATTTTACTACTGGGATTTCTCTATCATAGGGAATTCCTATCTCTTCACTGGAATAATCATGAGAGCCACCATGCTTCTGTGTCCTCATAGTCACACAGTGGCTTTCATTATTATTTTCATTCATATTTTTCTGAATTTTCATTCACTCAGCAAATAATACAGTATTTTCTTGTGTGGTGATGCTTTGTCAGACTGCCAGTTGATACGCATAGGATATAATGATGAAGGGAAAAGGCAGTTTCTGCCGTCAGACAGCTACCTTCTAAAGGAAGTCAGGGAGTTAAACAAAGAAATACGATACAATATGATGAGAGCCATGGCTGAAGAATTCGAGAGTGCTATAGTTATGTATAAGAGCCTCAGGGGATTGAGTGGGGGTTTCCCAGAGAAACAGAGGAAAAATCTAGTTAGTAAAATTAAAAGGTACAAACCCTATCCCTGCCCTGACTGCATGCAAATGCCTGCAAACCTTGAGACTTCCAAGATCTGCTGTTTTGTTTCTTTTTACAGTATCAGTGAGACAATCACAACAATTAGCAGATGTTGTGGACTGATTGAAAAATTACCACAATTCTTTACTGTTTTCAGTATCCATTCTCTTTGCAATGTGACTTTGCAGTTCTTCTCACCAAAAGACGGACTATTTTCCCCCTAATTCCTGAGTCAGTGCTATGGCAGCACATCGTGGTAGAAGAAAAGATGTGCCAGTCCCAAGCCCATGCTTCTGTTCTCTTGAATCTGTGCCTATACTATGAGATCAAGCCTGGCCTCCTGGAGAATGAGAGATCCTGTGGAGCAGAGCCAGGTCAACTCAGTTGTCCCAGACAAGGCTCTTAATTATTTTGATCCAGAGCAGTGTGGTCTTATACTCATGGGAAATAATAAATGATTTGTTGTGTTAAGGCACTAAGTATTAAAATGGTTTGTTATGCAGCCACATGTAACATCAGAGGATGGTTATGAGGATAAATAAAATGATACACACAAAATATTTCATCTACTGTCTATCACATAGTAAATAGTGAAAATTATTATCATCATATGTCTCCTTAAGTATTCTTTAATTTATAGTTCCCCTCCTTTATACACATGCACGTTCCACCTCTCTTCAATTTTCAAAAGAAACTTGGTTGGTTGTCTGGTAGAGTTTCCCATAGTCTGTATTTGCTGATTGCATACCTGTGGAATTGATAACATGTTTCTCTGCACCCTCTATTTTCTGTTATATGGTGATAAAAATTATTATTTTTGAAGATCAATTTAAAGTCTGAAAGTTAGTTTTCTTCTCTTGGCTTTAGTGTGCACAAAAATACCTGGGAAACATATTTTACTGGATAAATTAGTGTTTTCCATCTGAAAGTCTGCTGACCATAGTTTTCCTAAGAAATTTTTATTAAGGTAGTAATAATTAATAATGAAAATAGTATAATTATTATCCTTAGCTTGAGCTCCATGATGAGGGCCCACATGGCTCAGGGCTTGAATGTTCACTTATTTTGTATACTCTTCTTATTGGCTAGAGTTTGCTACCATTACTACCCTTTGTGTCTATCCCCAAAGCAGAGGCTTGACACTGTTAAGGTAGCTGGTTGTGAACGTAATCTTCTTACAAGCTTGAAAAATCCTTGTAACTCCACAGCTTCCCCCTCATTGATTAGCAAAGCCTTCCCTAGACCTAGCACTGCCATGAGTGCGCTTAAATTCTATAATGTAAACTTACATAATATATTGCATTTTTATATGGTTGGCTATCCTGAAATATTGGAAGACAGAAGGAGGGGCCAGTTGCTACCAAGTTTGGAGTACTAACAGGAGTCTGGGCTGCCTCCCAGGGGAAGCATCATCATTTTGCTTTTTGCAGCTTCTTTAAGCTCCTTCAAATAATTTATGGATACCATCAGCTGCTATCTTCAGGTCTTTGCTTGGCTTTCTTAACAGTCCAGATGACTTGTGCTTTGAATCTAGTTATCTTTTACTTTGCCCATATAGCTACCCTTCTATTTGTACCAGGAAAAAATAATGAATCTTTTTCAGTTATTTTGTGCTAGAACAATTTTTAGAGTTCTCCCAGAAACTGGAACGATCTTTAGAGTTTTAGAAAACTTATTTTCTTTAGTAGGTATAATGGATCTGTCTTTTAAACATAAGTTATTAATTTATCAAATATTTATTAAGTGTTTATTATATGAAAGATATTGTAGAGAGTCTTAGTTTGGGTTCTTCCAGGAGTGTACCCCGGGATGAAGATTCAAATGCAAGTGGTTTATTCCATTTGGGTGGGTGGAGCTTAATTCTATGGGAAAATCTGAGAAAAGGAGTAAAACCCAAATCTCAGAAGTAATCCATTTAAAGGGCTAAGAAACTGAAGCATTTATGTGCAGTTTCTGAACCATTGCCTAATGGCTGCTGTGGAAGCGAGGCAGGTGTTAATTTTGCATCGGCAAAGTGACTTTTCAAGATTTTGGAGAAAATGTCCTGAGGCACAAAATGAAGTTACTGGCAATTGGAAGTCTGTCAGGGAACATTGGCAGCTACAAGGCATACGGGTGGAGGACCAACAGCATCTGCTACAACTAAGCACTTTACACATATTATTTCATTAGATCCTTACAGTTCAAGGAGGAAGGGATTTTTTAATCTCTATTTGTTCAAAGAGATTAACTGAAATTCAGATTAGTCTTGTAATTTGCCCAAGGTTATATACTAATAAGGGGCAGAGTCACAATTTAGACCCAGAAAGGTGTTCATAATCTGTGGACCCAGACACAGTAATGTCTTCCCAAATGTCAAACAGCTGCTATTTAACAGAGGCAGGGCTATGACCCAGGTCCCCTGACGTGCAGCCTGGTGACCTTTCTGTAGACCGATCTGGTCATTCTCATTCCCTGTACAGCCCCACTTCCATCTCAGTGCCCTGGGAGTTTGATCCTTGAGCTTAGTTCTTACATGTCTTCCTTTAAGACATTCAGTGCTACTGCTTGGTTTAGATGCTGTGCATGTCACCAAGGGGAACTCTGTAAGTTCCCCCTTCCAACTTGTGAGATGCTTATTACCAAGATGCTTATTTCTGAGAATAACCTTTCTGACTGAAGATACTTTATTATGTTTATTGATAGCTCTGTTGCCTTGAAATTGCTTTGTTTGTTCCCACAACAGCATCTTTTTACATGTTTCTCCCTCTTTTTGAATGCACTTCTTTCCCTTGGTTGTGGAGCTGATTCCTACACCTTCTTATCATAGGTATCATTTCCCCAGGAATATCTCCCTTGACTTTCCTTACTACATAAAATTGAAGCACCAAGAAGATCTTCTCTATAGCACTTGTTGTAGTTGTAATATAATCTTTATTTTTGTAAGGGTTTCATTAAAGCCTGAAAACTATGATAAGAGGGACCATGTCTGCTTTTATCACTGCATCCTCCTCACCTAAAACATAGAAAATCCTCTGTAAATACTGTTGAATAAGTGGATGAATAAACAAATGCATTTTAGTCAAAGCACCGTCAATTTTTTTGTTGTTTTTTAACTTTTATTTTAGTTTCAGGGGTATATATGTGGGTTTGTTATATAGATAAATTACGTGTTGCAGGGTTTGGGTGTACATGTTATTTAGTCGCCCAGGTAACATAAGCATAGTACAGTACCCGATAGGTAGTTTCTCGGTTCTCACCCTCCTCTCACCCTCCACCTTCAAGTAATGTCTACTGTTCTCTTCTTTGTGCTCGTATGTACTCAATGTTTAACTCTCACTTATAAGTGAGAATATGCAGTATTTGGTTTTGTGTTCCTGTGTTAGTTTGCTTAGGATAATGGCCTCCAGCTTGTTCCATGTTGCTGCAAAGGACATGATCTCATTCTTTTTTATAAATGTGTAGTATTCCGTGGTGTATAAGTACCACGTTTTCTTTATCTAGTCTACCATTCATGGGCATTTAGGTTAATTCCATGTTTTTGCTGTTGTGAGTAATGTTGCGATGAATATTTGTCTACATGCGCCTTTATGGTATAATGATTTGTATTCCTTTGGGTATATACCTAGTAATGGGATTGCTGGGTCAAATGGTAGTCCCAAGTTCTTTCAGGAATTGCCAAACTTCTTTCCACAATGGCTGAACTAATTTGCCTTCCCGCCAGCAGTGTATTCTTTTTTCTCCGCAACCTCACCAGCATCTGTTATATTTGACTTTTTAATAACCGCCATTCTGATTGATGTGGGATGATATCTCATATAACCTTGGATCCTGCTTTAGTCCAGACTTAACTCTTGGTCACAGCCTCCGTCTAGCACTTAAAAATACATCCTTTCCCAGAGGCCACACCCTAATATGCCAGTTAATTAAGCTAAAAGCAACAAACCCAGGTGAGTCTGTAAACATTTAAAGGATACTCTGCCTATTTCAGTTGCTTTGTTTATAATAATGCAGGCATACACACGAGGAAAGAATATGATCATGCCATACACATCAATTAGCAATAAAACTGCTGACCTCCATTTTCTGAAATGCTCATTTGGAAGCTAGAGGTTAGAAAGTTACTCTCTAGTACATCTCCGCACTCTGGCAGCCACTAGTTGAAATTTTATCTCATGAAAAGTCAGCTGGACTCTTCCCAAGCCTGTTTTTGCCACATGCACTTGCTATAGCACTTGCATGTTTTAATTTATCATTATGTAAGCCATTGAAATATGAGCTCAAAAGGAGACTGTGGTTTCCATAAACTAAGTTGAATGCTATGAAAAGACTCAATAAAGTCAAAGTGGTTAAATGTTTAAAAAATGTTGCTGAGTTAATCATGAATGAGATGATTGTAAAAGATGGAGATAGAATCATAAATATCTAGTTTGCTTCTGATCATCATAAGTCTTTTTAGGAAACAGATACTGAGATGATGGAATGATGCACTTTGTTGTAGTTTATGCAATAATCATGAAGCCAGATTTCATTGAAGAGATGCACATTTTGTTTTCTTCATGTGTAAAATGGGAATAGAAAAACTGAACAGAGTTTTATGGATTAGGTATAGTAATGCTTTTCAAGTGTCTTGCCCAGTGCTTGGCTCAGAGTAAGTGATTAGTCTATTTTGCCTCCCATTCTGTGTGTGGAAGCCCTTTGTAAATGCTGGTGCATAAATGTCAGTTGTTGTTCCAAGGGGCCAGGGAGGAAGCAGCCAGGAAAAGAGCCAGGTTTGGAAAGTCTGGAGATGAAACTACACAAGGGAAGAAGTTGGGTTAGGCCCAGGGCTGCAGAAGGTTGATTTTTCCTTTAATTGAGGGGCTGCACTCAGAATCGAGACACTGATAGAAGATGGGCATGATCAGGTTCATCAGAAGAAGCAAATGCTTCAGTCCCTGCTGGGTAAGGTTCTCAGCAAAGGCTGCAGCCACAACGGTTTTTATTTGGAGGGTAAAGTACAACACACAGCCCTTGATTAAAAATCAAAAAACAAAAAACAGGGGAAAAAGCTAGTGATGCATCAAATGAAACAACTCTCTACAACAACAAGGAAAAAACTTTTTTAACAATGAAGAGTTTGAAAGTAAACTTAACAAATTCCTATGGGTCAAAGGCTCGTTCCCAATCACAGATCGCTGACTGAGAGGTTTCACTTTTTGCAAACTACTTATTATTTCCGGAGTCTCAATGGGGAACAAATCCTATCCTCTCTTCCTGCTAAGAGCATTTAAGCACTCAGTGAAAGCAGAACATTCTGGCATGAACTTCACAAAGTGTAACCTCTGGAGTATGGCAAGCAGGCTGCATTGGGGACTGAGCATTTTTTGCATAGTGCCTATTATGCAACATCAACCATTTAAAAAACTGCCAACAGTGTTGTCTCTGCGGAGAGTATGGATTGTGGGCAGAACAGTGACAATTCAATGGTCATGCCTGGCTTGTTGGTGCAGTGAAGAGGTTAAACTCTGCAAATACCCAAATATGAACAAGTCAGCTGACTCCAGCTGTCTGCTCCATGGGGTGGGAGGAGTAAGATAGGGGAGATGTATTAGGCAGATTTTGTTGAAAAGTTCCTTTTGTGTCTGTTGTCTTAGAAATTTCTTGAGTACTTTCTTAATGAAATCAGACTTATAGTGGAAAGCAATGAGAAAAACTGGATGAATGATTTGAAAAAAACACACCCAACTGAATTCTTCTTCTTTACCAACTTTTACATTTTCCTCTCTCTTTCATTTGATAATTTTTGCCTCAGCAGTGAATTCCTCTGCTACCCCGTCAGGGCTTTCTGAAGGCAGGAGCTTGTTTTACTTACCCAGGTATAGCCCTCATCCACTGAGGTACCCAGCACACATTAGGTTTTCAAAGAAAAAAAGAAAAGTGAATGGGGAAAAATATCAAAGTAATTCTAAAGAGGAAAAACTTGACCCACACAGGAGTTTTGTGCAAAATCTATGTGTGTAAATTAGTTGTTTAGAATACATACCACTCTGGACATTGATCTTTTGTCAAATATAGGCTTTGAGAATATCTGCTTCATGTCTGTGGCTTCTCTTGGAACACAATAGCTTGTAGAAATATTGGTATAGGTTAATTTAGTTCTATGTTTGGCAGCAAAAGCATCTCTAATCCTGGCATAACAGAAGGACTGATAGCAGAGCCATAAATTCCGTCACCTGCTATCAAGAGCCACGCAGTTCAGGAGGAGTCAGGAGAAGAGAGAATGAGATAATTTTATTTTTCCTGCATCTTTTAAACATGTGAGCTGAGCTTAAAGCAAGATTTTAAGTAGATGAAGTATCTTTGGCACCTTCTCCTTTCCTTTTGTTTTTGCATCTAGTTGCCTAATTTCCCATTGCTTTCGTTTATCTGTGCATTCACTCCTTTCTTTTCACATTCCAAAATTATTACTCCCCTCACCATTTCCCCTCCGAGCCCTCCACGTATAGCAGAGAACTTCCATCAACCCTGATGTGTTTGTACATTCAGATGCTTAACCCATATGCATCTCTGACTGGTGGAATTTCAAACCATGGGATCACATGAAAATAGCGTTTGTGTGTTTGTGTCTGTATTATTCTGGGCAGAAGGATTCAGGATATTGTCAAGTCAGCCCTGCCTAGAATGTTGTCCCCAAATTCATTTTCTTAAGGTGCGTCTAGTTTTTTAATATTTCATTTTTCATTGGTAAATTAATTTAAACAAACATTTACTTGCTTCAATAATATTTGTTCAAAATATTTACTTTATTTCTTCAAATTCTGAAATTATAGATTCTCCAAATTCTCCAAGGCTTTTTTCACGAGGTTCCGAAAAGTGAGAGAATTGACTGTCTGAGGATGGGAGAACTGGCATTGGTGTACATTTTTATTTATGTGCGAATATATATATATAGTTTTTTTTTCTTTTTTTTTCTTTTTTCTTTTTTTTGAGACGGAGTCTTGCTTTGTCCCCAGGCTGGAGTGCAGTGGCGCCATCTTGGCTTACTGCAACCTCCGCCTCTCAGGTTCAAGCTATTACCCTGCCTTAGCCTCCCGAGTAGCTGGGACCACAGGCAGGTACCACCACGCCCAGCTAATTTTTTTGTATTTTTTAGTAGAGTCAGGGTTTCACTATGTTGTCCAGGATGATCTTGATCTTCTGACCTTGTGATCTGCCTGCCTCAGCCTCCCAAAATTATGGGATTACAGGCGTGAGCCACCGCGCCTGGCCATGTGTGAATATTTCTATGCCCAATGTTCAGACATTCTTTATCTTCAGCTATTTATGTCTTCAGCCTTGTAAAACTGATTTTAATCTCCTTATATTTTAAACATTATCATGTATTGTAGCCATTTTATATTGCTTCTCTTTCACTTAGCTTTTTTTTTCATCTCTTTGACAAACTTTTCTTGATGCTTTTTTCCTGTTAGCTTGGAAGATTTAAATTATTTTTATTTTCTTAGAGATTACTGTTACATTTCTATCATACATATTTAATGCAGTTTTTAAACCATGACTAAAGGATCTTAGAAACTCTTACTACAAAAATAAGACAAAGAAATTAGCATTTCCAAAATTTTTCTATGATAGAATTCTATTTCAAGTATTTTTAAACT
This sequence comes from Homo sapiens, assembly GCF_000001405.40. Lineage (NCBI taxonomy): Eukaryota > Metazoa > Chordata > Mammalia > Primates > Hominidae > Homo > Homo sapiens. The sequence goes on from NC_000013.11 coordinate 53,515,705, forward strand.
AACACAGTATAATAATAATAGCTTCTTTTAAAAAAGATGTTACTTAATAGATTTGCCAACATTTTCAAACCAATTTATTTAATTTATTGACTACATTGCTTTCTTTCTACATTCATTTTGTTTCACTGTATATTCTGAGAAGCCTTATTCCCTTCCCTAACCCTTTCATCTTGTTCCTACTCACCACTTCTAGGTGACCTTTTTGTTGTTATTTTTGTTTGTGTTTCAATCTGTCTTGTATTTCTTTTTGCAAAAATAAACATATGTGCATACATATTTTCAGACTTTCTAACAGAAAACACTGTATATTCTTTATATTCTTCTGTGCTTTTTTCATGTAACGACATATCCTCTAAATCATTGTATATGATTTCATAGTGATCTTTCTCAATCTGTTTTAGCAGCTGTATAATATTCCATTATTATGATAAATCAAGTTTATTTAATTGGCTTTCTATGGATGGGCATTGAGTTTATTCTAATATTTTGGTATAATAAAAGTTCCATCAAGAATAAACTTGTGCATATATTGTTTTAGTTTATTGACGTGTATCCTTAGGATAAATTTCTAGTAGTAAGACTGCTGAGTCAAATAATAAATGTATACCTTACCGTTTGCTTTTGTTTTTTACTTTTACTTTGTAATTAACCTAAGGTTGCATTGTGTCTTTTATATCTGAGGATTCCTGTTTTTAATATTTTCCTAAAAAGTTGTAGTCATTATTTCTTCAAATATTGCTCTGCTTATTCTTGAATTTATAGTTTGTTGGAGTTTTTTAATACTACAACAGCTTTTATTTCATATTTTTGTGTTCATTATAATTTTGTACTGCATTTTGGGTAAGTTCATTAGGACTATCTTTCAGTTTAATGATTCTCAATCAATTATGGCAATCGTATACCATACTATTAATGTTACTATTCCATATCATCTATTGCAAAAGTTTTTCAGTGGCTATCCTTTTTATTTTCTGAATTTCTAATTGACTGCTTTTTTCATATTTATTAATATTAGATTTTATCTGTCTCTTTTGTTTCATAATCTCTTGTTCTTTTAAGAATGGTATTTTTGTCATTAACTCTTTCGGATTCATAAAATATCTATTTTAAGCCTGAGCATGGAGGCTCCTACCTATAATACCAATGCTTTGGGACCCCAAGGTGGGATGATCATTCGAGGGCAGGAATTCAAGGCCAACCTGGGCAATATGATGAGGCCCCATCTACCTGCACACACACACACACACACACACACACACACACACACACACACAGACAGACACAATTAGCTGGATGTGGTGGTGTGCACCTGTAATCCTTGCTATCTTGGAGGCTGAGGTGGGAGGGTCACTTGAGCCCAGGAGTTTCAGGCTGCAGTGAACTATAATTGTGCCACCAGCTCTCCAGCTTCTGCTCTCCAGCTTGGGTGACAGAGTGAGACCCTATCTCAATAAATAAATACATAAATAATAAAATTAATATATACTTAGAAATTATTTATAAATTTTCCAATATTTTTACATCCCAAGACATAGTCTTTCATTTCACGAGTAATTTGGCTGTTTTCTATAAAGTTAGTTTATTTCTGTGTTTTGAAATATCTGTGGTAGCTATTCCTGAGTAGAGGTTTTACTGTTATTTGCTTTATTTCCTCATTCCCACCCATCTTTGTCTGAAAGTTCAGAGAAGTGTCACTTAAGTCCTGTGGGTTTTCAGTACCAAACCATGTCTTATGTTGCAAATTGGGGCTTTATTATGAGAGGATATTCTGGAACCCATCTTTGAGCCAACATGCAGCAAATTACTCAACATAAGAGTCCCTTTTGTATCTCTAGAGTGTATTAATAACATATACCTCATAGGATTGTTGTGAATATACCTCATACCTGAGGTATTGTGAATATACCTCATACCTCATACATGAATATACATGTACCTCATAGGATTGTTACTATATATAAAGAACTTAGAACAATGCCTGCACATAAGAATCACTATATAAGCATTTTGTATTGTTATCATCATCATCATCGTCACAATCACTGGTATATTGCTGGCATATATCAGATGCTTCACAAATAGGTTCTGTGGTTATTGTTACAATTTTTTGTACTTCTGGTGTCTTTCTAACTTTCAGGCCACATCACAGTGCCTTTATAATTCCTATTACAATATACTCTCTTTTTACCTTTGTGAATCTTTCCCAGTGAGGCAGATTAGGTATTTTTAGAGGGCTCATCTCAGAACACTATTCCCTTCCCTTCCATAAGAGAACCCCTGGCTCCAGGAATGGGACAATATTCTTGATTCTACTGAGTCAAAACTTCCTTACCTTCTGAGCCAGCATAAGTCAGGATCTATGGATCAGTTGGTGGAAGAAGCCAATGATGTTAGTTAGAGATGGGTTTTTGGTTGGCTTCATATACCTTAAAGTAATGACTTAGTGTCTATTATATAATTAGAACTCAAAATAAGTTTTCATCAAGGCAATTAGGAATCAGAAGCTCAAAAATTAAGAGTCAAAGATGTGGCCTTACTAATAATGCTAGGCTGAGGAAACAAGGTACTGTTTCTGGAGAACAGTAAGGGTAAGAAGACGCTAAGCCTAACTTCATGGGACTCAGTCTTCTGGAGTTCACATTAAACGCTTCCACCTTTCTATGCCTTCATTTCCTCATGATTAAAATGGAAATGGTAATAATATCATTATTTTATGTTAAAACATATAAAGAATTTGGTAAATTGGCCAATATAAGGTAAATGCTCAATAGATATTGACTATTATATTAACATGGATCTTGGACCAAAGAAGGGCCTTGAGAAAAATATATGATTGGAAGAGGAATTCCAAGGATAATGATTTCATTGACAAGAAAGATAACCTGTCATATTAATTTATTGTGAATAAGACTGTGAAGTCTTAGAATGAGTGCATAAGATGAGAAGCTGGCTGAGCACAGTACTGCTTTCTGATGATAGTTTATGATACAGATCTATCCCAGTCACAGAGAAGTTAGGGGGAACATTAACAGGTGCTGCTCACATCTGGTCAGTCTCTGGAATTTTTGTCTTCATCCCCACTTTCTTTTCCTGGCATTGGCTCTCAAAGACTAAAGTTGGAAACCTCTTGTGTGTTGAGGCAGTGTTTCTTCTTCTTAAGTCATAAAAATAATCGTGGCCAGATTATACCAGATGGTGTGAGAAAAAGAGGAACCATTGAAATCAGTGGCAAATGGGGAGACTGAAGAAGATACATCCAGGGGAGTCCTAGCACAGCTCTTTGGAGGCTGAGTCACACAGCTTTTCCCTTGGTTACAATGTCATTGGGGGCAAACAGCGTTTTGCCTATTCTTTAAATTTATGGCATAGGGTTATTTTTCAAATATTTATAAATACCAATTTTCTATGCAGCTGAAATGCTTTTATAGAAAATATCTGATAGGCTGTAAATTTTAATATATAATTTACATATCTCCAATGGCAAGTTGAATTATCTTTGGGTTTTATATTTTTGGCACTTATAAAGTTTTCAATATCAGAATTTAATTTGGCTTGTTCAACAGTTTGCTTTCCAGTTGGAAGGCATTAAGGGAGGAGATTATGTATAAATCAGTATGACAACATTATATGTGAAGAAGTATCATGAAGAATGCTTGCAAAAGTTAGGTTTAAATAATTCCCTAATTTGTAGCTAATTTTAAGGTTTCCAAGACCAAGGTGCTAAAAATATCAAGTACTTTATATGATACAAGTCCAACATCCATATTTAAATGTGAGTACGCTTGTAGCTTAGGACCAAATGTAAATACTTTTGGATTGATCACTCAAACAGAATTGACCAACTTTTGCAAACTTTCATGCAGTTGATAATCTATTGAAATTAAGTAACCCTCCTCTAAATACTCGGAATCTGAGATTGTGTTTTTGAAATTCATTAAAGATAATGACAGCCAAATGGATTTGAAAATAGCAATAATAGACACCAAAGTTTAATACTGGAAAATTGGAGTTAATATTCTCATTCAAGAGAGAGAACCAAAACAATTTCCTCTGGCAGATTTTGCTTTAGCTTGTCAACTGGAGAACCTGATGTCTTTGCCAAATAAATATGCAAATATGTGTTTGATTAAATAAGATGAAAACTTTATTGCTGAGATATGGCTTTTCTTTCCATTTCTAACTTCATTCATTTCATGCTCACTGAACCAAGCCTAACTAAGACTCCATGACTTTCAATAGGACAGTAATCCTCTGCTTCTAAAAGAAACTTCTAGCGCTGTGAGCTCCCTATAAGTTCAAGGTAGTGTGGATGAGTGAACCTTCTATCATTCCCTGATACATGTGTGGGGGTTTTGGAGGTGGGGTTTGGGCATGGGTATATGCAGAAGGAGATTCTTCGTGACAAACAACAACAAAAAAACTCATCCTGTCAAAAGTGCATGTGCCTCTGCTTTATCACCAGGATTACACTGAGGTTTTATTTTAGAGTATCCTGGATTTTAAATTGAAAGTCAAATATAATTTGCCACAAGAAGCATGAAGTGAGTGACTAGAAAGCTGCTAGCAAGGCCCAGCATGACAAATCAGTGTCTCTATGATAATGAGCCTCTGCAGGAGGTGGGTCACTGTGCTGCAGTTGAGTGGTAGAAGTAGGCTGGATGGCTCTGGGTTAATGCAAAGGCCACATATTCTAGATTGGTTCAACTGGTGTGATGGCCAAAACCAGGCAGACACCATTCACTTCTTTCATTGCTCAGGAATAGCAGCACTATTTTAACTCCTATGATTCTGTGCAAACTTTGGGCAAATATAATGCAGTATCTACTAGTGCAGCTAAAGAGAAAGTCTGCCTGGAGAAACAGCACTGGAGGGATATGAAGTAATATTTACTGAGTGGCTAGACTTGTGCCTTGAACTGTGATTCATACTTTACATGCATTTTCTTATTTAATGCTCACAAATTTTATTATTCACATTTTGCAAATGAAGAAACAAACTTTGAGGAACTGAGTGTCTCACAGAAGATCAAACATTTAGAGCAATGTAAGGAAAATTAACCTTCACTAAGCCTCTACTACGTGACTCCATGTTGTCTTCTGTGCCTGGTGTACACATACATGATTTCTCGGGTTAGTTTTTACTACAACCCTTGGAAGTTGGTATTAGGATCATGTTTTATAGAGGAAGCAACTGAGTCTCACAGATGATAAACTAACCCAAGCTGAAAGAAGCCAGTCAGTGCGAGAATTAACTTTTTAATCCAACTCTGCCTGAAAGCAAAGCCCATGGTCCTAATCTCATCTCATGTTCAGGAAGGTGACTTCATAAGCTGAAGGATGAACTGATTTTCAGAGAGAGACCTCTGCCTTCGAGGGTGTCCTGGGAATATCTGTTTTCCCTTAGAAAATAACTCACTGTTAGACTTTTTCTAGTCTTTTCTTTAGGACTGCCTCACTTGTATCAGGCTTTGATAGTATGCTTAACATGACCCAAATACAGTAATAAGGCATGTTACAAAAACCAACTCTGTTAAATTTCCCTTCAGGTCACCAGGGAAGGCAGGCTGAGGCACTGTTTTGCTAATTTTTGCACACTCCCTGACCACCTTCAATTCTTTCTGGCTACTCACAAATTTAGATAGCTTATATGCACACCGTTCATCTACTCGAGGGTCGAAAAGGATTTGCAGCTACATGACCCAAAGCTGAAGAGATGGAGTGTGTAGTTACCCTGGTTCCGTGTAAGTCATTTGAAAGGCCTGGATATGATTCAGTAAGGATGAGTGCATTCTGTTAGCTGTGTGCCTTGCAGAAGGCTATCTGGGAACATTGCACATAAACACAATTCTCTCTAATTTTGGTAGCATCTTAGTGAGATTTGTTCTGGTATGGAGAGCTACAGGTTTATGCCTCATTTGTTGTGCTGCTAATTTAGCATGGCTTTTTTCCCCCTAGGCATCTTAAACAAATGTATCTATGACAGGTACAAAGCTCCAATGATAAAAGTAATGGAAAACCTGAACTTCATCATCAGCTGTCCCTTCACTCTGTTTTTACCAAGCTGGGCTTCAGCATTTAAAGACTAAGAACATCCCCTTTCAGCCCCTTGAAGGGTAGCATGGGAAGCTGAGAACCCTATACATCAGGTTCAGAGAGCCCTGGGTTCAACTTGGACTTCTGAACTTCCTGGATTGGTTGAATTTGAATAACATAATAACTCCTCTGAAATGTTATTTCCTCATCTGTAAAGAGATATCCTTACCCCCTTCTCAAAGGTTAAGTATTAACATGGCATACCAAATGTGGAAACAGCTAGCAAAAGACTTAACATATATTACAGGCTTGATAAAACCTTCTCTTGTTGGATGAAAGCTGTGTGACCTTAGGCAAGTTACTTAACCTTTCTGAGTTTCAGATTCCTCTTCTATAAAATTGTGAAAATAACACCTACTTGATAGGGTAGCTTTGAGGATTAAATGGCACAACATAGGTAAAGCACCTGACATTGTAGGCACTTCCTTGTGACAGCTTTTATTGTTACAAAGCCTGTGGTTGTGAAAGTGAAAGGGCACAGGTATTGCTAGGGTAACCATGCATTCTTGGTTGCTCTGGGCAGAATCTGTTTATTCCTGATTCTGGCAAAATCATTAGTAATATACTCTTTACTCTCAAAAGATTCCAAATAAATTCTGTGGTCACTCTAAATATAACTAATATGTAGGGAGGAGGCTGACCTGTTGAGAAGGAGACAGAGAGACCATAATAACGATTCCTTTCCCAGAAGTAATGTTTATCTAGTTCTTCCAACAGCGTAGTTTAGTTCTTACTAGTTAGCTATTATTAAGTTTTTGCTTATTATTGTTAAGCGGATAAGCTTTGGCAATTCAGAAACATCTAAATACACAGAAAATACATGGGCAGAGGTTTTGATGAAGTGGTTTGTTCCCTTTTTCTGGTCATTTTCCACTTACTAGTGTCCAGTTTTCAAGAGGACGCAGCTTTCATGCTACCCTCTGGCTGCCCCCAATCACTTTTCACTGTTAACTCTAAGGGGTGGCCCATTAAGTGTCCTGGCTGCCTGGACACCCTCTTGCACATACTGGTAATTTTAAAAAGGCTCAGTTTCTCTTCACTCAGTCCTTTGGCCCACAAGCATACCTCCTCTTGTTTTTGCTGTAGGAGACTTCCTGATATGCCAGACAACCTTTGGATAGGGATAGCAATGGAGGCTAACTTATTCCTCATGATCTCATTGAACTCTGCTGGCTCGCTCTGGGCCCACACCATAGGTACAGAAATGCATGGATCTGTGCCTTGAACTGGGAGTAAGGGCAGGGAGGAATATATTCCTGAGTCCTGCGTCTTCCTTTGGCACTGTCTGCAGTCTCCTCTTCCTACTGCTCTTTTTCCTCCCACTACACCCCATCCAGTGCCTTTCTCGTCTATGGAGGAGTAAATGAGAAACAAAATGGTGGTCTTTTTTGCCCGAGGGAACCACCAAACTTTGAGAAGGACCTGAAAGACACATCCTAGGAGAGCTGGAATCATCAAGAGAAGCAAATATTTTGTTTTTTTCTCTACAAATCCTGACCCTCTCCCTTTCCTTTTTAGTTCACTTCAACTTCCTCTTCAGGAGAGAGGAGAGAAATCAGCTGTCTTGGGGCCAGCTTTTATTTCTGATGATTATTGTCTCTTACCTGGTATCCAGTCCTTTGGAATGTAGATCATCTTTCTTAGCAGTCACTATGTGGAGCTGGTAAAGAAGAAAAAGGTACCCTGTTATTTCAGTGTTTGCCCCAAGTAAAGATTCTCAGATCACTGTTACATGGGTAACTGACTTTTCCTTTCATTTCCTCCAGCAGAGTAGAGACTAGGCAGTCATTTTTAAAAAGTATTATGAAACATATTTTAAAAATGTAAAATAATGTATATGTACATTATAAATTGAAGGTTATCAAATGTTTTTCAGAAAAGGTCCAGACAATGAATATTTCAGACTTTGGAGGCCATATACACCTCTGTTGCATAGATTCTTCCTCCATTCCCTCCCTCACCTCTTAACAAAGCTTTAAAAATGTAAAACAAACAGACAAACGAACAAAACAACAAAAAACATTCTTAGCTCACGTGCCAAACATAAGCATTCTACTGTCACAGCTATATTTGTTTTATTATTAGGCAGGACATATGCCTTCTCATTACCCTTCTTTTTCAAGGTTTATTTTAAGCTTGGTATCATACATGTTTTTAAGATAAACTTTTATCTGCTATTTTATTTCCAAAACCCGTCATCATTTGTATTTCATGGAATCTATACATTTATTATAATCCTGTAATTTATACTTTCTCTCCTCCTTTTTCCCACATGACGGATCTGCCTTCTCTCTCTTGACAATTAAGTTTCTGTATCAGGAGTTGTTTCATATACCTAAAATTACAGGTCTCTTAGCCTGAGAGTTAAGATCACTCTGTTCAGAAGGTCTTATGGGAAATGATCAATGCTGTTGTTCAACATCAATAAACTCTGATTCCTCTGTTTTACTGGACTCAGGGTTTGGATTAATGCAATCAGTTTCTATCCAATGGCTATTTTTTTTTTCTAGATGACTGGGTAGGGACCATTTCTGGCCTGGGTGACTTTGGCATCTAGATACTTGCATACATCTGGTAAGAGCATATTGAGTCATTTTTTTGTTGTTATAATTCCAGTATTAAACTCTGCTTAAGATAGGTTTGACTTTTTTTTTTTGGAAGCCAAGACAATTATATTTAATTTTTATTAGATCCAAATTATTATCATTCCACCTCCTCTCACATCACTTCGTTTCTTTGACATTTGCTGCCTAAGAAGTCAGGGAAGAATGTGAAGATTTGAGATCCAAACCCTGCAATATAATGACTACATACTCAGGAAAACACTTTTCTCTAAGCACTGGAAAGTAGAGATCCTACTCACCTCAGCCCATGCTTATGCTTGCCTTTCATGCATTTTCTATTACTAAGATAATGTCATGATGGACTGAAATTAATTCTATATCAAAATAATACAATTAAGAAACGGATGTGAAGGAAGAAAATACGTATAGTTTATATTTACTTTTCAAATGTAAGATTTTTTTTGTATTAACATTTAAACATCTCTTTTGAATTCCTTCTCACCTAATATTGGCAATAATTCAAACACCCAAGCTACTGCAGCCACCACAGAATAGGCCAGTGCCTGATATTATAGCAACTACATATGAAATCCTTTCCAGTGTAAAAGCTTATTAACATTTAAAAAGAACTAGATCCATTCATACTTTGACTATAGAGTCAACGAACTCACTGTCTGTCATTCCCAACCTTTTCCCCTCTTTTGCATTTACAGAAGTCCTTAAATATCAGCAGCACACTAAAAGTTCTCACATAAATACACCAAATGAAATCCCATCTTTAACTCTAGCCCTCTCAACCCATTTCCTCTGTGTTCAAATAACGTTGAGGGACAAATTTTCAGTGAATTGTCGAAAGGAAAGGTGACGTCCATTTAGCAGTCAGCTAGTTGCTAATCAGTACCCAACTAAAATGCATCAAAATTTGAGTACTCCCAATTGAACACTTTGAAAGATAAGCATTCTACTAATTTAACTCTGCTGTAGGTTGAGCCCTGATTGAGTGTTTTCACAGCAAGATGAGCCATGTTCCAGCACTTTCCAGTATTGATTTTTAGCCCAGAGCTAAAAATGCTCATCTAAACATGTCATTTTAAAATCTTTGATTGCCTGCTCTATGGGGTACAGCTTATGAGACTCTATGTAGTGGGTCATCACACTCTGACAGAGGAATTAAAAAGAACTTCCTCATATCTTTTTTGAGACTCCCCAGATTTAAAACAGAAATGCTGGGGAGGTAGAAGAAAAATAAACAGGGAAAAGACATAGTTGTTTTAAGAAGCAGATTGTCAAAGTGGAGATTTGCCATCAAGAGAAGCTGAATTTAGTTTGGTCTTCCCGGAGATAGTTATGGTCCTTTTCATACATTGGTGCATTCAGGCTGGGGACTGTAGCTGCCATTGGAACTAGACACAACACTGTTTCTGCAGAATCATACAGAGCCTGACAAGACCTTGCAGTCTTTTTATTCTGAGGAGTTAAATTGGCACTTTTTTCAGAACTCAATTTAAGCCAAAATAAAGAAAGAAAAAGAAAAAACAGAAAGGGGTAACATTTTTAAGCACTTAACTATTAAACAATTTTTCAAATGGATTATACATAATAAACAACCTTGGGACAGAGGAGATGGTTTGTCTGGAAGCCTGGATATAAATCATGTATTCTGTCCCCAAATTCCCATGCTCTTTCTACCATTGAACAGAATATTGAACTCTCCAAATTTTAGTGAGAAGAAACCCAAGAGTACTAATGATGTCTTGGAAGAAAATAGCATTGTCCTATTTTTTTCTTAAAGAAAAGTAGGTCAAAATGAAGCTTCTATGATCACTGAATTGTGACTGTTCAAAACTTTTTGAGAAATGTATGGAAAGATACAAATTGAACTAGGTTTAATGAGGCTAAAGTGACCATGTAAATCTCATTTGCCAGAAATATTGTACCTGATCTGGGAAAGGTGCATTACTCTCTCGTAGCTGTCGTTCTTTCATGCCACAGCTGCTGTGGCAACATGGTGGGTGAGGCTGAGAAGGCAAGGCTTTTTAGAGTATTAACAAAATCAATCGATGTTATAGAATAGTTGGATTGAGTTTCTTAAGCACCTCAGGGTTGCTAGAATAAGTACCTGGGGAAGGAAGATGTAGACCACGTCAGAGGCAAAGTCTTTGGAGACTGAGAGAAGAAACAAACTTTGCACCTTGGTCAGTTGTATACTTCTTATTTTAGCCTTTAAAAGGGAGAAGAAAGGGAAAATAGAATCTCAGGAGCAGTGAATTTAATTAATATGAGCACACAACTTTCCTTTCCTTGACCCCACTCTTCCTTCTCAGAAAAGATTTCTCTAGATCTGAGAACCAAGAGACCTGCATCCTATAGCTCTCTATAGACATTGAGTAAATTCCTTTACTTCTCTGTGGCTCTGAATTTCATTATTTAATAAATGGCCTCAACTATATTATCTCTTTTCAGTTATACACTACTGCAATTCTGTGATTCTTATTTTCTATTAGAAAGTTCTACTCTACAGAGAACAATGCAGGCTCCTAGCACAGTATGTAGTACATAGCTAGTATTCAATGAAAAAAGTCAAATAAATGAATGAATGACTTTTTATTGGTTCTGATTTAGTCACCATTTGTGAGTTTCCCACTTGCAGGTCTACTATAGAACATTGCATTAGATTCAAGATAATTATTGATTGGATGATTCCTGATTTCAAAGTACTTGTGTAAGTTTCCATAAATGTCTATAGGTGTGAATTACATAATGGACTTACCTGTCTGCACTAACTTGACTGTATAGGCCCTTAGTCTATCATGACCCTCAATTCTACCACTAGGTATGTATCTAACAATGCATGCCCATCTGCCTCAAAAGACAGGTATAAGAATGTTCATAGCAGATTATTTATAGTAGTTCTATCCCAAAGCCCATCAACAGTTGAATAAACAAATTGTGATATAGTCATGTAATATAATATGACAGCAATGAAATGAACAAATTGCATTTATAAACAAAAACATGAACATCATAAACATAACTTTGTTCTGAATGAAAGAAGCCAGGTACAAAGGAGTTCATGCTGCATAATTCTATTTATATATAATTCAGAAACAAACACAACTAAACCAAGCCTTTATAAATGCATGTTTACAAGGAATATATATGGCAAAGAGATTGACATAAATGAGGCTAACCTTTATGGGAGGGGTAGGTGGTTCTAAAGCATGAATCTGCAGAGGCCCTCTGAGCGCCTAGCAACACTCTATTTGATGATTTGTGCAGAGTGACAGAGGAGCTTGCTGTTTCTATATCTTTCTGTAACGTATGTGAGATTTCACAATAATTTTTTTTCTTTTTGTTTTTAAGGAGTATATGTAAAATTCCAGGTTCCTAGTAGGCGCTGAATACATGGTGGTTACCTAATAAGCATTCCACCTTTCTTCTTCCCCTGATTCACTCTGCACAGCTAACCTTAAATAGTAATGAATAATCTTGGTGTGAGTGCACAACCCAGACATCCATTCCCAGAAGAAAAGTTGCCCAGAGCATGAGCAGACTGCAAAGGCAAAAGGTGTTCATTCCTGCCTCATCCGATTGCCTCTTACACCAGCACCCGAGTTGTCATACTGGTGACTGTGTTTCAGAGCCAGTGAGCACTCCGACGCTTCATAATTACTGAAACACATGTGCTAAGTCACTTTTTGCTAAGCCACGGTGAGAATTCTCAGTGTTCAATTGCCCTCAAAATTTCTCATCTCTTCCCTGGGGTGAGGTGCTTTAGTTTAGCAGCTGCACATGGGGATTGCATTTAAATCATTTAAAGTTTGGAGTTCAATATGTCCTAAAAGCAGCCTCTCTTCTTTTAGCATTCCTCTTCAGGTACACCTAGATTTTTTCTACTTCAAAGTGAGGAATATCTTTCTAAGGAGGAGGAAACCTTCAAAAATACATTAACTCTTTGAATGCACAGGTGTATTTCATGATGCTGTCTGCTTGTGTCTTTCCAGACTGTTAGTCACTCCTTGGTAGTAGCTTTTTAAAGTCATTAGCCATCCATTTCGCCTTTTAGCATCAAAAGCATTAACACAGTGAATCAGGTGTATGGCTAGCTAAAGGTCAAAAGAAATAGTGGAAGAGAGTACACAAAAAAAGTTAAGGCCTATTTTACTTTTAGGTAACATAGTCTCTATGATATAACAAACAGGACCAGCCATGGGGCTCACGCCTGTAATCCCAGCACTTTGGGAGGCCGAGGTGGGGGATCACGAGGTCAGGAGATCGAGATCATCCTGGCCAACATGGTGAAACACTGTCTCTACTAAAAATACAAAAATTAGCAGGGTGTGGTGGCACATGCCTGTAATCCCAGCTACTCGGAAGGCTGAGGCTGGGGAATAACTTGAACCTGGGAGGCGGAGTTTGCAGTGAGCCAAGATTGTGCCAGTGCACTTCAGCCTGGGCGACAGAGTGGGACTCTGTCTCAAAAAACAAAACAAAACAAAACAAAAACAAACAAAAAACAGAACCTCTCCCTGAAATCTCCCAACTAAATTGCTTATTTGGTTGGCTAAAGTTTTCATGAAACAATTAGAATTATGCCTTAGGATGTAAATTTCCTCAGAATCCATCACATTGACACACTTATGCTATGGTATAGATGACAGATGTCAGAGCCATTTCTGAAAGCAAGTTTTTGCAGAGAAGTAAAAAAGAGCAGCCAGTGGTATTTTGGCTGATGCAAAAAGGAAATATTTTGGATGCCCCAAACAAATTTCACCATTTAATGACTGGGCCAAGCCCTAACTCTATTATTGTTAATTTTAGAACTTCTCATTACCCCAGCTGTGTTAGATGTACAAGAGGTTAATTTCAGTTAGCTCAAAATTAAAGCAGGAATTTGGGACAATGGAAGAAGGCTTGGAACAACAGCGACAATCAGATTGAATCAGGCTTGGCCTCTTATGCTTAAATAGCTTTATTTTCAGAAGATATTTGATAGAGGTGAAAGAACAAGCTCCATCTGTAGTTTTCTATGATAGACGTGAAGGACTTTTCAATGCAATATAGTTGGATAAATATCCTGTCAAGTACCTACTGTGGGCCAGGTACAAACTGCCATTTTATAGGGACTTCTAGAATGGGTGGATGAGTCTGAGGCACTGCATCGCATCATTAATCATTGTGAATTGAGTACATGGGGGCTGTGAGATTGTGCAGTACTAGACACCACAGGCCTGTGGGGAGTTTGGATGGAGATTGTCAGAAAACACAGAGGAGGCTGGACTCTCCCCAAAGTGAACCTCCAGGCCTAGCTCCCAGTTAGACAGAGAGCTCATTCATCTCTGGTGACACTGTTGGGTGTGATTTGCCAGTCACTGAGGTGTCCTCTTTTTTTTTTTTTCTTGCAGAGCCATCTGCAGCTGGTGAAAAATAACCCACCACATAAAACACCACAGCTAGTGAACATTTCCCACCTTTTATCCTCTGGCTTCATAGGGCTGTGACAGATGGTGCCCCAGCAGGGACTATGCAGCTCAACTGCCAAAGGGGAGCGTTAGCCATCGTGATGGTCCTGACTTCAGATCTGGGGTTCGGACTCTGTTTGTTCTAACGCTCCTCGCTCAACTTGAGGAACTACGCACAGTTAGAACTTGGCAATAAAAGTTGTTGACTAAAGGACTGGAGAATCTTTTCTAATATTATGAATCTGAAAGGAGCATGAGGGTTTGTCCTTCTAAGTTAACCTTTGTATTTTAGGTAGAGGTAATCTAATGTGCAGAAATTTAAGGTCATACTCCTTGTCAGTAAGGAGTTAAGACTAATGGTCCAGATCCCTGGTCAGTCAGTGCTATTTCCATTCTGGGTGCATTTCTTACTTTTTTATGTCATCTGTTTTATTGGTTATCTATGTAATATGAGGAGGCAAAAGGTATCTACTTTCTGGAAACGTTCTGTGTAGTGTAAGAAAGTTTAGTTTTATGTAATACATATGTTAGCTACTATCATTGACCTTTGACTCATTGTATCAAATATTTCCTAGGCTTCTTTAGATATATATGCTGATATATGCTGTTTATTTCTGACCAGACTACCTTACCCCAGAGTGAGTGTCAGAGACCACATGGAGTGGTGAAAAAGGCTAGGGTTTTAGGGCCTAGGATACCTAAAATGGAATTCCAGTTTCCCATCTGCCAGTTATATGATCTGTACCTGTCTTTCAAAGAGAAAAAGGTTTTAATTTTTATGAAGTTTAACTTATCACTATTTTAGTAGTCTTTTGTGTCTTGTCTAAGATTTCTTTGCGTAACCCAGGTTGAGGTTTATTATTTCTTTTTTGTTCTTACAGATATCCAATTGTTCCAGTGCAATTTATTGAATAGACTTTTTCTTCATTGAATTACCTCAGTGCCTTTGTTGAAAATAAATTGGCCATAAATGTGTGAGTTTATTTGTGGATTCTCAACTTATACCAATGCCACACTGCCATAAGTACTATAGCTTTGTTTTAAGTAATGAAGGCAAATCAAGCTAATACTTCAAGTTTACTCTTGAGTTCATGATTGTTTTTGGCTATCCTAGGTTAGTTTCTCTTTTCATGTAAAGTATAAAATAACTTGTCAATTTATTCAACAAAGCCTCCTAGTATCTTATTAGAATTACATTGAACCTATATATCCAATTTGTGGAGAGTTGCCATCTTACTAATATTAGTCTTCTGAACCATGAGCATAGCATGGCTCTCCATTTTTTTTAGGTCGTTAATTTGTATTTGCAATGTTTTGTAGTTTTCATTGCTCAGTTCTTAGAAATCTTTTGTTAAATTTACTTTTTTTTTCTGCTATTGCAATAGTTACTTCTTTTTTTTTTTTAGATGGAGTCTCGCTCTGTTGCCCAGGTTGGAGTACAGTGGTGCAATCTCGGCTCACTGCAACCTCTGCCTCCTGGGTTCAAGCGATTCTACCATCTCAGCCTCCCAAGTAGCTGGGACTACAGGCATTAGCAACCACACCCTGCTAATTTTTGTATTTTTAGTCGAAATGGGGGTTTCATCATGTTGGCCAGGCTGGTCTCGAACCCCTGACCTCAAGTGATCCACTCACCTTGGCCTCCCAAAGTGCTGGGATTACAGGCATGAGCTACTGCGCCCAGCCTAATAGTTACATTTTTAAAGATTATTTTTAAATTTCTTATTTCTAATATGTAAAACTTAAGTTGATTGTTCTGTTTGATCTTGTATGCTGATATATTACTTAAATCACTTATTTGTTCTAGTAGATATTTCTGTAGATTTTTAAAGGGTTTTCTATAAACACAATTATGTCCTCTGTAAACAGTATGATTCCATTTTTCCAATCTTTATTCTTTTTATTACTTTTTCTGGCCTTACTGAGTTGGCTAGTACTTCCAGTACAATATTAAAGTGAAGTGGGGAAGAACAGACATCCATGCTTTTTTCCTGATCTTGGCTAAAAGTTTTTGAACATGCCACAGCTGTGTATGATATTAGCTGCAGATTTTCATAGCTGTCTTTAAACTATGCCTCCTATTCTTCGTTTTCAGACACTTATTACAACTCGTGAAATACTATTTCTGCATCTATAGAAACGATCATGAAAAATTTCAATCACAAATTCATGGGCATTCTCAAAATAACAGGTCAATGCTCCCTTCTCAAAAGTGTCATGGTGATGAAAGACCAGGAACTGTACTGGACTGGAAGGAACTAAGAAGGCATGGCAACCAAATGCGTGTGGGACCCTGGGTGGGGTCTCCAACCAGAGAAGGGACATTAAGGGGGTAAATGGGTGGAACTCCACTGGGGTTTGCAGAGTAGTGAGTTAAAGTGTGTCAGTGTCAGTGTACTGTGATTATGTGCAATGTTAACACTAGGAGAAACTGGGTGACGTCGTATCAGAACTCTCTGTACTAGTTTTGCAGTTAAAATTATTTCAAAATAAATTACAATGAAGAAAAAGATGACCAGGGTCAAACATCTCATAACCTCTAGTTGAATACGTCCACTGATGAGGAATTCACCACTGATCACACTAAGCATCAGGTTGTACCTCCTGGGCCCGTCAAACCTCACCAAACCCAGATATTCTAAGATGGAGCTTGAGTTAATTGCTCAGCAGCATCTTCTTCATAGCCTGTCACCCCAGCCCCATTCCCAAGCCTTTTCTTCTTTGGAGCCCTTTGAGAGAAGTATGGTGGTAAACATAATAATGACCTCCTAAAATGCCCATGCCTGATCCCTAGATCCTGTGATAGGCACCTCCCACAGCAACAGGAATGTGCAATATGAATGATTAAGGATCCCGAGATGCAGAGACAAGCATTTAATTGCAAAGGTCCTTGTAAGAAGGAGGCAGGGTTCAGAGTCAGAAAGAGACACTTGGAGGTGCTGTGCTGCCAGCTTTGAAGATGGGGGGAAGGGGGCAGGAGCCAAGGAGTGCAAGTGGCCTCTAGGAGCTGGAAAAGGCAAGGAAATGATTTTGCCCCTGGAGTCTCCAGAAGCAATTAGACCTGGTGACATCTTCATTTGAGCCTAGTGAGACTCTGACCTCCAGAACCATAAAATAATAAATGTGTGTTGATTTAAGCCACTAAAAAAAGAGAAAGGATTATATAATTTTTCTCCTTTATGTTTTTATATGGTGAATTACATTGATTTTCAGATGTTACACCAACTTAGCCATTCCTGTAATAAGTCTCACTTGGTCATGATGCATTTTATCTATTTTTATACTGTTGGATTTGATTTGTAAACTTTTGTTCAAAATTTTTGCAGTCATGTTCATAATGGATGTTGGTTTATAGTTTTATAATTCTTATAATATTTTCTGATTTAGGGATCTGGGTAATACCGTCCAGATAAAGGAATTTTGGAAGTGTTCTTTACTATTTTCTGACAGAGTTTGCATAGAATTGGTTTAAAAATATGTGATAGAATTCAACAGCAGAGCTACTTGATCCTGGAGTTTTCTTTGTGGGAAGGCTTTAAAATTATAAATTCATTCTTTAATTGATATAAGATATTCAAGGATTTTGTGTTTCCTTTGGTTGAATTAGGTACTTTATGACCTTAAGGAATTTATTTCATCTAGGATGTTAATGTATTGCATAAAGTTGTTTATAGTATTCCGTTATTGTGCTTTCATTGTATGTAGGATCTGTACTGATGTACCCTCTTTCTATGTTGATATTTTGACATGTGTTTCTATTTTCTTTTTTCTTTCTTTCTTTTTTATTGTTTTGAGACAGAGTCTTGCTCTGTCACCCAGGCTGGAGTGCAGTGGAGCAATCTCGGCTCACTGCAACCTCAATCTCCCAGGTTTAAGCAATTCTCCTGCCTCAGCCTCCCAAGTAGCTGAGATTACATGTGTGTGCCACCACACCCAGGTGATTTTTGTATTTTTAGTAGAGACTGGGTTTTATCATGTTAGCTGGGCTGGTCTCAAACTCCTGACCTCAAGTGATCTGCCCACCTCAGCCTCCCAAAGTGCTGGGATTACAGGCGTGAGCTACTGTGCCTGGACCCTCTTTTCTTTATTAGCATAGACAAGTGATTTTTAATTTTACTTGTATTTGAGATAACTAGCTTTGGTTTTAATGATAATAGTCTTGTTTTTCTTCTTTTCCATTTCATTGATTTCTTCCTTTATTATTTTCTTCTTCCCATTTCATTTAGGTTCATTTTTCTCTTTGTCTAGTTTTTAAGATGGGAATTCAAATAATTATCTTTTAATATTTATTTCTAGCATAGACATTTACATGTATAAATATCTCTCTAAATACTGCTTTACCTATATTTTGTAAATTTTGATATGTTACATTTTTATTGTTGTTTAGTTTAAATGATGTTATAATTTCTCTTGGGTGTCTTCTTTAACCCACATATCATTTGAAAGTATGTTCACGAATTACCAAATATTTGTATTTCTCCTAGTTATATTATTGCTATTGATTTCCAATTTAGTCTCATTGAGGTTCAGAAACAAATTTTGTGTGATTTCAATATTGTTAAATGTATTGAGACTTTTTTTATGGCACATCATATGATATATCCTGGGAAAAGCACCTTAGGTGCCTGAAAAAATGAGTATTTTGCTGTTGGGTATAGTTCCTTTTTTCCATCCTTCCTTCCTCCTTTCCTCCCTCCCTTCTTTTTTTTTTTTTTTTTTTTTTGAAATGGAGTCCGGTTCTGTCGCCGAGGCTAGAGTGCAGTGGCATGATCTTGGCTCACTGCAAGCTCTGCCTCCCAGGTTCATGCCATTCTCCTGCCTCAGCCTCCCAAGTAGCTGGGACTACAGGTGACCGCCGCCGCGCTTGGCTAATTTTTCGTATTTTTAGTAGAGATGGGGTTTCACCGTGTTAGCCAGGATGGTCTCAATCTCCTGACCTTGTGATCCACCCACCTGGGCCTCCCAAAGTGCTGGGATTACAGGCATGAGCCACTGTGCCCGGCCCCTCCCTTCTTTTATATCTATCTATCTATCTATCTATCTATCTATCTATCTATCATCTATCTATCTCTAATCTATCATCTATCATCAGTTGTCTATTAAGTTAATGTGGTAGATAATGTTCAGATCATTTATATTATTGCTATATTTTTGTCTAGTTTTATCAAGTGAGAGGAGGGTCTTTAAATAGCTAACGATGATTGTGAGGTTGTCTATTTCTCCCTTAAATACTGTAATATTTTTGTTTTATGTATTTGAAAGCTCTTTTAATTAGTACTTACATATTTATGATTATCCTGTCTTTTATGATAAATTGACCCTTTTATTATTATGAGTTATATGTTTACTCAGAATACTTTTAAAATAATAGATGTATTGATATATAATTCACATATCATAAATTTTTCTCTTTTGAAGTGCAGAGCTCAGAGAGTTTTGGTATATTCACAGAGTTTTACATCCATCAATAGTATCTAATTTCAAAACACTTTGTCACTCTCAAAATAAATTCTGTACCTATTAGCAGTGATTCTCCATTGTTCCCTTTGTCAAGCACTTGGAAACCACTCATTTACTCTCTGTCTCTTTAGATTTGCCTTTTGTGGACACTTCATATAAATGTAATCATATATTATATGGCCTTCTGTGTCAGGTTTTTTTTTTCCTCTGAGAATAATTTTTGTCTTTGAATATATTTTATCTGGTAAAAACAGTCACTCCACTCTTTCTATGTTTACTGTTTGTATGTCTTTTTCTCTTTATTTACTTTCGGTCTGTTCATTATGTTAAAAATGCATTTCTTACAGATATCATATAATTGTTTTTATCTTTTAAATTTTATTATGACAATTTTTGCCTTTGAATTAGTGTGTGTTTAGGTCATTATACTTTAATGTAAGTATCAGTATGTTTGAATTTTATTTCCACCGTTTGTTACTATTTCTTTTTGTCTCTGTTTCTGGTCCTCACTTCCTCCTTTCCTGACAGATTTTTAAAAATTTGATTTTGTTTTACAATTCTTAAAAATTGTCTATAAAATTTTGGCTATATTTTTCTGCAATATTAAAAAATGCTTGTGTTTGGGGTTGCATTTTTTAACCTTTTATATTTTACTTACAATTAATATTGTATTACTTTCTGTAAAATATTTTAAAATTTCAATGCTATAGTTGTATATTCTCTTTCCCCAAATTTTAGTGTACTTTTATGTGATAAGCGGAACTATATGCCCCCAAAGATCCACATGCCCTAATTTCCAGAGCTTGTAAATGTGTTACCTTCTATGGCAAAACATATTTTGCAGATATATTTGAGATGGGGAGATTATCCTTGATTATATGGGTGGACCAAATCTAATCATAATGTCTTTAAAGAAGGAGAGTTTTTGTTAGCTAGGTCACAGAGAAGAAATGGAAGAAAGAAAAAGGATTGAAAAAGGGATTTGACCTGCTATTTGTTTGAAGATAAAGAAAGAGGTTCATGAGACAAGGAATAAGAGTGTCCCATAGAAATTAGGAATTCCTTTAGTTGACAGCCAGAAGGAAATAGAGATATTAGTCCTACACATACAAGGGACTTCTGCCAATAACCCAATGAGCAAAGAAGCAAAATCTTCCCTAGAGCTTTAAGTGAAAAACACATCTGCCTCCTTGATTTTAGCCTGGTGAGATTCAAATCAGATATTCTGACCTAGAGAACTGTAATATAATAAATTTGTGCATTTAATCCATTAAGTTTTGGTGATTTATTATGGCAGCAAAAGAAAATTAATGCATATCATAATATTAATTTCATCTAAATACATTTATAAAGTCCATAAGATAATATAATTTTAGTTCTAAGTGGTTGTATGGTTTAAGAGGAATAAATCAAAAAGAAAAAAAGTCTTCGACATTTACCCAGATATATAACATTTTTGATGTTCTTTCTTCTGCTCTGAGAGCCTAAGTTTTCATGTTACATCATATGCCTTTAGCCTGAAGAACTTCCTTTAGCATCTATTTTAGTGCAGTAATGTTGACAGCACATGCTCTTAATTTGTTTTATCCAAAATGTCTTTATTTTCTGGGATTCTTGACAAATATTTTTACTAGTTAGAAAATTCTGGTTGGCAAGATTTTGTTTGTTTCAGCTCTTTAAAGATGTGTTACAATCTCTTAATGGCCTCCATGGTTTTCATGAGAAGTCCCTAAGGTAATTTCTATTGATGTACATTTCAGTTCATGTACTATTTCCTTTGTAATATTTATTTCCCTGTTAAGTCCATCCAGTGATTTTCAAATTTCAATATTGTATTTTTTCAGTTCTCACCTTTCCATTTGGTTCTTCTTTATATGTTCTATTTCTTTGCTGGATTTTAAAAAATGTATCATACACTTATTTTACTTTGTTTTATTTAGAAAAGTTCTAACAGTTAATTAGATTAACTGCTATAGCACTGAAATGTGATGTGATAGTATTGTTATCATTAAAATGTAATCATTAACTCATCATTTGGTAGTTCTAGCATTGTGTTCATTTAGGGATTGAGCAAGGTTGATTTTCTTTCGTCTTGAGAATATTTTCCATTTTCTTGGTTCTTTAGACATCAGGTAATTTTGGATTATATCCTAGACATTATGAGTATAAAGTTGTGAATATTCAGGATTCTATTATTTTTTTCCAACTAGTATTGTTGTTTCTCTTCTTCCTCTTCCTCCTCCCCTTCTGAGCAGGCATTTAAAAAAAATCTGGACACAAAGAGAAAACCCAGATTTTCGGGTGGTAGCTTTGCTTTCAGCTCAGAGTTACGTGAGTTGAAATTCTGCTTTAGCTGAAATTCTGCTTTGCTTTGTTCTAAATATTTACAGCCCAGTCCTCAGTCAGAGATGTGGGTAGACACAAATGGGGAATCCCCCTTCTCTCTTTTCTTTCTGAGATTTCATTGCTGTTTTCAACAACCATGTTTCACTTTGCTTCAGTTGTCTGGTTACCTAGGCAACAGAGACTATATTTTTTCAATCAGCATCTCACTGTACCAACTCTACTTTCCTAAGCTAAAAGCCATAAAGATGGGAACTTATTTGTAAATCACCCAGCTTTCTTCCTCTGAGTATGTACTCATGCCAGAATCTGTCTGCTTTTTTTAACTTCTAGTACCTTTATGGAATTGCTTTTTGTATTGCTTCCAGATTTTATAGTTATTTTCTGCAGGAGAAAAATCTGATAAGTTCTTAGACTATCATTTCTGCAAGCTGACTGGCTGACTGGTCATAGGTTTTTGACTGATTCATTTACAGTTCATATTAGAGATTTTCAATATCAGCAAAGATTAATATAATTCAGAGCTCACTCATTCATTAAATATTTTTATGCTCCCATTATGCTTCAGCTATGCTGCTTGAATTTCTGTGTACAGTTGTGAACAATTTGACCCTGGTATCTTCTCTGATGAAAATCAGAAGCTAGTGGAGAAGACAGATATTAAAAGCAATTAAAGTAAAGTATGGTGAGTATTATCATAAGACAAAGTAAATAATAAGTTTCTGTAAACTAACTCTACAGAAAATTATAAAGTCCTTCCTGAAAAAAATAAGATTTAAGCTGAAACCTGAAGAAATCATAGCTTGGCATCAGATAAATGGAATTCAATTTACATATTTGGAAAGTAAATTTGGGCATTGCTAGGAGAATTAGTTCAAGTAAATGATAAGGTAGAGGGCAGGAGTAGAAAAAGAAAAATAGGACATAAGACAAAAATACAGGAGAAGATAATGTCCTGGAAGAGAATGATGATAGTGGGAATGGGGAGATAATTGAGATTTATATGGAATATTTAGAAGGTAGAATTAAGTAAGATCTCGTGTTTACTTCAATAAAGTCAGACAGAGAAGCATTAGGAAAGCCTAGATTTTTGGTCTGAGTCCCTGAAAGGGGGGTGGTATCTTTTATGGAGATGGGGCACCTTAGAGGGGGAATAAATTAAGAAATAAGATTACTAATTCAATTTCAGGCTTTTAAATTTTAGGTACTTGTGTTGTATCCAAATTGAAATATTCAACATGCAATTAGGTATGCATAAGAGAGTTCTTAGCTGAAAACATCATCTTTGTGAATTTATAATGAGGAGAGAATTTCCACTCCACAGAAGAAAAATATTAAAGGAACACTTTCAGCTCTTCCTCCTCACTGACTCCTCTTTTGAGGGAAGTTATTGACTTATCTTACTGATAAATCTTGTAGAAGGAGCTTAGCATGCATGGCTTTGTGCTTTCTGGGTCTGCTCTTGGCAGAGCTCACATGTCTTCAGGACACAGGAGTAGATTTCCATCTGGGCTAGATGCCAGCGGCTAGACCTTATTTTACTCTACCTGTAAGTAGAGGAAAATCATGCCCAATATTGGAGACATTCAAGGAACCCAACCTAGCTGCAGAACTAAAGTTATGGTCTTTGAACAGTTTTGTCAACAAATCAGGCACTTTGATAAGGATTTGCCCTTTTCGTTTCTCTTATTTCTTAGCTGGTTCTAAACTCTACAGTGGAAGATACAGTGGCATTTACTGCCTCTCTCTAATCCCAAAAATTATAACAATATTAAGTGTATGCATATGTATGTATTATATATATGTAAATAATAAAAATATATATGTTCAAGCCCTCATTCAAAGAGTGGTGCATAATAGAGCCTAGAGTTAGGCATAAATGTTAAGCATATATATATATATATACATATATGTATTTGAGACAGGGTCTTGCTCTATTGTCCAGGCCAGAGTGCAATGGTGCTATCACAGCTCACTGCAACCTGGACCTCCTGGGCTCAAGTGTTCCTCCCACCTTAGGCTCCTGGGTAGCTGGAACTATTGGTTTATGCCACCATACCTGCCTAATTAAGTTTTTTTTTTGTAGGGACTAGATCTCACTATATTGCCCAGGCTGGTCTTGAACTCCTGGGCTCAAGCAATCCTCCCACCTCATATATAGATTTTTTAATTTTAAAGAATATACTTATTGTCTGTATGATTTGAAAGATAGACATTAGCACTTTCAAACTTTGTTCCACCTCCTCTTTCCTTTTTATTTTATTTATTTTATTTTTTAATTTTTAAAATTTAAAAATCATATTTTTTTATCAATACATATTATTCTTATATACTTACAGGTGAATTAACTAAAACTGGGGCTGGGGGATATTTTCCCATGTTCACACTGATAGTGAATTACTATCAGTGGACTTGAATTAGTTGACTGTTGCTTTTTTAAAGATTTTTTTTCTGTACTTCACACCATAATGACTCTAAAAAATGTGAATAGTGAAACTTTGCCCTTTGCAAATGTTTTTTGGTCAAAGTGATTGGCTATCCCCTAGCAGAGAAGTCAGTTTGTATGTTCTGTCACTGAATGAGCAGACTAGAGAAATTGAAGAAAATACTTTCAGCTGTTTGTGGAATCACAGAAAACTTTAAGGGTGTGGCTGTGAAGCATACATGATAGACTGTCTCAGTGTAACGTTTGCCTGGTCCATCTAACAGTTCCTATTACCTCCACCTTAGGCCACTGCCTGCATTTGAATGTCTCAGGAGGGTAATCTGAATTTGAGGAGAAGGCCATGGAGATGTGGAAAATTTCCACTAGGATTAAGTGTAAGAGTACCTTGTTAGAGTATGTTATGACTTTTATGCAATTTACTAGACTATCTTTATTGAATGGAAATTGTGTTAAAATGGAAAAGAATATACAATTTATAATAAAATAGTTCAGCCACTACATATGTGATGGTGGTCAAGATATTTGAATGTCCTGAGCTTTAGTTTTCTCCTCCATAAAATGTGGGCAATGCTTTCCATACTGTTACATAAAAGTTGTTGATAGCTAAACATCACTGATCATTAGAGAAATGCAAATCAAAACCACACAATGAGATACCATCTCACACCAGTCAGAATGGCTATTATTAAAAAGTCAAAAAATAACAGATGCTGGTGAGGCTGTGGAGAAAAAGGAACATTTTTACACTGTTGGTGGCAGTGTAAATTAGTCCAACCATTGTGGAAGACAGTGTGGCGATTCCTCAAAGACCTAGGACAGAAATACCATTTGATCCAGCAATCCCATTACTGGGTATATACCCAAAGGAATATAAATTTTTCTATTATAAAGACACATGCACACATATGTTCACTGCAGCACTATTTACAACAGCAAAGACATAGAATAAACCTAAATGCCCATCAGTGATAGACTGGATAAAGATAATGTGGTACATATACAACATGGAATACTAAGCAGCCATAAAAAAGAATGAGATCATGTCCTTTGCAGGGACATGGACAGAACTGGAGGCCATCACCCTCGGTAAACTAATACAGGAACAGAAAACCAAATATCACATGTTCTGGCTTAGAAGTGGGAGCAAAATGATGAGAACACATGGACACATGGTGTGGAGAAAACACACACTGGGGTCATTGGAGGGTGAGGGATGGGAGAAGGGAGAGAATCAGGAAGAAAATAGCTAGTGGATGCTGGGCTTAATACATGAGTGATGGTATGATCTGTGCAGCAAACCACCAATGCACACATTTACCTATGTAACAAACCTGCCCATCATGCACATGTACCCCCGAACTTAAAATAAATGTTGCAAATAAAAAAAAAAGTTTTGATATAGTTTACATGTTGGTATGCAGGTGTCAAAGTTTCTATTCTGTTGTGGACATTCAAACTCAGTTTTTATACTAGCCTGCTTGACAGTCATACCTGCTGAATTTCTCACTGAGTATCCCTTTAGGGTAAATACACCATGATACACACTCAGGAGAGAATTACAAACTCAAAAGACAGAGTGTTTGGTTACATGAAATAGTGATTTGTGGAAGCCATCAAGAATTGACATTGTAGGAAAGCTGCATGTTGCTGGGGTTTAGAGCAGGGTGTCTGAATCCAGTTTTGATGCTGCCTTTATGATTTACTGTTTCTGTGACCTTGCACACATTATTTATTCTCTCTGTGCTGTAGATTCCTTATCTGTAAAATAAGGACAATACTATTACCTCCCCTGTTAACTTGTAAGGAATGAAAGAATTCATATGTGTAAAGCGGTTATATTAGTGCCTGGTACCTTTTAATACTATGTAATTGTTAGAGATGATGATAATGATGATGATGATGATGATGATATTTCTATTAGCTGGTATAGATTTTTTCTTTTGTATCTATTTCAAATGTTAAGCTAGTTTTTTTTTTCAATAAACTAGACCATGTGAGAAGGAAATACGTAAGAGAAACTTGAGTGACTTTTTTATAGAATCCTTAAGTGTATTGGCAGGAGGGATTTGAGAATGAATAAAGGAAATGAAATGCACTGGTACCATGGACAAGTCTGTCCTGACTGGTGGGAAAGAATAGCCGCAAACAACATGATCAGAAATAAAATTGATAGCAGAACTTGGATATTTGAGATGGCTTTAATATTAGTCAAGAAACTCTACAGGGAAGAGAGATAGAGTCTTTGTTTGCTGTAGCTCTCACTACCCCAAAGAGAAGAGCTGGGAAATAAGGTAAAAAGGCTTAAAGGCTTTCCTCCATTCCTAAGGAGTTCAGTTTCTTACTCAGCCTTAGAGTCTTGGGTCTAGTGCAATGCCTGGCCTTGAGACCCAAGGGAAAACCAGTCAGCTGTGCCTGTGGATACAGGCAGCCCAGAGCCAGAGGTGACTCCTGCACAGCTATAAGGACCCTCACGGATTAGATGCTTGCAAGAGCTTTACAGAGCCACAAATCCTCTCCGTGACTTGGAGGCAAGTCAGAAACCTACATAGGTATTAATGAACCAAGACAAACTTCACACTGGCAGGCTAAGTCAGAGGCCAGGGCAGAGAAGCTAGTAGCAGAATTCTGGGAGAGAATAAACATGTTATGGCAATTATTGGTGAATATAAATTGAAGTGGATAATGTTAGACATTACCTAACCTAATTCAAGCACAATCCATGTTAGCTCAAATTGTGAAGACTTTCATTGATTCAGGTCTTAGTCAAAAGATAAGGTATTATATCACTGTAAATTAGCTTCAAATCTTATTTTCTTTTAGATTTGAAAGCAAATGTGAAAAATCTATATATGGGTATTCATATTATTTGGTAGAGGTTTTCTTTTCCGTTTTTTTCTTTTGTTGTTGTTGTTGGATGAACACTAAGCTAAATTAAACAGCTGGAGAAAAATATTTTTTAAAAATCCGCAAGTTAGGTTTCTATGGAGAAAGAACTTGGCTACTTAATAAGTCCATCTCTGGTTAGCTCATTTCCATTTGGAGAGCATTATTCAAGATATCTTTAGGATAAGATGAGAATAGAAGGGATAAGAAAAGCAGTACTCATTGGGGGAGAATAATAGTCTTTATTCTGTCTATTACTTTATCTTTGTTACTCTGGAGTTTCATGAGAACACCAAGGATGAAGAGTTGTAAAAACGTTCTCTGTCAGTGTTGTGGGCAGCATGGGTGGGGCCACTTACTTTACAGTCCTACATGTAGGTCACTTGGTATGCCTGGTGCTTCAGGTGGGTCCTGCTATCTGTGTGAGGTGGAGTAAAGAGAGGCATATTCAAAAGTGGTGGTGCTAGTAGACAGGGTCTATGGCTGGCCCTTGACTTCACTCACCCTTCCCTTGGAGGGGATTGCCAGGCTGTTTTACATAAGGTGTTGGGCAGAAAAGTTCACACCCTCATTCGAAGAGTGGTGCATAATTGAGCCTAGAGTGAGCAAGAACACATGCACACAAATCACTTTATAACAGGAGTCCCACTGTCCACACCACTCAAACATAAATAGAGATTTAGTAACTATAAAATGTAGTGTCACACGCCACAGAAGACATCTTTATATTTGTTGTGTTAAGGGCCATATTATTTTAATCATCGGATCTCCCAGGTTCCTCATCTATAAAATGCATATGATGCTAATAATGACTGACAGTTTCTGTGAGGATTATATGACATAATACATGTTAAAGTGTTAGCCTTGTGCATGGCAATTATAAATTTAAGTAATATTACATTTTGTTCATATTGTTGCTATTTTCATCAGTTTTATTTATAAGAGTAAAAACAGTTGAAACAAGCACTTTCAAAGACATTTTAATAGCATGAGCATATCCTCACAATATTCTAAAGTGAAAATGGCAGCTATGTATTTGATCATAATCTATTCTGAATTCATTAAAGAAAATATACCAAAATGGTAACAATGGTACTTGTGGTATACGGTACAGGTTGAGCATCTCTAATCTGAAAACGTGAAATCCAAAATGCTCCAAAATTTGAAACTTCTGAATGCCTACATGATGCTCAATGGCCATGCTCAAAGAAAATTCTCACTGGAGCATTTTGGATTTCAGATTTTCTGATTAGGGATGCAAAACCAGTAAGTATAATGCAAATATTCCAATTCCCCTCCCCCCAAAAAAAATTGGAATCTGAAACACTTCTGGTCCCAAGCATTGTGGATAAGATATACTCTACATGTAAAGTCACCCCTGCATTGTTTGGCTTTCCATTTGCATTGAATATCTTTTGTCATCTATTATTTGCTATCCATGTGTATCCTTACATTTGAAGTGAGTCTCTTTCAGGAACCATACAAGTGGGTCTAATATTCAGTATTCTTGATTAGCAGTTATTTTTCTTAATCATTTTGAATATATTGTCCCACTATCTACTGTCCTGTAAGGTTTCTGCTGAGAGATTTCATGCTAACTTTATTGAAACTCCCTTATGTGTTATTTGCTTATTTTCTCCTGCTGCTTTCAAGATATTTTCTTTGTCTTTGATTTTTGACAGATTCATTATAATATCTTTTGATGTAATCTTCTTTGGATTGAATCCGATTGGGGATGTTTGGCCTTCCTGTACTCTGTATCTGGATATTTATATTTTTTCCAATATGTGGAAAGTTTTCTGCTATTATCTTTTAAAATAAGCTTTCTATCCCTTTGTCTCTCTATTTTTTCACAAACTCCTATAAATTAAATATTTGCTCTTCTGATGCCCTGCTATTAATACCATAAGCATTATTCATTCCTCTTTATCCTTTTTTATTTTTCTCCTGACTGTATATTTTCAAATAACCTGTCTTCAAGTTCACAGATATTCCTGCTTGATCAATTCTCCTGGTGACATTCTTATTGCATTTTTTATTTGTTTCATTGTTTTTCAGCTCCAGATTTTGTCTGAATTTTTAAAATAATTTAAATCTTTGTTAAATTTCTTATCTTGATCATTTATTGTTTTACTGATTTTATTTTATTATTTCTCCGTATTTTATTGAAATTTTCTGAGCTTCCCTGAAAAAATTATCTTTAAATCTTTGTCAGGCACTTTGCATATCTTCACCTCTTTAGGGCAAGCTATTGGCATATTGTGTTCCTTTGGTGGTGCTGTGTCTCCTTGGTTTTTCATGTTTCTCATTGCCTTATGTTGATCTGTGTACATTTGAAGAAATAGGGATGAATTCCAGTCTTTGTAGACTGGCTTTGTTTAGGAAAGCCCTTCACCAGTCACCCCATCCAGAGATTCAAGGCAGCCTGTCTGGCATGGCCCATAGATGGGCCTGCTGCTAGAGACCTCAGCAAGGCTGTCTTAGTGCCTGGGTCAGAATGTGGGTGGGCCTGGTGCCTGGGTCTATGTTGTAGGTCTAGAGCCTGTATCAACAGAGGTTGGTCTGAAGTCTGGGTCCAAAGGAGCTGACAGTTGCTGGGATGGGGAAGGCACCTGCGGCCACTAGGTGGGTCTAGAGACTGAATTCATGGGGGCTGACCTGGCACTGAGACAGGCTTGGGACTTGAGTCCACAGGGTTGGGCCTGAGTCCTTGCTCTGCAGGGACAGACCTGGAGCCTCCATCCATGGGGGTTGGCCTGGCACTGGGGTAGAATGAACATGAACCCTGGATCTGCTAGAGTAGGCCTGGAGCCTGTGTCCATGGGTGCCAGCCTGCTGTCTGAGGCTAGTGTTGTTGACTGGGGGGAAGGGTACAAAGGGTACAAAGCCTGAGGCTATGCTCTGGGATAGTCTGAAATCTGGGACAGGTCTGAAGCCTGGAGCTTCAGGGATTTGCCTGGGGCTGGTGGACCTGGAGCCTGTATCCAGAGGGACTGGCTTGAAGACTGGATCTGCAAGTGCTGGCCAGATGACTAGAGTTTCTAAGCTGGCTTGATGCTAGGGCAGGCCTGAGGCCTGAGGCCTCGTGGATCAGACAGGTGTTGAGAATATTCTGGAGGCTGGGGCTGCCAGACCATCTTGGCCCTGGGGTAGGCCTAGAAACCCAGAGTCTGAGGAAAAGTCTAGTGCTCATTTCCCTCTCTCCGCTCCATTCTGTATTGCCTGGGATTCGGAGAGAGAAAACTTGGGTAATATAAAACTTTCCTTTCTAACCTCTTCAATTCACCTTTTAAATTTTCTCTGTTACTCACAGGTGTTGTATTCTTTCACCTGGCTTTGTTAGCTCTTGTGAAGTTGTATTTGTATGGGGATAGTTGTTCAAGTTGCTGTTTTGGTGGAAGGATATGGGCTGGGAAGTCCTATTCTACCATCTTGCTGATGTCGGTTTTTGGGATGGGTTTTGAGAAACATGCTAGAAATAAGAACACGAAGTGCAATTCTGATAAGATCTCAGACAGAAATGAGACATGTATTATTGGAAACTGGAGGAAAGGTGATCATTGTTAAAAATTGTTAAAGAGTTTGTCTGAACTGTGTTCTAGTGTTTCGTGAAAGGTAGAACTTGTGAGCAACAAAATTGAGTATCTAGCTGAGGTGGCTTCTTAGCAAATTGTTAAAGGAATAGTTTGGTTCCTCTTGATCTCTTATAGTAAAATGTGAAAGAAAAGAGATGAACTGAGGAAAAAATTGTTAAGCAAAAAGGAACCAGAACATAAAGATTTGGAAAATTCTCAGCCTATTCATACTTCAAAAAATGAGAACATTCATTCTTAAGAGAATACTAAGGATATGGTTGAACATGCATTTGTCTTTTTCTGATATCATATTCCATTTTTATGTGATCTGGTAGAAGAGGCAGGGCTATTATTCCCTACAACATTAAACCACTAGGATAAAGCCAGAGCTTCTCTTTCAATACTATGTTTATTAATTGCAACTAATGCCCAAGCAGCAGATCTCAGATGTTGGAGTATAGTAGGTTTGACACTATTATTATTTATCATTCTAATGTCTTGTGGGTTTTTCATCCCTTCTCATACCGTTTCACTTTGAACTAAAGGTAATCTAAAAGAAGTTGCATAATTTTTCTTAGTACTTCTTTATTTAAAAGGAGCTTCAGGTTGCTACAGTTACTGTGCTTACTCTTCCACCACAACTCACAAAAAGAGTAGTATCATGTTAACATATCACTAACATCTGTACTCCAGTATATTCAAAGTGGTTGTTTTGTCTTTTGGTTACATTTAATAACAACAACAGTTTGAATGTAGATCAATGTCTTATTTTCTTAAATATTATTACTGTTTCTGAGGACACTGAAAAATCTTATATTTATATGAATCCTTTTAAAGACTTACGAATATGTATCAGTGAGGCTTTCTTCACATAATTCTTGGGCTCAACTATAATAATCAACTAAGTGCTTTGAAGATGTATTGTTATTGTGGTCTGTGTATGTGTTTTTATTTTTTCCCCTTCCAAATTTATTTTAGGTTCAGGGGTTTTGTTACATGGGTAAATTGCATGCCACCGGGGTTTGGTGTACAAACTATTTCATCACCCAGGTAATGAACATAGTATATGTCGTAGGTAGTTTTCTGATCCTCACCAACCTCCTCCCACCCTCCATCCTCAAGTGGGACCCAGTGTCTATTTTTCCCTTCTTTGTGTCCATGTGTACTCAATGTTTAGCTTCTACTTATAAGTGAGAATATGCAGTATTTGGTTTTCTTTTCCTGCATTAATTTACTTAGGATAATGGCTTCTAGCTCCAAGTGTGTTGCTGCAAAGGGCATAATTTTGTTTGTTTCTATAGCCGTGTAATATTCCATGGTGTGTATGCACCATATTTTCTTTATCTAGTCCACCATTGATGGGCATCTAGATTGATTCCATATCTTCACTATTATGAAAAGCATTGCAATGAACATATGCATGCATGTGTCTTTATAGTAGAATGATTTATATTCCTTTGAATATGTATCTAGTAATGGGATTGCTGGGTCAAATCATAGTTCTGTTTTAAGTTCTTTGAGAAGCTTCCCAACTGCTTTCAAAAGTGGCTGAACTAATCTACATTCCCGACAACAGTGTAGCAGCATTCCCTCTTCTCTGAAACCTCACCAGATTTTGTTATTTTTTGACTTTTTATAATAGCGATTCTGACTGGTATCTTATTGTGGTTTTAACCTGCATTTCCCTAATGATGAGTGATATTAAGCATTTTTTCACATGCTTGTTGGACACTTATATGTCTTCTTTTGAGGATTATCTGTTCATGTCCTTTGCCCATTTTTAATGTTTTTATCCTTGGTGATTTGCTTAAGTTCTTCATAGATTTTGGATATTAGGCCTTTGTCAGATGCATAGTTTGCAAATATTTTCTCTAATTCTGTAGATTGTTTACTCTGTCAATAGTTTCTTTTGCTGTGTAGAAGCTCTTTAATTTAATTAGATCCCACTTGTCAATTTTTGCTTTAGTTTCAAGTGCTTTTGGTGTCTTCGTCATGAAATCTTTGCCAGTTCCTATGTCCAGAATAGTATTTCTTAGGTTATCTTCTAGAGTTTTTATAGTTTTAAGTTTTACATTTAAGTCTCTAATCTATCTTGAGTTTATTTTTGTATGTAGTGAAAGGAAGGGGTCCAGTTTTAATCTTCTGCATATGGTTAGCCGGTTATCCCAGCACCATTTATTGTATAGGGAGTAATTTCCCCATTGCTTGTTATTTTCGACTTTGTCAAAAATCAAATGGCTGTAGGTGCATGGCTTTCTTTCTGGGCTCTCTAACCTGTTCCATTGGTCTGTGCCTCTGTTTTTGTACCATTACCAGTACCATGCTATTTTGGTTACTGTAGGATTTTAGTATAGTTTGAAGTTGGGTAGTATGATAACTCCAGCTTTGTTCTTTTTTCTTAGGATTCCTTTGGTTATTTGGGCCTTTTTTGGTTCCATATGAATCTTAGAATAGTTTTGTTCTAATTCTGTGTAAAATGATGTTGGTAGTTTGATAGTAATAGTACTGAATCTGTAAATTTGCATTGGGAACTATGGCCACTTTAGTAATATTAATTCTTCCTGCTCATGAGCATGGAATTTTTTTCCATTTGTTTGCATCATCTCTGATTTCTTTCATCACTGTTTTGTAATTCTCGTTGTAGAGAACTTTCACCTCCCTGGTTAGCTGTATTTCTAAGTATTTTATTCTTTTTTGTTGCTATTGTGAATGGGATTTCATTCTTTGTTTGATTCTCAGCTCGTACTTTACTGGTGTATAGAAATGATACTGATTTTTATATATTGATTTTGTATCCTGAAACTGGTGAATTTGTTTGTCAACTCTATGAGCCTTTGGGCAGGGACTATGGGGTTTTCTAGGTATAGAATTATATTATCTGCAAACAGAAATAGTTTGATTTTCTCTCTTCCTATTTAAATGCCTTTGATTTCTTTCTCTTGCCTGATTGCTGTGGCTAGGACTTCAAGTACTATATTCAACAGAAGTGGTGAGAGTGGGCATCCTTTTCTTGCTTCATTCTCAAGTGGAATAGTTCTAGCTTTTCCCATTCAGTATGAGTAAGATAGAACACTGTTACTGAGATATGTTCCCTCAGATGAAACATACTTTAAATCAACCGTGAACAAAAAGGACAAACAAGGGCATTACCTAATGATAAAAGGTTCAATTAAACAAGAAGACTCAACTATCCTAAATATATATGCACCCAACACTGGAACACCCAGAGCCATAAAACAAGTTTTCAGAAACCTACAAAGTTGCTTAGATAACCACACAATAAGAGTGGAAGACTTCAACACCTCACTAACAGTAATTGACAGATCATTGAGGCAGAAAACCAGCAAAAGTATTCAGGATCTAAACTTGACTCTTGATCAAATAGACCTAACAGACATCTACAGGACCCTCCACCCAATAAAAACAGAATATGCCATTCTTTTCGTCTGAGCATGAACCTTGATTTGAAAAAGAGATCAGCCATGCTACTCATGGGCTCAGCCATCTCAATAGAAGACAGGAATAAACATGGAATTATGTCAGTTAAACACTGCCAACTTGAACTAAAGGGGACAGAGAATGTTAGATGAGATAAAAGATAGCTGCTGGACTTGGATTCTATAGCACCAGACCATAGAACTCCTCAGATATGAACATGCCTGTCTCAACCATTACATTTTGGAAGAACATAACATGTCTGGTTTCACCAATTCACAGCTGGAGAGAAATTTTGCTTCAGGATAAATCTTTACATCGATATTAACACATACCTGCAAATTAAGATAATATTTAGTTGAGCCTTCAGACCTTAGATTTTAGAGTTGATGCTGGAATGAATTAAGACTAAGACTTCTGGGGCTGTTGAGATAGCCTCACATGATGTATTTTGTATATAAGAAGCATGCAGATTTATTTGAAGGCCAAGGATGGAGTGTTATAGACTGAATGTTTATTTTCCCCCAAAATTCAAATGGTGACACCCACAGGTGTAATCTTTGAGAAGTCATGAGTGTGAGCCTTCAGGATGGGATTAGAGCCCTTACAAGAAGAGACACCAGAGAGCTTGCACTCTCTCACATCATCACAGAGGTCATGTGAGGACACAGTGAGAAGACAGCCACATGCAACACAAAGAGACAGCCCTCACCAGAAACCAAATTACATGGACCTCGATTATGAACTTCTAGCCCCAGAACTGTAAGGAAGTGAATTTTCATTTAAGTCACTTAGTTTATGGTATTTTTGTTATGGTAGCTTAAGCTGACTAAAACAGATAGTCAAGACAGGATTCCTATTCTTAAATGCTTAGAATATATTGGCATGCTGTGACACATACAGAAAGTATCTAGAGAGTAATATATAAGAGTTAACACACAGATTTGAATTGAGAGAGATAGAAAGAAAAAACAGTGGTATGAATGCATGAGGCTGAAAAAAGCTTATTCTGTCTACTGAGCTAGAAGGTTTAAATGCTTCAAGATAAGTGGAAGATTCGTGCTGGAATTATTTGCAATTACTAATATCATGGGAATAATATAGTTTGAAATATATTAATGTACTTTTCTTATTTATACTTCCTTGTATTAGGCTGTCCCTTGATTCAGCCAGATATATCCATTGCCTCAGGAAGGATTTAGGCAGAAATGTTAGGGCTAGAAAACAAAGATAATTTTTTTACTATTCAAGTTTGGACTACAAATGAAGGGTTTTCTCCCTGTGGTGAGAAAGTACGCCAGGATTCACTAACAGAAAAAGATTTTTCTGAATTCCAGAAATTTCCCCCTTTTATTTCCAGAGGCAACCCAAGGAGACTTCGATCACAGAGTTTGCTTTAAGCTATAGTATAGAAAGCGTATGACCAATGCCAAGCTATTAATAATAGAAATGAGAAGCATGTGGCAAAGAGGATAATAGAAACTAGATGAGGAGTGGGGAAGGAAGAGGTGCACCAGAAGAGGACGGACTAGAGTGAGGTGACTCCTGAGTCCCTTGTGTGTAACTAGAATCTACACTCCTAGGTCTCAGCCACAAGATAATATAAATCTGGTCAAATCCCAGATTATTCTCTCTTTTGCTTCCAATGTTGCCCAAGAGGAATAGAGAGAGCAAGAGCATAGAGAAAGGGATGTCTAGATAGACCCACCTGTAAAAGGATCATAAGCCACCAAGGCTTGCACAGAGTTTGCAAGCTACCCAAGGGTTCTCATGTGCATGGCTTTGAGAATAGAGTAGGGGGTTTAGGGAGGTTTCAAGAGGACCAGGGACCAGCAGAGAGCCTAAGTGGCACATGTGTGAGACTGTGGGCCTTAGCAGCAGGTCAAGCAAAGTGCCTACCAAGACTAGGTAAGATTAATTGCTATGTGGGCTGATATCAGGACAGGGAAGGCAGGGTTCATACTGGATCTATACATTAGTAGGCATCAGTGCAAGCTTCTCACAATAAAAGTGGACCAAACTCATGGTAGGGGAGAATAGTCAAGACTCAAACCAAAGCTACATCACTATGAGGTGTCACAATTTCCCCAGTACCAATGTTATGGGTAAAGATATAATGAAGAGAAAACCCTGGTGAGAAGGGGTGAATGGCTCTCATGGGGATTTTAAGTTTCAAATTGGTAGATGATGTAACCATTAGATCAGAGGTTATCAACTTTGGTTGCACATTGGATTCACCTGGGAAGCATTTAAAATTCCTTAAAGCTAAGGCCAATTAACTTACAATCTCCGAAGTTGGCATCCTGGCATTCTTACCTTTGAGAATTCTTCATATGATTAAAAAGTATAGCCAGATTCTAGAACCACTGCAACAAGAAAAAAGAAACTTGAAGAATACTTTTAAATTGGATGTTATCTTTAATTGACCAGCTTAGTTTACTATATTTTCCCCTCATTAATGAAATTCTTAGATATTCCAGAGCAGGATGATATTACTTATAAGGAAAAAAGACAGTTTTCAAAACAATATTTATATCTGTATTGAAATATTTTCAGCTCTGTTCTACACAATAATAATAAGAACTAATATACACTTTCAATTTGCAGGATGTTTGTCTAAGTGTTTTGTCCATATTTTCCTTTAATACTTATGACAATTTAGGAATACTAAATTGTAAATGCTATTAATAATCCTCCTTTATATCAGAAAACTGGCACAAAGAGGTTAAGGAACTTTCTAGTTTCACCTAGAGCAAGTATTCACACAGAAACAGGCTGCCTTCAAAGCTAGTTCTTTACCTCTGCAGTGGCTTCCTGGCATCACTCAAACATTGCCTTTCCTCTCCCAAGGCCCCTGCTGCATGGTGGAAAGATGCTTTACCCTCAATTTATAAAAAGGTCTTACAATTTTCACAAATGTTGCATGGCTTTCTTTTTCTTTCTTTCTTTCTTTTCTTTTTTTTTTTTTTTTTGAGTTGGAGTCTTGCTCTGTTGCCTAGGCTGGAGGGCAGTGGCATGATCTCGGCTCACTGCAACCTCTGCTGCCCGGGTTCAAGCAATTCTCCTGCCTCAGCCTCCTGAGTAGCTGGGACTACAGGTGCCCGCCACCACACCTGGCTAATTTTTGTATTTTCAGTAGAGATGGGGTTTCACCATGTTGGCCAGGCTGGTCTCAAACCCCTGACCTTGTGATCTGCCAGCCTCAGCCTCCCAGAGTGCTGGGATTACAGGCGTGAGCCACTGTGCCTGGCCAAAATCAAAATGTATTTCTAATAACTTTCTGATATGGTTTGGCTGTGTCCCTACCCAAATCTCATCTTGAATTTTAGTTCTCATAATCCCCACATGCTGCAGGAGGAACTTGGTGGGAGGTAATTGTGGGAGCCCCACACTGTTATCATGATAGTGAGTGAGTTCTCATGAGATCTGATGGTTTTATAAGGGGTTTTCCCCCTTTTGCTCAGCACTTCTCCTTGCTGCCGCCACGTGAAGAAGAATGTGTTTGCTTCCCCTTCTGCTGTGACTGTAAGTTTCCTGAGGCCCCCCAAGCCATGCTGAACTATGAGTCAATTAAATCTCTTTCCTTTGAAAATTACCTAGTCTTTGGGTATGTCTTTATTAGCAGTGTGAAAACAGACTAATACTCTTGCCTTTGGTTATAACAACATCTAAAAGTTGGTCCAGGTTCTGGAACAAACTTTTGCATACCCTGTTCTGGTCATCAATTTTATTTTTGCTAATATTTTCCCTTTTTTCTGAATGTTTCTCACTATTCTTAGCCTGTTGACTTTACCTTTAATAGGACACTCAATTCAAACACTACCTCTTTCTTGAAGCCTTTTCTAATTCTTCTAAGGTTATATCTCTTTGCTGTGTTGAATCTCACAACAAACTCTGCTCCATTTTCCTTTACCACATTCCAAAACCAGCCCATATTATGGAACCAATCGTGTGCTGCATAATGATGATTTGGTCAATGACTGATTGCATATGCAACAGTAGTCCTATAAGATTATAATATCATACTTTCACTGTGTCTTTTCTATATTTACATACACAGTACCTACCATTGTGTTACAGTTGCCAACAGTATTTAGTACAGTAATATGCTGTACAGGTTTGTAGCCTAAAAGCAATAGGCTATACCATTCAGGCTAGTTGTGTAGGAGGCTATACCATCCAGATGTGTATAAGTGCATTCTATGATGTTCACACAAGGACAAAATCGCCTAAAGAGGCATTTCTCAGAATGTATTTCTGTCATTAAGTGACTCATGACAACATATAATATTACCTATTACAACATATCTCCCCATTTCTTTTTCTAAGTTCTTCTAGTATCTGTTCCTTTGGGCAAGAACTGTCTTATTTACCACTGTATGTCTTGAATTATTAGCACATCATTTTCTTCATGCTCAAAACCATGCATTTTAATAGAATTTCATGCAAATTGTCACAACTCAAATCTAACATATACATAGGAAAATGGTTCCCCTCAAAATCAATACATTCTACAAATATAAAGAAAATAAAGAGTTTCAAGTAGAATATATTGAATAGTAACCTCTAAATAGAAAAAGTATAAGGCAAATAAGTGAAAGTATTTCTATTTTCATTTCTAGAATAATTGAGGTATCTACAGTTATTTAAAACTTGTGTATCTCTCAAACTAACATGGCTAAGACTATTTGTTTAAAGCTGCCATTTGGGAAAAGACAATTTTACTTTAAGTTGCTTGTCCTTCCATATTCTCATGACTTGTTCTTTTGGATTTCACATTCATCACTGTAGAATTTTACAAGTGGATAAATACATCTGAAAAAAACTTAGTGATAAATAGAAGTATTTGTTTTTAAAAAATTAAAGGGTAGGGCCAGGCGTGGTGGCTCACGCCTGTAATCCCAGCACTTTGAGAGGCCAAGGTGGGCAGATCACGAAGTCAGGAGATGGAGACCATCTTGGCTAACACGGTGAAACCCCGTGTCTACTAAAAAATACAAAAAAATTAGCCGGGCTTGGTGGCGGGTGCCTGTAGTCCCAGCTACTTGGGAGGCCGAGGCAGGAGAATGGTGTGAACCTGGTGGGGCAGAGGTGGCAGTGAGCCAAGATTGCACCACTGGACTCTAGCCTGGGCGACAGAGCAAGACTCCTTCTCAAAAAAAAAAAAAAATTAAAGTTTGTATCTTTAACTTAACTGTTATTTTACTTACTACTGGCATAGATTTGTTTGTCCACGAAATTTTTGTATCAGCTTTGCTTTGGGCACAAATACTACACCTTGTGATTTCTAAATACCCTGTTACCCAAGCGGTGGGATCCAATTATTCCCTTTTGATTTTACGTTTTCTGGTTCTTTGCTACCTTAAACAAGTAACAAGAAAGAATACATTTTTATTTTCTTTTACTTTACCTTTACCTGTGGCTTTTGAAATTAATGTGAAAAAGATATCAGGCTTAACAGTAATTTCTCTGGCTGTTGTGCTTTTTAAATGGATAAAGTTATATTGAACCAATTGGCACTGAACTGGCTGGGAAAGAACACATTTCAAATGTAATATTTACATGAACTGACAACTATCTAGTAAAAAGACATATCGAAGGTTGCAATTAGAAGAAACAAAATTTTCTTTATGCCTTATGGTACAGGCCAAAAATAAATTATTTTCAATTCTGCAAATATCCACAACACTTTAAACATTTTTAATCTTCCTCCAAATTCTTCTTGTACTACTGATGTGGGTTTCAGAGATAACTATGCTAAAAAGAAGTTTGAGACATATTTGCCAACTCTCTGAGGAGGACGAGGACTCAGTGGTATATTTTGAATTCTAGTTCAATTACTTTATGATAAGAGATTTTCTTTATTCACAAATGAATGCTGCTAGTTGAAGGTAGAGTTCAGCTGTTTATATACGAACATGCAGCAATTATGATGAAACAAACTCATTCTAAAACTCCGTCGTAACTATGGAAACCAGAATTAAATGAATTCTATTAGAAATACAAAAAGCCACCCCAGCAGGATAGAGTAAATATTATCTCTTATTGATTTATGAAGGTTCCAGATGATGAAAAGTGGTTAATATATTTCTGTCATGAAACACATTTGTTAGGGTTTCTTTTTATTGATAGAGCCATTGTCTATTTAAATAATGTCAGCCAGATATCATTAATTTTTACATCTTTTTTCAGTCACTTTGCCTTCATTACAAGAAGCTATCAGC
Organism: Homo sapiens; assembly: GCF_000001405.40. Classification (NCBI taxonomy): domain Eukaryota; kingdom Metazoa; phylum Chordata; class Mammalia; order Primates; family Hominidae; genus Homo; species Homo sapiens. The sequence goes on from NC_000013.11 coordinate 53,556,189, forward strand.
TTTTCTATTATATTCTGTATTTTATTTTGGGGTAACAAGGAGAGCTTGACTAAAGAACCATTTCTGATTATGTTTGGCTAAAATATGGATTGACCAAAGAATGTTAGTATAAATGGGCTGCACATTTATTTTGAGGGAGAATTAGTTGATTTTAATATTTAATACACTAGCATTTGGACAAAACTGTACAATTCACTTGGCTTCAGGTGGCTGGTGCTTGTAGTGGGATTTGTTGAAAACAGGAAAATTAAACTTTTGGTAATTTGTTCTTAAAGTGGACTAATTTAAAATTCGATTCAAGTAATAATGCGAGGCTAAAATGAAAGAGCATTATGTAGCAAGATTAGAGTTGTTAATGTCCCAGAAGGTTTGGTGTGCAGGTGTCAGTGCAGCTCTCTGCATGTAAAATGCCAGCATGTACTGTACCCACTTCTACCCTTTCCGTAAAATCAACTCAACACTTTGCATCTTGATTAAAATGAAAAGGTCACTCTGACTTTTCTCCTTCAAAATATTGACAGTAGTCCTGAGAACTGAGTATCTACAAACCAGGATGAAGAAGATAAGACATACACTAGGCATTGGCCTTGGAATCTTTAGATCTTTGGGTTTCATCATATGCATTTCCTCATGACTGTTTCTGATTACTTTATGTCTCAGTGGAAATGCTGTTGCAGTGAGTTAGGAAATGTGTTTTTCTAAGACGACCATTCTTAGTCACAGAAACAAAACAGAAAAGTATGAAAGATCAAGGGCTTCAAAATCCTTAAATAATTTCCTGTTCTCGTGTTTCCTTACACTCCAAAAATATGGAATTGTTAGGTTAAATTTTGTGCATTATATATTGTAAGAATTGAGGTTTATTTAGGTTGTATATTCGCAGTTTTATTTCGGGCTAGTTTTGTCCTGTAATTCTACATATGAAAATTTCCGAAATAAACTATAGTCAACCCAAGCTCTTGCCTAAGAAAGTAAGTAATAGAAGAACCATAGGCTTGCCTTGCTGTGGTTCAGGTGTGTTGTTTCTTGAAAGTCTCCGTGTTTTACCAGGGCCTGGGTCCAGTGTTGAAGTAGCCTCCTAAATGCCATTGCAATCTTACCCTTTTTGCCTGCAGCTCTGAGGATCCTGAAGCTTCAAGGTTTTATAGGCATTTTTATTACATCTCACAGCATTCCCATGTCAGGTTGACAGTCTGCTTTGAATAACAACATATGAGAATTGGAGGGGATTTCAGGGATCACCTCATCTAAGCGGCTCATTTTGCAGATAAGAAATTTAGACTCAGAAGAGTGAAGTGAATTGCTCAGGGTCACACAGCTCATTAACAACACAGCTGGAATAAGACCTTGGTTTCCCAACTTCTAATCCAGGGCTCTTTCCATTGTACTGCACAACCTCATGTTTTCTCTTATGTCTGAAGGAAGGCACTTTCAGCTCTTCCTTAACATATAAAGCCACAGACAGAAGGTAGGATTAGCCATTCTCAACCGAATGCTCCATCCATTACTGCCCATTATACATCTTCTCAGTTCTAAAGGAAAAAAAAATAGCCTGAACATTCTGCTTTTATATTCATTATCTACTCTGTGCTGTTAGTTGCTTCGTTTTTTGGTATTGCTTTTACTGATTAACTTGGTCTCTGCGATATAAAATGGTGAAAGGCATTATCCTGGGTAAATGTGATGTTATTAATGTGTTTTATTCTAGTTATGGGTCATTATTTCCGATAGATGTAATCGTCCCAGCGCTGAGACCTAGCAGGTGGTCTCACTAGAAGTTATAACGGTTTTCTTAATGGTCTGATAAGAATGTCATTTGCAGGGCAGCAAGGGCAGAGAGAAATTGGTCCCAGAGCTAGCTTGCTTCTGCACTCATTCCCAAGCTTGAGCAAGCAAAAGTAAATACATATTTTGTTACCAATCAGCTGGGTATTTTTTTCTGCCAATTCATTTTCGGTAAAAGTGATGAAGACCCATGTATATTTATTTTCTATTTACAGCCTGCCCCGCAATAATACTGCTAATGACCCTACAATGCTTTGCTTTTCTAATTCTTAGAGGAAACAGTCCTTATTGACTCCTGAGAGGAACCAACATTCATTCAAGCAATGAGATATGATGAAATCCAGTTGACCAGGCAAAACATAGAGCCTACTTGGGATGGAGAAATCAACAGAGAATTTTTCCATTAGAGGTAGCTCATTGGTGAGAATGTATGATATCACTATGATGGGAGAAATGGAAATTGTGTATTTAAATGTTTGTATTCATACTTTAGTATAGGTAAGAGGCATGCACACCAGAAATTATTACATGGTTAAGATGATGATGTATATTTTGATTGTTCTTTCAAATTTTTCCTTGCACAGAGCATAACCACAATTTATTTAATGTATGATTAAAATCATTAATACTCTGATGAAACAAACTATCTAAATTGAGAAAAGTGTTTTCCTATATTAAGAATATTTCTTGCACATATCCTAATTCTTGGTCTACTTAAGCCATGCACGTCTCTCTCTCTATGTCACTCTCTCTCTCTCTCTCTCTCTCTGTGTGTGTGTGTGTGTGTGTGTGTGTGTGTGTGAGAGAAAGAGAGAGAGAGAGAAGGAGGTAGACTGTCCATGGGCATATGTCCTGAGCCTTCGTTAATTTAATTAGTATAGCTGCCATAAATCTCTAAGTTAGTAATTTATATACTTCACTGATTCTTCATTGCTATTGTCATATTTCATCAGTTCTAAGATGAATGTGTTTTCCCTCATATTTAACTCCTCTGAAATCAAGAACATTTTCCAGCTAATGGTGTCTGGGGACAGTTTTGCCATGATTGTCATTGCCTATCCATATTTGAATGTATTGGCATAACTGAAAAAGTGTAACTCCTTGACATGTTAATCAACACATCATTTAAGAACTATTTGAAAAAGGAATGTGAGATTGCTATTCTGAAACTCTTCTAAGAATGCACCAATATGAAATCTTGAATAATGTATACAAATAGCTTGGAGAAAATCCTGAAAAAAATAGCAGAATGCTCTTTTAGGAAGTGCTGCATCCATGTTCTTGGCTGAGTAAAAAATGTAGTTTGGAAGAATTGATTTCTGAATACCAAGAAGTTTTGCAAAACCTTTAAATATTTATTTAATTTATACTTCCCTTTTCAATGTATAAACAAGAACACTACATGGAGGGAGGAAAGCCAAACCTAATGTGTTTTTAAATGCTCTTTCAATACATTTAAAACAAAAATCTCAAAGGACAGTAAAATGTAGTTTACTTGGCATTTATTTTATTATTTGTGGTAGGTAAATAATAATACATCGTATAAATCAATGGTATTTTAGATTCAATAAAATATAGCCTTTAGTCATCATATCATAGAACTAAATACACCTAAAGCCAGGAGAGATTTAGAGAACTAGTTTAACTTCTCCATTTAATATTTGAGGAAGTAAGACGCAAAGAAATTAAATGAGTAGCCTGCGATTACACAGCTCCCTGATGTATGATGTTGACACCGAGGTTATTTCAGAGGTCACCACTAACAACTGTTATGAATGAAGTTTATTTACTTTTAATAAAATGCTATCTTTTCCCATACAGTGAGCATACTTCTTCCTTAATATAAGAGTACTGTAGGCCGGGCGCGGTGGCTCACACCTGTAATCCCAGCACTTTGGGAGGCCGAGGCGGGTGGATCATGAGGTCAGGAAATCGAGACCATCCTGGCTAACAAGGTGAAACCCCGTCTCTACTAAAAATACAAAAAATTAGCCGGGCGCGGTGGCGGGCGCCTGTAGTCCCAGCTACTCGGGAGGCTGAGGCAGGAGAATGGCGTGAACCCGGGAAGCGGAGCTTGCAGTGAGCCGAGATTGCGCCACTGCAGTCCGCAGTCCGGCCTGGGCGACAGAGCGAGACTCCGTCTCAAAAAAAAAAAAAAAAAAAAAAAAAAAAAGAGTACTGTATGATCAAACAAAGAAAGGGATAAAGTATTTTTCATATTTGGGAACTTCCCAGGAGGTATAAAATTATGGCTTTTTGACCAACATATTCAAAGTACTTTGGAGTTTAGTGGTGGTTTCCTAATATTTCAGGAACTATTATTTTAGGGGAAAATGAATAGCATTTGTTTAACATCTAGATAATTCTAGATAAACAACAGGGCCAATAATCAGTGGCTCTTAGCATAAAATAATAAAGTTTAACTTATTTTACACACTGTTATCTTGTATTTTTTAGTATTATTGTAGGCACCACCAAAATTATGTGAGTTTTAACTTTTACCTTGCATCAAAATTTCTGTCAGGAAATTTCAGAATTTTCAAGAAGTTTTAGAATTTACAGGAACACCAACATTTTGTTTTTTAAAGTTACTTTAAATTGTATTAAACCAATACACTATAGATAATTTTGAAGTAAAAATATATAAAAGCCTTATAATGAAAAATAACAGCCTCTTTTTCTGTACCCTGAACTTCACTTGTATTTCTTTTTTCACCATGTGTAATGTATTATCTTCTTGAGTCCAACACTGATTACTTCCAGACATCTCCCTTGACACTTCTAAATGATATATATCAAGGAATAGAGTAAGACATGACTTCTTTCTTATACAACCATATGTTTCTTAAACAGCTTTATTAAGGTGTAATTGACCTACAATAAACGGTACAAAATTTAAGTGTTCAATTCCATAAGTTTTGGCAGATGTGCTGACTTGAAAAACCATCATTACTGTGAAGACAAGGTTCATATTATTCCCACTAAAAGTTTCTTTGTGCCCCTCTGTCATCTCCCTCCCACTTCTCCCTGCAACTTCCTCCACCACCCCAAGCAAACTGATTTACTTTCTATCACTATAGGTTACTTGATATTTTCCTGAATTTTATGTAAATGGAAACATATAGTAGCTATTTTTTCTGTTTTTTCCCAAATGGCATAATATTTATGAGACTTATCTGTTTTTGCACATAATAGTACTTTATTCCTATTTGTTGCTGAGCAGTATTCCATTTTAGGGATAACTATAGTTTGTTAATCTATTTATGTGTTGAACATTTTGGTTGTTTGTAGTTTTTGGCCATTGCCAATTAAGTTGTTAATATTTGTATATAGTCTTTTTATGAAAATATGCTTTCACTTATCTGGGGTAAATATATGAGTGGAACAATTTGGTCATATGGTAGCAGTATGTTTAACTCTTTAAGAAACTGACAAACTGCTTTTCAAAATGGGGCTTATAGTACTTTACACTCCTATCTCCAGTGTGTGAGAGTCCAAGTCACTTTTTGCTCTTACTAACATTACAAAATATTAATCTTTTAAAAAATGTTAGACATTCTAATATGTGTGTAGATATATTTAATTGTGGGTTTTATTTTCCTTTTATTTAATAACTAATAATTTTAAGCAGAGACAATATGATGAGGTGCATGAGACATTAACTTTGGACATAAAATTTAAAGGGATACCAAAAAATTCAGTCATCATCATAAATCATATTCTAGTATAATGTTTTTTAAAAAATTACTGCAAAATACTCACAATAAACAAAATATTAAATTTTAAATATAGTATTAATATTACTGATTTGTTCATTTCAGGTACCAATATGGCTTGAACTACACTGATGTTAGAAATCTTTTCATGTACTTCTTTGAGCTCCATATACTCTCTTTATGAAGCACCTGTTCAAATCTTTTGCTCTTGTTTTTATTGGATTATTATTTTTTCTTATTATTGAATTTTGAGAATTATTGGTGATGTGCAAGTATTTTCTCCCAGTCTGAGATTTATGTTTTCTTTCTCTGAACAGTGCCTTTCAAAGAGGACTTTCTTAATTTTAATGAAATAAAATTGCCAATTTTATTGTTTTTTTAAAAAGTTTTATGAATTGTGCTTTTGGTGTTGTTGCAAAGGAAGCCGTGTTTAACAAAAAATCTTAAATATTTTCTACTATTTTTTTTCTATAGTAAGTTTTATAGCTTTAGGTTTTACAATTAGGTATATGATCCATTTTGAGAGTTAATATTTATGTGGCTCAAAGTTCTTCCTTCCTCTCCCCATCTCTCCTCCTCTTTGTCTTCTTCTTTTTGGTATATGGCTATCCAATTGTTCCAGTAGCATTTGTTGAAAAGACTATCCTTTATTGATTGATTGCTTTTGAAAATTTGTCTTCTCTCACAGAATTTTATGATTCTCTTTCAAAAACATTTTGTTTACTTAAGCCTCATTATTATTCCATGTGAATTTTGGAATCATTTTCAATTTCTACAGATAAAGCTGCTCACTTTTGATTGAGCTTGTGCTGAATCTACAGATTAACTGGGAAAAAAATCTCTTGTCTATAACGAGTTTTCTGATTCATGAGCATGGTTTATCTTTCCATTTATATGGGTGTTCTTTAGTTCCTCTAAGGAATGTCTTGTACTTTTCAGTGTACAAGTCTTCAACATCTTTTGCCAGAGTTATCCCTATAAATTTAATACTGTTTGATGTCATCATAAATTATGTGTTTTATAACTCCAATTTCTGATTGTTTGTTGCTAGAATATAGGAATGCAATTGACTGTTGTTGCTAGAATATAGGAATGCAATTGACTGTTTTATATTATCTCGGATCCTGTAATCTTGCTAAACTTAATAGTTCTAGTACTTTTAAAATAAAGTTCATATAATTGTTTTTTCCATAGATAGTCATGTTGTCTTCAAATAAGAAACACTTGGCTGGGCGTGGTGGCTCATGCCTGTAATCCCAACACTTTGGGAGGCTGAGGTGGACAGATCACCTATGGTCAGGAGTTTGAGACCAGCCTGACAACATGGTGAAACCTCGTCTCTACTAAAAATATAAAATTAGCCAGGCAAGGTGGTGCATGCCTGTAATCCCAGCTACTCAGGAGTCTGAGGCAGGAGAATTGCTTGAATCTGGGATGTGGAGGTTGCAATGAACTGAGATTGTGCCATTGCACTCCAGCCTGGGCAACAAGCGTGAAACTCCGTCTCAAAAAACAAAAAACACTTTATTTCTTCCTTTCCATTAAGGATGTTTTTAAAACTTCTTTTTGCTTGACCCATTGTGGTGGCTAGAACCTATGGAAAAACATTGAATAAATGTGATAAGAGTGAACATTCTTGTCTTATTAAGGCTCTTAGAGAAAAGTTATTCATGCTTTCATCATTAAATATGCTGTTAGTTATAGGTTTTTGGTGATTCCTACTGTTCTAGTTTGCTAAGATTTTCTGATGAGAAATACACTTTGGATTTTGTTAAATTATTATTGTTTGCATTTATTGAGATAATCATATACTTTTCATTTTTAGTTTGTTAATATGGTCGATTACGTTGACTGATCTTTTTTTTGATGTAGGTTTTATTTTTATTATACTTTAAGTTTTAGGGTACATGTACACAACGTGCAGGTTTGTTACATATGTATACGTGTGCCATGTTGGTGGGCTGCACCCGTTAACTTGTCATGGAACATTGGGTATATCTCCTAATGCTATCCCTCCCCCCTTCCCCCCACCCCACAACAGGCCCCAGTGTGTGATGTTCCCTTTCCTGTAAGACATTAAGCTTATCTTCCATTCCTGGGATAAAATCTACTTGGTTGTAATGTATTGTCTTTTCTACATATTGTTATATTATATTGGATTTTTAAAAAAATTTAAATAGTTTTTACATCTATATTCATAAGAGTTAAAGACCTATAGGTTTCTTTTAATGTCTTCTATGGTTTGGATATGGTTTGTCCCCACCAAAACTCATGTTGAAATTTGATCTTCCATGTGGCAGCATTGGGAAGTGAGGCTCAGTGGAAGATGTTTGGGTCATGGGACAGATCCCCAAGGTGGAGGTTGGGGGAGGTGGTGGTGAGTGAGATTTTGCTGTCATGGAAATTAATTAGTTCCCAAGAGCATAGATTGTTGGAGTCTGACTTCCTTGCTTAATTTCTCTTTCTTGCTTCCTTTTCTTACCACGTGATCTCTTTGCAAATATCCACTTCCACTCTGACCTTCGCTGCCATGTTTTGATACAGCACACGACCCTTACTAGAAGCTTACTGATGCCAACACCATGCTTCTTGAACTTCCCAACCTGCATAACGATGATCTAAATAAACTTATCTTTATAAATTACCCAGCCTTAGCTATTATTTTATAACAACACAACATGGATTAAGACAATGTCTTTGTCCAATTTCGATACCATAATATGCTGGCCCTATAGGATTAATTGGGAAGTATTCTCTCTTCCTTTTCTAGAAGAGTTTATGTAAAATTCGTATTATTTTTTTCTCAAAATATTTTCTAGAATTCACTAGTGAGGCCTTATGGACTAAAGTGTTCTGTGGGGAAATGTTTTTAACTACAAATTCAATTTATTTAAAAAAGGTAAAGGGCTGTATAGGTTATCTATTTCTTCTTGAGTGAGCTTTGATAGTTTGTGTCAGTCAAATACTTCTTACATTTTATATTGATTGTCAAAATTACTGGCACAGAAGGAAGTGGTCGATTGTTTGCAAAAAAGTTTTTTTTTAATTGGCACATATTTGTTGATATTTCATTATTTCTCTTGAAATATCTTTAGAAGATACAGTGTCACCATCTCTGTCATTTTTCACATTGGTAATTTATGTCTTTATCTTTCATTTCTTAATGGTATGTTTAGTTGTTTATCAGTTTTATAGACTTCTTTAAATAACCAGATTTTATTGGTTTGTTTTTCTGTTTTCTATTTCATTGATTTCTGATCTTGTCTTTATTATTTCCTTCTTTTTTATGTGCTTTAAACTTCTATAATTTCTTAAGATTTTTAAGGTGAAAACAAATTCATTGATTTTGAAAACTTTCTTCTATTGTAATACAGTTATTTAATGCCAGTAAATAAATGTTATGATTACCATTTCAATACTACTTTGGCTGCATTCCACAACTTTTAATATGTTTTATTTTTTATTTTGATTCAGTTCAAAGTATTTTTAAATTTTATTTTTACCCATCGGTTATTTAGAATTATATTATTTAGTTTATAAATATTAAGGGATTTGCTGTTTATTATTTTGTTATTAACTTCTAACTTAAAGAACATGTGTGGTTTGCACACTTTTCAAATTATTTAGACTTCTTTTATGGTACAGAAGTTTGTCTAGCTTGCTAAATATTCCAGATGTATTAAAGGAATGTATTTTTTGCTGTTACTGGGTAGGATTGTCATGTCAAGTTGGTTAGAACAAGTTATTAGGTCAAGACAGTGTTTTTTTTCAAAGTAGTCTTTGTAATTTTTTAAAATTGCTTTTATGTCTACTTGTTCTGTCAGTTATTTAAATAGCAGTGTTGAAATCTCCGATCATATTTGAGAAATCTGGGCTGTTTCCATCCAAAGATCCTGTTATTTTCATATAAGACATCCCATCTTATGGCTGGGAGAGTTAGAAGAACTCAGCCACTCTTAAATCTCTTGTACCAGCAATGGCATACATATGTGGTTATTAACAATTGGCTAGAAATAGTTACATGGCCCCATCTTAAATACAAGGGAATCTGGGAAACAAAAAGGAAGGAGAAGCACATGGAATATTTGATAAGCAATAACCTTGCTTTTTAAAATGAAATTGACCCCCAATTCAGAATGAGGTTCATCCCAGATCTATTATGGTTTAGTATGTAAAACTGACTCTTTAAACTTCTTCTATATCATAAATTTTAAATTTGTCTTGTGCCACACAATTTACAGGTTGAACCTAACAAGTGGGTTGTTCATCACCTTTTAAATTTAACTAAAAGCCTAATTTCTCCCATGAAATCTTTGGGACAGAACAAAGTCATTGTGTCTTAAGAAATGATATAATATAGCAATTAAATTATTTTTACTTATATGGCAGTTTGTTGATTATAATAGGTTAATAATTTCATTTAATCTTTACAGAAGCCCTATTTTGTATCCCAATTATGAGATAATTATGAAATTATGCTTAAGGTTATAAGCATATTAACATAGCAGCTAGCTTCAATTATTTAGTGGACTGTCATGGAGGAGAAGGTATTATGTTGACAATATATGGCCTTCTGTGTGGCCATATATAATGGCACCATGATTGAAGCTTATTTTCATATATATATGTCACATATATATTATATAAATTAATAGATTATGTATGCTTATGTATAACCAACTGTGTGTGTGTGTGTGTGTGTGTGTGTGTGTATACACATCTGTGTGTGTTTATGTGTTTCCATTTTCCATGCTCAGATAATCTTGGGTTTCTCAATCCCCAAATTGTTATCTGAGGAAAAGAATACCTCCTTGAGGAATCAGTACCTTGAATGATTTGGCTGACTCTTCCAACCTCCAGTGGAGGATATTTTGCCAAGAGAAACTGGAACTCTTATCTTCCCATTCACAATCGCAGAATGCCTCACCTGTGAAGTATGACTATTATCTTTCTGTCATGAAGGTGAAAGACCTATAACTCAAAAAGTCTCAAGCAGGAGGGAGTTTCTAAGATCTTTCATATAAGCTACAGAAACATAATTATCACTCTTCAAAAGTAAGATTGCATTTATTTTTATTTCTTTGCAAAAGTAGTGAGTAAAGAGTATAATAATATGAGACACAAATTAACCTTGCCAACATGAATGAAAAATCAGCAGGGATGAATTAGATATTATTTTAAATGGAAGTGAAATCTCTTTTCAATGTTTGGTCAAGTTTTGCTTAACTTTTGTTTTCATTTTTAAACAATGAACTCTCAAGCTTCTGTGTACTTGAAAAGTTTAAATACAGTAACAAAGTTTTTATAACGTTTGAGGCCATGGCAGAACAAGGAAATGTTAAAAATTACAGGAAAAATGATCTGCCATCTTGTACATTTTAGTTTCACTTCTTAACTTTCTATCACATCAGTTCAATGTGCTTACATTCCTGTTTTCCTTCTGACTCGACATTTTGCTCTCTTCTCATAGCTTGTTCACATGTCCCCCAAACCCCGACCTGCTGTTTCTACTCTATGCAATTAACACTTGAGCCAAGCTGTGTATGGTATTCTGTAGTTTTTATATCCATTAATAGAATGAAAATCTGTGTCGCTCTTTCAAGCTCTAAGAGTTTACCCTTGATTTAAGGCTTGACAATCACCTTTTGACAATTCTATTTTCTGAAGGTAACTCCAAACAAATATCAAGTCTAGAGTAGAATCTACAATATATGCTATAGAGATTACAAGGTAATTAAAAGTGGTTTTAGGAACATTTTCTTTAAGAAAGTATCAAAAATATTTCCTTAATGAGATATTCATGATCTTTTTAAAAAGTCCTTTGCTGTGCAGATGTGAAAAATAATACAAGATGTATATTTCATTTATCTATAATAACATCCATTTCCACTTTCTATCTCCAGCTCTGTCTCATCTCTACTCTATCTTTTGAAAATGTGCTAGTACATAATGCCCTTGGACGTGAATTCAGACTAATTCATGACTGCATTCTTGTTAACAAATCAAAGATAAGAAATTTGACTATCTCTACAACCTATGTAGGACTGACATTTTCAAAGGGTTGAAGTTCAGGTCCAAACTAATGGAGCTGTAAAGAAAGATGAACACATTTGTAGCCACAGGGTTTGTTTCATATTGTTGAATAATGCTGATTTAATTCAGTTAGAGTCATGGTCACATTTTCTGTAATATCTGGATGCTTTTTCAACATTAGTAAATAGGATGGCAGACAATTGCTAAAGTGAATATACTTCTGTGGTGCCATTATTTTTTGAAAGAATTCAGATTCTAAGAATTGAAAACTCCTAAAGACTCCAAAGCTTCAGGTGGAAAACAAAGGTAAGAAGTAAAGTTTCAGCTTGCAAGACTGAATTGGTGATTAATAGGAGTCATGAATGTAGGTATTATGGTTTTTGAAGATTGTCCAGCCATCAGCGACATCTTTAAAGAGGTATGTCTAACTAGTAGCTTGCTTTTCATAAATACCATGATACCTTTCCTTTGTGCACTTACCTGTGTGATTAATTGACCAATGCATTATGCATTCTTTGGTTTACTTTACTTGCTCCCTTTACTACCCCTCACCAGGCCCTGCAATTACTGTAATACTCCCTGCCTCTTGCACATCCAATAAACACATCTATTGTAGTCCAATTTGTTTCTTCACCCCCTCCTGCCCATGCTTAAAGTTTGAACCATGTTTTCTCCTCTCCCAGCCAAGGCCTTGACTAGTCCCCTGATCACAGAATTCACTATCCATTTTTGGCAATGGCTCCACATACAGTTCAGATTTGGGGAGGAAGTGGGAGCGGCTGACCCTCTCTTTATACAAGAGCATTATCATGCAGAGTATGAAATGTGTCTCTGACTGACCAGATGTACATACAATACTGACATCCTGAGGAAAATAAAAATTCTGTGTGTGTGTGTTTTAATTTGGGCAAACAGAGAGTAATCTGACATAACTCAGAACTCCTCTAAAGGGAATATAGGCAATAAGAACTGAAGCTCTGACTGATCCCTGAGAATTGAAGAAAATAATGAGAGCTAACTCACAAAAGGATCTCAACTAGAAGCCAGGCTAAACTGGGAAATACCCCAGGAGTACTCACAAATTTATGGTGCCTATCTTATCAGCTCAGATTGGACTCAGAATTAAGGAGCTTCTGATAAATCACTTTGAAATATTCATTTATAAATGGGAATAAAACTTGGACAGAGAAATACAAGATGTTGGCAGCAAGCCTTCTGAGTAAGATTAGAGATGGAATTTTCTAGGGCAGAAATTCCCCTTTTAGTTCTTGAGGGAATACCATGCATCAATCTAGTTTTTCAAATTATGCACCCAGATTTTTGAAAAATGTTACCTGGAACGTAGTGTTTTCCTTTAGTTATTTTGTTAGCTTGACAACTTTAAACATTAGTAGAGACCCGTGGTGCTATCAGAGCTCATTTTAACACAATGTACTTATAGAGTACAGTGGGTCAAGCTTCCATGTAGCTATATTTTGTTTTGACCTGCAGATTTATGCAGTATGTAGAATATCTCAACTCTAACTTTGTAATTAAAGCCTTACAAGTTTTATGACTAAAAATTAAGTCTCTTTCTAAATAAATAACTTTGAATTCAAAAGTAAGGATATTCTAAAAGAATGTAAAACATAGCATCCTATGATCAAAGCAGAATAATAAGGTCATCATTCTTTAATATCATGGGTCCAATATGATTTTTACTTATTATAAACAGTATATTTCTTCTTTTTAAATTTCTTCTAACTGAAATGAAAGTATTCAAGGTGCAAATCCTGGGCTCTGAAAACTGGAGACTGGCAGGCAAGTCTGCTCTGTGATTTTCTCTACCTCTGTGAGCACATGGGCCTCGTTCCCAGCCTAGAGCTGCTCTGCATCAGTTCAATGAGGTTTTCTTCCTGACTTCATATAAAACACCAGATGTGAACTGCTTGAATTAAAGTGGGTTGGAAGTGTAGAAAGGCAGAAATAATAATTTAGCCAAATCACATCCTTTTCTTAAGTGTTTGAATTTATTCTGCCTCTTTTATGTTTCTGGCATTGGTATACCTCTTTCCATTCAAGTAATTAGAGTTTGCCTAACTGCGGAGGAGCTGGAGCTCTGGCTTTACTTTCCTTCTGCTAGTCTTGGAGAAAGGAAAATCGTCCCTTTTGGCCCCCTCAATGTTCTTTTTCTGAATTTTTTGGCTAGTTCAAGAATAGACTAAGTAAGTAAAACAAGCCTCTCCTCTTGCTACCACCTGTGCAGACACTTTGCTACATGCGTCTTTGAGATGTATGCAAATGATAAAGGTGATTCCTTTCACCCTGAGAATCCCCTGGTACAGCAATCTTAGGTTTTTAAGATCTGCTTATTTTGGAACAGAATAATGGTGCACAGAAGTGCACTAGACCCTATGCTTTTGGAAGAGAAGGGAGTCTGAGAAGGAGAGGGACAGATGCTTTCCTTCCCCTTTCTGCATATCCATGGAGCTTCTGTGAAGTCTTTGCCTGATGGGAGGCTTAGGTGAGGTAGAGCATATGGAGATAGATGATTTGGCTGTGATTTCTCAGTAAACTTGCATTTCATCCCCTTTGTGACCTGATTGGAAGGCATTTCCAACTGCTCTTTTCAACCCTGAATGGATGGAGGCTATCCATTTGATATTTCTATTTGCTTACCATTTTCTTACTCTGGAACTGAGGCACAATAGATCAATGGGAAGGAGAGGATAAAGTAGAAATTTCAATGATTCTATTTTATGAAGAACTTTTCCCAATAACTGGGAGAGAAAGAAAAGCTGTGGTTTTTAGCAAGTCTTTCCTACTTGGAGAACCCAAAGATTTGCTATAGATGTAACTATTTCAGGCCACTAAGAAATCATAGTTTAGCCCACTTTTGGGTTGATGCCCACAGATTTATGATATTGACTAACATTACAGATATAAAATTATTTCAAATTTAGAAAGAAGTTTGCAAATTACAAAAAAAAATTTCTCATTTTATACATGCACATACATACAATTTATAAGTATGAACATATATGCATGACAATGGCTCCTAGGAGTCTGTACCATATCTATGAAGTAGAACCTGTCAGGATTCTTAGACATTATGGTGATTTTTCAAAGAAGTTGGCTAGGCTGACTGGTGGAATCTATCTGTGATGCAAAATGGTTCCCTAGATAATTCACATATAACTCCCATTACTTGGTATTTTAATGTAATTAGAGGTAAGAATTTGGAGAAAAAATTTTACTCAGAGGGAGTGGAGGGTGACGATCAAGAAACTAACCCAGCCCATGGAGAGTTGGGAGTGGGTTGTTGAGGGAAACTTCACTCTTATATTACGGATAAGAGGACTGTAATGCTATTTCAGCTTGTTTTCCTCCTTGGCAAGACAAATAAGACAGAAAGAAAATAACTTTTGTACTAAAGCAGAATCTTAATAAAAGCCACAATAACAATAAATTGGAAGCAGAGTTTAATTATTGTTTTTCTCTGCATGATTCGCTCCTTGCCTTCTTTGTAAACTTCCTACCACTTAGTTTTGATTCTTCTTTTATCCTTCATCTGCTGATGTTATTTACAAACAGAATTGTGATGTATTTACCATATTATTAAAATAGAACTAGATTTTAATTAAATATCAATTCAGGATCACAGCTTCAAGCTAGTTGCCAACACTGATGGTGATCAATAGAAGATGTTGAACAAAGAAGATAATTACGTTTTCTGAGAACTCAAATATTTTTTCATTTCCCTCTCTTCTTCCTTCTCCAGTTTCCCTGCTTTTCTGCTCCCGCTAGGCTTGTTCACTCATTCCCCTTCCCTGTTCCTCCACCTGCTAAATTTTTCATACAGTGCATATATTTAATTTCCTGTGTGTTTTTTCTATAGCGTGCTTTAAACACTGAAAACCGGAGATGTTGAGTGCCAGATCATCACGTTTGCTAATTCGCAAATCTACTTCCAGTTGCCAGTTCCTTTGAATTAGGCATCTTTGAAATGGTTTCCATTATATGCTTGATTCAGAATTATAAAATGTTATTTGCTTGATTGTGTATTTATTTTACAACAATTAATTCACCCTGAGCTTTTATTTGGAAAAATAATTGCCTGCAAGAAGTAAACAGTTCTAAGTATTCTAGAATATTATACTTAATTATCCCTTTATTTTTGTACTGTATACCATTTTCTTCCAAGTTTAGCATTTTGATTGATTTAACTTTTGCAAAAATTAAAACTCTTTTTGAAAAATGTTGTTTAGAAAAATTCAGTATTGTGAATTTGAAAGGGCTAGGCTGAATTAGACATATGCTTCCTGGAATGAGAGTTTTGCCTATACACTATAGTAATGAAGTCATAATAAATGTGTTCATTCTGCATTAATTAACTTATTTTACTTATGCATTTATATGTTTTTGCAAGGTTACCTGAACACAAAAGGAATTGAAAAGCAGTTCAAAATTACATACTGGTAGGTGTAGTCCATTATTCCATCAAGTTATGAATCTGAATTCATTAATAGCCTGAATGTATAAATTTCACAAAATTTATTCAGATACTAACCCAATTTATATATACAATGATTAAGAATTTTCTATATTCTTATCCTCCTCTCCACATATAAACATGAAAATATACACAGGTGTATATGTACATGATCATTATATTAGTAATATGTTTGTGGATTTTTAATTTTCTTCCTTTTATTAAAAACATGCGTCCTTTATCGTTTCCTTTATTTATGCATTTTTACCTTCATTTGACTCAACTTTCTTCTTTATGCTCTTCTTCCTCCTTTGTTTACTTACGAAGAGTCATATGTGCCCTTGCTTTTATACCAAAAGTTTCCCAAGCAAATTGCTGACAGATTCAGTATACTTCTGCCTAAGTTCATTCTCTTAGCTCTTTGGACACATACACTGTTCCTTTAAGGGAACTCATCATTTTGTACATCCTTTCCCCTTCAGCTGTGTATGTGGTGCATGTTGATTATTTTCTTTCAATAAGCAATAAACACTTGATTCATCACGTTCACAGGTTCTATTCTTCACTAGTCTATGTCTGATACTGCCACTGCTCTGACACACAGTGTACTGATTCTCTTCTCCCTCCCATCTCCTTTCTTTTCGCTTGGGAAGAAGGTTGGGAAACATGTTATTATAGACTTTTCTAGGAGGTGGGGAGCTGC
This sequence comes from Homo sapiens, assembly GCF_000001405.40. Classification (NCBI taxonomy): domain Eukaryota; kingdom Metazoa; phylum Chordata; class Mammalia; order Primates; family Hominidae; genus Homo; species Homo sapiens. The sequence continues at coordinate 53,572,897 of NC_000013.11, forward strand.
TCTGTGCTGCAGGGAGCAGTGCTGTATGGACTGTGGCTGATGTGCATGGATAGAAACTATTTGTGAATTTTCTTGGTGAGTATTATACATGAGTCTTGCATCCCTACTGGTCAATATAGCTCTGGTATGTTTTAAGAGTTTGTGAAATGAATAAAAGTATAAATGAAACATATTTGTGTAATTCTGAAGGATTCAGTTGTGATATAAAATAAGTGCCTTAGCAATAGTCCAATGACTATATTTAGGCAGAAAAAAATGACAAGATAACAAGTGGAAAGGAGTCATGTGAGAGGAAGCCAAAATCTTATTGAAAGCAAGACCTGAAAGAATAGAAGACTAGGAAAGAAAGGCATATGGATTGAGGGAGAACATTCAAAAAATGAATAGAACATGCCATAGAAGATAACTTTGAAAGTCCTGGAGACCATTTTTCCTGTTAATGTAACCTTTGAAATCACAACTAAATTATATGCAATATTTGCAAATCAGTAAGTAGTACAAGCCAGACAGAGGAGGGATTGAATGGCAGAAGAAACGATGGCAGAAAAATGGAATAGAACTTTCAAACAATATGAAGGAAACAGGTGATCAAACAAAATAAATGGTCTAATTGCTACCTAGAAGAGTGTTAAGGTAAAAGTTACTTTACTTTAACAAATCTTGTACTCTTCTGTACTAGTCTCTGCTGCCCTAAGAGTCTGGCCTTCTGAATTCCTCAACTTTCTCTGTCCAGGCATCTTGGCTAGTTATTGAATAGTTTCCCAGTCATCTGCCTCCTCTATACAGTTCTGAGGATGCCAAAGAGGAGGTACATGACTCTTATTTTCCTAGAGGGAAATTTTATAATCCCTGAAAAGCTACTAACATTGATTAAACCTTAATCAAACAACAAATTATATCATTTGCTGGGGGGATGGAGTAAGCATTGCCAATGAGAGTGGTAAAATGCTTCTGAAATACTTAGAGAAAATGCTCATTTTTTCTGCATTCATATCAATATTGTTTTACCTTTCAGTGTTCATTTGTTGTGGGTCTGTTAGGTTGATAGTCATTTTAAGGTAGAACATTTTATAAACCAAACAAAACTTGTTCAAATGCTACTGTCAATTTTTTTTTCAAAAATGAAAATGAAATATTAAATGAATCACTAAGTAGCAGGTTAACATTGCCACTTAGGAAAAAGCAGAAATAGCTTTATATATATATATATATATATATATATATTTAAAATTCTCTACTCACCCCACATTTCACAAACGTCATTCACAAACACACACACACATTTTTGTGTACATAAATAGTCAGATAGTTTTCTTGTAAACACAAAAGGATAAACTTTCTAGCAAAGTGATGGCTTGTATTGGTTCACATTTAAGATGCTTATATTAGATAAATAAGTGTTTCATCTGGTAGCTGGTTGAGCCATTTCACTTGCCTACTTAGAATATTAATATTGCTCTCTTTTTCCAACAAAAATGATGACTGTTTCTTACATGAGGTACATTTCCTCCACCTCTTCTCTGCAGTCCCTAAATTTAAGTGACGTTAATTACTGGACAGATCATTAATCATTATCTATGGATACTAGCAAACAGGTAAATCATGGAATCCTGAAACTTTAAAAGTCATCCATTAACTCCATGTAAGTTGATGGCCAAATTCTTCTCATATAATATATTCTCAAATAATATTTATTAAAATCTGCATATAAGGTGGATCTTCTTTCTACCTGCTCAATTTATTTTCAGGGGACGCATGCACGCACGCACACACACACACACACACACACAGAGTGAGAGAGAATATAAATAGTTAAATTGTAGTTATATAAAAAAAGATTTTAAACTTTTTCACAAATGAAATATTCCATTCTTAAGCAGAGTAATTGTCTTACTTTATTCAAAGCAAAATGAAGTTAAAGCATGATGCTTTAATATTCTAGATTTATATTGCAGATAAATTGTCATGCCAAATCTTTCCAAGATTAGGGCTATCCTTTTTACCAGTGTGAGATAATACAATGCAAAATATGTGGTATTGTATTTCAGAGAAAATCTTGCTATAAACTACACAGGATCACTGAGGGTGAGGATATTTTCTCTAAATAAACATGTTTATGCCTTCCATATGAGATAAAATCACACATCTGTGAGTTAGCTTGCACTATTCATGGGGTAATCCTGCCTCAAAACATCATCTTACAAGTTTGACTTTCTACTTGGAATGCTTATTAGAGTCACTTTTTTGTGTGCTAAAACTCTAGAAAGCTCCTCTTTAAATGCAAATATGTGACCCAGGAGAATACATTCATGAATTCATTGTACTTTCATGAGGAACACTACACCAAAGGATGAAAATGCCATCTAGGTGCCAGAGAGGAAAATCGTGTCAGTAGTGTGGCAGGTAGCATACTATTTAATTCGTTTATTAACACAACTCTGTGGGTTAATATTCCCATCATACAGATGAAAAAAATGTAAGATTAAATAATTTGCCTAAGATCACACAGCTAGTAAGCATGATTTATTTTTCTTTTATGTCTCTGTGCATTGAGTGCTATTCTATAAAACTATTGATATGGCTAAAAAAAAATTTGTTGTTGTAAAATCATATTGCCATACTAGTATCTTCTGATGAAAGTTCACCCAGCTGAGAGTGGTACACTTGGCTCAAGTAGCCTCATATTTGATACTGTACTCCTGTCATGGTTGCCAAAGAACCTACTCCTCATGATGTTTTCTTGTTTTAGAGTATGAGGAGGTGGAGGTACAGAGTGAAAGGTTACTGGGAGGTAAGAGTCACATAAGTTTACCTGAGAACTGCAAAGTGCGCGTGGGAGGCTAATGGAGAACCCAAGTTCACTGGTGATATTATGTTGTAAGAAGTAGAAAGCCAGGCGGTGGGAGCTCAAAATCATCAAGGCAATGTGCTGCTTCTCTTGCTTCTAAAGAGAGTATTTACAGAAACAAGAGGGGTTTACAGAGAAAGTCTATGTAATAACAATTTTTCACGTCCATGGCTGTGGCAATTTTTTGATAATTTGTGTTAAAAAGAAATTTGAGTTTCTCAAAAAGAGAAGGCTGAGAAGATGACTTAATTACTATCTTCAAGTATATGAGGGATTGTTACAGCATTTGGAAGATGACAACCAGCTGTTCTGTGTCTCCAAAGAGGAAAACAAGAGAAAATGAATTTGCAAAGTGGCAAGAGCTTAGACTGAAGACAAGAACATGATTATTATATAATTTTCTTAACCATGAGGACTATTCAATGGTGAAAGTGGCAACTTCTAGGGGAGAGGGGTGTGGACTTTTCTAAACTGATGTTTGGGGTGAACATCACTTAGTACCCTCCCTCCCTCTGAGCCAGAGATATACAATATTGAGAACAAAATTACTGGGGCACATCTGAGATGTCTTTGACACTGCCTGATCTTTATGATTTTTTTTCAGAGCCTCTTTAACACTAAGAAGTCTTTTTTAAAAAATAATTCCAGGTAAAATTAGTTTTTCCAAACCCGATGATGACATTGATAGCAGAATATTTACCTTTTTCTCCACTGTGACTCAATTTTGAACATTCATGGTCACAAAAGAATGCCGCAGGAGTCTTTAAAGTGTTGGTGAAACTCCAGGCATGTTTATCTTGCTACGTGGTCATCACTATACATATTTCATCAGTGAGATGGAGTTTATATGTGGATAAATAAATTTCTTATTATAATAGGTCTCTTTTTGTTTCACTAGGATTCTCTATGGTTTTAGCATAAGATTTTCTTTGCAAGTTGAAACTCACAGAAAGAAAAAGATTCTATCTAGAGAGGAAAAGATTCTGGAAGATGTTTGATCACTTTGGAAGGGACGGTGTGTGTGTGTGTATTCTTAAGTTCTAACTGATAAACTGATGAAGCTGATGCAAAATCACCTAGGAGACTCCACAAAGGTGGGGAATAACTTTGGCACTCCTGTCAAGGAACCAACATGAATCTTTTTAAAAGAATTTGAAACAGTGTTGGAATAAAACATATAATTTTTTGTTATCTTAAATTCACATTTTCTTGATACTTTTTATATATTTTCCTTTTTTCTGTTTTAATAAAAATATAACTACAATATACTATTTCATAAATATAACTGAATGAATAAGTACATATTTTAAATAACATAATACAATCATGGGTAAACTTTCTCGATCACCTTTGGTTAAAAGATTAATTTCCAGTAGTAGATTAAGTTCTTGAAACCCTGAACAATGGTAGGGATGTAATTCCTACAGAGTGGCCCTTGTGACTTATCAACTTTTTATTTATCATCTTCATTTTTGTTGTGCTTTAAAAAATGAGATATCATTGTTCTTCATTGTTGTCTTTACCTGTATTTCAATGTATATGAAGTGGAGGATTAGCATAGTTTAATAAATACAATGATGTTACTTCTTTGGCAAGAAAACCCATATTTCTCTTGATACTACAAAATAGCCCTCCATGTACTTTTTTATACCAGTATGAGTTGTTTACCTGTCAGCTGATAGCAAATAGATTTCTTGTTAATGGCTGGTTTATAACTGAATGCGGCTAGCTAATCATTAAAACCCAAGAGATCAGAAAGAACAATTTCTTAGGCTCATGGCACCTTGGTCTGGAGTTTTTAAAAAAGCTCCAGGTATGTATATATTTTTTCATGTAAATTTGCTCCTAGAGTAGAAAGGTAGTCTGCCACTGATGTGTTGTTCATTATACATATTTCGTAAAAAGAAGTCCCTTTTTTGTAGAATTTCCATTTTAAGATAGCTAATAGAGACATCAATTCTATGGAACGTACTGAAAACAAGAGGAATCTCTACAATGTTTTAAAATTTAACTAGAAATACCTACACTAGAGTGTGTGTAGATAGATACCATCTATCTTAGCACAGAAACTCAATAAACAGAGTACTTGACATTGCCAACACTTCCTACCACCCTTTCCTAGCAAATTTGAATTTTTTTCCAAGACAGTATTTTAAATAATTACTCCTCAATTTCTAACAAACTATTTCCTCTCTCCTTATGACATACTTAAAGAGAAAATCAAGGCAATAGAAAGGAAACCTCATCTTTCCATTCAGGTCCAATGGGAGAACAGAGGAGGCAGGTTGAGGGGATACCCTCTCTGAAAGACACTGGGAAGACGACCAGAGACAGAGCCTTTATTTCAGTTTGCGGAGTTGGCAGGCTTCTGCTGTCCCCCATTGTCTTGGTTCATACAGAAAACTCTTATTTGGGAAACTGAAACATATCAATAGCCCTTTTTAGAAACTGTATCCTGGCTTGCAAACACCTGAATCTGACTCTCTTTCCTAGTATGCAAATTCCACATTTGGTGTGTACAAGGTTAGAGTTAATATCATATTAGGTATTCTTAAATACATAGGTATGTACAATCAAACACAAATATGCATACATAGACATATATGAATATACTTCATAGAGATTTAGAATTTCTAAGGGCATTGGGTTATGTTTGAAGGACCTAATAAGAAAATTTCTCCTGATCCAGTCAATAAAGCAATGAGTTATCCTGAACCTTTCCTGATTGCTAGGCAGAATAATCCTTTAAAACTTTTTTGCCCTTTAACTTTATAAAATGCCTGACATTTAACAACATTAGCTGATGGCAGAAAATGAGTGCTGCTCCGTGTGCTCTATCCTGGAACATGATGCAAGACATAAAAAGAAATCTGGACGGAAATGTTGCCATTTGTTTGGAAGTTACTGTTTAATCTGAGTTATTTTGGGGAAGAAAATGACTCGTAGAAGCTAAGTGTTCATACAGATTGTGATTTTGTAGGAGGTTGGCATGGCTCTTTATTAATCTTATTTCAATTAGAACTCTTCACAACCTGCAATTAGAATGTTGCTGCTGTGATGAATCCATACTGTACATGTATCTGCGACTGTTTTCTAATGAAGAAAAACAGGCCACTTGGCATTTTAAAGACAAATTTTCATTTTGGGTAATTCGATAAATGCTTGTGCTGTGCCTACGCTCTCTACACCCCTTGAATTGTCCCTCAAAGCTAGAGAAGAGTTTTCGATTAATCCTAATCATGTCAAACATAACTCTTTCACATCTTTTAAAATGTGTTTTAGCTGTGATGGAACACCTCCATAATAACTTGATATTTGCACATAGTTTAGGGCTCTGCAAACTTTTTCTTAAAGAGCTAGATATTAAATATTTAGGCTTGCAGGACATATGGTCTCTGTTACAACTACTCAGTTCTGCCATGGTAGCTCAAATGCAGCCATACACAACTTACAGACAACTGAGTATATGTATTTTTCAATAACTCTTCATTAAAAAAATAGCTGGCTTATGAGACATAGTTTTCTGACCCCCTCATTTAACTATTCGCTGGAGCATGGGGATGTGGAAAACATGTTATCACTTTCAAATATTCTACCTAAATTATTTATGTTCTTTAGTCAAATTTATCTTATAGGTCACTTTAAATGCTGCTATTTTCTGGTGTCTCTGGAGAATTATGCATGGATTTGTATCTTAATACATATATTCTTTTATCCCTGCTTCACACTGGCACAATGAGCCCAACTGGGCATATTGTTTTTCTCCTTCCTCTCTCATAATTTTAATAATCAGAGTATGACTTTTCTGAGGTATTAAAAATGTCACGATATAACAACATGAGCATTGCTCCCTCTTCTAATAATGCCCTACTAGCGTGATAGCCAGTATCCCACATTTGATGGCACGCTCATCCAGATATTCAAATGATCAGCTAATACTTACTATGCCAAGCACCTTGATAGATACCATATAAGATAATGCATGTCTTGGTCCTAGAAGAGACACATAGAAATAGACTCTCAAGGAAAGCAAATGCCAGAGACTATGCACTCCAGTTTCTCATCTCAGAATTGCAATCTTTTTGAGAAAGCTAGATTTGCAGTTGGTGAATGGTTAGTAAACAATATCAAGCTTTGTAAACAAGTATTGCTTATTGAAGTGTAGCTGCTAAGTACTATAACAATGCAAAAAAACATTAGGGGGATGCCAGGCAGGATGCACATGTAGTAGGAGAGGAATCAAATGTCTTTGAGACTCAGAGAATGTGGGCATAACAATGGCAATTTGTTCTTTTGGAGTTTCAATAGAGCTTGACTATAGGGTGATGCATCTACCACCATTCATTCATTTACTCACTCATCCAACAGTTCATTCAAGGACTTCTCCCTTTTCATTAATCATTTATGATGCACCAGGCATGGCACTATGTTGAAACAAGAGAGCACTAGAACAGACGCTCACAAGGGAAGATGTATGTTTGGTGTTAAGGAAGACAAAAGAAGGGAAGCTGGATAGAGTCTGCAGAAGTCAAGAAAGATTTACCAGAGGTAGCATTTAACTTGAGTCTTGCCAATAATGCAAAGAGAGATCATAAGAAATAGTCTAGAGAAGACAAGAAAAGCAGTGGCAAAATGTATTAGTCTGTTCTCATTTTGCTGAAAGAGACATACCTGAGACTGGACAATTTATAAAGAAAAAGACGTTTAATGGATTCACAGTTTCACATGGCTGGGGAGACCTCACAATCATGGTGGAAGATGAAGGAGGAGCAAAGGCACATCTTACAGGGTGGCAGGCAAGAGAGTGTGTGGCAGGGGAAGTGCCCTTTATAAAACCATCAGATCTTGTGAGACTTACTCACTATCACAAGAACATCATGGGAAAAGACCCACCCCATGATCCAATTATTTCCCACTGAGTCCCTCCCATGACACGTGGGGATTATGGGAGCTATGTTTCAAGATGAGATTTGGGTAGGGGCACAGCCAAACCATATCATAAAGTAAGCCTGTTCTTACCCAAACTGTATTTGGGCTTACCTTGTGATATGGTTTGTCTGTGTCCCTGGGTATTTTACATGATGATGTAGTAGAATAAACAATGGACTAGAATTTATAAAGCTTTATAAACATAAATTTAATATTAGCTCTAACCATAAACTTGGCTAGAGACAATAAGGGTGTTAGAGTGAACATTAATTTCAGAATGAGATAGATTCAGAGATATATTATGATTTTATCACTTACTTAAAATGTCACCTCAGGGAAGTTGTCAAAACTCTGAGTGTCAATTTCTTTATTTTGTAAAAAGAGATTAATAATAACTATGTCACCTAGGCTGTTTTTAGGTATGAATAACCACACAATAGCTTCAAGATGGCACTTCGATGACTTCAAGATGGCATGCATCCAGACATAACAATGTCAAGAGGAAGAAGAGAAATGATAATTTCATGTGGCTTGCTTTACAGTGAAGACAATTTCTCAAGAGCATCTCATTAGATTTTCCCTTACATCTCATTGGTCAGATTTGACAACTTGACCATTCCTGAATGGATCATTTTCAAGGAGAATCAAGTAGAACTTGAGCCACCAGTGGAGCTGAAGATTAGGGCAGGATTTCCTGAGGCACCTGGCTCAGTGGGAAAGGGCTGGGAACTTACACAAAAACAAAATTCTGGTAGAAAAGAATGAGAAACAGAATCAATAGTGTTATTATTAGGATTAAAATGGATCATGTTGAAAAGAGCATTAAACAGCCCTTGGCACAGATAAGGTTCTTAATAAATGATAACTAAAACTATTATTAATCTTAATTCTTGCAGATTCAATTTTCTTAACTGCAAAATGTTCTCTAATTTTTCTTCCAGCATTAATATTATATGCTGATTTTACTCATTCATATTCTTATGTGTGCCAATTTTATTCATTCATATTTTTATATATGATCTTCTTCTTAAACTCAGTTTTATTGAAGTGTAACTTATACACAGCAACATGTCAGATCTTAAGTAAAATGTTTGTTGACTTTAGTCAAATAAATAAATTTTTGAACCTGCCATCTAGTGGAACGTGTCTGCCATCCCAAGGGATTTCTTCATTCTCCTTTCTAGTAACCACTCCAAAGGAAATCATTATTCTCATTTCTGTCAAAAATTTTGTCAGTCCTTGAACTTCATATGAATAAAATTAGTAAGTATATGGTCTTTTGTGTTGAGACTTTTTTCACTTAGTGTAATGATTTTGAGATTCTTTCAAGCCGTTGGTTATTTTGGTGATCATTTCTTTTATATATTCATGAGTTAATAGATATTTATTTGTCAAGTGTTAATGAAGCAGTGTGTATATTTGTGTTCAGCCATTTTTATAGAAATATACTTTTATTTATCTTTGATATATACCTGAAAGTACGGTTACTGGCTGATACCTGAAGCTTTGCAAGAAATGGCCAAACATGGCTGGGCGCGGTGGCTCACGCCTGTAATCCCAGCACTTTGGGAGGCTGAGGTGGGAGGGTGATGAGGTCAAGAGATTGAGACCATCCTGGCCAACATGGCGAAACCCTATCTCTACTAAAAATACAAAAAAAATTAGCTGGGCATGGTGGCATGCGCCTGTAGTCCCAGCCACTAGGGAGGCTGAGGCAGGAGAATTACTTGAATCTGAGAGGCAGAGGTTGCAGTGAGCTGAGATCATGCCACTGCACTCCAGCCTGGTGACAGAGCGAGACTCCATCTCAAAAAAAAAAAAAAAAAAAAAAGAAAGAAAGAAAAAAATAAAAGAAATGGCCAAACATTTTCCAAAGTGGTTGTGCCATTTTACATTACTACTAGCAATGAGTAAGAATGACAGTTATTACACTCATCATCAATACTTCATATTGTCTTTTTTTCCCTGTTATTCTAGTGGTGTGAAATAAAATCTCCTTCGTGGTCTTAATTTGCATTTTTCTGTTGCCTTATGATGCTGACCATCTTTTATATACTAGTTGGACATTTATTAATCTCCTTTTGTGAAGTATCTTTTCAAGTATTTTCCCATTTATTGTTATTTTAAATTATCATTGATCTAATTGTGTCCTCTGTGTATTCTGACTACATGTTCTTTTTCAGATACTTCTATTTCCATTTTCTTACTAGTGTCTTCTGATGAACTGCAGTTTTTAATTTGAAGAATTGTAATTTGTATTTTTTTTCTGTTTAGTCAGTATTTTTTTGTGTCTTATCACAAGGATGCTCTGCCGATCTCCTGTATTTTCCTTCTGGAATTTTTAGAATTTTAGTTTTTTGTATTTTGACATCTTTTCCTATAAATACTTCTAAAACATCTTTCAGTTTATTTCTTATTTATTGACCTATTAATATTTTCTATTTCTTAAGTCAATTTTAGGAATTCATTTTTTCTATAAAAATATCTTTTTTTCCATTTAATTTTTTTAAAAATTTTTTATTGCCATAGGTTCTTGGGGAACACATGGTATTTTATTACATGAGTAAGTTCTTTAGTGGTGATTTGTGAGATTTTGGTGCACCCATCACCCGAGCAGTATACATTGCACCCAGTTTGTAGTCTTTTATCCCTAACCCCCTCCCATGCTTTCCCCTTAGTTCCCAAAGTCCATTGTATCACTCTTATGCTGTTGCATCCTCATAGCTTAGCTCACATTTATGAGTGAAAAACTTACGTTTGGTTTTCCTTTCCTGTGTTACTTCACTTAGAATAATAGTCTCCAGTTCCATACAGGTTGCTGTGAGTGCCATTAATTCATTTCTTTTTATGGCTGAGCAGTATTCCATATATCACAATTTCTTTAGCCACTTTTTGATTGATGAACATTTGGGATGGTTCCATGTTTTTGCAATTGCAAATTGTGCTGCTATAAACATGTGTGTGCAAGTATCTTTTTTGTATAATGACTTCTTTTCTGCTGGGTAGATACCCAGTAGTGGGATTGCTGGATCAAATGGTAGTTCTACCTTTAGTTCTTTACAGAATCTCCACACTGTTTTCTGTAGTGGTTGTACTAGTTTACATTCCCACCAGCAGTGTAGAAGTGTTCCCGTTTTATCACGTCTATGCTAACATCTATTCTTTTTTCATTTTTTGATTATGGTCATTTTTGCAGGGGTAAGTGCTATCACATTGTGGTTTTGATTTGCATTTCCCTGATCATTAGTGATGTTGAGCACTTCTTCACATATTTGTTGGTCATTTGTATATTTTCTTTTAAGAATTGTCTATTCATGTCCTTAGCCCACTTTTTGATGGGATTATTTGCTTTTTCTTGCTAATTTTTTAAAACTCCTTGTAGATTCTGGATATTAGTCTTTTGTCAGATGTATAGATTGTGAAGATATTCTCCCACTTTGTGGGTTGTCTGTTTACTCTGCTGACTGTTCAATTGCTGTGCAGAAACCCTTTAGTTTAATTAAGTCCCACCTATTCATCCCTGTTTTTGTTGCATTTGCTTTTGGGTTCTTGGTCATGAAGTCTTTGTCGAAGCCAATGTCTAGAAAAGTTTTTCTGATGTTATCTTCTAGAATTTTTATAGTTTCAGAACTTAGATTTAAGTTCTTCATCCATCTTGAGTTGATTTTTTTAGAAGGTGAGAGATGAGGATACAGTTCCAAAAATATCTTTTGATTTAGGATTTTATATGTAGATTTATACATGTGTACACAAATATAACTTGCCATAAATAACTGTAATTATATACATGCATTTTTAAAAGATGTATTTTTTCTTCTTTCCTGCTCCCTACACAAATATACTCCTATATGAACCACATAATCTATTTGTCTATCTACCGACCTACCAACTTATGTACCTAACTACCTATCTATCTAATAATCTATTTATCCTTGAATAGCTTTCTTGAGTCTTTGTAGTTAAATGATATCTAGGTTTGACAGAGGATCCTTGAGTTGCAATGTCTTCTTTCTCAATTCATACCTGCTCTTCTACTTTTTTCTAAGTTCCAGTATTGTAGGGGAACAACATGATGCAATTGTGATATTTTCTTCCATTTCTCCCATTTTTTGCTTTTATACTTTCTTTTTTTGACATTTGTTTTCCCTTTTCTTCATTAGTGATGTGGAAGGCATGCACCCTCTTTTTCTTCTGTTTATTACCTTTAAGTAAAAAAAAAAAACTTTTCTGAATCTGTTTATCTTATTATAGAGTGGAGTTGCTATTTAATCTATTCGATATAAGATGAGAACTACTTATGCTTTCTTCCTTCTCTTTTTACCCTAATTTTTACCTACTTATTGTTTAGTAGGTAAATGTGTTTACTTTTTCTTACCTTCACGATTGTTTTGGATTTTTAATCTTTATGATAATAAGTTTACCAAGGTAGATCTAGAAATAAGTATTCTGTCTTGAATTCTGCTAGGAAAGTTCCTTTTAAATTTGCAAACTCAATTTTTACTTTTACTGGTAGATAGTTTTTCTTGTGTTATTTACATTTTCATTGCATCTTGCTTTTATTTTGAAATTCTTTCTAAATGTATACTGGATCTGTCCTCGAAGCCTCTTACCTTTCTTTGCATCGTTTTCATTGTTGTCATTTTTACCTCAGCTCTTTCAAGGTAATTTTTGTACTTATTTTTATTTCCTGATTTGTGTGTGTGTGTGTGTGTGTGTGTGCATGTGTACAAGCGTGTGTGTGTATACCTGTTTTGTAGAGTGGGTGGTATGGAAATACCTTCATTGTATAGACAGCTTTAGATCACTCTATCCCTCATGTAAGCTTCAGTGGGAACTTTCTCACTCCTTTGTATGTAGTAGTTCATATTTTAATTGTACCCAATAACACTTCTTGGTTGATGACCCAGTGTGTATTAACCTAATAATATTGTTAAATAATTTTCCTTGGTCTTTAAATACTCTTCTATCCTAAATTATTCCCAAGATATAGCACATCAACTACAATAAAAAGAGATTTAACTGCAAGGGAAAATTCTCAAAAGCCTATAGCATCAGTTTTCATATTATTCACATTTCCTTCTTGGCGGTCAGCACATCGGCTTCAGTTGTGAATCATTCTACGTGAATATTAAAATACTTATGTTCATTTTTATTCTAAGTGCTTTAATGTCACTGAATTTTATGATCAAAACATGTTCTGTGGGGTGGGACATGTTCCTTATCTCTTTTAATAGAGGAACAGAATATTCTTGAGAGGTTGGATGACTAACATAAAGTCATACATCAATCAAACAAGGTGTTCCATTTTGAACTAAGCTTTCCTGACAGTACTGCTTGTGGTTCATGCTGCATTTTAATGTAGCTCTTAAATATGTATGAAATAATTCTTAGCTTGCCATGCTGGGTTGCTTGTCTAGAGTCTCCATTCATTCAATCTTTTGCATGCCTGATGTCCTATCATTTCCTCTCTAAGTTGCAGCTTAAAATTATCAGTAAAAATTCATTGTGCATATTGAACCAAATACATAATCAGATTTGAATAAATATCCTAACTATTAGAATCAAACTTTCTTCTTTTCATGTCAGTAACATTTGGCAACATTTAGTCTTTGGGATATTGGATCACTAGTTTGTTGTTTGCTTTGAATATTTGCTCCCACACATTGTACTGTGAATACTTTCTTACTATTTACTTGTGACTAAAGTGATGAAGAGAATAATTGATTTGTATTTTTAGAATTTTAATGGACAAATGATATTTCTACACATTATAAAGCCATTTTCTATTGTGAACCAATAATTTTAGTGCTAACTGCCACAGATAAATTTACTTGAGAACATGTTATAATCTTACAGAAAATCTGCATGCCACTCATCTTGGTAATGATATGTACATATCACTAATTCCTATAACCACTGACATTTTTCCATGCTATTATCTATTAGTAGTATATTTAAGAAATGACATAGTGAATGAAAGAGTCCATAAATTAAAGACACGAAGCCCATAAGACATCTACTTGATACATCATCCAGAATAACAACACCAACATACAAAAAACAGCCTATTGAACCATAAAGTATGGCTGTAGATTGTACTGATTGAATTTCAGCAAAAAAGAGATAGTAACCTAAAAAAATCATCTCTAAGTTGTTAGGTTCTATCATCAGGAGAATGAATAACTAAAATGTGATAGATATTTACTATGGACTACTATGCAATGATTACTATAAAGGCACATGCACATGTATGTTTATTGCAGCACTAGTATATATAGCAAAGACTTGAAACCAACCCAAATGCCCATCAATGAAAGACTGGATAAAGAAAATATGGCACATATACACCATGGAATACTATGTAGCCATAAAAAAGAATGAGTTCCTGTCCTTTGCAGGGACATGGATGAAGCTGGGAACCATCATCCTCAGCAAACTGACACAGGAACAGAAAACCAAACACTGCATGTTCTCACTTATAAGTGGGAGTTGAACAATGAGAACACATGGACATAGGGAGGGGAACATCACACATCGGACCCTGTCTGGGGATACGGTGAAAGGGGAGGGAGAGCATTAGCACAAATACCTAATGCATGTGGGGCTTAAAACCTAGATGATGGGTTGATAGGTGCAGCAAACCACCATGGCACGTGTATACGTATGTAACAAACCTGCACTTTCTGCATATGTGTCCCAGAACTTAAAGTAAAAATAAAAAAAAAAAAGAACCAATGAACTGGCTGTGTGTGCAACACCATGCTCAATTCTTAAAATGTAGATTCTAGGAAGAGGAGTAAGAACTAGAACTATATGAATACCACTTAGGTAAATTAAAAACAAATTGATGCACACTTACAAACAGACATACAATGTGCGAAGGAAATTTACATATCAAAAGTCACACATTGGTCACATTTGAATGGATTTTTCTGTGGAATAGGGGAAATTGAATGGGGGTCAAAGATGAAGGAAAAAATGAAAGAAAAATTTTTAAAATTACTTAGAGCCTTATACGGACTAAGGATGACAGCATGCCAATAGTTGAGGATTATGAGGATTATAATTAACTCAACTCTCTTTACCAGTAGGGTAAATCTGTATAACAATGTTGCCCTTCTGGAAAGACTACTGAATTGAGAGTCAGAACACTTGCCTCTCATATTTTCTCTGCCATATTTGCCATGCTTATTGCCTGGCAGTACAAATTTGACTAAGCCATATCAATTTTTGGACCAGAATTTCCTCTCTCCAAGTGCAGGTATTTGATAGTATGCTCCGCAAAGCATCTTCTGGCTTTAAACGTTGATATGAACATGTTAATTTATTTATACATACAGCAAGAGTTACACACATATGTATGATTACTAGAAGCAATATAGTTAATATTTATTTTTAAAAAAAGGCTGGATAGAAGCTCTTTTCTCTTTTGTCAATATTAGGCAAAGAGACTTCCTATCCTGCGTAGGACGAAACCCCTGCAGATATGGTTTGGGTGCATATACTCCTCATTTTTGGGGTGCATATATCCCCATTTTTTGGGTGCATGTACTTTGATGGTACTCTTGTGAAAACAGTAGAATATGTGTTGTTGAGGTAAGTTATGGCTATGTCCAAGGATCAGGCATTTTCCATCCTAGGCATTCTAACCCAGAGGTTGGATTAGAACTTCAGGAATTGTTCACTATTGCAAATAAGCTGTCAGAACAGATTTGCCTTCTGGATGCACTCCTTATGCCTCGCTGTTCCCTGCTTTGTCATTCATCTCTGATATCAGAATCTGGCTTTCTTATCTGCCTGACTTTTTGGTTTGTTGCTATTACCTTTGTATAGTTCTGGCATGGATGGAATGCTTCTTAGGCATATTTGGTGGTGGTTGATTGCAGCTGCTACTCCCTAAAAGCTTCTATAAAGGAAAGAACTGAATCTGCATCTACTGCTCTGTGATTCTTCACTGCCCTATATCCCTTTGCTTCCACCACACCACCCCAGTTCATTTTGGCATTCTGGTCTCTGTTGGGTTAAGAGATATAGAATAGGTACTTGGTAACATTGATGAAACTGTCTCACTGTCGTTCAAATTTTGGATTGGACTAAGTTATATCAATAATTCCCATTTGTCACATTCCAGGAACACCAATGTGCTTCCACTTTCTTGGTGGAAGAAAAACATGTTAGATATATGACTGGTACTACTTTCTTTATATAAGTCTTTTCAAGATAAGATTTTCTCATACTCATATTTTCTTTTTCTTTATTTCTTTTCTTTCTTTCATTTTTCTTTTTTTTTTCTTGAGACGGAATCTTTCTCTGTTACCCAGGGTGGAGTGCAGTGGCAGGATCTCAACTCACTGAAACCTCTGCCTCCTGGGTTCAAGCAATTCTCCGGTTTCAGTCTCCTGAATAGCTGAGATTACAGGTGTGTTCCAGCCACCACATCCTGCTAAGTTTTTTTTTTTTTAAGTAGAGATGGAGTTTTACAATGTTGGCCAGGCTGGTCTTGAACTCCTGACCTCAAGTGATCTGCCAGCCTCAGCCTCCCAAAGTGCTGGAATTACAGACATGAGCCACTGCACCTGGCCTCATATTCATGTTTTTTAAAATAATTTTAAAGGGCTTTAAATATTTCATAGTAACTTAAAAATTTTTTTTTATTACAAGAAAAAAACAAACAACCCCATCAACAAGTGGGCGAAGGATATGAACAGACACTTCTCAAAAGCAGACATTTATGCAGCCAAAAGACACATGAAAACATGCTCATCATCACTGGCCATCAGAGAAATGCAAATCAAAAAAATTTTTTGAGGAATTTTTTTCCTCTTGACCTTTCTTTCTTTTATTTTATTTCTTTGTGTGTGTATGTATGTGGAAAATCTGTCCTCCCCCATTATTAGAGAGTGAGGAGAAGACTTCTGATTTTAGCAACATGGAAGACTGATGTAACATTGACCTCTTACTATTAGAAATAAAAAATGTAAGTCCATAGAAACAAAATGAAATACAACAAAACTTAAATACCTGAACACTGAGCTAAAAAAAAAAGAAAAGAAAAAAAAAGAAAAGAAAACATAAATATCCACGTCAGAGATTAAAGCCAGAGCAGTAAGCATCCATGCTGGTGTCACAGCACACTGGGGTCCAGAACTGCTGGTCATATGGCCTAAGGTCAAGGGCTGAGGTTCTTATATCCATATTGGGACAAGAGATAGGAACATTCGCTTGTAGAAAGTGGGGAGCTGGCATTGAGACTTAGGCATAAAGCAGGACCCTGGAAGCACTGCCTGGTCAGTGAAATTCTGTACATTCTGCTTAAAGTCCTGGAGGTGGGGTGAGTCTCCCATAAGTAATCAAAGCCACAAGTTGTAACATGTTTGGATTATGCGACCAAATTTATATTTTTGGCATGGTGTGAAAATCTTCAGGCCAAGAAATTAATTGTAAAAATTAGTCCCATACTGATAAAACCTATGGATTTTTCTGTAGAAGCAAACACATCATCACTCCATAGGGAATCTTATACAACCCAGACTACATAGAACTCCCAGAGTTAAAATAATCCCTGGTAAAAATTACAAACCACAGGAGGAAATGATTCACTACAGAGAGCCAGAAGTTACCTAGCAAGAACTCGGGGGAAAAATATGAAAGATATTATAAAATACTTATGCTTAAAGTGATTAAAGGGATAAAATAAAAACAAAATAAAGGAACAGAATGTAATGAGATTTAAAAGCAGGCAAGGACTAAACAGGGAAGGCAGGCTGTGAACCCTCATATATTAAAATGTTTTATGTTCTTCTCCATGTTTTGTCATATACAACTATGTAATTATGTTTGTATTATAATCTTCTGATTTTATATATCTCACAGGGATCAATTCCCTTCTAACAAATGCCAATAAAACCGAATCCCTACATAGCAAAATTATTCCAATTCCATCTAATTATTACAAATAATCAAATTAACCAAGTTAAATACTTTTTTCTTATAATGAAGGTTGTTACTTATAGTAATGAAAAATGTCTAAGGAAAGTATCATCGTTTTAAAGATCCAAGTTGTCTATATTTATTTCTTTGGAGCAAATAAATTTCACAGAAGAAGTGTTTAATCAGAGGCTATGTATTTATATTCTCCAATACCACAATACAATAAATTACCTTATTGCACATTCAAAGTAAGTAATGTTTTATGTATTTTAAAATAAACTCTCACGGACACTAGGATTTTTTTAAGGCCCCTCAACTACAAGCACTGCCTTTAACAGTCTTTTAGTGAGTGTTTTATATTTTATTTCATATTCAACTCTTTGATTCTAAATTCAGAGCTGTGATTACTACTTGTCTCAGTTGAATTTCAATGCTAGCCTTTCCTATTGTCTCCTAAATACTCAGTTTCTTACTTCTGTGAAGTAGATTTCTCATACCTTATAGAATTCCAATCAACATTTCTCAGGACACTGCATTCTTTCAAAGCCTTTCTTCCAAAGTCAAAAATGCTTGCATTGTTTCTCTTCATAAGCAGTGTACTCTTTTGAGCATTTCAAATCAAATAATAAATTGATAACTAGATTCGAGATGCTCCTAAGCTTTAATCTGATTTATCATACTTGGCTGAATTTTTAGGAAAAGTTCCAGGAGAAAACATGAATGAAAAACAAAAAAAATTTTTTAAAGCCTTGTCTTTTCATAAAGACTAGCCAAAAAACTCTTAGAAAAAGAAAATAATGTGGCATGAGGATAGAACTTTTATTATTTTTTATAATGAAATTGTCATTATCCCAATCAGTATCAGTGTAATTAAAATCTTTCGTGGTCGATATTTCAGCCTTTCTATGGTTGTTCATTGTTAGTCTTAAGAAAAGTGACTCCCCTCAGTTTCCATAGGTTATTTTTATATAGAAAGTGCCATTTCCAAGACTAGGTGGATTCCAGTTTTTGAGAAAGAGAGCGAGAGAGACAGTGAAGGAAGAGGGAGAGACAGAAGGGGAGACAGAGAGATTAGACATTGCAATGAACAAACTGGTTTTGACCATTAATTACATTCCCTGGATACTTGCTCAATTCACCACACATTTTTTTTTTTCTGAATCAACATGAAAAAGACTGGCTTAGTCTGCATTTAAAGCATTTCGTACATTACAATGATCACATGCTACAGGATTTGTAAGTGCTCAAGGATGTGTTCACAGCTAGGGAAGTAAAGCCGACATAAAGAAATGAAATCCAGTTTCTGTCTTCAAGACACTTACATTCTTGCATAAAGTCAAGAAAATACTAGTAGGAAAACAATACTTTATATTGGTTGTCTTCTTTATCTGTAGGATGTCAAACAACCAAATCATGGTGTTAATTTTTTCTTGTTCAAAGGACTTGGTTTATTTAAATTCTCTGTTGGCTTTGCATGTCACATAGCCTTTCTTACTCTACCATCAGAGGACACAAACTTGTAGCCTGAAGATGTTTTGTGAGACTTACAGAATAATACTCAAAATTTTGTATTTGTTGTCAACAGTTAAAAATTGGGAAAATGGTAAAAAATTCCAGATTTCTGAATTTTCTTAAACATGCCAGTGATCCATTGACAGTGAATCTATGATTCCACATAGGAACAGTGAACTTTAGAGAAGTATGGACTGCCTTTTCTTTTTTTTTTTTGAGACGGAGTCTTGCTCTGTTGCCCAGGCTGGAGTGCATTGGCGTGATCTCTGCTCACTGCAAGCTCCGCCTCCCAGGTTCACGCCATTCTCCTGCCTCAGCCTCCCGAGTAGCTGGGACTACAGGCGCCTGCCACCACGCCCGGCTAATTTTTTGTATTTTTAGTAGAGACGGGGTTTTACCGTGTTAGCCAGGATTGTCTCGATCTCCTGACCTCGTGATCTGCCCGCCTCGGCCTCCCAAAGTGCCGGGATTACAGGCATGAGCCACTGCACCCGGCCTGGACTGCCTTTTCAAGTTGGTTTTACAGTCTCCAATTACCTATAATTCCCACCTAGCCTGCTTTATTTACTCATTTATATTAATTGTTTACATTTATGAATTCATAAACCTTACCTACACTAGAGTCACTTGAAGAATTTTCTAAAGTATAGGAACCCATATCTTAATACTGGGTCTTGCTCACAAAGGTTTAAATTTATGGGTCCGTTAGGATGTAGTCATTGTGGTATATGTGTGTGTGCGTGTGTGTATACAAAACCAAAAAACAGGTAGTCCTACTGTGTAACCACAGCAGAGAACCATTGCTGTGGTATTTGAGGTTTTATCTGCTATTTTACATTTTCAATGATTTAAACATAAAAAAGGATATTCCTTTCTACTCTGTTTTTTTTTTTTTGTTTGGATTTTAATTTTGTGGCACTAATCTAGAACATTAACCATACTGCCTAGTATTTGTTGAAACTAGAAAAAGCATGCAGCTTTATATGAACCAGGATTTGGTCACAGCTTGGTTGCCCAGAACTTTGTTCTGTTTTGCTTTTGTACCTAGAGATGGCTGGTCTCAAGGGGAATAATTATGGTTAAACAAACTCATGGAAAATTTGTGATTATTAATTTACAGGGAAAAAGTTTAAAATAAAAACAGAACTTCCAAACAGAAAGAAACTTTCATTTCCATTGGTTGGTAAATCCTCTCCCTGGGATAAAAGCCTACATGAGAAATCATATTATGATCAAAATACTGTTTGTGAGCTTGTATTAGAGCAAAGTAAGTTAAGGTTAAGTGTCATACTGAGTGGTGAAGCCGGCTGGGCTTCTGGGTGGGGTGGGGACTTGGAGAACTTTTCTGTCTAGCTAAAGGATTGTAAATGCACCAATCAGCACTCTGTGTCTAGCTAAAGGTTTGTAAACACACCAATCAGCACTCTGTAAAAATGCACCAATCAGCGCTCTGTGTCTAGCTAATCAGGTGGGGACCTGGAGAACTTTTCTGTCTAGCTAAAGGATTGTAAATGCACCAATCAGTGCTCTGTGTCTAGCTAAAGGTTTGTAAATGCTCCAATCAGCTCTCTGTAAAAATGGACCAATCAGTAGGATGTGGGCGGGGCCAAATAAGGGAATAAAAGCTGGCCACCCAGCTAGCAGGGGCAACCCGCTAGGGTACCCTTCCATGCTGTGGAAGCGTTGTTCTTTCACTCTTCGCAATAAATCAATCTGCTGCTCACTCTTTGGGTCCGCACTACCTTTATGAGCTGTAACACTTGCTGCGAAGGTCTGTGGCTTCACTCCTGAAGTCAGAGAAACCACGAACCCACCAGGAGGAATGAAGAACTCCAGACGCACCACCTTTAAGAGCTGTAACACTCACTGTGAAGGTCTGCAGCTTCACTCCTGAAGTCAGCAAGACCACAAACCCACCAGAAGGAAGAAACTCCAGACATATCTGAACATCAGAAGGAACAAACTCTGGACACACCATCTTTAAGAACTGCAACACTCACCATGAGGGTCTGCGGCTTCTTTCTTGAAGGCAGCGAGACCAAGAACCCACTGGAAGGAACCAATTCCTGACACAATACCTGTTGAATTGACTGACCAGAACAATGTCTGCTACTCACGGCTTCCTGGACATCTATCTCATTACCACTGCAAATTATGCCCTGCAAGCTTAATTGAAATTGGATTTCCTCAAGCCTCCAGAGACTTGCATTTGTGGATACTTGTTAGTATGGGTCTCCTCAATATATGGTACTTCTCATCAATTAGGGGTTCAATTTTACGAGTTTAATTTCAGACACAAAATTGCGTTAAAATTCTGTGGGCATCTTACTATAAATCTCTGCTTACTAAAATATTATGAATTACCTTTCTGTGAATAAATACCTTTCATGCTCTACTGAAGTGGAAGTTCTTTGAGGGTCAAAATATACCAGATACTTTGCAAGTCCCTTTAGGATGTCACACATCCTTCCCCAAACCATAGCAGAGCTCTGCACATGGAGAAAGAAACTAGTATTCCCTGAACATTTGTTATGGGCGGGCATGTGATCTCATATATATATTTTATCCTTGATAGATTTTATTAATATCTCATGATTTTACTATCCTCATTTTGTAAATGAGATAATCAAAGCTGAAAAAGATTAAATAAATTGTTTTATTTTGGAGCTGGTATATTCTCAGAGCCTGGATTTAAATCTGTTTCTTTGACCTCAGATTGTGTGTGTGTGTGTGTGTGTGTGTGTGTGTGTGTGTGAGAGAGAGAGAGAGAAGGAGAGTCTGGGTCTATGGAAGGCTGTGTGAGAGAGAGAAATTGTGCTAGGTTTCCTTCTAATAAATATATCATTTTGCCTCATATATGATCAATAAATGTGCTGGCTGTTTGATTTATGATTGAAAAAAGTATTAATCACTTAATTATTTTCTTACAGCTTCTACATGTTTTCATTTACTTTTTATAGGCATTTGGGAAATGGGATGGATTTTAATTGTTTCAATCATTTAGTGCTTGGCAGTCTGAGCACATAGTAACAGCTTAATAAATAGCTCATGTGGGAAAAAGTGAAGGGAGTTACAGGGAGATTTCTACTTTATAGCTAGACTTATCAGGTATAAATACCTAAAGGTAGGTTGAAGCATTCTCTCTTCACTCAAGAAACAAAACAATATAAAATTGTATTTAGTATGGTTATTGCTACATGGAAAGATCTAGAGAAAGCATTCGCTCTTTAAAATGATTCACTGCAAACATATTAGAAAAATGGGAGACATTTTGTTCTTCAATGGAATGAAAGTTTTTAATTTTTTTTAATAAAATCAGTGGGTGGATGTAGACACCTGTATCACTTTGAGCAATTTCAAATCAGGCAACTTAGAAAGCTTAGGAAGTTGGGAAGAGACAGGCTTGAAACATACCTATTTCACCTGGGACGATATCCTACAGCTTTGCAGCACAACTAATCAAGGGTGTTGAGAGCAGAGAAAAGCAAATAGTAGGTTCTTGTGTTGCACAGCAAACTGCTTCTTGATAACTAGAGAGAAACCTTAGAAAAGCTCTTCTGTTACTATTGTGGCTGACACCCTACAGGCAGCCTTTCTGCTTTCACTCTGGTGCTCTATCTGCAATAACTGGTGTAGATATAAGGGAATGGCTTCAGATGAAATTGGGTGATGGCTGGATATTAAATCAAAGTCTCCTAATACACCACTTTACACTGCATGTTTAGAAACAATGTACACCATCCCTTCCCAAAGCACCAACCACTGAATTTCAGCAGTTATTTGAAATTCTTTTTGAATAATGAAGACATAATGTCAATATCCAATGGAATCTTGATGTAATACATCCATGAATCTTATTAGTTCTTATTCATAATTTTATTTTTATAGCAGTTGATTTTCCATAGTTTATGCATATTACAAAGTTTCGCTTATGGATGTGAAAAAGTGGCATATTTTATTACCTATATAAAATGTCCTCTTCTAGAGTTTTCTGTTTCCTTGGTTTCCTAAGGCAGTTAATTCATTCCTAAAGATTATTCTCAAAACATTGTATTGTGGTCTAGTTTTTAATTTTTATTTTTCCATTTTCCTATCAAGCCCATTAAAGATCACCATTTAAAAACATTCTGTACTCTATAAAGAATTGATAAGAAAAGTTGATTATGGATTCTTACTGTTTTTATTATAATTTATCAAATTATAATGATCATTATTCACATAATAAAAAATTCCAATATTTCTTGTACCTTACTCCACAAGAGCTATGAAGTTGATCTTATTTGGTACCATGAGGTGTCTACAAATTAATATTTTTAATCCAAACAATAGGACACATTTTATCCAGCTATTAATATTGAAGAACTTATAGCTTTTAAGTTGGAGAAAGGGCTAACATTTATTGAGCAACTTCTTTGAAGAGACTAGCACAATATGCATTTCACATACATTACTTCATTTAACAGATCCAATTCTGTGAGGCAGGTGTTAATATCCCCATTTAGCAGACAAGAACATGAAACTTAAGATAAGTAACTTGTCAGGTTAAAAGTCTGATTCTAATGCCAATGCACTTGCCACTACTCTTTCATTATTTTTGCAAATATTTTTATATGTGATTTTTAAAATTATGTATAAAATGATCATAGTTGTAGATATGTGGCATTATTTCTGAGGGCTCTGTTCTGTTCCATTGATATATATCTCTGCTTTGGTACCAGTACCATGCTGTTTTGGTTACTGTAGCCTTGTAATATAGTTTGAAGTCAGGTAGCGTGATGCCTCCAGCTTTTTTCTTTTGGCTTAGGATTGACTTGGTGATGCGGGCTCTTTTTTGGTGCCATATGAACTTTAAAGTAGTTTTTTCCAATTCTGTGAAGAAAGTCATTGGTAGCTTGATGGGGATGGCATTGAATCTATAAATTACCTTGGGCAGTATGGCCATTTTCACGATATTGATTCTTCCTACCCATGAGCATGGAATGTTCTTCCATTTGTTTGTATCCTCTTTTATTTCATTGAGCAGTGGTTTGTAGTTCTCCTTGAAGAGGTCCTTCACGTCCCTTGTAAGGTGGATTCCTACGTATTTTATTCTCTTTGAAGCAATTGTGAATGGGAGTTCACTCATGATTTTGCTCTCTGTGTGTCTGTTGTTGGTGTATAAGAATGCTTGTGATTTTTGTACATTGATTTTGTATCCTGAGACTTTGCTGAAGTTGCTTATCAGCTTAAGGAGATTTTGGACTGAGACAATGGGGTTTTCTAGATATACAATCATGTCATCTGCAAACAGGGACAATTTGACTTCCTCTTTTCCTAATTGAATACCCTTTATTTCCTTCTCCTGCCTAATTGTCCTGGCCAGAACTTCCAACACTATGTTGAATAGGAGTGGTGAGAGAGGGCATCCCTGTCTTGTGCCAGTTTTCAAAGGGAATGCTTCCAGTTTTTGCCCATTCAGTATGATATTGGCTGTGGGTTTGTCATAGATAGCTCTTATTATTTTGAGATACATCCCATCAATACCTAATTTATTGAGTTTTTAGCATGAAGGGTTGTTGAATTTTGTCAAAGGTCTTTTCTGCATCTATTGAGATAATCATGTGGTTTTTGTCTTTGGTTCTGTTTATATGCTGGATTATGTTTATTGATTTGTGTATATTGAACCAGCCTTGCATCCCAGGGATGAAGCCCACTTGATCATGGTGGATAAGCTTTTTGATGCGCTGCTGGATTTGGTTTGCCAGTATTTTATTGAGGATTTTTGCATCAATGTTCATCAAGGATATCGGTCTAAAATTCTCTTTTTTTGTTGTGTCTCTGCCCGGCTTTGGTATCAGGATGATGCTGGCCTCATAAAATGAGTTAGGGAGGATTCCCTCTTTTTCTATTGATTGAAATAGTTGCAGAAGGAATGGTACCAGTTCCTCCTTGTACCTCTGGTAGAATTCGACTGTGAATCCATCTGGTCCTGGACTCTTTTTGGTTGGTAAGCTATTGATTATTGCCACAATTTCAGAGCCTGTTATTGGTCTATTCAGAGATTCAACTTCTTCCTGGTTTAGTCGTGGGAGGGTGTATGTGTCGAGGAATTTATCCATTTCTTCTGGATTTTCTAGTTTATTTGCATAGAGGTTTTTGTAGTATTCTCTGATGGTAGTTTGTATTTCTGTGGGATTGGTGGTGATATCCCCTTTATCATTTTTTATTGCGTCTATCTGATTCTTCTCTCTTTTCTTCTTTATTAGTCTTGCTAGCGGTCTATCAATTTTGTTGATCCTTTCAAAAAACCAGCTCCTGGATTCATTAATTTTTTGAAGGGTTTTTTGTGTCTCTATTTCCTTCAGTTCTGCTCTGATTTTAGTTATTTCTTGCCTTCTGCTAGCTTTTCAATGTGTTTGCTCTTGCTTTTCTAGTTCTTTTAATTGTGATGCTAGGGTGTCAATTTTGGATCTTTCCTGCTTTCTCTTGTGGGATTTAGTGCTATAAATTTCCCTCTACACACTGCTTTGAATGTGTCCCAGAGATTCTGGTATGTTGTGTCTTTGTTCTCGTTGGTTTCAAAGAACATCTTTATTTCTGCCTTCATTTCGTTATGTACCCAGTAGTCATTCAGGAGCAGGTTGTTCAGTTTCCATGTAGTTGAGCAGTTTTGAGTGAGTTTCTTAATCCTGAGTTCTAGTTTGATTGCACTGTGGTCTGAGAAACAGTTTGTTATAATGTCTGATCTTTTACATTTGCTGAGGAGAGCTTTACTTCCACGTATGTGGTCAATTTTGGAATAGGTGTGGTGTGGTGCTGAAAAAAAAATGTATATTCTGTTGATTTGGGGTGGAGAGTTCTGTAGATGTCTATTAGGTCTGCTTGGTGCAGAGCTGAGTTCAATTCCTGGGTATCCTTGTTAACTTTCTGTCTCGTTGATCTGTCTAATGTTGACAGTGGGGTGTTAAAGTCTCCCATTATTATTGTGATCTTTGACAAACCTGAGAAAAACAAGCAATGGGGAAAGGATTCCCTATTTAATAAATGGTGCTGGGAAAACTGGCTAGCCATATGTAGAAAGCTGAAACTGGATCCCTTCCTTACTTACACCTTATACAAAAATTAATTCAAGATGAATTAAAGACTTAAACATTAGACCTAAAACCATAAAAACCCTAGAAGAAAACCTAGGCATTACCATTCAGGACATAGGCCTGGGCAAGGACTTCATGTCTAAAACACTAAAAGCAATGGCAACGAAAGCCAAAATTGACAAATGGGATCTAATTAAACTAGAGAGCTTCTGCACAGCAAAAGAAACTACCATCAGAGTGAACAGGCAACCTACAAAATGGGAGAAAATTTTCGCAACCTACTCATCTGACAAAGGGCTAATATCCAGAATCTACAATGAACTCAAACAAATTTACAAGAAAAAAACAAACAACCCCATCAAAAAGTGGGTGAAGGACATGAACAGACACTTCTCAAAAGAAGACATTTATGCAGCCAAAAGACACATGAAAGAATGCTCACCATCACTGGCTATCAGAGAAATGCAAATCAAAACCACAATGAGATACCATCTCACACCAGTTAGAATGGCAATCATTAAAAAGTCAGGAAACAACAGGTGCTGGAGAGGATGTGGAGAAATAGGAACACTTTTTCACTGTTGGTGGGACTGTAAACTCGTTCAGCCATTGTGGAAGTCAGTGTGGCGATTCCTCAGGGATCTAGAACTAGAAATACCATTTGACCCAGCCATCCCATTACTGGGTATATACCCAAAGGACTATAAATCATGCTGCTATAAAGACACATGCAGATGTATGTTTATTGCGGCACTATTCACAATAGCAAAGACTTGGAACCAACCCAAATGTCCAACAATGATAGACTGGATTAAGAAAATGTGGCACATATACACCATGGAATACTGTGCAGCCATAAAAAAGGATGAGTTCATGTCCTTTGTAGGGACATGGGTGAAATTGGAAATCATCATTCTCAGTAAACTATCGCAAGAACAAAAAACCAAACACTGCATATTCTCACTCATAGATGGGAATTGAACAATGAGAACACATGGACACAGGAAGGGGAACATCACACTCTGGGGACTGTTGTGGGGTGGGGGGAGGGGGAGGGATAGCTTTAGGAGATATACCTAATGCTAAGTGATGAATTAATGGGTGCAGCACACCAGCATGGCACATGTATACATATGTAACTAACCTGCACATTGTGCACATGTACCCTAAAACTTAAAGTATAATAATAATAAAATTAAATTAAATTTAAAAAACGATCATAGTATATGTTTTCTGATACAGATACTTATCTGCTTGTGTCTGATGTTCTATGGATTTGTAATATTTTCATGTGTATGTGACCCTCTGACAAATATATATTCAGCACCCACAATTACTGTGAAATTGTCTTTTCAAATATCTCCCTTAAATATATTTGCATTAGATTGTTTATAGTTCTTCTGTTTCCTCAGTTAGCATCTCTTTAGGCACAAACCTGAGATGGCATACTCAGTCTAATACACTAATGGCCTTAGTGGTTGGATCTCAAAGGGAAGAAATGATCATAGCACTACTACTATCCCCACCAACCAGCAAGACAACTACCATTTATTAGGCACTCTCAATGTGCCCATTATTATACAGGCACTTTATGAGCATTATGTTTCTCAAATAACTCGACATGTGTAAAGCACTTAGAACAGTGTCTGATAGTAAATTTTACACAAATGTTTGCTTTTGTCATCATCAAGATCATCTCATCATTATCTCATTTAAAACCTTCAATGATCGGTCAATGTAGATCTCATTATTCTCATTTGACAGCTATGGAAGCAGGTTCCTAAAAGCTGAATTGCTTAACTGGTTAATAAATGGTAGACACTGAATTTTGACACAGGTGTGTTTGACTTCTGTGACCTTTTTTTTTTTTTTTTTTTGTCCTGCTCAGCCATACTATGTCTCATGGGTGGAAACAGCCACACACAAAAAATGTCTCCCCTGCCTCTGACCTTCACTAGCTGTGAGCTACTTCCTATCTTCCCTGGGGTAGCGTGTCACTTCAGGAGACTAATCCAGAAACCATGGCTTATGTTTTCGCTACACAGAGTGCTGTTCAGAGAAATCCCTGTGGCTTTGAGGGGAAGTGGCTACGTTCCTAGGGGGCCCTCTGAATGTCTAAGATGTTTAGATTGCTCTGCTTATCCCAGGAATGATAACCACTCACTCTTTTCTTCCCCAGGGCATTCTGATTTTCCACACAGAACTGGACTCTGGTTCTATAAACGCTCATCTTGTCTTCTCCTTTGTCCCTTGTTACTTCTTCTGAACCTGACACCAGCTGTATGCCGTCTATTAACCTGTCATATTCATTGATCTCCCTAAGAAATCAAGCTGTCCTTATAATTCCCCTGTCTGATCTTTTCTTGCTGGAGCTTACTGACAAAATTGTCCCATAGCAAAAGAAGAGTCTATTTGCTTTAGCTCTAATAGTCCCAAATGCTGTATATAGTCAATACATGATTTTCTGTGCATTTCAAACTTTATGACCTCATTCAAAATGAAAACTGTTTGCAGATAACTCTGATTTGACCTCCAAAGTCTATAGGAAAATAGAGCTAAAGCAAGTGCTCAGATTAAGGAAGTTTATGAAGAAAAGTATAGGTCAGTCTCACTGGCTTATGCCTATAATCCCAGCAGTTTGGGAGAGTGAGACAGGCAGATTGCTTGAGCCCACGAGTTTGAGACCACCCTGGGCAACACAGGGAGACCTCATTTCTAAAAATAATTTAAAAATTAGCTGGGTGTGGTGGCATGCACCTGTAGTTCTAGCTACTAGAAAGGGTTTGGTGGGAGGATTGCTTAAGCCTTGGTGGTAGAGGCTGCAGTGTGCTATGATTGCACCACTGCACTCCAGCCTGGGCAGCAGAGCAAGACCACCTCTAAAAAACAAACAAAACAACAACAACAATGAACAAACAAACAAAAAATATAGAACCTTTCCACTGGCACTTTTATTTTCCAACATAAAATAGACAGGGTGTACTTTGTAATTTTTAATACCTGAATTCAAACTGATTACTAATTTTCTCCTTTCTTATTTGTTGGAGAATGATGATGGAGGATTAGAAAGTCCCCTGTGTAGCTTAATATGCTGAAAATAAAGCTCTGGTCATTCCATGTTTTGTTTAAGAATGTTAGGAAATTTTTAATTTTTCAATGAAGTTGTTCTTCAACCTTATGATGTCATTGTAAATTTCTGACTTCTTTGCCAAACCTAGGCCTTAATTTTAGACTAAGTACATCCTCATTAATTTGTCATTTATCTGTTCATCTATTCATTCTTTCATCTATAAAATCTTTCATTATTTTGGATTGACACTGTGCTAGGATCTTGTATTAGTCAATATTTAATCAAGATAACATAAGTTATTCTAGGCATTTCAAGCAGAGAGAATTCAACACAGGAAATTAGTTATACATATCAGAAGGTCAAAAGAGCAAAAGAGAAAAGCAAGTGGTTATTCAAAATTAGGAGCTGCAGCTGGCCTTTGGCTGAAGGTTAGGGGCCAATGTTCAGGGGAGCTGGCAATGCCTTTGCTAGTACTGGCATCTCATTACTGCCATAGAGTAGGAAGCTAAGGAGCCTCCTCTCCCACCTATGCTTCTGAAACTGCTTCCAATGATGCTGGGGAGAGAAACCACTGGTAATCTCCCTACAAAGCTTTAGATGGCTATTTCCTGTGTCTGGAGGTCACTCTTCCTCCCTTTGCCTGCCACTTGACTTCCCTGCCTCTCATTTGGCTAACTTTTCTATTTTTAAGAAAATCAGTTTGCTTTTTAACATCTAGTGCAAAATTGCTATTTTGGAAAGTCTCTAACTTTATCATTCCTTTCTCTGTCCCTTGTGTTATATCTATTATTGCATATGTCATGGTATATATCAGTTTTTGTGTACCTGTTAGGCTATCCTATTAAGGTAAAAGCTTCTCAAGATCATATCTTTTTTGTTGTTATTATCTTCCCAATTAACACAGAATTTATTAATCCTCAACTAATATTTGTCAAATTTATTGAATTGAATTGAAATATGCAATGGCACAGAATTATGGTATATTTCGAAGCATCTAACATGCTGGATCAGGAATTAAAAGGTTGTCATTCAGGTAATGGGTAGCCATTGGCACTTTTGAAGACTTGCAGTGACATCATGTAATTTAGTGCGTTTGAGCTGGAAGAAGTAAGAAAAGGCAGTGTGGAGTGTGATTCCATGTCTGTAGTACACAATAGGAGCTGAGTGTATTGATTTTAGCCTGACTTTTCAGGAATTACTGTTCTTTACCCATTTGGGACCTGGGAGTGTTATTTTACCTTACTTTATTGTTGAGGTGATACTTTTTTTAGATTATAAATTATTCTTTTTAGAGCTTTTGAAGGTGTCTGGCCGACAGGCTGGCTGAAGTTTTATAATCAACCATTTCTAATCAGGAAATGTTCTAATTATAAAAAGTAATGTAGTCAGACATTCTAAATTATGTTACCATTCACTTTGCCAAGTACCTTTCCAAAAAAACCTTTTTGCTCTGGCATTCTACTTTTATTATATATATTTTTGTAATTCTCTTTCTACAACACAGAAAACTGAGGGGAGTTTAACTTTGGAAACAATATATTTTGGACCTAATCTAAAGGTGAGAGTGTAAGCAGTTCAGGATAAATCCCAATACAATACTCCTCCTCCCAAATCTAAACTCCAATTTTTTTCCTGAAGACCCTTTTGGACACCAGAGCTAGATGCCATCTGGCTGACAGTAAAATGACCATGATGTCCCAGTTACCCTTCTGCTTCTCCCAAAGAGCCTCTTTATTTATTTAACTAATTAAGACAGTGTCTCACTCTGTCATCCAGGCTGGAGTACAGCAGCCTTGACCTCCTGGGCTCAAGTGATCCTCCCACTTCCACTCCCAGTGTAGCTGGGACTATATTTGCTTACATTTTTATTTTATTTTAATTAATTATTTATTTTAGAGATAGGGTCTCTCTATGTTGCCCAGGCTGGTCTCAAATTCCTGGGCTCAAGTGATCCTCCAGCCCCAGTCTCCCAAAGTATTGGGATTACAGGCATGAGAGCCACCACACCCAGCCAAATATGTCATTATTGATAAACTTTTTGGGTGCTGACTGAGATGGTTAATTTTACCTGTCAAGTTGACTGGGCCATAGAGTGCCCAGACAGCTGGTCAAATATCACTCTGGGTGTTTCTGTGAGGGTGTTTTTGGATAAGAGTAACATTAAAATTCTTAAACTTGAGTAAAGCAGATACCCTCCTTAATATGAGTGAGCCTCATTTAGTCAGTTGGAAGCCTGATAGAGCAAAAGGTTGACCCTCCTTTTAGTGAGGGAATTCTCCTGTCTTTTGATGGCTTTTGATGTGGGACATTGACTTTTCCTGTTTCTACAGCAGTTCTCACCTTCTGACTTGAACTAGGACATCAGATCTGCAGGTTTTGGACTTGCCAGCCTCCATAATCACATGAGCCAATTCCTTACAATAAATCTGTCTCTAGATTCTAAGTTATTTCTAGAATGTATATCTAGAATGTGTGTGTGGGTGTGTATGTATATGTAGTTGGTTGTGTTTCTCTGGAGAATTATAACTAACATACCTACTGAGGTTATTTTGAAATATGTTCATAAATTATTTGACTTTCTTCCTTCCAATAGGTAGAGCCTAGTTCCCCTCTCCCTTGAATGTGGGCTGAATGAACTCAGTGATTTCTTCTAGTGAATAGAATACAGTGGAATGACATTATGTGGCAATATCATAAAATGGCATTTTGTCTTCCTTCTAGTTTTCTCTATGAGATCACTTTCTTGAGGCAAAGTGACTTCCATGTCCTGAAGACACTTAAGCAACCCTATAAAGAAGCCCAAATAATGGGGAACCGGAGCCTTCAGCTAACAGCCATGTGAACCGTCTTGGAAGTGCACTCTTCAGTGCTTGTTGAGCCTTCAGAATTCTGTAGTCCTAGCAGACATCTTGACAGCAAGTTCATCAGCGATTGTAAGCCAGACCTACCCAACTAAGCTGATCACAGATTTCTGACCCATAGAAATTGTGTGATACGATAAGTATTATTTCAAGCCACTATGTTTTAAGATAATTTTGGAGCAATATTTAACAAATGCATCTACTATGTTGAAAATATTGCCCTAGGCCCTCTATTCCTGGACTCAGGATTGTGAATGGTTACTGGGTGAGGTAGAGAGTCAGTAAGAAAAAATTTCATTACATCGTTTTATTTGCTGAAAGATATGGGAGAGTAGCCAACATCCAGAAAGCCTAGATCAAAATTGAAATGCCCTTGTTGATCTGGGCAGGCAGTCAAGACAACCTAACTGAGGAGTCAGTGAGGGCAAGGACAGAGTAGTGGACCTTGGAAGAAAAAGCAAACCCTTCATCAGTACAATGGAGAATACTTTGCTGTGTTAAAATGAAGGTCAGGCTCTGTGTACACTTAAAACAGGTGTTCAATACATATGCATTGATTGATGTTGGTTGATGTATTTTGAATGCCAGACAGATTGTGAGTCATCAGTGTTACAATGTAGCTTAAATAAATGTGAGCTGTGCCTGTAAAATAGCAATACAACAATGAGAACCAAAAAACATCATTCAGCCTCTCACTGTGCAGCCTTATTTGTCCCATCTGCCACAAGACTCTGATTACCGAGAGGGAGGGACTTCCCAGTTAGATGATAAATAATTCTTTAGGGGAGAAATAAAGGGGAATCTTCAATGGGAAAGACTTTGGCAGTGGGGTCTGACCAATTTCTTTCAGTGAAGACCTCGATTGATTTCTTATGGGTAGACTAGTGGTGTCATTTGCAAAGATGCTGAGAAAGACCTTCTCCACAGAAGGTATTTGATAAAAGAGAACAGGGTGGGAGAGGGTGATTGCAGGTTGAAAGTGGAAGAAAAACTTGATATGGTAGTTGACCATAAGTATGTACGAAGATGTGGCTTAATTTTGTTTTTATTACTTTCTTGATGAAAACCTCACCATCTGTAGGATACAGTGAAACAAATATGACTGAGGATTACTTTCTGGGTCATGTTAGGTTACTTATTTTCTGTTTTGGAAATCAAGGCCTATGTGCGGTATTGAAGTTCACGTTATCATTAGGGTGCTCTTATGTTTTGGTTTCCTTGGGGAGAAATCTCTGTACATGTTATTGCCTCAGTGTTATCATTATAGTACCATCTTTCCTCAAAAGGATCCTGATTTTGACAATGAGTTATATGGCTAGTGAGTGGTAGAGTCTTGGTAGTGGAGTAGAGTGATTAAAAATATGAACTCTAGCACAAAATTCTCAGGGGAAAAATTCAAGCTGAGTCACTTTTTAGTCTTGTAACCTTTACTTAATATCTCTCTACTGTGAGATATTTCCTTAATATCCTTAATAATTTCCTTAATATCTCTCTACTGTGGTTACTGTAAAGCAGGACTAATAATAACATCTGTTAAGGTGGATTCTCATTAAACATCATTTAATGAGAATTAAATGAATCATTATGCATAAAGCCCTTCAAAGAGTGCCTAACATATGAAAGCTCTATACAAGCTTTACCTTATATACTATTTAATTCTCACAAAATTCTTGTAATGAAGGTGTTATGATGCCCCTTTGCAAATGAGTATACTGAAGTATCAAAATGTTTAGAAACTTTACATAGGCAAAACAGCTAAGGGGTAGTAGTTGAAGTATTTGGTCTTGACTTTGACCTCAAATGATCCATTATTCCACAAAGTAGTTTAGCCTCAACACCACTTTATGCCCTTTCTTCATTTTCTAGAATGAGTCAGAATAAGGAGCTATGTGTTCATTCTTACACTCATTCAATTCTATATTAATTTCCTGTTAAAAATCTCTCACCAGAGCAGATATTTCTTTGGGGGGCTGGGAATGGAGGGGAGCAGATGATAGGATACCATTCTTATGATGAGATAGTGTCTTGCACTCATCTTGCTTAATACATCTCTTTATAGGGCTCACAGAGGGTAGGGCCAGGCCAGCTGTATACCCATTAAGCTACTAGTTTTCCCTAAATCATGACTTGTTAACAGAACTTCCAGATAAGTAGAGAGTCTAGGATCATTCTCACAGTGGAACCTAGAAGAGATGTCTATGGGGTAGCTGTGGAAGCAGATCACAGAGCCTTTGCAGCATGAGAAGAGAGGAAGGATGTTCTCGCTTCACCCAAGAGAGAACAAACATGGTTCAAACAGCCAACAGACCCTGGCTGCATAGACCAATAGGTCTATGCATGCACCTGTGTTCCAACTGGTCAAAGGCCAAAGGGAACGGACTTGCTTATTAATGCCAACCTGCATGAATTATCCACCAACGCCCAGGCCACTCCCCTCCCTGTTAGTCCTTCTCACTGTAGACGCCTCTTTCCCAGCTCTTAGATGAAACTCTGCCCAATGGGCAGGAATTTGGTACCAGAAAAATATAGTATTTCTCCATATTTTAATAAAAATTTAGCTCAGTTTTGAAAAAAATACAATTTCAAAGCTTGCATTCCTTGGTTTATAGACTTAAGATTTACAGATGTGTCACACTACACCATCTTGGGAGATAGCCTCATTTCAATTTTTGCAACTCCACTTCTTCCTGGCTTTGTTTTCTGTCTGTGAAGCTTAATTCCTCAAGTTGAACTTTTTAAAAAGATATCAAACTGTTGCTTAAACTCTGTATCCCATCTGTCAAATGAGAATAACAACATATATTAGGGTTATTGTGAGGATAAGAAATATTTTATATAATGTGCCTGTTCTATAGGGCCTGAGACACCATGTGCCCAAATACTACTACTACCACTATGGTCACACCTAATGGTAGTAATAGTAAATACAATAATAACAGGCAGACTTGTTCTAATAGCATGGTCACTTTAATTTGTCAGGCTGGTATATTCTATTACATCAGTATTTATGGTATCTATACTAAGTTATTGAGGTTATCAGGTTAATGTATGTACCTAGGACACATAATGCTTTTTCCACAATGGTAGGTCCCTTCCTTTATGCAAAGGAGCTTGCTTTGTTCTTCCCTGAAACGGTGTGTTTGTCTTATATAGACAAGCATGCAGAGAACATTTTACTTTTTAAAAGAGTACATTTCCATACTTATCAAGAAAATGAAAGCTTTGCAAGAAAATTCCTGTGAAAAGTCTAAGATTATTAAAAGAAAAACTGTTGAGGCAAAAAGAAACAAAACATTTCACCTTTTTCCCTGTAGAAGCCAGAGTGTGCTTCTCACAAAAGCCTGTGCAACCTCCGATTTTATTCAAGAGCTAAAGAAACTAGCAGTCTCCAAGGCTCCAAGATTTAATTTCCATTGCATAGGATGCCCCTCACATCAGAATTAATCAGTTTTCATTTCCACTGTCCCATTTCCCTTTAGGAACCCTGTGGCGTAAACCTCAAAGTTAAACACAAATATTCATCCACTCAACCTGTTTTGAAGAGTTAAACATTCAGGGACATAAATCATTGGCAGTGATGGGTGCACACTGATTTGGGCACAATTCATCTCCTTTGTCTAAATGTACAGAGTCTGTTTCAGCTTCTCCTGTGTTCATAATAGCCAGGGCTTTGCTCCAAGATATCAGGCCAAATGATCAGACATTTATGGTGTTTGCTGCCTGTACACAGATGGAACACATGTTGATTTTGTTTCTTTTTTTAAGAGGAAAACAATCAGATGTATGAAATGGCTTTTAGCCTCTTAATTTGCTTTTGGTGACTTCCGTAACATTATCTAGGTATTTAGTTTTGCTACTTCTACAAACCTTCATTTGTTTTACTTCATTTGTTGATATCCTAGAGTTTTTAGAAAATCACTTCTGAGGTTGTAATTTCCTGTTAACAATGTGAACAATTGTGGACCTATCTTCTTTGTTAATCTCTTGGTTTGTAGAAGTTTTGGGTATCCTCAAAAGCAAAGTAAATGTCAGCGCCAGCTCCAGGATTGTGCCGTGTTTACAGAATTGGGTACTTGTTTGTTTGTGAAAAGATGGGCCCGGTGTTGCGTATCCACAGTGGCTCAGATTTAGTCTTATGTGTGTGTGTTTATTTCCTATACTTGCTGTGGTACACTTCATGGATAAAGGATGGGGCTTCCCAGAGTGACTTTTGTAGCAATAAAGGACTTAACGGTCTGCTTATCCTTTCTCTGTTTCTTGCTGTTTCAACCCTTAGCAAATTCTTGCAGTTGTTCCAGTTCAAAAAGTGGACAAAGGATAGGGCAGTGCTCATTTTCAAATCCCTCTTTTAGGAGAGATTGGAGGAAAGCAGAGAGGATGAAATGTAGTTTAGAACCTTTCCTTCCCCAAGATAATTAGCATTCTCTTCAAATTCATTGGTCTCTGGGGGATCTGTTCTACCTTTAAGTTGGCTCCAAACTGAATGCAGGTATTATAGGCAGAGAAGCTCGAGGGAGTTTGAGATGTGCCTTCAGAGCATAATAAATATCTTACTTAGGGTGTGTTTACTTAGTCCTAAAGGATTCAGCAAGTTTTTGAAGTCATAAATTACTTCTCTTCAAATTTGATTGTACAAATAATATATTCCTTATAGATATTTTTTAAAGTTCATTTTGGATGTACAATTTAGAAATAATAGTATAGTTGTTTGTCTTTTTATTCTTGAGTGTTGGCAAACGCAGTGAGGAAAATATCATATGTGGTTCATTGCTGGAGACTAGTTTAAGGAAGAACCTAAATTAGCTACAGAAGTTAATTCTAACTTTGGTAGTGTCAGATAACAGGACTCCAACATGCAATGATGTTGCTGGTTTTTCTGGGTGTTGCTGTTGTTGACACTTAAGTCTGTATAAATCCTAGAGACAGTAATCTGCCCCAGCAAACACAGACTTCTGTGGAACAAGCTGCTGTATGTAGGAACCAACAAACTCTTCTCAAGTAGGTGTGTCTAACTAAAATAAAACCACTGAGGAAAATGGCTTGATACTAAACTTCCCTAAACCAGGTAGGTGTGTTTTCTGTCCTTCTATGGTAATTGTATTAACCTCACCAAAATTTCTCTGAAAACACAGCCTTGAAATTGTTTGTATTCTTGCTTGTCTCCAACTGAACTGTAAGCTCCCTAAGGATTTTATTCACTGGTTAATACCTTGGGCATGACATTCCAATGTCTGAATGGGAGTAAGCATTTGAAATATTAGTGTATTGATTAATAAATAGGACTCCTTGTGTTAAAGCAAAACCTGACTCTTAAATACAGCTGACATTTTTCTAAATAGTTAAAATGATCAACAATAATAGCATTCAGTTATTTATTATGTGTCTGACACTGTGCTAAGTACTTTTCATACCATCTCTTTAAATCCTTACAACTGGTCAAACTAATGAGGCTCTGGCATCAGAAAAACCTGGGTTTAAACTTGTGGTCTGCCTCTTGTTAGCTCCTTGCAATTAGTAGATCTATGTGAGGTACCAATCTTAATTGGCAAATAGGGCTAATAATAACTTTATCAAAGAATGCTGGGAATAACATTTATCTTTGCCTAGCATGTAGCTTGCACCCTTTAATTGTTATTTCTGTGTTTAAGATCATTATATTCTTGGAGTCAGTGAATACCAGAAAATAATTTACCCATTTGGAACAGAAAAGGAAAGAAATTTTTCCTTTTACTCCACTAGTATCTTATTCTTATGTTTATCTAAATATCCATCTATTTATTCTAATATTGGTATAACCTAGCAGCTTTTAATCAGTTTGAATCTACTATATACGACCTCAGTTTCATAAAACTATTTAATAATTACTCTTGAACAGAATCCCTTCTAATTGTCATTGGTTTTTCATTCTACCCAAGATCTTTTGCCAGTTTTCTGATACCTCCTTGTTTGAGTATGCTGTGAGTTTGTTTAGATGGAATGTTGTTGCATGAGATCCTGACATTATGTGTACCTAACTCTGACTGTCCTACAAAGAATAAGAAAAAAATGCACTGTGATAACAGAGACAAAAGACAGTATGAGTGAATAGCCAGTCAGAAGAAATGCCAGACATAAACAACTGGTGCCTGTAATACAACTACTGTAACCATACAAAACCCGGACATTTATATGTCTGTGCCAGCCGAGTGTCAGGCTAATGGTCAGTCACCTCTTTGACTTTCCTTGGTCTATGTATAAACAGGCAGAATTTATTAACAACTGTGACAAACTCTACTCAGACACTCTTCCCAATGGGGCTTTCTGATTATATTTTTATACCACTTAAAGTTTCTTTTCCTAGGAGCCAGGACTTAAGCAGAAACTGAAAGGACAGAACCATTATAGAAAATACATTAACCATAAAAATATTGCAACTGCTTCATTAAAACTAAAGTTTTCTTGCCATTAAAAATGTCTTACTAGGGCCGGGTGCGGTGGCTCACGCCTGTAATCCTAGCACTTTGGGAGGTCGAGGCAGGTGCATCACGAGGTCAGGAGATCGAGACCATCCTGGCTAACACGGTGAAACCCCGTCTCTACTAAAAGTACAAAAAATTAGCGGGGCACGGTGGCAGGTGCCTGTAGTCCCAGCTACTCAGGGGGTTGAGGCAGGAGAATGGCGTGAACCTGGGAGGCAGAACTTGCAGTGAACCGAGATCGCACCTCTGCACTCCAGCCTGGGCGACAGAGCGACACTCCGTCTCAAAAAAAAAAAGAAAAAAAAAGTCTTATTAGTATCCTATATAGGAATTAAAAAATATAAACAACTAAAGAATAAATCAACATTGTGGCCCAAACATTTGGGTCAACACCTCCTTATGAACAAATTTTAAAAATCTATGATCCTTAAGGAAAGTAGGTGCATCAGATGTCTATAAATGGCTGGAGTATGGTATTCAAAAAGTGTGAAGCGTCTCAGTTTCTACCCTGCTTGCAAGTTGACAAGGTAGCCTGCCACAGCTTTACAGAAAATGGTAGAAAATATGAGACTCCTGGGTCAGAGACAAAAGGCTTTGCTACTCATGTCACATCAAGCAGCACAAGCTTTGTTCCCACTGGTTCCTCGTGATCTCCAGATCCCGCAGGGCAATACAGATGGATATAGATGAATGCTGTGCAGGCAATATGTTTCTGTCTCAACTAAGGTACCCCAAACTGGGGAAACCCCACTCTTTTATAATAAGCAACAGGAAACCTGCTTAAACTTTAACCCAGTACTCTTGTCAGTAAACACACCTACCTTCTGCTCTGGAGGAAGACAGCTCTGTACCTCCCATAGCTATTCTCTATATAAACATCCTCAAAAAGATAGCCCAGTACAAAACTTGTCAGTGCATCTGCTTGCAAGATGTGCAGAAATGTGAGAAACCCTTGGAGAATTCTCTCTCAACATGTAAGAGCCCGAGGAATCATCTGGCTGTGAACTAATACTGAAAAGAAGATTTGAGCTTTTCCCTATCAAATCAGACCACTTAGCATCCTCTGTTTTTCTCTCTCTCTCTTTTAATGTACTGATGAATCTTCTTTTTTTCTGGAAAGAATCAGTGCCAATGGCCCTTCTGATGGAAACTGAATCTCTGAGATGCCAATTAACATTGCATTGCTGAGAGTAGTCAATTCTTTATTTGTTTTTCCAGCCAAGTTTCTGCATTTGAGCTTTAAAGGTTTTGTTTTCATGGTCTATAGCACAGGGGGAAAATGACAAAACCAACTAAATCCTCTATAAGCACCAGAGAAAGAAAAGCAAAAGCTTGTTGCTGAACCAATTTTATTTCCTTTTTTTGTTTTCCAAGCCCTGATTATTTATAGCTATTGTAGAAATCGGTAAAAGACAAATAAGACTAATAGTAGGTAAAAAAAAAAAAAAAAAAAAGCTGGAATGACACCAATGGGTTAAAAAGAGAACTGAATTGTGTCAATGCAAAATGCATTTTGAAAGAACTTCAGAGAATCAGGTAGAGAAAAGGTCAGGATATGATATTTCTGAGACCAGAAGTGAGCCATTGATGTGTCTTTATTACATTTCTATTTGTGAAGCATTTCTCACTACTTCTTAATTATTTGTTTTTCATTTAGAAACTTGGTTTTATTATTTCAGCAAACTTTATATCACACTGCTGTTTCAAAAGAGAAATATATTAGTCTTAAATGTAGGCTTTGGCACAAGAGCTCATTATATTTGAGCCATGTCAAATGTTAAGCTAAAAGAGGAGGAAAAAACTTGGTGTGACCAGGTTAATTTAATTAACCAGTTTCTTTCTTGAATTTGATAATCCCTATGAAAGCATATAACATTCTACCTATATATGCAGGAATCTTTTGCATAAGTTATTTGAAATATTTTAAAAGAAATCATTGTAATGTCAATGTATTGGGAGCCATTTTGCAAGATATACATATATTGATATTTTCACTTTTAATATCTATATAAAGAAATGAAGAAAATATAGTTAGTAAAGACCTTACATAATGTTCTGGAATGAAAAGATCTTCTATGGGTAATGCATTGGCAATTCTGATGTAAATCCCAGATAATTTCTCACCTAGGTATCATAAAATTAAGTTTGTCCTAAAGCTCCCTCCTTGTAAGTTCAGTCTAAAGTTTTATCCATACATAAAGAACTGTAACCTAACTGTATGTGTGAACAGACTGTAACCTATTCTTGTAACAAGTAGCTGGGCCTCAGCCTGTCACAGAAGCCATACTGCAACCACTCACAGGCGGCCAGTTGTTCAAACCGTGTTCAAATAAGGCAAACATGAGCTGTAACCAATCCTGCTGTTTCTGTGCCACACTTTCCTTTTTCAGTCCATAAATCCTCTCTGATCACATAGCAATGCTGGAGTCTCTGAAACTATTCATTCAATAATCGTTCTTTTGTCAATTAAAATGCTAACTTTTGTCTAAAGTTTTTCTTTTATCACTATGAATAAAAGATCTTTAATTATTGACCAATTTATCCATCCAAGGTCAGCTGTTACATTTTGTTTGTTTGCTTTTTGAGGCAGGGTATCACTCTGTTGCCCAGGCTGAAGTGCAGTGACGTGATCATGACTCTGCAGCTTTGACCTCCCGGGCTCAAGCGATCCTCCCACCTCAGCCTCTAAAACAGTGGGGACTACAGGTGCATGCCAACATGTGTGGCTAATTATTGTATTTTTACTACAGACAGGGTTTCTCTATGTTACCCAGGCTGGTCTTAAACTCCTGGACTCGAGTGATCCACCTGCCTCGGCTTCCCAAAGTGCCATGATTACAGGTGTGAGCCACTGCACCTGGCCTCAAAGTGAGCTCTTACAATACAGCTTGTTTTCATGTAGCTGTTATATAAATAGTGTATTCATATACATGAAGGACACTGACAGTCTCATCTGTTTTTATATCTAACGTTAATCGGAGTTAAATAAATTTTATTTCTGATTTTGTTGTTTCCTCAACTCCTTCTACTTTTCATATTGCTTTAAAGCAAGAGAAAAAGATAAAACTTTTAAAATTCTTTCTCTTTCCTAGTTATATGACATGCAGATAATGCCTTGACCATTAAAAATATTTTTACATCCTATAATTTAGGATGTATGTTTTCTTTATGTGAAGAGATGCTAAATGGCAACCAAAGTACTACAGATTAAATAAACTACTTTGCAATTTTATAGCAAAGAGTGTTTGTGGTACATCTAAATGATTTTCAAATTGTGCTTTCAGGGACCAGAACAGATTTGCTTTCAAAATGAAGGTAGCTTTAAAAAGCACTGTGTAAACCTTGCTGGTTTACCAAAGGAGCTAGTTAAGGTCCCTTTGAGGACACTTAAAAAGATTTTAAGAGAAATCAGCAATTAATTATTGAAAATTATACACCTAAAAACTATAGCTTCAAAGGACAAAGAGCTCAGATTAAGGCAGGCAGGTAACAAAGTGATTCCCTTCTGATTAGGAGAAAACACAGGTGTAGCAGTTCCAATGGCATGTAAAGGGCAAGTAGAATTTTGAACAGATTTCTGTTCTTGCCATGGTTTGAAAGGAAAAGAGAGATAGATGCACATTCCTGAAAACACCAAGTGGGCAAATATTCAGGAAAGGCCATTAAAATTCTTCTTAGAAATAAAAATATTCATGAATCAAATACTCTCATTGGAGAGCAAAGACTTCAGGGATCTTTAGACCCTGTAGAACAGACTATGAATCTTAAGACAACTTCTGAGCAGCCTAGAAAAGAACTCCAGCTTAGAAAAGGATTTCAGGATTTCTCAAACATTAATGCACGTTTGAATCACTTGGGGATTTTCTTAGATGTAGGTTCTGACTTTGTTGTTCTGGGGTTGGGCCCATGATGCTGCATTTCTGACAAGCTCTGATGTCACAGGTTGATGCCAGCGGTGTTAATGTGAGGACCCACTTTGAGCAGAAAAACATTAGATAGTGGCTGAAAGTCAATTGACCTTAGATGTGTGGGTCTCCTTCTGAACTCTATATTCTATTAATCTATATGCAGTATTTACCATTCTTCTGATCATATGAACTAAGTTACTAGCTTTACTAAAATCAGGTACTATAAGTCTTCAAAGTTATAAAAATTTTTCCTTTTAAAATTGTTTCAATTATTCTAGAATGTTTGTATTTACATGTGAATTTTATACTGAGCTTGCTGAATGGTTTCTATTGCAAAATTTCTTCTGGTTAAATTATAATGGTCTTAAAATCTGTAGATCAATTTGGAGTTAATGAAATTTCAATTTGGTTTAAGTTTACATTTCCCCAAAGACTAATGATGTTGGACATCTTTTAATATGCTTTTTGTCATTTATACATTTTTTTCTAAAATGTTCATTCAAAATTTTCCCGTTAAAATTAGTTGTTTTTTGTATACGATCATGTTGTGTATATCTTTATTCTGGATACAAGTCTTTTGGAAGATATATATTTTGAATACATTTTCTAATATGTGATATGCCTATGAATTGCTTTAATAGTGTCCTTTAAAGAGCCAATTTTTAATTGATAATGTCACCAATATAAAGTGTGTTCATACTCTTTGTTTTTTATCTAAGAAACTTC
The DNA here is from genome assembly GCF_000001405.40 of Homo sapiens. Classification (NCBI taxonomy): domain Eukaryota; kingdom Metazoa; phylum Chordata; class Mammalia; order Primates; family Hominidae; genus Homo; species Homo sapiens. Next base: position 53,616,212 of record NC_000013.11, read on the forward strand.
AAGGTTAAGAAAATTTTTCATCTTTATTCTTCAAAAAGATGAATGGCTTTACCGTTTACATTTAAAACTATTACTACTTTGGATTGATTTTTACATACACGATGAGGTAAGGGTCAATACTTTTTTTTCCATGTGAAATATAAATACCCAGTTGTTCCAACCTCATTTGTTTAAATGTTCGCACTTTCCTGAATAAATTATCTTTAGCATAATTATAAAAAATTAATCAATGTATATATATGTTTATTTCAGGGCCATATATTTGGACTTAAGGTTAGATTAACATTTTAAAAAGTAACTGAATCAGTTCACCATGTTAATACTAAAAGAGAAGAAAACATATGATCAACTCAATAGTTGCAATATATTATTGATCAAAACTCAGTATCCGTCTGTGATATAACTCTCAGCAGATTAGGAATAGATAAATCTGATAAAGATCATCTATAAAAACTGTACAGCTAACATTATATTTAATGATGAAAGACTGAATGATTCTCCCTAAAATTAGGAAAAAAAGATGTCCACTTTTATCATTTTTATTCATTATTGTATGTTCTAGCCTGTGTTTTAATAAAGAAAAAAATAATAAGAGGTATCCAGAATGAAAAGAAAAAAGTAAAACCCTGTTTATTTCCATATGACATGATTATATAGGTAGAAAATCCAATGGAATATACAAAAATAATATTAGAAATAACTAATGAGTTTAGTAAGTTTCCAGGATACAAGATGTATGCACCAAAATCAAAAGTATTTTTATATGCAAGCAGCAAATAATTTGAAATGAAAAAAATTTATAAAACAGAGAAAAGAAAGAGAGATTTGTAGATATATTTATACATAGAAAACAACAAAACACTGTTGAAAAAATTAAAGAACTAAAGAAATGGATAGCTCTATTGTATTCATTGGTCAGAACCCTTCTTACTATTAAAATATCAATTCTTCCCAAATTGACCTGTACATTCGATGATATCCAACCACAATCTTAGCAGGCTTTTGGATGGAAATATACAAACTTATTTAAATGTTTGTAAATAACTTAATCTAACTTATTTATATTTAAATGCACAGGACCTAGAATAATCAAACCACGTTGAAAACAACAAAATTGGAGGAGTAGCACTACATAACTTATGAATTACTATAAAGCTACAGTAATCAATAATGTCTGCTGGTGGTCTCAAGAGAATGACAAATAGATCAATGGAACAAAATGAAGAACCTTGAGGTATAGCAACATATATATGGTCATTAATTTTGACAAAAGTTAAAAGCCATTCAATGGAGAAAAGCTCCATTTTCAACAAATGGAGCCAGAAGAATTAGACATCTATATGCAAAAAACTAACCTCTTCATGTAAGCCACACAATGTAGAAACAAAAGCCCTCAAACTTGGTAGACCTAAGTGAAATCCCAAAGCTATAACGCTTCTAGGAGAAATATGGAAAATAATTTTGTAAACATGGGTTAAAATCTCTTAGACACTCTTCAGACATGATACACTAAAGAATAAATTGGTAAATTTGACTGTATCAAAAATAAAATTGTGTTTTCAAAAAATAACATTAATAAAATGAAAAGACAAACATGGGAAATTATTTGGAAACAATCTATTTGTAAAATAATTTGTATGCAAAATATATAAATAACAATCAAACTCAGCAATAACAAAATAAGCAATCCAATAAAAATGGGCCAAAAAATTGAATGGCCACTCCATCAAGGAAGAGATATGAATGGCAAGTAATAAATATTAAAACTTTTTCAACATTACTAGTTATTAGGGAAATGCAAATTAAAACCACAATGAAATAGCAGTACATCAGAACAGATAAAATTCAAAAAATAAAAACAAAAACTGACTATATAAAATATTGAAAAGGACATGAAGCAACTGGAACTCTTATACAATGCTTGTGGGAATGTAATGCAAAAGGTACAACCACTTTGCAGCTTGGTTCTTTAAGGCTGAGCATATATCTACAGTATGACCCACCTATTCCACTTGTAGGTATTTACTCTAAAGAAGTGATAGTATAAGTTCACATAAAGTTATGTACATCAATGTTCATAGCAGCAGTTAAAAACTGGGGAAACAGCGCAACTATCCATCAATAGGTGAATGGATCATCAAACTGTATACCAATTTAATGGAATATTAGGCATAAAAAAGAGTGAATTATTGATATATAACATAATAAAGATGAACTCAGTATTCTGAGGGTACATGAAAGAAGTCATACTAAAAAGAGTACTTTCTGTATCAATCCATGTATACAAATTTCTTGTAAGTACAAACGAATTAGTATTGGTGGAACAAAGATCAGTTGCTTGTGAACCATGGACAGGACAAAGAGGAAGGGACAGAGGAAGAGGTTACAAAGGACATGGGGAAACATTTAGGATGATAGCTATGTTAATTATCTTAATTATGGTGATGCTTTTTATGGGTGTATACATATTAGAACTTACCAAATTTTTCACTTTCAATATGTGCATTTTATATCATTTATATGTTATAAAGCTATTAAAATAAAAATTAAGTGCTTGGAATTATATCAAATCACAGTACTTTCCCCCATGTGTTTTATTTTGATCATTATCATTGGAGCTGCAACTTGTATTTTAAAATACCAGCTATGAAGAGTAAAATCTGCAAGGTAATATACCACTTGCATTTTTTAAAAGGGGACAGAGAGAATAACCTCTGCTCTTAAGAAATTTATAAATGAAGCAATTGTGAATGGGAGTTCACTCATGATTTGGCTCTCTGTTTCTCTGTTATTGGTGTATAAGTATGCTTGTGATTTTTGTACATTGATTTTGTATCCTGAGACTTTGCTGAAGTTGCTTATCAGCTTAAGGAGATTTTGGGCTGAGACGATGGGGTTTTCTAAATATATAATCATGTCATCTGCAAACAGGGACAATTTGACTTCCTCTTTTCCTAATTGAATACCCTTTATTTCTTTCTCCTGCCTGATTGCCCTGGCCAGAACTTCCAACACTACGTTGAATAGGAGTGGTGAGAGAGGGCATCTCTGTCTTGTGCCAGTTTTCAAAGGGAATGCTTCCAGTTTTTGCCATTCAGTATGATATTGGCTGTGGGTTTGTCATAAATAGCTCTTGTTATTTTGAGATATGTCCCATCAATACCTAATTTATTGAGAGTTTTTAGCATGAAGTTCTGTTGAATTTTGTCAAAGGCCTTTTCTGCATCTATTGAGATAATCATGTGGTTTTTGTCTTTGGTTCTGTTTATATGCTGGATTACGTTTATTGATTTGTGTATGTTGAACCAGCCTTGCATCCCAGGGATGAAGCCCACTTGATCTTGGTGGATAAGCTTTTTGATGTGCTGCTGGATTTGGTTTGCCAGTATTTTATTGAGGATTTTTGCATCAATGTTCATTAGGGATATTGGTCTAAAATTCTCTTTTTTTGTTGTGTCTCTGCCAGGCTTTGGTATCAGGATAAGGCTGGCCTCATAAAATGAGTTAGAGAGAATAAAATACCTAGGAATCCAACTTACAAGGGATGTGAAGGACCTCTTCAAGGAGAACTACAAACCACTGCTCAACGAAATAAAAGAGGACACAAACAAATGGAAGAACATTCCATGCTCATGGATAGGAAGAATCAATATCATGAAAATGGCCATACTGCCCAAGGTAATTTATAGAATCAATGCCATCCCCATCAAGCTACCAATGACTCTCTTCACAGAATTGGAAAAAATGAATTTAAAGTTCATACGGAACCAAAAAAGAGCCCACATTGCCAAGACAATCCTAAGCAAAAAGAGCAAAGCTGGAGGCAACACGCTACCTGAATTCAAACTATACTACAAGGCTACAGTAACCAAAACAGGATCATACTCGTACCAAAATAGATATATAGACCAATAGAACAGAACAGAGCCCTCAGAAATAATACCACACATCTACAACCATCTGATCTTTGACAAACCTGACAAAAACAAGAAATGGGGAAAGGATTCCCTATTTAATAAATGGTGCTGGGAAAACTGGCTAGCCATATGTAGAAAGCTGAAACTGGACCCCTTCCTTACACCTTATACAAAAATTAATTCAAGATGGATTAAAGACTTAAATGTTAGACCTAAAACCATAAAAACCCTAGAAGAAAAACTAGGGTTTTTCAGGACATAGGCATGGGCAAGGACTTCATGTCTAAAACACCAAAGGCAATGGCAACAAAAGCCAAAATTGACAAATGGAATCTAATTAAACTAAAGAGCTTCTGCACAGCAAAAGAAACTACCATCAGAGTGAACAGGCAACCTACAGAGTGGGAGAAAATTTTTGCAATCTACTCATCTGTCAAAGGGCTAATATCCAGAATCTACAAAGAACACAAACAAATTTACACCAAAAAAACAAACAACCCCATCAAAAAGTGGGCAAAGGGTATGAACAGACACTTCTCAAAAGAAGACATTTACGCAGCCAACAGACACTGGAAAAAATGCTCATCATCACTGGCCATCAGAGAAATGCAAATCAAAACCACAATGAGATACCATCTCACACCAGTTAGAATGGTGATCATTAAAAAGTCAGGAAACAACAGGTGCTGGAGAGGATGTGGAGAAATAGGAACACTTTTACACTGTTGGTGGGACTGTAAACTAGTTCAACCATTATGGAAGACAGTGTGACAATTCCTCAAGGATCTAGAACTAGAAATACCATTTGACCCAGCCATCCCGTTACTGGGTATATACCCAAAGGACTATAAATCATGCTGCTATAAAGACACATGCACATGTATGTTTATTGTGGCACTATTCACAATAGCAAAGACTTGGAACCAACCAAAATGTCCATCAATGATAGACTGGATTAAGAAAATGTGGCACATATACACCATGGAATACTGTGCAGCCATAAAAAAGGATGAGTTCATGTCCTTTATAGGGACATGGATGAAGCTGGAAACCATCATTCTCAGCAAACTATCGCAAGGACAAAAAACCACACCCTGCATGTTCTCACTCATAGATGGGAATTGAACAGTGAGAACACTTGGACACAGGAAGGGGAACATCACACACCGGGGCCTGTCGTGGGGTTGGGAGAGTGGGGACGGAAAGCATTAGGAGATATACCTAATGTAAATGATGAGTTAATGGGTGCAGCACACCAACATGGCACGTGTATACATATGTAACAAACCTGCACGTTGTGCACGTGTACCCTAGAACTTAAAGTATAATTAAAAAAAAAAATTTATAAGAGATCATCAGATTTACATTTAGAATTTCTGAATGAATTTTTAGAAATCAACAACTATTGAATCAGAAGGAAATAACTCAATGTGGAACAAATTCAGTACCTGAGGGGATGCAGGTTTTAATGGTAATCAGCTGAGTTCAGGTTTTTCCAAGGAAGCTTTCAGGAGTGGGTTTCCCTCTTGCCACAGACTTCTTTTTTACCTTCAGACTTTCAAGCTTCAACTAAGTATTGCACACAAAGAAAGAAACTTACTGCAGTACTTGAGTGGGAATCAAGTAAACACTTTGGATCGACACCCATGGGTCTTTTCCTGCACCAAAGTACATACATGCCATTTCCATGCATCCTTCTACGTAAGCCCTTATATTAGATAGAAGATACAGGATAGCCAGTTATCCTTGAAATGAGTTTTATTCCTCCTAAATGAGTCATAGTCTTGGTATGCAAAATGACAGCACTTTATTGCCTCATGCAGTCCTTTAAAAACTAAAAATCAGAAATTCTACAGTTGTTTTGAGCCTAATAACAATAACTAATATGTATTGAATACTTTTTATGTACCAACCATTTCTCATGTATTATTTCTTAATTGAGCCTCATATTACTTTTGCCCCAATTGTTAGGGATTGTGATATTTGTATTTTTTTGTCTTTATTTATGCATAGTGTTTTCATTTCATTTTCTTCCAAACGTCAAGGGCAAATGCATTGTTTATCCATAGAGACAACAGAAGCATTTTGTCATGTGGAAATTTATTGTGATATAATAATACATTTGTATACCCCAGTGAGATAAATTTGAACTCATAGTCACCCCATACCAGAATCAAAATACTAAATGTGTGAAGCTTGTTTATTCTTACATGTCAACATGTGCCAGATTATCCTACACAAAGTATGTAAAATTCATTTGCACAAGAACCATCAGATTCAGAATAAACAGTTTCAAAATGCATTAGGGTTAACACAGCAAAGAATTTGGTACTCAGTAGAGATGAACAGCATTGAAATGCCTGTTAACTGCCTCTTTACTGAGGAAGCACGTGCTATTTGGATGCTTTTTAGCATAGTAAATCTATTTCTATGCTTCAAACATAACATAACAAGAAAGACAACATGCTCTACTCTTAAGTTAAGAAAACATATGGGCATGATGCGGAGTTTTGATGATCCATTCAACCTGGAATTTAGCCTAGACATGATTCACTAAATCTTAGATTGAAAAGAAACAAAACAAACCTCATCCTCCACAGACTTGTGTTAAGTTTTGCTTTAGAAACAGATGGCAAAGTAGAAAAGCTGGCTGGAAATTGATTGAATTTGAAAAATCAGATGAGGAAAAATCAAGTAATTCACAAGTCCAATAGATTGTTTTGAGGTTTCAGGACTATTCTTCACAGAATACCCTCAAGAGTGTTTTGGCTTATGTCATTAGGAACAACAGGTGATTATCATTATTTCTTTATCCTTTCTTTCGGGAATCTTTCTTTCTATTCTGAAGGTCTCCACTCTCCAAAGTATTTCCAGAAACAAAGCACATATTTTATTGTCTCTTTACTTTATGCCTTGAATTCTACTTGGATATTATTCTGACTCCTTAATGTGCATGCCTTACAACACTTGTAGATAGTTATCATGTCTGTCAACTTTAATCACTGCATAGCCAGACTGCATACACACACATGCATGCGTGCATGTGTGTGTGCACATGCACACACACACTATGTCACTTCTGAGAGGGGTTTATAAATGAAACATATTTGTGTAATCTTTCTTTTTTCCCTTACTGAATTAATTGTAGCTTTCATTCTTAGATTTTACATTCTATGACTGTCTACCTCTTTTCAGACCAGCTTTCTGGGCATCTTCCAATTCAATTTGAGGAAAACTTGTAAATTTTAAGATAAGAGAGACTCAGATGGAGGCCAAAAGATGTAATTTGGAAAATGTCAAAACCAATTTAAAAAGGAAAATAAAAGTATAAAAAATGCATGTTTATGCTAAGTCAAAAAACCAGGGAGTATTTCAGCTCACGAGTGGCCATAATGACATATTAAAGTCAATTCATTTTTTTCCTGTACCATATGGAAAAACATTCATTGCTAGACCAATCTATATACAGTCCTTATGTCAACTTTGTGTCTGTCAGGAGTAGAAAAGCAGCATGGTGGCCCCTTGAAAGGACACATTTCCATAGACAGTCAACGGGTTGGGCTATCACTTCTTGGTCACTCATGATCCCTGACAGACTCTTCTGGGGAAGTGATTGAGAAAAGAGCTAAAGGAATGGCCTCCAAAATGAAAAAAAAAAAAAGCATGTACAAAATATTCTGCTCGGGGGACACAGAGAGAGTATAGAACTTCCACGTGTTTATTTGATCTACAAATTAGAAAAAAAAATCACATTTGACCATTATTTGATACTATGCGAACATATATGCACACTCTAAATCAGTGTCTAAGTTAGACCTGAGCCATGTTAAAAACTTGAGATGTCCTGAAGGAAAAAGAGAAGTTTCAAGCTGAGAGGTCTACAGTGGTGTGTTCAGTTCTCTGTTTGCTCTTGGCATATCAAGGTAGATAATGATACATGTTTTGCCCAGGTCCTATCATGTAAGGTTATATTATCAACTAAATTAGTCCTCAGAAAATGAATGTGTTGCTTGCAAAAAAGCAACTACATGGAAATTCCAGACTGAAGAACACACTAATATTGCAAGGAGAGTGAATAAGAAAATAGCAGAGCTGACTTATCCATTCTTTGAGCTCTTCCTAGGCCACCTTATGGGATAAAGCATTTATCATCTACTCATAGAGTGTATAAAGTACCTTCAAAAATTAGCTAATGAGCCCTACGAACCCAGAACAACAGTATTGAGCCCTATAATGTTTTCAACTATGTTTAATGTTTTTTGATACCCAACCTAGTATAAGTCTTCACTAAGCATAGGGATCAGTGATTAAAACATTTGAGATTTTTCCTTTATTAACAGAATTCAAAATGCCCCATTGGATTATATAACAGAAATGGATGAAATAAACATGGAGAACAGTAAGACACAAACTGAAATGCAGTCTGCCCTCCATATCCTTGGGTTTTGTATCCTTGGATTCAACTAATTGTGGCTCAAAAATATTGTAAAATAAATACAACAATAAAAATAATACAAATAAGCAATATAATAGAACAACTATTTACATAGCCTTACATCGTATTAGGTATTGCAAGTGCATCTAGAGATGATTTAAAGTGTACAGGAGGATATGCATAGGTTATATGCAAATACTACACTATTTTATATTAGGGACTTGAGCATCCATTAATTTTGGCATCCATGGACGTCCTGGAATCAATCTCCCACGGATAGCAAAGGATGACTACATCACTTTCCCAGTAAAAACAGACATAGAGGAAATATTGTTTAATATTGGAAGAAACAAGTACTAGAACAAATTCACAATGTGGGATATTTGCCATGCAGTTCGATAAAGAAAGAGATATTTCCAACATGCCTGAACTTATGGTATTTTCAAAATTCTGTTTTAGCAATGAAATATAAAATTATTTTGTGAACTACATTACTAAAAAGCTGTACCGGACTTATGACTTTTTAATTAAAACATTCTATAGACAAACAGCATAGGTATAAACTCATGTGGTGGCAACTTGGCTGAAATTTATGAGCATGGGGCAAAAGGAAACAGAGTTAGCATCGTGTTTACAATATTTTCATTGCATGATAATTTACAGCAAAGCAGAGAAATTGAGGCCAGAAGTACACAAAATGTTATGATATGTCCCCAAACATATAAACACAACAAAAATGATACCTGGCATTAAAAAAAAACACTTCTTCATGCCAGACTCTGTCCTTAGTGACTTGACTTTTTTTTTTTTTTTTTTTTTGAAACGGATTCTCACTCTTTTGCCCAGGCTGGAGTGCAGTGGCGCCATCTCGGCTCACTACAACCTCCTCCTCCTGGGTTCAAGAAATTCTCCTGCCTCAGCCTCCCGAGTAGCTGGGACTACAGGTGCACGCCACCATGCCCAGCTAATTTTTTGTACTTTTAGTAGAGACAGGGTTTCACCATGTTAGCCAGGATGGTCTCGATCTCCTGACCTCGTGATCCACCTGCCTTGGCCTCCCAAAGTGCTGGGATTACAGGCGTGAGCCACCGCGCCATTCACTCACTTAGTCATCATGACTATATGGAGGGTGATTCAGTTCCAAGTTCATTTTTCAGATGTGGAGACTGAGACACAGAGAAGTTAGAAATCTCCCATAGATCACATAGAATGTGGTCAAATCAGGCCAATCTGGTCAGTCTGGCTCTAGAGTCAATTACTAAATTTTACTGCTACTCTTATCTAGGTATCTTTGTGAGGCATTTTTTTTTTTTTAGCCACAACAGCCATTAATATCAAAAATAAAAGTAAACAGAATTTAGAAGCAAACTTTGAAATCACTGCATATTTTATCACATTTTCTTTCTAAAATATTTAAAACATTTTTAGCAAAGAAAGGAGCTACTTAATCATTAATAAGTACAGCCAATACAGTATTTTAAATTTCATCTTTAGGATGTCCTTTAAATTTTCCATTGTTCGTATTTTTCATCACATACATAGCATATTTGTACCTGTATATAATATGCATGTTCATGTGTATCTATGTATACATTTTTATTAGGACATGCATACGAAAGGTATACTGATGGCAGTACAATAAAAAAAAGTCTAAGGATTGGTGAGCTAAAGAAATAATTTGTACTAAATAAGAACAGGAATGGAAAAAACCAAGCGAGATAGAGGGATGAGGATTCTAAAGACTCTGAGGAGCAGGGGGAATCAGTAGAAATATTAGGAGATTGTGCCTGAAACATGGAGAAGAAGAAAAGAATGATGGATATGGTGTGAGATGAGGCTGTAAAGGGTGTTGGGGAGGACGAGACGACAGGTGGGAGAAAGGTCTGTACCAAGGCGATGGCAAAAGAAGGTCAGTGGGAAATGGTGAACTTTGGACTAGATAGGTGGCATTGAAATGAAGCAAAGATATATGGAGAAAAACGTATACTGAGGTCATCTATTTCTTTTTCGTCTATCTAAGAGAAAATGGTAGTCACAGTGATGAAAGGTGAGGCTATGAAAGGTAAAAATGGGAGGATTCAACATTTTGACAAAATAGGTTTTTGTAAGATACAGTAAAGAAAAAATGGATATGTAAATATTGTTTATTTATTTATAATTTTAAATTTGTCTTATAATTTCTGATAATCAAGAGTGACTTGAAATACTTCAGCATTTTGTTTCTTATTGTATAAAGTTCTCAATAATCTCTAAACAAGCATTTAAAGGGACGTATGATTTTTATCTTTTTAATAGAATGAGGTATCCTTTTGTAACTGGAATCATTCTGTTCTCCAAATTATGAATTTATGGCTCTGCAAGAGATGTTGAGCTCTTTTTAATCCTATAAAAACACTATCCCATTCAGAGATGCAACTCGGTTCACACACAAACACAATTTTCAAAATTCCTTCTAAGGGTTTTAGGTTTGTTTTTGTTTTTTTCTTTTTTAAAATCTTTTCCATTTGACTACTGAGATTTGGGCCTTACTTCCTAACCCCATACTCAAAAAAGTGAAGGAAAAAGCACTTCTCTCTTTTAAGCGGGAAAAAGGCCTCTGTGGCTGAGGCTTCCTGGTGCAAGGTCACCCCAGAATGTTCCGCTGTCTCCCCTAGAATGTTGATGGGTGTCTCTGAAGCTCCAGAACGCTGACATTGGAGGTGTTGCCGAAGAAATATTCTTAACGACTAAAGAGTTATGTCCCTTATCAATGTTGCATTGTGAGCATTCTGGAAGATTGCCAAAGCTTTGTAAAACACCCGTATTATTTTAAATCTCAGACACATTGAGATCAAAAGTTAATAGAAAGTCTTCAGTTAAAAAAAAAAGAAATTAAATAAGTATATAAATGAATAAACCAGAAAATCATAGTGAAAGGGAGTTTTATAAGCTTTACAGTAGTGGAAGAAAGTAAAATTGTGCTTTGCAATAGAAGATATTAACTTAAAGTTTAAAATAACAGGGATTCTGTGAATTTTATGAGGACTGTGCACACTGAGTTTATCCATGTACTTAAGAAAAAACCTTCTCTTAAACTTCTTCCTGTATTCAATATGAACTTTAAATATCAGCTTTTGAAGATAATTTTGGAAATGCACAGTATATTCACATATCCTAGGGAAGCAGAGGGTGCAGGATCCATTAGTTCAAATCTGTTCTTTTGACTTGATGTGTTAATACAAAACATAATAGAATTAATAGTAGCTTCTCCAGATCTGGCATATCTGGGTGTTAAGAGCCCTTGAACCACCTCTGTCCCTCTAATGGGACAATGTGAGACTAAGGTACAAGAGTGTAAAGAGTGAAAAGATGTGAGGTCATTATTATCTCCTATGAATCTTTGCAACCCAATAGAGATAGCTAATTAGGACAAGATTTTTTTTTCAGCTAGGTATTGGAAATTTTGAAGTGCCCACTCTCCTGTTTCCTTTATCTTTTCTATTTTATATCTATGGATTTTCATGCTAAACTTATTTTAAGGGCCTGGCAGGGTGAAAATGGAGTTATTATCTTGAAACAAAACTTTGGTTCATCCCAGAATTGTGACTTACTACATTTTAAATTTCAAGGTTTTTTCCTCTCACTTAGACCTCTCGTTAATGATTCATGAATGAAGACTTTTCCTAGTGTAATGCACTTTTTTCATATCTGGATTAGATGATTAGATACAGTTATCAGGGTCAAGAAAAAGGCACCAATTTAGGTGCAAGAAAAGGTAGAAGTAACTTCAGGCATTAAATTTAATTATAGTTTTTCTTTGTTCTTGGCATGCAAACATCATCCAAATACGAATGGAGGATTAACTGTGCTTAAATCACTGTAGAATTGTAGGGCTGAATAGCACACGTGAGAGACGGCAAATAGGTGAAAATATGTTACTCACGTCACTCCTGTCTCCTAGGGAAGTGGTGGTCATTGCTGATAAGGTCTCAACTTTCTTTCCTGCTGAACTTCAGACTACTTAACACAGAAACTAGGAATAATTGAGAGCTGGCATATAAATGACAACTCACCTCCCATTTCTTTGTTTCCAATAGGAAGTTTATAGTATAAAACTTTTGTAAGAAAGAGAAAGGGTTAAGAATATACAGAAATACTGATTAGATGTACTTGTAACATAGCTACTCAGTTGTGTTGTGTGGTGCTAGGGCGATGAAGCCATTTGACTTACATCTGCTAATCCAGTGATTCCATTGATCTGACTGCTTTTCTCTTTCAGTTTCTTTTTTCTTTCTTTGTTTTTTTTAAGTAAGGGGTACATGCACAGGTTTGTTATATAGGTAAATTTGTATCATGGGGGTTTGTTGTACAGATTATTTCATCACCCAGGTATTAAGCCTAGTACCCATTAGTTGTTTTTTCCTGATCTTCTCCCTCCTCCCACCTACCACCCTCTAGGAGGCAGCAGTGTGTGTTGTTCCGCTCAATATATCCATGTGTTCTTGTCATTTTGTTCCCACTTATGAGTGAAAACATGTATTTGGTATTCTGTTCCTGAGTTAGGTTGCAAAGGATAATGGCCTCCAGCTCCATCCATGTCCCTGCAAAGGACATGATCTCATTTTTTTTTATGGCTGCATAGAATTCTGTGGTGTATATGTACCACATTTTCTTTATCCAGTCTATCACTGATCAGTATTTACGCTGATTCCATGTGTTTGTTATTGTGAATAATGCTGCAATGAACATTTGAGTGCATTTATCTTTATAATAGAACAATTTATATTCCTTTGAGTATATATCCAGTAATGGGATTGCTGGGTTGAATGGTATTTCTGTCCTCACCACACACTGTCTTCCACAACGGTTGAACTAATTTATACTCCCACCAACAGTGTATAAGTGTTCCTTTTTCTCCACAACCTTGCCAGCATCTTTTTTTTTTTTTTTTTTACTTTTTCATAATAGCCATTCTGACTGGTGTTAGATAGTATCTCATTGTGGTTTCGATTTGCATTTCTCTAGTGATAAGTGATGTATAGCTTTTTTTCATGATTGTTAGCCATATGTATGTCTTCTTTAGAGAAGTTTCTGTTCATGTTCTTTGAATACTTTTTTTTTTCTTTTGAGATGGAGTCTCGCTGTGTTGCCAGGCTGGAGTGCAGTGGCGTGATCTCAGCTCACTGCAACCTCCACCTCCTGGGTTCAAGCGATTCTCATGCCTCAGCCTCCCAAGTAGCTGGGATTATAGGCACATGCCACCACACCCAGCTAATTTTTGTATTTTTAGTAGAGACAGGGTTTCACCATGTTGGCCAAGATGGTCTTGATCTCCTGACCTCGTGATCTGCCCGCTTCGGTCTCCCAAAGTGCTGGGATTACAGGTGTGAGCCACCGCGCCCAGCCCTTTGCATACTTTTTAATGGGGTTGTTTGTTTTTCTCTTGCAAACTTGTTTAAATCTCATATAGATTGACTATTAGACTTTTAGATGGACTATTAGACTGTTAGACATACAGATGGCTATAGACTTTTGTCACATACACAGTCTGCAAAACTTTTCTCCAGAGGAAAGGCTGATGAGGAAACTTGCTTTGGAGCCCTCTGAGAAGATCTTTTGAGGGAAGAGATTCCATTCAGGGATCACCACTGATATTGTTTGGATTACATGAGTTTCTTCATGTTTTCTATAAATATTAATTTGATTATTGATTTAAATCATAGATATCTTTTTTCTTTAAAATTTGCTATGTAATATTAAAATATCACTTAGATAAAAGATTCTGAGTGGGTTAAAAAGAGTAAAAATAAAATCATAGCCAAATAATGTTAGCAATTATTAAATGGTTTGTTAAAAAATACAATAAAAACAGAATTAAGGTAGGAGAATTGCTCACCCAGGTGTTTGAGATCAGCCTGGGATAACAAAGTGAGACCCTATCTCTGCAAAAAAATTTAATAATTAGCTGGGTGTGGATATGTGTGCTTATATTCCCAGCTACTGGGGAGGCTGAGGCAAGAGGATTGCTTGAGCTCAGGAGCTTGAGGCTGCAGTGAGATATGATCATACCATTGCACTCATTCTAGCCTGGGCAACAAAGCCAGATTCTTTCTCAGAAAAACAAACAAACAAAAACAAAAAAAAAACCACCCCAGAAAAACAAAACAAAACAAAAAACAACAAATAATTTGGGAGCATTAGCTTGTTTGTAAAATCACTATAAAGGACGATAAAATGGTAAAATGGTGAACTTCCATGTGCTAGAATTAAAGCCCTCCCAAAATTGTGGATAGATATTCATGAAATGGGGAAATTCCTACAGATTCAGAAGCAAAGTAGCTAGTCAATGATTCATGAATAATTGTGTTAACAGCCCATGCGGATTCCCTGGGAACTCTCTACATGCGAGTGTCCCAACAGGCTTCCATCACCATGATTATGTAAAGCAAAATGAGGAAATTCCCTGATTGTTTCCATATCAGTTGGGCTTTAAGTCCTCCCTTGGCTGTATTTCTTCTCCTTCACGGTATCTTTGATGATGATTTTAACCAAGTGTTACCTGTATGCAAATATTTTGTACAAATATTTCCACTGAAGATACAAAATAAAAGTTTTTCCAGATAAAAAGCTTCGTAGGATTGGCCCAGAATGGATAACATTTTTATTTTGAGACAGGGGCTCACTCTGTCACCCAGGCTGGAGTGTAGTGGTGATCACAGCTCACTGAAACCTCTGCCTCCTGGGCTCAAGTGATCCTCCTACCTCTCAGCTTCCTGAGTAGCTGGGACTACTGTTGCCTGCAACTGTGTGCCTGGAAATCCCTTTTTTTTTTGGTAGAGACAGAGTTTCACCATGTTGCCCAAGCTGGACTTGAACACCTGGGATCAAGCGACCCACCAGCCTCCACCTTCCTGAGTGCCAGGATTACAGGCATGAGCCACTGCGCCTGTAATAACAATTTAGGGGATATGTTATTTACCTATTGCAGCATAAAAATTACTCCAAAGCATACTGGCTTAAAACAACAAATATTTATTATGTCAAAGTAGGTCAAAAATCTTGGTGTATTTCAGCAGAGTGTTTGTGGTTCAGAGTTTTTCACAAGGTGTTGCCTGGGCTGCAGTCACCTCAAGGCACAACAGGGGGAAGATCTGGTTTCACATTCATTCAAGTGGCTATTGACAGGCCTCACGTCCTCATTAGCTATTGGCTTGTTCCTTTCCATGTGGGTCTTTCCACAAGGCAGCTTACAACATGGCAGCTGGCTTCTCTCAGAGCAAGTCAGCGAAAGAGTGAAATAGAGCAAGCAAGGTGGAAGCCAAACTGTTCAAAATCTAATTTCAGAAGTACCATCCTGTCACTTTTGCTGTATTCTATCCACTAAAAGGAAGTCACTAGATCCAGTCTACAATCAGAAGAAAAAATTACACACAGACAAAAATTGACAAATGAAAGCCATCTTAGAAGTTGTCTACCACAGAAGGTATGAAATGCATACATGCTTTAAAATGTGTTATATGTATTACAGTAATTTATGTAGATTTTTTATTCTAATAGTTTATTTTTCAACATTACCAGAAAATTAATCATCCTTTAATTATTTTGTTTATTAAAGCTAATTGGAGCCATTGGGAAGTAAATTATCTAATTTAACAATTAATTTGGGATTTATGAGAAACATTTTTACTAAGCGCAGTTAGGAGGAAAAAAAACACTACCAAAGTTTTTCTTAAAATAATATTAAATGAGGTTGTCGTAGTAGAAAAACTCAAGTTTATTGATTTTAGAATTTTTATTCTAAGTAACTATACAAATTTTAGGATTTTGATATTTCAAAATAGATTCACGGAAGTAATGTGAAATTTTGTCAGCTATCTTCATCTTACAACCTCTTTCTATCAGTTTTTCCTTTTCTCTATCTATTTATTCAATCCCTAGAAAAGAGATTTTCTTTTTCATTTTTAAGTAATTTCTCAGTTTAGATTAAAATTGCTCAAAGACAACTATTACTTGTACTTCTGCATAAGAAACTGAGTAACCATAATTCCGAAAGAATAAACAATGATGAATACATGTTTGACAGTAAAAAACTTTATATTTTGAGAATAGATTATCCTTCAAAAAATTAGCATAATGCAGTAGGCCAAGAATACCATATACTACATCACTTGTTTCATTAGCCATTATTCAGTATAACATCTAAAACATACCTGTAATTTTGCTCAAACATCTTTACCAGATACCTCAAAATCTTCAGAGTCCTCAAGACTCTGAAGGGGAGGAAAAAGATCTTTTCCTCTATACTCCTAGGTTCTCTGGTCAGGACTCTGAATATTAAACTGATAAAAGACAAATTAACAAAATGAAAACAAACAGTTATTAACATGTGCAGCACAAATTCATGTGGGAGAAACTCAGTGACGAGTAACTCAAAGGAGTGATTAGAACGTGAGCTTCTATAGCATCTTAACAAAAGAACAACACATTTGTAGAAAAGTAATCGGACAAAAGAAAAGGGCTTTATGGCTTTTAGGGGCCACGAACTGTGGAGTGGTAAATATAGGGGGCAAATATAATGGGTTATTTTAGCAAGGTCCATTTGTGCAAGTCCATCTCCGTGCCATCTTGTTTTCAGTGATGTTATCTTCTTGGTATGCGAAGAGAGTGGGAAAACACCTTCATAAAGGGAAATTATGTTCCATTTTTAGGCAGATTGGGAAAGGGTAGAAATCTCATCGGCTTTTCCTCAACTGCCTTTAACTCAAAATAATTCTAATGCCAGGGTAGCCTACTTTGGTATAATATGCTCTGAATGTCTTTAACTTCAATAATTTTTAATGTTCCATATTTTAAAAAAAATTATATTCAAATATGTTCCATTTGATAACTTCAACTGTCTTCTGAGATGTATTTCATAAGAAGTTCTTTTTTTGTTTCAGTAATACTACCTTCATGATCAGACATATTTTGGCGGTGAAATTTGCATTTAGCATCGATACTTGTTTTGTCTACATCGAGTGGGAAATTATTAATATATTTGTAGTTATTAGTCAATTTATATTTTCTATATCATTTCCTCACTAGTTCTCAAATTAGCAGAAGCTAAATTTGGAAATTGATTTCTCCAAACTAATGAAATTATCTGCTAAAATTCTCTATTTTTCCCCTAATCCTAGCTTTTAATTACCTCACATTCTCCTCATTGATAATAATTTTTTATCCTCCTCATCTTCCTAATTATTTATTTGAAACTTATTTCTTTTTTAAGAAAATAAAGGCTTGAGTCTATTTAAATCTGGATGTGATTTGATATCTAATTTAAATTTAATTATGTAAAAACAAAATATAATTATCATTCCTCTCCAGTGTTCTGTCTTTTGGAAACTTACTTCATGTAATTATCATAAATCTGGACGGAAATCTGAAAATTGAAAATTGGGTTGCTAAATTTGATATTTGATTTTGATATAAAACAATATTAATCCAAAGATCATTCAAAAGACTATTAGAAGGTCAAGCCCATTCTTCAGGATTGTTATCAATATTTAATTTAGGACCAAGCTAACCAGATGCAGCAGCATTTCTTGCAAAATGGAGCTAGAGAAAGAGAAATCACCTGTTTTACTAATGTAGAAAAAAGTCCAAGGTCTTCAATACTTTCATAAAAGCAGGATTTAAAAAATAACCACTGAAAATACAGTAAACTTTGTCAAAAAACTTTGATTTAGCAGTTTCTTACATCTGAAATTGCCTTGAAATGTATTACCATACCCATGACAAAGTCTTATTTAACTTAAAATGGAATCAAATAACATGAGGTCCGAGAGCATACCTCACCATGGTCATGTAGGGTAAGTGTGTTTTGTCAAGATACAGGTGCTACGCTCACCGGGGAATCTCTACTAGACTCCCTGGGGGATGTTGGAGTGATTACCAGTCAGATGATGAGAAGTGGGAGGCTGCACACAGGTAGGCTTGTTCTGAGACTCCTGATGAGGCAGCAAGCATGGTCAGCAGCCTCAATTTTCTCTTCTCTGAATCCCAAGGCCAGAAGAAAGCCACAGGGCTAAACAGTCTCTGAAATGCTTTTGTGTGCTTTTATGCAACCTCATAAATTTCCAAATGTGTTGTGCTCAAACCAAACAGAATATATTTCTAATTTACAATTGCTGCTCTGTGAGATGGTGGCCAGTTTTCTGTGCAATAAAATGGTACATCAAGATTTGTAGGCAGTTCTCATTGTGAACATAGTGCATTGGGACAAGTATAAATGATACCATTAAAGATTCATTCCACAACCCTCACTAGAGCTTTATACAGCTACATGGCATTACTTTTAATACAGATTTAGAATATATTTTTTCTTTCCTCTCATTTTACAGCTTAAATATTTGTGGTTTGTTTGGTTTAGTACCTGTTTCTATGTTACTCTTTCAAGATGGAATACCTCCCATTAAGGTTTCTTCTCAGCCATTTTCTCCAGACCCTCATTAAGAGAAATGTTTCTGAGAGTTCCCTTAAAAGTAAGTGAAGCTCATCTCTTCTACACACAACCTTTGCAGAGACTGAGCCCAAATACAAGGCTAAGCTGAGCTGCCTTCTTTCCAACTATTCCTCAAGTAAGCAAATTTGCTTAATATTCTCAGTCTACTTTTGGTTGAGATACAAAGTCATGTGTAAAAATAAAAACAAAAAGAAAGGGAGAGAAAGGGTCAGAAATCATGATATTAATATTAAATTTCTTTTTGTCAAAAATAAGGGTCTGTAGTCAAGGCATAGGTAGTTTGCCTGGCACTTTATGTACTAGCAAATAAGCCAGAAAACTAGATTTACTCCACTCTAAGTAACTATCCCAGAACTAACTGAAGATTGCCTGAATATATTCAGTGCAATACACGTTAGGGTCTTTCAAAGCTTCTATTTTTTTAGATGTAAATATAATTTCACCAGTTTAATCTACTTATTAGCTTCTCTCTTGATTTTATCTTTAAAGATTCTATTGAACAGTTTTGGGTCACAGATCTCCATGATTACTTGATTTATCTATTCATTCAATCAATTTTTTTAAACATATGTGTCAGAGAACTTTGAAAAATGGGTATCTGTTTTCCAGAAATACTAATTTGCACACAATAGTATATATACAGTAGTTGTCTACAACTTGTAGGATTTATGGATCCCCTATAGACCATCTAGACATTTCTCAGATTAAAAAACAATTGTTACATTTCTTCTTTCTTGTTAGCATGTAAATATATCCTGGAGTGAATTGTCCCTAGTTAAAATAAACAATAACACAAAAATATCTCTTAATTTGAATGTTTTAGGCTCCCCCTTAGCTAAAGTAGGCATTCCTCTTTGAACGTGCATTGTCTTCTAGGTAACATTCTGCTCCTCTTCCTCCTTTCTACAGTGTAATCATTATCTCTGGTTTCCCACCTTCCATCTATTCTTCAGTCTGTTGCCTTCTAGCTTCTGTTCCACTGAAACTGCTTTTGTTCAGATCACTGTAACATCTGTGAGGTCTAAAAATTACTGTGCATTTTCTCTTGGCAGTCTCACAGATACCTCAAAATCAAAATTTCAAAATTAAACCTATCTTCTCTGAAAAACATTTTCTCCTTTGTATTCTGTGTCTCAATCAAAGACATCTCTACAGACTCAATTATCCAATAGAAAATTCTGGAGCCATTTCATATTCCTCTTCCCTCACCCTACACATCTATCTGGTGAGCAAGTCTTACAGACTCAAACTCTTTTGTATCTTTCAACTGTCCCCTTATCTTCATTTCAGAGTCATTTATAAAGTAGAACTGATTCGATTGAATAAGGACATACAAGAGAAAGATTTCCCAAATCTTATATGTGTATGTATTTGTGTGTGTGTGTGCGTGTGTGTCTGTATGTGCGTATTCTTGTGGCAGAATTTCTTTTCCAGAAAAATTCAGTTTTTGCTCAAGGTCTTTCCACTAATTGGATGAGACCCAGTCACTTTATGGAGTATAATTTCCTTTACTTGAAGTCAACTGATGGTAGATGGTAACCATATCTGCAAAATACCTTCATAGCAATACCCATATTAGTGTTTGATTAAATAACTGGGTACTATTGCCTAGCCAAGTTGACACATACAACTTATCATCACAAGTTAGAACAGTTTTCCAGCTTCCAGAGCAGATTTGAGCTACATGGGGTTGTTATATTATCATGTTATCATTTTCAGTGGATTCTTATTAGTTTTCCTTGGGGGCGGGGGTGAAAGGAGAGGAGATAGAACTGGGTTGAAGGTGCAGTTCCTATAAATGGTCTATGACTTTTTGCTTTCCTTGTCATCGCAATCCCAGAGAAAAGCAAATTGATTAATGAATTCACACGAAATTACTTGTGCCTGTATAAGTTTTTTCTTTTCCTCTCAAGTGTGTCAAAAAGTGAAAGACTACAGAAAACAAAGAAGAATCCTGAATATAAGAATGGAACACTTTAATAATAGGCTGCTCTGCTTATATCCCAGCATGTGGCCATCTACTCTGCCTACATATGTGGCTGAGCCAGTAGGGTACACTCATCTCCCCTTCAAGCCTGACAAAGCTCAAAGGAGCAGATCAATGGCTTCGTGGGAAAGAAGATATACCCGAAGAATTGTAATTAATAATGACATAGTCATTGAAACCAAAGGTAAATAAATAGTGGGTCATCAGCATGCTACAGGTAAAGAAGGAACAACTTGAAAACAAAAGCCCAATAAAAGAAATGTATAGCTTGAAGGATGTGGTGATGATTACATTCAGCCCATGATTTTTTTTTTTTTTTTGTCAATTTGTTTGACTTTTCCTTTTCCCCCCTGGCAGTTGAATTGTCTGCTTTTTTCCTTGAAGCTGTTAAGGCTTGAGAAAGAAAACAACATAGGCATTTTAATTAACTTAGATGCAGTGTTTGCTTGAAGAGTAGTCACTCTGAAATAACGTGGTCTCCTCTGCACTGGCAGCAGCTGTTTCAAAGGCTGTACTGGAAGAATAAGGGAGGCTTAAGTTTAAACTAAAAGTAACATGACAGTTACAAGCTCTGCATTCACGCTATGTTCAAAAGCTTCCTCTATTTCAATTTCCCTTCCTTTTAGAATAAGTAGGGAGGAAAATAATAAATAATATCTCCTAGAAGGTTTCCTCCTGTGGGACTCCATCTTTCTGCAGTGAGCTACTACACATTCCCTACTCAAAGAACATTAATACAGACCTCCAGGGGAATTTTAAAGAAAAAGATCACCAGAAAGGTGACACTTCTAGAAATAGTATCATGGTGTTCGCTCATTAGCCTTGGCTGGTGCAGAGCTGTTCCTCTCAAAGAATTCCTCTTAAAATGCTGCACTTCTAAACTTGGCATCATAAAGGGAAGTGGAAACTCCTCATTCAAAAATAATTTATATTCTCTTGCTATCTGACCTGCATTAGGAATAAAGGATCTGGAAAGCACTGAATCTAATTTACTCACTCAATATTCTTAGATGTTCTTTCCTAGTCACTTTCTACTGATTTATGTGTTAGGGCCTCTTGGATAATCCTTAATGATCCTGTTTCCTAGGATCAACACCCTTAGGTAATTCCCTTCCCTTATGTGTAGGCTGGATCTTATGACTCTTTTCCCGTGAAAAGAATGTGGCAAAAGTGATGGGATGTCACTTCCATGATTGGGTTACAAAAACACTGTGGTTTCCATCTTGAATACCCTTTCTTGCTTTTCACTGGTTCACTTTGAGGGAAACCAGCTGCTGAGCGCTGAGCTGTTCTATGAAGAAGCTGATGCAGCAAAAAATTTATGTCTCTGGTCATCAGTCAGCAAAGACTTGAACCTCTCAACAGCCTCATAAGTGAGGTCAAAACTGTGTCCTCATCAAATCTTGAGATGGCTGCAGCCTGAACAACACATGGACTGCAGCCTTGTGAGATATTGTGATCAAAAACCCTGCTAAGCAGTGCATGAACGCCTAAACAACAGAGAATTTAAGAAAATACATATGTGTTGTTTTAAGCTGCTATATTTGGAGGTAATTTTTTTTCAGCAGTAGGATGAACAATGTGTATAATATAGTATATTATTTTTTAAGCACCAAATACGTTTGCTTCTACCTGGCACAAAAAGGAAGAGGATGGGTGGATATCTAGATAATTTGATCAATTTAAATAGACCAGTTTTACTGTTTTTGTTCACAAAGTTTACTTAATGATAGCCAAATTACTTGCTTTACTTTTTTTCTGGCCTATGTAAAGAGGCTATATAATCCAAGACACCTACAAAATGTTTTTTTGCCATTATCTTATTTACTTAGAAAAAAGCAGAAGTTGTCAACGACACTGGTAAAGACTATATAAAAAGGTATTAAGAAAGATGCTAATGTCACTAATTTTTTAAATAAAACATATTTGAATATTAAAATACACAGCAGAAAAACTTCCAAAGGTAAAGACTTCAGGGAGTAGAGTTTCCAAGAGAGTCATTTGTGTAAACAGATGTTAATTAGAAGAAGCTTGAGATGGGATATATAATCATGCGAGTGGGTAGAAAGGACAATTGTACTGTTATATAAGTTATCACCATCATGGCTGCTAAGTGATGGAATCTGCTAAGGAAGTTAGTAATAATTACACAGCACAGTTAATAATAACAAGTAACATTTTGAACATTTATTATATCCTAGTCATTGCCATAGTTAATCTGTACAATACACCTTTGAGACAGGTACTATTATCATCTTAGTTTTACAGATGAGGAAATGGAGGTTAGGAAAGGTGAAGTGACTTGTGCAAAATCAAGCAATGAATGTCAGAAAAGGGACTGTAACCTATTTTTCCTGCTGTCTTGAGGTATATGAAAGCTATAGTGCAAATAGATTGAATTCAATAGTAATTGGAATCTTCTATAATTGTTTACAGGTAGGTCTGTGATCCGGTCTTAATTTCCACATTTGTCCATTCCTAACTTCACTTCTTCCAGATGAGATGAGTCCATCAAATGATATTTCTGTTGGCCAATGATATCTTTACATCTGACAAAGGGCCCATCTAATTTCCTTCTGAATAGAAGGTAAAAGAGACTGATAATTATGTGCTTTGGAACCAGGGAGGATATAGCATGTGTAATTGCATCCATCTTTTAAGACAACATTTCAAAACCAGAATTATTTTTAAAAATAAAATTAGATGCCTTTTGAAAAGCCTAGCAAACTTATCCAACCACATATGTCAATTCAGAGAGCACTAACCCCCTTCTTTCTCTAAGTTTTCTCATCCTAGTGATGAGAACACTTTACTCAATGCTTAAAGCTTCATCATTAGGGGCAGGCGCCAAGTCTTCTGTTGGAAAATACTTAGATTTAAAGCAAAATATGTGAGTTTGATATTTGGCTCCTTCTGAATGCTCTTGTCTACTCTTAGGCAAGTCACTTAGACTCTTTTCCATAAAATAAAGATTATGCTTAGGGTACATGGTCATTGTGAGGTTTAAATAAAGTAAGGAAAATAGAAGTTCTTATAACATATTCTGTACTATAAAAATCTGAATTGTTATAATTTTATGAGTATGACTAAAATCCTTCTCAAATGCCTAAAATTTCTTTCCAAAAACTTTTGGAATCAGAACATACAAAGTGAAAATTTTGCTGTTCTGGTTCACTCTACTCTTTGATCCCAAAAGTACGTTTCTTTAACACTTCAGGGAATTTTTTAGTCATGTGGAACACACCTTTTAAAAGATAATAGAAACATACCTAAAAGTAGTTTGTCCACATAGATATAGATTGCAAAAATGTGACTGGGTAAAATGATACAAAATTCAGTGTGATGGACTTGTGGCGTTTTAGTTCAGTGGTTCTCAACTAGGGGTGATTTTTACTTGCCAGGGACATTCAGCAGTGTCTGGAGACATTTTTGATTTATCCCAACTGGAGGAGTTGGGCCCAAGGATGCTGCTAAATATTCTATAGTGAATAGGGCAGCCCCACAACAAAGAATTACCCAGCCCCACGTGTCAGCGTGCTGCTGTTGAGAAACCCTGCCTTAGATGACACTGGGTAACACACACTCTTTCAGATTAAACTGCTAGGGATCCTAACAATTAAGAGGCTATTATGACTACTATGGAGACCCTATCGTTTGCTCCTTTCTCCTTTTGCTGTCTAACTTAAGGGCCTTATCTTCATCATCCTAAAAGGCTATTTCATCCTTTTATGTCTCAAGTCAAAATTTATGTGGAACCTCTATAGAAACTCATGAGACACCATGGACTGTGGAGGCATTAATATGCTACTGACACCAGCTGTAAATCTTCATCTCATCTGCTGCTGTCAATGCTATCTCAAAGATTTCAAAGAGTCTGAAAGAAGTAGACTCCAGAGTGAAAAAACAGCTGTCCTACGATCAACCTAAGTGATACAGAGGTAGTGCTGCCCGGCAGGGAAGGTGTTTTGAGAGCTTATCTACTGACGTCACCCATGTTTGAAGTATATGCTGTCCTTTTTCTTCCCAGATTTCTTCCACTTACTTCTCTCTCAAGATTTACCACCACATATGATGGATTTATTCTATTATAAAGGTCATTCTAAAGCTACAACAATGTTGCACACTTTGTTGGTGGTTTTAAGACTGGTTATTTCCCTGAAGTTAAACTATCTGGGGTCATGGAGAGATTTTTAACCAATGACAGTTATGGCAAGTCTGGAACCTTGAAATGGAAGCCCAGTGAAATGCAATTTTTTGAATTCCAATTTTTATCCATATAGCCTAACCCTTGAATGAACCTGATTCAAGGGATGCCACGGTTAGATATTTGTTATAGGAAAGATGGTGGATTGAGAAAGAAAAATTTTGTCTGAGAGGGCTCTTTAATTATCAGGCCCAGAAAAGTATTGACATGCAATACTAGTCACTTCTTACTCCCCACTTGAGGTACATATTTACGTCTTGAAGCTACTGGCTATGTGGGTTCTAGGCTAACTGATGCCAAGTAGCCATAAAATTCCATACTATGGACACCATAACTCATACCCTATAGTTCAATAATGATAGCTAGTTATAACCAATGTCATTTCTGTAAACCAGTGAGAATTCCTGACAACTTTGTATCAGCCTGCTCCTTTTTCCCTTTTTGCCTTTAAAAACCTGCGTGTAACAAAGGCTAAACTGAGCACTCACCAGGGCAACTTGGAAGCCTGTCCTGGGCTGCAGTCCTCAACCCTGGCCCAGACAAACTCTCTGTATTAATTTTGAATCAGTTTCTGTCTTAGGTCAATAGGATGAATACATATGGAAAGTCTACATGTATGACTCAATTTTTAAATCCCTCTCACACTTTACAGAATGGTTTAAAGGGGAGCAGTGATTATTTTCCTGATTATGTTCTTTTGATGAGGTTGTTATTCAAAGCATTCATTCAACAACTTGACCAGTTGTATGGTAGTTCTCTGAATGTCAAAGAAATCTGAGGAAGAAGAATTAGTATATTTTTTAAAAAGAATACTTTAATCAATTTAAATGAGAAAGAGACATTTTGGCAACTTCATCTGCTTCTGAAATTTACATTTAAAGGGTGTACTGTGTAATCAGAATTCTAACAAGGAGTCCACATCATTTTCCCAGTGAAAAAATGACTTTAAAAATTTGTTTGCTGAAGCTGAACAGCTTTCAAAGAAGATGAAAAGATATCCAATAAATTCAGTGTCTCACTGAGAGACTCAGCAAATACTGAATATCACTAACCTAACAAATCTTAATGAAAAGCCAAATCTACCTGTGAACAGAGGGAATTGATTGGGAATAAATTTACTTCATAAAGACTAAAATCAAGTGGTCATACAGTACTGTTTTGTCAAGTTTGGAAAAGCTTTCTCATTAAAAAGAAGAGAGCTCTGTTGTACTTTAGCTTCACTGTTGCACGAGCGTCCTGAAAAGATTTTGTTACCAGCAGCGTGACCCAATGTCAGCAACTAGAGAAAAGGCAGGAGTAATTGAGACTTGGAGCTAAACACATCTCACCTTTCTCACAAAAGCTGATGGTATAAATAAAAATGGTCCCAGGAGTCTTCCCTCACTACATTGCCCCCAAAGAATTAATTATAGTGTCTGGCTTAAGGATGTCTTTGGGAAGGGAAAGTGCATTCTTTCAGACCTGTGTGGTCTCAAAAGCATGTTAGTGCTTACAGTGGCAGATGGAGAGATTTGAACCACTCCATTTTAGAAAAATTGTGCACTGGCCTAAAAGACATTTAAACAAATAATTTAGCATCTTTTCTAAGATAAAGAGTAAATTGTTGATCCAAAGGTTGATGTTAAGTCACCTGAAGTTCAGAGGCTTGTATATAGTTTACAATTCAAAATATTATGAAATTGAACTCTGTGTATCTAAGTTTATAAATATCATCATTACCTTCAATACAAGATAAATACTTTCTGGTGGACCTACACTTTTAAAAATGTAGCTGGGTATTAGGATACTTTTACAAACTTTGTCACACCTAAAACTTGTAATTATATAAACTGAGAGCTACCAGATGAAAATTAAATGGGCAAAAAATGAAAACCAAGTTAAGATTGTTAATAATTTAGCATGCATGGGACATGAGATATCCAAAGAGTGGGCTAACAAATTGTATATTCATTTCCACCCAGTTTATGAGCAAGTTCAGAAATAAGAAGTAAATAAAGATAAAACAACAAATTTCCTGTTAGTAAACTGGATTTCTAATTAAAAACTCCCATAATTTGGTACACTCACACACCACACTCCTAGATAAGCAGATCAAAAGCTTAGACATGGAGGCAGCATTACTCCCAAAAGAATGAAAGACAATACTAAACTAAGTATGCCCAAATAACTACTCTTTCCAAATTTACCAGTCAAAAAGGCCACTTCCTTAGGAGTAGGGTCAGTCAATGGACCAAGAGACGCCTTGAATGTGCTTAGACAAATGTCCCCAAACCAAAGTGGATATTTTTCACAATTAATTTTTTGACTTAGTGTTTATACATCAAAATATTTGAGTTTGCAATCTTCACCTACATTCAAATGAGGTTTTTTGCTAGGAATTGATGTAAGGGAAGTGAGACTTTAAAAAAGAGTTAAACTATAAAAATCAATACCAGATCAGAGTAGAAAAATGTAAAATTTCCATTATAAGTCTTAGTTATAACCTGAGTTGCATATTGCAATACAAATAAAAAAAGAATATGTCCATGAGTAGGAGGTTCACCTGAGGAAGGAGAGAGGAAGAGAAAGGCAGAGCAGCTCCCATTTCCTCTGCTGGGGTCATTAAAGCACTGTCATGGGAGAGGAAAGCTTGGTCAGCAGATGCAGAAACTCCAGCCCCATTGATGTGGGTCCTATTAATCATTTGGTTAATCTCTGGTCCTATTAATCATTTGATTTCTCTGACACTCATTGCAGATCTCTTGCCTGTTGAGCTGCCTTTGACTGCAGTGTTGCTGCTTATGTAGGTTTGCGGAGGGAGATAATATCCCATTCACGGAGCTCCAAGTTGGTTCAGTACCTGCAAAAATAATTTTTCAATGGCCTCTGATTTTTTCTTCCCTACATACTTTGTCAACCAGAGAATGTAATGATCACATTAATGTCAGTGTCCTGATCCATGTAATAGTTATATTTTCTTTGGAAATTAGTAAACTATCACTCCAGTTTTACACACCCATTCTTTTGAGGCTGACTGAGGAGATTCTACCTCAGGTTGATGTGAATCTACATCCACTATTATTATGCTGACCGAAGAAACTTTCTGTGCATGTGTGCATGCAAGGCTGAAGGAGAAAGTGGTAGTGAAGTAGGTCACAGGATTGGAGCAGATATTAGACTATGAAAAAATGAGGTGTAAAAGATCAAATTATACAATGATTGCAGGAATATAGCTGCATAATTACATGGGCATAATTCCATAAAATGTACTAAAACTTCTAAAACATTCACCAAATGTTGTTGCTACAACAAATTAGAGAAACATAAGGAAGCATGATCCGGTCATGCAAATTAGAGGAACATAAGGACATCAATTAAAAATTCAAAGACCTAGAGATCATTCCCAGGTGTCTCAGAATTATTGAGAAGGCTAAGCAGACATCATATCTCTATATTATTGGAAGTTTAATGCTTAATAGTACTTTCTATGGAGTTTCATTAAAAGACGGTCTGAATTTATTACAGAATGCTTCAGTGTTTTTGGTTGGAAACATTTATTAACAGAAAAAATAGACATAGCAACAAGAAGACATTATTATTGAGATAACATAGAATATGAAATATGGTAGGGAAGAAAAAATGGGTTGTAGAATATAAAACATGGTAAGGAAGAAGAAATAAAGCAAGATTAAAAAACAAACAGAAGGGCCAGGCACAGTTGCTCAGGCCTGTAATCCCAGTGCTTTGGGAGGCTGAGGTGGAGGATTGCTTGAGGCCAGGATTTCAAAAAACAAATATAAATATGTGATTGTGAGAGCAATTTATTATATACATGTAAAATGCATATCAGTGATATTAATGAATAATACTTGATATTTATCGAACTCTTATTTATGGCAGGCAATATAATAATTTTCTTATATACGTCTTATTTAACACTCAGAATTTTATGATTTAAATGTTATTATTAGCTCCATTTTATAGACAAGGGAATGATGGCTTAGAAGGGATGTCATTTGACCAAAGTCACATTACTAAAAAATGGAGCTGTTATTTGGACCCAAGTTTCTAACTCAGGAGCTCAGGAGCTTAGCATTATGTTTTCTTACAAAAAATAGTAATAAAGTATATAGAGAAATATACTAGTGTTTATGTTTTATGGGGCAATGTATCAAATTCATTTTTATGCAAGAAAGTTGATGTGGAAGACAGACTGATATCTGGATTTTGAGCAATACTTTGAAAGATGAAGCTATGCAATTTAGTAGATAAAAGAAAATAGTATTTTCTTTGTTTTGTAAAGTACGGGCAATTTATCAGAGGCTTTTCAAGGAAAAACAAAATTTCGCAAATAAATGGTACCAGATAATTTTGAGTCTTGTGCCTGTCCTTTGAAATCATACAGAGGTCACCAAGACAACATAGAGAAAGGAACAAACAAACAAACAAACAAAAATTTATGGTGCATTCTTACAATTCTATAGTGCTTCATAGTTTTCAATGCATTTTAATATACATTTTCTAAGTAGATTCTGCTGAAGCAGATAGCTTGGATATATTATTCCCATTAACTTTTGATTACACTGATGCTCAGAGAGACTAAATGACTTGTGTAAGGTCATACAGCCCCTAAGAGACAGACCTCGGGCTATTGCTTAAAGATTAATTCTCAAGCAAAGTGCTGAATTACTGAGTCATTACTTTACATGAGTCCACAATTTAGTGCAGAGAATAAAGGTTGGACATAGATGTAAAATCAATTAGGCAAAATTATCACATCTGAGAATATAAAGCAGAAAACATAGATAACTGAGAGGGGTTGGAGAAAAGCTGATTGTGTCCTTGTGACCTAGACTCAGACACTGGATTCGTCTCATTGTTACTACTCATTTTGTTTCCCCATATTTTCTGAAGACAAGGTGCTTTCTAAAGGTTATTTTTACTCATAGGCCTATGGGGGCTCTCTTTTGGGTGAGTTAGGGACACAGCAGCCTCTATTTTTCTAGGAACACCTTTAAAATATAGTGTTCTAGCATTGTATAGTTATTAATATTGAGAGCATTGTCTTGAATAACAACTCTACTACAAATTGTTCCTGGGGAAGTTACAAAAGCTTTCTAAGCCTCACTTTTCTCATAAGTAATACAAGTATAAAATACTAACATAAATATGCTGTAAGGATTGCAAAGCACGCTTAGTGTGATGTATGCAAAGTGCTTAGCCCAATAACTACTATGAGGAAGTGCTCAATAAAAGATAACTATTAATACTGTCTCTTTTACTAGGAGATGAACATGGCACATCAGAACTTCACTGAGTCCTAGGAGCCCTAGGATATATCTAGGATCTTGCCTGCCAAAATATTTCCATATAGGTTTTCCAAAGGTGCATCAAACTTGACATTTCTAAGACTGAACACATCTTTCCCCCTCGAACCTGCTATGTATCCTCCATTCGCTAATTTATAAACGGCATGACTGCTCATCTGATTGTCCAAATCAGGTAAATGGCTGTAGCAAATAATGCTTCATTTCCTTCACTCATAATTTAGAGATCTCACTGTTTATAGTTCTACTTCCAAAATGTTGAACGGAATCCAAACTCTCTTCTCCATGCTCTCATCTTGGTTGAAGTGCTCAGCATTTCTTGCTTAAACTATAGCAATGTTCTTCACCTGATCACACTGCATCCAGTCTTACTTTCCTCCTAACTGCTGTACACATTACTTTGAAAGTGATTTTTCTAATATAAAATTGATAACATCACTCTTACCTCTTGAATAGCTCTCTATAGGCAGGTGAATAAATTTGAGTTTCATAGCCCAACATATAAAAGCTTTCCTTATCTGATCTACTTTTACCTCTCCAATTTCATTTCTCTTCATGGCATCTCTCTTTCACTGCACCACACTTGTTTGCGATTCTGTGCCTTAGTTCATGCCATTCCCATTGTTCATCCCCATCTTTCTGGCAAATTCATTCTAACCCTGCAGGACTACCTCAAGCATCCCCTTCTTATGAAAGCCTTGTCCAGCTTGCCTCAGAACTCTCCACCTCTCAGTTCCTGCAGGCTTCTTTTATAAAACTGATTTCAATAGATTAGCTATATTTGACCTCAACCAATAGACTGTGAGTGACCTGAAAGCAAGGGTTCATTCCTATTTGAATTCACAAATTAATACCTGACAACCAGTAAATCCTCAATAAATATGTGTTAAATAAGTGTATTAGTTGTCAGGACTCTTTCATTAGATAGTTGCTTCTTCTGAGTTGGTTACATTAATGCAATTGTTCTAAGAGAAATACATGCCTGGTAACTTTTAAAAACATGGGTATATTTAAAATATAATTAAAATACAGAAAAGTGAATTATTTGAAAAGTTCTGACATATGCACACATCCGTAAAACAATTACCCCAATCTAGAAAATGAATGTATTCATCCTCAGTAGTTTTTTTAACCCTTGGTAATGCTTTCATCCTACCTTTAAAACCCTCCAATTTCCTAGCAATCAATGACCCGATTACTGTCACTATAGATTGGTTTGCATTTTCTAGAATTTTATATAAATGAACTCACACAATATGAATGCTTTTTTGTCCTTCTTTTTCCACTAAGCATAATGACTTTCTGAGTAACTTATGTTTGTTATCTGTATTATTATTCCTTTGTTGTATTAAGTTGTATTCCATGTATGGAATATACATATATAACAAAATTTGTTTGTCCTTTTACCTATCGATGAATGTTTGTATTATTTCCAGTTCTTTGGCTATTACAAAGAAAGAAGTTTTGAACACTTGTATTCAAGTCTTTGTATGAAGATACACTTTTGTTTCTCATTGTTAAATATCTAGAAGTTGAATGAATGAATCATAAAATAATTGTGTTTCACATTTTAAGATATTGTCAAATGTTTTGCCCAAGTGGTGGTACCATTTACCATGTAACATAAATGCCAGCAGTGTATGAGAGCTCCAGTTCTTCTGCCTTAACATTTGTTAACCATTGGTATAGTCGGTCTTTTCAGTCTTGGACGTTCTAATAAATTATGGAAGTATCCCATTAAGATTATAATTTGCATTTCCCTAATGGCTGATGATGTTGTACATATTTTCCATATTCTTTTATGCCATCAATATTTTTTCTGGTGAAGTAGTTGAAATATTTTGCCCATTAAAAATGTGTGTGTTTGCTTATTATTGAGCTTTGGAAAATTTTTGTGTATTCTAAATTCAAATCTTTTATCAGATACGTGATTTGCAAATGTTTTCCCCCAACTTGCAAAGTGCCTGTTCACTCTTCCAATACAATCTGTCAAATAGAAGTTCTTAATTTTGATAAAGTTCAGTTTATCAGTTTTTTTATTTTATGGATTATCCTTTGGTTTTCTATCTATTAAATCTTTGCCTAGCCCAAGTCACAAACGTATTATCCTATGTATTCTTTCTTCAGGTTTTATAGATTTAGAGTTTGCATTTAGGTCTATGATACTTTTTTTAAAAGTTTATTTTGGGATATGGTACAAAATATGGATCAAAGTTTTTTATTTTTACACAGATAGTCATTTTTTTCCAACACTGTTGAAAATATCTCTTCTTTGCTCAATTGTATTTCCATCATGGTTGAAATTAATACCAATTTTTGAATTTGAGCTGACTTTGCATTCCTGGTATAAATTCTATTTGGTTATAATGTAATATCCTTTTATGTTTTAAAAGTCAACTTACTATTTTTTTTTCTAGAGATGGGGGTCTTCCAGCCTGTTGAGCCTGGCTGGCTCGATCTCCTGGACTCAAGTGATCCACCTGCTTTGCCCTCCGAGGTGCTGGGATTACATGTGTGAGCCACCGCACCTGGCCGAATTTGCAAAAATTTTGATGAAAATCTGTTCCTTCTTAATTTCTTTAAGAAAATTTTCTACAAGTGGAATCGCTGGTGCCAGGAATATATACATTTTAAAATCTTTGAATATTCTTGAAAAAAATGTCATGTAAATGATATACAAGCAGAACATTAAACTGCCTTTCCTCCGCATCCCTGGCAATCTTACCTACTGTTTTTGTAAACCGTATAACCATGTTTACAAATGGCATCTTGGTTTTTTTTTTTTTAACTTTGATACTCTTGATCTTTATATTAGTGAAATATTTCCTCTGTCCTCCACATGGAATGCTTTCAATTCTTCCTAGAATATCTTCATACCAGACTTCAGAAAAATTCAGTAGGACATTTTGACTTGGCTCTGTTCATTTACCTTACCCATTGGCAATTGTTTTTTACTGTTTTATTTTTATTTTTATTTTTTGGAGACAGAGTCTCATTCTGTCACCCAGGCTGGAGTGCAGTGGCACGATCTAGGCTCACCGCAACCTCCGCCTCCCAGGTTCAAGCGATTCTCGTGCTCCATCCTCCCTAGTAGCTGGAATTACAGGTGTGTGCAACCACGCCGGGCTAGTTTTTTGTGTTTTTAGTAGAGACACGGGTTTCACTGTGTTAGCCAGGATGGTCTTGATCTCCTGACCTTGTGATCTGCCGGCCTCGGCCTCCCAAAGTGCTGGGATTACAGGAGTGAGCCATGGCGCCCAGCCCGTTGGCAACTTTTAGGACCAAAATACTGTGGTTTGGCAATTGTCCTCCACCTCCTGTTTTGACTGAGAGCCTTCTTTCAACTCTCAATTCTGTCTTTCTTAATATAAACATTGGATTTTGTACCTTAGACTTCTATTTCTTCTCCTATAGTGCTAGGTATTCTTTATGGTGAAACCCAATACATTTCTACATCATTAATCACTCACTAATCTATTAGGACTATAGATAATTGATTTAGAAATTCAAGTGCAATTCAGAATTCAAAATGAAATAATCAAAGGGAAGAAGATAGTCCTGTTGTAGATATTCTTCTTGTCTTTAGATTCAAACATCCTAGAATTGGCTCCAAGATCTTAGGCACATCCGAAGCATCAGACAGACATGATAGTATATAGAATGAAAGAAAAAAAAAAATATATATATATCATATATATGATCATCCTCAAAATAAGACATAAGAGTAATCAAAGCAAGAATACAAATATGACCTCAGAATGTGAGTAGAATTGTTCACATTATTCTTTTTTATGTGGACCAAGATATATTATAGGAAATAAGCCTTGTTTTCAGATCCATTGCTGCTTATGTTGGATTGCCCTTCTTTCCTCTTCCTTATCCATGTTGTTTATTGAATGCTGTTGTTGGCGTTCCATGATAAACAAGAGAGACTTTTAAAATTTTTATCCAGAAGCTTATTCTCCCCAGGTGCCAATACTTATTCTGTAGCCAAAATTGATTTCTAGGTGATTCCTTCTTTGCTTCTTTTCCTCCACCATCCCTTCTTCAAGAAAGATATAAGATCTGAGCTCATATCAAGATCCTGATTCCTCTGGGAATTATAGGATCGAGTGGAGAGCAGAAAGGCAAGCATATACAGTTTATCCCTTAGTAGTTCTTGGATCCAAAATAGGTATCATAGTCTATTATAAAATGTTATGTTGTTTTTAGCATAATCAAACAGCTTAAATCAAACCACCAGCAAAAAAGAGAGTTATGTCAGGCTTGGCTATTCAATCATTAGTTTTTTTTGCCTCACTACAATTTTATCCATAAGCCATTCCTATACAGATTCTTTTTAACCTCACTTAGAATGCTTTAAAAAATAGCAAAATTCAAATGCAGAAGACACATTCTTCCAAGATATTACTATTAGCGTCTTATTTTGAGGATGAACCTATATGTATGTATATACAGTCCCTTGAGAAAATTTTATTCATTAGATTCCCCCGCCACCCTACAATATAAGAGTCTATGATTAAAAAGACTGACTTCATTTTTGATGTTTTGCTGCTGAGGCTTTCAAATCCCACCTCTGCCCTTTCCCCTTTTCTCTCCATCAGGGCAAATTGATAATAAAGCCTGGTGCTTCCTCCTTTGGAGCCTGGTGGGAGGTTCAAGGCATTTTTGTGGGACCCTCACCCGGTCCACCTGGTAACCACAAAAAAGGCCAAACCAGTTTCCTCTCCCTGTTCTCCCAAACTATTTTTGACTCTTGTTAGAAAGCCTGTCCTACTCTTCCCAGAAAGCCTTATTTTGTTTCACACCATTTTGGTACATGTGTGGCATACAGTCTCAACATCTGAAACCACTTTTGGGTTGGGAGTTTCATTCCTATTCTATGAAGTATCCATGGCAACTGAATTTTTAATAGAACTATATTTTGTTCTCTTTATTGTTTTACAGTAGCATCAATGAACACCTTTAAGCTACCAATTAGTTTTAGAAAAAGAGAGATTCAAAATTGGAAAAGAAAAATAGTTAACAAATTATAAAGTACTTATTTTAAGTTTTATATCAATTTATAGTTGAATTTTTGTATAAAATACTGTGGCTAAGTGGTTATTACATATTGTTAATATGGGAAACTATATTCAAAATAGAAATTTCTTAATTTTGTAATAGATATAACTAAGATTTGTTATACACTTATATGTTAGTACTATGCTTAGTAGACACTTCGCTCATTTAATATGCACACCAACTCTGTGAGATACAGATTATTATTATCCTTATTCACAGGTGAATATGAGGCTTGGGGAGGTTAAGTAACTTGTTCAAGATTGAATAGCTTGCATATAATAAAGCTTGGATTTAAAACTCATACAATCTAAACCCAGAGCCTATACTTCCAATTACCAAGCCTTACAACAGAGGTACAGCCTCTACAGTAGTTAATGGGAATTGCTTTTCTAAGAAATCCCTTGTTTCTTTATTCAATAAAAGAAACTAAGGGGGTTGATGGTTAGTCTCTGGATTCAGATACGCAGCAACAATGTTGTTTTATATTGGAAGAATTTTAACAGAAAGGGGGTTTGCTTTTATTTTTAATAGTGCTGAGAAGAAAGCATAAAACCTAAATATCACCAAGAAAAGGTAGTATCTATATCTAGCTTTATTTGAATAGTGATGGCCTTTCTTTTCCTATTGTCAAAGTGATAATGATTAAAAATCCATTATCGTCTGTTGTTTTAATAATTAAAAATAAACTCAAAAATGGCATTTCACGTATACTCTATTTTCTTAACTATTTGAGAGATATTAGTTCCTGATATCAACTGCCTTATTGGTCTCAGGTTACATATTGAGGTATAAACACAGGTAGCCTTCAATATTCAAACAATGTTCCCCAGGAAATTAATCACGTTATCACAGTTTAGGTTATGAAAACTAGTTCTATATGAGAAGTACCTGTAAAGAAAGGATTTATTATTTTTTCCTAAGGAGTTGTCATTAAAGCACTTATTTTGACCCATTACAATAATGTATTCATCTACAACTAATAATAGAGATATTTATGCAGCCAGATTACACAAAAAATAAAATTATAACTAATAATTATAATTTTATGAGAAAGCAATGATTATGTATGAATGTGTATATGTTGGGTAGGGTAATTAGAAAGTATTCACATTTCCCACCCAACTCAATTTTGTGGAATTCTTTTTTATACAAAAGGTTAGAAGATTTTTGTGAATGCGAAATGTTAGATGTTTTCCCCTATCAATAGCAATAGAATTTATGGTCAATGAAATGCAATGTAGTACAAAATATATGCAAACTAGTTTTATAAGTCTGGAAATGAATTAGAAAAGGGCTAAGAAAGAGGCCTATAAAATTATGGCTAGGTCAACCTGAGCCAGTCTACTTACCATTCCTATAGCAGAAAAATTAGAGAATGCTAAATGAAATAGGAGCAGCATCATTGAAAGGAGTGAAAAGAAAATACATTTTTTTTTTTTTTTTTTTTTTTTTTTTTTTTTACACAGAAGATTCTGTAATTAACCTATGGGACTCTATGTGATTCTAAATTATAGCAGTAAATTACTGAGAATGACTCAAAATAAGACACATGGAAAACAGTATCTGAGTAGTTCCTGAATTAAAAAGAAGATGGTATGCAAGAAGCTGACCAGCTGAGGTCAGGAATGATATTTCTTGTCATCCTTTCATTATAATATTATATAATTAGGGCCCCAACCTTATTTTGAGGATCAGACTGTTATGGAGATGAAATACTATACAGAAAGGCATTTGTCACATTTTTAACATATACATAAAAGAAACCATTAGCTTTAAGAAAATTACTAACACGAAAGGGTTTTCAATCTTGCTGGATAATGCAGAAAATACACTTTCAGTCTTAGAATTATTATTTTTTTCATTCTAATGAGCAGCAAAGTTGAGAATCTTTAAGATGTAAACAGCATCTCTCAATACCCAAGAGAAGTACAGCTTCAGTGGTGAATATAGCTTTTCTTTAATATCTTTCTGGATTTGGTGGCTGTCATCTTGCTGGATGCCGGTGGAGCTGTAGGTAATTAAAAGTCTATATTTTAAATAAGTGTTTATTTCACCACAAAGCTAATTTTTTTTCAAAGTATGAGAAAGAGAGGTTGGCTAATAGGTACAAACATACAGTAAGATAGAAAGAATAAGTTCTAGTGTTCGATATCACAGTAGGGTGCTATAGTTAATAATAATTTATAGTACACTTTAAAATAGTTGGAAGAGAAGATCTGAAATGTTCCCAACACAAAAAATTGGTAAGTGTTTGAGGTGATGGATATTCTAAATGCTCTGATTTGATCATTACATATTGTATGCATGTATCAAAATATCACGTGTACTCCATAAATGTGTACAACTTTTATGTCTCTATAAAAATAAAATAAATAAAACCATGTGTAATTATTTTTAAAATGAGAAATTGTATTTCTAGAGCCCTGTGTTTCACTTCTGATTCCAGTGTTGAAATTTTATTTATATATATGATATATATTTATAATTATATATTATATAATATATAATTTATATACATTATAGTTATATATAATTATATATATTTATATATAATATAATAAGTATATTATATTATATGATATATAATTATATATATAGATTTATAGAGATATGTATAAGATGTTTTCCCCTATCAATAGCAATAGAATTTATTGTCAATGAAATGCAATGTAGTACAAAAGATATGAGAACTAATTTTATAAGTCTGGAAATGAGTTAGAAAAGGGTTAAGAAAAAGGCCTATAAAATTATGGCTAGGTCAGCCTGAGCCAGTCTACTTACCATTTCTATAGCAGGAAAATTAGAGAATGCAAAATGAAATACCATTTAATATTTCATTAAATATATGTATGTATTTGTGGAGAATCTTCTATTTATCAGATTTTGTGTTATGTCCTGGGAACAAGATGGACTTTGTCCTTACCTTCAGGAAATACACAAAGAAGGGAACTAAAGCATAGTTCCAAAATATTACAAAGGGAGTGACTATGACAGGGCCTCCTTCTCCCATGTATGTGCTTCTTGGAGGCTACTTGACTGAGAAGAACTCTACTCTAACTAGGTAACAGGGGTGGGGACACTTACTGAACGAAGCTTTAGAGGCAAGAGAAAAAAGATATGATATGGAAATTAAAAGAATATAATGTTTACAGTGTAGGCTGTGAAGTAGAGTGACAGAGCTGGAAAGAAAAGTGTTGACCAGACCATTCAGAGATTTGTAAGGGTTTTTAGATTTTATCCTAATAGCATTTTTTGATCTTATCCTAATGGCAAGTTTACTAATTTACTATTACAGTAGAAAATTTTAAGATAATGCGATAATGCTGTTAGAAAGAATGACAATCATGTGTCACTTAAGGATGGGAATACATTCTGAGACATGTGGTTAGATGATTTTGTTGTTGTGCAAACATCACAGAGAGTACTCACACAAACTTAGATGGTATAGCCTACACCACACCTAGGCCATATGGCATGGGCTATAGCTGTATGGAATGGCCTACTGCTCCCAAGCTACAAACCTGTACAGCATGTTACCGTACAGAATACTGTAGGCAATTATAACACAGTGGTATTTGTGTATCTAAACAGAACAGGTACAGAAAAAATGATATAAAAGATAAAAAATGGTACATCTGTATAGGACACTTACCATAAATGAAGCTTGCAAAACTGGAGTTTCTCTGAGTGATTCAGTGAGTGTGTGGTGAGTAATATGAAGGCCTAGGATGTTACCATATACTACTGCAGATTTTGTAAAGACTGTACACTTGGATTGCACCAAATGTATTTCTTCAATAATAAATTAAACTTAGCTTACTGTAATTTTTTACTTTATAAACTTTTTAGTTTTTAATGTTCTGATTATTTTATAGTAACACTTAGGTTAAAACATAAATGCATTGCACAGCTGTACAAAAATATTTTCTTTATACCCTTATACTATAACTTTTTTCTATTTTTAATTTTTTTAATTAACAATTTTAAACTATTTTGTTAAAAACTAAGATGCAAACACACACATGACTCTAGGCCTACACAGGGTCAGGATTATCAATATCACTATTTTCCAACTCCAGATTTTGTCCCACTGGGAAGTCTTCAGGGGCCATAACACTCATGGAGCTATTATCTATGATAATGATGTCTTCCTCTGGAATTCCTCCTGAATTTGACTCCTGACTTGCCTGAGGCTGTTTTACAGTAACTTTTTTATGTAAGGAGAAAGAGTATACTCTAAAATAATAATAAAAGCTATGTTATAGCAAATGCATAAACCAGTAACATGGTCATTTATTATTATGTATTACTTACAGTACATAATTGTATGTGTTATATTTTTATACAACTGGCAGCAGAGTCGGTTTGTTTACACCAGCATCACCAAAATCAAGTGAGTAATGCATTGTGCTATGATATTAGGATGGTTACAAAGTCACTAGACAATAGGAATTTTTTTGCTTTATTATAATCTTATAAAACCACTGTAGTATATGCAATTTGTCATTGACTGAAATGTCATTAGGTAGCATATGACTGTACATTAAACAGAGGGAAAACTAGACAAGATAAATAAAATCTGAAATAGTAGTTATTCAAAAATATGTACCATACAGATTATGTGTTCTGATGTTTAAATGAAAACAAAAATATATATGTTTGTAAATTTTATAATATACTAATTTCTCTTAGATAAAATAAGAAATCATAAATGAAAATCAGTAAGTACTTATAACTGAATATAAATGTGAGTTACTACATATTAAAACTTATAAGATTTGGTTAAAACTTGTTTGAGGTGATGGATATTCAAATACTCTGATTTGATTATTACATATTATATACATGTATTGAAATATCACATGTACCCCATAAATAAGTACAACTATTATGTACCAATAAAAATAAATCTGTACTTAGAGAATGATTTTCATCCTTAAATAGTTTATGTTAGAAAATAAAAGCTGGAAATTCATCAAGAGTTATGAAAAAAATAAATTTAAATGAAGCAGGTAAAGAGATGACAAATATAAGGTATTAAAGTTAACAAAATAGAAAGCAGTTACAGGAAAGAGGATCTTTATGAAGCTCATTATATTGACACATTATCAGATAAAGTATTCAAGGAAAAACAGAAATTCACAAAAGCAATATTATGAGGCAAAAATACCTAATTACAAATAAGACCCCTCCCAGTACTATGAATAAATTTATTCAACTAAATTATGCTAATAAATTTTACCACTTGGAAAAAATGAATATCTTTAAAAAAAGTTACCAAATGAAACTGAATCAAGTGAAATTCAAAAATCTATATAGATTTGTATTCACCAAAAATATTGACTCAATAGTGAAAAACCTTTCCACAGAGAAAATACCATCCCCCGATAGGCTGATAGGGCTTCCAAAACATTAAGAACATAAATAATTCCAAATTTATACATTTTTGTGTAGTACATAAACAGAGATTTCTTTCCAACATATTTTTATACTAGTACAAACTTTATGCCAAAACAAAACAAGAAAACATTCCAAAACATAAAAAGAAAAATTGCAGTCTACTTTGTTCAAAAATACTAATCAAAATATTAGTTAGCTTAATCCAGCAATGTATACTAAAAACCAATCTTGGCCAAGGAAGTTTAACACTAGTATTGCAAAGATGTTTTAATATTAGAAAAATGTATTGACATAATTAAACACATTAACATATGATAAGAGATACCCATGTGATTAATCCCAGGAATAGAAGAAAAATTATTTTAAATGATCAAAATCATTTAAATAAATACTTAAAGCAAACTAAATATAGAAAAAAATTTTCTCATCACCCTTTAAAAAAACAGCGGTACATACATAGTGTAAGCATACACTATATTCTATACAACCTATCCACTACAATAGTACTATGTACTATATAGTATATAATATATAGTATAAGCCAGTACATGGAGCTGAACTGCCTTGCCTCAAATGGTGTCTCTGACATTAAGTGGCTATGTAACATTAGACAAATCATTGAATCTTTCTGCTTTCATTGTTTTGTCTATTTAAAGGAGATAATGGTAGAGATTAATTTATGGGACATTTTGATGATGATTATCATAAAAATAAATGCTTATATACAGGGGCCTGACATAAGTGAAATAAATATATTTGTGTTAACTATTATTTTGAAATCTTAAATGTCCTTTTATTAAAGTCAGGCAAAAAGCAAGAATGTCTGCTGTTGTCATTTCTAATTCAGCATTTTACTGGTGGTCTTATCTCACAAAATATGGCTATGAGCATTGGAAAGAAAGCTCTTATTATTTGTATATTATATGATTGCCTACATAAAAAATCCAAGGGAATCTCAAAAAAATTGAACTAATAAAAAATCCTGGCTGGGCATGGTGGCTTATGCCTGTAATCTCAGCACTTTGGGAGGCTGAGGAGGGTGAATCATGAGGTCAGGAGTTTGAGACCAGCCTGGCCAAGATAGTGAAACCCCGTCTCTACTAAAAATACAAAAATTAGCTGGGTGTGGTGGTGGGTGCATGTAATCCCAGTTACTTGGGAGGCTGAGGCAGGAGAATTGCTTGAACCTGGGAGGCAGAGGTTGCAGTGAGCCGAGATCACTGCCACTCTAGCCTTAGCGACAGAGCAAGACTCAGTCTCAAAAAAAAAAAAAAAAAAAAAAATTCCTGTTTACTGAATGCAAAAGTACCATTCCAAAAAAAAAAATTGTTGCTAGATACATACAACTAGAAAATGTAGTTAAAAATAACTCAGGTGATAGCAACAAAAACTATTAGTTGTAGAGAAAAAAAGTATCTTTTACAGAGAAAATTGTAAAACATTTAATGTGTAAAATTAAAAATTAGACTAATAAATTGTGGAGTATACTATGTTCATGGATGATTTAGTACATAAATCGTCACTTTAATAAATTGTGAGGTATACCATGTTCATTGATGATATAGTACCTATGTCCATCATTCTCAGTTTAATCTGTAAATCCATTGAATTCTACTCAAAATCCCAACAGTTTACCACAAAGATTGACTTTAGTGAACATAGAAGACAGATGCATCTATATACAATATGGAAATATATGGATAAAATAGGACTGACAATCCATGGTTGTAAAGACATAGTAACTAAAACAGTGTTATATTAGTCCAGGCAGATATATATTGACCAAGAGAACAGAACAAAAGCTTAAAAGGAGACCAACATATAAATGTGGAATTACTGTGTGACACTAAATATGGGGAAAAAAATCTGAACTATTTTTATGGCATTGGAGGAAAATAATAAATTTGTATTCCCATAAATAACATGTAAAAGATAATCTAACTGAGAAAAGATATCCAAATGTAAAAAAATATTACAGATGAGAAGAAAACATTTGCAGTGAATGTTAAAAGGATGATTCAAGAAATGCATAAAGAATCTCTAAGTAAATAAAAAAAATAGCGAATTACCAAGTGAAAAAATAGACTAGAAATATTAAACAACAATTCACGGGAAAGGAAGCATAGAGGTCAATAAATACATACAGGGCTGGGTGCGGTGTAATCCCAGCACTTTGTGAGGCCAAGGCGGGCAGATCACAAGGTCAGGAGTTCAAGACCATCCTGGATAACACGGTGAAACCCCATCTCTACTGAAAATACAAAAAATTAGCCAGGTGTGGTGGCGGGCACCTGTGGTCCCAGCTACTCAGGAGCCTGAGGCAGGAGAATGCCGTGAACCTGGTAGGCGGAGCTTGCAGTGAGCCGAGATCGTGCCACTGCACTCCAGCCTGGGTGACAGAGCGAGACTCCATCTCAAAAAAAAAACTTAATTAAAAAAATAAATAAATACATACACAAAAACTCCTAGCCATGCTAAGAATCAGAATAATGCAAATTTAAATAAACATATACCGTTTCTTTCACATCAAATTGGCAAAAGTTAAAATAGCCTGATAATGTCCTATTTGACAATGAGATGAAGAAATAGAAATTCATATCCAGAGGGCTTGAATGTAAACAAACATGATGATACTGAGTTGAATATTCATGTGATGTAAAATTCAACAGCTTCACTTTTAGCTCTTTCATAAAGTCATCCAAATATGTAAAATAATGATATTTTAATAATTGTTTTATAACATTAAAAAAAGTAAAAACAACCTGTCTATCAAAAGGGAGTGGAATATATAAAACATGGTTTGATTATACAATAAAATAAAAAGTAAAGGCATGAACTGGATCTCTATCATGGTAGAAACAAGTTACAGAACATTATACAGAAGGTACTTAACACTTAAGTAGAAATTTAAAACACAATAAATAACAGTAGAATGTTATTTATGGATAAATGTACATATAATAAATTATTAAAATATGCATTTGAGTCTAATACACTATGGATTAGTGCTTATGTATAAAGAGAATTTGAGAGGCAAAAGGTGATAGAGTGGGTCTTAAACTGAAAGGTTTTATATATTTCCTAAATCATAATTTGAATAAATTATTAAAAATATTAACACCTGTGCAATTGAGTATTGAGAACCTGTTTTGATGTTTAGAATGTTTCATTTTGTTTTTAAAAATAATAAATTGATGTAAACTCTAGATCAGAAAGAGGAGTCGTAATATTGGCAGTTTCTAAAGCGTCAAAAAGAAGGCTTTTTTTCCCCTGACTTCTAAACCTCTTCTTTATGAATATGGTTTTGGCTATTCTGAAGACTTATAATAAGCTATCAGGTTATTTATAATCATTTGTGAATAGGTTTTATTGTTTTTAAAATTTTATACAGTGCCTAGATTAAGTGCCTCCACAAATGGATATTTTATAACTATTTTGGATAATAATGTTGATGATATTGATTGCAATACTCATAAATTAATAGCCTAGAATTATAACTTCATGTCTATTGGC
Organism: Homo sapiens; assembly: GCF_000001405.40. NCBI lineage: Eukaryota > Metazoa > Chordata > Mammalia > Primates > Hominidae > Homo > Homo sapiens. The sequence continues at coordinate 53,660,521 of NC_000013.11, forward strand.
AGTGTAGAGGCTGACTATAGATAACCTGTTAATAACATAACGTTGTAAAGTCTGAGTCAGAAACTTTCAAAATTTCTAATGAACATTAATTGAATGAACTGGCTGTATAAATGTTGAGACAAGTTCCATGCAGGTAGCTCAGAATACAGACCACTAATGTTTCAAAGAACTCTGAATTCTTGTGATGATGGCTATTTAAGAAAACTCTGGATGTGTTCTTTAGGTCCAACTTTAGTATACACATGGTTAAAAGGGAGAAACAAATGATCTCTATTCTGTTATGCAAACTCTGCAGATTTTGACTATTTTCTTTTTGTATCATTCAGAAGAATTGATATCAATTTAAATGTTATAACTGCAAAAGAGAACTAAGAAAATCACAGCTCAATTATTCTTCTCACCTGCTTCACCAGTTTATTTTCTGTAATGACAGTAAACTCAAAGACCTATTCTAAAAAGTTAACATTTCTTCTGTTTTCAAGTGCTCATAAACTGTGCATAGGAATTTATTTTCCACAGTGGAGTTTACTATGATGTAAAGAATTGAGAAGGTTTTCAAAATAACTAGATTTCAACAAGACAACAAATGTAGGCAATTCATTAGGGAAGTTGATTGTAACAGTGAATGCAATACACTTAGGGAAGAGCAGCCTATTTGTTAATTTATCCAAACAGTACATCTGTGGATCAAATATTTATTAAAGAAACGATGGAGAGGTAGGTTTTCTTGAAAATATAATTTTCTGTATATTAGGAGAGTATCTTGTAAGATAGCACAAGCGATGAGAACTTGGTGAATAGAAGTATAAAGACCATATTGCCAATGAAAATCAATCAACAGAGAACATAATATTTATAAAAATTTGATGATAACAAAGATGCAACTACAGCAACTGCCCTGTGATAATTAAGGGAACAGATTATCAAGCACAACATAATGAATGCCTTGTTTTCCATCAGTTTTTATAAACAAACAATGATGGATCCATCATCCAAAATTAGCAAGAAACAGCATATGATGCAATGAGGATTTAATTAAAATAGGCAGAGTAAATGGATGCAGCAAAAAAAAAGAATGCTGAACATAAAATAATATTCTAGCAAAATATTTTGAAATAAAAATATTGGAGCAGATTTTATATATAAGATACTATATATAAAATAGTAGTATTTTAGTAGTATATAAGATACTGTTTAACAAGCAAATAAATTGAAACCAAGGTGTTTCAATTATTACCATTACAGATTTCACATTTAAGTTTGAATAAAAACAATACAATTATAAGAATAATTCGCATTTAAATGAACAATGGCACAAACACGCAGGAGATTATACTTTTGGCGAGGTTTTACTATATATATATTTTTTACTATATTTATATATTATATTTTACTATATATATATATTTTATTATATTTTACAGTCTCACTCTGTTGCCCAGGCTGGAATGCAGTGGTGTGATCTCAGCTCGCTGCAACCTCCGGCTCCCGGGTTCAAGTGATTCTCCTGCCTCAGCCTTCTGAGTAGCTGGGATTACAGGCATGTGCCACCATGTCCAGCTAATTTTTGGATTTTTAGTAGAGATGGGGTTTCACCATGTTGATCAGGCTGGTCTCGAACTCCTGAGCTCATGTTCCGCCCACCTTGGCCTCCCAAAGTGCTGAGATTACAGGTGTGATCCATTGCGCCCGGCCTGAGTTGGTCTTTTAATATCAGACTATGTTCAAAGTATGAAGATACATTTTGGGAAAATAATATCTGATATGGTTTGGCTCTCTGTACCCTCCCAAATCTCATCTTGAATTGTAATCTCCATGCTTTGAGGGGGAAACCTAGAGAGAGGTGATTGGATCATGGGGTAGTTCCCCCCATGCTGTTCTCATGACTGTAAGTGAGTTCTCATGAGATCTGATTTTTTAAAAGTGTGGCACTTCCTCTCTCTCTCTCTTCTCCTCTGCTGCCATTTTAAGTATGCCTTGCTTCCCCTTTGTCTTTCACCATGATTATAAGTTTCCTGAGGCCTTCCCAGCCATGTGGAACTGTGAGTCAATTAAACCTCTCCCCTTAATAAATTACCCTGTCTCAGATAGTTCTGTAGAGCTGTGTAAAAACAGACTAATACAGAAAATCAGTATTGGGATAGTGGGATACCTCTAAAAAGATAACCAGAAAATTTGGAGGCGACTTTGGAACTGGGTAATGGGCAGAGGTTGGAACAGTTTGGAGGCCTCAGATGAAGACAGAAAAATATAGGAAAGTTTGGAACTCCCTAGAGACTTGTTGAATGGCTTTAACCAAATTTCGAATAGTGATATGAACAATGAAATCTAGGCTGAGGTGGTCTCAGATGAAGATGAAAAATTTATTGGGAACCAGAGCAAGGGTCACTCTTGCTATGCTTTAGCAAATAAACTGGTGCCATTTTGTCCCTGTTCTGGAGATCTGTGGAACTTTGAACTTGAGAGAGATGATCTAGGGTATCTGGCAGAAGAAATTTCTAAGCAGCAAAGCATTCAAGAGGTAATCTGGCTTTTTCTAAAAAGTGTATAGTCATATGTATTCACAAAGATATGATATGAAACTGGAACTTACATTTAAAAGGGAAGCATAACATAAAAGTTTGGAAAATTTGTAGCCTGACCATGTGGTAGAAATGAAAAACTCACTTTTTGGGGAGAAATTCAAACTGGCTGCAGAAATTTGCATAATAAATAACAAGGAGCCAAATGTTAATAGCCAAGACAATGGGGAAAATGTCTCCAGGGCATTTCAGAGATCTTCATGGCAGCCTCTCCCATCACAGGCCCAGAGGCCTTGGAGGGAAAAATGATTTTGTGGACTGGGCCCAGAACCTTGCTGCTTTGCGCAGCCTTGGGACATGGCACCCTACAAACAAGCTGCTCCAGCTCCAGCCTTGGCTAAAAGGGGCCAATGTAGAGTTGGGCTATGGTTTCAGAGGGTGCAAGCCCCAAGCCTTGGTGGCTTCCATGTGGTGTTGGGCCTGCAGCTATGCAGAATACAAAAGTTGAGCTTTGGGAGCCTCTCCCTGGGGTTTGTCATTGATGGTTCTTATTATTTTGAGGTATGTTCCCTCAATACCTAGTTTGTTGACACTTTTTAACGTGAGGAATGTTGAATTTTATTGAAGGACTTTTCTGCTTCTATTGAGATAATCATGTAGGTTTTGTCTTTAATTCTGTTTATGTAGTGAATCACATTTATTAATTTGCATATATTTAACCAGCCTTGTATCATGGGGATGAAGCCTACTGGATCATGGTGGATAAGCTTTCTCATATGTTACTGGATTTGGTTTGCCAGTATTTTGTTGAGAATTTTTGCATTGATGTTCATCAGGGATACTGGCTTGAAGTTTCCTTTTTTTGTTGTATCTCTGCCAGGTTTTGGTATCAGGATGATGCTGGCCTCAAAGAATGGTTTAGGGAGTAGTTGCTCCTTTTCAATTTTTGGAATAGTTTCTGTACCAGCTCATACTATGGAATAGTATGGTACCAGCTATTCTTTGTACCTCTGGTAGAATTCAGCTACGGATCCATCTGGCCCTGGTTTTTTTTTTTTTTTTTTTTTTTGGTTGGTATGCTATTTATTATGGCCTCAATTTCAGAACTCATTAGTCTATTCAGGGATTCAACTTCTTCCTCATTCAGTTGTGGAAAGGTGTATGTGTTCAGAAATTTATCTGTTTCTTCTAGATTTTCTAATTTATTTGCATGGAGGTGTTTATAGTATTTTTCCAATAGTTGTTATTTCTGTGGGGTCAGTGTTGATATCCCTTTTATCATTTTTTATTGTGTCCATTTGATTCTTCTCTCTACTAGTCTAGCTAGTGGCCTATCTATTAAAAAAAACAGCTCATGGATTTGTTGATTTTTTGAGAGTTTTTTCATGTCTGTCTCCTTCAGTTCCGTTCTGATCCTGGTTATTTCTTCTCTTTTGGTAACTTTGGGGTTTGTTTGCTCTTGGTTCTCTAATTCTTCTTGTTGTGATGTTAGGTTGTTAACTTGAGATCTTTTAGCTTTTGGAGTGGGCATTTAGTGCTATAAATTTCCCTCTGCATTAGCTGCATCCAAGAGATACTGGTACATTGTATCTCTGTTTTTATTAGTTTCACAGAACTTCTTGATCTATATCTTAATCTCATTATTTACCTAAGTCATTCAGGAGCAGTTCATTCAATTTCCATGTAGCTGTGTAATTGTGACTTAATTTCTTAATCCTGAGTTTGAATTTGATTGTACTGGGGTATGAGAGACTGTTATGATTTCAGTTTTTTTGCATTGGCTGAGGAGCATTTTACTTCTGATTGTGTGATCAATTTTAAAGTAAGTGTCATGTGGCAATGAGAATAATGTATATTCTGTTGTTTTTGGGTTGAGAGTCTGTGGATATCTCTCAGATGTACTTGATCCAGAGCTGAGTTCAGGTCCAAAATATCTTTGTTAATTTTCTATCTCAATGATCTGTCTAATATTGTCAGTAGGATGTTAAAGTCACCCACTATTATTGTGTGGGAATCAATGTCTCTTTAAAGGTCTCTACAAACTTGCTTTATGAATCTGGGTGCTCCTGTATTGAATACATATATATTTAGGATAGTTAGTGCTTCTGTTAGAATTGAATCCTTTACCATTATATAATGTCCTTCTTTTTCTTTTTTCATCTTGTTTGGTTTAAGGTCTGTTTTGTCAGAAACTAAGATTGCAACCCATGATTTTTTTTTTTTTGCTTGTTAGATGATTTTCCATATTTTGAACCTATTTGTGTCTTTGCACATGAGATGGGTCTCTTGAAGACAGCATACCAATGAGTCTTGGTCTTTTATCCAACTTGCCATTCTGTGTCTTTTAATTGGAGCATTTAGCCCACTTACTTAGTATTGTTATGTGTGGATTTGATCCTGTCATCATGATGCTAGCTGGTTATTTTGCAGACATTTTTATGTGGTTGCTTCATATTGTCACTGGTCTGTGTACTTCAGTGTGTTTTTGTAATGGCTGGTAAGGGTTTTTCCTTTCCGTATTTGGTGCTTCCTTCAGGAGCTCTTGTAAGGCAAGTCTGATGGTGATGAATTTTCTCAGCATTTGCTTTTCTGAAAAGGATCTTATTTCTCCTTCTTTTATGAAGTTAGTTTGAGCGGATATAAAATTCTGGGTTGAAATTTGTTTTAAGAATGACTAATGTTGGTGCCTAATCTCTTCTGGGTTATAGGGTTTCTGCTGAGAGGTCTGCTGTTAGTCTGATGGGCTTCCCTTTGTAGGTGACCTGTTATTCTTTGCAAATATTCAGGGCATGAGAAGAATGAAATTTGGTCTGAGAACTGGATGAAACATGATTATCTAAAAGGAATAGATTTTGTTTAGTTGGTATACATGAAAGAAGATAGGGCATCTAGGCTTTGATGAAATTACATTTCAAAAGGGATGGAGAAATACATAGAGGAGAAGACCCAATGAAGTACGTTTTGCATAGAATAGTGGGGCTCAGAAAGTCAGTTTCTACTCCCAGTTCAGACAGTGATATTTTTTATTTCACTTTCTCTGCTCTTAGCCACACACTGCTCTTTTGTAGACTGAGGAGCCTACCATGTGGACTGTCAGATTACATCTATTCCTGCTCTTTGCTAGAACGTTTAAGGAACTTTATGCTTTGTCCTGATTTTGTGATCTTGGTTTATGTCATCATTTTTTTATGCATTCATTCTCTACCTATATTTACCTTTGCTCTTTGGTTTGTTTTTTATTTACTTGTCTTGTGAATTGATTTGGAAAGTAGGCATTTTAAAATTTTAACAATTTTTCATAACTTATATAACAAATATTTAATACAGCAGCCCTTCAGAGATAGTTCATTATAAAATTCAAGAATAAAATGGCACCTTTTGACATTTATTTTTTATGCACTCTTTATTTCCTTCTTAGTAGCTTTTCAATCTTTCATAATAGAACATGAGTTTGTGAATACGTTTGTGATATCATTTTTCTAAATAAATGTCTCTTTTTACCACAGTGTCCTTTATTTGATTGACAGCTATACCATATATTTTAAATGATGATAATAACTGTCAATATTTTTCTCTCATTTTGTTCTCTTATTTGTGATTTCTTGCTCAGCTGAATTTCTCTTTTCCTCCAAGAATTGTGAGCATTTAATTGATTTAGTACATGTGAATGCCTTTCATTTACTTTCACCAAAAATTATAAACTGTGTAAAGCCTATTGTGTTGCTATAGTTTTCATGAAATATTTGTAGACATTATCACTACCTTCTGGCCTTTAGTATTGCAATAGAAGAACATGAGATCAAACATGGTTTTGATTTTTTTGTAACCTATTTTTTTTGCCCTCATATACCTGTGAGTTTAAAAAAAATATTTATAATTCAAAATTTTGCTTGGATTATAGAAATCACACTGCCTTAATTTTGGCTGGAATATAACTCCTCTTACACCACAATATCCCCTCCTCCATATTTTAATTTAGAAATACAAAATTTAAACAGTGGAAAGAACAAAACAGAACACCTATATGCCTTACACATATTTTCCAGATTGTTACCGTTGCCACATTGGCTTCATCTTTCTCTATCCCTCCCTTTCTGTCTATGTGTTCTTATATATGGATATATATGCACATTTATGTGTGTGTGTCCATGTGCACATACACGCTTATGTATATTGGCTCAATATACATAAGGCTCAATAAGTTGCAAGTAAGTTGCAGACATTATGGAATTTTATCCATAAGCATTTTGAGTACATTTTATAAGAATAATGACATTTTCTGATATAACTATAATATCATTAGCACATATAACAAAGTTAATATTAATTTAATAATTTAAAATATGCTACATATATTTTCTCCAATTTTATATCTATCAAAATATTTCTCATCATTTGAAACTCTTCTGTTTCTCCTCTTGGTTCTAAGAACAGTTCACAAGTATATCCTGGGCATCTTGTTTCAGTTTTATTCAGTACTATTTCTGCTCTTTGACTGCCTACATGGATAATTTAATCTTGCATTGAAGAATAGTATTTGCATATTATCCAGTTTTTCCTTCTCATTTTAGCAGCATTTGGTCTCCTTTTTTATGGCCATATTTAAGTGCATTTTGCTGAGAATACCAAAGAGTATTATAGACTTCTTGTGCCGATATTTAATAACGACTTTGGAATGAATGTTTTTCTCTTCTAAGCATCCAAAATGATTACTTTTGCTATACACTGGAATAAATTATATTTTTTCTAGCTATTGTTACTTCCAGAAGGATGAATGTATTCATACCCAACCCTGATTTTGGATTGCCCTTGATCTTGCTCAATATCTACTTGTTTAATAGCTGACTTTTATGATCTACATATGGAAGACAGACTGGATTTCACAACTTTTCTGCCGATGTGCAGAATCTAGAAATAATTTTTCTAGCTTGTTTCTGCTGGGCTGACTTGGCAGCTATTAACAGGTTGTCTAATTCTCTGGCACTGAGAATTGCTATAATTTATGAAAAACTAAAATTCCCAAATATTGCTAGCAAGGGTCTTCTTTCAGAACGTTGCTTAAGGATACTCAGAATTCAGTGAGCTCACAGCATTCTATCAGTCTCTACTCTGTCTTTCCATATTTTGCTCTGTTGAGTTCTGGGAGCATGAAAATTTCTAAGAAATGATATGTAAAGATGTGTGAAGGCAAGATTCTTATCCTGGCCCCTCTATACAAAACAATATAATTTGATACACTACAGTACAGAATAGGATGCTATGTGATGGGACACAACAGAGCACAATAAAATATCCATGAAGTTGAAGAACAGGTGTCTAGTTTTCTGGTGGGTACCCATCCTTGATTTCTGAGTCTTGGGAAGAGAGGCAGGAGGAAGAAGTATTTTCCTAACTTTCTTTCATGAGGCAAACCTGAGTACAATGCTTATTGCTTTTCTTAATCAAATTCCAATGACTATGATAAGTTGATAATGTTAGATTTTTTTCAGTATTTTTAAGTTGTGGCATTTTCTGCATTTTCATAGATGTTCTGGGAGAGGAGAAGCGATGTGATTTGTGAGTTAAGAGCCAAACATATTTTAAACGGAAAATTCAGAGTTGACATTTGAAATTAGTAAATTTGACGTTCAAGTTCAAGCAATTTGCATTTCCCTACATTTTCACCCTTTCAAAAAAATTATTTCCTCAGAACCTCTTATTTGAAGAGGTGTTTTACAAACATCTCATTTTATTATCACAATAATGTTGTTAGGCAGGTCTTAACGTTGTTTTCAATTTTTAAACGCATTTTCATTTTTACAGTTATGGAAAACCAGGGCTCAGAAAGTGTGTGTTATTTCCCGCCCCCCCAACAAATTCATAGTGGAAACAGATCTATCTAAATGTAAGGCCCATGCTACTACTTCTATAACGATATTCCAAAGAGAAAACAATTTTATTTGGTATAATATTATTTTTTCAAAATGTACACAGGTGGCAAATCTGAAATCATAGGAGATAATATTGAGGAAATACTATCTGTTCTCTGTTGTACACTTAGTTTGAAAGTAATAATGACCTGAAGATATTGGTTATTATTTGACACATCAAACTTTGCTAAAGATATCTAACTACCTGGACATTAGAAATGTTATATACTACTTTATATAGATACATGCAAATTGAATGTATATCAAAAATTATAATTTCTTTCTAGACATCCAGATTCTCCCAATTCTCACAAATTTTTTTCTGAAAACATTATTACTATAAAACAGAATCAATTTATGAACACTCTGTCTAGAAAACTCTTCAGTAAAAATATATTTTGAATCGTCCAAACCTTAAGTGAGTGTATTTAAAATGAGTCATGGAAATGCAATGGAAATGGTATGGTCTTTGCAATAAAAAGCTACTGAATAAATACATATGTAGAAAAAAATGAACCTTGTTTTCTACCTCACATCAAACACACACAAACTCACACACACACACTTTCAAACGGACTGCAAATCAAAATGCAGAAGTTAAAACAATAATATTTAGTAGAAAATTTAGTAGAATACGTTCATTAGCTTAGAAGAGTAAATATTTCTTAAAGATAAAATAGTAATAACTAACAATAAAAAATTGATAAAGTACAATGTTAAAACTCAGAACTTTCTGTTCATCAGAAGACACTATTAAGAGAGTGAGAAGATAATGCATGAGAGGGAAAAGATACTTACAATACGTTCACCTGACATAAAACTCCTATCTAGAATATATAAAGGACTTTTATAAGTGAATAAGAAAAATATGGATGTAGAATGCAAAAACTGGCAAAAGAACTGAAGATACTTTCTACAAAAGAAGATTGTCAAGCAAACTTTTTTTTTTTTTTTTTTTGAGACAGAGTCTCTCTCTTTCACCAGGCTGGAGTGCAGTGGCAAGATCTCAGCTCACTGCGACCTCCATCTCCCAGGTTCAAGCAATTCTCCTGCCTCAGCCTCCCGAGTAGCTGGGACTATAGGCGCGTGCCACCACACCCAGCTAATTTTTGTATTTTTAGTAGAGACAGGGTTTCACCATGTTGGCCAGGATGGTCTCGATCTCTTGGCCTCATGATCTGCCCGCCTCGGCCTCCCAAAGTGCTGGGATTACAGGCGTGAGCCACTGCGCCCAGCCGTCAAGCAAGCTTTCATTAGTCAGGGAAACAAGTTAAATTCCACAGTATGACGAGATCACACATCCTTGTTAGAATGGCAAAAAAGAAAATGACAAAAAAAATACCAATATTGGTCAGAATTAGAAAGTGTAAGCAGATATAACCACTTTGGGGTACTGTACAACAGTATGTACTAAAACTGAATGTACATATTTCCCGACCCAACATTCTAACCCTTAAGTATGTATCTGATTGAATGCATACATATGTTCACCAAAAGACATACATTAAAATGATCACAAAGGTACTATGAGTAATAGCCTAAAACTGGAAATTTCCAAAAATTCATTAGCAGTAGCAAGGATGAATAAATTGTGATAAATTTACACTGTGGAATACTACAGAGAAAGGAGAATGATTGTATGTGTATCTATATGCAACAATATAAACCTCAAAAACATAATGTGACATAAAAGAATCCAGAAATATAAGAATATATACTGCATGATTTCATTTATAGAAAGAGAGAAAAATAAAGTGAAACTAATCTATGCTGTTAGAATTCAGAAAAGAATTTGTGATTTTTGGGAGGGGGTTTTAGTGACTAGAAAAGGCTCAAGATGAACTTCTAGATAGTGGGTCTTGATCTGGGCACTTGTTACACAGTTTTCACAGTTTGGAAAGAAACGGTGAACAGTATATCATGGTATGTTACCTTTTCTGCATTTATAGTCAATGAAACGCTTTAATAATTGAACTTTCAATCATAAAGTGGACTGGGAATTAAAGTTTCGATTTTTCACAGGAAAGCAAATAATACGAAATTCTTTGAAATGTACCTGATGCATTTATTATACTCTGTGATACATACTATTGCATTTGGTAGCCTGTATGAGACTTCTATAAGGAATATTATCAGAGAATCCTAGAGCTGAGGGAGACTGTGAAATCCTCTATTTCAGACTTATGGTTTTGAGGCAATTAGTTACTGTTGATTTTAAACAATATTGATTGGACAGACAGAACTCAGAGGTGTCAATAGATTACACAGATGATGGAAGTAGTATGACAACCTACCTGAGGCCTGTAGAAGTCCTACTTTACAAAAGAATAATAGAACTGGCTGATACTATTTGATTGAGTGTGGAGACTTCATTTTAATCTAGTTGCAATATAGTTCAGTGTCATGGAGGAATTTACCTCTTAATGTACTGGAGGTATCTCCAAGGACTTATGATGTACTGATGAGAAGATTTAACAAAAGCACATAAAATCACCATTGTGTCAGTATAGTATGATAAGCATTGTAGGCTCTCTATGCTTGAGGATCTTTCCAAATGTTGTTATTTTGAAAGTAGCCAAAGGTCATTAATAAAAGAAATCATAATATAAGAATAGGTAGATTAACATATTCTCCATTAAGATAAATTTCTCATCATCTGGCTATAACTGCTGGAACACCTAGTAGAAATAAAACCACAACAACAGCAGCCAGGAGCTTCAGACCTTTGATTTAGTCTAGTTTAAACATTAGCAAGTGTGTGATCATAGGTAGTTGTTAAAATTTCTTAGGGCATAATTTCCCTTACTGATTAAATGAAGGACTTGAATTTGATGATCATTAATTTCCCTTCCAACTTCGAGATTATATAGTTCTCATCATTGCACTAGCTCTTATGTAACTTAAGTGTATTTCATGCATGCTTTTACAAAAGTCTATATCTCTTTTCCCTTATTATTTATTTTACCTTATCTGGACCAAAAATTTATCTCTGCCGAAACCTGAAATTCAGCTAAATTCAAGCTTATTAATTTAATGCTAAATATGGGACGGATACACAGAAAATTACTAATTTTGCAACTAATTCAAGCACTTCTAATGATCGGCAATTATGAGAAATAAAAGGGAGTGAGTAATACTTTATAAGTCTGGTTAATTAACGAACTCTTTGCTTGTACTTTACAAAATTGAATACATGGTAGACATTTAAAGATAATCTCAGAATTACCACAGTAAGCATATTTACACAAATGTCAATTCAAGATCTGGCTAATGTCAAGAATAAGTGAATTATCTTGACATACACCAGAGTCTGAATAGCAGTAAAAGTCAGTTCATCAAGTATTTATTATACATATTCTACTTTAAAATTATGGGCTTCACATTTGTGTTTGATTTTTTAAACCTCTTTCTCTTTACATCAGCTCTGAGAAATTTTGCTCAGAAGAGCTTCAAGTTATGCTATAAACGTTAAACAATGGTATTGTTAACATGTTTATTTTTCTTTGTTTAAGATTGTAAACTTGACTAAATTAAATAGCTTTGTTAGACAATTTTAGAAATGAATCAAATATACAACATAAGGTAAATAATACAAAAATGCAAGGAATAAAAAGGAAATCAAAATGACACAGCTAAAGCCTTTGAACATACATTCTTTTAGTTTTTGAAGGGTTCAGTTGATAAGTGAAGCTAACACAAAGTCTTTATTTGTAAAGAAGTGAAGAGTTAGAATACACAAAAAAGAGAAATTGCTCTGATGACTTATATTCATTTCCTAATTTAACAAAATAAAGGAACACTATTCTAATAGAAAATCTGTATAAGTACAATCCATAAATACCTTTAAGTTTATGAGACATTGATAAGCAAAATAAAAGATGTAAAAATCTGAAATAAAGAAAAATATTTTTTATACTGAGAAGTTTATTACACAGCAAACCTATGCAGGATAATTTATTTACTTCTTTTGTAATGTTGGCACAAATGAATAAGATCATAGATCACTAAAAATGTAAATTCGAAGAGCACAAGCATTTCTATTCTTCAGCCTTGCCAAAGACCTTTCACGGCACCTCTATTCTGATTGGGGATAAGATCTGAGAAAATGGACAATTTCTGTTACACTGAAAACCTGAAGCCATTGCTATTGATATAAAAATACATAGATGTGGACAGCAGAGCTAGAAAATGGGCTTGAGTCTTCCAAGCAAGGGCTTGAAAAAAAAACAACTCTATGAATTCAGAAGAAAAACATGTGGCTCAAATGAACAAATAATCCAATTGCTGCAGAAGTTTTTAAAAGTGAAAAGGTGTTGTACAGGTGTTGTACAGAGGAAAACTTAAAAGTTCTTTAGGAATTGCATAATAGTAATGTTAAATGACTGATTTGATTTCTCCAAATCAATTTATTTAATTATTTTTTGAAAAATTCTTTAAAACAACCATGAGTTCAGAAGTTGTGCTTCTTACTTGAATAGCTATATTTTTCTATCTATGAGTAGATGGCAAAATATCTTAGGCAACAAATAAATGTGGGTAATTTGGGTAACAAGAATTTGAGAACTCAAATGATTTAAACATGGTAGCTATTTATAGTGTATTTTTATATCACAAATATATTCTTTTAGTCACTTTGCTTTTGCCCTATTTAAATATACATGCATTTCAGATAAGATTTAAGCAAACTTCATGATTCATTGCATTTGATTCATTAACACATTGCTTTTTGTGTTCTTTGATGTTTGAGAAATCTTGTGTGTCTTTTGGATAAGCCTTCTTAAGATGTTTTCCCTCAAAGTCAGAACATTATACTTTGCTAACTAAAGAAATACACAAGGACTAAAAATTTGCTTTGTAATAGAGAGCCAGGATATTCTGAAGATTTGCCAATGCACATCTCCTTTATCCATCAGCCAGACAGAGGTCAGGAATCAATACTTGACAACTGATCAGTGTTCTGGAAAATAATGAACAGCAAAGAGAGAAACTAGAAATCATATTGCAGGGGCTAGAGGCAAAACAAAAATAAAAATACTTTTTCAAAAGTAAGGGTATTGACAGTACACAAGATGAAAATGCATTCTAAATGAGATGTGCCCAGTGCAAAAGAAAGTAAAAGACAAAGAAGAAAAAGTGATCTTTTTTCCTGGATTTAAATTTATTCTAGAGAAAAACAAAGCACAAAAATTGCATCCCAAATTGAGCCTTGGGTCTGAATGTTTTTGGAAAAACTTGGAAAAATACAGACAATATTTTAATCTTTTTATTACATTTATATTTACTACATTGCCCATTAACAAGAGCAATCATTAGCTATATCAACTGTACTAGGGGTGATATTTACTTTTGACCTTAGAGACTACTAAAAGTGTGAATTTTGGATAAGATCTTATCACATTTTTATGTGATAGTATATAAGCTAGAATATTTAACTTCAGAAAAATAAGACAAGTCAAACATATTCCATGAACATTTTGGGCAATCCCAGCACAAAGTAGCAGAAATTATATGGATTTTATGTTAGGAATTCATGGATAGAAATCCTGATCTATGTAATCATTCCCAAATGCAATTTTCTTGTTTGTAGGATGAATAAGTAGGTTACGCTAAAGATAAAAATAGACAATATATGTGCAAAGGGCTTAGTACCATCTTATTTCTCAAAAAAAGATTGCTGTTACAAAGAATTATTTAGGCAACCTGATGAAGAATTACAAACTGAAGGAGGCATAAGGGATATTCTTATTGCAAAGAAGGTCACATTCTGAGGTTCTGGGAAGACAAATCTTTTCAGGGCCATTATACAACTCACTGAAGTCACTAATAAATTAAGAGATATTCTCATTTTATTCTGATTATAAAAGAATTGCCTATATCAGACAAACTGTCCAGCTCAGAACTTTGAAATCTGGATAAAAGACAAAACAATCAGCTCCAAGAGCAAACAGAGAACACTTATGGCATCCAGGACTTCAAGGAGGCCAAGCTATAGGGAGAGGCAGAAAGATCTTGAGAGGAACTGGGTACTGTCTGCCACTTAACTGATTCAGCACAAACAAAATGCCAAGCAGAAAGCTGTGGCATAGAGCTTTTCATAATCTCGTGGAGCCACAGAGATACAATTAAATTACCAATCTGAGTGACTAAAATAGCCAGGATTTGAGGGACTAAGAGTCTTGAGAAAAGGAAGCTACAGAGAAGTTATCTTCTGGCAATCTGTTTTCAATGTATGTGTCCTTTCATAAATTGCACTGGGTGATAAGAAATAAGAACAAAGAAACCATTGGCTTTTGGCAATCTCACAGTGCTAGGGAGACAAAAAAAATGTAATTCGGAATTCACCGATGAAGAAGAACCATGGTAAATATCCCAGACATTTAGTGAAACCTCTGGAGGGCTACATCTAGTAAACATAACCAAGCAAAAAGTAGACTAAACCTGTAAAACTGAAAATCAGTTTCAAATTAGTTCTATCCATGATTGGAGCATGATATTTCTGCTCTGCAGTTATTTCCTAGAAGAAAAATAAATTTCCTCTGGAGCAAGATAACATCACACTGATATCTACAATGATTGATTCATACACATTACCTGGCATTCAATAAAAATTAAGACATGTTCAGAAGACAGTACCAATTCAAGAAGAAAAAAAAAACTAGAAAAAAAATAGACCTTCGAAACAGATCTCCTGATAATCAGTTTATTGAAGTAATCACAAAAGGACATTAAAGGTAGTAATATGTTTATAAAAATTGACAACAAGATAATGAGTTTCATAGAGAACTATTATTTGTGTAAACAAAGCAAATGGAAATTCTAAACCTGAAAATTACAATAACTGAAATTGAGATCTCAATAAATAGGTTAAAACATATATTAGACACAGCAGAAGAAAAGATTGGTGAAATAAAAAATAGACCAAAAGAGAACATACCAATAGAAGAATGGAGTGCTTAAAAAAGAATCTGCTTTACTTTTATGCAGTTTTATTGAAGTATATTTTATATATATATTAAATTTTCCCATTTTAAATGTAAAGCATATTTGTTGTGAGAACTAATGATTTTATGCATCTTGTCATGTGTTCATTGCCACTTTGGTGAAGTATTATTCAAATGTTTTAGCCTCTTTTTTATTAGTTGTTAATCTTATTAATGAGTTATGAGAACACTTTACATATTCAAGATACAAGATACAACTTCTTTATGGGATATATGCTCTACAAATATTTTAAGTATAATCCATTAGCAATTGATAATTGGAATTTTTCACAATTAAAACTTTTGTTTAATGAAAGACTATTAACAAAATGAAAGTCAAAACATGAACTCAATTTTTTCCCTGTTTAGCATGGTGTTGTGTATGGCATTTTATATATGGTTTGTTATATATGGCCTATAGAAAGAGGTATACTCTTTCTATACCCAGTGTGTTGAGGGTTTTATCTTAAAGGAATGCTGAATTTTATAGAATGCTTTTTCAGCATATATTGAGATCGCTGGATTCAGAGTCCAGAGTGCTCACCATTACACCATGGAACCTCATAATTTTCAGCATCTATTGAAATGATCATATGGTTTTTGCTCTTGGTTCTGTTAATGTGGTGTATACATTTATTGATTTGCATTTGTTGAGCTATCCTTGCAGCCCTGGGATAAATCCCACTTGATAATTGTGAATGATTATTTTAATGTGTTGTTGAATCTGGTTTGCTAGTATTTGTTGAGAATTTTTGCATCTGTGCTCATTAGCAATACTGGCCAATAATTTTCTTTTTTTGTTGTGTCCTTGTTTGGTTTTGGTATCAGGATAATGCTAGCCTTATAAAATGAGTTTGAAAGTATTTAGTCTTCTTCAATTTATCTGAAGACTTTGAATAGAATTGGTATTAGTTGTTAAATATTTGGTAGAATTCAGCAGTGAAATCAACAAGTCCTAGGCTTCTCTTTCATGGGAGACTTTTTATTATGGCTTCAATCTTGTTACTCACTACTGGTTTGCTGAGATTTTCTATTTCTTCATGGTTCAAACTTGGTAAGTTGTATATATCTAGAAATTTATCCATTTCTTTTAGATATCCAATTTGTTGGCATATAGCTGTTTATAATAGTCTTTAATGATCTTCATATTTCTGTGATATCAGTGATTATGTCTCCTTTTTGTTTCTAACTTTATTCATTTGAATTGGGTCGTCTCTTATTTTTCTTAGTCTAGCTAAAGGTTTGCTGACTTTATCACTTCAAAAAACTAATGTTTTATTGATCTTCTGTACTTTTTTCTCAATTTCCTTTATTCCTGCTCTGATCTTTATTATTTCTTTTCTTCTACTAAGTTTAGGTTTGCTTTTTTCTTGCCTTTCTATCCTTGGGGTGCGTTGTTAGGTTGTTTAAGTCTTTCTACTTTTTTAAATGTAGATGTTTATTGTTATAAACTTTCCTATTAGAACTGTTTTTGCTGTATCTCATAAATTTTGATATGTTGTATTTTCATTTCCATTTGTTTCAAGATTTTTATTTTAGTTTCCTTAATTTCTTCATTGATCCATTTGTCATTCAATAGCATGTTGTTTAATTTCTATGTGTTTGTGTAGTTTCCAAGGTTACTTCTGATTTTTAGGTTTATTTTGTTGTGTTAAGAAAAGATTATTGATATGGTTTTTACTTTTTAAAGTTTGTTGAGACTTGTTTCATGGCTTAATATATGGTCTATTCTGGAGAATGTTTCTGATGAAAGAAGGTGTATTCTGTAGCAGTTGGGTGAAATGTTCTGTAAATGTCAGTTGGATTATTTGGTCTAGTGTATAGTTTAAATCTGATGTTTCTTTGTTGATTTTCTGTCTGGAGGATCTGTCCATTACTAAGAATGGGGTGGTGAAGTCCCCTACTGTTATGGTATTGCAGTCTATTTATTTAGATCTATTAATATTTGCTTTATATATTTAGGTGCTCTAGTGTTGAGTGCATATTTATAATTATTATATTATTCTGCTGAATTTACCCCTTTATCATTATAGAGTGACCTTCATTGTCTCTCTTTACAATCTGATTTGTCTATTTTATCTGCTGTAACAATACCTATTCCTGTTCTTTTTTGGTTTCCGCTTGCATGAAATGTTTTTTAATCCCTTTATTCCAGTCAGTCTACATGTTTGTTTATAGATGGGGGTAGATTTCTTGTAGGCAGTATATAGTTGGATCTTGTTTCTTTATTCATTCAGCCGCTCTATGCCTTTTGATTGGAGAATTGAGTTCATTTACATTCAGTGTTATTATTGCTAATTAAGGATTTGCTGCCATTTTGTTGTTTTCTGGTTCTTTTGTAAGTGTTTTCTTCTTTTCTTACCGTATTCCCTGGTGGTTAAGTGATTTTTTGGGGGGAGTACGTTTTAATTTGTTGCTTTTTAGTTTTACTGTGTTTTGTATAGATTTTTGTATTGTGATTACCATGAGGCTTACAAAAAAAATCTTATGAAAGTTCTTATAAATAGATCACAACTCATCTTAAATTACACACACACACAAATAGAACAAAAGAAACAAAGAAAATACAAGCAAACAAAACACTCTACACTTTGAACTCTACCCCCCAACGTTTTGACTTCTTCTTGTCAAAATTTACATATTTTTATGTTGTCTCTCTTACAGATTTCTGTAGCCATTGTTGTTTTTGATAGATTTTTTTTCAGCATATTGCACACCACAATTAGAATATTAAAATATTTTGAAGTTGTCTTCTGTATACTTAATTTTACCTGTGGGTTTTATATTTTCAAATGTTTCTTTGGCATATTAGTGCTTTTTTCTGTCAGATTAAAGAACTCCTTTAGCATTTCTCATAAGACAGATGTGGTGGTTGTGAATTTTCTCAGCTTTTCTTTGTCTGGAAAATACTTTATCTCCTCTTCATATTTGAAGAGTAGATTTGCTGAACACAGTATTTTTGGATAGCAGTTATTTTCTTTTAGCACTGTGAAAATACTGTTTCATTCCCTCCTGGACTGTATGGTATTGAGAAGTTTGTTGTCAGATGAATGGGAGCTCCTTTATATGTTTTTTGCTTGTTTTCTCTTGCTGCTTTTAGAATCCTCTCTGTTATTGACCTTGAAAGTTTGATTATTACATGCCTGGAGTGGTCTTAATTGGGTGGAATCTGGTGTTCTCTAACTTTCTAGTACCTAAATGTTTATATCTTTCTTAAGTTTTAGAAACTTTTCTGCCATAATTTCTTTGAATAAACTTCCTACTACTTGCTCTTGCTCAGCTCCCTTTTGAACACCAATAATTCTGATTTTATTTTTGAGGTATTTTTCTATATCTTATAGGCAATCTTTGTTCTTTTTTATTCTTTTTTTCTTCTCTGTGTATTTTAAAATAATTTGTCTTCAAGCTAATTATTTCTTCCCTCTTCTTGACTCATTCTACTGTGGATAACCTCTAACAGATTTTCAGTTCACCAAATGTATTTCTCAGTCCCAAGATTTCTGGTTTTCTGGCGGGGCGGGGTGGGGGGGTTGCTATTTTTCCATTTCTTTATTAAATTTTTGAATTGGTTTTCTGTGTTATCTTGGAGATAACTTAGTTTCCTTAACACTATTATTTTGAATTCTTGGTCGAAGATCTCACATATCACTGTCTCATTAGGGTTAGTCACCGTTTCTTGGCTTTTGTGGAAGTCATGGTGTCCTGTTGTTGTTTCTTGTGGATGTATGTCTCTGTTTTTGCAATGAAAGATTAGTTATTTCTGGGCTGGGTGTGGTGGCTCATGCCTGTAATCCCAGCACTTTGGGAGGCTGAGGTGGGCAGATCACTTGAGGTAAGGAGTTCAAGACCAGCTTGGCCAACATGGTGAAACCCTGTCTCTACTAAAATACAAAAATTAGCCAGGCGTGGTAGCACATGCCTGTAATCCAAGCTACTCAGGAGACTGAGGCAGGAGAATCGCTTGAACCCTGGAGGTGGAGGTTGCAGTGAGCCGAGATTGTGCCACTGCACTCCAGCCTTGGCGACAGAGCGAGACTCCATAAAAAAAGATTAGTTATTTCTGTCTTCTCTGTCTAGCTCGTTTTGTTTTTTGTGGACATGTTTGTTATTTGTAATTTACTTGTTGAATTTGTTTTCCAGTACTTTGCTGCCTCTTTTTTGGCACTAGATGGTACCTTAAAAACCCAGGTTTGCCTTGGCTCCAGGAAACAATTGAAACACTGCTAGTCCTGAATGGAGGAGGCTCCAAAGGGGATAGGCTCCAAAGGGGATATGCTGGCAGTGCAGGAGGGCTGGCTAGGGGCTCATCCCCAGGCAATCTGTGGAATGTACCTCCTACAGCATGGTACTGCTGAACAGTGATTCTGACTTGGTGTTTCCTTCGGCCAAGTTATAGAGCAGAGTTTCTAGGGCTGGGGATGGTAGTCCCAAACTTCCCCTTTGTTTCTGGCTTTCTTCAAGGATATTTCTACCTTCAGGTATTCACAATGCTTCCCATGTATTGAGGCAGGGATAGGTTTTCTGCCAGGAAACCCAAGATGGTGGGAAAACTGGTTTTCCATTTCAATCTCTCTTTCTCTAATGTAGAAACAGTGACTTGGGGAAATTTTTTCATGTGTGTGGTGCTCAGCAAATTGAAGAGAGAGGTGTAATAGATGTAAGTTTGACTTTCTTACTATATGCTTCCATTTGTTTTTTCAATTCTCTGTGGCCCTTGGAATTGTCTAATCCTCATATTTGAGTTTTGGAATATGGCTGGTGATAATAGTAGTGCTGTACATTTCTTTTTGGCTTGCTCTGGGAGGGGAATGAAGCCAGCTTGTTTCTTTACTGTCATTTTGGAACTGAAACTTTTGAGCTTCCTTTTATTTCTACAAAATTTTGTTGGAGTACATACTGTTTTTAAGGTCAATAGTTATATGTGATGGTCAACATTATATTTCAACTTGACTGGTCCATAGAGTACTCAGACATTTAGTCAAACATTATTCTAGGTATATTTTTAGTGTGTTTCTGGATGAGATTATATGAATTGGTATACTGAGTAAAGCAGATTTTCCTAAGGTGAGCAGTCTCATGTAACTGGTTGAAGACCTGAATAGAAAAAAAGTCTGAGTAAGAAAGAACTTCTCCTGCCTTGTTACATGAGCTTGGATATATCTTTATTTCTTACCTTAGGACTCAAACTGAAAAATCCATTCTTCTTGGGTCTGCAGCCTGTTGGCTTTTGGGCTGGACTTTCTATCATGAGTCATGCCAGTTCTCAAGGCCTTTGGACTCAACCTGAAAATACACCCCTGCCCTTTCTTCCTTCCTGGGTTTGTACCAGATCTTGTCACTTTGCTTCTGCAATTGTGTGGGTCAATTTTTTAATAACATCTATTTGTCTGTCTGTCTATCTATCTATCTGTCTACCTACCTAACTACCTACCTATCATCTTGACTAATACAGAATGATAAACAATTATATTTTTATTCATCACTAACCCTAACTTCGTCATTTATGAAGATGATTTTCATATTCACAGCACTGTATTTAAAAAACAAGAAAAATATTTAAAGATGATTTCAATAGATCTAGGATTACCCTAGTTACTCAAACTATTGGTTTAAGCCGCCTGCTATTACTACCCTATTTCCTTTGGTTTTATACATTTTAGTAGCTTCACTGTAACAGTGAAGTTCCATGGTAGGTAAACACATTTAACTTGATATATCCAACTAAACATGCTCCGAGCAAAGGAAACATCCTCTCTACCCCAGTTTACCACACAGGCACAAAATGAATTACAAAGAACAGCATGAAAAACTCTCCGTAGTTACTAAGATTTTCTCTTTGTTTGTCAGGATGAGTGCATGATCCAGGCATTGGATGCAATCAAGCCTAAGTTTGTAAATGTCTGTTGGCCAAACCACTGAAAAAAAGTGTGAATAGTTTTAATGTTTTTTTCTGACAATTAATAAAGAAATGAAAAAGGTTGTTCAGCTGGCCATGAAATTGTTTGAGTTGGCTTTTATTTGCAGAATTATTCATAGAGAAACAATGCTGAATGAAGAGTTAAAAGAAACGGTCTATAGAAAAAGAGTTAAAAGAAAGGTCTACAGAAAAATGACAGAACAAGCCATAACTTTAAGATTTTTCTAGCAGCAAAACATTTGAATGATTAGATACCTGAGTATAATTGCGTCTGAGATTATTTACCCTACATTACTCTATACATGAGACATTTATATATCCCTAGTACCATGCAGGTTTATATAAACAAAATGTATACTATACTTTATAGGTAAATTTAAGGGTTTTCTCAATGGTAAATTTGTTTATTGATGACTTTTGCATTATGTGCTAAACTTAGAAATTAACCCACTACCTTCATCCAGTAGTATTTGCCAGCCAATTGTCCAATACATCGTTTAAGGCTCAACCCAAAAGCCACTTTCTTTTTGAAACTTTCTTTTTAAATTTTTTTCCCCTTCAATAAGGGTAAGGCTTCTTCGGAGCTTGTTGGCAATTTGATCAACCCTATGCCAGAGCATTTATCTCTTTGCTCTCTACTTAGCTGTTTGATTAGATTGTGAGTTTTTCTAAGGCTGGAATAAACTTTTATTTGTTTGTTTCACACAGCTCACAGCACAGTGACTGAAGCAAGCTAGGTCTTAAAAAAATCGTGATGAATGAATTGTTAAAGTGTATTCTTCAAAAGGGCAATATGATGATGACTCATATAAATATAAAATAAATGCATCAAAATTTTATTCAGCTTGTTAATTAATGATAAAATCAGTAAGATCTCAAAACCAGTTCAAAGAGCATTTGAGAAGCTGGTGTGTGTGTGTGTGTGTGTGTGTGTGTGTGTGTAATTTAATAAGGGAAGTTAGGAATATTTTTGGCTTAGATTCAAAACAGGTTAATGTCTCACAGTGGAATAAATTAAAACATTTAAGGTTACCTATTCCACAGCATAGAAATTATTTTCTTCTGTTCTAGGTAAAAGTATAAAAGTTAACATATAACTTCATTTAGTCTGAGGGCTTTAATTAATTTTAAACAGTTATTCACTTTTAGTATATTCCCCCAGATAATGTTTAAGTGACTTTTATTCCAGAATGTTATTTAAAAATGTTCTTCCCACTTTTTATTTCTATGTTTTGGTAAAATTTTTCATAAAGGAGTAAATTAGTATATTCTTTTAAAATGTATTACTTCAATTGGATATTTCTGCCAAAGCATGTATTATATAGGTCCTGATGACCCTCATTTAACTTGAAAATTCAGTTATACTAAATAACCAATTTTAGAACCATTGATAGATAAATTCAGTTTCACTGTAATGCCTTAGTGATTTGATTTCTCACCATTGTTTTAAATATGCTGTGTAACTTGATCTTTGAGAAGGGATTATCTTTGAATATTTAGAGACAATAAAATGAATGATTGGAATGCACATGATGCACAATAAAAATTTTGAACTCCAACATAAGTCAACTTCGAAATGAAAAATAGAGATTTGTATTTTTAAAAATATTTGAGATGATGTTTACTCTAATGACCCATTCATTAACAATTATTAATCATCTTGATTAAGAAATAAAATTATATGCAGTAAACTGCTATTTTTTGTTTATGTAAACAATAGACTGTTAGAATAAGAAAGAGCCCAGCAAGTTATGCACTACAACAGCTTTCATTTTACAGATGAGGAAACCGAAGCCCAGTCACATAGTTTTTAGTTATTTTGAATCACTCTATGAATCATAAAGTAACATGCTGTTTTCATATGCTTACCTGTATAAAGTAAAATAGTTGTCCGGTAGTTAACTGTGCTGAATTGTTAAAGATACATAGGATAAGCACTATATTTTTTAAAGAGGTAATGAAACCATTATCCTGAACTGAAATGACTCATGAAACATAACCAGTTTCACTGTGGTTTTCCACCTATCAATGCAGCTGGATTTTTAAAAATGAAAATATTTTGGAGAAGTAGAAATGAAATGGATTACTGAGTAAAGCATATGAAATTTTGTCATTCATTCTGAAATAAAAATGTTAGTGCCACCAAAACTTATGTTTTCCATAGAATATGATTAACCTTGATGAGTCAATCTTTTGTATTCTTGTGGAACAAAAGCTTACAGGAAATATCTTTCTTTTTGTTTTTTTCGCAGGTACCAAGACCATTTTCTATTTTTTCTTTCTTTTAAAAATTAATCCTTATGGGTAAATAATAGTTGTATATATTTATGGGGTAAATGTGATGTTTTGATGCAGGAATACAATGTGCAATGATCAAATCAGGGTAATTGGAGAATCCATCCCCTCAAGCGTTTATCATTTATTTGTATTAGAAACATTTCAATTCCTCTCTTTCAGTTATTTAAAAATATATAATAAGTTATTATTCCACCATGCACTAGATCTTATTCATTATATCTAAATGGATTTTTGTACTTACCAATCATTCCCATCTTATCCCATCCTCCCTGATACCCTTCCCAGCCTCTGGACCACATCCCTTTTCTGTTAGTATACAATGTGATGATTTAGAAAGCTGGGTAACTAGACGAGTATTCTGGTCTAGAGAAAGTGACCAGGGGTGAGGAAAGTAGGAAAGAACGTATTGTCTGCTTGCTACCCTCCCACCTCAAAAATGCATGAATATCTCAAGAAAAATTACCTCTCCCGGGATTCATGTGGCAAAACTAACATTTTTTAAACAGATCCAATGATTGGTAATGCAGATCTCAGTAAAAGGAAAAAAAAACACGTTTTTAAATGGCTGGCAAATGTAAACAGTATAATGTTGAACTGCTTCTAAATAATATTTATATGATCCACTTAAGAACAATAATTGTCAAACTGAATCCACATATCAGCTGTGTTGGAATCATCACAGTGTTTGTTATAGTGAAGATCTGAGGCTGAATTAGCATCAGGGTTCATTTTTACAGGCAGAGCTTTCCTAATTAGAAGCGAAATTTACTGGGAGGCTATTGTGTAGCTCACAAAGCTGGCCTAGAGGCCAGAAAGCAAAATTTAGAGAATGGGCAGGAACTAAGGAAGGCTGGGCAGCAGAGCCAAGCCATGGTCATGAGTACGTTTGGTTTCCACTTTTAGCATCATAGCTACTAAACTTCTGTCATTGCCACCACTATATTATTGATATCATTGCTTTTGCTGTCTCTAGGAATAACTTGTCAGTCAATCTTGTGTTCTTCTAGAGTCATTCTTGAGTCATTCCAAATTTATATTTCAAGTTGGAATGTCAATTGACTAAGTACCTGTGTCTCAATTTTCCCTAAGTTTGAATAATGAAGTACTCACCCAAAATGGGAAGAACCCTTGTAAACTGGAAGGAAAAAAATAAAAGCAGAAAAAAAAACTCTGTTACACTGGTTCCACACCAAACCTATTGAATCAGAATCATGGAAGAAATGAGAATCTTAATTTTTAAACAAATACAGTCAGTTTTGCTATAAGGTGACATATGTGCTCCTATAGATCATTGTGCTACAGAAAATCACAGAATGAAAACCACAAGACTTATGAGAAGAGTGGGGTTATGAACCCAGCAATCAAAAATGCCATTTGTTGTGCATTACAAAAAAGATAGAAAGCTAGTGAATATAGTAATATAGCTTGCATATGGCAAATTGGCTAAGAAATACATAAGTACTATCATAGAAATGGCCCTTTACCATGAAAAAGACCTAGAATTTGAGTGTGGAACTAGGCATCAGGAGTGGTGCACAGTAACACACAGTGGTATGTTACTGGTGAGTAATGCAGGGAGGGTTATCTGAAATTGAGTGGAAAGGTGTAATATCAGATACAGGTTTGGCTCGTAACACATGTGGCAAAATGAGGTAGCTAGTAGAAGTTTCAAGTGTGTGCCTGTGTACATTTTGTGTATTCCTATATGGCTTAGTTCCACTGGGTGCAGTTTTCTGAATTCATATGTGTTTCTTCATATGAAATCGCAGATAAGCAAAATAAAAATTTGCATTATGCTCAAATGATTACCTAATATACCAGTAATATTGGAACAAATTCACACTTCAAAATCATCATTATAGAAAAAGTATACTCCTGTGTGATCATATGTAAAGGTCTTACCATCTTTAGGATCTTGGACCTTCTCTAACTATTCCAAGTGCCCTTCCTGTAGCATTCTATGTTACAGATCTCACAGACTCAAATTTTCTCCCATTTGGTGAGTGTAAGTATGCAACATTCTTTCACTTTTCTCTCCTACATTGCTGTCTGCTTCTCAAGGGTTGATTTACAAGTCTTCCTTATAGACTTTTGAATTACATCTTCTATCATCTCTTATTTGCTCCCATTGTGAGAACCACTTTCCTAGCCCCAATAACGTTAGTACCTGACTTATTTATTTTCTTTCTATCCCACCACCTAATGTCAGTATCAGTAGTTTTTGACTTTTTGCTGTCCAACTGACATTTTGATCTCTTAGACCCAAAGTCACTTAAAATCCACTGATACTCATCTTCTGTTCACAGCAGCCACTGCCAGCCTCCTCACCCCGAGTCTTTTTCATCATGTGTTCCTGCTTCATGTTAGTAAGATTAAAATTAGTTTGCAGCATTTGTCCTGTTTCAATATATTTCTCCGATGAAATTTAAGCATAAAAACATGCTCTGTAGTGTTTAGTGATGGCATTTAATATTCAGGCCATTTCAATTGCACCAATTGGGCAAGCTTCTAATGTGACTATCTGAACCCACACTTGACCACCTTATTGCCTTGCTTTACAAAAGTAAATAAGAGTAGAATGTTAGGATTCAACAAATACTAGGAAAGCTGCAGACTTACATTTTCCTCAAATGAAAAACTGTATGAATGTCCTTTTAATACAAAGACTTTTCTTCTGTATTTCAGCCCTGACTGTTGTGTTTTTAACTTTTCATTTTGTTGGGGAGATTAAAGACAGAGAGTCATTATGAGTCTTCTAAGAAGCCAAGGGACTGTAGTTAGATTAAAAGCTATTTATTCTGCACTTTGTATTTTCTTTGGTCCTTATTTTCAGATTGAACATAAGGTATCTGCAGCACAGATTGCTTTCAGAAAGATGAATTTGACTAAAATCATACTATGCATTTATTCAGTAAACATTTATTTTTAAATGTCTCTGATAATTCAGGGTCTCTGCTAGCCCAAAGTGTATAAAAATGTATGAGGAAAAGTTTTTGTTTTCAAGGAGCAGTAGTGGATTCCATGGTGATCTACCCATATCCTATCTTCCAATACTGAAGAACTAATTTCTCCAGTTGCCAGGAGTGTTGGTGGCTGACAGCTCTTTGCTGAGTCTCTGTGGGACTTTCCCATAGCTGAAGAAAGCCACCTACCCAAGGTCATGCTCCCATTCCAGAGGAAGCCTGTGTTAGGTCATTCTTGCATTGCTATAAAGAAATACCTCAGACTGGGTAATTTATAAAGAAAAGAGGATTAATTGGCACACAATTTTGCAGGCTTTACAGGAAGCATGGTGCTGGCATCTGTTCAGCTTCTAGGGAGGCCTCGGGAAGCCTACAATCATGGCGGAAGGGGAAGCAGGCATGTCACATGGCAAAAGCAGGATTGAGAGAGAGAGTGGTGGGGGGGAAGATCTACAAACTTTTAAAGAACCAGATCTTGTGTGAAATCAGAGTGAGCACTCACTTATCACCAAGGGGATGGCCCAAGCCATTGCTATCCCCATGATGCAAACACCTCCCTTCAGTCCCCACCTCCAATATTGGGGATTACATTTCAACAAGAAATTTGGAGAAATTTGGACAGAGACAAATGTCCAAACCATATCAAAGCCCATATCTAATGACTGGTCAATGTGGAGATTTATTTCTCTTGCTCCAATTTGGGACCACTCTGAAGGGTCATCCTAACTCCAGAGCACCTCATAAGATTTGTTGAGGCTTTTGTTGCAATTGCATCAATTCACAGTTCAATGTCTCTCCCTTTCAATTCTACTTATTTCACCCATCCACGGTTGTTGATCCTGAGAACACAAAAACAGACCTTAGTAAATTTCCTGTAAGCACATTGCTACCTCAGAATCTGATTTTAGGGGAACATGCCTATAATGAGAATTCACAGTTTGTTTAGAAGAACCACCAAGAGTATTAGTAATTGCAATACTATTTTGAAAATTACTCTAGTAGAGGTAAGCACATGTCACTAGGAAAGAGGCACTTAGCCTAGACTGAGGTGGAAGTGGAACCAGGAAAAAATGCTCTGAATTATGATTTAAATATCAATAGCAGTTACACAGAGCTGTGGGCAGGAAGGAGGAAAAAGAAGAGCCTTATGGACAGAGAAAACAGCATGTGAAATGGGAAAGACCTATTAAGTGGTTGTGGCACATTCAGGAAACTTCCGATAGGTTAGTATGACTTGTATCTATGAGCAAAGAGTAAGTCGAAAGACCTGATGATAAAGTGGTAGGCAAGACCCAGTTCATGAGGCCCTTGTATCTCAGTATCTCATGCTGAGGAAATTCACTTTTATTTAGAACTGCTGAACTATTGAAATTTTTAGTAGAAGAGTTAGAAAACTTATATTGGCAGCAATGTGGGCATGGGTTGGGATAAAGTTAGAGAAGAGACCTGGAGGATCCTTAAGAAGATGTTATGGAAATTAAGGTAGAGAAAAGTAGACAATATCATGGCATAAGAGAGAGGCAAAAAGAGGATCTCGGTGCTAACTGGATATGAGGAATAAGAATGAGGATATTACATGATAATAATATATCATTCTAGTATGAACTGGTAGAAAACACAAAAGGAGGAGTTTGAAAGAGAAATGTGCTAATTTCACTTTTGACCGCATTGAGTTTGAGGTATGTACAGGTCGTACAGGGTGATATGTTCAAAATTAAAAATGGGAAAAAGGAGAAGGAGACAGGAGAATAAAGATTTTACTTTGGCTTTTTAGAAGAATGGACAGAGGAAGGAGAGATGAAAGGAGAAACTGGAAATTTGGGGAAATCTGTGTTTAAATACAGACTGAAGGGAGAAGACCACATAGCAAACTTCTAGAATTGATACTGTCTGTATGGTTACATCTAAAGCATAACAAGGTAAATACATTTTTAAGTTTTCAAGTGTTTTATGCTTTTTTATCTATTTAATTACTTTTCACAATAGTCTTTCTTGAAACAATTGCGTTCATATTATAAATAAGAAAACTAACTTCAAGGTATGCTATACTACTCTTACTATATAATAAACAGATGGTTAAGCCAGGCCATTTATTTGGACAATAATGGGAAAGTTAAAATTTAGGGAGAATTCAAATTTGTTTACAAATTAATTTCTCCTGTTTGCAGTAGAATAAGACATTTGCCCGTATAACACTATAAACATCTCAAACTTTCATCTCTTTACTTTTGTTTCTTTCCTAATATTTTTTTCTGCTCTCTCCTTCTGATTTAAAGTTAAAAACTATCTACAAAATTATATGTAATAAAAATGTAAATATTGGTGCTACACATGACCTTAGTTATTTAAGTCAAAACATTTTAACAAATGCATCAATAAGACAGTTTACATAATCTCATATGAGATTATGTATTACTTCATTTTATGGCATATGACATCATTTGTTCTCAAGGTTGTCTTTGTTTTTCATCCATTATTATTCTTAATATGGATGAATATGACACACCTTATATTACAAACAACCTGCAGTTCTTAAATGCTTTTCTTTTTGCTTTTTTTCTTTATTTAGGGAAAATTGTTTTCCATTGGCTTTCAGAACTTAACAGATATTTAATTAAATGTCGATTGTATGGTACATTAGTGACCATCAAACATTATGTCTTTCAGCAGGCAATTATAAAGGGCACAATATTCTAAATGAATTTTTAAATACTTTCTTTCAATCATTAAACACAATTACCACAGCCATATTTTGTAAATGTAAAACACTAGAGTTCTCACAAGTATGTTCGTCACAGTCATTTTTATTGATGATCTATCTGAGCTTCATTTCCTAGCTGAGAAAACTTGTCGGTCAATTTATTCCAACATAACATCGTTTGGTTGGGTGGTTATTAATCCTCTAATTGTTCATGGCATGCCAGAAATAATTCAGTTAATTATCACAATATGTCTTACTTTGCTGTGATTTTCTGTGTCAAAATACCCTTTGCATATATTGGAGAAAAAATCAGATGCTTATTTTAATTCTAGACATAAAACTTGATTGCTAACTAAAAACATGAAAGACATTTTTTGCTTTTCCTATATAGAATATCTTCTGGCCAAATGAAAGTTGATGAGTTATAATATCATAATTTTAATTGATCCGTCACCTCTACTGTTTGAATGAATCTGACTCAACTTAACTGATTAGTTTCAATTAAGTGCCATAGTATAACAATTCACCCTAGATCATATTAAAAAGAGGATTTCATTTTTTCCAATCCAATGTATGGAAATAGAGCTAATGTCTACAGTTCCATTACAATCGTGAAATTAAATGTTGTGCACTTAGGTAAAAAGTTGTGATGATGTATATAATGACTTTCATGCACAGAATTAAATTTGGTTAAAGGTATTTGGGGTTGGATATGCCTGAATGGATTCCAGAATGTAAGACCCTATCAATAAAACATAATAATGTATGGATTATTACATTCTAACACTCACAATAGGTTATTTTAGTTCACTATGGAAATGGAAAATGCAATATTCATTATGCAGCATTGCACTTACATTAAAGCAAGTTCAGCAGAGGCCTTCCATAAGAGAACGGACTATAACCACTGATTTATAGTTAGCTTCCTTAGCTAGCCTCTGACTTACAATAATAAAATGACCACATGCTTGTTGACCAAATTAACACCCTTCTCTGTGGTCAAAGGAACTGCACTATTAATTGGCTGTGGTGAAAAGAACCTAAAGAAATTTCGAAGCAAAGAGATTTCCTCCCTGTTGATGGTGGTGGGGAAGTGTAGAAGCAAACAAATAAACAAAAGATGCATTCTGTTTTATAAGATAAAAATGCAGGCATTAAGTTAGAAACTATGAGGTTATATGAAGATCACTTAGTTTGGAGTAAGTTAGACTCTAGACAAATAGCTTTGTGAGTTTAGGCAAGCCTCTAAATTTTAAATTATCTGCAATAATGGCATACTTGTTTTTCAGGTTAGACATAAATATGAGATGAAGTGATGTATGAGAACATCTTTTGTAAAAACCTTTTAAGCATTGTAGATATGTAAAAGACGATGTTAAGATTATACATTCATACCTTTACTATTTAGAATTACACAACAGTGTTAATATATATTTTTAATTAACTGATCTATTCATTAGTTCTATTACTTATTGATTTTTCTGAAGTACTACATAGATTACTATATTTTATTAGATTTTTGGTACATGTGATTGTAGGATATTAAGAATGTATCTGGTCTTTGTTTCCAGTTCCTACGGCAGAGTTTTGAAAACCTCTGGAATTTCCTGAATGAAAGGAATATCTTTGCTATGCAAATGAGGTGACTCTTGGTGGGCCCCTAGACAGCTTCAAGATGAGGACTGGTAACCTCAAAGACAGACCAAATGATTAGAACTTTGGGATATGTCAACCTCCAGGGATGAGAGGGGTTCTGGAGATTGAATTCAATAATGTGACCAGCCATTTAATCAATCATGCCCACTCAGCGAAATCTCAGTAAGAACTATGGACACAGAGTCTCAGTAGAGTATACTTATTGGTTAATTCACTTTTGTGCAGAGAGGGTGATGTACCCTGACACCACTGGAAGAGAATCTGAAATCTCTGTGTCTGGGACTTTGGGTCCTCACTCCCTGTGCCTCTTCCTCATTTTGCGATTCCTGAATTGTGTCCTTTATAATACAGCTATAATCATAATTATGGCACTTTCTTGAGATCTGTGAATCATTCTAGTGAATTGTTGAACTAAGAAGAAAGCCTTGAACTTACAGCTGGTGATGCTAAAGTATGGGTGGCCACTGAGACTTGTAGCTGGCATCTAAAGTGAGGCCAGTTTTGAAGGATTGAGCCGTTAAACCTGTGAGTCTAACACTAAGTCAGGGTAGTTTATGCCAGGATTGTGTTACAGTACACCCACTTGAAATGGAAATAGAACATTTATGATAGAAAATAAATATCACATTTCCCCTAGACAGAACCATATGATTGCAAACTAAAAAATAAAATCCCATAAGACTTATTATAAAAACTGTCCAAAATACCATATTAAATATTTGAGCAAGTATAAACTCTACACAGTATAAACTTTATTGATATAATCAGTCGAACTAGACTATTTAATTGGCTATTGTTAAATTAGCAAACATACTTATACTTTTTTAATTCATTGACTTTCAGTAAATAGATGCACCAAAATTTTAAGGGACAATGTGGTAGAATGTTTAATAGGATAGGAATGCTATAAAAATAATTATAAAATACCATAGTCTTTTAAATGCAGACTAAAATTTAAATAAAGTAAGTAATGAAAATTTCCAAGGAATAAAAACAAAGATGAAACTAAAACTCTGCAGCTGTTCTGTTAGAGAAAGAGGAAAGAATCGTGGTAGGGTGTTGGTTTAGGCAACATGTGTGCTGAGATTTTAATGCTCACATACAGCCAGGGGAAAAGATGTGAAGCCCACATATCTAGGAGTTGAAAGCGAGATCCTGCTTAAAGCTAGATTCTTTGAGAGCCTGCATGCTCAATTAAAATGTGTACCAGGAAGAGAAAAAAATGCTTTTTTCTTTTTAACTGGGAAGTCTGATACATTTTATAGTCTGATCTTTTCTTTCATTGAATGTATTAAAAATGTATTAATGGGCTTGTAAAAATATAAAGTATACTGAGGCCAAAAACTAAGTAAAGTCAGATTTCCTAAACAGAGCAGTGCAGTTGGCTTTAGCCTTAAGAATATTTGTGCCACATGGTAGAAATATGGCATAAAATACCCTAAAAAATATCCTACCAGTGTACAGGTACAGGTGATATAAACCTGGTCTCTATGAGATTCCACTTTAGAAATGTTGCCTGTCTTGAACTTTGGTGCTGAGTAGAGATGAGAGACTGTACCCTGAAAATTCAGATATAAATACTGGACCTCAAGTGGATTTGCAACTTGATTCACACTATGTGGCAGGCCAGATAAACTCCTGCCAGCTACCTTGTAGATCAAAAAATGTTCTCTGGTAGAAATTACATATTTCATACCAGGACACAGATAATTTGCTATATAAAATTTTAAGAACCGTGTGATCTCACTGTGAAAATTTCAGAATATACAAATGAACAAATCATTATGGTATAAAAAGTACATTTTTTTCTTAGAAGGTCAGAATGTGATATTGTTGACTATTTGTCCTCTCCAAATATCATGTTGAAATATGATCCCCAGTGTTCAAAGTGGGGCCCAGTGGAGGTGTTTCAGTCAAAGGGGTGGAACCCTCATAAATGGCTTGGTGTCCTTCCCTTGGTAATGAGTGAAGTCTTGTTCTATTAGTTCACAGGAGGGCTGGTGGTTTAAAAGAACCTGGCACCTCCTCCTCTCTTTCCCTTGCTCCCTCTCTTGCCATGTGACAACAGGTTCCCATTACCTTCTGCCATGATTGTAAGCTTCCTGAAGCCCTCACCAGAAGCAGATGCTGGCACTGTGCTTTTTGTACAGTTTGCAGAAATGTGAGACTAATAAACCTCTTTCCTTCATAAATTACCCAGCCTCAGGTATTCCTTTATAGCTATAATAGTTCATTCTTGAACTGCTATAAAGAAATACCTGAGAGTCAGTAATTTATAAAGAAAAGAGTTTTAACTGACTCGCAGTTCCTCAGGCTGCACAGGAAACATGAAGGCATCTGCTTGGCTTCTGAGGAGGCCTCAGGAAACTTTCAGTCATGGCGGAAGGCTAACAGGAAGCCAGGGATCTTACATGGTGGAGAATGAGCAAGAGAGAGAGGGAAAAGGTGCTACACACTTTTAAACAACGAAATCTCATGAGAACTCACTATTGCCATGACAACACCAAGGGGGATGGTGTTAAACCATAAGAAACCACCTCCATGATTCAGTCACCTCCAACACTGGGAATTACAATTTGACATGAGATTTGGTTGGGGACACAGATCCAAACCATATCAATAGTAAAACAAAACAGACTACTAATGGAATATAAAAATAAATTCCTCCAAAAAGGGAAAGAAAATTGGACCATCGGCTCAGTGTGATGCCAAGAGGTTTGCCAGCTCTGTGTTAGGTCTGAGTAAATACATTATTGAAAGTTTCCCACAGAATTAGTAAACATGGAAATATATTTTACATCATATGGGGGCTTGTGTTTACACTGTTTGCATGATCCAGGAATCTCAAATGTAGGAATTATCATAAAATTGGCCTTCCCCTAGTGGCGCCCCTGTGGGAACTAGATAAAGACAAAGAGCAATTGTTCCATGTGCACAATACCTGAATTCAGGTTGTACAGTAGTCTCACCCGGAGATGGTGAGATTACAATCTCAAATTAAAAGTACGTAAGAAATAAATATATTCCAGATAAGAGTCATCAGAAACCACAAACAGCCATAATAAACCAGGAAAAAGTTTTTTGATGGATAATTTGAGACTTTTTTTAAAAAGTGGGCTAAAAATCATTGTGACAGGGGAGTGGTGCTATAAAGCAGCAGATAGAAAGCTCCGACCTTATTTCCTCACACAGACAGCAAATTAACAATGTACACTTCAAAAAGCCTTTGTGAGAACTCTAGGAACCAGGTAGGGAGTCACAGTACCCCAAGCAAGCTCAAAGCCAAGAACAGCCATGTTAAAGGTTAAAAAAAACACAACTATGTTATTTTAATTATATCAGCCCCTCCTCCATGCTGACACAGTTTGCTGCAATTAGGAGGAAAAGCCTAATTCATATCTTCTCTCTGGGAGGAGAAAAGAAGAGGAAAACATATGCCTAATGTTCTAGCGTTTTGGTGGGCTGCCTCAGGGATTGGTTTCTGGTTTGCCTGACTTAGAGTGCCCATAGATAACTCACGCACTTTGGATGCCTGGGGGCTGCTGAGGACCAAAGAAAGCTAAGCAACTAATTGCAGTGCTAGAGAAACTGTAATACCACAGACAGAAGCTGTTAATACTCACTCACCAAGATTAGGAGTGAGTGCCCAGCTTGAGGCTAATCCTTTGGGAGGAAAAGAGAAGAGTGGAATATGCATCCACTCCTTTTACTTTTTGAAGGGCTTCCTGAGTCTCCCTCATTTGACTCAGAGTACTGATTGAACCAGCATTTTTTCTATGCATGGGAACTGCAGAGAACAATATAGAGCTCAGTGCTCTGTGGCAGCTCCAGAAAGCCTGCAGTAACACAGGCAGACACCAGAGGAAGGAAGAAATTACAAACCTCTGAAAGGGAAATTAACAAATGTCTCAAATTTGGACATTACAGGCACAAGATCAGAGAAATATCCCCATAAAAGGTTTGAGAGGACCACAGAATGCCTAGCCAGGGTGATTGATTGGGGAAGGCCTTCCATTGTGAGAAGCTACTCTGTAAAGACTGAAAGAGGTGGCTGTTTTTTCTATTGGACAAATCACAACAACGACAAATGTAACAAGGCACACAAGAAAGAAGGAAGCATGTCTCATCACTCTCAGCAGAGAGACCTCAAGGCCAAACTAGAAAGAAATCATAACAATAAAAAGCACAATACCACTCTCACCAATTTTATTCAATGTATTACTGGAAGTCTTATTTAGAGCAATAAGGCAAAAAAAAAAAGGAAGAAATTTTTAAAAGGCATCCACATTGGAAAGGAAGTGAAATTAAATCTCTTTACAGAAGACACAATCTTATATGTAGAAAACCCTAAAGATTCCACAATAAACTTACTAGAACTAATAAAGAAATCCAGCAAAGATGCAAAATAGAAAATCAACATATAAAGTCAGCTGTGTTTCTATACAGGCATACTTTGTTTTATTGCACTTCATTTTATCGTGTTTTGTAGATATCGTGTTTTTTATAAACTGAAGATTTCTGGCAACCCTGTATCAAGAAATGTTATTAGTCCATTTTTTTCCAATGACATGTGCTCACTTGAAGTTTCTATGTCACGTTTGGTAATTATCACAATATTTCAAAAGTTTTCATTGTTATTATACCTATTAGGGTGATCTGTGATCAATGATATGTAATGTTACTATTGTAATTGTTTTGGGGCATCATGCTCTGCACTCATTTTAAGATGACAAATGTAATTGATAAATGTTGTGTGTGTGTTCTGCTTCAAAAACCAGCTATTTCCCTCTCCATGGGCCTCCTTATTCCCTGAAAGATAACACAACTGAAAATAGACCAATTAATAATCCTACAATAGCCTGTAAGTTTTCAGGTGAAAGAAAGAGACACTATCTCAATTCAGATCAAAAGCTAGACATGATTAAGCTTAATGAAGATGGCATGTTAAAACCCAGAATAGGCTGAAAGCTAGGCCTCTTGCAACAAACAGTTAGCAAAGTTGTGAATGCAAAGGAAAAGTTCTTGAAAGAAATTAAAAGTGTTACTCCAGTGAAAACATGGATAATAAGAAAGTGAAACAGCCTTATTGCTGCTATAAGAAAGTTTTAGTGGTCTGGATAGAAGATCAAACCACTGACAACATTCCCCCAAGCCAAAGCCTCATCCAGAACAAGGCCGTGACTCTCTTTAATTTTATGAATGTTGAGAGAGATGAGGAAGCTTGAAGCTTGAAAGCCAGCCGAAGTTGATATATAAGGTTGAAGGAAAGAAGCCATCTCCAGAACACAAAAGTGCAAGGTGAAACTGCAAGTGCTAATGGAGAAGATGCAGCAAGTTATCCAAAAGATCTAATTAAGATAGTTGATGAAAGTGGTGACAGTAAGCAACAGATTTTCAATGTAGGCAAAGCAAACTTATATTGGAAGAAGATGCCATCTAGGACTTTCATTGCTATGGAAGAGAAGTCAATACCTGGTTTCAAACTTTCTAGAGATAGGCTGACTCTCTTGTTAGGGGCTAATGCAGCTGGTGAATTTAAGAAGCCAATGCTCATTGACCATTCTGAAAATCCTAGGACCCTTAAAATTTATGTATGTTAAATTTACACTGTGGGTGCTCTATAAATGGAACAACAAAGCCTGGATGACAGTATATCTCTTTATTGCATGTTTTACTAAATATTTTAAGGTTGCTGTTGAGACCTACTGGTCAGGAAAAAATATTCCTTTCAAAATATTATTGCCTATTGAAAATTCATCTAGTCACACAAAAGCTCTGATGGAAACATATAAGATTAATATTGATTTCATGCCTGTTAACACAACATGCATTCTGCAGCCCATAAACCAAGAAGCAATTTCAATGTTTAAGTCTTATTATTTAAGAAATACATTTCATAAGGATATAGCTGCCATAGATAGTGATTCCTCCAATGGCTCTGGGCAAAGTAAATTGAAAAATCTTCTGTGAAGGATTCACCATTCCAGATACCATTAAGAATGTTCATGATTTATGGGAGGAGGCCAAAATATCACCATTAACAGGAGTTTAGAAAATGTTGTCTTCAACCATCATGAATGATTTTGAGGGGTTCAATACCTCTGTGGAGGAAGTCACTGTAGGTATGATGGAAATAGCAAGAGAACTATAATTTGAAGTGGAGCCTGAAGATGTGACTGAATTTCTGCAATCTCATGACAAAATATGAATGGATGAGGAGTTGCTTCTTATGGATGAGCAAAGGAAGTGGTTTCTTGAGACAGAATCTGCTCATGGTGTAGAAATTGGGAATAGTGTTGGTGTGACAGCAAAGGATTTAGAATATAACATAAGCTTAGTTAATAAAACAGAGGCACAGTTTAAGAGGATTGGCTCCAATTTTGAAAGAA
Source organism: Homo sapiens (assembly GCF_000001405.40). Classification (NCBI taxonomy): domain Eukaryota; kingdom Metazoa; phylum Chordata; class Mammalia; order Primates; family Hominidae; genus Homo; species Homo sapiens. The sequence goes on from NC_000013.11 coordinate 53,697,856, forward strand.
GTTCTTCTGTGGGTAAAATGCTATCAAGCAGCATAGTATGCTATAGGGAAATCTTTTGTGGAGGAACAGTCAGTTGATGTGGAGTCAATTAAGGGTCAATTAAGTTTTATTCATCTTATTCGGTAAATGCCATGGAGACCCCAACCTTTAGCAATCACCACACTGGTAAGTCAGCAGCCATCAACATCAAGGCAAGACTCTCCACCAGCAAAATGATTATGATTGCTGAAGGCTCAGATGATCATTAGCAGTTTTTAGTAATAAATTATTTTTAATTAGGGCAGGGACATGTTTGAGACATAATGCTATCACATACTTAATAGGTTACAGTATAGTATAAACGTAACTTTTATATGCATTGGGAAACCAAACAATTTGTGTGACTTGCTTTATTGTGACATTTGCTTTACTGGTGTGGTCTAGAACCAAATCTGCAATATCTCTAGGGTATGACTGTGTGCTAAAATAAATAATATGAAAAGAAATTTAGAAAAACAATCCTACTTAAAATAGCATAAAAAAGTGTAAAAATATATAGAAGAAGGTGAAAAACTTGTACAGTAAAAACTAAAAACATTGCTGAAAGAAATCAAATAAAATACAAATAAATGGAAAGACATTTTATTCATTTATTGGAAGGCTTAATATTGTTAAAATGTCAATATTAGCCAAAGCAATCTACAAGTTCAATGCAGTATTTATCAAAATGTCAATTGCATTTCTTTTTGCATAAATAGGAAAAAAGTCCTAAAATTAATATGGATTGGAATCTCATAGGGCCTTATAGACCAATACTCCTGAGAAAGAAACACGAAACTGGAGGCCTCACACATTCTAGTTTCAAAACATAGTACAAAGCTACAGTAATCAAAACAGCTGGGTACTGGCATAAGGACAGACATACAGACCAATGGAACAGAAAAGAGCCCAGAATCAAAACCTTATGTATAATAAGGACTGATATGGTTTGGCTCTGTGTCCCTACCCAAATCTGATCTCAAAATGTAATTCCCACATGTTGAGGGAGGGATCTTATGGGAGGTGATGGAATCATGGGGGTGGCTTCCCCCATGCTGTTCTCATGATACAGAGTGAGTTCTCACAGGATCTGATGGTTTAAAAGTGGCAGTTTCCCCTGCACGCTCTCTCTCTCCTGCTGCCATGTAAGGTGTGGAAGCCTTGCTTCCCCTTCATCTTCACCATGATATTAAGTTTCCTGAGGCCATGAAGAACTGTGAGTCGATTAAACCTCTTTTGTTTATAAATTACCCAGTCTCAGGTAGTATCCTTATAACAATATGAAAATGGAGTAATACAGGAAATGGGTACTGGGATAGTGGGCACTGCTATAATGATAACCCGAAAATGTGGAAGTAACTTTGGAACTGGGTAATGGGAAGAGGTTGGAACAGTTTGGAGAGCTCAGAAGAAGACAGGAAGATGTGCAAAAAGTTTGGAACTTCCTAGAGACTTGTTGAATGATTTTGGCCAAAATGCTGATAGTGATATGGACAATGCAGTTCAGGCTGAGGTAGTCTCAGATGGAGATGAGAAATTTATTGGGAACTGGAGCGAAGGTCACTCTTGCTATGCTTTAGCAAAGAGACTAGCAGCATTTTGCCCCTTCCCTAAAGATCTGTGGAACTTTGAACTTGAGAGAGATGATGTGGGCTATCTGGCAGAAGAAATTTCTAAGCAGCAAAGCATTCAAAAGGTGACACAGCTTTTTCTGAAAGCGTACATGTATATGCACTCACAAAGAGATGGTTTGAAATTGGAACATATATTTAAAAGGGAAGTAGAGCATAAAAGTTTGGAAAATTTGCAGCCGGACCATTTGGAAGAAAAGAAAAACCCAGTTTCTGGGAAGAAATTCAAGCCAGCTACAGAAATTTGCATAAGTAATGCGGAGCCAAATGTTAATAGCCAAGACGATGGGGAAAATGTCTCCAGGATATTTCAGAGATCTTCATGGCATTCCCTCCCTTCACAGACCTGGAGGCCTAAAAGGTAAAAATGGTTTTGTGGGCCAGGCCCACGGCCCTGCTGCTCTGTATAGCCTTGGAACATGGCATCCCATGTCCCAGCCATCCCAGCTCCAGCCATGGCTAAAAAGGTCCAAAGTAAAGCTTGGGCCATGGCTTCAGAGGGTGCAAGCCCCGCACCTTGGCATCTTCTATATGGTGTTTGGCTTGTGGGTACACAGAAGACAAGAGCTTTGGGAGGCTCCACCTGGATTTCATAGCATGTATGGAAATGCCTGGATGCCCAGGCAGAAGTCTGCTGCAGTGGCAGAGTCCTCATGAAGAACCTCTGCTAGGGCAATGCAGAGGGGAAATGTGGAGCTGGAGCCTCCACACAGAGTCTCCACTGGGACACTGCCTAGTGGAGCTGTGAGAAGACAGCCACTGCCCTCGTCCTCCAGACCCCAGAACGGTAGATCGATTGACAGCTTGCACTGGGCACCTGGAAAAGCTGCAGGTACTCAATACCAGCCTGTGAAAGCAGCCACAGGGGCTGTACCCTGCAGAGTCAAAGAGGCAGAGATGCCCAAGGCCTTGGGAACCCATCTCTTGCATCAGTGTGCCCTGGATGTGAGACATGGAGTCAGAGGAGATTATTTTGGAGCTCTAAGATTTAGGAAGTTCCCTGAAGGGTTTTGTGCTTGCATGGAGCCTGTAGCCCCTTTGTTTTGGCCACCTTTTCCCATTTGGAATGGGAACATTTACCCAATGCCTGTACCCCATTGTATCTTGGAAGTAACTAACTTGTTTTTTATTTTATAGGCTGATAGGTGAAAGGGACTTGCCTTGTCTCAGATGAGACTTCAGACTTGGACTTTTGAGTTAATGCAGGAACAAGTTAAGACTTTGAGTAACTGTTGGGAAGGCATGATTGGTTTTGAAATGTGAAAATGACCTGAGATTTGGGAGGGGCCAGGAATGATATGGTTTGACTCTGTGTCCCCACCCAAATGGTTTACCATTTTGAATGGTAATCCCCAGGTGTAAGGGAGGGACCTGGTAGGAGGTGATTGGATACTGAGGGCAGTTTCCCCCATGCTATTCTTGTGATAGTGAGTTCTCATGAGATCTTATGGTTTAAAAGTCGCAGTTTCCCCTGCACTCTCTCCATCTCCTGCTGACACGTAAGACGTGTCTTGCTTCTGCTTCACCTTCTGCCATAATTGCGAGTTTCTTTAGGCTTCTTCAGCCATGGAACCGCGGGTCAATTAAACCTCTTTTGTTTATACATTACCTAGTCTCAGGCAGTATCTTTACAGTAGCGTGAAAATGGACTGACACAAGGACAAACAATCTTCAACAAGGGTTCCAAGGCAACATAATGGAGAAAGGATAGTTTTTCAATAAATGCTGTTAGGAAAACTGGATATTCACATTGAAAAGAATGAAGTTGGACTTTTATATCATATCATATGGAAAAATTAACTGAAAACAGATTAAGGTCACGAATGTAACCCCCAAAACTATAAAACTCCTAAAAGAAAACATAAGGAAAAATCATTATGCCTCTGGAGTTGGCAGCAATTTTGGATATGACACCAAAGCACAGGCAACAAAAACAAAAATAGACAAGTGAGACTATATCAAATCTAAAAAATTCTGCAGCAAAGAAAATAACCAGGGTGGTGAAAAGCCAATCTACAGAATAAGAAAATATTTGCAAACCATCTATCTGATAAATGGTTAAGATCCAGAATATATAAAGACGTCTTTATCTCTATTATCACTACCACCACCACCACAGTAACAATAACAAGTCCAATTCAAGATGAGCAAAGCATTTGAATAGACATTTTTCAAAGGAAGATATTATAATAGCCAACAAGCACAGAAAAAGAAGCTCTTCATTACTAGTCATCAGGGAAATGGAAATCAAAACCACAGTAAGATATCACTTTATAGTTGGTAAATTTCACTGTTAGAATGGCTAATATTAAAAACAAAACTGGAAAATTTTTAGTGTTGACAAGAATGTAGAGAAGTTGGAATGTGGTGCACTGCTGGTAGTGCAGCAGTTATTTGTAAAATGACGCAGCTGCAATGGAAAACCGTATGAAAGTTCCTCAAAAAAATAAAAAATACAATTATTATATGAGCCAGCACTCCCACTTCTGTTATATATTCAAAAGGATTGAAACTAGGATCTCCAAGAGATATTTGCACACTCATGTTCATTGTAGCTATATCAGTCCATTCTCATGCTACTATGAAGGAATATCCAAGACTGGGTAATTTATAAAGAAAAAAGGTTTAATTGACTCACAGTTCTGCATGGCTGGGGAGGCTTTAGGAAACTTGCAATCATGGCAGAAGATACATCTTTACAAGGCTGCAGGAGAGAGAATGAGTGCAAGTAGGGAAAATGCCAGACGCTTATAAAATCATCAGATGTCCTGAGACTCAGTATCAGTATTGCGAGAACAGCATGGGAGAAATAGTGCCCATGATTTAATTACCTCCACCTGGTCCCACCTTTGACACATGGGGATTATGGGGATTACAATTTAAGGTGAGATTTGGGTGGGGACACAGAGCCAAACCATATCAATATCGTTATTCATAATAGCCAAGAAGTTGAAGCAAGTTGAATACCTTTCAAAAGATAAATGGATAAAAAGTGTAATATCTGCATACAATGGGGTATTATTGAGCCTTATCAAAAAAGGAAACCTTGTCTTATGCTAAAACAGGTGAATATTGAGGACATTGTTTTAAGTGAAATAAGCCAGTCATAAAAGCACAAATACCATGTGATTCCTCTTATATGAAACCTCTAAAGTAGTCAAACTCTTTAAAAACAGAAAGTAGTATAGTGGTTGCCAGGAACTGGGGGAAGGGGGAAATGGAAGTTGTTCAATGGATACAGAGTTTTAATTTTGCAAGATAATGTTCTAGAGCTATTTTGGACAACAATGTGCACAAAGTTATCACTACTGTACTGTACACTTAAAATGGTTAAGATAGTAAATTTTATGTCATGTGTTTTTTACCACAATAAAAAAAGAGAAAAATAAGATTGAAGATATAATTGAAGGAGTAAAATAGAGAAAAATTAGAACTGAAATAAAAACAATAAAATTTAGGATGATAAGTAAAAGCACCATATAGAAATTTTATAGCTAAAGAATATTGTCATGGAAATTTAAAACACAAAGAATGGGTTAAATACCTGGTTATACTGAGCTGTAGAGTGAATTAGTGAACTGGAAAACAGATTGTAGAAATTACACAGAATACAGCAGAATGGAAGCAGAGATGAAAAATCTGAACAGTTTAGACACATGGAAAAATATCTGACAAACATCTAATATAGGTTCTTGAAGGAGCAATAGAGAGAATGACACAGATGCAAAGTTTTAGGATCTAAATTTGAAGAGAATTGCTGAAAGAACTTTGCTGAAATACCTCATTACTCAGATTCAGGGAATAGAAAGTATTCCTACTAGATTAAATAGAAGCAAATTCACACTGACACAAGCTATTGAAACCATAGAACACTAGAGTCAAACTAAAAGTCTTCTGAGCAAAGAAAAAAAATGAGATTTAAGAACAAGTGAAAGGATCTGTGAAAAAATAATAAATTTACAGCATATATCCCCAAAGCAAAATTATAAGCCATAAAAGATGGAATGACATCTACAAAGGGCTGAGATTAAAAAAACAAAAGGACCATAGAAGCTGTAGAATTCAAGTATAGAATTTGAACAAGGAAGATTTTAACGTAATTCCGTGTGTTGTTTGAAAGTTAAGCTTGTAAAAAGGGCAAGTCATAGACCAATACATATACTGACAAAGCACCTATACACAGCATATGTAAAGAATTTCTACAAATGCACAAATAAAAAATAGTCAACATGCTAGAATAAAAAGACAGTTTTCTTCAATAGACTAACCAAAGAGGAAGGCCAAGTGGCCAATTAACATATCTAGAAATGTGTTCATAGTCATAAATCATCAGCATAATCCAAATTAAAACCACAATGTGTACCCATAAGAATAGGTAAAATTTAAGACTGACAAGTGTTGGAGAGTTTTAGGATCAGTTGAAACTCTCTGTTGAGAAAATATAATGTATTTCAGTGAAAAACTATGCATTATGTAAAGTAGCCTATGTCATTTGATTCTAGCCTCTTTAAGCTATTTTACAGCAATGAGTCATCTACATATGGTATATTCTTTTCAGTTCTCTGATTCTACCCCTGTTTATTGTCTTTGAGCTGTTTTCATTTTCACATGAATATTATTTTTCTTTGGATTATCTTTTAAATTGATTATAACATCTGCCTGGGTCTCTCAGTTAATGTATTAAATAAAATCTTTAAAGTGTCCATTTTTATACTTGTATGAGACACAATTTTACCAATTTTTGAAAATTATCTTTTAATTTCATACCCTGCTGTTGTATAAATTGATACTACTGCTTTGAAAAACTGCAAGTATCTACTTAAGCTGACTATATTAGTATCCTATGTGTATAGCTCTGCAAAACATGTACATATGTGCACTAAATACATATGCAAGGATGTTTATAAAAGAACTACTTGTAGCAGCCTATAACCAGAAACAATCCAAATGCCCACAACTGTGGAAGAAATAGTCATAATAAAAAAGATATATATCTAGCAATGATAATTCAAAGAAACAACAAAACAAAGTTACAATCATGTTGACCAAAATAAACCTGAACAAAAGACTACATACATAATTCCATTTATATGAATTTTAAAAATAGGCAGACCTAATCCATAGCATTGAAAGTAGTTAGCCATTGAGGATTGTGGTTATCATTTTGGGCAGGTGGAATAATAACTGGACTGGGACAGGAAGAAAGATTCCAGGGTGATAATCGTATTCTATTTCTTGCCCTGGTTTAGATTAGGATGTTTTCACTGAACAAAAATTTATCAAGCAATACATGTGTGCATTTCTCAATATATGTTGTATTCAACAAAATATGTATATTTCTACATATAATACATATATCTGTTTGATAAATACAATGAATGTATTTTTAGACAAAGCAGAGCATATGACCCACAGACTTCAGCTGAAATAAGTACCAAAATGTATCTCAATAAAAATAAAAATGAACTTAGAAGGATGAAGATGCAAGAAATGATGGTGAGCAATTTTTAACATGTTAGAATAGTCTATCCAAGTATTGGTGACTTATGTTCAAATATTGGAGTGTAAAAATAAGGTAGAACTAAAACACAGAGTAATAGTAATAGCATATAGAACAGAAGGAAGTTATGAGAATTAAATTCGTCCTTAAGTTCAGCTACAGGCTCCACCTAACTGCCTGACTGTTTTGTTCTTGGCCCTCTGCTTAGAGTCCCATTTGTGCTTTCTGCTCCATTTAAATTCTTTTGCTTTCTAGGTTTCCCTCCCCTGGGATATCTTAGCCCAGTAGCACCTACTCCAGGCTCACGGAAGCCAAATCAGTACCAACTCCCAGATTCCCCATTCCCTCACTTAGAGAGATATGTCAGAAACAGAGTAGTTATGAATTCAATCTCTGTGGCTGTCCCCAAAGTCCCTTCATGCTCTTTGCAATTTCCCACTTGAGTATTCACAATGACTTCAAGTTCCTCTAAGAGTGCCAGGAAACACTTAGGGAATACACAAATTCAACCACCTAAGGAACTGCTTTTTCAAGGTGTTTTACTTTGTTGTTTTCTTTGCTGTTGTTGTTACTTACGTCTCATAGCTTCTTTCAGTTAAGGTATTGATGATGAAGAGGCACTGATGCTGTACAGGGTAAGGAAGATTTTCTCTGTTAGACTGTGACTTACTCTGCTAAACTTTGCTCTGCCTCAATCATTTGCACAACAAAATCATTGAAGTATTTCACTGGAGGAGTGGAGGCTTCTCCATTCTGTACATCCTGCTTTTGAGTTATTGATATAGTCTAACAGAACAGGTTGGAGAGCCTTTTGTTAATTTCATTCACTAAGGCATCTATACTTGTACTTTCTGGTGAATATCTGAAAGCCATATGTGAAGAATTTTTTGACTATCAGTAAATTTGGCTTATATATGTGTTGCTGCTCCTACCTATTGATGCAGATTATCAAACATTGTCTGGAAAAATATTCTGAGAATTTGAATGTACACTCAAGTCTAGGTTTGTAAAGAGAGAAATACATTTATTTTGTGAGAAATAAATGTGCAATATTGTCTTAAAACTATCTTGAGAGTGAATATTAAGTTGAATCATGCAAAAGGGCTGATATTTCACCATGTTTATCTATAAAAACAGCAATTATATGTAGGTCAAACATATGCTTGTTGTTTTACCCACCAAACAATATAATTTTTATTTTGTTCACATATTCTGAAATATTTTTCCAACATCAATTTTCAGAGTGTGGTGGCCAGTTTTCTGGTGGGAAAACTCTTTGTGGTATGCATTCCATTGAGAATCAGATTGAGAGAAAGCTTTTGAAAAATTTCCTTACAAGTAATTTTGAAAGTCTTATTACTTGTCCCTATGTCTTGACAGAAATAGAAGACAGAGACCTATTTTCTTTCATTTTTGAATCCTCAGCACTGAGAAGCGCTCAGAAGTAGTAGGTAGTCAATAAAAATTAGTATGAATGAAAAAATTAATGCCTTTACTTTTATAGCTGGTGAATCTGAAAGATGAAAAAAGAAACTGTTATCAATTGAATACTCACCATATTCTACGTACTTTTTACTTTTAAAATATTTATTAGAAATTCTGATCATGAAAGTAACATGCTTATTATAAACAACTTCAAAAATTTCAGAAACAACAGAAAGTGAAAGTCTACCTAACCCAGGTCCCAAGGGTACTACTACTGAAGTTGTGAGTATTCCTCTGTATTTCTTTCGAACAAATGTTTTTGTATTTCATATATTTAAAGTCATCCTTGAAACCAAAATTCAAGCCATTGATTTAGGTTTTGTAATGCTTTTCTCTTTCATCAAGGCTCTTTTCCTTTGCCTAGTAGTGAAGTTCAACCCCTTCTTTTCAGAAATGATGTGAATGCTCGAGACATGCCTTATGAATAAGATCTAAAGAGTTGGTTCTCTAATCATGTTCTCACAAAATTTTTATGAGTAGGCATTACTAACCCTATCCTTAATGAAAAATAGCAGGACTCAGAAATATTAAGGAACTTGTCAGAAGTTGCACAGCTAGTTGAACACCTCAACTTGCTCCACTAAAATACTTGGTGCACCATGGACCTTGGCTTGTCTTTTCTATATAATGGCAAAATTCAAAATGAAAAGTATTTAGTTATTGTACATATCCAGAATTAGCATTATATTGTCCATTTACATAGAATCATTGAGTAAACTTTCAGTTTTCACATTTGTCATAAATGAAGAGTTTGTGTGTTTGACTTTAAATTTGAATGTAAACACCTTAGTTTCATGAAAAATAATCAAACAAAGGTAAAACACAAATGGGTCAGTTTGGTGAGATAAAGCCAGCATGTGGCACTAGCCAGAGTGGAAATGTACATATACAGCTGAAAGCTTATGTTATACTAGAAGAAGTGAAAATATTAAAAATAATCTTCAAGAGAGAAAAAATTTAAATCATATGCCTCCAAAAAAGATACATTATAAAATCAGTAATAAAGTTATTGGATTAAAAGTTTATAGGATGCAAAGAGATTTATCTAGAGACCCAGAGCTTTGCAATTTCCTTCTCACTGGTAAAGGTTTTACTTCTGTTATCTGAAAGGATCATATAAATTCTTTATTAACAAGCATAGGGTGAGACTACTTCTTTGTAAATAGAAATAACTTAATTTGCTCTTGTGCATTTTAGAAATGCCTTAAATGCCTGGGTTTCTGTATGTTATCCAAGAGCTAGTCTGATAAAAGAGAGAATACCTAAGGCTATTACAGAAGAAAAATGGTGATACTTTCTAAACCTTTAGAAACAGAAAGCTGTGGGAGGCTGCCTAATCATTTGTCTTACAAACAGAGCATATGTTCATATACTGGTGTCTTATAAACCTGAAGGTATCAACTGCACTTGTCACTAACTCCAGCCCAATATTTGTTTTCAATCATTTCTAACCCAAGAGGCCCAGACGATATACAAACCCAATTTAAAGGCTGACAAAATTGTCTTCGCCATTCTGTATTGCAACAAGTTATCTATCTCATATAAAGGCTTTTACTGTCTCTCTGATCTGGAAGCACTTATTTTGTTTCAGCTTTTCAATAATACTCTAAAAACAGTTGTACCAAAGATTTAGGCATGTTTATGATGCCTAGTTTGTAGAGTTGATTGGCTTTTCCCTCTACCTAATTTAGACTGCAGTGATTTTTGTTTTCTTTGATGCAAAGGAAACTACAAGAGACCCTGCTAAACAGCAAATTAATAGGTCTGAATTGGTAATGTGATCAAAGCAGTAGCCCTTTCTGGGGATGGGCGTGGCTGGAGGTCCTAGGTATGGTATTTGAAGATAGGCCTCTCAGAAGTCCAGACTGAGGCAGATTACTCATCCCTACTCTTTCTTTCTCTAAAATGGGCATGTGATTATCTATTCCATGGTGTCATTGTGTGGATTAAATTAAAGAGATATAACAGACAAAATAATTGAATCATACATGTTAACTCCTTTCATGGATATTGATTTGACTAGCTTCCACTTGGCAAAAATACGATGTTGACCTTTTCCCTTCCTTGAGGGGAACTTAAGGTACAAAATTTTGGATTTCAACCTACAAGGTTTTTGTGCTTGCCAAAATAAATTATAGAGACAGTTTGACTCCTATATTACAGATAGAGCACTAAGAAATTGGGTCCATCGCTGTCATTTTCCTCTCAGATTCCTTTCATCTGTCACAACACAGTAGTTATGAAAAATGAAACCATAAATTCAATTTAGAGGGCAATTTGCAGCTAATCTTTGGAGTAATTCCAGTGTGAATAATGCAGCAATTTGGATGCATGGTCAGTCAATTCAGCTCTGATTTATTAGTATTTAAGAAATCTTTCTTTCATTAATGATAATTACTAAACAAGAGAAAATAATTTCTCCAAAATTACCTACCTTTATATCCAGCTTTCAGTTCTGAAAAACGGTTACATTGTTTGCTAAAATGATGATGATAAAGAAAAGGGGATACAAGGTATGTTTAGATTTTCAGCAAAAACTCTTTCCAGCTCTTGTGTGAACTGCTCAGCCCTAGGTTATATCTGCCTGTTTTTCTGATACGACTCCCATTAGAGATAACATTTTGAATATCTCAGCAGAAGGACCCTGGGATTTGATATTGATTTCCAGCACTCCAGGATGTATTAAAATCTAGCTGCAAAAAGAATGACATTTTTGTTCTTGTCTAAGAGTCGAGTTTATCTGAGATTTTTTCCTAGTTATTAAAACTCCACATTCTGACACATCCAATATACTCTGAGTCAGTGCACTTACAAGCATATGCTTAAATAGAGGGTAACATCACATTAAAATCTATAAAGAGCAGTTCTCAGAAAATGTTTACATTCATTTTCTTTTTTATATTTTATTGCATGAGCTTTAACTGCTGCATGTTTAACTATAGAAACACGTATTTCGAAACAAACCAAAACAAAACAGAAAGATATGTCTTTTCTTTAAAAAATGTTTTTGTTTTGTTCTAAAAAAAAAAAAATACTTATTTTCTATGCATCCTCCCCAGTCCACTTCATCTGTCTAAAAGTCAGGGCCATGAATCGCACAGATTTTGTATTATTCCATTAAGCAGGGACAGTACTTTCAGTCCTAGGCATATAAAATCCCCTTCAGTTCTGGCATTCATTAAAATGATGTAAATAAACAAGATGTGAGTGATGGCCCCAAGGTTGTAGTGGTGAGCTATGCCATTAAAGGTGTTATATAATGCAAGGACAGGAGGGCATGTACTGGAAAGATGTCATAGATAGTGCTTGGCCAATTGCTTTGTAAATTTGGTGGTATTCCATCATAAGCAATGTAATCTACATTGCAAACTGATCAATATTATTGTGGAGTTTTTTCCGGAGGTTACATATTTGTAACTTTTTTATTTATAATAGGTATTCAGTAAGCAGTGAACATAACCAAGGATGGGAAAGGAGAGAGCACATTAACATTATATTCACTGTTTGGCTTTAAATGACATGAATTGACAGTACCAAGTCCAAATGATCCCTGTAACAAAATGAGCTGGCTCTCGGGCATTCATGCCCCCGGTTAAGCTCATTAGTGGATGGTGGGTGTGTTACCCTCTCTGTGGAAATCATGCTCTTGAATATAAATTCAAAACTCTCCATCAGAAGAGATAGAAAACTCTTACTCTTGAACTCTCCACACATTTGTTTGTTTGCCTCTGGTTGTTGTCTCTTGACTTTCTAAAATGAGATCTGGGGTTGAGGTTAAACCCAGAGTAGCAAGGAGAAGATGTGCGTGTGTGTGTTTAGAAGTGCCTTAGCCTGAGTCTCAGCCATTTCTCACCTGCCAAGAGTTAAAGGTCAATTCTCTTAACAGATGACATTGAGAGGATGTTACAGCCCTGTCTTCATTTTCTCCTCTAAATAGCAATAGCTTTCAAAAATTCCTCATACACAATGGTATCTTTATTCTCTTCACTTTCGCTCTGTAAAAAATGACATAAATTTCCACCAGAACCCATTTTGTGTTGGCTCCATTACATCTAATGATTTGCATGCACTTTCAATTTTAATTCATTAGTTGTTTCTCTGTATAGAAAGGAAGCAAAGTTTTATTGTGTTTTAATTTTCTGTTGTCCACAAAGACAGTCAGGTAACTGAACACTGGAGGGTGTTTACACTTTCTCTTACCTCGGAAGAAAATACTTCCTCACAAGACTCTTGATTATGCAGGACTCAACCGTCGTCTCCAGTGTCCTGAGGCTGAAGTTCACCTATCAGGCCAGAGAATGTTTGGAGGCAGAGATTTGTTTTTTGTCAATCAGAGCTATGGTGAGGTTTTAAATTTGGAAATTTGGTCCAGGCAGCTCAGAGGCGCCTTTTCTTCCTGAGATCTGTAAAAAACTGTTAAGTTTTGTTTGCTGTAGCCTAAGTGGTATTTGCATAAACTTAAATCCTTGGGTATCTGAATAATTTTTTGAAGCATTGTTTACTTTACCTGAAATCCTATGGACTAATTTTAGTCACTTGTTTATTTGTTTTGAAAGTGAGGCTTAACATGTCTGTTTATTTGGTTAGCTAAGTTCAGGTCCTTTTAAAGCGATAATGGTTGTTTGCTCTAACTATGTAGAGCGGTGATTTTGTTTTTTTTTTTTTTTGGCCTACTCTAGTGTATGTGTTTATTTAAGAAAGTCTCTCATATTGCACCTTAGGTTTACTTTTCCTAAGGCTTTTTAGGTAAAATATATCAGATCTGCATTTCTCTGAGAAAAGACCTACTCTCTGTGCTGCTCCCAACCATCATCCCCTTCTTGTCGGAACTAATTGGTTATTTGTTTTCTGGAGCCCTTTTTCATTATGCCTTTATGATTGTATTTCTTACATATGTTTGTTTACTTTTCTGATTTCTGCTCTAAACCTCATTGAGCAAGGTCTAATTCAATTCTGGACACTGGCAGTGTTTATAGGGTGTGATACATAGTAGGCAATCAATATGTGTTTGCACAATTGAGGTTTTTTTCAGCTTTACTGAGGTACAATTGAAAACAAAATTTTATGTATTTGAAGTGTGCAATTTGATAATTTAAGTATATACTGTGAAATGATTGCCATGACCAAGTTAACATGTCTATCACCTCACATAATTACCTTTTTAGGAGATATCGATGAGAACACTTAAGATCTACAGTACTCTCTTAGCAAATTTCAAGCATACAATACAGTATTATTAACTATAGGCACCACGTTTGTACAACTGAGTTTCAATTTTGCATATTAACATCTCTTAGGGGATGCCTGTGCTGATCATTTGTACTGGAAGTGTATGGTCTGTGGATGAGGAGAAGCAATGTCACCTGAAAGCTTGTTACAAATGCAGAATGGCAAGCCCCACCCTGACCTACTGGATCAGAATGTACCTTTTTCTAAGATCCCCAAGTGATTCCTCTACATGAAAGGTTTAGAAACATTCTTTAGGTCAGTGTTTCTTAAAGTGTGGTCCGTGGACTAGCAGAATTAATATCACCTTATAATGTTTTAAAAAGACAAGTTCTAGGCTCCAATTCCAGATATACTGAATAAAAAACTCTGGGAAGGGCACAATAGCAGCAAGCTTTCCAGGTGATTCTGATGCATGCCAAAGCGTGAGAGCCACTGTGAAAAACATTCTTCTTTTTTTCAGTTTCTTTTGGGAAAATAAAGAAAACTAACACCTGGTGTGAACTATTATTAATGCAAAGCAGATTTTTGGCATGAATTAAATGAGTGGCTCAAATATTACTTCATATAGCAACTGTAGATCTGGCCAATAGAGCCACTGAAGCAAATTTGAGACTGGAAATGGATATATATAGATAGATATCTCCATTTTTACATATGTACTTGTATACATATATATATTTAAAACACAAATATCTATTTATTTGACTCAGAAATAATCTTATTAAGGAAGTATTAGATCCATTGTAGTCCAGCTATTAATTTAACCCATGAGAACATCGAAGCTGACACAGTTTAAGTGATTTGTCCCAGATCAGAGAGATAATAACATCTATGTCAGTGTTTTTTCCAGCTTGCCATTTTGTCAGAAGTCTCAAGTTAATTTAATTGTTTCTGGCCATTTTCTTTTTTCTTAATGAAGGTATCATTTTTATAAAATTGTTATAAATAGATAGAATTTGGGGACTTTGTATAGCAACACTCTTATTTTATATGGGGGGATACTAAGTGTTTAGAAGCAATATGAATACTTTTATATTGCTGTATAGTTAGGATTTTCTGAGCAAACAAAAATGACATGCTATAAATATAGATAATTTATAAATAATAGTATAAATATTTTCCAGATCCATTTGTTTCTCATTCTAAGGGCCTTAGAGCCAGAGATGCTTGGTTCCTTTGTGGCAGAACCATTTGTTCTTGTTCAAAGGATAGTAAAACCTATTGCCTCTGGAGCCAAAT
This sequence comes from Homo sapiens, assembly GCF_000001405.40. Classification (NCBI taxonomy): domain Eukaryota; kingdom Metazoa; phylum Chordata; class Mammalia; order Primates; family Hominidae; genus Homo; species Homo sapiens. The sequence goes on from NC_000013.11 coordinate 53,712,958, forward strand.
GCTTGCCTTTTCTTCCCAAAGACTTTGTTTAGGAAGATAAAGTTTCTCTCTTTCTCTGGAGGGCGGCAGATGAGAAGGCAGCATGCAGCCTATATAAAGTCTCACATTTATAATTTTGAAGTTCCTCTCCTGTGGCCAAAAAAAAAAAAAACTAGTGAAAAAATGGAAAAAAAAACAACCTTTGTTATGCATAAGATACATCTGATTTCTTTGCATTGTCCTGAGGTGGGGAAATCAGGCATGGAAAACAAATGTGGTTGTTATTATAAATAATAATAATCTGTCCCTCATCCAGAAACTGTGTTTGTTTCATTAAAATGTAAACAAATGTATATATTAAAAAAGTATCAGAAGGCTCACAAAGAAGAAGTGACCTACCCGAAACTCACTTTATAAATGCTGCGCAATGAGAAATCATTCTCTCTCTTATCTGTCTTATTGTAGGTTTACTCTGCTGTGCTTTTGCTTGGGCTTTATCTTAAACTCAGCTGACAAAACAGGTAAATGGCTCAGCAAATATTCAGACTGTTTAAATCATTCAGTTGGCAAGCCAGGTTAGTTTAGAAAAAATAACATTATTTTATTTCATTCTTAATACATCTAATGGGTTTCAAATGATAATATTGAATGTAATGTTTGGGAAGACCTAGGTTTTCCTCTCATGCCTGCCACTGTCTTATAAGCCTCAGTTCACATGTAAAATGAGGATAATATTAACATTATGATTAATGTTATAATTCATATTTTATATGAATTAAATAAGACAATAAATGCCAAAAATTTTGAGTAGTTTCTGACATCTTGCGAACTGTCGCAATTCTATATTTACTCCCTAATGTTACAAATAAAGTAACTGAAGTCTCAAAGTGGTTTCTCAGGGTTTATGTTGATAAGAGAGGCAAGAAAAGAACTTAATTTTGTGCTCATGGGTCAATGCTCTTTTCCTACAATAGTCAATCGTCTTCTCAACATATGAGCATAACTAGCCAAGCCCTCTGTTGAGTTCTAATAAGGTAACAAAGAAGAGTTAAAATATAAGTGAGGTATTTGAATGAGGAAGAGAAAATGGCTCTGGGTATCTGCTATGGTTTGGAAGTGCTTTGTCTTCACCAAAGCTCATGCTGATATTTGATTCTCAATATGGTAATACTGGAAGGTGAGGCCCAGTAGGAGGTGGTTGGATCATGGAGACACCACCCTCATGAATAGATTAATGCCATCTTTCAGGAGTGAGCAAGTTATGCTCTTGAGGGAATGGATTAGTTCCTGAGAGAGTGTGTTGATATAAAGAAACCTAGCCTCTCCTGCATGTCTCTTTCTGCCATGAGTTGAAGCAGCACTAGGCCCTCACTAGATGGGCTGCCTGATCTTGGACTTCCCAGTCTCCAGGATGGTGAGCCAAATAAACTTCTTTATAAATGACTCAGTCTCAGGTATTCTATTATAATAACACAACACAGACTAGGACAGCATTCAGTTGTGATGAAGGAGGTACTGACAAAGATAACTGAAGGCAAAAGTGAAAATAAAAGTATTTTTGATTGATGAACTTAAAGATTTTCTCTTGCCTAGAATTGAGATTTCACTACTGGTCTTATAGACTCCCTTTTAATCATATGAATGAAAAGGCTGAATCTCACCATTAAGTTATAGTTAAAGGAGGTACATCTTTGTTTTCCAAACTCTAAGCGAAAAATTACCTCCTTGTATTGTTAATTTTCTCATAAAGATATTAGATTAGAAACAGTTCAATTCTGTTGGAGGTGGAGGAATGTGTCTTTGGTTGACTAATCAAAGGCATCAGCTTAAATGTAGAATCATTAAAAGTGATATACAAATATCTTAAATTTTAATTTATAACAAATGTATAGTATGTGCACTCATTGAATAAAAGAATGAGGGCTGTTTTTTGCTTTTGCTTTTACTTTTTCTGCAGAAACCATGCTTGTGTAACAGACACAAATGATTTCTGAGTTTGGTTTTACTCAATGGTGCGGTGGGAACTTGCCAACACTAGTGATACAGTCCAAGGGTAGATATCTATGTATTTCTTATAACTCTTAGTCTTTTATAATTGGTCTACCTCCAACTAATTTGACAGCATAATTTGTTTTTTACATCTCATCTTTTTGAGGATTTCTCAAAGCATTCATAGTAGTTATCATGAAGCAAAATATTTCTATATACACTCATGATTTGTTAGTTTATAAATTTTTAAATTACATAACTACAACCTGAAGTGCAACTTTCATACATGGATCTGAGACCAAAGATAACTGACTCTTAGCATAACACTCAATTGGAAAGTACACATGTACACTGGTGTACTAAAGAGTCAAGAGAAAGATGATTGCGATTAACTACTTATTTCATTCACTTATATTTCCTTGGCACTTAGTGAAAAATGGACATTTTTAACACAAATTCTCACACAAATTTTTCAATGCCAAATCTAAATACACTAAATTTAAAAAGAGTTATGTTTGATTTTTTTTTTCAGCTAACAACCTTATACAGACATAGGTTGCAAACCTTCATAATCAATCCCATGGCCTCTTTTAAAAGATAATTTTTTTAAATTAACATTGTAATTTTTTTCTATATTGGTCCTAAAATATATGTAATTTTCACTTTGTCCTAAGGTAATTTAAAAATAATCTATGTTAATGCTATACATTAACAAATTCATTGCTTTATACCATCAAATTCACATATTAAAATATTTTCCCTGACAGTGATTTAATCCTCTTCAAACTAGGTTACACTCAGGTTCACTGGTTAAAAAAGTAAGTTTCTTCAGTTTTAAATCATGTAACTATAGAGATAATATTCATTTCCTAAAAGCATTGAGATGATTAATCAATGATTTCTCAGTGTGTCACAGATAGAAATTGCAGAACTCAGCAATGAAAATTATAAATTATAATTATTATCACCCTTCACCCTTCAAAGATAAATTTGAAATACCAGATGGGTTAAGTTTGATGCCTGAATAATAGAAATGGAAAATAAATTTTCAAAAAGCACACATGAGCTCATTCTAAATTGCTCAAAGAAAAAAGAATGTAGGTTTATTCATTTATTAAAAAATGCATAGACTTAATATAATGTGATTTGCAACAAAGGAATGAGATGAGAGAAGTAACTCCACGTCTGAGATTTTCACTGTTTAGTTTTATAACCTGTGATGTCTGGAGGGAAAAAAGAGTATTTCAACTCAGCTTGACATTGCCTAGAAAACAGTAAAAACAGAAGTTCAAAACTGGCCCTCTGACCCCATCATAATAATAAGAAAGGCAAATAGGCCACTGAAAGTTACTTGGTGGGAATAAAATCCACAAAGAAGAGACATTCCAAGTGAATTGGGTGCAAAATAAACACTTCTGGGATAGCATTCAGGAAGGAGTTCCTAAATATTACTTGAAAACAAAATTGTTGGAGGACTGGAAGGAGCTTTTGAATCTTTCATTAGGATTATTGAATATCTAAGGGTTACCTATAGTATTTACATTTCTTAAACCACAGATTTCAAGAAGGATTTTGAATTGCTTTTAGGAAATGTGGATTTTAGTGTGTTGTGAATACTGTTGCCATTTAAAACCAATCTAAATGAATCCCACAAGAGTTCTGTTAATAGGTTGTAAGGTTGAGAGTTGGGTAAAGAGACAATCTGTAGATAGGAAGGTATTAATATATATATATGTGATATTTATATATATGGTATTTCAAGTGTACTTATCTCCTCTTGTTTCTAAGATTTTTGGAATCCTAGACCTAATTACTTCTCACCATGATAAGTACTCTGTTTTGTGCAAGGTAGGTAGTCAATAAATATGGTGTTCTTAGGTACAAGCAATTGTTAAGTTTTTGAATTTTTTTTTAAAAATAGGATAGCCACATTATATTTTTTATTATTTTTATAGGCAAACATGAAGGAAGGGAAAATTAGCCAAGATAATTAGTTCGAAAAAATTCAGCTATTAAATTAAAGGCATCCTTTTCCATGAAATATCTTTTACATAATTACTTCAATTTTAAAATTTGAATTTTGTGAATGCCCGAGATCTAGGTTGAGAAAAGGTTTGAATGAGAATTGTTCTTAGTGCCCTGTGATTGGCAGTATTGTGGATCTTAACCAAAATGACAGTGAGCCCAAATTTGAGAAGAAAGCTGTAGCAGAGGTGAAGGAGGCATTCTGGATGTGGAGGAGGTGAGATGGGAGGAGGGACCCCACAGAGGCATTAGAAGCTAGAGAGATTGGTGCTGCAGTTGCAATGGTAAAAATGGTGAAAGTAGTAGTGACAGAGGCAGCAGTAGCTTAAAAATGTTGATTTACAAAGTCTGAAGAGTGTTTACAGTGCACAACAGAAGTCTTAGGAGAAAAGAGGTAAAGGGAGTTGAGGGATTGATGAGTTACAGAGGAAAAGGGGCAGGAGAGGATAGAAAATTAAAACGGCCTCGAGGGTTGGGCACAGTCTCTCACACCTGTAATCCCAGGACTTATCAGAGGCCCAGCTGGGAACACCATTTGAGCCCAGGAATTTGAGGTTGCAGTGAGTTATGATTGCACCACTGCTCTCCAGCTTCAGCAACAGAGTCAGACTCTATTTTTGTTGTTGTTGTTGTTGTTTAAAAAGAAAGGTGGCCTTGGAATGTTACCTCAAGTACATACTGTTGTTACCCTAGACTGTGTCCTAAAGCCACTAATGTTATTTTCATCATTGGAAATGACTCTTGATAACAGTCTGTGATTGGGATGCATAAATTTAACAAACAGGTTTTAATAAGTGGCCTCATTAGCGCTTCTGTTGGCTGCTTTATGCTTTCTGTAGGCTGCTTTATGTAAAGGCCATTACAAAATCCAAACATATATGCTGTTTAGACATCCTTTTCTCCATGCACCACCACTTCCGTTTATTCAAAGAGTGCACCTCTGTGACAAAAATGGTAAAACAGTCTTCTACTTCAAATCTGATCCTTAAAGATATTAGGCCAAAAACTACTTCTGTTTGAAAGCTGAATTTCTTCTTTGGCCACAGTCTGATATATAATCAGCTCCACATTAGAAGGAGATGAGAGTTCCTTCTCCCTTTCTAATTAAAGAATGGGAGGACGAAAGCATTACCAAATATACATCATTCACTCAACCACTTTTTGTGAGCACCTAGGTAAGGCATGGCCAATGAATGTAAGAATTTGCAAGATTTATCTAAATCTTACTTACTGTTTTTGGTATCCCCTATTCCTGTTTTGTAATTAGTGACAACTCCCTTTAAAATAAGTGGGGGTTTGCAGAGAAAGAGCAGGTAAATGAGAAACCTCTATATAGGGTCTCGTTCTATAAGTGTCCTGGAGCCACACTTTGTTCTCCCTCTGCTTGGAAAATGCGCTGACCCAGGGTTCTGGCAAAGTGGACTATTGGTGTCTCAAAAATACAGGCTTTTATTGAAAGATAGAGAAGGATGCCAAGGGTGCTTTTCTAAGGTGCTTTATAATTAACCTATCAGCACTCAAGATATACTCAGTAAAATTATTAATGACTTCAATTTATTTTTTATTTATCTAGAGAAATTTTTTTGTCAAACACCAAGTGGGAGAAATAGATCTGGGTGCAAAGATTATCCATACTTTCCTTGTCTGTGTGAAGAGCAGCAAAAGTTTATGGAAAAATAATGTTAATCTATTAGGGAAGATAAAAATGTTGCTGTTATGTGATATATTCAAAGGTACACCAGGAAAATAATATGTTGATATGATTTTTAAGGGAGTGTTTCAGAACCAAAGATCCAAAGAAATTCACACAGTTATTACTCTTGCTATTTCATTATCCTTGTTGGTTTTCCTCCAAGGTCTTATAGCATTCTTTTCTTTTTTTTCCTATTTACTTTCACAAAGAGAGGATTTTTGTTTAGGGAATCCTGTGTATTGTCATGATTGTGAGGCTTGTACATTTAGAGGGCGATTGTTACATCCTCTGGAATCAGATACTCCTCTGAAAGAACTTCATTATAGATTTTAACATTTCATATTATTGAACATCCATCTTCACCAATAGATTGTGAATTTTATTTGTTTTCACATCAAGCCCAATACCTGGCACAAAGGCAACAGATATGGGTCCCTTGGTAAATGGCTGACAGTGTTATTTACCAGAGTTCTGGAAACATTCATGGGATATGAACAACTGTAAATTCTTTCACTTGAGGAATCCATGTGTAACGATGCAATTTTTAACCTTACAGCTATAATTTTGTTGGCTTAATGATAAGTGTTTATTGATGATGTTGTCAATGACACAGTCATCAGAATAAAGAATGAGGAAGCACAGACCTCCTTGCAAGAGAAGGAAGGATAATAAGCTTCTGTTTCCTATTGAATTACATATTGTAAAACACAGAACAAATATTTATATGAATAGGAAAACAATTTCTCTTGTTTAGACAGGTTAAAATAAGATTTGCTTCATGGTGGAGACATAGTCATTGCTTTAGGTAGAATGCATAATGCCCTTGTTTTACAGCCTTAAGGGAATAATATTGGTGAGTTTTTTTTGTCATGCTTTCTTTTTATTTCATTTGCATTTCCAAAGTGATTCTTCATTTCAGGAGCTCAAATTGATTCATTTTAGTAGCCTACCAAATCCTCCACTGTGCTTATATTGTTCTGTGACATGCATTTTTTTAAATCTCAGCACTGGAAGAATGCTTTATTACCAACCCATGTTGGTTATTAATAGGCTGCTGGGGTAACTTGGCACTTTATATGCTTATTTTTATATGAAAGAAGGATAACATTTTTGTTGCTATTGCTCTGCTTATGTAATTGTGCTTAAAGTAAGAATATTTTGTTTACGGGTTTCAAATTTTGTGTGTTTGTTCATTAAGAAAATTTGGTAAAGGTAATGGATATTGAACTATGATTTGTGCATCCTTCATACCCCATTGATTTTTAGATAAATAAAGATTTTATTTCCTCATTTTATGAACAAGATAAAAGTCAGACTTACAAAAATAAGCAAAAAACCCACAATTTACACATGGCATTATTTCTGTTCTACTATTGAGGTGTTTATATACTAATAATTGTAGTTTTCCAAACAGTTCTTATACAAGATATTAAAGAAAGTTGCCTAAAAGAGCATGCTGAAAATTGCATGCTGGTATGTTATATACCAATGCAAGATCTATGATGCCAAGGCCCATGCTTAGCTTTTGTATTCCTCATGCTCAGCAGATTGTCTGGCCTGTCCTAATGCCCAGTAAGATGCATGCTCAATAAACGTGTGGTGAAAAAAACAATAGAGCTGGAAATGAATGCTTGTATAGGGAAATGCATTCTAGTTTGCAGCTTCAAAATTTGTTTTTATTTGTAGTTACATGCAATTTTTTAACAAATAAGAAAATAATAGTTAACTTTTGTGAACACCTACGCCATGCCAGGCAATGTGCTAAGTGCTATGTATAATTTCCTTCATCTTTAAATTTCACATGGTCAACACTATTCCACATATAAGATGGAGAGAATAAAAGAGGAAAGTATACTGGGAGCCCTTTATTAGCAAAAGGATTTTCTCCATTTGAGATAAACGTGGCTTTGTTTGAAGTTAGGTGGAAAAAGATATGTTGCTACGCTTTGTGGTTTGGTGACACCACTATTAAATTAATCTATACCTGTCTGTTCCATGTTGACTAGAAAAATGACTTACCAACTTATGTTTTTCAAATAGGCAGAATATAAAATGAAATAAAATGCATATTTAGCAATTAAGCAAAAGTATAATAATATATAATATGATTTCTCTCTTAATAGAAATGGTTTATTATTTTAAAATATAAGTGAAAATAAAACTAAGATATGACAAAGCCAAAACCACCACTCTATTATCTTTTAATACAATTTCAAGGCAATCAGCATCATGATATCTGTTTTCTCAGATAGCAATATTACTATTTAGTATGTTATTATAAATGTAAGAGTAAACATTAATAGTTTATGGCATTTGATTAAAATGGAAATCATCCCAAATCATCAGAGAGCCTCACCCATTCCTTATTTACAGATGCATAAAACTAGAACATTTTCCTTTGAATATAAAAACAGTCGACCAGGCATGGTGGCTCACGCCTGTAATCCCAACACTTTGGGAGGCTGAGTCGGGCAGATTATGAGGTCAGGAGTTTGAGACCAGCCTGGCCAGCATGGTGAAACCGTGTCTCTACTAAAAATACAAAAAATTAGCTGGGCATGGTGGCACACGCCAAAATATCTACACTGTGCTCTGTATATAAAAAAGAAAGTATAATCTCTTTCAGCAGAGAGCCATATTTTTAGTGGCATTTGTACTTACTATCACATTGGCTTGACTTTATCAATGCAGAGCATTGGGAGCTTCTCATCTATAAACAACAATACTTCTCCCCATATTAAGAAACAAACAAAAAGAAATGAAGAAAGGTAGAGAGAAGGAGGAAGATAGGCTGGTACGTCAATATTTCACTATTCTCTGTAACTACTTTTCTTGAAAATCTTTCTAAGTATCTATAAGAGTTGTCGGTTTTTTTTTTTTATTATCCATTTCTTTCCTAACAGCCCTCATTTTGGTTTCTCCCACCTCTTACGGCCTTCTAATTCCCAATGGATACTACAATACGTTTACATAGTGGTATTTTAATTTTATAGACTAGGAAACAGACTCAGAGGTTAATATTTTGCTCAGGACAATCCAGCTACTAAATAGTAGGCTGCATGTAAAACAGGTTTTCAACACAAAGACATTTCAGAATCTCATTTCAGTATCTTCCTTTGCTACTGAATGCTTGCAATTTAAAAGTCACTTTTTGTTCTCTGACTTTTAAATTGCAAGCATTCGGTAGCTATCTCTCTGGGTCCAAAGTGAATAATATGATCAAGAATACAGGCATCACAGGCCATCTTCTTGGTGTACGGCAGAACAGGGAAGAGATAAACTCTGGTTCTCAGCTTCTCTGCAAGGAAAAAAAGGAATTGGAATATACATCTAATATCACAGCCTCTCCAGCTGCATCGCAAAAGACTGGCTTCTATCTCACCTTTCTTAATGAAATGACTTGAAACTCCAATTTCTTGAGGGTCACTAAGAACAAAGGCAGGAGTCTGGGCAAGCACAAAGAGGTTAGAGGTATACAGAATCTCTGGATGGCTGATGGAGGAGGAACATCTCCTACATAAAGCAAGTCTAATGAGACTGGGAAACATGGTTCTTTCGTGTATTGCACAGAAACCAACACAGAGCATGAAGAAACAAGAAATGTGTTTCAAACTAAAGAACAAGACAAAACTCTAGAAATGGATCCTAATGAAATTATATTTCATATATTTTTTTCCTCATTATTGCAGATATGCAATTTACCTGACAAGGAATTCAAAAGGACAGTAATCAAGATGCCCAATGAAGTAAGGAGAACACCACATGTACAGACTAAGAATGTCAACAAGGGACAGAAAATATTTAAAAAGTACCACATGGAAATCATCAAGTGGAATAATATTCGTGAAATCACAAATTTAGTAGAGGAGTTCAACAACAGATTAGATAACACATAAGAGAAGATTAGCAAACTTGAAGACAGGTCATTGGAAGTTATCCAATATGAGAAGCAAAAAGAAAAAAAAAGGTGAAAAAAAGGGAAGACAACATAAAAGAGTTCTGGGACACTATCAAGAATAATAATACATGCATTAATGGTGAATGACAGGGAAAAGAGAGAGAAGATACAGAAAATAGTTCCAAAAAATAATGGCAAAAAACTCCCCAAATCTGGAAGGAAATAGAAATCCAGATCCAGAAACCTCAATGGACACACCTAATAGGATGGTGTCCAAAGAGACACCAAGATATAATTGTCAAAAGTTAGAGAATATGGAAAGTGGCAAAGGCAACCTTTTACAAACAAGGGGACTTGCATAAGACTATCAGAAGGTTTTTGTTTTTGTTTTTGTTTTTGTTTTTCGGAAACCATGAAGGCCATAAAGGAATGAAATAATATATTCAAAAAGCTGAATTTTTTTTTAAACTTGCCAACCCAAAATACTATACTGAGCAATTATATCCTTCAAAAATGAAGGGGAGATAACTTTCTCAAACAAATGAAAGCTAAGGAAATGGATTACAACTATACCTGTCTTCCAAAAATGCTAAAAGGAGTCATTTACATTGAAATAAAAGGTCGCTATGTAGCATCACGAGAATATGCAAAAATATAAAACTGTGGAAAAGTAAGTATATAGTTTAACTTAGAACACTCTTATAGTGTAATGGTGATGTGAAAATCAACTGTCATATGTAGTTAGTATAAAGGTTGGAAGACAAAAGTACTAAAAACATATATATATACTTTACCCTTGCTTTGTTCAAGTGTCAGAGATGCTAATCCCCACCCCTCACCCCACAGTACAAAATCCACATATAACTTTGAACTCCCTAAAACTTAACCACTAATAGCCTTCTATTGACTGGAAGCCTTATTGATAACATAAACAGTCAATTAACACATATATGTTATATTAAATATATACATATTTATATTAATATATAATATAATTTATATTTATATATGTATAATTTATATTTATATTAATTTATATTTATAATATAAATATTTATATTATATATTATATACTGCATTATTATAATAAGGTAAGCTAGAGAAAAATATTAGGAAAATCATAAGAAAAATATAATTAGTATAAAGTGGAAATAGATCCCCATAAATGTCTTCATCCTCGTTTTTCTTACATTGAGCAGGCTGAGGAAGAAGAGGAGGAGTTTATCTTGCTATCCCAGAATGGCAGAGGTAGAAGAAAATCTATGTACAAGTGGACCCAAGCAGTTCAAATCCATGCTGTTCAAGGGTTAATTGTAGCTACAAAAATGGGTTGAGAAACAAGCTATGAAAGACACGAATCATATTTTCAAAACAAATTAGGGGGCGTAAAAGTGTAGAGTTTTTGGAAGTGATCAAATTAAGTAATTACTGGGTTAAAACAGCCTATTATAATTGTAAGATATTTTATGTAAGCCTCATGGTAACCACAGAACAAAAATACTTATTAGATACACAAAAGAAAAAAATAAAGGATTGAAATCATAACAGAAAATCATCAAACTGAAGCTATGCGAGGGAGGCAGACTAAGGTCCAACTTTCAGTAAAAGGAAAACACGTGATGTTTGGCCGGTAGGATTTCAGAATTGCTATGGACCTGTGACTGCTGGGCACTTCCCGTTCTTCCCGCTTCGCAATCCAAACTGTTATTGAGGTTTATTCTGTTCCAGTTTTATATGTTCTCTATGGCTTTGTGTGTGGTGGGTGTCATGGTGGGATACTCATTGTTTTAGCCTACAAGTATCTGAATCAAAAGACACTATACACAGATCTAAAGTAGAATATATCAAGAAATTCTGGATCTTGAGTTGATGTCACAATAGATTGAAATTTTTGTTGTCGCTATTCTGGTTTTTGGTTTTTTAGGACAAGATCTTGCTCTGTCACCCAGGCTGGAGTGCAATGGCACGATCTCGGCTCACTGCAACCTCCCCCTGCTGAGTTCAAGCAATTCTCATGCCTCAGTCTCCCAAGGAGCCAGGATTACAGGCGTTCACCACCATACCTGGCAAATTTTTTTTGTATTTTTAGTAGAGACAGTGTTTCACCATGAATGGCCAAGCTGGTCTCGAATGCTTCACCTCAAGCAATCTGCCCACTTTGGCCTCCCAAAGTGCTGGGAATACAGGAGTGAGCCACCATGCCAGGCTGGATGGAAATATTGAATGCTCCTTGGAAAGAATGGTAGTGTGTTTCATGTACAAAAAGCAAATAAGTAAATATTTTTGACCAGTAATAAAAATTCTTACTACTTTCCAAAAAAAAAAAAGAAAAAGAAAAAGAAAATCATCAAGCCACACAGGAAGACAGCAAGAGATAAAGAGAGGAACAAAGAAGGTACAAATTAACAACAACGAAATTAACAAAATGGCACCAGGAAGTTCTTACTTACCAGTAATTACTTTGATTATAAATGATTAAATTCTCCAGAAGACATTGACTAGCTTAATGGATAAATTAACAAAAAACAACTATATGCTGCCTACAAGAGACTCACTTCACTTCTAAGAACACACACATCTCCTAAAAATGAAGGGATGAAAAAAGATATTTCATATAACTGAAAACCAAAAGACGGTGTGGGTAGAGGTGGTTACCAGAAGAAAGATATTGATACTTGTATCAGAGTGTTTACTCTGGCCTTCTTGATTGTTTTTTCAACTTTGGTTTCTGTAATATAATTCTAAGCTAGTTTTATTTGTCTCTCTAACATGACTCCTTTTTGTTTTTACAATTGCTGGTCCTATATTTTAAGTGTTCCATCTTTATTCATCTAATTTTATGACAAAAGTTATTTGGGGGATTAAATGTTAATTACCCCACCAGGAAAGGATATGTTTTCTGGACAACCACTAAACACCACATTAAGATGACATCCTTAATCTGATTGGCCCCTGCCCGGTCTTCACCAGAAGCCAGATTCCTCTCCATTCATTTTACTCTACTCTCATTATAAACCATGTTTTAGCCATTGTTGTTTACCATAACTTAGTTTTCATTTTGGCTGCTTTATTTCTGTCTTCTCTGTTTCCACAAGGCTGATCTCTTACCTCTTAATGCCAAGACTCTCTGGACAGGTTCTAACTAATCTATTTTCATCAATCCCTTCCTTCCACAAGCACATTTTCTATGTTCCCTTATGATCAGCCTTCTGAAAATCTAATTTGTATCAATCACTCCTCTGTTTACAAAACCCCAATATCTTCCTCTTATGTTATACTATGGTTCATACTCCTTGGCACCCCATAAGCAGGCCCAAAGTTACTTTCTTAGCTTTTTTTCTCTTTTGTTCTTTCAAAAACATTTTGTTTCACTTTACTCATTGAGCCCCAGGAGACTTACTCTTAGTATCTCCCATCTGCCTGGGATACTTCTTTTCCTCTCTTTAACTGCCAAATTTTAGTCACTTTCGAGACCAAATTCCAATAGTACTTCTTCCATTAATTTTTTTTCAGACAACCCCACAAGCAAATGATCTGTTTTCTGGACACCCCCAGATATTTATGTAACCAGTGTATTCAACCACAGCTCAGGTCAATACCGATCACAGCAGCAGGCAGTATTAATCAGAAACGTAACTCCATCTATCAATAAGACAAAGAAAATGCTCAATCATTCATTACTATTCATGTTGCAGCCACTTTGATAGTGAAGACAGACCCTGCCACAATTTATCCTCTGAACATTTGCATCCAGCTACAGTTTTTAAGTAAGAGAGAAAAAAGGAAAATTGTAACTATCGCTGTTCTGCTTGATATTTTGTTTTAAATTGTGTCACATACATTTTGGGGCATAATTACAAGTCACTAACTTTTATTGGTATATAAAGAGAAAACTTTACAGTTTTAAAAAGATGAATTTATTTTTGGTTGCTGAATCAAATGCAATTTAAACTTCCAGGATGTTTACATTTTATTAGTAACAAATTGATAGCACATGGGTTTCTTTCTGTTTCTTCCAAAGTCAGCAACCCTACTTTCACTCTCTATTTTCTTCTATTATCAGAGGAGTTTTTTGACACATGTATAAGCAAATATTTTCTTATAGTGCAGCAGAACTGAGATGCTCAAATGTTTTAACAAATCAGGTTCTCCAGTCAATTTGGGTTTATTCAAACTCAAGATATTGAATGTCTTTGATTACTCAGGAGTATTTCTAGATATGAGACATCCTAAGATTGTATTTCAGCATATTCATCTGCATGTTATGAAGTTTTCATAAGTATAAACTTTTTTGAGTTTCACAGAACTACTAATCTCAATTTAAACTAGAGAACTTCTCTGTCACTAATGTTCTTTTAAAAATAATTTAAATAATAATACAATAAGTTAGTGGCTAATTTTTTGAAAACCTAGAATTGATGGGTATTATACTGAGTTTATTATAGATCAAGTTGCCATATTTAATGAATAAAAATACAGAACACACAGGTACATTTGAATTTCAGATAACAATGAATCCTTTTTCATCCTAAGTTTGTCTGATATAAAATTTGAGGCATATTTATACTAAAATATTACTTGTTATCTGAAATGCAAATCTAACTGGATGTCCTGTATTTTATCTGGCAACTCTAAAATGGATTACATTTATTTTGTACAATATGTTTATGAAGTAGTTGATGTAATTAATAACAGTTTACAGACAGAGGAGACTCAGGCATAGAGAGTTTAAAGACTTTCCTCCAAGGCCATCAGGCCAGTAAGTGAAAGAAGTATTTGTGCCAAGGTCTGCTTAACTTCAGAGCTGAAGCTTTTAATCTTATTTATTCACAATATCTTCCTAGAGGTAGAATTCTATGTGAGAAGTTAGATACCTTTAAAGCTTTTGATTATCTAATAAGGTGAACAAGTTTACAGCCCTACCTATTGTCTGCCTCCCTGACCCTCACCAACACTGGCATTATGATTTTGAAAAGTCTTGAGTAGTTTAGTAAAGAAAAAGTAGAACAACAGGTTTTGCTTATTGTGAACTTATTTAATTTTTAATGAAGTTGTATCTATTTGCATGGCTATTTGTATTCTTTTGTGAGGTTCTTAACTCATTCTCTAAGGCTAAAAAATGTGAAAGCCATCAGGTGTGATGTTTCTTCAGCTTGATCCTCAAATTTGAATGTGCATCAAGAATCATGTGGAAGACTTGTTAAAATATAGATTTCTAGTCCCTCACCTCCAGAGTCTCTGATTCACTGTATCTTGGGTAAAGTCAGATAATTTTTATATCTAATGAATTCCCAGGTGATGTTGATGCTGCTGGTCTAGGGGCCATGCATTGAGCATTAATGGTCTACAGGAAGGGCCAAAGCTCACAGTGTAATGAATCTTGCCTATCTTAACCATTGATTGTTTAGCATACTTGTTACTGATCTCAAGGTTATTACTCAGTGCAAACAAGAGAATCACCTTAATAAAAGTCTAATCATCAAGTGTGATATAGGACATGTCATTATGATCAGTTTTAAATTATGCAATAAAGAAATTTTTTACAACTAATTTGCTAATGACAAATAATACAAGCATCAGCTATCTAGGCTATGAATAGAATTTTTATGCTTCTCTTTCGGCTGCATTAAAACCAAATTCTGAGTCTATTAGAGTATGGCGTACTGTTCCCTGGCTCAAAGTAGCTGTCAGTGTTCAATAAATGTACTTTGAGTGAATATTGGAGAGTTCCAAGTTTCCTAAAGCTTTGTCTCAGGATTATTCCATATTTTTTTGCAGGAGTCTTGAAAATGGGAAAAATGAAAAAGAGATAAATTCCCAAGAATAGAGAATGTAATCAGCCTTTGGAACATGGTTCTCGGGGGGAATCCTTTAACAGAATGTGAAGGGATAGAATGGAGCTTCCTTCGACAGGAAGACTCAATATTGTAGAGTAAGATAAAGTAAGTGAAAAATATCATAAGGCCTAGTTTAATACTGGAGGCCTAAGAAGAAACCACCTTTTTTTAGAGAAAGGAGGGTGACTTGGAGAAAAGAGGCAGGCATATGTTAGGCAGTTTGATCTGCATTCTTGGTCAAAAACAACAATTTTGTGAACTGTTGATAGTGACATAAGACAAAAATAAAGCTGCTCATTTCTAAGACCTGAACCTTGTTGCACATTGGGTGGCTAAGCTACTAAGGGATGACTTCAGGAGAGAAACCTGATAAATATTATCTGAAGTGAGAAGAACTCCACTAGTTTTTTCTGCTCAGTTTCTTAAGTGCATATCTAGCTTCTGGCTGATTAAACTTAAACAGCACACTTACACGAGGACTCTCCAGTGAGGTACTTATATACCCCTAATTGTTTTGCATGTTATGGAAAAAACAATAAGCCTATTTTAATCCAACAGACAAGAAAAAATAAATGTCACTTTAAAAGTTGTCATGGCATCAGCATTCTCTTTATCCTAGTTCACCTGAGGTCTATGTTCCAGCCTATAGACCTCGATCCCTCAATGATTTCTCATGTTGACAGTTCCACAATATGGGACATTGTAGTATGTTCCATGCTAACCTGTCAGCTTTTCTTTTCACATTCTCATTTCAAGTATAGCTCAGGTTCTACTGCATTTTCTGCAATTATTTGGACATATAATCCCATTTTTCTAGGAATTCAGACTTTGCATATGTTGTTCCTTACTTCTGCCAACATTCCATTTTTACATTTACCTAGCCCTACACATCCTTTAAAAAATAAATGGTGTTTTCTTTACCTGGTCTTTCTTGACTTTATTACCTCCTAAGCCTGGGTTAAATAGATCACTCTAGCACAGGCTGCTAGGTTAAATGTTCCCCCAACAACCTCTTGTTGATTTCATTATGGCATAAATTACCTAATATCATTGTATAATACATACTCATTTCCTAATTTACTTATACGATTAGCCATGGAAATTTCTTGAAGTCAAGGACACAGTTTTTATCGTCATTATACATTGGATTCTGTATACTCAGTAAACTTTACACATCGTCACAACATCACAGTTGAATGAATACACAGATTCATGAAACCAGCAGAGCTAAGAATTCATATGCATTTCCAGAAGTTGTTTGAGAGAAAAATAAATGGTCATAGACAAAATCAATACAGTAGACAAGACCAGCAGATAGTCTTTATTTTCATTGTATTAATATATCTGTTAAAAATCAATTGCTTGAATTTGCTATTTAAAGGTAAATATTCTTAGTTGCAAAAAAAATAAAACCTATTTCATTTAAGGTATAAGAGGCTTTATAAAGAATGTTAAGGGGCATCCATGTTTCTCAAGAGGACAAGGGGTTAAGTTTTACCTGGGTGGCCAAGAATTACATCTACATTATACATGTGGCTGCTCCAAAGGAGATTCTATAGCCATTGTCCTTAGGCTTAGGTGGCTCATACCAGTGTCTCTGAGCATGAGACTCTTGGCTTAGACCTCTGCTGTCACTCCATCTGAGACTTGATCATCCTGCTGTCCTCTGCCGCCCTCACATTGTACTGCCCACTTCACATCACTCTCTTTCTAAAAGAAGTCTCAGGTATGCGTATAGTGAGTCTTAACATTGTCAATAGATTCTTGGAAACTATGACTTTAAGTGAAAGGATGTATGACAATGTATGCTAATTGATATAAACAAGACTTAAGTTCCTACATGTTTCTGGTCACAAAAATATCACCAAACTTCTAAATACTCCAAACAATTCTAACATTAAAATATGAGTTATACATACATTTTAAAAAGATTAATAAAAGTAGTATAATTACCAAATATTTGGTGAATCAGTGAGTGATGGCAGTCATAGCAGTGGTGAATTAAATTAAGAAATAAATGTTTGTAAAGCAGAAATTTTCAGGAGAAACTTCTACCACCACCAATATTGGAAAATAAACAATAACCAGTATGGCAGGTGTGTTAGTTTGTTTTCACACTGCTGATAGGGACACACTTGATACTGGGTAATTTATAAAGAAGAAGAGGTTTAATCAACTCACAGTTTCATGTGGCTGGGGAGGCCTCACAATCATGGTGGAAGGTGAAAAGCACATCTTACACGACAGCAGTCAAGAGAGAATGAGAGCCAAGTGAAAAGGATTTCCCCTTATAAAACCATCAGATCTTGTGAGACTGATTCACTACCATGAGAATAGCATGGGGGAATAGGCCCCATGATTCATTTATCTCCCAGTGGGTCCCTCCCACAACACGTGGGAATTATGGGAGCTACAATTCAAGATGAGATTTGGGTGGGGACGTAGCCAAACCATATCAGCGGGCTTGCTGAGTGCTTTTGAACAGCATCATTTGCTGTTGTGCATTTGTATGATTATCATGAGCTTTAGGAATTTTTATGTAACAATAATGTATATTCATTTTCCAAACCACTTATTCCATTTCAGGGTCTCAGGTGCCCAGAGCCTATTCCAGCAGCTCAGGGCACAAGGTGGGAACCCACTCTGAACACGATGCCATCTCATCACAGTGTACACTCAACACCCACCCACACTCACTCAGACCTGGGCCATTCATACAGCGAATCACCTAGAGTGCACAGCTGTGGGAGGTAAGAGGAAACCAGAGTACTTGGAGAAAACCAATGTAGACAGTGACCCCAGACAGGAATCTATATTTTTTTCTCATCTACCTTATAATGGAATGATGTTGAATGAAATCACGGTATTTGAGGACATGCTGTATCTGACTAGCCCAACTACTGAACATATAGACCTCTGCCCTAGTACCAAGAGACACTGGCAAAATGGCTTCTAAGTGAGGAAATGAAACTCATTGGGTAGTAATTTATGTAACACAGAAAGGTTGTTCAGAAGACTCTAATTAGATGAATGTCCTCTATATCACCCTAAGAACATGCATGGGAGCTGGAGGTTGAATTTAGTAACTTTGCAAGATACCTTTATATTTAGGATTCTGTCACAGCCATTAGCTTTTAGTGCTGGCCTTCATATATCTTAAAATGCCTCAGCATTAGGGTGGGGAGTTGTAGAGATCATTGCATCTATTTTTATAGCTTCTAGCATCTCAGTGCTAGTAGTATTTTTATCTCTGGTGGTCTTTGGAATACATACCAGTAAGTATTTAGCCCTTATTCTGTGATCTCTTGCAATGCCCTGACAACCAAAAATTTTTTTTTGTTTGATTCAGTTTGAATGAGTGTTGCTCACATTTTAAAAGTGAACAAGTTGACACTGAAATTACATCAAATGATGGCAAATAGCAGAAGTTCACATTTGATCACCCCAAGCACTTGATGGCTATGTCTGAACCTGGGATCATGAAGGGGAAAAAAAAGGCCAAAATTAAGGGTTGACATAGGGAAAAAAAGCATTTTGTGGTAATTTTAGCCTTCAACGCCTTTCAAGGAGTCAGGAGGATGCCCACTTAAAAGGTGAAATTAGAAAATAAAGAAGAAAATTCACTATATTTGGTTTTTACTTAGCTTTCTTTCAGGAGTTCTCTGTGTCTCCCTTGGAGTCAGTAGGGTCCGTGATTGCTGTTGAAGTCTGTGAAGCTGAATTACTCCTCAGAACACTCAACTGATAAACATTTGCTTTAAACCATACACCACCCTCCAAATTACCACCTTTCTTCTTACACAGCCAATATTCCACAAAGATCATAAATCTGAATAGAAGTTATTTTGCTGAACGTTTTTTTGTAGTTAGCCAAAGAGAATAAAGGCTAAGAGAGTTTAAAATAAACAAAAAAGCAAAAGCATTCCCAAATCTCCCAGCAGAATCACATCTTTTAATGCATTGTCTGTAGCACCACTTTTTCCTTTATAAAATTTACATTCAGTGTATTCACTTCACTATTACCTACTCATTATTCTCTGTATTGCTCTCAAACAAGTCACCAAAAGACCAAGTGTTGTTGTTTTTTATTAGCACTTGTGCCACTGAGGTTTTCTACCTGTGGGCCATGTTTCCGTTTTGCCTCTCTGTTCCCAGAAATTGTATGGCACTAGAGACCGTCATTTGTCTTGCTTTTATTTTCGATTCTATCCTTTACTCTGCTTGCTTTCTTTGTTTTTAAAAGTGAACATTTCCAGGTTTCTACTCCTGGTTATTTCTCCAGCATTCTGTACATATTGACAATCAATGACCCAATCCAAGTCTTCAACAGTTACACTTATTTAGATGACTTTCCAAATTTATGCCATGCCGTAAATATCTGAATATAGTTGTTCAAGATTCAAGAGATGTGTCTGAGCTACCTGGATATTTCCTAGCTCAAACGCTTATCAGCTGTGTGACCTTTGGCAAGCTATTCAACCACTCATGACTTCAGTGCGTCAGCTCTAATACATGGCTAAAAATAGTACACCTACCTTATGAAGTTGCATGAGGATTAAATGACCTAATATTTGTTAATGCTTAGACAAATGTTGCATAGTTAAGTGCCATATACATGTTTTTTAAAGAAAATGAAACAAATATGAAAATTATTAGAGTCTATGTAGTAAAGTGGTAGGTATGGAAGGAGAATAGGCAAGGACACAAACACAGTTTTAAGGCCAGGGAGTAGAAAAGAAGACTGTGTATGTAGAATGAATCATCTTCTACTGTGCCCAGAATTAACTGATTTTCTCATGCTTCTTACTCTGATGACTGCCTAGATTACTGTGTCTCCTCTGTCTAGATTATTCCCCAGCCTCTAGCCCACCTGTTCAAAATATACAAATCCTACTCTTAAGAGATCCCTAGATGGCTTCCTGACTGAAGTGCTGTGTATTGAGATTACCATCCCTGCTTCTAAAATAATTGTTTAATTAACTATTACAGTTATTTGAGTATCTTCCAGGTAATATATAAAATTTGGGAGGTGTAAAGTTCATGTCATACACAAGTTTGTCTTCCTCAGGCTCCTATCTTCCCTGTAACTGGCACAAGTCTCATCACAGATTGCTGTAGGTCACGGAGGATGGGAGAGAGTGAATGAGAGGAAGAGAAAAGAGAGATGGAGGGAGGCTTAGTGAGTAGGGCCATCATATTTCTCTTGACAGTTCTGAAGGAGACACAACACAGCTGTTATAAGTTAGCACAGATATGAGCATGCCAGCCAACACTTCTATGTTTTCCTAACAACTATTTATTTTTTCTCATAGAGAAATATTGGAGTCAAAGAGCCTTTAGAGTTTTTCTAGTCCAAGCCTGTACCATTTCTATTGAGGAGGCTGAGGCATGGAGCAGTGGAGTGACTGTGCAGAATCCTCCTGGGAGTCATGGAGAAGCAGGCAGCAGGAGCTCTAGAGACTTGGATTCTCACATTGCCCTTGCTACTTGGTACCTACGTCATTTGAAAATCTCTGAGCCAATTCATTTGTTTCTACCTGTGGAACATCTGTTTAGCCTTGTAAGCAACTTAATGGGTGTTCAACAGAGAGTACCCATTTGTATTAGTGATATTATTAACCAATGCTATTGCCAACATGGGGCTCATCAAAAGTAACACTGTTGATGCTAACTATGGCTGTCTATGTGAAAGATGGCAGATATGGGGCTGCAATCTAGGTCTTTTGATTCTTAATCTGGGGGTGTTTATTTCCCTATGTTCCTTGGTAACTTGGTACAATGTTGTGGAAGAAAGGCAGGCTACTTGTCATGAAAACCCAAAATGTCAGTGGCTTTACATAATAAGTGTATACTATTTCCCATGTTACAATCCAATACAAGGCAATGCAGAGGGGCTTCAGTCTATGTGGTCCTCTGGGGACCCAAGCACTTCTCATTTTGTCCTCTGTATCTGGCTAGAAGACCAAGAAAGATTGCTGAAGGTCACACCAGAGGTTTTGTAGAAACAAACCTGCCTAGTGGTCTACCTTATTCTAGCCTGTATTCCTCCAGCCAGAGCTTAGTCCCCTGGCTGGAGCTGACTGTAAAGAAGTGCAATATAGTTGTTTGCAAAGGAGGAAAAAGAAATTTGGTGAATAAATAAGCCGTTTATTTTACAGATGCATTTTTTTCAAGTTTCCAAATTTAAATACAGTGTATATAAATTATCATATTTAATCCTATTCTTGGGAAAATTACAGGTGGTAGAAATTGTATTTGCCTATGTAAGGCTTTAATGCTGTTATCATACATTCTTCAAGCAGAATTCATAAAACTAGCTGCAACACATAAGATATATTAAGAACCTTTGGATAGGCCAGGGGCGGTGGTTCATGCCTGTAATCCCAGCACTTTGGGAGGCTGAGGTGGGCAGAGCACCTGAGGTCAGGAGTTCCAGACCAGCCTGGCCAACATGGCGAAACCCCATCTCTACCAAAAATACAAAAATTAGCTGGGCATGGTGGTGGGCACCTGTAATCCCAGCTACTCAGGAGGCTGAGGAAGGAGATGCTTGAAACCTGGAGGAGGAGGTTGCAGTGAGTAAGACGAGATCGCGCCACTGCACACCAGCCTGGGCAACAGAGTGAGACTCTGTCTCAAAAAATAAAAAATAAAATAGAAAAGTGAAAAAAAAAACCTTTGGGAACATGGCTTTTACTTTTCAACTTTTTTTATCATGAATAATACATGGCTTTAATGGTTTTCTCTTAGTAGGATGGTAATTCCACTGTTATATACAACAGTTTCAATGTAAATACAGAACTAAATTATTAATAAAAATGTGTATCATTTGCCCATTTTCCATTGCATTGGCCTTAATCAAATTAGTTTCATTTATTAATTTAAAATTTTAAAATACTAACCATTAAATTAATAACTTTGCATTTCTTCAAATATCTTGTTGATTCTTCAAATCATTATACGTATTACTCAATATAAATGTTTGTATGAATTAGAAAAATGTAGTGGAGAATATTGAAACTTGCCTAAATATCCAGAGTAACACAAGAATATCACACTAGTATTAAATAAAAAGAAAAAAAAAAGTCGGCCAAGCATGGTGCCTGTAATCCCAGCTCTTGGGAGGCTGAGATTGGTGGATCACTTGAACCCAGGAGTTCAAGACAAACCTGGGCAACATGGTAAAACCCCGTCTCTACAAAAAATAAAAAAAAAAAATTTTATCTGGGTGTGATTGTGCATGCCTGTAGTCCCAGCTCCTCGGGAGGCTGGCCTGGGAGGATCACCTGAACCCAGGGAGGTGGAGGCTGCACCATGATCATGTCACTACACTCTAGCCTTGATGACAGAGTAAAACTCTGTCTTGAAAATAAGAAAATAAATAATAAATGTAAAAGTCCATCTATAACCCAAATCTGAAAGAAATTCAAAGTGTTTCTCAGACTTTTAGATTTGTTTTAATAATAAGCAAATAGTCTCATTAGATGTATAGACAAGAAACTCACAATATCTACCTCATTCTTCAGGCAATAAAAGTTCAAATAATTTGATGAATAACTCAGGAAGTCATAAACGTTGTTCAGATAATAAGAGTTTATTTAAAATTGACAACAGTGATTTTGGAAGGAGAAAATGGAATAATTAGGGTCTTGTTAAAAGGATAATGCAATAAAGAATATTAAAGAACAGGGACCTAAAAAACAAAACAATTGAACTCATGGACATAGAGAGTAGAGGATGGTTACCAGAACTGGGAAGAATTATTGTGGGAGAATTGCAGGGGGAGATGGGGATGGTTAATGGGTACAAAAAAAAAGTAGAATGAATAAAACCTACTATTTGATAGCACAATAGGGTAACTATAGTCAATAATAACTTAATTCTACATTTTAAAATAACTTAGAGTGTAATTGAGTTGTTTGTAACTCAAAGGATAAATGCCTGAGAAGATGGATAACCCATTTTCCATAGTGTGCTTATTTCACATTGCTTGCCTGTATCAAAACATCTCATGTACCCCATAAATATATATAACTACTATCTAATCACAACAATTTAAAAAATAGAAGAAACAGAAAGGGAATTCTATGTAGAGATATCATTTTATATAAATATACCTATAGTTGCATAAATATATCAAATAGTTTTACTAGTGGTCCTGTAAGAGTGATTTTCATTAAAATCTTATGTTGTTATAATTTTCTTTTTAGAATCTCAAAGAATTATAAAATAAGATAGAATTATCCTTTATTAAGGCAACACTAAAATACTTAAAATCTTAAAAAGAAATGGAAATGATACTTATAAAATACCCTAAAATATAATTTGATAATAAAGAAAGATATTTGCTGTGAGAACAAAATGCCTTATTCATGTTTATTTCAAGAACATACTATTTGGATTGTGTAAAGATGTTAATTTCTTAATAAAAAAACTTCTTTTACATATTATATTGCCTTTATTTTTATGCAGCCAGGGGCCAAAATACTTTGTTAATACTTCATAAAAGCCACTGTTCAGTGAGTTATAAAAATAATGGGATAACTGTTCGAGTTTCTTTTAACCAGCATAGTTCTCTCATTACCCACTTCTGAGGTATTTATTTTTGTCACTGAAACACTCTATCAACCAAGGAATGCCCATTAATCCACTTCACAACCTCAATAGTTTTATTCTTTTTGAATCAATGAGGCAAATCTGCATTACATGTTAGTAGTTATGCATGGACTTAGGCTAAGTAACCTATTTATCGATGTTCTCTATCAACTGCTTCGTACTATGGGTTTCATTTTTTAAAAAATTTAAATTATAAAAATACAAATGAGTACAAGGACATTGTAAAAATGCAAATTTTTTTTGTACTGTCAGCTTTTTACATTTATTTTTATTTTTATAATACTTTAAGTTCTAGGGTACATGTGCACAACATGCAGGTTTGTTACATATGTATACATGTGCCATGTTGGTGTGCTGAACCCATTAACTCATCATTTACATTAGGTATATCCCCTAATGCTATCCCTCCCTCCTCCCCCCACCCCACAACAGGCTCTGGTGTATATGATGTTCCCCTTCCTGTGTCCAAGTGTTCTCATTGTTCAATTCCCACCTATGAGTGAGAACATGCGGTGTTTGGTTTTTTGTCCTTGCGATAGTTTGCTGAGAATCATGGTTTCCAGCTTCATCCATGTCCATACAAAAGGACATGAACTCATCCTTTTTTATGGCTCCATAGTATTCCATGGTGTATATGAGCCACATTTTCTTAATCCAATCTATCACTGATGGACATTTGGGTTGGTTCCAAGTAAGGTGGTTTCATAAACTGTTGCTTTGTTTCATACTTAAAAAAAAAATAAAAATGCAAATCTTTTTTAAAAGTATGAAACAAAGCAACAGTTTATGAAACCGCCTTCTATAGCTCAAACATTTTTTAGTATTTTCAGTTCTTCTGAAAACAGTCATTAATAATCAATATTTGCTCATCGATTTATTCTCTTTTTACAAAGATGAAGATTTTGTTTATCAATATTAACCCCCACCCAACTCTCTCACCTTCTTTCCAATCATTATTCATGGAAATGAGGTGAGAGTTGGGCATCCTCAGGACCATATGCTAAGACGGTACTAGTCATGAATAATCAATATTTGATCATCTATTTGTTCTCTTTTCTAAAAGATGAAGATTTAGTGTATCCAGACTAAACCTTACCCAAATCTCCATCTCC
The DNA here is from genome assembly GCF_000001405.40 of Homo sapiens. Lineage (NCBI taxonomy): Eukaryota > Metazoa > Chordata > Mammalia > Primates > Hominidae > Homo > Homo sapiens. The sequence goes on from NC_000013.11 coordinate 53,738,107, forward strand.
TTTCAAATACAAATTTTAAAATTACTATTCTTAATATTCCATTGGTTACTAATTATTAAAATTATAGGCTTAAACTTGTACTTCTTGTCCCATTAAACCCAGGCCTTTTCTCTAGACTTCCTGTTGTGTAAATGAGGATATTAGGACCCCTATGATTTCTACCACATTTAATCAATGATCAATAGTATGAGTGATATCTTTATATTACCTAATTAATGCCTTTCAGATTATTTTCTTCTCTTTTTGCTTATAAATTGATTCTAAAACTTGAAAAGCATTATTATTTACTTTCTAATTATGAAAACACTGCTCCCTACAACACTAATTGGTATGTCATGATTAGATGTCCTTTTCTGTTTGTCTAATATCATAAACTTTGTGAAGCTTAAGGAGTCTATTTCCAACATCAGGTTCATACAGACTTTCTTTTCTCAGATTTCATCAATTGATCAAAACTATTCTTTATTTTTTAGTTTGACTAATATTAGGTAAAATTAATTTTTCATTTTATTTTTTGTTTTCATTAAGAAATTACATATTCTGCAATGAGTATCTCTTGAGTGGAATGCATTGTACCTTCTCATGAGGATATTTATCATCATAGCTCACTGACTTTCTGTTCTAATTAGAACCAGCATCTTTCTAGGAAAGCTGGGTAGGTGTCTTTTGGAAATTCTTTGATATTGCAGTTTCTTATATCCCATGTTTTTCTCCTTCCTCAAAAAAAGATATGAGGAGTAAACTATATATTCTTATATATTAAAATTCCTTTATTATGATCTTATGCTTAATAGATAGCTTATATAAGAATAGTTTGAATAAGAATAGTTTAAAAATTATTCTTAGAAACTTTACAGCATGCAATGTTGCTGATTTCAAGTTCGAAGCCATCTTCATCCTAACTTCTTTGTATCTGTGTTATATTTTTTACAATAGAAGTGTTTAAATCATTTATTTCCTGATATTGTACAAGATTGAACCTAGAATTCATCCTTTTTACATTCTTTGGGCCCTTTCAATTTGAAGACATAGTCTTTACTGTTGAGAAATACTTTTCTACTTTTAAAGTCTTCTATCCTCTGTTTATTCTCTCTCTGAAACATTTGTTAATTGGATGTTGGACATCTTTGGTGGTTGAGCCTTTGCCTCTTCTCTTTCTTTTAATTTACACTAGCTTTTTTCTTATTCTCTGACAGTTTCATTTTTTGGTAGCATTTTCCCATATGGTCCTGAGGATACCAATGAGTGTTGGTTTATTTGTTTTGCTTTGTTGTATTTCATGTATTGCATTTGCTTCTTTAGGGTGCAGTGTTTTTTTGTTTGTTTGTTTGGTTGGTTTCTGTCATTATTGTTTTACTGTATAGTCTTGATCACTCACTTTCCTGTTGCTGTTTGTTTCTTTTGTATGTATGGAGACCAGAAGCTGTCTATTAGTATTTTATAATTATAGAATTGGATTAATTATTCTGAGCAGCAGCTAGGTTGAGTTTCTTCTGTTATATACGAGAGTTTGTTAAAATAATAGGCTTTATTTCTTTCAAAGAGGCTGACTAGAGCTCTGTTGAGCTAGAAGGCGGAACTCAACTCCAGAGGCAGGGCTCAGACATAGGACTAGAATGAGGACTAGCTAAAACAGAGTCAGGGCGATAGGAGCTTTCAATCAGACATGCCCACCATTGTGCCATGTCAATTTACTGTTGCCACAACAATACCCAGATGTTACTGCTCCTATCATTGACAATGACTCAATGACTCAAAATTTTCTATCCCTTCCCTAGAAAATTCTGCATAAACCAGCTTTTAATCTGCATGAAATTAAAAGTGGGTATAATTATGACTGCAAAACTGTCCTGAGCTGCTGCTCTCTGCTTATGGAGTAGTCCTGCTCTGGAGGAGCAGTCAGGAAGCTGTAATACCTTGGAGCTGTAACACTGCCACTTCAATAAAGCTGTTTTCTTTTGCCTCTGGTTTACCCTTGAATTCTTTCCTGGGCAAAGCCAAGAACCCTCATGGGCTAAGCTCCACTTTGAAACTTGCCTGCCCTGCATCACTGTGAGGGGATAAGGCTCTCAATTTTAAGGTTTTACTTGGGGATAAGTGGGGAGTAAGTAGTCAACTGCTTAGAAATGTGATTTTTTTTTTTTTTGATAACTAAAATTTTATACTGGGGATTATCTCCTATTTCGTGCTTCCCATTTGGCCATTTCTAAACTTAGACTTATAATACAGAGCATGAGGAAACTTCCAACAATTTGTCCCCTTTATCCCTAAGGAAGATTCCTATACCTTATGAATCCTTGTTTCCATGAACCAAGTTTATTTAGGTAATGTAGAAGAAAAACTCAAAAGCAAATAAATCTTCTACCACTCTCTTTTAATAGTTTAGTCATGCTACTTCCAAAGTGAAGTTGTAAGATCCAGATTCATCATCCATTCTCAGTTCATGTGTTCTGGTAAAGATCTATCCTTAAGTCTAGGAAGAGATTACATGACTTAAATCTCAATTGATTAATTAATCCTATTTCCCTGGCCACACATGATTCTTTACATGGTAAGCAAGTTTTATCTATATGAGAAAAATTTAAAATCAATTGTATATACAAAAATCAATTCCAGGCAGATAGAACCCAGGATGTGTACAGATCAATTATATTTGTCATGTTTTCTTTCTTAAACTAGGTTTTTATTTAAATGTGCTCTTGATGAATTAAACAAGAAAAAAGAGATAATTAATCTGATCTGGATGATGTCATTTGAGCGTCCATGTCCAAATGAGCCCAAAGACAGTCCTAGTCCCGTGGGCAGATTGTGCATTTTTGCATTGTCAGTTGTAAGAGAAGAAGTGCCAGCTTATACCAGCAGGTACTCTTATTATGGGCATGTTGTAGTTAAAAATTATAGATTTAAATTTGGAATTGGAAAATGCAGACTGTCTGACACTGGATATTGAGATTTTGTAGGCACTTAATATCAGGCAGAGCAGCTTCTGTGAGGATAAGTCCCAAATGGAGATCTCTAAACTTTCCTTAGACAGAAGCTGAAGAACAAGTAAAGTTTTGCAGTTCTCAGAAACCTTGTTAAAATCTTATCAGATGAGCAATGTGGAAATTCACATACTAACTTCTTTTCTGTGTGTGTGTTTTAAATTTGATACTTGTATTGCATTTTCTTTAACTGCTATGAATGGCTGCTCTAATGGAAGGACTGACGCTTGTAGTCCAATGACTTTTTTAGAGTCCAGAAAGATTCCTTCCAACTGCATTATATATTCTGTCCCAAAGGTGTAAGTCTCTGGTATTTCCAGCTTCTTCAACTTGTATCACTGCATTGTGTAAGCAAAATCATTATTATGATTTTTGAAAAGTATTTGACAAGCATTCCAGGTTATTCATGATTCTTTTTATGTTAAGCTTATTTTTTTTAATGATCAGGGGTGACTTCGACTAAGAGAAACATTAACACAGCATTATATCATAATATTCCAAATGTTTATATGAATGGTTTATTGATGTTCTCAGATCCTACTTTGAATCTCTAAATTAGAGCCTTTGGGGATATAGCCTAGAAATGTGTACTTTTAAAAATCTCCCTAGATAATTCTAATCATAAGCCATGTTTAAGAAAGGAGGGGAAAAGAAAGGTTAAATGATTTACATCACCAGTCATATTTAGACTTCTGATTATTGCTTTATATTTCACTTTTACTTGCATATTGATTTTATGTTGATTAGCTTATTTATTTGCATTGCTTGATTACAAGGTATATCATTGCTTACATTGATTTGCTCTACTGTGCCATATGAGTAGAAGATTAATTTAGTTTTTTGAGTAGTCATAAACTTCAACTCATCAATATGCGTGTATGTGTATGTGTGTGTGTATATATATATAGTTATAAGCAACATTTTTTTTCACAACTCATAACTAGTGATCAGCATTTGCTATTTTTATTTCTCTAGTAAAATACTTTTATTATTTAAGAAACTGAAGCAGGGTCTAGATAAGTGCAGCTGAACCAGATGCAGCTGAGATATTTAGACTTAAGAACATAAAAAAATTACAGTTATTCAGACCAAAGGTACAGATATTTTCTATCTGTGACAGGGGCATCAGATTTATTGAGATTATTGAGTGCTAGTTCTTTATGACATGAACCTCTAGACTTACAGGAAAGATTCTGAACTTTCTTCTTTGTTAAATACTAGTTATGGACTAAATTTTCTCATATATTTTACAAATTTATCTTAATGTGTTTCTACTTCCTTGATCATCTGCTCTGCATTCTTAATGAATTTTATATTTTTATTACTTGGTAAAATAATAGGGCCTGATTTTCACTCAAATTTGTTTTCTACAGCTTCAAGAATTTTTCCCTCGTGTAAATTTCCTGGATATTTGTGCACATTTGTGTTCACTTTAGTTATACAATAATGATCATATAAACAAAGATATAGCCTTTTCAGACATTGTATGGATAAAACTGTTTAGCAATGGAAGCTACTGCATCTCTTTGGCTATTTTAATTTTCTCTTCTGTGGATCTTTCTAAATCATATACTTTCTCATTAAAACACTCAATTAGCAGATGAATTACATTTTTTCTATAAGATTTATACTTCCGGTTTTATTTTCTATGCCTCTCATAATAAAAATTATTAATAAATTTATGAACATCCTATATTTTCAACATATTTATTAGGAAACCAACTGGCTATGATTTTTGCCTTTTAAAACTCTTAGTAGAAGACCATGGTAAAGAATCTAAAAAGTTATTTCTTGACCAGGAAAAGAACCCTTCACTTATTCGCCATTCAATATGTGTCTTTTGAGTGTCTAATGTGTGTCAGGCACTGTTATGGGTGCTGGAAATATAATGGTGAGGAGAAAACTCTGTCTTCATTGAGCTTGCATTCTATGTGTGTAAGAGATGAAAAATAAACTAAATCAGGAAGTGTATCCTATGAAAGATAATGATATTCATTAAGGAGAAAAAATAAAGTCGATAAAGGGTGATGTGAAATGTTGAAGGGAAATTAAGTAGGTGCCAGAGGCTTCCGAGAGATGACTTTGAGTAAAGGCATAAAGCAAGATGCGAGGGAACTGACCACATGGCTATCTGAATAAAGAACTCTCCATGCAGTGAAGAACATGGGCGAATACCCTGGAATTGGAGCATGCAGAGCTTGTTTGAGCAACAGTGAGGGGTTAGTAGGGTCTGAGCAGAGAGAATGGAGGAGTAGAAGAAAGTAAGGTCAGAGAAGTTACAGGGAATCATATCACATTAAGCCTTCTAGGTAATATGAAAATTTTGTCCTTTGTTCTGATGAGAGGAGAGATCATTGGAGGATTTTGAGCAAAACATAGTCTGAACTATTTTGAACAGCATTAGCCTACAGTCGCACTCAGACAAGACTTCAGACTTCATAGGCAAGGAGAGCAGCAGGAAGAGAAGTGTCCAGTCTATTGCTTTAAGTGATGATGTCTTGGACAAAGGGAGTGGCAATAGAGTAAGATACAGTTAGAATCTGAGTGTACTTTAAAAGTAGAACCAGTGGACTCTTTGAAAGAGAAAAGGAGAGGTTTAAAGGAATTTAGAGACAAATTGCAAAAACCAAGATAAGAAAGACTGCAGAAACTACTGATTTAGAAGAAAATTTAAAGAGTTGCTGTGTTCAAATCATAGCATAACTATAACTATAATATAGCATAACTATAATATAGTGGGCAGTTTTAAACTGAGAGTAGAATTCTATTCTACAGATGCTTGTTGGAATGTAGTTTCTGTTAGAATGTAGGTCTAAGCAGAGTCATCAAAAAGTGAACCGAAGACTTACTATTAGGCTAGATATTACTAATATTAAGATTTCAAATCAGTTTCTAGTGTTCCTGGACATGACCTGAAGATATTTTGGAGGGCTTCTTTTCATATCCATGTACCTCCAATCTGATGTGAAAAGCCCTTCCTCAGACTCATGCCATAGCTGCCCAGGAGAGGGAGCCTATGCAAGTCTTTAATATACTCTGAGACCCTTTCATGAGTGGCAGCTAAGCTGCACTCCTTGAGGAGGGCTTGTGCTGGCTGCAGAGCTCCTATGCTCTTTTAGGCTTGGAAGGAGCATCTGCTCTACTGCTATAGATTCTTGAACCATCTAAGAATTTCTCATGAAACTTCTGTTGCTGACACCAGCCACATTCACCAGAATTCTCAAGGCTGTGTTGGCTGCCATTAGCCTTATTTCAAACCATACCAAGTATGCTAATATATCAGGCAGCATTCTGTCTCCTCCTACAATATTTTAGTATCAAAACTTCATACATCAATATTTTCCTTTCACATAAGAATGTATTTTATATCTCCTTTAGGTCTTTTTTTTGTTGTTGATGTGCAAATGTTAATCTTTAGGAGTTTTGGCTTCACATATATAAACGGGCTCTGGGTAAATGCAAGAAAGAAGTTTAAGTACTGTACGCAGGTATCCCAGAGGATTAAAGGGAGCTGAATGCTAAAGAGCAGGTTCACCAGGGAAAGGAATCTCACAGCTTGGGCAATGCAGGCAGTGGGATAAAGTAGTGCTTCTCGTGGGTCACAGCTGGGGTAAGTGACCTCCAATTGTTTTTAGTTTGTTGTCTGTCTTCTCAAGATTCCAAATATCAGAAAAAGAACACCCAATTTATTGGATGGGTCAATCTTATGTCTACTCATTGAACACATAACTGACATTTGCCCACCAAAATGTAATTAAAGCAGTAGCGTTATCAGAAAAAGGAGGAATAAAAGCTGAAAAGCCAATGAATACCACCAGTGTCTACTACAAGGAATATTTTGAATTAGAGAAGGAAAGAATTAGTAGTAAACATTATTGACAGCTCCTTGAAAAGAATTATCTAGTAGATCAGAAGATTTACAGTTCTACTTTATACCAATATAAATTTCAGAAGAAATAAAAAATGAAGTGTAAGGATTAAAAAAATAAGAATAAGGAAAGGCATTCAATACAAAGTTAAAATCAAAGAAAAAATCAAATAAAAATAAGACTGGCAGATTTTATTGTTTTAAAAATGAGGATTCTATTTGTCAAAAAGGACAAGAATCATTAGGAGGCATATTATAAGTTTGGGAAATTCATAATATACTTAGCAAACAGAGTTAATACTTCTAATAGCCTCTACAAATCAATGTAAAAAAAGGTGAACACCCCAATAGATATATGAGGAAAGAACTTTAATTGACATTTTACAAAAGAAGAAATGTAAATGGCCAAAGAACATGTGAAAATAAATCCAGTCTCACCAGCATTCAAAGAAATAAAATGAAAATTGCTATGAGATGCCATTTTCGCCTACTAAATTGTCAATGATATTAAAAATCATTATACCAAGTATTTAGGACAGTACATGGAAACAGGAGCTTTCAAGATAAATGGTTAAGGGCTTCCTGGGCTGACTGTAAGAACTGTACCTTTTTTTTTTTAACTTTAATTTCCAGGATACAAATGCAGAATGTTTAGGTTTGTTACATAGGTATATGTGTGCCATGGTGGTTTGCTGCACCTATCAACCTGTCATCTAGGTTTTAAGCCCCACATCCATTAGTATTTTTCCCCTCGCCGCCCATCCCAACTGGCCCTGGTGTGTGTTGTTCCCCTTCCTGTGTCCATGTGTTCTCATTGTTCAACTGCCACTTATGAGAACATACATGTATCTGTGTTTTTTTTACCTGAGGATTTAATAGTGAGGATATGGTTGCAGATCTTTTTGATGTTGCTTAAAGCAAAAGAAACCAACTCTGTTAGGTTTAAGCTAAAGAAACCTAACTGGGAAGGAATTATGGTAACTCATGGAACCTAAAATAATGCTGAATGGCAGGCCTGGGAAATTGCAAGAATCCAGGAAGCTCTGGGGACCTGATAAGCAGGAGTCTTGACGATGAGAACAATCAAGGTAGCTCTTGGGCTCCCCTCTTTCTAGAACACTGTCAATGTCACTCTGCTCAGCTATGGCCAGGTGCTTAATAAGATCCCTGGAAGGCTGTTTCCAGACAATGCTGTAGGACCCTACCTAGAAGCCTTGTCAAGTGTGATGAAATGTACTTCTAGAGAACTCAGTTGACTCACATATCACTTTTATGTAAACTAAAGTAGAGATAGGGAAGGTGAAGACCTTTGGTAAGAATGATCAGCAGTACTGTCACTGATAATATTAACTCACATCTGAGAACCATCTGGGTTATATTTATTTGGTGCTTGCTATATGTTAAGAATTTTGTTAGGCAATAGAAATGAATGTATCCCATTTTTGATTATGTATAATTGTTACTCTTTTAAAAAAATTGATCTTGATTTCTTGCTAACTCAGTTCATTAGATATCTTCATACCATGTTTTCATGGTGGTTACAAATGATTTTACATGCAATTGACAGAGAATATCTCACTTATGCTTTATACCCCACAGATCCAATGTATATAATTTTTATAAAAGACAAATATTAGTTGATATTTTGTGTTTGCTAGTAAATGGTAGAAAAATTTCAAGTGTCCTGACTAGGAAACTTTGAAATTCCTATTTACAAAAAAAAAGAAATTGCATGTGAATTACAAATAATTGTGTAATAAAGGAAGCCACTTAGTATGTTAATTCTCTAGTAAAAACATCTTACTAGTCAAGTCTAAGTTACTTATTCAAATATCTGTATGTTGTAAGCCTATATTGTAAAATATTTTATTAATTAAGGCTTTCCTGTACCTCATTTTAATGATATATAACAGAACAATATAAGAATGATTCAGTATATTTATATATGAAAATGATGAATAGGAGTATAGCGTAATCATTAAGATCATGGACTCTGTCACTTAAAAGCTGGATAACCAAAGGTAAATTATATAACTTTTGCAGCACTTACTTTAAGTGTATGAAAAATAGAGATATTAATAGTTAATACTTCATAATTTTACATGATAATAAATGAGCTACACATCAAGTACTTGGCAAAGTAGCCAGCAAGTACATTTAGTCAATGTTCATATTATCATAAATATCAAGTGTACTGGAAAAGTGATCTACACAAAGAGATGATAAGTAGAAAGTCCGGAGCCTATGCATTCCCCTGGGTAACCTGTGATGAACTCACAGTTTAAAGAGCTAGATTAAACTGGTAATTCAAAAAATGTATGTAGACTTTACTATAGATGAGATTTTCCAAATGCATTTTCTGGCTTTTGAAGACGTTAGTTTCCAGTGTGAGTAGCATTCATGATGACAATTACAGCATCTTCAGAATAAGCTCCTGAAAAGGTAAAAACATATTTATTCTGTCTTTATTTACCTAGGGGCAGTTGTTTTCCAGAATTACCTCAAAGGAAAGCACAACAGTCAGACGTGAAATGGAAACAGAAAAATCTTCTGAAGCAGAATAGTAACGCTGTGAATTTAAAAGTAATGGGTAAGCATGGCTAAAGATTAAATAGATGACTTTTTAAAGGATCAATTCGAGGGAAAAGAAAATAAAACTTGTACATAAGATAAGATGTTTTGATAAAAATGTATACGTTGGCATTTTTTATAGAAAAGACATAATGAGAAAGTAAAAAAGTAAAAATGTCATCACACATCAAAGAATCTCTGATACTCAAGGGATTCATTTAAATTCCCATTTAGATGTTCAGTTTAAAAATATCAACAACAGCAAAACAACAAACAGGTGGTAGTGGAAATTAAATGAAAATATTAAAATATACTAAATTGAGGGAACTCATGTAATTATAAGATAGGCTTCAGGCCACTTATCAATTATACATTTAAACTACTGGAGGACAGGGATTGCAGCTGACACATCTTTGTATCCCCCAAAGCACTGAGCAGAGTGACTTGCATGTAGCAGATATTCAGCAAATACTTGTAGAAAGAAGAATTCTTTATGGAATGCAAAGTAGGTATAAGACACCGTCCCTACATATGTAGAACTTGTAATTTTCAGGGACAGGAAAAACTAACAAACATCAATTAAGGAAACAACATTTATAAAATGCAAAATGCAGAAAGTTTTAAATAATATCAACATAATAAATTCACATATTATGATTTTATAGAGTCAGTAGTCAAACAATTCAAAAGAAAGATTAATGTCATTCTGAGTTAGTATAGAAGACTGTGGGGAAGATAGACATTGATTTAGGCTTTGAAGAACGGAGAAATTATAGAAAGATGGAGTGCAAAAACATAGTGAGGTAAGTAAAAGGCTGCTTTAATAATATCAGTTTCACAGTAAATTGCAAAAACTGTTATTAATATTTATGGTATCAAACTAAACACAAAGGAAACAAAGGAACAGAAATGAATCAATGTAGAATATTCTGGTCTTACTTTATTGATTCCATATGAAGCTGCTATTTAAAGGCATCCTAATTTATTTCTGCATGATGGAATTAGTAGCTGTCACGCTGCTAGATCTATTAGAAGGAAGTATGTCTTTTGGTTCAGTTAATTCAATTCCACAAGTATTTATTAAGTACTTATCTGAGCAAAGCACTATAGAATCATCCATGTACAAGCAATTAAAATTTAACTGGTTCAGAGGATATTTGCTACATCATTTCACTTTAAAAAGAGTTAACTGTTACCGTATCCCTTCTTGATCTTCTTATAGTAGTGCCTTGATTTAGAGGTTTGAGATTAGAGATTATGTCACCCAAGTTGGATATCTGAATTTTCATATTCAAGCTGGGTTTAGAGAAATGGCATTATTTTGAAAAATAGCTGTTCTTTTTAGTATGCTTTACTATTTATACTATACTTTAACATCTGTTAACTAATTTGATCCCTAGTCTCATGCATTAAAGTCATCTGGACAGGTATTTTTATCTTTCTTATAAGGAAACTGAGTCTGAGAAAGTTAAATGATTTTCCAAGAGCTTTCTATGGGTTGATTGATTAGAAACCATACCTTGAACACAAGAACTTTAGGAGAAAAATCAAATGTGTTTTCCACTGCAATGCTACAACAGAAGTAGCCATGTTGTTATGTTATCCAGGGGGAAAATTAGTTCAAAGAAGCATTTCCACTGTTTCTGAGTAGGCTGAGAAAATCTGATCGAGATGATAATCTCAGTAGTCCACAAGTGTCACGGGTCTATCTGCACAGAGATATATCTAGGTGAGTAGAACAAAGAGAAATTATATAATATTTTCAAAATATTTGATCAGTGTAGATGAGAAATTCTCACTCAGGGAATTTTTTCCCCTTCTCCAGGGGATAATTGGCAATGTCTGTAGACATTTTTGGCTGTCATGACCGGAGTGATAGTTGCTAATGGCACTTAATGCATAAAGGCCAGGAAAGCTGTTCAACACTCCAGTGTACAGGACAGCCTCCCCTCCGACTCCTACTCTGTACACAGAGACATATCTGGCCCGAATTATCAATACCCTGAGGTTGAAAAGACCCTGCTGTAGTCAATCAAGGTAATTCAGGGAAAAGAAATTGAAATTTTATGAAATTATGTGACTGTTTATGAGCTTCTGATGGTTACATAATCTATATAATTATCTCAGTGTTTCTCTGAGGCTTAAATCATCTCAGATTTAGAGATGTGAGAGTTGCCAAATGTAGTTTTTTCATAATTTTTAAATATATTGACACTTTGAGAAATAAACACTATAATTCTCTCACGTGATTTCTGCCCCCAGATTTCCATTATTATTATTTTTAAACAACAAATGTTGCAGGGTGCTGTTTCTAAGCCAGAGTGTGTAATGCATCCTTTTTCAGTTTAAAAAAGTAAATTCAGTAAAATGACTCCTGGTTAACAAAAGGTGAGTCAAGGGGTCTCATGAAACAAAAAATAAATGTAACATTAAAATGTCCCTGCCAATTCATCACCCCTTGTTTGGATTTCTTGTTAAAATATCTCAGAGGCCAAGTTGGTTTGGTCAGGTCACTTTGGCCACAGTGCATGAATATGTCTAGTGAAATTGGTTAATTTGAAAATCATCAAGTGACCGATGTTGGTTCTTGTCAATTTGATAGTTAAGTGCAAATCTTGAGGACAAAAGAAAAACATGAGACGTAAAATGAAGGCAAAACCATTTCCTGAAAAATCCTGTTTATCATATAAAGGAATATGAATTTTATCCACTAGGTGATAGAAGATACTGTTTGGGTTTAATCAGAGGTGTGTCTATTGTGATCAGCTCTACTTTATAAGTATATAAGTCAATTTGATGGTTATATGGAGGGCGGATTTTACTTATCAAGGTAGAAGGGAAGGAGAACAATGAAAGGATTCTTGTTGCAGATTTAAAGATAATGTCTGAAGTTAGAGTAGTGGTTATAGAGATAAAAATAGTAGAAAGTTTAAAAAATCAGAGGAATTTGACAAGATTTGATTATTAATTGCATTAAAAATTTGAGGAATTAAGGTGAGAGGAGTGAAGAACGACTTTATGATTTCTATTTGGGAACATCGTAGTGTAATAGTGCCTTGGGGGAAGAGTTCGCAGAAACCTGTCAATTCTTATCAAGGATTTCGGTTTGGAGGTTCCAAGTCTCAGACAGATGTTTAAGCTAGGTAGTGCTTCTGACTCAGATTCTCTGTTTAGAGAGATATTTTTGGAGATTTGGGCACAGAGGAATAACATACATAAGAATCAAGTGTTGAAGAAATACTTAGGTGGAAAGAAAAGCAAAATGATATTTAAAAAGCTGTTTGTTTTTGAGAAGTTCTATGCTCATGGGCCTTGTCTGCTTTGTTGACTGCTCTGTGTCCCCAGCACCCAGAAGATACTACATCTGCGATAACATCAAAAAATATTTGTTGAACAAATGTATTAAATGATTAAATAGTGTACAATAGACTTTTCCGATCAAAGGACACTGTAGGCACATTACATCAATTAACTTTTGCTCAATTCATTTATGTAAGCAACGAATGTCATTGACCAATACATTTTATAATAGTCTCTTCATCATGGCTGAATATATTGATCTGAAAATCTATAAACTGGAAAAACAAGTTATCTTACCCCCAAATTTCCATCACATAGTAGTGGGCCAGGAACATGACCGCAATCACCCCTATTCAAAAAGGGGAACATTGGGAATCACACAGCAGTCACTGATCCACAGCAACTCTGAAATCCCACTGGGCAGATCTTGGGAAGCTCTTTATTCTGGGTATGGGGAATGTTCTGTGTAGACTTCAGTTCTGGTCCTGGGAGGAGCTCCCAGGTTCATTGTTCTCCAAGGCTTTAACTAAACCCTCTGTGTAGGCCTTCATGTTCATACATCTGAGTGAGGCATTGAAGACAGGGCCCTCCTTGGTGACTGAGATACATTCTCAGCTTACCCTCTTGCCCTTATAAAGTTAGGAACCAGTAATTGTTTTACTTTAAAAGTCACAATCTTTTTTGGTATAGTTTTATAGCATTCTTTGCAATGAAACTTTCTCGAAAACATTTTTTTTTATAAATGCCATATCTGGTTAAAAGTAATGAAGAGTACCAGAATTTGCTACCCCTAAATATGCCTCTTTGGCATACAGATTATTTTGAGCTAAAAAACAGAGGAAGGCTGGGCGCAGTGACTCACGCCTGTAATCCCAGCACTTTGGGAGGTCAAGGCGGGTGGATCACTTGAAGTCAGGAGTTCGAGACCAGCCTGGCCAACATGGTGAAACCCTGACTCTACTAAAATACAAAAATTAGCTGGGCATGATGGCAGGCACCTGTAATCCCAGCTAACTAGGAGGCTGAGGCAGGAGAATAGCTTGAACCCGGGAGGCAGAGATTGCAGTGAGCTGAGTGCCCCACTGCACTTCAGCCTGGGCAACAGAGCAAGACTCCATCTCAAAAAAAAAAAAAAAAGAGGAAGCAGCAAGACAAAGGAAAAGCATGAAAATTAGGGCCTTCATTTTCCTTTTGTACAGGAAATTTTCATTTGTAGAGGTATTTGTCTCTTGTGTCAGGAAGAGAATTCTTAACTCATCAATAGATAATGCACAGACTGAAATCTGCATAACAAACTGTATGCAGATTTTCACTCTTTTCCTGGTCACTTTCTCATAACTTGCCTCTCTCTTCCAGAAATCCCAAACTCTTTTGCTTTTGTTTTAGCCTAAGATGATACATAAACCCAAGTTCTAACCACCCCATTGGCTTTCTCCTCACTGGGTACCCCCGTGTGTACATGCACAATGTACGTGATAATAAACATGTTTGTTTTACTCTCATCAACCTGTTTTTGGCCAGTCTAATTTATAGGGACCCATCTGGAGAGCCTAAGATAGAGAATGTTTTTTCCTTTTCCTATAGTCAAAAAAAAAACAAGAAGAATCCACATTTTATTGCCCACTTTACACATGTAGGAGTACAGAATGAACTATTAATACACAAATGGATTGACTGTGAGCATGGATCATACATATGCTAATTATTTGGTAATGCTTGGGATAGTAATATAGTATTTCTTGAAATATCTATATCCTTTTGGTGGCTTAATTCATCATAAAAATAAATAAATATATTTGATTCCACTCACTATCATGTCCCAGTATACCTTTAGGCTTAGAGATATTTTGTGATTGTTAGAAATCTGTCCTTAGTCTCATTTTATTGAGCCATTTTACTTAAAAAAAAAAACCTTTTTTTTTTACTATTTTATTTTTAATGGCCATACAATAATATTACATACTTATGGGACGTATAGTAATGTTTTGATATATGTAATGTATGGTGATCAGATCAGGGTAATTAGCATATTCATCATCACAAACATTTATCACTTTTTTTGTTTTGGGAAGATTCAGTATCCTCTTTCTAGCTATTTGAAATTGTGTAATATATTATTTTTAACTAGTCATTTTACAGGGGCGTAGGACACTAGAACCTATCCCTCCTATCCAGTTCTAATTTTCCATCCTTTAGCAAATCTCTCCCTATTCCTCCCTTCCTCCTACCCTTCCTAGCCTCTAGTATTCTATATTCTACTCTTGACTTCTATGAGATCAACATTTTTTGGCTTCTACAAAAATTCTCTTACTAAAATAAGTTTTCTTTTAGAAATAAAATATTCTTATTCTATCTTGTTGAAAAAGATAAAACTTTACTGGAAGATATTTCAATTCATTCGGGAGTCTTCACAGAAGCTATGATAGTCTTGCCTTAGACTGGCCTTTCTCCTCAGCACACTATTCATCTGACAATCATTTATGGGCTGAAGATGCTTAAGTTGCATCTTTAAACCTTGAAGTGAAGAGATACTTGGGTTCTCTATCCCTTCTTGCAAACAGGCCAGTTCTTTCCTGAGCTCATCTCTTTTTCATGGTATTTGTTAGCCACAGTAGATAACAACTCACATTTCTTAAATTTAATCTCAAAATCTCCTTGCCCAAAGCTACAGAATCATTAAGTATATTTTCTTCTGCCTGTGTTACTGTGGGTGACAGTTTTGCCAAATATTTTGCAAGACATTATTCGTCACCATTTTTCTAGCCTGACATGAGTTACCACGCCACCTGTCCCTTGGCTCTGAAGCCATGTGACACATATTTTAGATTTTTGCTTTGTCAGTGCACATATTCTAGGTATCAGTTTCTATATTTAGAAGCTGTTGCTGCAATGATGCTATGAACCCAGTATTCCCCAAACCTCAATGATTTACCATAGTACATATTGATTTCTCATTCACTGTGAATTGGCTACAGTAAGTCTACTACAGCCTGTGGGTCAGGTTCTTGTTTGTATCACATGACATCTCAATCACCTAGAATGAAGAAGCAGATCTAATCTGGGAATGCTACTGTCATGCTGGAGGGAAGAGGGAAGGAGGCCTGGCAGAAACTTGCAGTGACCCTTAAAGACTCTACTTAGATTTGGTGCTGTCTCCCTTTCACCTGTATTTCATTGGCTAAATCTATCATCAGAAGGATGGAACTATATACTCCTCCTAAGGGAGGGTGGATATTGCTGAACTGTAACACAGTAGGACTTCAAAAATTTTATTGAAAATTAAAAGATAAAGAAAAAACAAACTTTATTTCTCAACATAAGCTCCACCAAGGTCAAGACACTTTTGTGTGTGATGATACCAGTCACACAAAGAACTGAGGTTCCTAAGAATTTAACCATGTCAATGCAGTCTATTTTACATTAGTAACTAAAGAAAAATGGGTGCCCTTTGAAGATTTTTTTAAGGAACCAAATTAGGACTGTAAGATGGATGCCTAAGGACTTCCATAGAAACTTGCACAAAATTGCCCTTGTTTAGTGAGAGGAATGAGCAGGAACATTGTTGTGATATAGGAGGAATCTCTGGTGAAGTTTTCTTGGGCAATTTTCTGCTGAAGCTTTGGCTAACTTTCTCAAAAATGCTCTCATAATAAGCAGATATTCTTTGGCCCTCCAGAAAGTCAACAAGCAAAATGTCTTGAGGATCCCAAAAGACTGTTGCCATGACATTTGCTCTTGACCAGTTACTTTTGCTTTGACTGGACCACTTCTACCTCTTGGTTCCCATTGCTTTGGTTGTGCTTTGTCTTCAGGATTATACTGGAAAAGCTGTTTCATCTCCTATTACAATTCTTAGAAGTGCTTCAGGGATCATGATACTACTTGTTTAAAATTTCCATTGACAGCTCTGCCCTTGATTGCAGCTGATCTCAACACAATGACTTGGTACCCATAGAGTAGAAAGGTTGCCCATTTTTAATTTTTTTAGTCTCAATGAGTAAACGGAACCAATTGAGATGTCTATGGTGTTGGCTACTCTTTCTTCCATTAATCATCAGACCTCTTCAATAAGGGCATGAACAAGATTAATTTTTTCCTCAGAAATTTGATGTGAAATGGTCTGCTGTTGTGGACTTCATCTTCAACACTATCTCATTCCTTCTTAAAATGAGTTATCCATTTGTAAACTGCTGATTTCTTTGGGGACATTGTGCCCATAAACTTTCCATAAAACTCAATGATTTCACCATTCTGCCACTCAAACTTCACCATGAATTTAATGTTTGTTTTTGCTTTAAATTTAGCAGAATTCGTATTGCTAATAGGGGCTCTTTTCAAACTGATGTCTTATCCTTTCTAGTGCCTCAGATAAGGTCCTGTTCAGACGTACTATAACAAGTGAGTATAAGTTTATTTTGCTGAAATTTTTTTAAAAATCCATGCAGTTTTTTTAGTATGCATTTCCCATGAATTTTTGAAGTCCTCTCATATAACCCTCCATAAGCAGCTACTCTGTGTATGTTAAGACCTTTGTGTGATCTAGAGGAATCAATGTTTCCATGTGTTTATAAACATTTATGTTTAATAAAGCAATGACATTTGAAAATCAACACCAGAATTTTTTTCTGGGAATCTGTAGGATTATATTTCCAAAACCATAAAAAAGAATAATCGGCCAGGCACAGTGGCTCACGCCTGTAATCCCAGCACTTTGGGAGGCCAAGGCGGGTGGATCACGAGGTCAGGAGATTGAGACCATCCTAACTAACATGGTGAAACCCCGTCTTTACTAAAAAATACAAAAAATTAGCTGGGTGTGGTGGCAGGCGCCTGTAGTCCCAGCTACTCCGGAGGCTGAGGCAGGAGAATGGCGTGAACCTGGGAGGCGGAGCTTGCAGTGAGCCGAGATCGTGCCACTGCACTCCAGCCTGGGCGACAAAGCAAGACTCCATCTCAAAAAAAAAAAAAAAAAAAAAAAAGAATAATCTACCTTATCCCTCTCATATAACCTAAAATATAATTCAGTGGGTGAGAAAGTGTACATTTTTTTATCAATCGTTTTAAAAATATGGCCCAGAGTTATGGCATATTCTTGAAGGTCACTTAGACTTTGTTAAACTCATAATTCAATTTATAATTTTATTTTCTGTCTTAATGCTTATTCTTAATTAAATTAATTACCTCTCAAAGAAGTTTTAGACAAGACTATTTGTTTTAAATTATACATGTTCATAACTATACCATG
The DNA here is from genome assembly GCF_000001405.40 of Homo sapiens. NCBI lineage: Eukaryota > Metazoa > Chordata > Mammalia > Primates > Hominidae > Homo > Homo sapiens. Next base: position 53,756,075 of record NC_000013.11, read on the forward strand.
CTTCTACAGAATGAAGAGCATAATTTGCAATAGATTTTAAGAAATAATACTTACACTAAAAAATATCAAATAAGTGTTCGGGTTAATTCTGGTGTGTAACCTAAGAGAAAAATAGAGTATTTAAGAATCAATTTAACATGAAGGATGACTTTGCCATTAAAAAATCAATCAAAAGTAAACTTTCAAAGTTCAAAAAAGAAACCCTTCCATATATAAAAATTAGAAATGGCTTTTGTCAGTAATTTTGGTTTAAAATTGTATTAAAAGCATTAAAATTGTATTAAATGCATTAAAATAAATATGATTTAATGAATGAGAGAATAACACTATGTTGCCATGGGGAAAATACCTTTGATATTATCATGATAGAAATTTTAGATTAAAAAATTTAAGAGCAAGAAGAAAATGATTCAGTGTTGAAGTAGAAAAATATGGGAAGAAAGCAATGTATATTAATAATAATATAATACCACTCACTAAAAATCACTTTCACAAAAGTAGAGCAAAAGACACGTGCTCGAACTGACCACAGTGTAAGGAATTCTCTTCTCCAACTCTCCTAAGTGTTCGAATATCGGCCAAGTTTCTAGCTGTGGACTTGAAAGCACAAACAAGAATGTATGCCAACTCCTCAGTTTTGGTTAATAGAGCATCCAAACAAGACATGCTTGATCTCTGCTCTAGTATAAGCGTAATGAGTTATTTCTTATAATGCTTTTTTCTTATTTTCTTGCATATGATTTCTGTGTTCAGCCTGATGCATCAATCTGCCTCCAAGAATGTTAGGAATATTAGGGAGTAAAATGCATAAAGGGAAAACAATATTCAGCTTCTGAAACCAAAAGTATGTTTTTTAAGTTCTCCATAAGGCAATAATCTTGAGAGCTAGTTTTTTCCCAGAGATAAACCATTTTCTAAATTTCTTCATCTACTTCTATAATATTATCAAAGGTCTGAATATTTTAATAATAGAATTTTTAGGGAAGAATCTAGTAACAGCCCAAATCTTCCTGCCCCAGATCATTTTGATGAGGAGAGAAAGTGAAGATAGGGGCTGGTTAACCCTCTTCTGAGGGAGTCTGTCTTGATAGAGTTAAGGGACTTTCATGATATCTGATGTGGATGAGGGGAATATGTAGGATGCAGAGGGGATTTGATCTCATTTTCTTCTGGGACATTGAAGGAAGACTTCCCTGTACAGCCTGCAATACGGCTGCTTCAAGGTAAAAGAGGCAGTTTGTTCTGGGAAAGGGGAGCAGGAGACAAAGCTTTGCCCCATGAAGTCCACTTCAGCCTCCAGGTTCATAAAGGCATCTGCATGGGAGGTACCAAATGCAGCCCACTGTGTTGGCTGGGAAGCATGTTAGGGGGATGAGAGGCCTCTCTATCTGGGTATAATGGCCTTGAAGCCAAGAGGTTTCCTACTGCTCACCAGGGCCAGGGACCACATGGGAGTTGCTGCTAAATTCCAGAGTTCCGTGGAGCCAGAACGAGCCAAAGCTGACCTAGTGTAGCAAAGAAATGTTGACTGCCCTTAGAGTACTGCATAAGCCAAAAGAACTGATCATTGTTTCATTAGCCACAGACTGCAGAATTGAATGCTCTTAGAGCACCCAGGAAACCCACTGGCAAATGATATCGCTGTCCACAACCAGGGGATAAGTAAAGAATATCAGAGAGGAGTTAAGCACTCCTCATCTAAACTCCCTTTGCCATATACTCCAATAACATCTTAGTGAAGTGTTGGGGAAGGAGAGGAACTCTATAAAACATTAATCCGCCCCCTCCCCCCCAAAAAAGAATGCATTTCCTAGGGAGTTTGTATTATTAGATTGGGCTATTTTATTTTTTATTGATACCATTCTGCATATATGTGCTTTTGTGAACTCATAGAATATGCTTTTGCGAGGGAAGTTCAGATCAATTGTGTACTAAATTTTTAAAAAACATTGCATTATTCTAATAGATCTCAGTATGTGCGAGTAATTCATGACCCTACAATTTTAAACCATTCACTTTAGTCTAAGAGAAACTTAAGAAGTCAATCAAACTGAAGATAAAATAAGACATTCTCTCAAGGGCTTTCATGGGAGGCAGTATGGGAGGCCAGTAAAAATGTACCCCTGCTTTTCTGTGTGTGACTTCATAATTTGATTAGTCATTACTGGTCCCAAAAAACTGATGACAGCTTAAAGCTTAATTATAAATTGGAGGTCCAGGGCTGAATTTAGGCTGCAAATGTGTTCTGTTTTGGCTTTCAATGTGTTAAAACCTTGAACCAACATTTATAAATACAAATGTTTCTAAAGAAATCCAGAACCCAAATTTCTGGATTTCTTTAGAAAGTCTGCAGAAATGGTAACTAATGACTAGAGCCAGGTAGAGCCTATCTGTCCCTTGTAAGCAAGAAAAAAATTCCTTTATTATCTGCAATCACAAGTACTATTTCTATTAATTTATTTTTTTAACATCCAGCCCAGGTCATTCATTTTTATAACTGGTCTAACTTCTTTTTTAGTCTGTTGAAATTGCAAACCTTGTTTTAAAGCAAGTGGAGAAAATGAAGGCTCATGGATGTACTGGTACCACAGCCATTTATTTCAGATTTTCATTCTTATTTCTTAAAAATATTTCCTAAGGATAGAACACTTTTTTCCACTTATTTGCTCTGAGGTTTTCTAATTAATTCAGCTTCACTTCCCAAGACATGCCCACTTGGACTTTATCATACCTTGCAGGGATTGGGTCTGAAATTCAGAGTATCTCAGGTTGTGCTTGTGCCTTGTTAGGCTATAATTATATATTCAACAAATATAGAATATGCAAATTAAAAATATACACTTTTTACAAATGAGAAAAAACAATATGAGTGACACAAAGGATAATTTATTGTTTTATGAATTTAGGGAAAAGTCAAGTCTAAATGTCAGAGGCACAGAATTGCAGTCCTAACTTGGAAACATATGAAAGCAGAATTGCCAGTGCTTCAAGGACTAAGTATTAGCGTCAGTAAGTCATCCCCTCCCTTCTTCCCTCTTTTCATTCTTATGCAGAATAATTCCTTACATATGGCTGAAAACCCAACTGCAAAGAGTTCCCTCACAGCTTATGCTACTACTAGTCCATGTGATTTCAGAGGAAGGACAGTGATTGGCTGAACTTAGATAAGCTGTACACTTCCAAAATTAATTGCAGCCAGATGGTTGAGTTTTGCATAAATACACCACTTCCTTCTAGAGCTACGTGAAAGATGGGAAACTGCAAATTCCCAAGAGTGGAAAATAATGCTAGGCAGGAAATATCATAGAGGCACAAGACAGTAACCAAGGTAGTAGTATATGTCTTATAAGTAAATAGGCCAGTGAATAACCATGGTGTGTTTTGCAGTTAAAGAGATGTGTGCTAGAATCTCAGTTCTTCTTGTTTACAGATGACTTAAACTTCCCAGAGGTCCTTCTCTTGTAAATGGGGAAGAGAATAACTTATTTCATGGAATTAACAGAAAGTGGAATGATGGATTTAAACACCTAGCACATTAGTGCCTAATAAATGTCAGTTCTTTTTTATCTTTTGCTACAATAAATTAGTAACTTATAAGACTGGAATTATGAACTGTTGGCAACTGTAAGGGAGATTTTTCTAACTGTTCAGTTTACTGACATTTGAATCATTTGAAGGAGAGGTGTTGAAATTAAAAAGGATTGCTCAAAGACCTATTGCATGTTTGTGACACAGTGGGAATTAGAATTCAAGCTTACTTTCAGTGACTAGAATATTATCGATATGACTTAATTTTAATGAGTGCCTATTATGTGCCAGGTACTCTCCTATGAATTTGTCACCTGTAAGTGGAAAAAAGAGTTAAAAAATATCATGCTGTGGGGATTATATTGTAGTGTAGAAGAACAAAGATTAAATATGAACCAAGAAATTAAGTCAATTATATAGTATGGCAGAAAGTGATAAGGGCTAAGGAAAATATAGTAGGGAAGGAAAACAAGGAGTGAAATAGTTTAGGACAGGGTAAGCCTCAAATAGTCATCAGTGTGGGTGGGCTTCATTGAGAAAATGACATTTGAGCAAAAGAGTCAAAGGAGGCCAAGGAATTTTACACGTGTAGAAATCTGGGAAATGGGTATAGCAGTCTAAGGGAACAACAGCGTAACTGCACTAAGTCGGGAGACTTTCAGGTGTTTTGTAGAGACACCAATGGTGCCAATGTAGCTATAGATGTATTAGTAAGTGTGGGACCATGGAATATAAGGTGTGCGATGTAAATGTTTATATGCCATTTCAAGGTATTTAATTTTCTTTCTGAGTGAAATACAGATCCCATTTGGAAGGTTTTATCTGAGAAATTACATAATCTAAGATATATTGTTAAAATAATTCTAAGAAATCTGAAAAGAATAGATTATAAGGTAAAAATAATGAAAATAAGGAAACAAGTTACCAGTTAGGAGACCAGATGAGAGATAATGGTGGATTGCACAAGATGTTTGCAGCAAAGGTAAAGAGTTAATGGCTTTATTTTTTATATACTTTGAAAATAGAAACAAGTTTTCCCAATGAAAAGTATGAGGCATAAGAAAAATATATCATTAAAATATTTTTTTGTTTTTATTTTCATTTTATAGTTCAAAGATAATAAATGTAATCTGATGACAGAAGCAAAGAGAGAGGAGCAAGACACGAGAAAATGCTATGCTGCAATATTTAAAGGTAAAAGAGGAGGCCACTAGCTGAAAAATAAAAGTAGTCTAGTAGGTGGCAAATGATAAAAATGAATGGAGTCTGAAAACATCTCTGGTCAGAAGCTTTGTTTCATTTTGAAGAGTAATTTGCTCACTTCTGGACTTTCCAACATGACCAAATAGATATGGCCAAGAGATACACCTCCCTCTGAGGGACCAGGACACTGGAAAGACTGGCATACTCTTAGCAGATCTTCATAGGAAAGGCATTAGAGCAGATGGAGGGAAGACACAGATGTTGAAGGGGGAGGAAGGTGGGACCCCTACAGGGGGCTACCACACTGGCCTCATCCCTGGTCCCTGATGATTTCTGTGGAAGGGGTGAGTTGAACAGGCGAGGAGCAACCTGCTGTCACTACAGGCCTCTGGAATCCTGGCAGCAGGAGACCCCTTGACTACCACAGGCAATTAATTTGGCAGGGATGGCTGCTTAGAAAAGCAGTAGGGGCAGAACTCCAGTGGGTGGGGAGCCTAGAGGGTTTGGTGTGGCAGTGTCTGTAGTAGCACATGGCCAGTGACACCCATTGCCCTGGACTCAACTTGCTCTCCTAGAAGACTTTAGCCATAGAGGAACAGTCAGATCTGAACTTTGCAGGGCAGTCTTGCCCATGAGATGAGGCCAGTCTGACCTGAGCACCCCGAGTCTGCTGGCCTTTCCTAGGGTACCAGCCTGGCCATGCCTGCTTCTAGGTACTTCCTGGGGGCTGACATCATAGCTCCTGTGCTGGAAGACTGCATCTGACCAGCACGGTGCTCCAGCAGAGCGGCCCCACAGACACGTACCAGACCACTTGCATGTTCCCCCAACTATAGCCTCAACTGTGCCACTTTATCTGCATGTACTGGCCCATGGCCACCCCAACATCTCTTTGCTGATGTGTTTGTGTGAAGATGGACGTTGCCTTCCCTTCCCCATCAATGCGCAGGTGTGCGTGAACAGTCCTATGTCACCCCTGGTGGCATGAGTGCACATCCTCACCTCCACACCCTGTCCCTGCACCAACACTACTGCCAGTGCAAAACAGCACAGAGAACAGTGGACCCACCTCCACCCTGAGTGACCACTGTCATCCACATGAATGCACACAAAGGGCACACACAATCCCGCGCCTTCCAGTGCCCTGCTCCTGTGCTAACATCACTACTAGCACAAATGTATGCACAGTTGCCAGTGACGTCCTCCCTGAGCCATGCTGCCAATGCCTTTGCTGTGAATACCCACACAGAGGCCAGCACACTGGCCATTAGCAGCCTGCCACAGCCAATGAACATGCACGCTGCTGTACTGCCATTGCTGTGGACACGTGTAAATGAGGACAGATCCTGCTGCTACCAACCTAAAAGGTGCTTTGGCAGGCACCACCCATCAGAGTATTGTGACCAATGGTCCAGGAGCACGTGGGCCCCTCCAGCACAGCAGCTTCCTGACCTTAAGGAGACAGAGAGCAAAGCTGGCCCAATACCAGTTCTCCATACTTGGAGCACATAGTCCAGTAGTCTTGAGCTGAGCTTTCATCTCCTAAAATCTTCCAGAAATGAAGCCAGTCAACTGAACACATCTTATACCACAGTGAAGCCCCCAAGGTCATCAAATAGGATAAAGAAAAGAAAAATTCAGAGGACAACAAAGATTGAAGGAACATTAGCCCCAAAGATGAGAAAAAAACCAGCATGGGAACTCTGACAACTCAAAGAGCCAGAGTGTATTCTTCTCTCAAAATGGCTGCACTAGTTCTCCATCAAGGGTTTTTAACCAAGCTGAGATGGCTGAAATGACCAAAATAGAATTCAGAATATGGATAAGAACAAAGATCATCAAGATTCAGCAGAATGTTGAAACCCAATCTAAGGAAGCAAAGAATTACGATAAAATATAGGAGCTGAAAGACAAAATAGCCAGTATAGTAAAGAATGTGACTGACCTGATAGAGCTGAAAAACGCACTACAAAAATTTTATAATGCAATCACAAGTGTTAGCAGAATAGACCAAGCTAAGAAAAGAATCTCAGAGTTTGAAGGCTGGCTTTCTGAAATAAGACAGTCAAGAACGAAGAAAAAGAATGAAAAGGAATGAGCAAAACCTCCAAGAAATATGGGATTATGTAAAAAACTGAATCTACGACTCATTGGCATCCTTGAAAGAGATGGGGAGAATGGAAGCAACTTGGAAAACATATTTCAGGATATCATCCATGAGAACTTCCCCAACCTTACCAGAGGCCAACACTCAAATTCAGGAAATGCGGAGAACCCCCCCCCCCAAAATACTTCAAAAGAAGATCATTCCCAAGACATATAATCTTCAGATTCTCTATGTTTGAAATGAAAGACAAATGTTAAAGGCAACTATAGAGAAAAAACAAGTCACCTACAAAGGAAAGCTAATCAGACTAACGGACCTCTCAGCAGAAATCTTACAAGTCAGAAGAGACTGGGGACCTATATTCAACATTTATAAAAGAAATTTTAACCAAGAATTGTACATCCAGCCAAACTAAGCTTCATAAGTGAAGGAGAAATAAGATCCTTTGCAGAACAGCAAATTCTGAGGGAATTTGTTATCACCAGACCTGCCTTACAAGAGCTCCTGAAAGAAGCACTAAATATGAAAAGAAAAGATCATTACCAGCCAATACAAAAGCACACAAGTACATAGACCAGTGACACTATAAAGCACCCACACAAACGAGTCAGCATAATAACCAGTTAATGACACAATGACAGGATCAAATCCATACATATAAATACTAACTTTGAATGTAAATGTGCTAAATGCCCCTATTAAATGGCACAGAGTGGCAAGCTGGATAAAGAAGCAAGACCTAATGGTATGCTGTCATCAAGAGATCCATCTCACATACAATAACAGCCATAGGTTCAAAATATAGTGATGGATACAAATCTACTAAGCAAATGGAACACAGAAAAGAGCAGGGGTTGCGATCCTAATTTCAGACAAAATAGACTTTAAACCAACAAAGATAGAAAAAGACAAAGAAGGGCATTACATAATGGTAAAGGGCTCAATTCAACAAGAAGACCTAACCTAAATTTTATATATATATATATATATATATATATATATATATATATAAAATTCATAACACCCAAATTCATAAAGCATATTAGAAACCTTCAAAAAGACTTAGACTCCCACACAATAATAGTGGGAGACTTTAACACCCCATTAACAGTAGATTATTGAGGCAAAAAATTAACAAGGATATTTAGAACCTGAACCCATCACTGGACCTAATGGACCTGATAGACATCTACAGAACTCTGTACCTCAAAACAACAAAATATACATTCTTCTCATTGCCATATGGCATATATTCTAAAATCAACTGCACAATGAGACATTAAAAACAACCCTCAGCAAATGCAAAATGACTGAAATCCTATCAACCACTCTCTTGGACCACAGCACAGTAAAAATAGAATTCAAGACTAATAAAATTGCTCAAAATTATATATAATTACATGGAACTTAAACAACATGCTCATAAATGACTTTTGGGTAAATAATGAAATTAAGGCAGAAATCAAGAACTTCTTTGAAACTAATGAGAACAAAGATACAACATGCCAGAATCTCTGGAACACAGCTAAGGCAGTGTTAATAGGGATATTTATAGCACTGAAGCCCACATCAGAAAATTAGAAAGATTTCAAATTAACAACCTAACATCACAAATAAGAGAACTAGAGAAGCAAGAGCAAACCAAACCCCAAACTAGCAGAAGACAAGAAATAACCAAAATCAGGGCTGAACTGGAGATTAAGACAAAAAAAAAAACATACAAAAGATTGGCCAGGCACGGTGGCTCATGCCTGTAATCCCAGCACTTTGGGAGGCAAAGGCAGGTGGATCAGCTGAGATCAAGAGTTCAAGACCAGCCTGGGTAACATAGTGAAACCCTGTCTCTACTAAAAATATAAAAATTGGCTAGGTGCGGCAGCACGTGCCTGTAATTGCAGTTACTCTGGTGGCTGAGGCAGGAGAACCACTTGAACCTGGGAGGCGGAGGTTGTAGTGAGCTGAGTTCATGCCACTGCACTTCAGCCTGGGCGACAGAGCAAGACTCTGTCTTGCAAAACCCAAAACTATAAAAGCCCTGAGAGGAAAAAAAAAGCACAAAAACTCCAGGAGTTTGTTTTGGAAAAAAAAAAAAAAAAAGATATATAGACCGCTAGCTCGACTAATAAAGAAGAAAAGAAGAAAATAGAGAGGATCCAAATAAGCACAATTCAAAAAGACAAAGGGGATATTACCACTGACTCCACAGAACTACAAATTATCATCAGAAACTGCTATGAATACTTCAACACACACTAACTAGAAATTCTAGAAGAAACTGATAAATTCCTGGATACATACACCCGTCGAGACATAACCAGGAAGAAATGGATTCCCTGAACAGACCAATAACAAGATCCAAAATTGAATCAGTAAAAAATAGCCTACCAACCAAAAAAAGCCCAGGATCAGACAGATTAACAGCTGAATTCTACCAGATGTAGAAAGAATAGCCGGTACCATTCCTACTGAAACTATTCCAAAACATTGAGGAGGAGAGACTCCTGCTCAACTCATTTTATGAGGCCAGCATCATCCCAATACCAAAACCTGGCAAAGACACAACAACAAAAAAAACTTCAGGCCCATATCCTTGTAAACATTGATACAAAAATCTTGAACAAAATAGTAGCAATCTGAATCCAGGAAAACATCAAAAAGCTAATCCATCACCACAATCAAGTAGGCTTTTTCCTTGGGATGCAAGATTGGTTCAACATACACAAATCAATAAATGTGATTCATCAAAGAAAGAGTACTGAAGGCAAAACCAACATGATCACCTCAATAGATGCAGAAAAGGCTTTTGGTAAAATTCAACATCACACATGTTAAAATGTCAACACACTAGGTATTGAGGAAACATACCTCAAAATAATAAAAGCCATCTATGGCAAACCCACAGCCAACATCATACTAAATGGGCAAAACCTGGGAGCATCCCCCTTGAAAACCAGCACAAGACAAGAATGCCCTCTCTCACCACTCCTATTCAATATAGTAATGGAAATCCTGGCCAGAGAAATCAGTCAAGAGAAAGAAATAAAGGGCATCCAAATAGGAAGAGAGGAAGCCAAATTATTCCTGTTTGCTGAAACATGATTCTATATGTAGAAAACCCCATAGTCTCAGCCTAAAAGCTTCTTAAGTTGATAAATAACTTCAGCCAAATTTTAGGATGCAAAAATCAATGTACAAAAATTACTAGCATTCCTATACACCAATAACATCCAAGCAGAGAGCCAAATCAGGAACACAATCCCATTCACAATTGCCACATAAAAATAAAATACCCAGGAATATAGTTCACCAGGGAGTTGAAAGATCTCTACAATGAGAATTACAAAACACTGCTCAAAGAAATCAGAGATGACATAAACAAATGAAAAAACATTTTCTTGCTCAGGGAGACTCAAAAAGACTAAAATGGCCATACTACTCAAAGCAATGTACACATTCAATGCTATTCCTATCAAACTACCAATCACATTCTTCACAGAACTACAAAAAGCTATTTTAAAATTCACATGGAACCAAAGAAGAACCTGAACAGTCAAGGCAATCCTAAGCAAAAAGAACAAAGCTAGAGGCATCACGTTACCCAACTTCAAACTATAATACAGGGTACAGTAACCAAAACAGCATGGTACTGGTACAAAAATAGGCACATAGACTAATGGAACAAAATAGAGAACGAAAAAATAAGGCTGCGCATCTACAACCATCTGATCTTTGACAAAGCTGACAAAAATATGCAACAGAGAAAAGACTCCCTACTCAATAAATGGTGCTGGGAGAACTGGCTAATCATATGCAGGAGATTGAAATTGGACCCTTTTCTTACACCATTTGCAAAAATCAACCAAAGATGGATGAAATACTTAAATGCAAAACCCAAAACTATAAAAACCCTGAGAGATAACCTAGGCAATACCATCCTAGACACACGAAGAGGCGAAGATTTCATGATGATGATACCACAAATAACTGCAACAAAAGTGAAAGTTGACAAATGGAATCTAATTAAAATTAAGAGGTCTGCATAGCATAATAAACTATTAATGGGGTAAACGGACAACTGACAGAATGGGAGAAAATTTTTCTCACCTATGCATCTGACAAAAGTCTAATATCCAGCATCTATGAGGACCTTAAATTTATAGGCAAAATTAATCCCATTAAAAAGTGGGCAAAGGACATGAACAGACACATGCATGTGTATGTTCATTGCAGCACTATTCACAATAGCAAAGACATGGAATCAACTAAAGGCCCATCAATGGTAAACTGGAGAAAGAAAAGATGGTACTTATACAGCATGGGATACTATGCAGCTGTAGAAAGGAATGAGATCATGTCCTTTGCAGGAACATGGATGGAACTAGAAGCCATTATCCTTAGCAAACTAACAAAGGAACAACAACAGCAACAACTGCATGTTCTCACTTATAAATGGGAGCTAAATGATGAGAACACATGGATACGTAGAGGGGAATAACACAGACTGGGGGCTTATCAGAGGGTGGAGAGTGGGAGGTGGCAGAGGGTCAGGAGAAATAACTAATGGGTACTAGGTTAGTACCTGTGTGATGAAATAATCTGTACAAAAAACTCCCCTGACATGAGTTTATCTATATAACGAGCCTGCACATGTACCCCTGAACCTAAAATAAAAGTTTAAAAATAAACTAATAGGAAAAAAAGAATAATATGAGTCAACAGTGGCATATCAGAGGTTTTTACCTTCAGCAACAAATGGATGGAGTTGCCCTCAATTGAGATGGGAAAGACAGTTTAAAGAAAATGTTTAAGAGGAAATAGGGGTTCTGTTTTGTACTTGTTAAGTTTGACATGTCTACTCATTATGTGCAGATGGATGGAAAAGCCAAGCAGACAGTTGAGTATAGAATTCTGGAATTTGGGAAAACTAGGGACCTAACTTAGTATAACAGATGTATTTAAATTCATGAGGCACTGAGTGGGATTCAAAAACCATGAGTGTAGGTAGTAAAAAAGGACAAAGGAGATCCCTGAAGTATGCCACTGTAAGAGGTAGAGAAGAGAGAAGAAACTGGTGACGGAGAATGAGAAAGAATGGTCAATAAAATAGGCATAAATATAAGAAAGTATGGAGTTCCAAAAGCCAAATATCAAGGAGAAAGGAGTGATAATTTTTAAGTAGTACTGATCAGTCACGTAATGGGAGAAATAGAAATTTATCATCAAATTTAGCAACATTCAGGGCATGACTCACCTTGACAAAAATACTGGTTAGTAAAATGGTGAGGGCAAAACCTGATGGAATGAACAGAGAAAAAGAAAAACTGGAAGGAATCAGGTTAGATGGCTCTGACTGGAGTTTTTCTGTAAAAGGGAGTAAAGAGATGGGGTATTATATGACATAAAGAGGACCATTTTTTGTAGGTCGAAGCAAATGATTAAGTAGAGAGAAAACTTAATGGTTTGGAAGAGAAGAGAGAACCTTTGGAGCTTTAACCATTGATAGGCAAGATGGATAAAATGCTCATGGAATGATATGGCCATTAGATGTTTAGAGAAGAATATGTATACTTAATCTACATACCCAGGAGGAATGGGTACCCATACTGAATGGAAGTCCCTACAAAATTGTTTTGCTTTTATTTACTATGAGAGAACAATTAAGATTGTCATCCGAGGGTAAGAATAAGAAATTAGGAAAGCAAAGAGAATGAATGAGCCAAGGAAGTATTTGGCCATGGATTTAAAATAGTAACATTGCAGGTGTTCTCCAATCATGCTGAGTGCTTAGGTTAAGGTTCAAAGGTAGTAGAGGTTTGGTAACCCAGGGTACAGGAATAAACAAGTGCATTAGTGCCTGTGGCTGCTGTAACAGATTAGCACAAATTGAGTAGTTTTTAAGACAACATAAATTCATTTTCTCACAGTTCTAGAGGCCAAAGGCCTGAAACTAAGATATCAGCAGGGCTGAACTCCCTCCAAAGGCTTTAGGGGAGAATCTCTTCTTTGCCTCTTCCAGTACCTGGTAGCTGTCAATAATGACTGACTTGCAGCCACATTCCTCCTCTTCTTCTGTCTGGCTGATGTTCATGTCACTCAAATCTCCCTCTGCCATCATATTACCTTCTTGTGTGTCTTTCTACTATGTCCCTTTTCTAAGGACACACGTTGTATTGACAGCTCACCTGGATAATCCAGGATGATCTCCTCATCTTGACATTCTTTTCTGTTTTTGGGAGACAGAGTCTCACTCTCTCTCCCAGGTTGGAGTGCAGTGGCACAATCATGGGTGACTGCAGCCTCGACCTCCTATACTCAAGGGATGCTCCCACCTCAGCCTTCTGAGTAGCTGAGACTACAGGTTTGTGCCACTAAGCCCAGCTAATGTTTTAAATTGCTTGTAGAGATGGGTTTTCAGTAAGTTGCTCAGCATGTTCTTGAATGTCTGGCTTCAAGTGGTCCTTTCACCTTGGCCTCCCCAGGGGCTGGAATTACAGGCATGAGCTACCACATCCAGCCTTCAACATCCTTAACATGATTATATCCACAATGACCCTTTTTTTTCCAAGTAAAGTAACATTCACAGCTTTGGAAATTAGAACATGGTCATATCGTTGTCAGAGGGTACCATTCAGCCACTACAAGGTGCAAGAAGTTGAGGTTGGAGGCAATAACTCTCATTTTACTCACAGTAGAACTTCCTTCAAAATTGGCCAGTCCTCTCAAACTCTGACACTGCTTTATCAACTAAGTTTATATAATAGTCTAAATCTTTTGTTTTCATTTCAACAATGTTCACAGCATCTTCACCAGCAGTAGATTCCATCTCAGGAAACCACTTTCTTTGCTCACCCATAAGAAGCAACTCCTCATCTGTTCAAGTTTTATCATGAGATTGAAGCAAATCAGTCACAACTTCAAGATCCACTTCTAAGTCTGTTGCTTTTGCTATTTCCACCGCATCTGCAATGGCTTCCTCCCCTGAAGCCTTGAATCCCTCAAAATCATCCATGAGGGTTGGAATCAACTTTTTCCAGACTCCTGTTAATATTCATATTTTGTCCTCCTCTCATGAATCAAGAATATTCTTAATGGAATGTAGAATGGTGAATCTTTTCCAGAATGTTATCAATGTTCTTTGTTCACATCGCTCACAGGAATCATTATGGCAGCTACAGCCTTATGAAATGGATTTCTTAAATAATAAGACTTGAATATTGAAGTGACTTAACTCATGGGCTGCAGAATGTGTGCTGTGTTAGCAGGCATGAAAATAACACGAATCTCCTTGTACATCTCTATCAGAGCTCTTGTATGACAAGTTGCATTGTCAACCTAATATTTGTAATGGGATCTTTTTTTTTTTTTTCTGAGCTGTAGATCTTAACAGCTCTTGAGAGAATCGGTAAACAATGCTACAAACCGATCCCATTCAGGATCTGTTCTATTTATAGAGCACACAGAGTAGACTTAGCATAATTCTTAAGGGCCCTAGGAATTTCAGAGTAAGCACTGGCTTCAACTTAAATTCATCAGCAGCATTAGCCCCAAACAAGAGAGTCAGCTTGTCCTTTGAAGCACTGAAGCCAGACATTTACTGCTCCTCTACAGTTGTAAGAGTCCTAGATGAAATCTTCTTCCAATATAAGGCTATTCTGTCTGCATTGAAAAAATCCGTTGTTTATTGTAGCCACTTTCATCGCTTGCTGCTTCACCTTGCAATTTTTTGTTCTGGGGATGGCTTCTGTCCTTAACCCTTATGAATTAACTTCTGCTAGCTTCAGGCTTTTCTTCTTCAGCTTCATCGCCTCTCTCAGCCTTCAGAGAATTGAAGAGAATTAGGACCTTGCTCTAGATTAGGCTTTGGTTTAGGAGAATGTTATTGTTGATCTTCTATCCAGATCACTCAAACTTTCTCCATATCAGCAATAAGGCTGTTTCATATTCTCACCATTAGTAAGTTTGCTGGAGTAGCACTTTTATCTCCTCCAGGAACTTATTCTTCACATTCACAACTCTGCTAACTAGTGCAAGAGGTCTGGCTTTCAGCCTATTTTGGATTTCAATGTACTTTACTCACTAAGTTTAATCATTTCTGCCTTTTGATTTAAAAAAAGAGACGTGATTCTTTCTTTCATTTGAACACTTAGAAGACCATTGTAGGGTTGTTAATTGGCTTGATTTCAATATTGTTGTGTCTCAGAGAATAAGGAAGCCTGAAGAGAGGGAGAAAGATGAGAGAACATTTAGAACAATCAGAACATAGACATTTATCGATTAACTTCACCATCTTATATGGGTACAGTGTGTGGTGCCCCACAAAAATTACAATAGTAACGTCAAAGATCACTAACTACAGATCACCATAATGGATATAACAATAATGACAAAGTTTGAAATATAGTGAGAATTACCAAAATGTGACAGAGACAGGAAGTGAGCACACGCTGTTGAAAAAATGGTGCCAATTGATTTGCTTGAGGCAGGATTGCCACAAACCTTCAATTTGTAAAAATCACTATCTTAAGTGCCAAAAAGCAAAGCACAGTTGAAGTATTCCTGTACATGTTAAAGAAAGATAAATGAGAAAATACGATAACATGAATTAAATGAAAACTTCCTAACATAAGATAGTAACTTTTTTTGCTATACCCATTCATTTCGGCCATCATGAAAGCTCCATTTTCCTTAATTGTTACCGCAGCTAAGAATCTTTGCAGTGTGCCCATAGGCAACCGATTGCTTCAGCCTGTCGAAGCTTGGAATCATGGGTTAGATTAGGTCTGTGCCTTGAAATACAAATGTAGCCATCCCCACCTGCCTCTCCATGGCTTCTATCAATGGCCCTGTCTTTTAGACAGGTGATAATCATTGTCTTATTTAGGTGATGCCTCAGGAGACCGTTTTCCCAGGTCCTATGTTTTTCCCACCCCCCCCACCCCCCACTCTGTGTTAGTCTGGTCTCATGCTGCTAATAAAGACATACCCAAGACTGTGTAATTTGTAAAGAAAAAGAGTTTTAATGGACTCACTGTCCCACATGGCTGGGAAGGCCTCACAATCATGGCAGAAGGTGAAAGGCACATCTTACATGGCAGCAGGCAAGAGAAAATGAGAGCCCAGGAAAAGGGGAAGCCTATTATAAAACCATCATATCTCATGAGACTTGTTCACTACCACGAGAACAGTATGGGGGAAACCACCCCCATGATTCAATTACCTCCTACCAGGGTCTCTCCCACAACACACAGGAATTAGAGGAGCTACAGTTCAAGATGAGATTTGAGTGGGGACAAAGCCAAACCATATCACCTTCTACAGCCCCAACAGAAAACTCTACTGGAGTCTTTGTGGTCTTTACGAACTGCATGAAGACCTCTTTAACAATACAACTTTTCTCTCATTCCTGTCCCCTTTACTTCTTCCCCAACTCTTTTCTCCCTAAGAGGTTGAGGTCAGATGCACTGTGTCAACATTCTAAGAAAGAGCTTTCACTTCTGGTTAGTGTAATGGAATATATGAAATGAGTCTAAAATTCATTATCTTGTTTCAATTCTTCACTTAATCCAAGTGTGCATTTATTTAGCAAACAAGCATTTATGGAGCACTCACTCACAAGGTGCTTGCTCTAGGAATATGAACATCGAGAAAACATTGTTCTGTTCTCACCTTACTTATTCGGTCTAGTGCAGGAGTCAGCAAACCAACCCATGAGCAAAGCCCAGCTCACAGCCTGTGTTTGTACAGCCCTCCAGCTAAAAAGTGTCTTCTGTATTTTTACCAGGTTGTAAAGAAGAAAAAGTAAAATATGCAACAGATACTATATATGGCTCACAAAGAATATGGTATTTACAGTCTGAACCTTTATGGAAAAACTTTGCTCACCCATAGTCTAGTGGAAAAATATGTAGATATAATAAAATCAACCTGGAACATTGTTGGAATTTGTTGTGGACTGAGCGCTGCTTTTGCCTGGCCAGCATAAATCTCTCTTCTTCTAATAAGGGATTTTCTTTTAGCAACAAACCCCACCCTGATTTTAGACTATGAGGTATGGGGGTCCTGACTCCACCACCTTTAGTTTAGGGCTGAGGGCTTAAGCCCAGTTGCTCCTGCTGTTCAATTCCCTGGTCACAGAAATTTGTTCAGAGAAGGGCTGACTGCCCGAGTTAGTCCAGTAAGATCTCATCCTGGGATTTTTGCTAAAATCACTGGGAATGGAAAACTCCATTTCTCCTGAAACTATATGCTGAATGATCATGAAAAACAGCTGTTCAGGGTCACAGTTTCTAAGAGGATCTGTCTGAGAGACAGGCTAATTCTGAGGGAAGCAGAGACAGAATGAAAAATAGAAGTGTTGAAGATATTCTTTGAGTCTTTAATCCAGTTGTACCTGGAGTTAAATCTCTTTTCTGGATTTACTTATTTTGTTTCATGAGGTAACAAAATTACTTTTTGTTTCAGCTAGTTTAAATTAAATTTCTGTTACTGTAACATAGCGGACTCCAGCCAATAACAAATTAAATGGGATAATGAACGTTAAATAACTGGTACATAAAGGTGCTTAAGAAACTCTCATCTTTCCTAAAATCATAATATGGTATGCTAAAAATTATAAAATATTTACGTTTAGAATGTATGTTAAAGGTAATCAGATCCAACTCCCTTTGTTTTACTGAAGTGGAAATTTTAAGGCCTAGAAAATTTAGAATAAATTTAAAAATTAACTTCAAAAAGAAAATATTACTATGCTGTGTGCTAATCACAAATTGAAGTGTATTTAATTTGGTATAGTAACAATTATGGGCAGTGTGTCATACATCATTGGCTGTTAGAAAAGACTATCATTTAACTGGGTTTGAAAGGAGTGTGTTTTCTTAGTTAAAAGAGGTGGAGTCGGGGAGTGAGTCCTAGAGAAAGGGAAGGTAGTCCACACAGGGAGTGAACTATGTAAAGGTCTGAATATGAAAGAGAACATATAACTGTGAGAACTGCAAGAGTTAAATACAGGTGAAGATTTAGTAGTGGGGAATGACTAGAAAGGATGAAGTAGCTGGAGTTAACCCTGGGTCAGATCATGACTTTCCTTGTAGTCCCTATAAAAGAATGTGGACTATGAGAAGTTGCAGGATTTAAATTAATGTTTTCGAAAGGAAACACAATGCGCCTGCTACTCTATTCATCCAAGAGAACAATGTGAGGGTCTAAGGTAAGACTGATCTGGGAGTAGGAGGGCTGGAAAAGGGTAGGAGTTGAGATGAAGATATTTTAGCAAGTGGGGGGCATTTAGGAGGTAAACAGGCAAGATTTGGTGACTAATTCCATGGGAGAAGTCAACTAGATGGAGGAGTTGCAGAATTAGTTTAGGACTGTTCTGTATAATGAATGCTAGTTCTATCCTCTGATAACAAAAAATAAGGAGAAGCCTGAATCCTGGGTGTGTGTGTGTTTGTGTGTGCATGTGTGTGAGACAGAGAGAGAGAACGAGAGAGCGAGAGAGCGAGAGAGCAAGAGAGTAAGTGTGAGTGCGAGCGTGGAGAGAGTGCTGGGGTTGTAGGAGAAACATGAAGAGTTCCACTTTTGGCATTTTGAGTTTGAATTGCTCACAGTCATTATATGATTGTCAACCATTAAAGAGTAAGTTCTGGAGTTTGCAATAATCATCCTGTAGACAGGAAGTAAAATGTGATGGAATGAAATTAGGTAAGGATAAAGAGTTGCATCTGCTGGTTTAAACCAGGTCTTTCTCTTTATCAATTACACATAATGAGCAAACTATTTTAAATATATAATATAGCAATACATTTTGAAGAAGTCATCAATATAGTTTATCTCTACATACCTCAATACTCTTGTGAATTCTGAAACTTCTGTAAAGGACTCAAGATATTACAACAATTTTTCACAGGGATTTGAAATCCTATAAACTCTACAGCAATGTTATCATCCTCTTATTGAGGAAAGAGGAAATGTTATGGTATTATGGCCATAGTCCTGGATGAGAAATCAGTAGAAATCTGCTCTGGTCCTGCTTCTAAATGATTGTGCTACTTTGAGAAAGTCATCTAACATCAGTGGAACCCCTCTTCTCACTTACAGAAGAAGAAAGCTAAAGTAAATATTTGGTAGGTCTTTTCTCTGCTCAAATATCCCAAAAGTCTAAGTATTTATGGATCTATATTTGCCTTTCCTTAATTTCAACCTAGTGACACTCCTGACATTGACATATGATAAGCAGATCCGATCATCTCAGAGTTTGTGCTTTTCCAAGCATATTAGTGATATGCAGAAATTATTAACAATTTTAGACCAGGAAGAAATCAAGCAGCAATTTGTGTTCATTAGTCACTTTAATAGATAGTACTGAACTGTGTTCCTTATCTTCTCAGCTGGACAATTCAGAGTAGGCGTGGCCAGAATGATCACAGTCCCTATTTACTCCAGGCATCTCTGTTACCAATGGCTCAACACAAAGTGTTTGTTTTTACAATTGTCAGCTTAGTGAGCCTGCCTTGACATTTAATGTTATGTAAGTTCATTGTTGAACTTGCATGCCATTGTTATAAATTATTCTGAATATTGAAAGTAACATTTATTTGTGCTTTTATCAGTTAGATTTTTCAATTTAGCCAAAACATTTAACATTCAACTATAAAAAATTTTTCCAATAGTTAGATAATTGGGGATTCAGAGCATATTAATTTAAACCAAAGTAATTTAATTATAGAATGTATTTTAATCATGAAAAACTGACAACATAATGGATAGAAATTGTTTAAGGGAATGAACACATTATCAGATAAAGAATGATTGACTTTTCAGAAGTCACAGAACCTGAAAAATATAAAACATTATAGACAAAATGTGTCATTCAATTTTGAAAATAATAGACAAGTATATTCAGTTTGAATATTTTACTCAAATATGTCTAATCTTCCCCTTAGTAAAATAAAATAACAAATTTTAAGAAAAATATAACTGTAAACTCTCAAAAGACAGCCAAATATGAGTAATAGTTTTCCTATATAAATCACAGAGTGCCTATTTGTCTCCACGCCTTGACAGTAGTACTACAGCCTTAGTAAATAAAGGCCACATAGTGGATGTAATAGGTATTGATTTCAGCAAGGCAAATGATGTAGTGCTTAATAAAATCTTATTCCCAAAATAATTTAAATTGACTTAGCTATGAGAGCAATCACATGTGTTGAGAACTGGCTGAAGGACAGGAAAAAGGGTGGTGGGAAAGGCCTACTTGCCAGGTCAAGAGGGTTAGTGTGAACTATAGTTCAGAAGGTTCACTGTTAGCCCCTGGAAGGAAACAGAAGGGAATGGAGGAATACATTTTGGAAAACCTTCCAAGAGTAAAGTGAATATTTGCTTCACTAGTATATTCTTGATCTTACTGGAATTAATGAAAAAAAAATACAGCACTCTAATCTGATTCATATTTATTTTTTTCTGCTAACATTCATAATATCCCTTTGACTATGTTATAATTCATACTGGGGAGGGAACTGGCATAAAAGGATTTTTCATTCATGTTTCCAAGGTCTTTAGAACATTGTATCTCCCTTTTGGCATTTATCACAATCTGACTTGTATTATTGTTGACTTATCTATGTTTCCCTTCTATTTGCAGAAGGCACTAATTAATTACTCCTTAAATATATTATAACCACATTCTGTCATTTGTAGATTTTCTTGAACTTACAGGAGTTTTTAAAAAAACTCCTGAATTATAATCATAAGCATGTTTTTAGGTGTAAAATGTTTTATGCAGCATGTTAACTTATCACATAAGCATGCAATATAAAACTCAATTTAAAAATGAAATAAGGTAATTCTTTCATTAAAAAATCCTTTAACCCAAATATGTATTCTTTTTGATACAAGAAAAAAACTTGAAATAATTTTCAATAACACATGTTTTATAATAACATTTAGAAAATTGAGATATAATTAATAGATTGAAGATTTAAACGTTTATATGGAGTAGGAGAACTCAGTGCTAAGTCAGTATAGAGTAATTTTTTGGAATGAGTGGCAAATTATTTATGATGCTAATTCTATTATTTCCTGAAATAATTTTTACAGAAAAGATTCATAGCTCTTTTAAACCCATATATTTTTATTTTATTCAAATATATCAGCATTATTATTCTCTCACTTTAATAAAGAAAACTGGGACACAATCAAGATGAAGTAAACTCATAAGCTATTGAGATGGATGGTAAATTAATGTGTGGAATTCATGTATGACAATCTGCTATTTTCTGATATTATCAGGAAAAGCAATCTTTCAAAATGAGTATGTATTTTCATCAAAGGCCACTTCTTTAATTAAAGTGTAGTTTATCTTTAAATATTTTAGTTTTGCCTTTTGTCCTGATAGCTCAATATAAATTACTATAAATTATTGCAACACTTACTTTCAATCAACAAAAAAAATTATTTCTGTTTACTTTGGTCCTTTGAAGATACGCTTGTTTTAATTTACAATGTTTTATTCCCTGCAAAACTCTAGGTGATCTTCAAAGTGATCAGAACTATTATTACAGCATAAAACATAAAAGAAAATGCTGTTGTCTTAGAAACAGGTTTTCCTCTGTTATCTTCCTGTAGAGGCACACAGGCTGCCAGTCACATACAGCATTAGCACGGGCTTGGGAGAGCACTTTATAAGCCATGAGAACATTCTATTCTTTTCATTTATATCATCATGTTTTCTATCTCAGAGGATGAATACAATTTTTTAAGAAGCCGTGAGATAAAATGTGAAACCATTAATTTTCTTTTAGCCTTTCATCAACCATGTATTCCCATGCATGAGATGCAGCATCAGAGACTGTAGGCTCCAAAGGACACACTTGAGAAGATTTCTGAATAATGCAATGATATTAGGAGATCATGATTGAAACCCTTATCACTAGCGAACCTTCAACAACATTTAATGAAAATTACTGAAGATGCAACAACCATTCAGAGAATGATAATTGAAGGCACTAGACATATTTCAGCCATGATATGTTTAAAAAAAAATAATGTCAAGAAAAGTAGGTCAGAGATCATAGGAAACAAATGTCCTTTTTTTTGGAAGAAATTTCCACATTGAAATGATCTATAATGTGTTAGATACTTGTTATTTGGACACATATTAACTGAGTACCTCCCACTTGCTAGATGCAGTTCTAGACACCAGTAAACCAGCATTTAAAAAAAACACAAAAAATAAAACAACAAAAAAATCCTCTGCCCTCATGAGATTTGCACTTTTGTGGAAAGAGAGCCAGTTACTCAATAAACAAAATAAGTGGGTTGTCATCTAGTGTTGAGATATGGGAAGGATAAAGCAGCAGGGAAGGTGCTAAATCCAAGAAGTAAGATAGGATCGGGGTGTATGTTTTGGGGATAGAGATAGAACTGACATTTTAAATAGGATGGTTTGGGAAAGCCTCCCTGATAAGTAACATGTTCGGAGAGAACTGAGGATGATGGGAAATAATTATGCATAGAAGATACTGTTTTTATTCATATGGAAACATAACTGATCTTTCTTGAAATATTCACAATTGAAAGAAAACTCGGATTTCACTTCATTTTCATTATGATTTTTTAATAGAATCATAGTATTTATACTGTTACATACTGGGTAGACTCAAAAGGCACAGCATTTCAGTGTACACATAGAGAATTGATTAAATACATCAAAAGATAACATTCTGCAAGGTCAAAGGCTTATTGCCTGATACATAAACACATTGAAATATAAATATGTTGAATTCCATTTTGCAGCATAGAAAGGTATGTGCATATGCATAGGTGATGCTTTGCAGTTCTTTTATTTCATACTACTTTCTTAGATACTGAAGATGGGAAAATATATTTGGAGTTGTAGTTGAATTTCTTGTGTTCAATAAATACACAGAAGGGCATTAGCAAACAAACAAACAAAGAAAGCATGAGGATACTGTTTTTGAGTCCTGGCCTTGTCTTTAATCATTTCAATGGATATTGGTTTCACTGGCCCTTACATTAATCATTTCTTAGCAAAAAGAAATGAGCAATACTAGTGGCGCTATTTTGTAAATAAGAATGAGGATGATAGGAAGGTTAAAAGATTTGCCTTGGGCAATTCTAACTATAAGTCTCTGGTAAAGCCCTTAGAAGAAGCTATTTGTCTTAAATGACAGTTCTGAGTTTTAACCACTAGAGTTCAGAGTAAACTAAGCTGGAAAGAGTATAGAGTACATTTGTACTAGAAAGATAACAGGACTGAGAATCAAGAGATTTCAATTCTACTAGCATTTGCACCACTAACTATTTCTGTGACTTTTAGAATTTGTATTTTTAAAGTTGGAAACCCATTTATCAAAAAGCATTTAATGAGAACCTTTTCTATACCAGGTACGGCATGAAGGGTTGGTAAAGTTATGTTCCGTACCCCCAAATAGCTCATATACTAGTAGAAAAAATTAAAAATAAAAATAAATGACAAGGCATTGTGCTTAGGACTATGTAAGAGGTAAGTAAAATGTGATATGAAAGCAAGAAGAAGGATGAACACTTAAACAGAAGTTATAATGAGAGACATGGCTTCTCAGATACCTGACTGCAAAGTACCAAGCTGAACGAGAGTTGGGGTTGATTGATGCAGAAAAACATTACAGGAAGTTCAAAGTCCTAGAGTCAAGATAAAAAAAATAGATATATCATTATTTCGGTATGGCTGGATGATAGAGGATAAAGATGAGAAGGATAAAAAAAAGCGCTAGATTTTGAAGCAGAAAATGCCTGTTTACCCCATAAAACAGTTTTGCTTTGGACCTGAACATAGAGGAAATTTTGGAATGCCTTTAAGCATGGACAAGACTTATTGTATGTGAAATTTACACACACAGGTCATACACAGGCAAAGTAAAAACTTCATTTTAGAGGAGTCGTGAGGCTGTGACAGTAGTCCAAGAGAAAAATTATGAGGGCCTGAACTAAAATCGTGAGTGCAGAATAGACTGGAAAAGATCAATTTAAGAGATTTAGGAAGTAAAATCTATAGAATTCTATAAATGCATATGAGTGGGATAGAACAATATACAGTTAGTATAATTTCAGGGAGTATCGTAGAAAAGGTAAAAGTTTTAGAATCAGCCAGTATTGGAAGAGAATGAATTCTAGATTTATCTTTAGTCTCCTCAGCTGCATGTCTTTGGGCAAAGGAATAAGTTAGACCCATTTGGACGAAGAATACTAAAATCCTGGTTCACTTTTATTTGAAGGTCAGAGGCTCTGGGATAGCTTATCTCCAGGGTTCAATCTCATCACAGACTCAAAGTCCCTGCATCTTCTACAGTTATCCTAAAGACTGCTTTCCTTCAGAGATCTAAGATCACTGGGACAACTTCAAAAGATATATCTAAATGGGTACACATGGACATATAGTGAAAAAATGGACATTTGAGACTCCAAAACATAGGAGGGTGGGAGGGAAATGAGGGTTGAAAAATTACCTATTGGGTACAATGTTCACTGTTTGGGTAATGGGTACACTAAAAGCTCAGACTTCACTACTATACAATATATCTATGTGACAAAACTGCACTTTTACCCCCTAAATCTATGAAAACAATAAAGAAGTTGTTCTATTCCTGGTGTTTAGTCTTAGGAATCCAGAGTCCTGACTGTCCCCCACCAACCCCCTTCTTCTGCATACCTCCTATTATACTGAGATGACCTGGGCCATATACCCACCCCTTAATATAATATAATAATTAGGCAAAATGAAATTTAGTAGTGGAGCTGAGCAGAAGGTCAGTCTTTCCTGATTCAAGTGTTAAAAAAAAAATCCAGGCTCTGCTCATTAAAGGAAGGGTAATTAATGTTTATGATACAGCCCCTTCTACCATGGGGTAAGAATACAAACCTGGAAAAAGTGTGTGAAAATAGGGAGGCAACACTGATTTGTCAAAATAAAGAGATGGGCCAAGATTCTCTGTGTGTATGTGTGTTTAGAGGGGCAAAAATGAGAAGATGAGAAGACAGCATAAGATGAAAGATTAAATAAATGTTTTAGAGAATATTTAATGAGAATCAAGCATAACTGTATTCTATTTATCTTCCTCCTCCATTGAGTATTCATTTTAAAGTATTATGGCATTACTATTTTCTAGGATTATGGCTTTTAAAATCATTTGATTTTCCTCTTTTGTTACTTTCTTCATTATTTGCCTAAAACAGAAGGAAAACAGCATTTCTGGTTTTTATTCTAAACAGCATAAAGAGGTTTCTAAGAGTGAAGCGGGTCCAAGGGAAACATAACCCTCTTAGATATAGATGTTATTGCCATTAAATTACTCCTTTAAGTAGATGTACATATAGGAGATACAGTTAATTTCACATGAAGATGGGAAGGACCACTAAGGTAATGAACTTTATTGAAAGTGCTTTTAATGCCATTATACACGTTTGAGAAGCTTTCAGAACAGAGAAGACCACTGAGTTGATAAAAGAAGCATTTAGTTAGCAAATGCCTTCGTGCCTCCCTGCTCACCGGTATATTTGCTTTAGAAATGAATGTTACATAGTAGATACAGACTTGCTTCTTTAACTCTTTTCAGAAATAAAGTGTGTGTATGTGTGTGCGTGTGTGTGTGTGTTGGAGGGGGTGGTGATCAGTGTCATGAAGTACGCAAGGAATACATTAAGCATGGATATGTGGATTGCATAATTTAAAACTGTCCTGGGGCATCCTTAAATTATGCATAGGTTTTGTTTTCTTATTTTACGTTTTTAGAGGGAAGATACTTGATTCTGCAATTTCTACACTGTTAGCATTATCTAAATCTCTCTCTCCGTTGAATGCTAAGCATCCATAAGAAACCATGCCATCTGCTACTCAGAGTGTTTTCCTAAGATGCTTCCAGGTACTCATCTTTCCTCAAACCCTGTTGTTTTGTGAAGACACATCAACTTCCCATCATGTATAGAGCGATTTCGTTAGACCTCACATTTACTTGTGTCAAAACAATGGCATCGACCCATTCAGCAGCAATTTGGAAGTGTTTTAATAATTTGTTGCTTTATTTTACAGTATTTATTTTGTGTCATCATTTAAAATCAAATAAAGACAGGATTCAGTAATTCTACTGTTACGTGTGAGTTTCACAGATCCTGAACTTTCTTTCCCTCTTTCCTCATGTTTCAGGGCAAGCGCCACCTTCTGTGGCTGTGCATACTCTACGCTATAACATGAGCTGTAGGTTTTTCAAAGCAAATAACCTTCATTTCACTCACAAACACACTCCAAGCTCGCCCTCCACTTTTGAATAGTGTACAGCTAAAAACCGATGGTTAAAGAAGAAAAATAAACTGTGATAATCTGGAAATGAAATTGAATATAGCGATTTTATTTTCTTGGGTCACTTTGTTTTGTAAATCAGCAATTCAGAGCGCTGCAATTATTTATCAGCACAGGACATTGTCTTTAGTAGTTTACTGTTTAGAGGTCTGGCTTCATTAAAACATTACTTTTAGGTCACTTTTAATTACTATTTTTGAGGACATGGGGTATATGTTTATATTGTGTCCTTTTAATGTGAAGCCAAAGTTTAACAAGTTGATATCCCAAGTCCTACAGACGTTTTAACATTTTCCAATGATTGCAGCTTTTACTTTACCGCTAGGTGGCAGAAGAGTTTTAGTTTCTGGTGCTGCGCTTTCGAAACTTCCACTAAGCACTCAGCTCATTCCCGCAGCAGCTGAGGCTGATATAAATGTATAAACAAGCAGAAGCTATATATGAGACACACCACCATCATTAAAGCATAAAGCAACAACTTTAAGCCAAGTTCTCGGCTTCCGATGGTCTGGTGAAACCAATGCTTTGCTGATGGGCTGAAGTAGAGGAAGGAATCCTGAAAAAAATGACCGTTTCCTGAGGTTAGGCTTTGTATGTGTGTTTCTGTGCCATTGTCCAGGACTAGTGCGTCCAAGGGAGACAGCTGGCAACTCACATATCCATTGCTGCTTGGAAGGATTTCTAATGTTTCCACCTGACTCTGCTATGGGCATCGTTGCCTGAACCTTGTAGGAAGAGGAGCAATAAAGCAACATAAAGTCAAAGAGCAGCTAAACATGGAAATGCTAAATTTGTTAGATTGAAAAGCATACAGCTTGAGGATTCTTAACAGTGAGAGGTTAGATACAGAGTTAAGTAGGAGTAGAATTTGAAAGCAAAACATTGTATTTGTATATAGAAATATTTGCTAAGTTGATATCCAGGCCGTCACCCAGAATATATGAGTTTTTGCAACATATGGAATATTAACAGTAAAGTCAGGGCGATTCTTTGGTCAAGCACAAAGAAAGGTACTTGCATTTATAGAGTATATTTTATGAGTTGTGGAGAGGGGATTTTTTTTTTTAATCAGACCAACCATTGTATTTCAGAATAAATAAAACCTCTCCACTTAGGAAAGCACAAGAGGTATAAAAAGAAAGGAAAAAGTGTGTGCTCCCATAGGTAGGGGAGAGGCACAGCAGCTGCCTTCTTCTGGAAAGGCAATAATCCGTAGGTTGTATTCTAAGTTGACCCACCTACATCTGCCATCGCAGCCGGCACCTGGTGCAGGATGAATGACATGCAATACTCCCCAAATGTCACTGTCCAGCCGTGTCCACCAATTAAAACTAATAAACATTCCTCCCCATGCTGAAGATGTGCCGCCAGCCCAGCGAGCTGCAGGGCCGGCGATGGCAGAGCATAATAACTGCAGTAGCAGCAGCAGCAGCCAGAGCCCTGGGCAGCAGGTGCACTTGGCCGGGAACAGGGAAGGGCACAGTGTGGCGCTGGCATTGCCTGCTCACATATTATGCAGGCAGAGCTGAGTTGTTTACAAATTGATAGCAGAGGGGATTTGGTTGGAGAGGGAGCAGAGCACAAACACACTGTACTCAGTGCTCAGAGAAACCTGAGAGGGGTCCTGTGCTGGCTGCTTGGGTGCCAGTCACCCTAGAAAAAGTCCTCTTTCTGCCCCCCTCACTGCACACCTTAGCAGGTAGTACAGGCTCAGTTGCACAGGCAGGCAAGTACACCTGCCAAAAAACTGAAGGATTTTCAGTGTTGAGAACCAGAAAGCTTCTTTCTTTCTCACTAAATGTGCCTCTTCCAGGTCATATGGACATGCAAGATCCATCTGGATATAGCTTGATAATTGGAATACAGAAAAGATGCAAAATTTAAGAAAGGTCTTAAATGGGAAAAAAATAAACCTTCAGGAAGGAAAGGAGCTTGAAGTTAGGTCTCGGTATCTACTGGGAGTTAGGGGTTTTAGTCACCCCATTATGCTGACTCTGTCTGAAATGAGTCGGAGAGTCCTGGGAGTGTGGAGTGGCTGTGTTGGGGTCAGCACGTGGGGCTCAGTAATGCCAGCCTTGAGGGGGATCGAGTGGAGGGAGCAGGATGGAGGATAGAGCTTTCCATGTGCAGTTAATCATGGGTGATGCTCCCACTCAACAGTGGGGCATCATGGGTGAGTTTTTCTCAGTTTAAGTGTTATTTCTACCAAAGGAAGGAAGGATGTGTCCTTTTTCCACCCTGTCAGCAGTGCAGTAACCTATGTCAGTCTTTGTTTTCACCTCTGCTGATTTCAACGACACTCTCTGGCAATGTCAGTGCTGTCAGTTTAAAGTCATGTTTCTTCCTGTGAGAGCTGTTTTGAAAAGGGACACCTGAAGGTGTCATTTTCCTGTGGTTAATTAACCTTGAGACCAGAAGCACACCAGCCAGGCCCTTAATTACATTTGTGTGTAACCCTGCAACCACAGGGTGATGAGGGGCCACTTCCACTGCTGTCATCTCTCGGCCCCACCTGTCTGACCCATAATCTAGGTGATTGTTATACAACGATTTCTGTCCTCGACATGGGTTGTTGTGCATTCTGAGTTCAGATGGCAGCGTTTTGATTCTCTGAGTGAAACCTTTTGGCAGGTGTATTAGGACATTCTTGCATGGCTATAAAGAAGTACCTGAGAATGGGTAATTTACAAGAAAAGAGGTTTAGTAGGCTCATGATTCTGCAGGCTGTACAGGAAGAATCACACTGGCATCTGCTTCTGGGGAGGCCTCTAGGAAGCTTACAGTCATGGCAGAAGACGAAGTGGGAATAGGCATATCACACAGCAAAGGCAGGAGCCAGAGAGAGAGAGAGGTACCACACTTCTAAACTGCCAGATCTAGCAAGAAGTCACTATCACAGGGACGGCACCAAGGGGAAGGTGCTAAACCATTCATGAGAAATCCACCCCCATGATCCAATTACCTCCCACCAGGCCCTACCTCCAATACTGGGGATTACAATTCAACATGAGATTTGGGTGAGGACACATATCCAAACTATATCAGCAGGTACATGCAAATTCTTACAGTTGAAGAATTTCTTTAACAATTAAAAAAAAATCAAAGCTAATTTGCCTCTCTCTTCCATGGTTGCTTGACCAAAAACTGGAAAAATACACATTTGTAACTGTGGTGGTAGAAAGCAGTGCTGCCACTCCTTTTATCCTTTCTAAAATTGAGCCAATTCCCTAATTGATACCCCAGCCTCTCCCTGTTCCACAATCCGGGTGAACATAGCTAAATCTTTTTTCACAGTGTTAGCTGCCAAAAAAACATTGGATTCTAGCATACTGGGTCTTGAGCAACAGGGATAAAGTGGCTTGAGGCAGGGATCAGGATGGTGTGGAGGAAATAGGGAAGACAGTGGCAGGTGGTTGTGTTGTCAAATCAGAAAACGTGGTAAAGAAGAGGAAGGAAGCGAAAGCTGAAGATAAGCAAGAGATGATGGCCTGGAAGTTCAAAATATAAGCAGGGAACATTAATCCAGTCTAATGATCTGTAGAGCTGGATCCAAGCTAAGGTTTTAGATCACAAGAAGCCGGGAACGTGAGCCAAGGACACACACACAATGGTTGGTTGGAATCTGAATACATGGACTAAGGAAGTAAAGTGTGAAGCAGAAAAAATCAGCAATGGACACTGCCATATCCAAGTGACTGCTCTCCTTATGTTCTTCTCTGTCAACTTAAAACAGGTTCATTACTCAGTGAAGAATAAAACAGGAGGCCAGACATGGTGGCTCACGCCTGTAATCCCAGCACTTTGGGAGACCGAGATGGGTGGATCATCTGAGGTCAGGAGTTTGAGACCAGCCTGGCCAACATGGTGAAACCCCATCTCTACTTAAAATACAAAAATTAGCTGGGCATGGTGGCAGACGCCTATAATCCCAGCTACTCAGTAGGGTGAGGCAGGAGAATCGCTTGAACCCAGGAGTCGGAGGTTGCAGTGAGCCAAGACTGAGCCACTGCACTCCAGCCTGGGCGACAGAGCAAGACTCCATCTCAAAAAACAAAACTCACACACACAAAAAAAAAAAAAAGAAAAGAAAGGAAAAATAATTTTACACTTGCTACAAGAGTGGAAAATAGAAAAGGATTAACAAAAATTAAGTCTGCCTAGTACAAACTAATCTGATTTTGGATTTTCCTGTGTAACATTGCCACCAGATTTGTATTAATTTTCTGCTTAAATACATCCAGTGACAGGCTCCTTTCCAGTTATTGGTAGTTTCTGAATATTGACAGTGCTTCCTCATGTTTATTCCAATATAGCCTCCAAAGAGCTTCCACTCACAGGCCTTTGATTTGATTCTGAAACTATGTAAAGCAAGTCTATCATGCCATCATATTTAAAATACAGTCTTCCCTCTCAGTATCTATGGGGGATTGGTCCCCTGACCCTCACGGGTAGCAAAATCCATGGGTATTCAAATACCTTATGTAAAATGGCATGATATTTGCATATAACCTACACATATCCTCCTATATACTTTGAATCATTTCTAGATTATGTATAATGTGTAATACAGGGCTCAAACATCACTTCATTCTAATGAATTCAACATAACTCTCAGCCCAGGAAAAATTTAAGTTTTGCTTTTTGGAACTTTATGTAATTTTTTTTTCAATCTGTAGTTAGTTGAATCCATGAATGTGGAACCCATGTGTATAGAAGGCCAACCATGATTAAAAAGAGGGTTCATGGCCTTTTTTTTTTCTGAATGGAAAACCCACAAAAGCAAAATATTACCTTTAAAAGTTTTATTTTTAATTCTTATGAATATGTAATAGTTGTACGTATTTATGATACGTACATAATATTGTGTAATATTGTGATACAAGCATAGAGTATGTAATGATCAAATCTAGTGATATCCATCACCTCAAACATTTATTGTAGCCCATTATTTAACTCATTAAATACCTCATAAATGCCACGCAGTTTTCCAAACTGTAGAAATACCAGAAGGAATAAGATGAGATCTTGATTGTCTTGCCATCTGTATTCTTGCTCTGGAGATAGGAATATGTGTATTTCTCATGGTGTGGAATCATCAAAAGCTATGAATAAGTTGTGTAGGAAGTTCTGGGAGGACACAGAGAAGGGCGAGACTAACTCTGGCTTATGTTTAAGGAAGGAGTCAAACCTTGGAGGATAAGCAGGACTTCGGTAAGCCTAATGGTGGAGAGTTTCAATATCTTGGGTTTGCAGAGAGAGAGAGAAGAGAAATGCCTCCTTTCCTTGTGTAGAAACTTAAAAACAGTTCCCAGATCTCTTCTTAAACACATCAACACTGTGAGCACCAGGGTTCTCCAAGGGTGCTTTAGCTGATTCTTCACTTCTTTTGCCTTTTGAAATATATTTAAAGAGGAGAAGTTTGCGGTTGGCTATCTGGCATAAAATAGGGTTTACTAGCTCTTAAGTCAGTAACATTAGCTCTGTTTTAAGAGAAAATCTAGGAGGAAGACAGAGAGGTTTCGTATATGTTTTCTGATTTTCCTTGTTTTTGACTCTGGTTTGATGGAGCTGAAATTAGAGAGTAAAATAAATTTATTAAGATTTTTAGTTCTACATTTTTAAAAATGGGGGTCAAATCTTAGATATCTTTTTTTCCTGTTGCATCTAGGAAATTGTGCATAAGACAGTTAACAAAAACATGTGTTGAAAGTATGCCTGTTTTAGTGTAATGGCAAAGTTAATGCTATCATACCTCTTTTATGAATTGAATTGGCTTTCCATAAAATTGTAGTTTTTATTATATGTATTATTACTATACAACACAGATTCTGCTCTCACATGCTTTTGTGATGTAACCTTCAAATCTACCCCTCTCTGTGATGCAAATGGATCATGGAGAGATAGTGATGCTGGTTAATTTAAAGAGTATAGGATGTTAAACTGCACATGGTTTATCTATCCCAAGGAAATTCAAGAGTCATAAATCACCATGGTGACATAGCATGTTATATTTTATCCTTAGGGGGATAAAATACTGCAAACCTTTTCTAATGATTTACACATTTCCCAAATGAATTTTCATATTGACACAACTTGGGCCACAGCAGGGAATAATTGTTCCCAACAGTTCCTAGAACAGAGGGGGAGTCATATGCTAAAATCATGCCCTGATAGCTCAAAGCATGTTTACTGTACTGTCGACCTTTGTCTTGTTTAATAGTTGTAAAAGAGAAATACCATCCATACCCCCAGGGATTCCGACTAAAACAAGATTTCCTTTTATAATGAGATGATGCAGTTAACAACATTTGGAACAATCTAGTAATATGTGCTTTTATAACACTTCTAATCCAATCATCCTCAGGTTCTTAAACATTAAAATTGCATTAAGTCCGGAAACAAACATCAGAGATCCTCTGAGCATCAGATCACAGTAGCTCCATTTCGAAGACAGCAAAGAGGAGGAAACATGCCTCTCAAAAACGCAGTCCTGTATCTTCCAGTTCTTTCCTCCAAATACACTTAGAACTTTGCCATAACAGTTTTCAAGTGATATAAGCATAGCAATCACAATGAAAAATTTTCAATGTTTAGAAATTCAAGCAGATCTCAAAAAAGCATCTCACTGAAAAATTAGATCACAGTTGAGAGAGAGAGCTTCTTCAATTTATTATTGTTAATTATTAAAGTTAAATAATTCTGTACCAGACACTGAATGCTATAAAAAGCAGGGAAGTCCTTCCTATGAAAAATGTTGCAGATTTTTAAAAATAGTCCTGAATATTTGTTTTAAAGAGGAGACGTGAATGAATGATTGTCTACAAACCAAATCCCACAGCCTTAAGTAATCGCAGTGGTCCACAGATACTGCTTCACCTGTAGCTGATATACAGTTGTTTCATGGCAACTCTTGGAATTATTCTACCTCTTTAATAATGCAAGGTCCTCTTGGGACCTAATTTCTGCCTTAAAGAATTCATAATGCATGCTTTGTATTAAGTGAACAATTTTAATGAGAAAACCGTATCTATTTGACTGGGGAATAACTGTTGATTCGATTTGAATGTTATTTTGAATGAACTAGCATGAGATTAACAAGATTTTACTATATTGTTTTCCCATTTATATCCCAGCCTTATTTTTGGTCATAATTATTTATTTTACATTATAGTAAGTTGAGAAAGTGACAAGGAACTGAGAGAATGGGCTTTAATTAGAGTAAATGATAGAAAATGTACAGAGGAGAATAATTAAAGAGAATAAATAACATACAAGCATGAACCTGTTTAATTGGGTGTCTTTTCAATTCTTTCTAACCTTGAGATTCTGTGGATAATAGCTATGTAGCAGGTCTACTCCTCAATATGGAAAAACAACAAGGTCCTCATAGCATTGATCCGCCCTTCTTTGAATCATTTATCAGCCAAAACTTTACATTTACTTGTGAGACTATTGGAATAATGGTGTAACTACAGTAATAAATAGAAAATGTAGAGAATGCATAATGAAAAACTGAGTAATACATTAGTACAAATAGAGTATAAAATCACATGAGAACAGATATGTGCTTTTGTGTATCTAAGACTATGCTTCTTACATAGTTGGTACTCAATAAATATTTGTTGAATGAATAGTGGGCAAAAGGTAAACAGTATCAAAGGAAGCATAGATAATATGATTAAATTATAATTACTAAGTACTATCAGATGAAGAGTGACCATGTGAAGATACTAGCCAAAGTGTTTTATATATATTTTATATGTAGTGTTTTATATATAATTTATATATAATATATATGACACTATATATAATATATATTATATATAAAACAATATATGTTTATATATATATGATGTTTTTTCACTTCTATTAAGGTATAATGACCCATAGAATTTATATATATTCATGGTATACAATGTGATATTTTGATATATATATGTATGTATACATCATGAAATGATTAAATCAAGTTAATTAACAAATTCATCACCTCAACATACTTATTTTTTTGTGATAAGAACATGTAAGATTTAGTCTCAATGATTTTCAAGTATACGTTATTATCTATAGCCACAATGCTATGCAGTACATCCCCTGAACTTATTTATTATCTCTAACTTAAACTTTTTAGCCTTTCACCAAAATCTCCCCATTTCCTACCCCTTCCTCCTGAAAACCACCATTTTACTGTCTGCTTTTGTTATTTCAACTTTTTGGATTTCACATATAAGTGAGATCATGAAGTATTTGTCGTTCCATGCCTGGCTTATTTCATTTAACATAATGGTCTCTAGGTTAGTCCATGTTGCAAATGACAGTAATTCCTTCTTTTTTTACTGCTGCATGGTATTTCATTGTATATGTACATTATGTTTGTTTTCTTTATCCACTTATCTACTGATGGATGCTCAGGCTGATTCCATATCTTGTCTATTGTGAATAACAGTGATAAATATGGAAGTACAGGCATCTCTTTGAGATATTAATTTCATTTGCTTGGTGTATATACTCCTCAGAAGTGAAACTCCTGGATCATATAGTAGCTAAATTATTATTTTTTTGAGGAACCTCCATGTTTTCCATAACGTCTGTACTAATTTACATTCCCACCAACAGTTATACAAGGGCAGTCTTCTCTCACATCCTTGCCATACATAAAGATTATCTTTTGTCATTTTGGTAATAACCATCCTAAAAGGGGATATCTCACTGTGGTTTTAACTTTTATTTCCCTGATGATTAGTATGTTGAATATATATTAATTTATAATCCTTACCAAACAGATCCAATGAGATAGATTATATTATTATTTCCATTCTATGGATGAAGAGAATGAGGATTAGAGTTGCTTAAGCTCACTTAGGAAAGATTGAATATAAACGTAGGTTTCCTTAACTCTGAATGTCATACTCTTAACCCTTAAAAGGCACTCCCTATCTCCAAGGCTGTAAAACTTGGTGTTCTCATGATGTCTTCCAAACAAATACTGAAGGATGAAAAACTGCTTAGTGTTCATCATTTGAGACTGGACATGTTCTGGATGGTGTAGATGTAGGCATTGCTTCTATTTGAGATCAGCCTACCATTGAAATGCTCTTCTGCCTAGCTCTTGACTTCATAGTTTAATTTATGAGGAGAATGTGGAGACAATTAATTAAAGTGTTTGTGGGGTATTAAAAACCTACACAATTAGATTCAGACAGCTATGTTTGCTAAGATATCAGTGTATTCTTCTCTCATACTTATAAGGAATTATAAAAAAAGAAAACATTATTCCTACCAGGATGATATTTACATATCATGTAAAATAAAAAAATAGAAGCATATGGAAAGACTTAACATTTAGAGTACAACTTGCAGATGACCTTTGTCTCACCATCTAGTTTATGCTTATTGGGGATTTAAATTGTTGCTCACTTCTCAAACTTGATAATTTAAAAATGGAAAATACAGGTTGAAGTTAGGTCTATATTAAATACTAAAACTATTGTTTGAAAATTGCAAAGGGTAAATCAAAATCTTGATTACTGGAGGTGAAAAAATTCTCTTGTACACATATGTATGAATACATACAGAGTTATTCAGATCCATCAAATTCGTATTATTTTAACTATCTGATTTTTAAATAAATTAGATAAAGAAAATATAATACGGTAATGATGTAGGGTGCAGAAGCCCTGGGTTCCTGTCCTAAGTGTCTTGCTCTGATTCACAATTAAAATGTAATAGTTTTGTATGAATCAATATACACACACAAAAACCTATCTACACTCACATACATATATTCATTTATTAAGTATTGTACCCATCTTGCTATGATTCTTAATACTAAACAATACAAATAATGACTAATATCATTTCCAGAGTATTGATTTAAATGACAGTCTTCCAGATTAATGTCTGTTCCTCTCTATTTTCAGGTCCCAGCAGAAGAAAAAAGCATCCCTCCTACCTCATTTCTCCTTTCGGAGGCTAGCAGGAAATTAAAAAAGGAAAGGAGTTTCATGCAGTATTTCTTACAGCAAATTTCTCAGAATCCAGAGATACTTCTTTTCTCTGTAATAAGTTGCTGCAGATACAAAGGAACACTTATGATTGATGACTATCTCTGTTTGCATGAGCAATAATTCCTGAACACACAGTTCTTGATTAAAATACAAATGCATTTTCAACTGCGTATTTCTTTATCTGTGTTTTATCCTTACTTGACAAAATGTGAAAAGAATCAAGTAAAGCTGGGCTCTAGTACACTACAGAAGCGAAACTGAAGTAAGGAGACTTAAATGGGGAGGGACCATCCATTGCTATCCCTCGATCCCCGAGTTCTCTTTTAGGAGTAGGTGAGTGAGCTGAAATCTTGAGGAAGGCAAGAGTGTTTAGGGTGTGCAAGTGTTCTGTTTCTGAAATTGCCTTTTCAAATACAGATAATACTAAAATTAAAACATTTTAAAAGTGATGTTTTATTTAGAAATTAAAACATTTTAGAAGTGATGTTTTATTTAGAAATTAAAACATTTTTAAAATGATATTTGATTTAGAAAATTCAAAACTTTTGGTATTACTCTCTTAAGGATATTACCAAGAGGACCACCATCGCCTCCTACATTACAAAACACACTGTGGATGCTGAGCTTTAAACAAACTTAGCACTTGACACATCTGAAAGATAGAGGTGGCTTTCTCAAGGAAATAATATTTAATATTAGCACTTATGCATGGGAAAACAGATGAAATAAAATAGGGAAATTAATGTGCAAGGGGTTATCAGAGACATGGAAGCAATCATATCATTTCCATCTGAATGACCAGGCTGATTACTTGTACATGTAAGACTCTTAGATTTTTTTGATCTAAAAAAACTTTAAGAACATGAAGGCCCTTATTCTCTCATTTGAAAGTGTAAAACTGAAACCCTGAGAAGTGCATTGATGAGGTCCCATTGCTAGTAAGTGTCAGAACTGAGACTAAAAGTGGATGGAAATGACAGTGTACCAAACATTGTGTTATAGCCATGATCTCATTTAATTTTTACAATAACCTTGTGATATGTGTTACTCTTTCACAAGTGAGAAACTAAGGCTTGCAGAAATGAAACAACCTGGTTAGCAAACCAGAAAGTGGCTGATGTAGGAATAAAAGTTTGTTTGACCCTGTAAGATACAGTCATCTATTTTAAGAGTCCACCTCCAAGATCTGTCAACTCTTGGCTTAATGGCTGTGTTCAAATACAGAACATGTATTAGGGATATTCAAAACTAAGTGAGATTTCCAAAACAATAAAAATGAGACACAAATGCAAAATTTTTCCATTGAGTCAACATCTGTAAAATTTCAGGTTAAGAAATGGCTTCCATGAGTAGCGACAACCAAGAGAACAACTTATATATAATTTAGGTCATTTGAACTCTAGAGTAACAGCACTTAGGTTGTGGAATGCTTCTGAATGTCTGCTGATATTTTATAAGGACATTTAGCTTATTTGCTGATAGGTGCATCTATCTGCATACTCACTTTCACACGTGGAGCATTCTTTCCTGATTCAAAACAATAGAGAGAAAAATAAACAAAGACATGAAGTATCTTCCTATTTACCTTTTAATTCTGAAAGATAATTATTTGTTTAATAAGTTCTGCCATGATTAGAGGATGTCAATGATTATTAATTATTTAAAATGTGTTTGTATTCTCAAATATGTTTGCATTTCACAAAGAAACCAAGCTCAGCTAACCTTGTCTTTTGTTAAGGCTTGCAATCAAATTTTTACTTCCTTAATAAACATTTCACTATACTTTCTTGAATTCTTATTCATATTTATTCATGAAATTTCTCCTTTTCTTATTGTATCTTGTCTCATAGTCCCCTTCTTTCAATCACTCATTCAAAAAATATTTATTGATTATTGAATGCTATGAACAGTATCCAGCACTGGTCCATAACAAGTAAACAGGACAGATTCCCTCCTTTCACAAAGGTTATATTCTAGGTATCAGAGACAGATAGTAACAAGCAAAATTAGCAAGATAAAGCCAGATGATAAACATGATGGCAAAAGTTAAACAGTTATGGATAATGCCTTGGGAGAAATTACAGCCATGTACCATATAACTTTTCAGTCAATAGACCACATACATGATGGTGGTCCCATTTGATTATACTATGGTACTTTTACTATATCTTTTCTATGTTTAGATATGTTAAGATACACAAATACCACTGCATTATAATTGCCTATAGTATTCAGTACAGTAACATGCTAAACAGGTTAGTAGCCTAGGAGCAATAAGCCACCTACCATATAGCTTAGGTGTGTAGTAGTCTCTTTCATCTAGGTTTGTGTAAGTACACTTTATGATGCTCATACAATGACAAAATCGCCTAATGGTACATTTCTTATATCTCAGGCATAAATCAATACATGACTTTGAAAAGAAGGCCAGAGTAGGTCTCTGAGGAAGGTGCTGTTGAGAAGAGACCGACATGGGCAGAGGCGCCAGCAATGCAAAGGTACAGAAATGGTGAGAACTACCAGGCAAGAGAGATGTCAAGTTTCAAAGACAAAAAAGCCCGGAATAGCTGGGGCAAATATTAGATAGAGTCAGAGAGCAAGGCAGGGACCAGACTCCAAAAGGCAAGAAAGCCATGATAAAAAGCATGGGTTTGAATGTTAGTTCTGTGCAGAGAATGGATAGTAGTGATGTGGCAACCAATGAAGACACCAGGTTAAGGTAAACCAGCCTAGCAATGATGGTGTTTGGACAAGCCCATCAGCAGTGCAGATGGTGAAAGAGAGAGATTGCTTCAGAATATATTTGGGAATCACAACTGAAGAGACCTTAAGAACCTGGTGGATGATATAACAGAGGAATCAAGATTGACGTGTCATTGGCTAGGGAAGGATAGTGGAGCCTGGCACCACTTCCTACAATGGGAAATTTCTTTTACAATGTAAAATTCTTTGACCATGACTATTATGCTCAAATTCTTTTTTAGTATAACAAGACTGGCATATATAAATGGTTTTCAATGACCATCATTGTCCCTGTTCATTCTCTTAAAGATTGTAACTGTAGCCAGCAATAGACTTCACTCTTTATGTAGGCCGTTATGTTGGAGGTCCTTGGATTGCATCTGTGCGAGATACTGTTAATTAATCATATGATATCACTATCTCTGTACAATAAGTATATAAAATATTTCAAAATTTGCTTTGGTCCATAAATGGTAACTAATTGATAAATACTCCAAGGAATAAATAAGTAATAAAATATATGCAATTAGTCACTTTAAGCATTACTGTCATACGGTGGGAGCCTAACTGTGTTTGAAAGCACTGTCTACATCCTTCTGAGTATTGTGCAAATCAAGGACATTATAGCATTGTAACGGAAGCATATAGGAAAGCACAAAACACATGTGCCACGTAACTATGTGAGGTAGGAAATCATCTGTGGAAAAATCTTCAGTGCTTTGCAGCCACAATTCTAAGACAGACAACACTCTTGGGCTGTTATCCACATCAACTATTTACAGTTCTTCAAGTCTACTTAATTGTAGCTTCCAGTGCCCTTGTTACTTGACTGTCCTACTCAAAATTTCTCAAGGACCCTTGACTTCTTCCTTTTAAATTCGGCTCTGTATATAGATCTTTCTGAAAATCAGCCCAGTGTTTAAGATGAAATATTCAGGGAAAAGAAGACAAAAGTCAGCAAATGAGCTGACCCCACAATAAAGCAAACTCATGAAAAGCAAAATGTGTAGTTGAAAAAGTAAGCTTATGCTCTAATAAGAAAAAGAAAAAGGTGTGAAGTTTTATCTGGCATGTGTATTTTAGGCCCAATGAGGTTTGCAAACCTTTTCTCCAACTATTGCTCTGCTTGTTGCCCTGCTGTTATTTCAATCTAGCACTCCAGCCTGGATAGAACAATAGAGTGATACAGAACAACTTTTAACATTGCATTTTGTTTGTGGATCAGAGTGTTTTTAAAATACTGTTTTCCCCTTTGTCTTAGAAGGCAATATGCAGCCAACTTCAGCCAATTGTTGGGGTATAGCCATTCTGCCTGAATATAGTATAAATGACTTCAGTGGGTAGAACTCCAGTGGGACAAAGAACAGGTGACCAAGAGTCATTCACCACAGATGCATGAATGGAAGCATAGCCATCACAAAGAAGAGCCAAAAAAAGGAATAAGGCAAATGGGATGACACTGATGCATCCCTGGAAATAATATCAAGATATCAGGACTGTAGCTCGTTGTCTGATGTTTTAAATTAAAATAACTGAGCTACATTAGTTTTTTAATGTTTTGAAATTAGTCAGTATGGCAATAGTGGCAGCAAGGTATGAGAGAATTGAACTGGAACTTCGGGTTCCTGTTCTGATTCTTCCACTAACTACGAGTCACCTTGGTAAAGTCACTTCAATTCCTTGCACCTCAATTTCCTCATCTTCAAGCTGGAGATAGTAAGAATCTTCAGTGTTTAGGTATATTAGTCCTTTTTCATGCTGCTGATAAAGACATACCCAAGACTAGGC
The DNA here is from genome assembly GCF_000001405.40 of Homo sapiens. Taxonomy (NCBI): domain Eukaryota; kingdom Metazoa; phylum Chordata; class Mammalia; order Primates; family Hominidae; genus Homo; species Homo sapiens. The sequence goes on from NC_000013.11 coordinate 53,796,801, forward strand.
AACTTAGAAAAGAAAGAGGTTTATTGGACTTACAGTTCCACATGGCTGGGGAGGCCTCACAATCATGCCGTAAGGCAAGAAAGAGCAAGTCACATCTTACGTGGATGGCAGCAGGCAGAGAGAGCTTGTGCAGGAAAACTCCCATTTTTAAAACCATCAGATGTCATGAGATTCATTCACTATCACGAGGACAGTGCAGGAAAGACCCACCCCCATAATTCAATTGCCTCCCACCAGGTTCCTCCCATGGCACGTGGGAATCGTGGGAGTTACAATTCAAGATGAGATCTGGGTGGAGACACAGCCAAACCATATCACTAGGTTGGCAGAAAGTTTAATATGATAAATCATGTAAAAACACTTTGAAAGTATAAAATGCTCCAATGATTTTCAGTTGTCTGTATTAGACATTAGGAGAAATTGGCTCCACATTCTGATATTATATAACTATGAACATGTATAGAAACTTAGTAGGTAACATCTATTGAGTCCTTACATTGGATCATGAGCATGAATCATCCCTTTTAATCCTCAGCATAATTTTGTGGGTAGGTACTATTATTGTCCACATTTGACAGAGGAGAAAATCAAACATGGCTTGGAGCAGTTAAGCAACTTGATCAAGTTCACCTAACTAGTTAATTGCTGAGCTAGCAATTGGTTTTAGTTGTATCAAATTTCAAAGCAAAAATTTTAACTCTGCATGCTATTTATAATTGTAGCTCCAACTATACTATGAAGTAACCTTAAAAATGCAAAACTATGAAGTCCTTCCAACGGTTTTAAACTGTGATAACTCAAGTTAAACATGGCTTTTGATGCCCATGAGATAGACTATAGTGCAAACACTGCACTTTGCTGAAAAATATAATCAATATGGCTACTTCCTCCATACAAATCACTTGTCTTTACAGCAACTGCTGAGTGTTTATATCAACTCATCACGGAGTTGCCAGTTCCTAATTTGAAACAGAAGTAGCCATGTTTATGGAAAACACCACCATTCTAACTTCATTTAGAAGAGGATGTTAAGTTGACCTGAAGTACACAATGCTTTAGTCTTAATTACTATGCTGTCCCTATTGTTAGTATTATGGCTGGAAAGATAGCAGTTTTACTAATAAAAATCATCAGAATGCCATAATTTTCAACATAGTTCAACTGTCTTCAAAGAGTAGACAGGGAATGTTCCCTTGGTGCTAAGTAACTAAATGGCATTTAAGAGGTAGGAGGATGTTTTTCCTTCCCATCTTAAGATAAGTCACTTTCAAATAATTTTTAATACCTGAAGTTGACAAACTGCCTGGATGATAATTGGAATATACAGAAGACTTCACTGATGTTTGTTGAGATGGAAGGAAATAGCATAGCACATATACAAACAATCTAATGTTGAAGTTAAGGCACTGGCATCTTTATTTTTGTCTTGGGTCATCCTGTCGTGTTGCTTGACAGTCCCCCTAATTTTCCAAAGTTTCTGTGTCCTCACTCTCAGGAGCAAAAGCTCCAATTCTATTTCTTTTCTGGAATGGCTTCAGTTGACTTTAGCTCTGTTTAGCATGGCCCATGCATACAGGTTTGCGTCTCCTCTAAAGGCCCAACTAAACTCCAGGGCAAGTCAGCACACTCTTTCAAGGGTCTCTGACCAGTAGAAATTCCATTCCACCAGCTAAATAAACCTGTAGCATATGCATCAGTGTATGGTCCATTATGGTCCCTAAAGATTACTAATTTAATTATAGAATGCTATGATATAGAATTTTTACTATTTAGAATATCCTAATAAATTGTATTTATTTGTACTGCCATAACTGTAATATCCCTCATCCCAATAACAACAATAAAAATTCTTGCTGTGTGGATTTAGAGTATCTGGAATAATTAGTGAGAAAATAAAGAGAGATAGAGGCATAATTTATTCATCCCTGTTCAGTTTTCCAGATATGCTAGAAAGAAAGGGCACTAGCAAAAGGTTTACAGCTTTCCTCACCAGATGCTTTTTATGCTTTACAAAAATTATGCATGGCAGATAATTTCAATACACTAAAAAATTACAGGAGAAGATAAACAATTTTCTTCCTTATAAAAATTTTATTATTGAAAATTATTGGGGGCAGAGGATGGAAGGATGGGCTATAAATGGAGATAGCATGTATAGTTGTTAATGAACATCTGCTTTTATTGAGAACCTACTCTAACAAAGTTTTAAATGTATTTTCAATCTTCCCAAATTAACTAAATGGCAGTGTATTAGTTACTGATTGCTGAGTAACAAATCACAACACAACTTAGTGTTTTAAAACAACAATTTTAGTGTTTTAAAAGCAATGATAAGTTTGTATTATCTCTTATGGTCTTGGTGCGTTGGGAATTCAAAAACAGCTTGGCTGAGTGGTTCTGGCCTAGAGTCTGTCAAGGAGGTTAAGACAGTAGTCTGAAGATTTCTGCATTCTCATCTCTGGTGCTTTGGGAAGATGCAAGCAGTTCCTGGTGGTCTCTCCACATGATTTCTTTTGCATGATAGATTCAGGAGAACTAGACTTGTTGTATGGTGCCTCAGGGAGTCAAAGATGCACATCCCCAAAAGAAGAGAGACAGGTGAATGCTGTATCACCTTTTATGACCTAACCTCAAAATCATGTAGTATTACCTGAACCACACTAAGTGTAAAGGCTGTAAGAAACTCTTGTCTAGATTCAAGAGGAGGGTAAATAATGACCTCTTTATTGGAGGCACAATTTTAGAAGAGCATGTGGGACCAGAAATATTGTTGTGGACCTTTTTGGAAAATATAATCTGTCACAGGTAGGTATCGCCAATGTAAAGATAAGCAAACCTGGCAAACAGGCTCATGCCTGTAATCCCAGCACTTTGGGAGGCCAAGGTGGGTGGTCACCTGAGGTCAGGAGTTCCAGACCAGCCTGACCAACATGATGAAGCCCCGTCTCTACTAAAAAAATACAAAAATTAGCTGGGCGTGGTGGCACGCATCTGTAATCCCAGCTACTCAGGAGGCTGAGGCAGGAGAATTGCTTGAACCCAGGAGGCAGAGGTTGCAGTGAGCCAAGATTGTGCCACTGCACCCCAGCCTGGGTGACAGAGTGAGACTCTATCTCAAAAAAATAAAAAATAATAAAAAATAAATAAAAAAGATAAGCAAACCTAGGCTCAGTGAGTTTAAGACAAAATCATCTGGTAACATTTGGTTCAAGGTATATGGGACTGGTGGTGCCATACTTCCTTAAGTCTGTCAATATTGCTTTGTCCTATATTCCATGCATCACTGAAATCCTTTTCTCATGACCATCAAGACGACAGCATACAAACTCTCCATTATCGTTAAAAACACACCTTTGGAATATCAGATGACTTTACTTCTACCTCTCTGGCTTTTATCTAGGTCAACATCCATATTTCATCACCTTTCTGCTGGCTAGGCTGATGAGAAGCAGAGAGTCATGTTGCCTTCTTAAAAATTTTAACTTCTTTGTTTGCACCCGCAGATTTACATTGACAACATGCACAACAGGCTCATGTAAAAGGATTATCTGATGTGTCATCATGACTTAATGAAGAACGCAAATGCTTCTCGATGAAATTGAAGTAAAAAGAGGAAACAGAAGGGAAAATGAGAGTCTAAAAAGAAACAAAGAGAAGTTAACTTTTAAGAGATGACAAATTCTACCTGCCACGATGTTTTATTTTAATCTGAAAGAAATTATAAAGCTGATACTTTCTGAAAATATATCCTTTTACAGTAAATATTCTTGTGAAATCTGCCAACCTACTTTTGTTTTATTTCAAAAGCTTTTGTACCTCTCCAGACTAAACAAAATACTTAAAAGATGATATGGACATTTAAAAATATTGTACTTAAAAATAGAGAAGAATAAAAATCAAGAATTCATTCAAAAGAATAGTGAATTCAAATAACTTTCAAATGTTATTCTAATTTATGAGTTGCTGCTACATCGATCTTCCTACTGAAAACAAAAATATCTGTTGCTGACATCTACCAAAAAGTGAATTTTTTCCCCAAATTGAGCTGAGTCCACCTGTTTTGGTAATGAGTTAGAGAAATATATTCTGTTCTTTTTTAGAAGCTCCATCAGAGTGGAAGACATTTATGAACTATATAAATGTCTCATTAGACTCCGTCTCAAAAAAAAAAAAGAAATGTCTCATTAATTTTTAGTTATTGGTTTCTCATTCTATGACCCAGAGTCATGAAAATTTCAGAAAACCACAGGTTATTTGTTGAGTGTTCAAATTGCATAATTAAATAACTGTCATTGTTGGGAAAGGAGAATGATATGGAAGACATAGCCCACACTTGGCTCTTGAAAAGTTTACCACTGAACTGAGCTAACAGATAAAACTTCATCAATTTCTTATCACTGAACCTGAGGGTTACACACAGCTGCACACATCCTTGCTCTGTAACTCTTTCTGTGAGAGAGGACATGTGTAACTTCCTATCTAAGGTCAATCCCTTTATCCCTCTTCTGAGAGCTGCAATGGAGATCCAGAACACAGTGGAAGAATATATTGAAATATGTGTATCTAAGGTGTTCTATAAATTCTCATTTCAATGGGCTGTCCCTTAGATAACCAACACTCATATGTTGTTTCATTTCTCAATGCATCTTACTGTGTTCCATATTACTTTGAGTCTAATGGAATGTACCAGCTTAAATGGAGACTGTATCTCTGCCTTTATTACTAGATCTGGTTGATATTGTTGTTATCTGGAGTTTGAGAACTCTCTTCCCTTATCAGGTGAGCTGCATAAATAAAATGGTATTTAGTCTGTATAGAGTGTGTACCGTGTGTGCAATTCTGTCTAAGTATTTTCCTGTTATTATGCCACATAAACTTGCTGATAACCCTATAGAGTAGGTAGTTATTATTCCTATTCTACCAATGTAAAAATTGAGGCACAGAAAATTTAAGTAATTTTTAGAGCATGAAGCTAGTAGTAGGTAGTGTCTGAAACCAGCTATTTCAAAAGTCATGCTCTTAATTATTACTGCAAACTGCATGCTAATAATAAAGATGTAAAAAAATCAAGATGGAAAAAGAAAAACCCAATAATTTTTATCAATATGTCTATAGAGGTGAAAGCACTAAAGAATTTGTGTTACAAGTTCCCTAAACCTATCTTTTTGTTGTGTATTCTATTACTCCAAATTCAAAGTTTACCAGGCATTATGGATATTTCATATTTACTTTTTAAAAGTAAAATAAAATTTAGATAAACTGATATGTGGTAATGTGGCACTGAATAATCTAATTGACCATAGTTATATATATATATTTTATCTCATTGGTGTGTGCTGACAGATCAGGTACCCACTGAACCATCTTAGTAAAAAAACAGTAATATTGCCCAACATCACTAGACATTCATCAAGTTCAGTTTTTAAATGAACTTATTACTAGTTGCTGCCTTTGTGTTTCTAGGTCAAAAAGAAAAGCATGATTATAATTCTTTAAGCATTTAAAAAAATTCAAAATTGCCCAATGCAGTATAATATTATAGTTTTATTTTGTGAAAAAAATGTTCTCAAGGCCATAAGCCAACCTTATTAAGCAATAGTAGCACAGATTTTTTTGTATAAATAGAAAATATGGTGGCAGATATAGAAAATTATAATAGCTTAATCTCATTTGTAACAACAAAAAACTTCAAACTGCTTGCACACTATAAGCAGAAAATCAGCATTCAAGGCTGCCCTTTGGAGAATTTGGTTTATTATGAGTCCTATAAAGTATCTTATTCTAATATACCTGTGAATTAAAGTTTGTGCAAATATTCAACTCAGTTGTACTGGAAGTACTTTTTCAGGAGGAAAAAATGATTCAGCTCCACTTATACTTTCATTAAATTAGTGTTTTAGTCCATTTTCATACTGCTATAAAGAACTACCTGAGACTGGGTAATTTATAAAGGAAAGAGGTTTAATTGACACACAATTTATCATGGCTGGAGAGGCCTCATGAAACTTACAATCATGACAGAAGGCGAATGGGAAGCAAGGCATCTTCTTCACAAGGCGGCAGGAAGGAGAAGTGTTGAGCAAAGGGGGAAGAGCTCCTTATAAAACCATCAGATCTACTCACTCATATCATGAGAACAGCATGGAGGAACCTCCCCATCATCCAATTACCTCCACCTTGTCTCTCCCTTGACATGTGGGGATTATGTGAATTATGGGGATTACAATTCAAGATAAGATTTTGGTGTGGACACAAAGCCTAACCGTATCAATTGGTTTTAGAGAAGATAATTTCACAAGTAATTTAATCTTTTATATTTTGTTCTTATGTCATGAGGAAACATGACCTTGTGAAATTGAGTATTAGAGTAATTAGGAGAATGAAGGTATCAATGGTTTGAGTCATAAGGATGGACATCTACTGAGTTTGAATAGATAGTGACATGGGTAGTTCTACACTTTAAATTGGTCACTCTAGGTATACTGAGGAAATTGTATGTAAGGGAAAGCAAGGTTGAGAAAGCAAGTCAAAAAGAGCAGTTAAGCATCTTTCCCAATAATTTAGGAAAGAAATGTGATATTATCTAGGGATCACAGAGAATAAGTGAGTTTCAGGAGGGAAAATCAATACAAAATAGGAAGAATGAATCAGTATATTTATGGGAATTATATAGATATAAAGGGAAAATTTTTCCAGTACCACATTCATTTGTTTTTCTTCTGAAAGCACTAGCTCAAATTACTCATAAGAAGCCAATCCTTCCCCTGTCACAGTGGACAAGGTTCAGTTTGGCTGTGAAGGTCAGCATGTAACTCATGCCTGATATATCATGAATTAAACTGGGATGGACTAGTAACAATACTCACTCCCTAAAATTTTCTTCTTTCTTATTCCTGGCCTGGAAGTTGAAAGCTGGTAGAATAGAATGTGGAGATGCTGAAGGCCAGAGTATAGAAAACGTCTGCCAAATTATCATATAAAGAGAGCTAAATTAAATACTAATAATATAGTTTTATTAGCTCCTGGATCCAACCCTTTCTGAAGCCATTATGCTAATTGAATTCTTTTTCATTTTTTTCTTAAGATAGTTCGAATTGGGCTTTTGTCATTTGCAGTAGGAAGAATCCTGAATATTCCCTGAGGCTGGTAGAATTGCAGAATATGAGCTCCAAGTTGCTTATGTAAAGCATTATGAAAAATATAATAAAGTGCAGGTCAAAGATCTAAAGATTTTGGTAAGTCTTTGGGTTTTCACTTTTGAAATTTTGCAGTGCATAGTATTTCTTTCAAATTTTGTTTAATGACTCATAAAATCTGATTTGAAGTTTTTTATAAAGAACTATTTGTATCCTTGGTGTTTGAGGTATTGCTTAGTGTATGTTTCAATTACAAACTTTTTGGTCAAGTAATTTTGGAGACTACATTTACACAAAAAAACTATAAAATTGATGATGACAATAACTGAAATTCTCACTTAAGTTTTTAAAGTTAATTCGATAAATAAAATGTAAAATAGAAAAATGAATGAAGAAATACTAATCACTAATGCCATTTTGTTGTCTTTGCAACAAAGTACTCTACTGATCACAATTATTTGAAATGTGATACAACCACATGAAATGCTCCTTTTGGATTTGACTAGGAGCCAGGAGACCACTAAAAAATTGCTTCACGTAATCTTGGTATTTTCATATAAAGAAAAATGAATATGTGCTATGGTTACAATTTATAACTGAGGAAGAGGGTATTAATATGTTCCAACAATAAAGATTTTCCTTATTATTATTGTTTAGCTATTTAATCCAATAGTTTGTGGATATAAAATTTTCCTTAAAAAAGCATTATTTGAAAAATAAAGCCATATTAGATATTTATTCTATGTTTAATGGGCACATTGTTTATCATTTTAACTAAATCAAAAAATTATTTATGATTTATCCAGGGCACAAAATCCTCAATACTATTTAATCAATATTTCCTTTTATTAGATACCTTTTTATTAAAGAATAAAGGCAACATAAGACTATAAAAATCCAAATATAGAGTAAAAAAATATTTTCAGTGATTCTTTGATAGTTTCTACTCCAACAGTTCTGATAACTTTTTCCATATATCAATAAACTACATAGAATCTGTTCCTTGTGCTATTTTTCTCTGAGGGGTTGATCTTATTCCTATTTATTTCAAAGTGAATTTTATGTATTAAGAAAACTAGACATTTCCTTTACCTTTTCACTGATTATGATGGGTTTTCCAATGCAAAGGTTTTTTTTTTTAATTTTTATGTAGAGTAAATAATCTTTAGCTTTATGACTTCTGCGTACTATTTCATACTTATAGAAGACTGTCTTGTTCTAAAACCATTACAATTTTCTCCCAGAATTTTTTCTAGCCTGGTTCCATTTTATTTTATACACTTACATCTTTGCTCCCTCTGGATTTGTACGTGTGTGTTTATTTGCTTGATGTTTGTGTTTGTAAGATATGAGGTTTCAATTCAAATTTATTCTATTCTAATTTGCTGTTCAGTTTTTTCTGGTGTCATTTGCTGCATAGTTTATCTTTTCTCAGTCATTTCAAATGCTACCTCTTCTATCACATAAGTATACACACACACCCACATATATGCTACAAGGGCAGAGAGAGGTTTGTCTGTTTTGTTTATGTTCTACACTAGCATCTGGAATAGAAAGTACCTAGCACATAGAAGGAAATTAATAAATATTTGTTGAATGAACATATGCTACTTCTCTAGGGCACCATATAACCTCATATATTCAATTTCCTTAAACTTCCTCCTGTGCTCCAAAATATTTCCAAATACAGATTCAGGTAAAAACCATAAAAGGCAACTAATAGAGTTAATTTACTTTCTGGACTTCCAAATAATTGTTCTTAAGCCTAGTGTTGGATTTTCTGTTTCAATTCCTCTGCAGAAATAGTTTCCTCATATTTTTCATAATTTAAAAAAACTCACTCAGAAGTTTAAGGACAATCCTTTGGAGGAGAATTTTTTGATCTTTTGAATCCAATACACAAAATGAGATGATATTTATATCTATTGTGAGAGGCTTGCCCTTGGAGGAACAGGATTGTGTGCAGCTCCCAGTGCAGTAGCTGTAACTCAACCCCTTTCATTCTCGAATTAGCATTTTGAAAGTGACTTTCATACATCTATACCTCGAGACTTCTACAATTTGTTATGAAAAATAAAATCATTTACAAGCTTAGATACGTCATCATTAGGACCAAATTGCACAAGACATACCTGACAACAGAATAAGAGATAATTGTGAATACAGCCATAGCAATTGATTAGCCACTCTTTAATATTGAGTCTAGCATCCCCACAGCTTCTAGGAGAGGAGCTGAAAGCTAAGGGGAGTAGCTGTGCATTCTGATTAAATATTTATTGACATCTCATTTAATTCCCACAACAACTCCCACAGGCCAAGAAAGCTTAAATTCCCAAAGGCCATTCATCTTGAAAGGGGTAGAGTCAAGAATTGTAGGTTTGTCTGATTGGAGAGACCAAGCTTTTACCTGCTGGTCTACCCTGATAAGAGTTTTCATGTATTGGTGATATTTCTGGAGGTTCCATCCCTTTTCAACTGATAACATTATCCTCTCAACTGAGGTAATAAGCAAACCTCTGATAAAGAGAGTGGCTGGAGTTGGGACATATTTCTGAAGTTGATAGAATGCATTACTAAAGAGGTATACCAAATAATAATTATTTTGTGATGTAAACCTTGAATGTAGAAAATGTTCAGTCTTCTAGACACTGATTTTTATTTGTATTTCTTTGAAGAGTGCACAGAGTTTGGGTGAATGCAGAAAACTCATTTTAATTCTTGAACATGTCTTGTCATTCTGTCAGAAAGTTTCCAAAATACAGGACCCTTTTCTTGCACTAAGCGTGGCAGTGCTCCTTGGAGCCACAGCACATGAGAATTGTGAAATTACAGGTTCAACTAGCTGTGAGAAGAGAATGCACCAAGGATTAAGGAACAATGGTAAAGCAAGGATGCTGGACCAAATATGGCCAAATAGCAATATTTTTAAAACTATGTATCTGTATTAATTTTTCTAAGAGTTTGTAGGTATTTTTCAAAAAAAAAAATTAAACACAGATTTTAAAAAGACTATTGTTGAAATGTGAAGAAATTCAGTGTTTAGTTTTATTAGATATAAGAAGGTCTCTATTAACGGAGCTATACATTTCCAGCTGCATGGATTTTTAAAAAGTAAAGTCTTAAAATTAACAGAATGTATTTATTTGGCATCCATACTGCTGTGAATAGCTGTAATGCGTGTTTAATGTTTCTTCTATACAATCCCCTTACATGTCACAATAAAAAGACCTTTTTAAAAAAATCCACTGTAAATGACCCTTTATGATTACATTACTGAAACACCCCTTTTCAAACCTTTTGTAGTATGCACATTATCTTTGGATATATCTATTCACAGTTGATAAGAATGCCTTTTCCATTTATTTCATTCTGTTTCTATGAAAACATTTCATCACCAAGCAGCATATTCACATTCATCAGTAATTACTTGTACACTGTCCAATTTGTATCCTGTGAAGGCTTATGGGAGAATAATTGCTGTACTATGTCAAGAGAAGGGTTTAGCCAATGCTAGCTTATAAAATTCAAACATTCTCCCACTTACAAATGACCCTGAAATTCTTATTAGCTTTAAAATGTCTAATTATATCACTGCCTTTCTGTACAGATCATTTTGAGTGAAGATTATTCACTTGTTTAATCCCGCCTCTCATAATGATTTCATTTTCATATCTGCCCTCACTTCATTCCTCACCTAATCTCTTACTTGCTGTTGCTGTGATATCCCTGGTAACGTGAAGAAAGCAGTCAGGCCAGCCATTCAGAGCTTCATGAGCAAAAAGAACTTCATTCCTCTTCTGCTATTTTAGTTTCATTGAATTATGTTCTTACTGTATTGGACGAATATTATTCAGGCTAAGGAATATAGTCACAATAAACCTTTTTTCTTTGGTGTGAAGCATCATTTAGATGTTTAATCACCTGAAAAGCCATTTACTGCTTTAGATATACCTTCCCAATGAGCGTAATCTTTTAATTATTAATTGAAATCATAATTTTGTACTTAAATATGGCTTTGTATTTGACTGCACCAAATATTATGGAGTATCCATTTCTTAATCTCAAGTAATTATGCATAAATTTATGTTGTTTCTTTCAATAATTTTGGAAACATGTTAGCTGGACTAGTTAGTGTTCTCAATGGGTAATCAGTAATTTATTTCTTTCTATAGATTTGTAAGTGTATTTCCTAGAATTTAATTTGTAATCTAAAATTGCCTTTTCAGATTCATATAAAAATACACCTTGCTTTATACACTGTTTACTGTCAGACTGTCTGCAGGATCGAAAAAGAGAGCATACTTTCCTGGTGAATTTGCAGAAAATTTGATAAATAAGAAAAACAAGTCGTAAAATGGATCACCCAAACTTCACAGTAACTGCCAATAAAGGGAAGGTTGAAGAACATTAGGGTGAGAGCCATCATGAACCTGCCACATCCTCTTTCCTCCACTGTGCTAGTTGGCATAGACCTTCAAAAGACAAATTTGAGTTTACAGAACAGAAGCACCATTCCATGTTATTACATCTCCTTGAACCAAGTGTAGAGGAAAAGAATAAAAGGAAATCTCTAGGCTCAGGAATTTTGACAGCTTCTTTTCCCAGAAGAGAAGCAAGAACCAATATCTATCACCTCCCACCAATTAACCCCTCACACAACCTCTGGGGCGGAACAGGAAGTTAGATTGGAAGGCGGGAGTGGTTAACGAACATCATTTCAAGGAAACAACAAAAAAAGGTTTCAAGCAGAGTATTTCCCTTTAACAAAAACTTGTTTCAGAAAGATTTTCGTAAATTAATGTTGGGCAATTGTATTATATAATAAATGTACAGTGTAAAATCTTTTGTATGTATGGATGTTTACAGTAGAGTATATTTTGGGAAATCTAATACATTCTCTCAACATCCAGCCTTCTGTGAAGTGAGGTGGTTTTTACCCATAGTGTAGCCATTGCTTCTAGCTTTTTTCCAGACTCGGTTGTTCCTGTGACGGCAGCATAAAAAATGCTCAATGCTGTATATGTAAATAGGGGCATTTGTGTTTTTATTATTTACAACTTGAATTTAATACCTATTTTTCATCAGTATACATATTAATTTAATACACATTTTTCTTTATATTTTGAAGCACATGAATCAATCACTGATGGGCTTGAAAATGAAATCTTATACATTTCAAACATATAATGCTCATACAATTCCAGGAAGAAATGAAAGAAAGCATGTAGATACTTCCGCTTTTAAGAATTTCCCTTTAATTTTTATGAAGAAAAAGTAAGCAATTCAAAAAAATAAATATGGCTAAGTTAAAAAAACTTTCAGAAAGCTTCCGAAATGAATTTATCTATACCATTAGACTTACTTCCTTTGATTAAATATTTTATTCCTAAGGTTAGAATTCATCAAATCAGCTTCTTCCTTTGCTATTTTTCCAAGTAACACATAGGCTCTTGCCTAATGAAATTCTTGTTTATTATGTGTATGTATAAAGATGCTGATGGCATGGAATAATCAGTACTAGCTAACAGGTCTTCCAAATTTATCCAGTCCCAAGTATAGTTTATCTTTTAGAATAAATTGAAAATGAGAAAATGTTTTTGCTGGTATATTTTCCACATAGTTAGCAACCATCATTGACTGAAAAGAGTTTAACAAGGAGTCGGTGGTCAAATGAATCTGTTTCTTATGGCAATGGTTTGCCTGGAAGCATGCTAGTGTCTGTAGCATATGTGCAAATATAGAACATATATTTTTTTTATCTTAAAAAAAAGCTTAAAACCAAAGTGAACAGACATGAAAGAGCCAGATTGTAGGAATTTGCACACACACAGTAGTGTGGTGTAGATTATGTGTGCGAAAAGCATTAGAGAAGGATGTGCATGTGTTATAGACATGGCATATTTGTGTTCAAAATAGATCATTTTAAATGCTTACAAAAACCGTGCTATTGTAAGGAATCATTTAATTCCAAAGCAGAGAATAAAGCACAGTGATGCTTCAGTAAGGCTGGAAGTAGAAAGCTATATATTCTCTGTCTCATGGAGTCACATGTCCAGGCTCTTTCGTACTCTGTTGGTTTCTTTTTCCCTCTCCCATCTCTCTGCAGTTAGATTTTTCACTAAAGTTCCCCAGAACTGTAGCTTGTACATGGCATTGGCTGACCATGGCTCTCACTTTGGCTATGATGGCAAGACTATTTAGTTAAGGATATACCATTATAGAAAGACTTGGTTTTTTTCAGTAACCTAATTCCACATTTTTAGAAGAGATTATCTACTTGAGATCTTTTGAGTGTGATCACAGGTCCACACCAAATAGCTTTAGTCAAGCTGGTTGAGGCCATTTGATACCTAGGCTGTTTGTTCTAGCAGATTTGGGTGACAACTTTTCTTTGAGAATATGGGAGGTTAGAAGATGAATCAACATGTCTACTACAGAACTTGTCCCAGGTCTGGCATGTTTTTTCCACTCACTTAATCTTCTCTAGAACTTATTCAGCTGACTTATCTGGCCAGGCAGTTTCCTTATCTCCTCTGGCCACCATTTCATACTGACTACAGCGGGAATACTTATGAATAACTTACATTCATATGGTACACGTAATATTTAAAATTGTTCCCCATCCAGCTTATTATTATGTACTATTTGGGGCTTTCTAATTACTTCAAATGGATTAATAAATTTAATTCTTACAAACAAACCCACCAAGAATCAATGACCAACACATTAAATTTAGGTGTAGGGAAAGACAAGAGTGAGTTTCCTTCCTTAATCATCTAGAGGAGTCCTTCATGTTTCTCCAAACACATTATCTGTATGTGGTGCCTTTTTATAATACAGGGACCTCCAGAAATCCTCTTCGTTTATTCTTTTCCCTTCACTTTAAATATGCATCTTTATCTGTCTTTTTACAAAACTCAAAGTCAATGAATGTGCCTGATACTTTTCATTACTATTAAATTAGAAAATTTTGCTCAGGAAATATGAGCAAAGATCTATGACTCCTACTTATCCAAATCTGAAAGAGGTTTTCTTCTGTGATGTTCTGTTATACAGATAGATGTTAGCTCCATGGTATGTATTAGCAATGGCTTTCCCTCAAATGGCAAGTGCTCAGGGCCATGGTACCTACTCTCTTCTAAAGGCTGGGGGAATTAAAACACAGTAGGATTCAGGGCAGTTAGTTACTAGCCAATAGTCATCTTTCGGCTTTGGAAACCTTAGATTTTTATCAGATCCTAAAATCTGGGGGGAGATTTTCTCAGCATTTTTAGGCACTGTGAAAATCTTACTTTGAAAGGAAACAAATTAAAAATATGTGCTCAATTTGATCTGTCCCATTGTGTTTTTGTTTAACTTATGGCAGGACGACAAAGATGTGCCCTGTATCTCCCATTTGGGAAAGGAATCCTTCAAGTGGTTGGAAGAAAAAGACATAAAACCAATCATAGTAGAGGGAAGATTGAAGATGTAGAAGCTAAACAGAATCAGTTAGATCTCACCCCCAGGGAAACAATAATAGCACAATACTTAATTTAGTGCTAGCATTCATAAAAATACGCTATTAGGGTTATTTTATTATTTCCCTATGCATGCATACATGAAAATGCACTCAAAATCACCCGAGAATAAGTATTTTGGAACACACATTGAGTTCCCTTTTCCCAGAACCTATAAAAATGCCTTCACTGTAAAAATAATTTTAATTTCTTTAGTGCAATCTATAAATGTGGCCTTTGGGCCTAGTGTTTATGGCAGATGGAATGGCTCTATTTGGACTAGCTAAGAAGACATCAATGTTCTGTAGGTATTGACACAGCAGCCATAAGCTTCCATCTGGCCTTATGCCTGCACAGCAAGGATGATTTAGCATAAAATTTGAAACCATATCTTAATGTGTAGTTGTACAGGGATTACCCATAAACAATTTATTCATTACAAATTCTTGCTAAAATATAAGCTACATTTATATGCATATATACCCACAGAAATATATATATATGTGTGTATATATATATAAAATATAATACTTCAGAATGATCCTTAATTGCTGTAAATCTTTCTCATATGTTCTGGAAGCAGTATCTATTAATTTCTTCTGGATGTCTCATATTTTCTTTAAGTGAATATTCAATGTTAAATAATCTTATGTAATTACAGAGGTTATTAGTAAACTAATTTAATTGCCTTTGTTTTTCAGAATCACAGCAGTTTTCTTCCTAGTCATAACAAATAGCTGCACAAATGTATTTTTATTTTGTTATTTTTGTATTTTATTTATTGTGCTTATTGAACACCCTTCTGACTTGATTATACCTAATTTCCTTCCCTGATGTTACCAAACCTGCCAAGTCTAGCATCATTTATTTATCTAATGAATATAATTCTTCGAGAATGGGATTGGATAAGACTACATTCAATATATCTCTAAAACTCGCTACCTTCAGAAAAAGTATTACTGTATAACTAGACAACTTTCTTCATTTAGAGATACTGACTTAAATTAGTTTCTTAGACTATAAGTCACTGGACAGTTGAGAAATTTGAAGTAAAATGTAAACCCTCAGTTAATTGCCTCAATTTCCTTACCTGTGAAAGCAAGTATATCCACAGAGGCAATGAACTGTTAGACATATGAAAATGCAAGTTTAAATTGGGATGGTGCTTGTTGAAAGATAGAAATAATTTACTTACTGATATTCAGTATCTTAATAAAGAATGTCGTGGCATATACTGGATAATGTTTTTCCTATAAGCTAGATTTTGTTCACCCACTCCCTTCTCCCCATCAAAATTGAAATGCTTTGTAGCACACAATACAGTCAAACATCTTGAGTGGTGCCAGCGAGACGGTATATCCTTGGGAGTGGGGCTTGAGATGGACTCTGGAATAGGCATTCATTCTAGCCCCAGCAGAAGTATGAATAGGACAGTGACTGCCTTCCCAGTTAATTTCATCCTGCTGCTTCTTTTCAGGAGAGGGAGGGTAGTTAATTTTCCCTTTTCAGTTCTTAACATTTGATAGTAACTGACTTAAAACGATAATTCATTTTTTTGAGAGTCTTCTTTCCCTCCTACAGTGTAAAAAGAGATTGTGTTTGTCAAAACAGCACAGGACTCTAAACATTCCCTCTATTTCAGACATTTTCTGAGGCTAAATTTCTGTAGCTAAGATCTGCTGCAGTGAATTTGTGAGCTGAAGACCACCCTAGAAACGGTTTGGGAAACAGTAATGTGTTCCATGTGGCCTCAAAATATGGTAAATATTCAAAAAAGCTCATAGTATATCTGCAATAAAAGTTAACTTCCACGTGAATGGTCCTTTAGTTAGTTTTGCTGGTAAACTACTTTATTAAAGTTGATTTTTTTTTTTTTTTTGAGACAGAGTCTCACTCTGTCACCCAGGCTGGAGTGCAGTGGGGAGATCTTGGCTCACTGCAACCTCTGCCTCCCGGGTTCGAGCGATTCTCCCGCCTCAGCCTCCCAAGTAGCTGGGATTACAGGCATGCACCACCATGCCCTGCTAATTTTGGTATTTTTAGTAGAGACAGTGTTTTGCCATGTTGGTCAGTCTGGTCTCAAGCTCCTGACCTCATGATCTGCCCGCCTCAGCCTCCCAAAGTGCTGGGATTACAGGCGTGAGCCACTGCACCCGGCCTAAAGTTGAATTTTAATTTCATCCTGCAGACTATGTGCCATGGTTACCTGTTGAATATGTGCACTTGTGTTGAGGATGAGGGGCACAAGGACATTTTTATTATTTATACTTGTAATCAAAGCTATGATCACCTCACACATTCTCCAAAATGAGAAAAGAATAGAATAAGAAAGAGTATAAGGAAATGGTATTTTAGAGTGAGAGGTGAGTAAAAAGAGAGGTTATCAGTTTGATGACCAAATTTTCATTTCAGGTCACTTACTAGGCTACTGGGCTTTGTGGTAATTTGTTCATCCTTGTTTCATTAAATTGTAATTACTTCCGATATCTCTAGCTTTATTTCTTTGGCTGGCTCCTCTATTAATTAAGCCTTAGGATCCTTTAGGAGATGAGTAATTCTCCACTGGACAGTGTTAAGTTTAAGTTAAGAGGTGATAAAATAAAATTAAAAGAGTAAAGTCAGAAATTATTATTTAAAATAGTTTAAGACGTAAAAATGAGAAAGGACAATGCACTTCTTTTTCCATTATTCATTTTCCCCATCATAGTTGATGTTTCTATTCTCATTCGTCTATGAAAACATCTATAGTCTAGCTTCTAACAAGTGTTTTTTGCTTGTGTGTATGTATATACACATGTGCTTGCAAGTGTTTTATGTAGATTTTTACAGGAGCCGGATGAATTGCCTCAGTGCATTATCTTGGAACATATCTGCTATCTAATTACTAACACTTTTCTAGAGATGAAATTTCAGCAGTCAAATAAGTACCATGGTAGATGGCCTATCTGGATCTGATGCCAAACATTATGGATTACATGCTGTTATTCTGTGTGAACAAATATTGATTCACTTGGGAAAATGTAGTCATGATTTTTCATGATTGTCCATTTTATTTAAGATATTATAAAACTTAGAGAGCTGGAAGTAATCTTAAAGGGATCCTTCCATCCATTCTCATGCTTGAGATGATGAGAATGCTTGAGCATTCTCATGCTCATTCTCATTCTGTTTGCAGAATTTCAGACCTTGAAAGGCTCTTCATGTGTATCTCCTTCAACTCTTATTTTAGAAGAGACTAAATCAAAACATGGGGTTTAGGTGACCTACCCTAGTTATTAGCACTATGAAAGGTCATGATTAATTAAAAAGATAATAACATGCCATTTAAGACTTACATCTCTTAGATAAATGAACTTCCCATCTCGCATTTTGGAAGGAAATTATGATGGGACAACCGTCATACAATAACTTCCAAGAGTTTTGGTGCAAATTTGGTGCAAATAAATACAAGGAGGTCCTTTACAAAGAGAAGTCCTGCCTCATAATGCAGTCTGAAAATTCTTGAATATACACAGGTGTGTGGGGCACAAAGATGAGTTGTGTTTAGAGATTCAATTGAGAGTAAACAAAGCGTGTTCTTCCTGAATGATTGCTTTATTAGTTCCCTTTGGTCACATGTCTTCTCACCTGGATGATATGCTCTCCTACTTTACAGATTAAGACTATGAGAACTTTTCAGGCTTAAATACAGATAATGCTATTGGGATCCATTCCTTCTTTATTGATGCCATCAACTTGAGTACTATAAGCATTATGTCACAAATTCACATTATGACATCTAAAGCCCTTTGCAGTCTTCTGGCTTCCTACTTCTCCAGCTTCAACTGAAAATATTTTAAGATAGCATCCTGTCTCCACTCCTTACATCTCAGTTATACTTGTTTGGTTTTAATTTTTCAAATATAAAATTTATTCTTTCCCCTAGGACACTTTGCACATGGTGTTTCTTTTGAGTCTAACACTTTCCCACCATTTGCCCAAGTACGTGTTATTCATCCTTCAGTACTCCGCTAACACACACTTTCATCTGGAAGAACTTACTCTGTCCCCCATTCTAGGTAAGCTCTTCATGTAATCAGTTTCCATAATTCCTAGGATGAATTTTTCGTCACACTCGTTACATTAGTGATGGTGACAATGCACAGGAGAGGATGAATTAAAAATTCACTAGGAGATTATCTATACAGCATTGTTATTAATTGACTATACCTAGATAGTAAAAGTGAGTCGAGGATCATTATGAGTTTTCTGCTTTGTTGATTGGTGGGTAGAGTGCCATTCAGCTTGAGAGAATATGGAGAAAGTAAATTTGATGTGAAGAAAATGAGTTCAGATTTTGTGATGTAGAGTTCAAAAAAGAGGCACCCTTGAAGTAGTTGGATGCATCATACTCACCTAAGAAAATAAGACATTTATGATGGAATTAGAGATTAGAAAGTCACCAAATGTAAATAATAATATAAGCCAAGATTGAAGATAAAAATGCACCAAATCAAAAGGATGTCTAAAGAGTGTGAAGGCAAGAGGAACCCTGGAGAAAACCACTGCTTAGAAATAGAGGCTGGGCAAGATGTCTTCTGCCAGCCCTTTCAGATCTCCCATCTATTCTTTGGCACCCTCCTCTGTGTCTGGGGAGGCCAACGTGTTTGGATCACATAAAATGATTTACTTGCCCTCTAGCTTTATGTACTGTTAACCTGATTGGTGAGGGGAGAACTTGTGAAAACAAGACAAAACAAACAAAACAGACACAGAAGGAAGAAGGCTTTTATTCCTCCCCATTCATTCTTGTGAGTTCTCTAAGTATTATCTATGTCCCATGAGTGAAGGCCACTTTTCCCACAGGGCTCAGCCAAATTTTGGTAACCCCTTCCTCTGTTTGCCTAAAATTGGTGAAGCTCACAGCTATTAAACCTAGGCAACTGCGCTATCCTTCTTCACCTTCCTTGCTCACACTTTTGTAAATAGTCACTATACTAAAATCTCCTCCAATTATCCAATTTGAGGGCATGACCTGTTTCCTGCCATGACACTCACTGCCTGACGCACAAGCAGCTATGAAAATTCTAGTAAAGGAGAAATGTGTCATAAAAGACAAAGGTAAAAGAATTTCCATAGGAACTCCATAGGAATGTTCAATAATGCCAAATGTTGCAGAAAAATCAATTTAGATCTGACAATTAGGAGGTTCTTGATAACCTCGGAAAGTTTTCAACTGAGTGTTAGAGAAGTCATATTACTGTGAATTAAGAATAGGAAAGAATTGAAGAAGGGCAGACAAAAGGTACAAAGTAGTGTTTGGGGAAGCCTGACTGGGAACATAGAGAGCTGGATAGAGGGTCACAAATAATCTGTTGGAAAGGACTTTGAAATTCTTATATACTAAAGGGAAAGAGCCAGTTAAGATGAAAGTTCAAATACAATAGGTGAGTAGAGAGCTTAGTGAGGAACCCACTGCAGGGAGCCAGGTGATAGAGGATAGTTACTTGGACTAGGCTGGAGGCAAGAAAAATGAAGGGAAATGGACCAAATCAAGTTGTTTTTGAAGTAGAATTATAAAGCAGAATAATGATTACTTCATAATTTCTGCATATTGCTTCAAAATTACTGTAGAATCAATGCCTTTAAAGATTGTTAATTTACCTGGACAGGAATTTCAAACATTTAAAAAAGTCAGAATTATATTTAATCTTCTTATTTTTACAAGCTGGAATTATCTATAGGTAAGAGTTCTTGGAAGTTTTATATTTGTGTTTATATGCCCTTAATTTTTTGGACATTTCTGTAGATATATTGTGATCTTCTCTAATAAAGTACCCATTAATATACCATATCTAACTAATCAAACTACTTATATATAGTATAATATCTTGTCAATTAACCTGTTATATAACTACATGAAATATATTCTTGTGTGTTTTTTATTCTCATTCCTTTAGGCAACAACCCATAACAATTCTCATTTTGCTAATGTAAGAGAACAGTATTAGAAATAGATGCAAAGGTTTTAACTGGAACTTAATAGCTTAGTGTTGCATGCAAAATCTGTTTTACTTGACTACCCAAATGACAAAACAAGTGCAGGCTGCTGTTTTTCTCCCCTCAGATTAACCCTAGGGAAGCTAGATGTGAAGAAATCAGGGATTCTAAAAACTAAATACAAGTACAAAAATAATGAAATACTTTGAAAAACACTGGGAAGACTGAAGTCTGTCCTGAACTGGCAATGATTCTTTTTTAAAAAAAGAAAGTCATGTTTGGGAATTTTTCACAGAATGTCAACTTTGCCTTGTCATAGTTTAATGAGTTGTAGGGGAAAGAATCAAATTTTTTTATAAAACTGTTGATATACACCTTGGGCCAATATCCAAAAAGATTTTAATAACTCACAGAAAGTGTTAGAGATTCTCTCTCTCCTTCCCATTTTGTAGTTGAAATAAATATCTGTTTGAGATAGAAAATGCACAAGACCTTGACTGCTGGAACAATTCAGTACTTGACTGCTTAGCAAATGTTCCTAAAAATTGTTTCAGACTTCTAAAAATGGACTACTAAATTTTAAAAATACAATTGTAATAAATCATTTCTACAAATATTACTTTGCTGTGATAAAAATTTTTACTAATTATAGAGAAATTTGGAAATACACAGTTGGGTCACTTAGAGAAAAAATATCCTTTAGACTTTCAGGTACATTTGTTTTTCCTCTATGTGTATATTTGCTCACAGTGCTGATCATTTATCCTGAGATTGCATATATTGAGTAAAACTTTTTTTTGCAAGTCTGGTTATTTTAGTTAAGTGGTGACCTACTACCTCTGAAATAATTGACAACTGGTACACCAATATCGACTTTATGGACATCCAATTATTTGACATTTTAAAGTTTTATCAAAATTTTCCAATATTGTCTGAACAAAAGATGCCATCAGTGGTCTTTGGGAAGCCTCACATGAGCATGAGCTCCTTATTCCCACCTGGCCCACTTCTTCCAGAGAAAACCAGAAGCTACAGTGCAGGCTTTTGATTAGATATATGATAATTTAGGAAATACATACTTGGAGAAAAGAGTTAAATGTGCCATGATCGTAAGAACTATATTGTATGAATAAAGCACCAGAGACTATATGCTCAATAGTAGAAATCCAGTAAATTAATTACTATACACAATTCATGTCATATAATACAAATTGGTAAACAAATTGATAAATTGAACAAATAAGATAATATAGTTAAAACATTCTGTAGCATTAATGGCTTAACCCCTACCACCATGATATCTGCACCCTCTTAAACTCAAAAAAGGGTTTGGGGTACACTTTTAGCCTATCGGAAAATATTTGTAAACTATGCTAGTCTAACTAAAGGAAATTAAGCAGAGCGCATTATTATGATTATTACTAATCATAGTAACACTTAGAATTATTGAAATTATTATTACCTAATAGGCTGAGTTAATTCAAGCAATGAATTTCCTCATGATCTCAAATGCAAATTGTGATATTAAATTTAAATTGGCATTTTTTTTCTGTTTGTGATATGAGTGGGGACTGCAAAGTTTATTTAAGTTGCTTCATTACCCAGAATATTTCACATAATTGCCATTAACTATAACAATCTCTTCTCTATAATATGGCTGAAAGAAAAGAATTTTAATCCTTTTCTCAATTATTAATCAGTTTCACTATCCATTTCTTAATAAAGAATGCTTGATAAAGCACTGTGCCTTTTTCCATGACATCCTCCCCTTTTACAGCACTGATGAAATGGGAATCAAACTACAGGCCACTTATGGATTAGCTGAAAATTTCTAATCATGTCATTTTGGAGTGAGGGTAATTTGTGCAATGGGATAATCATTTCCTCATAGCAGAATGAATATTGAACAATGATTGGTCGAGAATTTAAAAAATAGACTTAAAAGCAAAACAAGGGGGCTGATGAGGTTTTGTTTTTTTGGTTTTATCGACTGCCTGGAAACTTTGCATTGCATCTGTGCTGATTTTTTTGGAATAATATTCAGTAGAAAACTCCAGAAGTATATATATAAAGAATACACATTTCTTAAAGTTTTAAAGACTTATATTCAGGATGGCAGAGCAGAGGTGCTGTCGGGGGTAGAAGAAAGGAATTAGAATCATTTTGCCTTTCCTTTGCCTGCATATTTAGCCTCACAAATAAGATAAATCTAATGAAAATAAGAGGAGGAATATCTCTATTATATTCCTCCTATGCTCCCCCATGTGTTCCTAAGTGTCTAGCAAGCAGTAAGCAATGAGCAATTATTTATGAGTAAATAGATGAGTCAATTAAATCCTACATTGGATTAAAATTTAGTGTATTTTTTCCTCCCAATGTAAGGTACAATTAAAGTTCCTTGCGTGTCCAATTATCAGATTCATAAGTGTGTTAAAGAAAGTTACCAAATTTTAAAATATCTCAATTTTCCTGCTCCAGAGGAATGGAATTTGGCTGTTATAGATAGAAATGAAGATAAGGTGAATCTTTACTTTGGTAAGTTTTAAAGGGAAATTGGTTATAATGATCTCTGGTACCAGTATTCTGAAGTTTTATAAAATGTATTGCTTTCTTTATTGAAGTTAGTAGAAATGCTTTTGAAAGTGAGTCAAATATGTTTCTGGTTGATGGAGTTTAAAAGGCTGAAAAGAAAGAATATTGCCTTAAAAAAGAAGCCCCAAGAGCTTGTGTTAGAACTCCATAAATAATTATATATGGGCAAGAAACAATTGAAATAAACCTGCTTTAGTCTTCATTGAATGGTCACTTTTATACAATTGCACTTGTGTTATGTACCAGTACAATCAGCCTTTGCCATAGTTTTTAATCTTCTTAATGAAAACCATCACCACCACCACCACCACCACCACCACCACCACCACAAAACATGTTAGTGACCATGTCAAACGAATGTGAGATCAAATTATGAATTTGAGTGCCAAAATATTTCTTGGTATCAGTGCCAATTCCTTTCTAATATTTACATAACTGTAACTTTATTCAAGGATACTCTGATCACCAGGTCTGGGAGTTTCCATATATTTCAGAAATATTTTATTTTTATCAAAAAGAGTTTGAATATACTTCAGGATAATTGACCTAAAAGCCTAGTTCTGGATAATTTAAGGCAATCTCTCTATTTAACTAGTGTTCTTGGTGTTTAATCATAAACTACAGCAGTTTGAATGTTGTGAGCCTGTAATTAAGGAAAGTTTACTCCTAGAGCTACAGAGCAGCCCAGCAGTTCTCAGGCAGTGATGAAGTTTACTGGTCTTTTGAAAGTGTGTGCTTATACCTCATAAAACACTTAAGTCCTCTACAAAGTAATTTAGGTAGGTACCAGTAAAATCCAGCTAAACTAAAATGTTTTGTTTTATTAAATCTTAAAGTCATTTAGATGACATTTGTTCTTTAACTTCGGAGAAAACTGAGGGAGTAACACATATTGTTTTCCAAATTAGTCATCAAGCTACATTTAAGTGGCATCGTATGGTACATTAAACGGTATCTGGTAAAACGAAAATTCTTCATTTTGAATTGAGGAGTCTTTTAAGGTTTTCAGAGTGACCATATTTTACCATGTAATTTATCATCCAACCGAATATATCCTGAGATTAAAAGAGTGCTTTTCATAACTGTGCCCAAACAAGCCTAAATCAAGGCTGTTTCAAAATTAGACATGTGCCCCAACCCTCTGTTTTGCTGGGGCAAGGAACTTCCATGTAATTTAATAATTACCCATTTGAGCAAATGTGCAAGAATGAGATATAAAACTTGGCTTGAAATATTTATCCCATTTAATCCCTTTCCTCTGATTTTGCTATTATAGCTCAGACTTCCCAGGGTACCTGCAGGCTGAGAGTGAGAGGAGAATGAGTTACCCAATTAAAAGGGAGTATATGAGCTAATAGTCCAGTTTGCTTTAGCCTAAGAAACACCTCAAACTTGCTCTTATCACTCTGAAATGAAAATCGGCTTTTCCTATTTAGCTCTGAAGTAAACAAAAGTTTGGAAAAAGCCAACTCGATGATTAAAATGTATCCTCCTTGTAACAGTTGGGGCCTTCACTTCCTTTTAAATTGTTTAAGAATCCCCCAACAGAGCAGATCACATCCAACTTCTTGCAGAGCAAAAAGCAACCATTTGTCACAAGTCTTCTTTTTTTTTTATACATATTTTGTATTCCACTGTTTTGTTCCAATCTTCCTTTGTTTTATTTGGCTGCTGAAGCCAGAGCTTCTTGCCTTTGGCAATAAAAGCTTATGAGCAAACATTCTCTGTGCCTTGGAAAGCAAAAGCATCACCCCAGTCTGCACATCCAACTGTGCCCGTCTCCGAAGTCCTGAGCCCTGTTCTTAAATTGGAACCTGAGAAGCTTTGCCAAGATTTCTTGCTGCCAGGCGGACTCCGTTGGGCCGGGCCGTATTGATTCGCGTTGGTTCCCCTGTTTTCTGTCAGTTAGTGATCCAGACGTAAGCTTTGATTCCTCATTATCTCAATTGCAAATTCCATGAACACATCATCATGCTGCTAGTGCATCCAGGATTTGAAACTGAAAATACCGGATCAATGTCTCAGGGGCACAGCCTTGAATTTCAATACAATTAAATTTCTTGAATGTGAGATTTATCCAGATTGTCATCTGCATTTTTTGCACGTTCAGTATGTGAATCTACCCGCACACAGAACCCAAGCACAGTGGTCCTGTCAGCGCATAACGAAGGAAAAAGACTTGATCGTGAACCTGAGGGAAAGATAATCAAATGTTGAACCTGCTGAGCCTGTTAGATGAAACTGTTAACAAGGCTTGCTCAAATCACCAGGGGAATGCTGTGCGGAGATGAAGATTGGGGTTCAGTTCTGAAATATGTAAGCAGGGTTAGGCTGAATAAGGAGGTCTCAGTGCTTGCTGCTGAAGCTGTGTAGCCAGCCTTTGAAAGGATTTGTATTTTCCCTCAGGAGTCACTTCAGCACACAGATTCACTTGAATCAGTTAAGCTCAACTCAGAAACACACTGACTGCGAAAGTGTCATAAAAGAATACCACATTTCAATTCTAATTTTCACCAAATGAAAACTAAATAACAAATTGACAAAGCAAGAAAAAATAATTTATTTTTGTAATTTAAGAAGATAGACTAGGGAGAAAGAAATAAAAAGCAACAGTTACTCGGAACAGGTGCTATCTACGCTTAGTGGAATAGGAGGGTGGAAGTCACAAGCAACAAAGTGTTCTTGTTAGCAGACTTGACTTTCAATTTCCTTACATGCTTAAGACAATGAGAACTTTACAAACCCACATCCTTCCTTTACTGCACAAACTCAATATACTTAGGCTTTTATTTCACTAGCTCTCCTCCTTGGAGCTCCTTCTTTCCCTACCTGTGACCTCACTGAAGGATATTAATGAATACAGTCAACTTCCCGCATCTGGTGTGAGGCGACTAAGCCTCTGGGACTGATAAAGCGTTTGCAGTCCTGGAGTCATTATCAATTTTTATTCGAGATAGTGCACCATTGAAACCAGAGCACGTGTTAAAATTCCTTTATCTCTGAATTTCCTGCTCCAAGAAACCTTGGCCATTCAAATTTGACATCCAAGTTCACTTGAAATATACATTTAGCAATAATCTGTAAAATTATCTGTCATGGAAACATACTAAAATTCGATGGAGGCTACGTGTGACCAATTACTATTGAGAGCAACAATCTACTTTAGTAACATCATGTGTTCATTACAAAACTTTAAAATATTTAACTTCTTAGGTAATATAAATTATACAGAAATAAATTTAGTATTATGCTACAGTCTCTTGAAATAGCCTAGATTTATTTTTAGTCCATATAAGTCACCTTTACAGAGAAGAAAAACTATTTCCTAAACAACATTCATTCTTAATTTTTATTTATGCATAAAGACTTGTGTGCATGTGTGCATTTTGAAAAATGCTGAAAAATACAGGAAGTTTAGAATGAGAAAACTTGACTTACAGCTCAATGATGGAATTTATATTCTTGCATGATACTGAGAAATACCATTTAACCTCTTATTGCCTCAGAAACTATATCTACAGAATCGAAACAATTACAATACCTGTCCTTCCAAACTCAGGTTGTTTAAATTAAGTAATATGATTTCCATGGAAGCATTTTATAAATTTTAAAAAATTATGCAAGTTTGTTTTAATATTAACTACACTATAATTCACAATTTCAGGAGCCCAAATTTGTATAGTTTAAAAAAAATCTTATCAGAAGGGGTTTGTATTATAGACAGAAATCTCTTTGAAACACTGGTTTTTTCATTATATTTTCTTGACCAAGGAAGTGAACTCTACCCTAATTTTACCTGAGGAATTAACTGAATTTAATTGAACAAATTTCTCTGACACTCAGGCCTTCCTCTTTGGTGACTTCTGGATACCCATGAAGCCTAGCCAAAACAAATTCCTACCACCTTGATAACTTCTTGAATGATTCTGTTTCTAGCACATATTTCAGACTAGAATTTTTTATCTCACCTAACCAACTGGCCGAGGACATTTTCAAAGACATTACATAGTTTGAGTTTAAGATATTAAAAACAGAGATTATTATCTTCACGTTGTAGCTCCCACTCATCCTTCTGCTATGTTCTACCTCTATGATACCAATGTTTTCACATTGTTTAAGCCAAAAGAAATTCAGGTATAATCTTTGACTGTTCTTCATCTTCACGATTTCATAGCTCCTTAATAATGTCGTTATATCCAATTCTACCTCCTAAATGTCTTCTATAATTAGCCCTTTTCTCCTGTTCTATTCCAAGCCATCAAATTCCTTTGTCTGGACCATTACAACAACATCCGATTTGGACTCTGCCTCTGTACTTACCTTATAGGAACTCTTCAACTTCAATAAGGGATGCAATTATCAGAAAACTACCTTCTACAGCCTTATTTGTGCATTTATAATGTTTTGATATGACTTTATATACAACTGCTCTTATTTGTCCTTAATACGTGAAGAATTTCAATATAATTTTTTGAATTGGAATTTTATAAGCCCCTATACATTGTTGTTGTTGTTGAATAAGACAATGAATAAGAGGATGAATGTTTGAATGCATGTATGAATATTTGTAATTAGGGCTATTTAAGACAAGTAGAAAGTGAGATAAACAACTATTTTAAGTTTGTTGAGTAGAGTTTGGCAATGTAATATAGCTCAAGTCTATAACATCTCCCTGACTTTTGCTCATCTACGTTAGGGTTTCTCCACCTTAGCACTGCTGACATTCTGGACCAGTTAATTCTTTGTTGTCCAGAACTATTCTGAGCATGGTAGGAGGTTTAAAGCATCTCTAACCTATATACATTAGTACTCAGTCTCCTATTATAATTAAAACTGTCTCTAGACATTGCCAAATGCTCCCTGGAGAGCAACACACTTCTAGTGGAGAACCACAGACCTATGGATTTGGCTCTCCCAAAATAAAAGTAAATAAAGAGAGGAAGTGTGAGGAGGAATTATGTTGCTACATCTGGTAATCTGATAATCTATCAATGATTATCTACACTGATGACCTCACAACTAAATATTTGGGAGATTAAAATGACTCCCAGAACAAGAGTTGGTAAGGGACTATGCAACCTTAGTCATTTTCAATCTTTCTTTGGATCAGTACGAGGCCCAGATTTCAGAACCTATCTAGGAATAAAGACTTGAGATGTGTCTAATTTAGACTCAGAACCTAATTTTGGTAATTGAGGCAAAGGGCCCGAGAATACCACCTTCATATGATATGAAAAAGTAGGTTGGTGTTTTAGATGTGGCAAACTTACTTGACTTTAGTTTAAATGGACAAATATCTCCAGAGAGTGTCCTTTCTATTATACATTGTCTATCCTCTACAAGGTTCCCACACCTACCAAAAATCATAATAGGAGGATTCTGAATGTATATTAAAAATAAACACAGAATACTTATTATTGAAACAACTGATTTTTTAAAAAATTGAGCTGACTACAAATCAAACAGTTACAAAAACTTTATGATAAGACACATATGAATCTTAGGAATACACACAATTCAAGGAATAATAGTGGCAGCCCGTTAATTGACCCACCAAGAGGTAACATTCTAGAATAATTTCCTTACCAGGGAAGAAATCTACTATTTAATATCAATGCTCTGTGGCTGCTTACTATATCAAGAAGAATTATACTGCAAATAATCATGATCTGGACTGCTTTTGTCTGTGGCTGAAGCTGAAACCATCCAATTAATATATGGTGTTCAGGGAAAATAGCTCATTTTAAACCAGGGTCTTAGTCAAAGGAAAGGACAGCCTTTTATTAACTTTGTCCCTTGTCTCTAGACATATTTATTGCATTCTTCTGGAAGAGAAATAATAGAAGCTCAGCTATAAGACCATGTGCGCAAAACAGAAAAAATCTCTTAGCTGCCATGAATGCAAATGGCTCTGTCACTTGATGGGAAACACTATGGTTTTAAAATTTGAAAATGGTTCACAAGATTCAGAAATCTCTCTTGTAACATATAGTCATTAGATGATGAAAAAGAAAATTATGTGGAAATGATAATATCTTGATTTTGTCCATGCACATGGCTACACATTTGAGTTTGGTTCATGTATATATTGCTAGTCATCATGGTCAGTGAATTTTTATTATTTATCTATAAAATATTACTCTGACACCATACATTTAAACACAATCTTAATATATTTATCTGACATAACTTCATGGTTTAGTTATACTCCTACTTCACTTTAGATATTTGGTGTTTGTTATAAAATGTAAGTCTTTATCCATTATTATTGTTATTATTGTTTTGAGACCGAGTCTCGCTCTGTCACCCAGGCTGGAGTGCAGTTGTGCGATCTCGGCTAACTGCAAACTCCACCTCCCAAGTTCAAGCAATTCTCCCTACCTCAGGCTCCTGAGTAGCTGGGATTACAGGTGCTTGCCACCACACCCACCTAATTTTTGTATTTTTTAGTACAGACATGGTTTTGTCATGTTGGCCAGGCTAGTTTGGAACTCCTGACCTCAGGTGATCTTCCCGCCTCGGGCTCCCGAAGTGCTGGGGTTACGGTGTGAGCCACCGTGCCCAGCCCATTGTTATTTATTATATCAATTACTGTCATTCATTTTGTGGTTTTTCCATATGTGTCAACATTTTTCTAGTGTCTTAATATGGGATTCTGGGAGAAAATTATGAAGTACAATTTTGGTTCATGCTCAAAACATTAACTTAGAAATATAATATTGTTAACGTATCTTATCCAAAATACTGCCCAGGGAGTTTGGTATTTGGGTGCAGAAGCATAAGCCAAAATTGTGGAGTTAAATGCAACTACCCAAAAGGCAGCGTGTGAGAATAATTTTAAATCAACACTAGGCAGAGTGGCAAATTCTGTCATAAATCTGAATATATTTGGTAGCTTGAGTAATTCTGACAATTGTCAGACAGAAGTCCTAGACCTGACCCGCTTTGGTGTAAATGAGTCATATATTTACAATGAACTAACCACCATGGTGGTGGGATGGACTATGTCTGACAGCAAACTGAGAATACAGTTTCTCTTGCCTGAACAATATGGCTTGAAGGTTAACCTATCCTGGGTGATAAAAAAACAAAGTGATAGACTTGAGAACATAGTAATAGTCTCATCTTTTTCTTATTCATCACTAACAAATTTGAAAAACAAGAAACATTTTGATCATTGCCTCCTTACATATATCTTTTCTTAATAAAGGATTTACCATAGTCCCTAGAAAGAGGTATCTATACCAGTAAATATATCTAAGTTGTTTTGGCATTAGCTGTTTTCTATTTTGAAAGTTTCCAAAGAAACTGGAAGTTGTTAGCAGGGAATAACACTGGGAAGTAAATGAAGGGGGCTTTCCCATTTTTACTTTTCAGTTTCCTATACTGTTTGAGTTTTTATAGTAATCTTAATAATTTAACAAAACATAAAGGAATAAAAGATAAAGGTTTTTAAAAAGAAAAATACCTACAAGTCTTCAGGTTCATTGACTTTTATTGGAACAATGAAGAAAACTTGTAAATAATGCTAGTAAGCCACTGCCATTTACCTTTAAATTATAAAACATGCATTTCCAGTGGCCTGGATAAGGACAAATTTTCAGATATAAGGGAAAAAATTTCATTCATTTAATTTGCTTCCTTGTTCTATCTGATTTTTTTATTATGTCAGGAGGCATCTGGAACTTTTTTATGATGAGGTTGTGCATCATAAAGATCTTTTCTAATGTCTTCATAATCTGGCATTGCAGTCTGGAGGGATGAGAACCATACATTTGGCATGCTTCTATAAAAATAGACTTGATTATTCCTAACTCATAGGATTGTGGGGATCAATTGAGTTAGTAAAGCTTATAAATGATGAGTGTTGTGCCTGGCACAGAGTAAACATTCAATAAGTTTAGTTGGTGACTGCTTCAAGCTGAAAGTAAATTTGAAGAACATGAAATAAAATATTAGGATAATAAATAATAGATTTTCATGCAAAGCCACATACTCTTCTCATAATTACACACTGCATCTCAGGACGTCAGTCATGATTTTGCTATGATAACTCTCTTTTTGGGAATGTTGTCTGCTTATCCATCTTCCCCTCAACTCCTACTTTTTTTTCCATAACGCAGTAAAATAATTCTTACTATGTGTCCTCATAATATGTGTCCTTAAACAATAAATATGAGAATGACTGGTGATTTATTTAAAAAAAATCCAAAATATTTTTAAGACCAAAGAAATATTAATTTGTATTGTACTTATATCAAGTGAATGTTTGGCAAAGAAACACTTAGAATAGAGCTGGACTTATTATATAGCCACTCCAGTTTAAGTAAGTTTTCAGGATAGCAGGCAACTAAAATAGAATAAAGAACTAAATAACTTGAAAGGGTTTTTTTGTTTGTTTTGTTTTGTAATTTGGATTTTGAGAAATTGGAAATAGTGGTATAATACTTGAAGATAGATTGTGATAAAGTAAAAGTGTAATCTATAAACACTAAAGCTATAAATAAAATAACAAAACAAAGAATTATAGTTAACAAGCCAACATAAAGAAAATAGTTATAAAAAATGCTCAGTTTAAATGAAGGCAGACAGAAATGGAAAAGGTAATAAAAAAAGGTTGTAAGTTAAAAGCTCCAGTTAAAAGAAGTTGTCAAACTGAATTAAAAACTATCTTCAACAGCATACTTTCTCTATATACATACAAATAGTGAAAAAGAGTTTTAAATGATATACCATTTTCACACTAAAAGAAGGCTGGAGAAACTATATTAATATTAAATAATGTAGATTTCATAGGAAATATTGATATAAATATATAAACATCGCATAAAGATAAAGATATTGAAATAGAAACACAAATAAGAAAATATCAATGAAACCAAAGGCTGACTATCAAAAAGGTCAATAAAACTGATAAATTCTCGCAAAAGATTTGGAAAAGCAAGAAGGTGAAACAAAGTAGATGTCACAAATTATCAGGATAAGAAATGAGAAGAGTGATTGTATCACAGATTTTACAAATACCAAAGGGGAAATAAGGGTATCAGTATCTTCACAACAATTTTATGCTAAATATTTGTCAACTTAGATGAAATGGACACAATATCAAAGCTCATGGCTTTTCTTCATCCTTGGCAACATTTGCTAAGGCCAGGCTTTTTAAAGAATTACAGATTTGTTGGTGAGGGTGTAGAAGAGTCAGAACTCTCATATACTGCTGGTAAGAAGGCAAAATCGTACAACCACTTTGGAAAACAGTTTGACAGTTTCATAAGATGTTAAAAATAACCTTCCATTTAACTGAAATATTCTTCTCCTTGTTGTTTATCCAAGAGAATTGAAAACTTATGTCCATACAAAGATTTGTCCACAACTTCATAGCAGCTTTACTTGCAGTAACCAGAAATTGAAAACAATCCAAATATTCACAATAGATTAATGGATAAACAAGTTCTGGTACCTCCATACAATGCAATATTACATAGCAAAAACCAAAACAAACCAAAAACTATAGAAGCAACAACAAAGATGAATCCTGAAATAGTTTTTCTAGAATGAAGCCACACAAATAAGAATAGTGTTTTATTTTATTTACATAAAATGCTAGAATATGCGAACTAATCTATAGTGGCACATTAGCTTGCCTAGGGAGTGGCATGAGGGTGTTATTACATAAGGACATGAGGAAACTTTTCTGGGTAGTAGATATGTTCATAATTGACTATAGGGGTGGTTTCACAGGGTATACACAGAGTA
The DNA here is from genome assembly GCF_000001405.40 of Homo sapiens. Taxonomy (NCBI): domain Eukaryota; kingdom Metazoa; phylum Chordata; class Mammalia; order Primates; family Hominidae; genus Homo; species Homo sapiens. The sequence goes on from NC_000013.11 coordinate 53,829,763, forward strand.
TACATATATCAATCTTAGCAAATAATAAACTATAAATATGTGCACTTTATTGTATATCTAATACTCTCTTTTTTGAGACAGTCTCCCTCTGTCACCCAGGCTGTTATGCAGTGACATGATCTTGGCTCACAGCAGCCTCAACCTCCTGGGTTTCAAGGGATTCTAAGGCCTCAGCCTTCTAAGTAGCTAGATTACAGGCACCTGCCACCACAGCCTGCTAATTTTTGTATTTTTAGTAGAGACGGGGTTTCGCCACCTTGGCCAGGCTGGTATCAAACAAAGCCATTACATACACTATTGCAGCTGTAATTATAAACATATCAAATGTTTGCAGTCCTACAATTTGTAAATTATTTTAATTTCTTCTAAAAAATGGGATACATGTGCAGAATGTGCAGGTTTGTTACATGACTGTGGGTAGCAATTTGTTTGCCTGTACAAAAATATTCCATTACCATATTTTAATTAGATGCTTCTTAAAGCATTTTGAAACATAATTTTTTAACAAAATTACAAGTCACTGGAACTATGTTTTAATTAGGTGCTTCTTAAAACACTTTGAAATAGAATAAAAATTTTTAACAAAATCACAAGTCACTGGAACTATATTTTATGAAGAGATATACACTCGATTAATTTGTTTTTGTGGTTTGTTTTATCCTTGATGCATTGTTGTAAATGATTAATGACACAAGTCTTAACTTTTCTTCTTACCATAAACGATTGCCTAATAGTTTGTTTCTATTGTCTTAGTATTTACGGTTAAAATAATCACTGATAAAATTTTTAACAAATTTTCATTGTTTTATTTAATGATATCCACAGTATGAATGCTTTTATTATTTTTCATGGTAACCATAGATTTTAAAAGATAATTAGTTTCAATTTATTCTCATGATATGTCTAACATGACTTTACATGAACATAAAGTGTAGCAACAGTACCTTATTTCCAGAGAGTTTTCTAGTTGAAAATCTACATCTATTGGTGGAGCTTCATAAAATAGACTAAAACCATGCAATTATGCCTTCCATGGTACCAATATTTGTATTCCTACAGCCTACTGCATGTAATGTCTGTTGTGCTGTTTAACTGTCTTCTGATAGAGATTAGAAGAGGGAACTGTAACAGCTGAACTGCTAACCATGCTTTGGAGAGGAGAAGGCATAAAGGTTCCTTTTGTGATTTGACTAATTAATATTTCAAGCAAATTTAATGGCATTTTATTAGTTTAGTGAAATGTTGAGTCTTCTTTCAAAAAGGAACATATGTAAAGTTATATACTAATTATCAAACTTAGACATATTTTATGTTTGGATAGAAAATTATGCTGGTATATTTTTATAGATATTCTGTATTATTCTCAACCTTTATTGAGAGAGGGCTGCAATTGTCAAAGGTACACGTATCTTCTGAGTAAAACTGCATAGGGGAGAGACTTTAGCACTTGCACTACAACAGGAAAATTGATAAAAGGATTACATATTTAGAATAAAACTTTATTTCCTTCACAAACTAATATATCACTTATTAATGTGTGTATGAGCTATGGATACCAGCTAACATTCTATAGTGGTTTTACACTCATAACTACCAGAGCAAGAAACCAAACATACCAACTTATTCTCACATAGGCACAGATACACAGAGATGCCTAAAGCCACTGAGCTGACAAGTTTCATTCTCAGCTGTGCTGCAATACATAAGTAGATTCTCAAGATTTTCTGCCCATATATGTAGCAGCATCTATTTCCTTATTTTGGATAATGTGAGAAAATATTTGTCATCTGAAATTACAGGCAGTCTATTAGAGAGATAACATATAACCTACAGGTCCACAAGCACAGACTCCATTGTATAAGCTCAATTCTAAGACATCATATTATGATGTAAATAAGGCATGACAGGAAACATCTCTCCTGCCTGACACCATCAAATCTTTTTTTGATATAAACAGATCATTTTGCTCATTTCTGAAATTAATACTATTGATATAGTAAGGGCAGAATTTCTGATGAAAAAACTGAGCCTAGAATTTATTTTATACTTTGAGAGGCTTAGCAATTTGCAAATGTTACATTTTCTAGACTGGGATAACTACCTGCTGGTTGGAAGATAGTTCAAGGAACTGCAGGATCCAGAAATGGAAAATGTATGTTTTTGTAGAAGAGATGAGAACACAGTTTATGCCATTTATTTTAGCAGCCATATTAAAATTTTTGTCCAGTTCTAGAACTGGGTACTTTGCATATAAATACATCCCAATTATAAATAACAACTACCCTACAATTTCTTCTGAGTTCTGAGTTATGAGTTATGGTGCCATCTTAAAGTGACATCTATAGAAATAGAGTATCATTCCTTTCCATTTGCCAGCATTTCTGTGTGCAGGTAAAATTGATATGCTGGTTTCCACCCCTCTAGATAATTTAAGTTTTACCTCGAGGTGAGAAAGCATATATTTTTGGATGATATTTATTTTAAATTTTGTAGAATTGCTACTGGGGGTGTGTTTGATAATGGCATATTTTCAGCTTTTATCAGAGAACATGACAGAAAATACATTCTTACTGCATTTATTGCAGAATATTATTGACACCATTGTTTATTTTATATCACACAGCATCCTGATGTAAAATTCCACTTGAGAAATTTCCTGTTGAGTCAGTGCTAAGATGAACTTTGCTTCTTCTGACAATCTCGAATGTTTTCGATTCTTTTTGAAATTCAGAAATATGTAGATGTTTACTTCTCCCTTTTTTCCCATTGGTGACACATATTATAGTTTATTGCTTAACATATTAGTATATATGATTAATTTATTTCTGTACTTTCAAATTTAATATCCTACCTTTATTTATAAATGTATGGATTTTGACATAGTAAAAAGAACTAGTTGTATGCCAGTCTTTAAAAAGCCATTATTGACTTCTAAATATTAAGACTGTCTATACAAGCTAAAGTTTATATGAAAACTGAATCCAGTAGAACTTTCAGAATTATGATATTAAAGTCTATCTTTGAAAACAGAACATAGTTTGACCACTATTCTATTTTTTAAAAAATACATCTTTCTGTCTTAGTTTTTCTTCAACATACATCTTAGTTATTTGAAATTGATGTTGAATGAGATGGTTATATAGAGACTATTAAGGCAGGTAATCTTTCCTGAGCTGGTGAACATTGTTTTATTGTCCTGTTTCCAACAAATAGTTGGGTCTGTCTGCTAATTTGTTTTCCCTTTTATATTAAAAGTACTTTATTGAGGTACAATTAATTTATGATTTACACACAATAAAATACTCAAATCTTAAATATAAGGCACAATGGATTTTGACATATGTTTACAACTGTTAAGAAATCTCTTCTATCCAGGGGGATATCTTTTCAATACCCTTTCCCTGAGGTGTTCACTGTTCTGATAGCTATAACAATGATTTTCATCCTATCTGTTCTTAAACATGATGTAAAAGGAAACACACAGTATGCACTCTTTCTTATTTGACTTTTACTCAACATAATGGTTTGAAGTTTATTCACATTATCACACTTTGTGGCTTGTTCCTTCTTATGAGTAAGAATTCTATGATTTAATTAATCTACTATTTATGGACATTTGGATTGTTTACACTTTGGGGACACTATGAATAAAGCTACTGTAAATATTCTAGTAAAATACTTCATGTGGACATATGCACTTATTTCTTTTGAATATGGCAGTGGCTTATAAGGTAGGTGTGTGTCAGACTTTGTCAGAAAGAACCTAACAGTAATAACAGTGTCATTTTGGACTCCCATCAGCAATATATAAAAATTTTTAGTTGTTCCACACTTTACCATTTAAATATTGTCAAATTTTAAAACTTTATGCATTTGTTGTACATATCATATTTTATCACAGTTTTAATTTTGCATTTATCTGATAATTAATACTTTTCATATGCACATTAGCCATATGGATATTTTGTAAAAATGTTCAAGATTTGCCATTTTATTGGACTGTTTGCATTTTCATTATTGATTAGTTGGATTTTTAGAAATTTTATTACATATAGTCTAAGTAAAAGTGCTTTGACAAGTGTTTATATATGCACACATGGGTATATGTACATATATGTATATATATGTCATTCATATATAAAATATTGCAGTGACCTTATCCTGTAGATAGCTTTCTAATTTGACAATTTATTTCCCACTAGGAGGCATTTTATATTCAGAATAGCTTGGTAGAACATAATGTACATGAGATGGGACATTGTTATTAAAAGAAACTGTTTTCTTTTGGTGCTTCTAAGTTTTCTCCATTACTATGTAGATTGAAAATGTTTGTGTGACTTTCTTTCTCTACCCAGCCATTCCATAAATTGTAAATTGTAAATTCCAGGTGATTTTCTTTTTGACAATAAGTGATTTGGAAAGATCAGATATATCTTACTAAGGAATCTCTTATTCCCCTAAAATAATTTTTTTTCTGTATCTTGCTTTTAGTAAATACCATTATTAACATGATCCCAAATAGGTCTGGTCAAAGTTAATAATTTCCTAGAATATTTCCCAGTGTGGAAAATGTCATAGATCCATTGCTAACTCTTTACCAGTTGCATTTTTATTTTTATGCAATTCAAAATACTTCGAATTTCTATTGTAATGTCTTCCTAGACCCACTGAATACCAATAATTTAATTAATTTTCAAATACCTGAAAATATCCCAGATATCTTCTTGTTATTGATTTATAATTTTTTCTGTTGTGAAGAGAAAACATTCTATATGATTCAAAGTCTTTGAAAGTATTCGATTCTTGCTTCATGACTGCTACAGTTTGACTATATCCACCAAATTTCATATGTTGAAAACTTAAATTCAGATGTTGATGATATTTACAGGTGAGACCTTTGAGAGGTAATTAGAATGAGATAAGATCATTGGGGTGGTGCTTCCATGATCAGACTTGTGGCTTTATAAGAAGAGCAAAAGAATTCTGAGCTGGCAAGCTTTTGCCCTCTCCCCCTATGATGACCTCTGCTGTTTATGATGCAACAGGAAGGCCCTTAACAGATGCCCATTCCATGGTTTTTGACTTCCCAGACTCCAGAACCATGAACCTGATTAACTTCTATTGTTTATGGGCTAGCCTGTGGTATCCTGCTATAGCAACAGAAAACGGACTAAAACAATGGCTAATATATGGTTTTTTAGGGGGGTGGATACTCCATGTGCACTTTAAAAGAATGTGTATTAAGTAGTTATTTGCATAATGCTTTATGAATATCTATTCATTCAAGTCAGTTATTGGAATTATTTAAACCTCCTGTAAACTTATTTTCACTTGCTTATTTTACTTACTATTGAGAAAGTGGTGTTAAAAATCTCCAGTTATGACTGTATCTACTTCTACTTTTAGTTCTCTCACTTTTTTTCATACCTTTGAAGCTATGTCATTAGATGCATACACATAGGAACATACACATTTAGGACTGTAATATCTTCAGGAAATGATACTTTTGTCATTACACTATGTCCATCTGTTTCTAGTAATACTTATTGTCTTAAAATCTATTTGTTCTGATATTAGTATAGCCACATCTGCTTTCTTTTCCTTTTTTATTGTATACACATTCATATTTTTATATTTAAGATGCCATTTGTGAAAAGCATGTACATTTGACCATTGAACAAGTGTTTGAACTTTGTGGGTCAAAGATACACACACTTTTTTCAATAAAAGTTACACTGAGTGTGCCTGCCTCTTCTGTACCCCCTTCCACCTCCTCCACCTCTGCTACCCCTGAGACAATAAGATCAACCCCTCCTCTTCCTCCTCTTTCTTGACCTACTCAACATGAGGACAATGAGGATGAAGACCTCCCTAACTACTGTGTGTTGCTCAAGGGTCAACTATAGTTGTTTAGCTTATTTTTTATGTCAATCTAATAATCTCTATCTTTTGAGTGAATTCATTTGCATTTAATGTAATTGCTGATAATTTTGTCTATTATCTTGTACTTTGATTTTATTTCCTTCATCTTTTCATTAGTCCTTTGTTCTTTCCTAATATTCTTTGATAAAGTGAATTTTTTTCAGCATTCTAATTCATTATCTTTATTGACTTTTTAGTTACAAATCCTTTTTTAATATTCAGTGGTTATACTAGAGTTTAGTTTATATTGAATTAATATAAAAATTCCTGAACTATAAAAGAATTATATAATAGTATAATTTCATTTACCCTGTCATTCCAGTCTCTGTAATATTGTTATCATATATTTTACTTCTACATATATTTTTGAGCCACAAAAATGTTGTTATGCTTGCTTTAAATAACCAATAGTCTTTTTTCAAAAGACCATTATGTATTTACTCCTATATTTATCTTTTCAAGTACTTTTTATTTCTTCTGGCATATCTGGGCCTTCGTCTTCTATAATTTTTCTATAGCATGAAATTTGCCTTAGCATTTTTTAAAGTACAGATCTGCTGGTAATAAGTTTTCTTCATCTTTTGTCTGAAAATGTCTCTATTTGGCTGTTATTTTCTAAATACTTCTTGAGATATGGTTTATATAGATGCCATTACATTCCCTTATTTTAATTATACACTTCAATAAATTTTAATAAATTTACAGGATTGTGTAACATTCTCATAGTCTATTTTCACTTTGATAAAAATCCCTCATGCCAATTTACAGCTAATCTTTCTTCCCAAACCCAGTTCCAGGCAACCACTAATCTATTTTGTTTCTATAAGTTTGCCTATATTAGACACTTCATACAAATGTAATCAAGCAATATACTATTTTATGTCTGCATATAGCATAAATCTTTATAAATTTATTTCATGAGTAACATATCAGTATTTAACTGCTGTTTATTACTCAATAATATTTTATTCTATGGGTATACAAGTTTCTTAAATATTAATTTATCATTAATTAATGATTGACATCTGAGTCATTTCTATTTGTTGGTTATTTTGAATAGTGCTGCTATGAAAATTCATGTGAAAATGTTGGGGTAAACTTATGTGTTCATTTCCCTAGTTATATGCATAAGAATGGAACTGGTAGGTCACATAATGTATTTTTAAATTTTAAGTAAAATGTCAAATATTTTCCAATATATCAATTTAATATGTAAAGTTTGATATTTTCTTATACATATACACAGTGAACAGATTATTATAGTCAAACTAACAATATCCATGTCTTCACATGGTTAACTTTTGTGTGTTTGTGGTGAGAACACTTAGGCTCTACTCTCAGTAAATTTTACATACACAATACAATATTAGTAATTGTAGTCTTCATGCTGTCCTTCACATTGCTAGAGGTTATTCATTTTACATAACTGAAACTTTGTACGCTTTAACTGACATCTCCCCATTTCTCCTTGCCTTTTCCTCTGGTAACCACCATTCTACTATCTGTTTTTGTAAATTCAACTTTTAGGATTCCACATATAAGTAATACTATGAATTTTTTTGTATCTGGCTTATTTTACTTATCATATTTTCTCAAGATTTATCTATGTTGTCACAAATGACAGGTTTTCTACTTTTAAAGGCTAAATAACATGGCATTGTATGTATATATTCATGTATGTATGTTTTTAAACACACATACACACACACACACACCCCATTCATCCACTGATGGACAGAGACTGTTTCCATATCTTGCCTACTGTGGATAATGCTGCAGTGAACTTGGGAGTATAGGTATCTCTTCAAAATACTAATCTTATATCATTTGGATATGTACCCAGAAGAGGGATTTCTGGTTTATACAGTTTTTAATTTTTTGAGAAACTTTCATACTGATTTCCATCATGGCTGTAGCAATTTACAGTCCCACCAGTAGTGTATACAAATTCCCTTTTCTTCATATCCTCACCAATATTTGTTATCATTTTGTCTGTTTGATAACAGCCATCCTAGCAGGTATGAGATGATATCTTGTTGTAGTTTTGATTAGGATTTTCCTGATGATTAGTGATAATACTCACTTCTTCATATACCTATTCGCTATCTGTATGTCTTATCTGGAAAAGTGTCTATTCAAGTCGTTCGCCCATTTTTATGTTAACATTATTTGGGTTGTTGTTATTGACTTATATTGTTATTATGTATTATTTATGTATTGTGGATATTAACCCATTATCAGATATACGGTTTGAAAATATTTTCTCCCATTCTGTAGGCTGTGCTTTCATTTTATTGATTGTTTCTTGTGCTGTGTAGAAGCTTTTTAGGTTAATGCATTCCCATGTGTTTACTTTTGCTTTTGTTGCCTGTAGTTTTGGTGCCAGATCCAAAAATTAATTACCAAGCCCAATACCAGATTGTAACTTACGTTGTTTTTTTTTTTTTTTCTAAATTTTAATGTTTTCAGATCCTACATTTAGGTCACCCATTTCAAGTTAATTTTTGTGTATAGTGTAAGATAAAGTTCAAATTTTGCTCTTTTGCATGTGGATATCCAGTTTTCCCAACATCTTTTATTGAAGAGCCTCTCTTTTCCTTATTATGTATTCTTGGTGCCCTTGCCAAAATTAGTTGATGAAATATGCGCTGGTTGATTGCTGGGCTCCCTATTCTGTCTTATTGGTCTACATGTATCATGGTTTTTACTGCCAGTAACATGCTGTTTTAATTACTATTATTTTGCAGTATAATTTGAAATAAAGATGTGTGATAACTTCAATTTTGTTGTTTTTTCTTCAGAATGTTTTGGCTATTCAGAACCTTTGTGGTTCAAGAAAAGTTTTAGGATTTTTTAAATATCTGTGAGAAAATGCTATTGGGATTTTGATAGTTATTGTACTGGATCTTACTTCAGTCTTGGTAGGTTGCATGTTTCTAGGAATGTATCCATTTCTTCTGCATTATCCAATTTGTTTACATACAGTTGTTTATGTCCTTTTTTATTTCTGAGACATCCCTTGTAATGTCTTCATTTATTTTTATTTTACTTTAGACTTACATAGGCTGGAAGTAAAAGGATGGAAAAAAGAGTCTCCACACAAAGGTAACTAACCAAAAAAGCAAGAGTGGCTCTACTTACTTACATTATATAAAACAATACAATACAATACAATACAATAACAGGAGGCAAGTACGAGGTGTCAATAGCCTACTTTAAATAATGGATAGAATATTCAAACAGAAAATGAATAAAGAACAGTGGATTTGAACAATACTGTAGACCAAGTAAATGTAACAAAATATACAGAAATTTAGACCCAATGGCAAAAGGGTGTACATTCTTTTCAAGTGTACCCGAAATGTTCTACAGCATAAATCACATTAGGTTACAAGTCTTAACAAAATTAGGAAGATTTGAAATCATACTGTAACATGTTGAATGAAACTAGAAATCAATAACAGCAAGAAAATGGGCTAATTCATAAACACAGGGAAACTAAATGACACATTACTGAACAATCATTTGGTCAAAGAGGAATCAAAAGAGAATTTAAAAATATCTCTAGACAAATGAAACAAATACATAGCTTACTAAAACTTATGGAATCAGCAAAAGCATTAGTATCAGGAGGATTTATGGTGATAAAAAACTGCATTTAAAAAGAATGATCTCAAACAGTCAGAATGATCTCAAACAGTCTAACATTATAACTCAATGGATGAGTAAAAGAACAAATTAAGCCCAAAATTAGAAGAAGGAAATAATAAAGATCAGAACAGGAATGAATCAAATAGAGAATAGAAAAATCACCAAAACTGATCTTTTAAAAGATGAAATTTTAAAACCCTTCACAAGACTAAGGAAAATAGTTATGCCTCAAATACATCACAAATGAAAAAGGAGACTTTTTCCCTTTCCACACAGAAAACATATTCCATAATTTTCTACTTTCCATTTTTCTCCTGACAAGTCAACTGTCATTCTTGCTGTTTTCCTGCATGTTTTGGATGTCTTAAGCTTTTCTATGTTTTATCAGTATTTAACAATTTTACTCTAATGTTTGTAGATATAGTCTTCTTAAAAATTTGGACCTACTTAGGATCTGCTAAACTTCTTGAATATGTGGATTGATGCTACTTATTAAAAATTGAAAATTTCAGTTGTATATTTTCAATCTTTTTTTAGTAATTTTCTCTCTCCTCTCATTCTGGGACTATATATGTACACTTATTAGATTGTTTGATAGTGTCATTCTGAAACTGTGTTCTGTTTATTAATATACATTAGTGGTTTCTTCTCTTTTTCAATTTGGATGATGTCTATTTGACCTTTTGGTGAAATTATGTTTTTGCTTCAAACTGTATGCTATTAAGCTATCAATATATTCAACATTTCAGATATTTTATTTATCAAAATTAAAATTTTAACTTGTATTTTTTTAGTTTACATATCTCCTCTGAGGTACTCCATATCCTAAATTGTATAGATATATTCTTATTGTACTTAATTTCACATGTTTATAATAGTGATTGCATTAAGTCAGAGGTTTATAGAAGCTGAAACCCAGGAAAAAGAGCTACCATTTTCTAGCCAATGTCATTGTGGAGAAAGTAATTGTGATTTAGAAATCAAGAAATTTGCTGAATCTGTTGGAGTATTTTTGGGTAAAAGTAACAGAAAACCAAACTTCAACTGTATAAACAACAAATAGAACTCATTTACTCGTGTACTAAAAATATCCAAAAGTATTCAGGTATGAGGAAAAGTTTGATCAGATTATATAGGCACCAAATTTCCACTCTTTCACATTCTATTTCCTTCCTCTTCTGTGGTGTTGATGCAATTCTTGGCAGACTGTTCCCTCATGTTAACAAATGACTGCCAGAAGCATCTGGGGTTCTCTCATTTACCTCTAGAAATTCAATTAGTTTTCTATTGCTGTGTAACAAGTTGCCACAGACCTACAGATTAAACAATGCAAATTTATTCTTTCAGTTTCTGTAGGTCAGACATCCAGCAAGGAGTTTCTGGGTTCTTTGCTCTGGGTTTTAGGAGAGTGAATTCGAGATGTGAGCCAGACCAAGTTCTAATTTGTAAACTCTGAAGAAAAGTTATTGTCCAAGGTAATTCTCATTGTTGAAGAATTCAGTTCCTTGTGATGTAGGACTGAGGCTGCCATTTTCTTGCTACATGTCAGATGTTCTCATCCCTTAGAGTCTACCCACATTCTTTACCATGTAACCCCCTCCATTTTTAAGCCAGTTACATGACAAATCCCTTCCATGCCTCTGATTTCTTTCTCTCCTACCAGCTTGAGAAAATGTTTTGCTTATAAAGGGCTTGTGTGATTAAGTTAGGTCAATCCAGATAATCTTTGTATCTTAATCTGATTAGTAGCCTTAATTACATTGGCAAAATCCCTACTGCTATGTAATTTAACAAGCCTGGAGTAACACTAAAAGATAGAAATCATGGGGGCCATTTTGTAATTCTGCCAAACATGGCAAGGTTACTTCCATGTAGCTCATTGTTTTCATCATAGTTGACCCTTGGATGACATGCTTGGAACTGTGCAAGTCCACTTATATGCAAGTTATTTTTAATGTATACAGCAACCTTCTGTATTCATGGGTTCCACATCCAACAGTATTCACAGGATGCCAAACTTGAATATAGTGAGGCCCATTTTTTCTATATGTGGGTTGCATGGACACTAAAGTATCTGCAGATTTTGGTATCTTAGGAAGCCTGGAACCAGTCCTTTATGTATACTGAGGGGTGACGATACTGCATCAATCACTGTTGCCAGAGAAATGGGATGTAATAATTGACTTTGAGCAATTATGGCTCATCTCATCTGTGTAGTCCAGAAAGGGAGTCCTCTTAGGTAGGGGAAAGAGAAACTAGACACTGAGAAGGTAACACACTGCACTTGAGTTCTGGTCCCAGTAGCACCAGTTACCAACCATGTGGGTTTCAGCAGAAATTCTTTCAGATCGTGCACATTCACTAGTGTAAGCGTGCTGCACTTCTAAAAGCTGATCTTATAACTAGCACCAGAAGTCTGGACTTGGCCACTGGAACACTGTTTTCCTGAAAGATGAGAGAACTGCACACCCACAATATTCTTAGTGTTGCAGAGAAAGCCTTTCAGGACTTTCTATACCCTTATTAATACTAGAGCACAAATTCAGATATTTTAAAATAAAAATTTTGTCATTTTACAGATACACTTTTTAAGCATATTGACTAATGGAATTTTAGTTTGCAGCTCATTCATCTTGGAGTATATAACAGGAAGATTGTTTGGCATTAGAAATTCCATCTGAACTTTATTTCATGTGAACATGTATGTGTATAATTTTTCTTTAAGATTAAAACATTAAGAAACATTCATAATGAGGTAACATTGATTATGCTTTGTCCTAGAAACATTTTTTGTCAATTTTCCAACTTTCTATTTGCTGGAGTAGACCTAAGACTAATTTCTAAAGGAAAAAAAAACTAAAAACTTCACCAAGCATACTTTTTAAATATCGTTTACTAGCCATACATTCAGGCAAAAATCTTCATTAGACTTATTTTATGCTTATCCTTCTCGATTGATTGTTAGTGAATGTAAGAAATGTGCTTTAATCCGAAGAACAGAAGTTTCTTTTTCCAGGTTCTTGTCAAATATAAACTCAAATTTCTTGATGTTTGATTATTAAATGCTCATTTTGAGATATCACATTTTTGAAATATTTCCTGAAGGCCACACAGCATATGTTCTTCTAGGTGTCCTGAGTGTTACCTTTGAATCAAGTATAATCACAAGGGTCTATATACTGTATTGGCCAGGATTATTTCAACACCCTCTTAAGCTTACTTTTACTGAATTATGATTTAGTACTAGGTTATTTAACCACATTGAAAGACTTCATCTGAAAGGGCAACGTGAAAAGTGTTATTATATGCAGTATAAAGAAGCATAGGGAAACATTGAGCTCTTTATTACATAAAGAATCCCCTTTATGAGAAACCAAATAAGAAATTTCCCTTTAGTGTACAAACCAATCAAGAATAGCTTTGCTTCTTCTGAAGAACTGATATGACTTCATATTCAGATCATTCTTTGGTCACCAGGAACCATATACATAGACTACCATCCCCCACCACTCTTCTATAATACAATATGTCATGCATTTTTACCTACATATTCAATGCCAGAGTTGACTATTTTCTCTTTATACTGACTCTTAACTATATATCTTTTTATTAATGTATTTTTGTAAAATGCCTCAAATCCTTTGTGAAATATAAAAGGGTACTTGAAGAACAAGTCAAATACTTTTATTTGTATTCTCATTTTCTATTTTATTTAAAGTTGATAAATTATGTGTTTTATGTAGTAGCTATTTAAAATATGTCCTTCATATATAAGTTAATACAAATATAAGTTAATACAAATATATTTGTATGGCTCCTATGGCCGGGCTTAGTTCTGAGCATAAAAGGTAAAAGACAGTGCCTGCTTGAAAAGACTTTCCATGTTACTGGTGGAGAAAAATAAACTGAAAATAATAATGTGAGGGGCTGTGTGAACAGAAAGGAAGGATGCCTATCTCAGACTTGTATTTGTCAGACAAGACTTTACAAGATATGTTTCAATTGAATTTTGAAGGGTTTGCATTAGCCAGGTCAAAAGGTAATAGGAGCGGTATGTAGGGGAGGGATATTGCCAGAGAGAAGAGCCTATAGAAATTTACCACAACGGCAGGGCGTGGTGGCTCACGCCTGTAATCCCAACGCTTTGGGAGGTCGAGGCGGGCAGGTCACCTGAGGTCGGGAGTTCAAGACCAGCTTGACAAACATGGAGAAATCCTGCCTCTACCAAAAATACAAAATTAGTTGGGCATGGTGGCACATGCCTATAAGCTACTCAGGAGGCTGAGGCAGGAGAATCATTTGAACCCGGGAGACGGAGGTTGCGGTGAGCCGAGATAGCACCATTGCACTCCAGCCTGGGCAATAAGAGTGAAACTCTGTCTCAAAAACAAAAAAGAAAGAAAGAAATTTACCAAAACATCAGGGGTGGTCTTTGACTATTTCAGAATGGCTTGAGAACAGGCTACAAGAGCACTATCGGGAAATAAGGCTAGATGATGAAGGGCCTTAACGTCAAACTAAGGATTATTTTTTCTAAATTTTTAATTTAAATTTTATTCTAAGTTCCGGGGTACATGTGCAGGATGTATAGTTTTTTTACACAGGTAAACGTGTGCCATGGTGGTTTGCTGCACCTATCAACCCATCACCTAGGTATTAAGCCTAGCATGCATTAGCTCTTTTCCCTAATGCTTTCCCCCAACCACTTTTTTTTTCCCCGAAGTACCAGGGAGACCCTGAAGGATCTTTATGGAAAGATATGAAGTCAAACAAATAGAAACATTTCTTGTATCTTCAACAGCTAACATTGTGTCTTGATTGAAGTTACTAGATATTCAATTAATATTGGTTAAATTATTAGTGGGTCGAGAAGTACAGCTACATATTTCATTCATAATCTCCTTAACATGTTTCCTTCATAAGCATTTCCATTCATGAACGCTGTTGGAAAGGGGAGACTGTTCTCTCTCTCCATTTCACCCTGTTTCTATTTCTGCTCATTCTTTTAGGTATTTTGTGGTGAAGATGAACTCTAGAATCAGGTACTGCAATTTGAATGCTGGCTCCACAACTGATAAGGTACATGCCCTGGGACAAACCACACCACCTCTCAGAGCCTGTCACAAGGCAGTCAGGACATTTTAGGAGCAAACGCCTATGAAGCTCGTAAAAAGGGCTTGGCTTATGGTAAGATTCCTAAGAGTTAGCAGTGCTGTAGCAGGTTTATTCTATTTTCTATCACTATTTTTTCACACAGTTGTCTTTTCCATATTTATGTGTCTGCTTTGGCAAAGTGAAGCACAGTTTCCTCTACATAGTTTCTATACTACAGACACCTGTTTTGCCCCAGAGGCCTCTGAAGAATGTACATAATCAGAAAAAAATTTAGCACACATGGCTTTATTTCACTGACATGAAGACAGCTTTTATCTTAAAATCTTTATTTTCTTTCAGTTCTAAACATTTTGCATTATTGTTCTTCACACTTTCGGAGAATCTGAATCGTTGTAAATACCATTCTAATTTTTGTTTCTGCTAGAAGCATTATACTTATTCCCTTAAGCTCCCTTAAGCTTCCTGTGAAAGAAGTCGCTAACCTTAAACAAATAGTTGACTTATGTACTATTTTTGATGAGTCAGACATTCACCCTCTTTCTGTCATAAGATATATATGCAAATATTTAATATAAAGTATGTATTTTTATACACAGGGATGTATAATATAAATTAAGTAAATGAGTATGTATATTTATTTTCATCTCTATTCTCGTAGTTTAAATCTAAAAAGTACCAAGATTGGACTTTGTTTTAAAATGCTTGTCAATTCCCAAAGAGGGTTTGAGGTCATTTCCAAAAAAAAAAAAAAAAAAAAAAAAAAAAAAAGACTTACAGTCAAACCAAAACCTACTACAATCACTATAAATAACAAAATCTCAGTACTAAAGGAGAAAGAAGAATATTAAGATTGATAGAAAAATAATCTTTAAGTACTTTTGAAGTAAAGAAACCAGAGGAATCACTGTATCCTTCTCCAGAATACTTTTGTTTTTGCTCCACTGACAGTTTTGTTTTTTGTTTTTAATAAATGAACCCTGCAGAGGAAGTTTGGGAAAAATAGACTTTGCTAAGTCATTTTCTTATTGCCTCAGTTCTGCCTCACCCCAGCTTGCAGAGGCTAGTCTTTCTCTACCATGCTTATTTCACTACGAGTTTGCCTACCAATCATTACTCACTCTCATTTTTCAGGATACAAAGTGGTGTTTCATCTCTAGAGCCCACATCTACTTCCCTTGATGAGATATTTTGTTACAATTATCACTTTGCCAGTAATTTTGTTTTGTCTAGAAGGGAGGTAGGAGATGCAGGCAATACAGGGATTGGAGCTGTATTTGCCACCTTACTCTCTTTCATATGCGACCCTTCTTTTTGTATTCCTTCCATATATCCATACAAGGATTGTCACATTTTCTATCCCCCCTTTTCTGGTCCTGGATTTTTGAAGCTTTTATCTTCTTGGTTTCAAGTTAGCGCTGGAAGTTTAACTGGATAGAGGGAGAAATAGGAAACAGATATACTTCATTATATGTAAATCTTGATTTTGCACATGGATGCTCAGAATGCCATAACAGTTTTCTACTATAACATAATAGATATACGGAGCTTTTTGCAGATACCAGTGCCAGGCATGGATTTGTTTTCATTCATGTAGTATATCACTCATGATTTTGTCCAAATCTGTACCTTTCACACTGTTCACTGCTCCCTGATCTTTCAGCACAAGCAAACAATCTTCTGAAAATACCTCTCTCGGTTTGAAGGACAATTAGTGAGAAACATGCCAGAAAGGTTATTATGCCTATTTTCTGGCCAGAGCACTTTGAATCACCCAAAGAAAAACTAAGCATTATTTTGACATTCTTTGTCTGAACACTGACTATGTGTTTCTGAAGATAAGGTTGGCAAACTGTTTCCACAGCCGGATCCACACAGCGTGACATGTGCTTGTGAAAGGAACTCATCTGGTCGAAGTTCTCCTGCCCTTATGCCATGCAGAGTTCAGCTGGAATTTGAAGCTTGAGTAGTGTTTCTTTTCAAAGGCCATTAACTGTCCATGATAACATAAAGTTATTATGAACTGTAACATTCCATTCATCCTGGACTGTTGACTGATCACACGTCTAATTTCATAGTAACACAATAGGTCACAACAGTTATTTTATTTACTAATTCAGAGATTAGATTGGTTTAAGTTGAATATCAAATTGCCAGGTCATAATAAAATGATTTTTTAAAAGAATGTTTTGAGAGAAAGGTAAAGAAAAGCAGCTGGGCATGATGGCTCACGCCTGTAATCCCAGTACTTTGGGAGGCTGAGGCAAGTGGATCACTTGAGGTCAGGGGTTCAAGACCAGCTTAGCCAATGTGGTGAAACCCCATCTCTACTAAAAATACAAAACAATTAGCTGGTGTGGTAGTGAGCACCTGTAATCCCAGCTACTCGGGAGCTGAGGCAGGAGAATCGCTGGAGCCCATGAGGCGGAGGCTGCAATAAGCCAAGATTGCGCCACTGCACTCCAGCCTGGGTGACAGAGCAAGACTCTTAAGAAAAAAAAAAAAAGCATTTAACTTAAAACTGGTTTTATAGGCCAACTGCCACACTTATTTTTCTTTCTTGCTTTTCTTCTAGTTTTCTAAACGTTTGTGGCACTTTTCCTACATGCTTACCCTAGTACTTCTCCAGCTTGCAGACTTTTAGGAATTTCTGCTCTCCCTACTGCTGCCTTTGAGCCATTTATGATAAATCCTTCTAGCTGTAAGCAACTTTGACGTCTACCACCTGGTCACACACACATTTTGCTGAACCTTTTATGCAAATAACCTAAGAGGTGACTATTATGATTTGAATTTGTCTCTAAAATTCATGTTAGAAACCTAATCTCCAGTGCAATGTGTTGAGAAGTGGGACCTTTAAGGAATAATGAGGTAATGAGGACTTTACCCTCATGAATAAATTAATGTCACTATCATGGAAGAGGCTTAGTTTTCACTGGGTTCCTCATAAAAGGATGAGTTTGGACCCCTTTCCTTGCACATGCTCTCCTGCCCTTCCACCTTTCAACATGGGATGATGCAGCAAGAAGGCCGGTGTCAGACTTCCCAGCCTCCAGAATTATGAGAAATAAATTTGTTTTGTATAAATTACCCAGTGTCAGGTATCCTTTCATAGCAGCACAAAACAGACTAAGACAGTGACTTAGAACAGGTGTAAAAACTTCCTGTTCCATTGCCTGGTTCCATTACTTCCTATTTTTTTCCCACTAAGCTGATGTTCAGTTCCATCCATGCTGCTTTTATAGCTGCTGTTCAAACTTTAATGAGGACAATCAATGCTTGCTCTGCCTTTTTTAAAATAAACAGATTAGAACTTAGAAATTACAATGTCGAACAACTCTGATTGAGTAAACACAATTATATTAAAACTGTGAATTAAGAACAGTATCTTACAAATTTAATACCTTAATTTACAGACAACGAAGGACCAAATGTCTCTGTTGACTGTTATGCATCTTCAATTACTATTCAGCCGTGGTGACCTTGCCTCAGCAAATAGCATTTAAGCCCATTTATTCTTTTTCTACCCTGAGGAGACCAGTTATAAGTTTGTCTCCCATAGGGATGATCAGCATCAGGGCAGCTTGCTTCGTGTCTGTTATTATAAGGCTTTTGACGCATGCTCACCCATGTTTGAAATACAGGTACAACCATAACGATCTACCCCACAGGTCGGGTGCTTTTGTTTTTACTCACCCTATTTTCCAAACAAAGGCATAAGATAAAAATAAGTTTACTACAGTGCCATTTAACTTCACATGTAGCCACCTTAGCTACTGATTGCACATCAATTATTGTTTCTATTTGCTTCTGTACTTTCATTTCATGACCTAACAATGACAAAAAAACCCTCAAATATGGATATTACAATTAATTAGAAAGTATAGCACCAGATGTACCTTTTCTGGGGTTTAATGTTGCAAAATTACCTAGAGGTGGCCTCACTGTGGATTGAGGGCTTGATTCAGGTGAAGAACGAGGCTGCTTCTGCACCTTCAATACGTGAACACTTTTGGTTAATGAGCCCTCGGACATACATGGGAAAGCCCTCTTTTCCTTTCTGTAAATTGAGGACGAAAAGAGATGAGTCACTGAGTTTAACAGATGTCTCCAATTACAGTAATGACGGGCCCTGATTCTGAGAGGCCCACAGGTTTATTCCACATTGTGAGGATTAAATACAAAACCAGGACAAAACACTACTGCTCAGAAAAATGCCCTTGGATCCTACACAATGCCTGTTTTATTTGTACAATGTGGAATATTTTACTGAAGTATAACTTAGCAGGCATTATGCATATCAAAGGCAAATGCCATAAACTAACCCCTCGACTAAGGCTAGGGAATTAGGCAGGCTGAGATTATGCATGGGCCTTTCCCATATATGCATTCTTCTTTTCTTGACTTACACTGACTCTTTTGTGTCTTTATTTGTCACGCTGCTTAAACAAGAACTCCTGCTTCCCTGGCCACTCTCAATATGTTGATGAAAAGGGAAGATGGTCAAGCCCTGGGAGAATAGGAGGAGACTAGGGGGCATCCCATTATCAACCCCACCTGGTTAGGAGCCTCATTTTCCCCACATTACTATCAGGAAGAGTGTGCTCTGAGTTTACTATCTACTCTTGTAGATACTACAGTGATTTCCCACTCTGATTATATTTTTACTCCTACTAAAATGTTTTTACTCCTTTTCCAGTTCACTCAAATTCTTCTCATGCCATAAGGTCCAGTCCCAGTGAATATGCCCTGCTTGCACCTGAATTCAAGGAGCCCGAATAAAATCCCCCCCTCTCATCTGCATCCTGAACTTTCTCTTTCCTCATATGGGCACTACCAGTATTCCAATGTTCCAGGATGATGCCTTACAGTCCTATTTCCTTATGTGTCTCATATTGCAGGTGGCAAAGCATCCATAGCGGTCTCATCTTTTGCTTCCTTACATTCCTCAGATTCCCAGTCCAATGATAAAATTCTGGCTCCATTTTACCTCAGCTATCCACTCAGTTTCTCAAATGTAAAAATAGAAAATAGGTTTTGGCTTCTCTGCACATATTCTTGCATTGGTAACAGCTGCCTGTGTTGAGATGGCTTTTGAGAGGTTGGGTGGGAGAGAGCCATGATTGATTGGCTGGAGACAACAGGTCTGGACTAGAAGAGGTGACACTAGCACCACATACATGAGATTCCACCCCAAATCATAGATATGGTCATGTTAGAAAAGAAAAATAGTCCTCGACCATAACACATGAATCCCATCCCTAGTCTTTGAATTTTGATTAGCTTTTCTTCCCCTGTAAGTTCTCTTTTCTTAAGCCACATTGAACCACTGCAATTGCCAAAACACATTTTGTATCTTTGTTTCTTCTCATACCTTTCCCTTTACATTTCCCCCTAAACAATTAAAAGTCTTGTTACCAGATTAAATCTTGCTTCTTCCATGGCATATCATGTAATAACTTTCTCTCCTTGTCTGGTCTATGGCCTGTGCACATATGCACAATGCCTTTATCTTATTTTCCACTTTCTTCTCCTATCTGATCCTGTGCTATTGTTTATATGTTGCTATGTTATGGAATCTTGGAACTAAAATCTCTCATCTCACTCTACACCCAAACTGTCCTTTGCCTGGAACTATTTTAGAGGGGAGAAAATTAAAACTCACAGGAGTTATGACACATATGTCTGAAATCTACCGACAAGAGGGAACTGGAACTCAGCTCTCCTGAAAACGGCTCTTCCCAGTTGTCGTATTATATTGTGAAAACAGACCAGTTCACAACAAGCAACAGCAAATGAGCGCTTCATCGAATGATCACTTTCCTAAATAATGTGGCAGATTTTTAATTTTTTCTTTGAGGATTTGTCAGTAGAGCTTTTCTGAACATTAATCTCTCATATGTTAGCCTTTTAGAAGTAAGCTGTTTTATCACTTATGTAAAATTAGGTTCCCTTTTCCTTATGCATGTTATTCTTTTCTGCATTTTGTACTCACATACTAATTCCTTGCCCACCATTTTCCTGTGTCCCTGGCTCTGGCTTCTGTCTGCAACCCTCCCTGTCTGTTGTTTAAGGTCTGGTCTCCATGCTTGCCCCTTTGTCTGCTGCTACTCCTTCACCATCTCTGATCTTTCCTGATCTAATACTGTGAACAGTTCCAGCTCTGATCTCTGATGGTGAAATGGATGTATCAATTGTCTTAGATCCATACTATGAATATTCCTTAGATCCATATTATAAATATTTATCAGACAGTTTTTGGAATTTTAAAAAGTTATTTGGCTACTACTTTTCCACTAAATTGACCTAAGAGAGTGAATTATACATTTTCTGAGGTCAGGAAACGCTTCTTGTCTACCTTTGAAAGACCCAAAATACCTAATAGTGAAATGTGCAAACAGTAGTGTCCAGTAAGTGCTTGTTGAATTGGGAAATAAATCCAAGGCTGAACTCTATGATCATGAGGGCTTTGATTTATAAATTTAAAGGAAGACTAAAACAAACTATTACTTTTCTTTAAAAAAAGAAAGTAAATTTTTTTTGCAAGGTATGGAAAGCACAGATATAAATATATTCTTATTTTATTTATTGGTTTATCTTTACCAGACCTAGTATACTTAAAATTGCAAATTTTGCTTGAACAATTTTGGAATCATGAAGCGTATAAAGTGGTTTTGTTTGGAAAAATGCATGCCCACTTTCTCATTTGAAAAATATAAGGTATTACAATTCGATAAATTCAGTAATTCAATAAATAATTACTGAAAAAATAAAAACCTCTGTTAGCAGAATTTACTTGACCACAGAGCATCAATGCATTACCTTTGATGATTAGCCGGGGTTCTAAATCTATGTGCTAATGAATTCAATATGTGCAATGGGGGAATAGGTAAAACCATAAAACCTCAAAGCTTCAGCTTCTGTAAGCCTCCTTGGTGCAAGCAATCATATCAATGGCAGTTCGAGCTTCCCTGGACAAAACAGAAGCCACATTTTCTATTTATCTCCAATATTGCAACCAAACAAAACTTTGGAACTACTTAAATTTAAATGTATAGCAAAGTAGTAATGAAATGAATTAGTATAGATGGTGTCTGTGTAAAATGGAAACCTACAATAAGTGCTGGACCTCAGGGAATACTTTCCCTTTCACTTGAGTGAAGACAGGCTGGGTGCAGTGACTCATGCTTGTAATATCAACAATTTGGGAAGCCCAGGCAGAAGGATCGCTTGAGGCCAGGAGATTGAGATCAGCCTGGGCAATACAGTGAGACCCCCATCTCTACAAAAACTTTTTAAAAAAAGTTAGTTGGGTGTGGTGGTACATGTTTGTAGTTACTCAGGGGGCTGTGGCAGGAGGATGGCTTGAGCCCTGGAGTTAGTTCAACACTGCAGTGAGCCGTGGTGGTGCCACTGAACTCCACCCTGCATGACAGAGCAAGACCGTGTCTCAAAAAAAAAAAAAAAAAAAAAAAAAAAAAAAAATAGGGGGTAGGAGATAGGTCTAATGTCCAAGGTTAATTAACATCATGTCCAATGCTAATGCTCAAATGAGCAGATTATAAATTACATCAATTTTATTTTCTGTCTAATGCTAGTTTTGGTTGAGACCTAGACAGTTCTTATATGGACACAGAAAAATTTATTTGGAACCCTGCCATTGCTACTTGCTGTCTACAGTATTTCTCAAACTTTGGGTAAATTGTGGAGACTTTATGAAAATCACAGACCAAGCACTAAACTTGAAATTTATGAGAATGAATTACAGCATTTAGATTTGTAGTACTGCCATACGGGATTCTATGTCACTGACAAGTTCAACTATCGATGTAAAGAATTTGGACAAAATTTCCTAAACTTTCTGAACCTTAGTTTCTCTGTAGGAGGAAAAAATAATACTGATCAGATTGTTGGGAAGGCCACATGAGATAACATTGTGAATTGCATAAATACTGGCATGTGCCCTTTTCTTCTATCCTGTAGCTTGAATGTGGCCTTCCAAGGTATTGTATTTACCCAAGCTGTAGTAATCGTTATAACCCACCTCTTCAGGCTTTCTTATTTTTTTGTATACACCTATTCTCTATTCTTATTTTGATTTTGTCATTTTTAGTCATTAATCTGTCTTATATTAATAGGAAAATAAACTCCCTTTAATGAACAACATCTTGCTGTACCATTAAAGACTATTAAATTGAAAAATCTTTTAGTTAGTAGAAATATTCTTAGGAAAACACCAGCAAAATACTCAAGCAGGAAAGAAAAATTTTAGTTTAGGGACAAGAACTATGCAAGCTGTTAAAATATTAGTTTCTTAACTGACTTCTCCAATATTTGTAATTTTGTAGACATAATTTGTGTTGAAGTCTACTCAGTAAGAAAGTCTCAGTAAATGCATTCTCACCTGGATATAAGGTGGTCAAAAAGTTTCCAAACAATTTCTCCTTATCTATTTTAATAGCGTTTTCTCTTTATCATGGTATTGCTTGAATAATGAAACAAAATTACTAATAAAGGAATTATGGTCTCAACATTTCTTAATAAGCACATGAAAAGAAACTATTAACTACAGATGAAAGTAGAAGTTCTTAGTTTTGTTTCTAAATAGTTTTGATCTTCAAAAAATAGATGATATTTCCCAATTCAATTTCATAATATTGAAGTTATGAGATAGTGTCATGAACACCTAATAACTGCACTTGCCAAACTATTCAAAATAGAGCTAAATTGTATAAAGTTCTCCTTTTGATCCCCAATATCATTGAATGTCTAGTTTAGTTAGTCTTGTAAAACAGGTTGCAGGTTTAAGTTTAGAATTTCTGTGTCAACAGTAGAGTGGTCATTACCAAGGATGATTTAAAGACATGGGGAAAAATCCTTAACATATCCCTAAAATAGTATATTTTTAATTTAGGAGTAGAGGAGGTTAAAATGTTTATTAAATAGGCATGGATTTTGAAAGTTGGAGAACTCCTGCTTTGGACTTAACATGTTTGAGGAGAACCTGTCATCTTCAGCCATCACAAAATCATGGTCCTGTATCCAGGGTTGTGTCTGAATTGAGTTAGTAGTGGTAGCCCTACATGGTAATTTGAAATGCAAAAGCAGACTTTTATTCTGTGGGACGAAGTGGAGCAGACATATCTTTGAAAGCAGCTTTAATAGCATACCCTCCAGAAAAGTAAAGGAAGGAACTTGTTCTATTGTTCTAGACTATGTTCACCTTTGAAAAATTCAATATTAATCATTGCTCAGCTTTACTTCCAATACTGTGGCTATAAGGGCAGAATCCCAACTTTCTCTGGGAGAGCAGATAGTTGTCATTGATGATTATCTATCCTCTGAGTGGCTGGTAATAGAAATATTTTATTCATTATCTATCTGATTGCACCCTCACAATTCACCCTTTAGCCTTTGTAGAGGAGGTGGCACAGGTTAGTTTTCAAGTGTTAGATTTTTCCACAGGTCAGATTCTAAATACACAATATTCTTTCCTGTACTTTTAGCATTACTTTTCTGTAATAATTTGTTATTCAACGTTGAGCCTTCAGTCTATGTAGCTACCTAATCTATACAAACATTACACTGCCAAAAAAGAAAACAAAATCAATATATATATTTGATTTATATGAACAATATAAACACATGTATTAATTGTGGCCATGAAGTCTGGATGTGACCAATAAAATTATGGGTCATAAAAAAATCACATCCTAGGTACCCTCTCAAATTTTCTGACTTCCCTGTCCCTGGAGGCCTGAAATAAAAACATAAGTTTGAAAGTTTTATTAATAAGTATAGACTAGGCTACATGCTGTGATAACAAAGAAACCCCAATATCTCAGTGGCTTAAAGTAAGTGTTGGCAAACAACAGTCCATAGGCAAAATCCAGCGCAGCACTTGTTTTAGTAAATAGAACTTTATCGGCACACAGCCGCTCTCATTCATTTACTCTCTGTCTATGGCTACTTTCTTACTATAATGGCAGAGCTGAGTAGTTGCAATAGAGACCATATAGCCTGTAAGTTTAAAATATGAATCATCTGTCATTTTATAGAAAAAATTGCTGACTCTGCACTTAAAGGATAAAAGTTTTATTTTTTGTTCATCCAAGGTCTACTATCCAAACATTCTCCCTAAAGCAGCTCACCTCTAAGCTCTTGACTCAGATGTCTAAGTTGATTCCATCTCAGGACTGTACTTTCTCAATATAAAGCTTTCACTTTGGCCTAGGAGAGATTGACATCACGCATTAGTGATAGCCAGTCCAATGAAATGGACTTACTGCACCACAAAGGATCTGGATTATGTGAGGGAGAACATTGGTATTTGATCAACAGTAGAAATCATTGCCATATCAGTCATCTGCACATAAGTGATACTTAAGGACATGAAGCTGGATTAATTTATCAAGGAAGAGTTTTGATAGAGGAGAGAAAAGGTTCAAGGACTGTCTTGGGGCATTCCTAAACAGCGTTAAGAGCTCGGAAAGAATAAGAGCTATCAAGAATAATATAATGGAACAACCAGGGAGATATGTGTAAAACCAGTTACTTGTGGGTGTCCTGGATGCCAAGGGAAGGAAATGTATTTAGAAAGAAGAAATTATATGCCAAATGCTCATGATAGGCCAAAGATTAAGAACTGGAATGGAATATTGGATTTCAGAAGATCATTGGCTACCTTGACCATAGCTTTTTTCAGTTATTTGGAGTGATTTCAAAGCCTAATTGTAGTGAGCTTAAAAGAAATTGGGAAGCAAGAAGTTAGAAAGAGGAAAAACTTGACAAGTACTTCAAGAAATTTTACTATTAAGAAAATGAGTAAAATGGGGTTATGTATAAAGGAATAACGGAGTCATGATTGAGGTGCTTTATTTTTTCCTTTACATGTAGGATTTTTCTTGTCACTTTGCAAGCCTGGGACTTCCCAGCCAGCGACACCCTACCTGGGCCCTCATCGGCCACACTGGTGTTCCCCAGCTCACCTGTTATAGCTTGTACCCATGTTCAGTGGTTCTGGAGCTCTTGTGCCATGCCCAAGAAGAATGAGGATATGATGGACATTGAAGTGTGAAGAGGACAGAGAATAACTTTATTGAGCAATGAAACAGCTTTCAGCAGAGAGGCATGTGGGGTTGGTCTGCCTACCGGAAGGCAGGAATGCCCTCTTTGTTGCTGGGTGGGGGCCTTTGGACTCAGAATGGAGAGTGTGTGTTGATTTATTTTTGAGTACGCCAAAAAGGTTACAGTGAAGACAACTCTTAAAACGTGGGCACAGCAGTGTAGAAAGTCAATTAGGAAAGGGTAGGTATATGAGAAATAGGGGAAGGCTGGGGACTAATCAGAGAAAACATGTCAAATGGAGAAACAGATTCTCAATCCAGTCTAAGGATTTAACTTGTAGCTTGGCCTTTCAGGCTTTAAACTGTCCTTGGCTTGGAGGTGGAGTTTCACTGGGGACCCTTCCCCATCCGCCTAAGCATTTGGCTGCCTCCTGTCGCTCTCACGTTTTCAAATGAGATAAAAGCTTTCATGTTCTTAAGTTGATGGAAATGATTCTGTACAGAGAGAAAAATGTTGCTGTAAGCATGAGAGGTAATTGCAAAGACATTGAATGAAGCAAGTGAAGGAAGGTAGTGGACAAAGGGAGGGAGCTGCCCTTAGGCAGAGCATAAATAACACTTTAAAGGAAATGAATTAACTTTGAATCTTTAATCTTTTTTCAGCAAAAATATCACTTTTTAACTCAGCATTTGCAGATCAATATTCTTTTTTTTTTTTTCTTTAGCAAAGTTAATTCCAGCATAGTCCCCTGTTCTGAAACATTTTGGAGAAAACCACCTCCAATCAGGTCAACAAGCTTTGCTTTCTGATTTCTAAACACGACTGTTTTAACCCTGGTAACACTTTATAATTAGTAAAGCACACTGACTGGATTTCTTTTAATTACTATAATCCTACTACCATCCTCATGGTGCTGGGATGGCCAGATGTTCATCTTATATTTCACAGTAATTGTGTAACTAAATCTCTAAAGAATCTTTATTTTTCCATGGAAAGTAGTTCTTTTCATGGTAAGCTATAAAATTTCAAGTGGAAACTACGTATTTCTTCTCTGAATGCTGTTTAATTTTTCCAACAGCAATACTCAGCTAATGTATTTATTTCAAACTATAACTTTTCTTTTTACTCTAAATACGAAAAAGTTGCTTTTTCTTACAAAGAAAAAAAATAAAAGTCAATGATAGTACAGACCTGTGATTGTCCTCAGTTATATGTTAATGTGTGTGTGTGTGCATGTGTTATAATCATGAATAAAACAGGGCAGGATCTAACAACCTCTTCCAGTTAGCATGTTAATTTATCATTTTAAAGAAACCTTTTTTTCTGAAATACAATAGTTGACATGAATCCCATAAGTTTCATTACCTTTTATCTTGCCCTTTTTTGAAAAACAGCTTGCACATCTCCAGCATTGCATAAAATACCCATTTGTAATTATGCTTAACCTTTCCAAAGCCTTTGGGCATAGTCTGCTCATTAATCTTTAACCTGACAAGCCTTGGGGGTTGTAAAATTGGTACCTCTATGTATTAGAGACAGAGACTAGAGACTAGAGGTACAAAAGGGGTAATTAAGAGGAGGTAAGAAAAGAAATACAACAAAACTAGAGAGACATGACTATATTACGGTAGATGTCAACTAACAGCAGGGACAAAAGAATGCAAATCATTACAGACAGAGTTCAGGAAATAAATGAAGGTATACATTTTTAGAAAAAAAGTTAACCATACCCTGTTGTACTCAAGAAAAAATAACTTGCACCAAATTCATCTAAAATAAAGATTTACAAATATTATCATACAAAATATGGCAAGGACTCCTCTTGTAGTTTCAACCAAACAAGAGGGCCAATGAGAAAGTACAATCCTATTGATTGTCTTGCAGTGGGGAGAACAGGAACTATTCAGAAGACCACAGGAAGCATATAGGATTCCGAAGTTCAGCGATTATTAGCTGTGGGGAGCTGGAGAAGGTAGGTCTCATTGGAATGGCGAGAGTTGAGCAACATATTAAAGGAAATAATGAATTTAGCCATGCAGATGTTTGGAAGAAGAGTGCTCAAGGTAGAGTGAATAGACAGTACAAGTATCCTAAGGCCAGGCTGTGCTGTCCTGTTTGAGGAACATTTACAAAGCCAGTGTGGCTAGAGCAGATTGGGTGAGACGGGAGTTTTGTAGAGATGAGCAAAGTGATGTAATGGGGTCAGAACATGTAAGGCACTGCAGGCCATTGTGATGACCTTGTCTTTGCCCCAAATAAAATGGGGTATTATTTTGGGGTTTTGAGCAGCAGCATGAGACAATCTGACTTATCTTTAAAGAAAACTGTTAGCATTGTTTTTAAGAGACAGGTTCTCACTCTGTCACTCACCCTAATCCTCAAACTCTTGACTTCAAGCATTCCTCCTGCCTCAGCCACCAGAATTGCTGGGATAGCAAGTGCAAGGCATTATGCCTGGCTTCTTGTTTTTTAGAATAGAATTACAAGAAGGAAAAAGTAAAAGCAGGGAACAAGTTTGGAGACTATCTCAATCATATATGCATTGAAGAAGCTGAATAATTATTTTCCAAAATTTTCCTCAGTTTTTCTGGACATGCAGATTAACTGCAAGGGACACTGAGAAATGTTACCATGAAACAGGAAGAAAAGTAACATACCAAGGTTTTGTATGGTCCATATATATGCAATTAATCACTTTCTTCTTCAGGTGCCAATTGAATGGAGAGGATGCCAAGTTAGAACTGCCAGATACAAGGAACGTGGATTTTTTTTTCCATTTATTTATTTTTTTTTCTTTTGAGATGGAGTCTCACTCCGTCACCAGGCTGGAGTGCAGTGGTGCAATCCTGGCTCACTGCAACCTCCGCCTCCCGAGTTCAAGTGATTCTCCTGCCTCAGCCTCCCCCACCCCTCCCCACCCTTGGAGTAGCTAGGACTACAGGCACGTGGGCTAATTTTTGTATTTTTAGTAGAGACAGGGTTTCACCATGTTGGCCAGGATTCTCTCTATCTCTTAACCTCGTGATCCACCCGCCTTGCCTCCGAAAGTGCTGGGATTACAGGTGGGAGCCACCACACCCGGCCATGGATTTCTTGATGACCGTGTGGAGCTGATAATTTCACTTCCTCAAACTTGCCCTACTACCTATTTAAATTAAGATAAGTAAGAAAAAAAATGAGTAGAAAACAAACATTGAATTTATCCACTCAAATTTGGGCTTTATCTATTACAGTAGTTAGTATTACTCTAATGCATTGAAGTGGAGTTCTGCTAAATACATAGAATTGGTTTAGCAATTAGGAGACAGATGGCACAGAGACTGATATCAGAGACTGAGAAGCTTATGGTTCATGTTATGCAGTTATAAAATATTTGGCAAAACTCTCATGAGATACTTGCAAGGTAAACTAAATACCTCCAAGTCTGTAGCCCTGGAAATGATTAGATGGAAATGATTAGAAATAATTAGAAAAACCAAAGTGTTAGGTTATGTTGGCTATGATTGGCTCCTTTTTGCCAGTGTACTTAAAGAGATAAGCACAAGCAAGAATTGGGTAGTTTCAGGAAGAAATAGGGGTGAGAGTACCCAGGGGATTTCAGATATCAAAGGCCTGACAGGGGTGGCAAAGCTGTTGCTCTGAAGTTAAAAGAGTGAGAGATAAGATTAGAAGCAGCTTTGAGAGACAAACACCCACTAAGATTTCTCAGTTGAACCAAGATCCAAACTTGCAGCAAAGATCAGATAAAAGATGTTATCATCCTATCAATGCCAATTGTTCTAGATGATTTCAAGGTCTCTGACACTGAGTTGAGAAAGTAGAAGGCATGATGGGGAGGGGAGTGATTAAGAACAAAGAAATAAAATAGAATTTAGAACTATGTCTGGCAAAGAACTTTGGGTGGTTACTAGTACGTGAAACTGATAGGAATTAAATAGATAAGAATGTGGGCTTTTTTTGTTTGTTTTTTTTTATTTCTTTTTAGAGAGAGTCACACTCTGTTGCCCAGGCTGGAGTGCAGTAGTGTGATCCAGGCTTACTGCAGCCTCAACCTACTAGGCTCAAGTGATCCTTCTGCCTCAGTCTCCAGAGTAGCTGGGACTTACAAGTGTGTGCTACCATGCCTGACTAAGAAAACGTTGTAGAGATGGGGTCTCATACTATGTTGTCCAAGCTGGTCTCAATCAAACTCCTGGCCTTAGGAAATCTTCCCACTTCTGCCTCCCAAAGTGCTGAGATTGCAGGCGTGAGCAACTGTGCCTAGCATGGTTTGTTTTTTGAGGTACCATGTTGCTAAAGAAACTATAAACCTGGACTAAAAGTGTCTTGAAACCTTTGAATTTTTTTAATGACATCTAAACTTTCCCAGAAAGGAAATATTAAAATATCTATTTATATTCATTTTTCATATAAATATGAAATAAAACTTTAATACTATTTAATGTTAATCCTAGTATCCTCAAAAGTTCTTAGACAACCAGTCAACTGTCCCACATAGTACCTGAGGGATCTTGTTGGAAGTGGAGAGGTTTTACAATGAAGAGTGATTGACATCATTACACTTATTTATTCACTCATTGTATTGCTACCCATTGAAATTTACATGTGACCATATGAGTGGATTTATAAATTATATTTCATTTTAATAAATTCATCTTACAAATGTTCCTGCAAAGAAAATTTCCAATTGAAATGATATTAATCATACAAGCATAAGAAACCAATGAGAAAATGGCAGAAATACTTTAGTTTTAGTATGATTTCTTTGTAAGTCGTATTTCAAGATAAATGAAATAATTTTCTCAGAGCTGATAACTGGCCTAAATTTTGAAATTTAAAATGATCAAGAATGCTTTTGAAAACATGAATTTATATTCACTATTGTATGACCCTTGCCTAATGTGCATATTAAACATTGAGATATTAGCTAATCATAGTAGTATATGCATGTAATTATGAATTTGTATATTATTTATAATGAAGAAAGAACAAACATTTTGGAAATTACAACTCGAAATAGCATGTAGAATGTTCATTTTTATTGTTCTGGTGTTTTTGTCCAACTCATGAAACCACCAGTTAATGTTTATTAGTGAAGATTTCATAGTAGAAATACACCCAAAATCAATGATCTCATAACCACCAAATAAAAATTTCCTTTTGGCCAAGTCATAAAATTTCCTGCAAATAACCCCTAAGTTAGTGCAATATCAGAAGTACTCCCAAAATATATATTGGCTGAAATGGAGTAAAGCTGATTTCTTGTTTATGTGTTTGTCCTGGGCAGGAGGCTGCATCTTTTCCATACATTCATTCAGGACTCCCCACTGAAGGAAGTTCTGTCTTGTTCAACAGTGGTGCTAAGGTTGCTTCTACAGTCCTTCCTATGGAAACTTGCAAGGAGGAAGTGCCTCAATTAGTGGATGTAGAAAAACTGTAGACCTTGAAGTGGCACATATGTCCACTCACATCCCATTGATTAGAATGCAGCTCATGTGACTACACACTATTGCAAAGGAGTTAAGGAATATAGCCTAGGCGAGAGGCCAGGAATAAAACGAAATGAGTTCTGGTTAATAGTTGGCACCCTTCATCATAAAATCTATTTTTGGCTTGTATAGATGAATATAATAAAAATTAATCACTGAGTATAGGAAGCTGGACCTGATCAAAAGGAGGAGCTACTGTGTAGATCAGGTATTTCATGTGATGGATTGTATGCCTTCATTCAAGCATAAAGAGACTGTTAGAAACTCAAATCTCAAAGATATAACTTGTCTATACCAAGTCCATTGAAAAAATCCAGAAGAACCAAGGTATTCAAATATACAAACATATAGCTATTGCTTTCATTTATCCTCAGAGATAAGCTTGCAACTTCCAGTAAGTTATAAAGGGAAAGAATTTAATCTTGTAATTCCAACCACATCACTAAGTTTGGATTATCTTGCAGTGTAGAGAAACTGTTTTGAATTTCTCTAGCACTATGTATACAGGATCTATGTCTTAAAACAATCTCTCACAGTTAACGGGACCAGGTAAAGAACGTTTAACACACCTTGCAGTCAACAAAGGTGTTTCATACACACTGAAGATCTTTTGAATAATTTGCTTTCTTAGACAATGGCAAGAGATAAAAAAAATTCTAGAGTAATGCATATTACAACTTGCTTTTTCTCAAAGTTGACAACTATAGATTCAATTTGAATGAAATGTTTTAAAATGGTAGCATCATTGACTATGTGACAAAGATTTTGCTAAGTTATAGCTTTGAAGAAGTACAATGTGGAACGTGAAAGTGTTCAAATCTCAACATTCAATTTTTCTATCACTTTGAACACCTAGTAACCGGTGTCTAAAAATGCTAACAAATTTGAAACATCAAGGTCAAGCCTGCATGATCTTTCTTGTACTTTTCTGTTATAAAAATGACCCCATCTATTATGAGAGAAAAAAAAATTCTCATTGAGAAAAAGAACTCAGGAAATAAAAGACACCTTGAGATAGTCTTAGTTATTAACTACCATAGAGATATCTCCAATCACGAGTGTATATAAAAATTCCAGCGTCATATTTTTTATTTCCTTGTAACAAGTTCAGCCTCTTAACACATTGTATAAATGCCGGTTTATCAGGAGACATGTAAAATGCACATATGTAGACATATATAAATAAGGACCTTCTAAATTCTTCAGTGTTTCAGATTTTAAAAGTACTTGAAAATATAAGAAATAAATTTTTGTGATGTAACTAAGAAATTTTAAAACTGTGTAACATAACCACTAAATATAAATAAAACTATTCCTATGAAGAGATCTAAAAGAAGCAATACTCTAAAGAAATTTCATTTAGGATTTTTTTTCCTAGTTCACCTGTATTTCCTATCCTCTTTTTGAATAACAATATGTTAAAGTTTATGTTTTCTATAAGTGCCAGCATTCTTTTGTCACTGAATTGTAATGTTTTGGTTTATGGACAGAACAACTTGTCTTTGGTCAGTCAGGATGTTTTATTGTTTATGGCATAGATGATCTGTAATGAGTACTAGTTTATCCTCTAGTTCTGTAATTTAGAGCAAATAATTTACCTTCATTATCTTTATTTCCATATATTAACTAAGAATAACAATAACAAACTTAGAGTAATATTGCCAATGTGGAACAATAATTAGTTTGCTAGGGCTCCCATAACAAAATACCACAGACTGGGTGACTTAAACAGAAATATATTTTTTCACAATTCCAGTGCCTAGAAGTCCATGATCAAGATGCTGGCTGGTTGATTTCTCCTGAGGCCTCTTTTCTTGGCTTGCAGATGGCCACCTTCTTGCTGTGTCTTTACATGGTCTTTCCTACGTTGCATATCCCTGTCATCTCTCTCCTTTTGACACCAGTCCTGTTGAATTAGGGCTGTGCCCTTATGGCTTTATTTAACCTCAATTGCCCTTTTAAAGGCTGTATCTTCAAATACACATTACAGATTAAGGAGTCAACATGTGAAGTTCAGTAGAACACAATTTAATCCATAACGGACAATTTAATGCCTTATAACTTTTTTGTGAATTATAAAGCAAATTATTTTGTTAGTTTTGTTTCTGTTTAACACAGCTAGGTTGTTCTGATATTGTCAATCAAATTGAATTAATTCTAAAACAGTTATTTATCCACAGCAGCACGTGGATTGAAATGGGTGGTAATAACCAAAACCACATACACTATCTAGTGATCCTTGTTTCTGGCAGTCATTCTCATTTGGCAACATTTTTAATGAGATATGTCTATGTCAGTAGTCAGTAAACAACCATTTATTTGGATATACCCTGAGAGCCAAAAGGTAGCTTCCTAAATGAAATGGTGGCTTTTCTGTACAATATTTAAAACTAGAAATGCTTGCTTTTAGCCCTGAAGCCAAACACATGTTTGCTTAGTAAGTGTGAGAAATCCTGCTAACCATGCCCAGAGACCAGCCTGTATGCACAATAAACTTATAAATTTTCATTTATTTTTATTATGGCCTCTTAGATGGTCTTGTAGAAAAGGTTCAAAATTAGTTTTGTCTTAAAGACAAAAATCAAACTCAGTTAAGCTGGGCTTATGAAAGCACTAACACTATACTTGCTTGTTATAATCTGCCTTATATGGAAGACAGGCAACAATTTTTAGCTTGCTTTGTACTACATTCAGCCTAGCAGCTTGTGCAATTAAGCATATGCGAAGTGTCTAGAATGATGAAGGTGATAATGATCTGTCATGATTATATATTTCCACTGACCTCTGAGCCTCCCTTAAAATGGCCTTTGTGAATATCCATTAATTCCATATGACTCAGAAAATTTTGTCTCCTTCACTCCATTGGGTATATTGTTTCCATTAAAAGTCACATATGTTTATTGTTCTGTTTATAGGTTAAAATCATTTTTTATTTCATCGCTTTGTCACATCACACATATCAATATATAATATCTGCTTTCATTTATGAAAATTGAATGTTCATCTCACTGGGACATCACTATCAAACTCTGTATGCCTCATTCTTTTTACATAAAATGTGCACAGTCACTGTGGATAATTTAATATAAAGTACACACATGCCATCTTGTAAGATGTTAAATCATCTCAAAATTAAGGACAATATACCAACAAACTCAACTGAAGATGGAGCTGAACATTAGACAACGAAGATTTTGATATGTAAAGGGATGCTTATTGACCAAATCTTCCTGCCTTTATTTTCAATTGTACTGTACTAACTGAAAAATGCACTTTTTCTTCATAGTACTTTTCACAAATGTAGTTAGTCGTATTATTTATTTAGAAGCTTTCTTCTGCACTCAATTACATGGTCCAAAATGGGAAGAATTTGTCTTGTTCATTTTTTTTTAATCCCAAGTACTTGCCATAGTGTCTGACCCATATTAGGTGCTCAGTAACTATATACTGAATAAGTGAATGAATTATTAGATGAACTATAGAACACAGATTCCATGATTCATATTTAAAATATAATTCTAACTTCTTATTCCAGGTCCAGTGGTTCTCAGCTGTAGGGTGATTTTGTTCCTCAAGGCAAATTTGGCAATACATGGAGACAGTTTTAGTTGTCAAAACTAGGGGCACGTGCTGCTTGCATATAGTGGCTAGAAATTCTGCTAAGCACCCTGCAGTGCCCAGGGTCAGCCACCCACAACAAAGACTTTCTGACCCAATAGCCCAGGTTAAGAAACACCTGATAACCCAATTGGTCAGGCTATTCCTTCAACCATATCCCTAGCCTATTTCCCTTTCATTTACTAAACTCCAGCTATCCACATGGTGTTCTTCTTGGACATTTTTTTTCCTCCTCATCCTTTATGTGGCTAATTACACTCATTTTTGGGGTTTCAGTTTAGCTCTATCAACCATGATGCTAATTTCTATCCTGAATTCTCATGTTTATTTCCCACAATATTAAAATCTATAATTGTATATGTATATATATATATATAATTTTTGCATGTTCTATTAGACTCTATACTCAGGAGGATCTGGAGTCTGCTTAGCCTAATTGTAGCAAATAAATGCTCAAAAATTTAAGAAACAAAAAAAATCAGTGTTGTTGGATATAGTGATTTGTATATGGGAGACTTGTGCAAGGTGATGTGAGATAAATAGGTAGGGCTCTTTAGATCATAGTATATTATTTGGAACTTATCCTAAGTGCAGTAAGGAAATAAATTATTTCCAAAGAGAAGTCAAAAGATTTGATTTTTTTTTAAGATCATTCTGGCAACTATGGAGAAATTGAATTAGAATGAGAAAACTTAGAAGCAGGATAACTAGTGTAGAAGCTGTAACAGTAGTCTATATGGTGATGGTGGCTTGGATCATTAATGCTAAAAGTGAATATAGCAAGAACTGCATGAATTTCAGGTACATTAGGAAGTAAAAAGATGCTGATGAATTAGATGTGGATGAGAAAGACATAGAATTATCAAGGATTATTTCTTAGATTTTAATGTAAGCAAAAGGTAGGAATCAATTCTAGGTCCTGACTTGGAGGAGACTAAAGTAGAAAGAGGTTTTAAAAAAATAATCGACAGTATCATCTTGGCCATATTATGTTTGAGATGCTTTTATAACAATGAAGAGGAATATCTGAATATTGGATACCTGAAGTTTAAAAACGAAAAAGTATTTGGATATGTAAATTTGGACTTTATCAGCATATAAATACATGCTATTCAAAACTTACACCTACATTAGATTCTTTACAGAGTCAGTGAAGCTACAGAAATGTCATGAACCAGCATTGAAACCTGTGACACATTAACATTTAGAAGAAGAGTGGAATAAGAGCTGCAAATATCAGAGCCTGAAAGAGTGGCCAGTTAAGAGAACCAAAATTCATGGAAATCCACAAAGGAGAATATTTCCAGGACAGAGTAGCTACCTGGGTTGAATGCACTCTAAGGTTGAGTAAGATGAGCCTAAAGCAGGATCCTTCATATTGCAAAAACTGGTATGACTTAATATTTATGGAATTATGCTAACAAATGGGGGTAAAGGCCAAATGGAAGTAGTTTAACATTGTAAATGGTTAATCATGGTAGTTACTTGAGTGAAAATAGACTTTCTAAATATCTCTTTTGAGAATTTTGATGTAGGACAGTAGCTATAGAGAGGAATGTGATGTCCAGTGAGGGTTTCATGGAAGATTCAGGAAAATGTTTG
Source organism: Homo sapiens (assembly GCF_000001405.40). Taxonomy (NCBI): domain Eukaryota; kingdom Metazoa; phylum Chordata; class Mammalia; order Primates; family Hominidae; genus Homo; species Homo sapiens. The sequence goes on from NC_000013.11 coordinate 53,866,224, forward strand.
AATGCTGATGGAAATATATCATAGGGGAAGGAAACTTAAAGTGCAAGAGAGAAAGAAGGTAGCAGAATATTCTAGTTATAAATATTTTGTCTCTCAATTTCAAACCTATTCTTCTCTGTTCTGCTCTGTGATGGAGGATAAGCACACAGCAAACTATACTTCTCATCTGCCTGCTGGTTTCCTGCCAGTTTCTACAAGGTGAAGGCTTCAGAGGGAGCCTAGAAGTAGAAAAGAAGAAATAAGAAATTTTCTTCTTTGTGTTTGCTTGTTACTTCCTTCAATGTCATTCCAGCATCCCCTGGTTCCAATTTCTAGCTTCTTGCCATACCCTGAGAACCAACCCCACTGCAACCCTCAGAGGTAGAAACTTTTCTTGGAGCTCAACAGCTGGGAAGTGTCCCCTCCTCAGTGAGCCAGTTTTCAGCTTCCCAAGGCTTTTCTTCCAGGTTCTAATAACCTCAACCTCTTTCTTTTGTTCTTCAACTCTAGAGACGTTGCCTCCTATCATCTTTACTTGTGTATTTACTTTTGGCTCCTCAGTCCCTCCAACACCTATGTAACTGATTCACTAAAAGAAATAAATTCTGTCTGTTGAAGTAGAGTAGTTTTGAATTTTCTGCAGGACAGGTTTTGTTTAGGAATAAGGATTTTGTCACAATTTGGTCAGGTGAGAAAATGGCTATAGCTGCAGGATGGCATACACGCAGCAAGGTCATCAGCTGAAAGTGAGAAAGAGGAAGATAGGGGAGGGACATTCAGAAATTTGAAAGGAGAGAAGGCTCAGGTTGAAAGACATTGGGGAAAACTCTAGAAGGCTGCCAGCCAGTAGTCTGTACCTCTAGGCTTGGAATAATTTTTTTTTTTTTAATAAAGAAACTGATCCACTCTTTGAGACTGTTTCCTTTGGGCTGTTCCTCAGTCCACAGTATGTTGGGGTCAAGCCATGAAGGGCCAGGCCATGAATAACTATACTAAGGAATTTTAAATATATACTGGAAGCCCTAAGCCAGCCACATGATACACACATGACCATTCCCAAATTTTGCTCATAGTTCATTGCACCATGTCCTAATAGGCTTTTATAATGCAGTACAGTAAGTCCTTACTTAATGCCATCAATAGGTTCTTGGAAACTGAAACTTTAAGTGAAACAGTATACTGCAGGTCCTTGAATAATTGTTTAGTTCACTGTTTGGTTACAATGGGAATAAGAAAAAAAAACTGATTCCATTATATGCTGTTTTGCTTAAAGTCACAATTTCACAGAACCAATTATTGATGTTAAGTGAGGTCTTACTCTGTATTAGGCATCCACAAACAAAATCAATCTTCATTGGCATATATATTAGCCAGGTCATGCTGCAATAGCAAAATCCCATAGGTTGGATGACTTAAAGAGAAACATTTTCTCACAGTCTGGAGGCTAAGATGCCGGGGGATTTTATTTCTGGTGAGGGCTCTCTTCCTGACTTGCAGACAGCTGCCTTCTTATTGTGGCCTCATATGACCTTTCCTTGGGTTTGGGTGGGAGAAGGGGAACAGAGAGACTGAGCACTCTGTTGCCTCTTTTAAAGACACTGATCCTGTAGAATCAGGGTCCTGCCTTTATTACCTCATTTAACCTTAATTATTTCCTTAGTGGTTCTATCCCCAAGTATAGAAACACTAGGGTTTAAGATTTCAACATATGAATTCAGGGGTGACACATTCAGCCCATAACATGTAAGTTGGAAATTATTTACCATTTCTTAAATAGGCAATTTTAAACTGAGAGGTGACTTACTATAGTATGGAACATGAATTAGATGAAAGGTTAAAATAGAAACAAACTACTTAGAAGGCAATAGTCAACAGCAACAATTATGAAAGTCCTGAATTAAGGTATCATAAAGAAGAAAACACATTGATTTTCCCAAACTTTGATTTTTTTAAATTATTATTATTTTTTGTTGTTGTTGTTGAGACAGGGTCTCACATTGTCATCCAGGCTGGAGTGCAGTGGTATGATCATGGCTCACTGCAGCCTTGACCTCCAAGGCTCAAGCGATTCTCCTGACTGAGCCTTCCAAGCGCTGGAATTACAGATGTGAACCACCACACCCGGCCACTTTTTTTTTTTTTTTTTTTTTTTTTTGAGACAGAGTCTTGCTCTGTCACCCTGGCTGGAGTGCAGTGGTGCGATCTCGGCTCACTGTAAGCTCCACCTCCCGAGTTCATGCCATTCTTCTGCCTCAGCCTCCCGAATAGCTGGGACTACAGGTGCCCACCACCACGCCCAGCTAATTTTTTGTATTTTTAGTAGAGACGGTGTTTCACCGTGTTAGCCAGGATGGCTTCGATTTCCTGACCTCGTGATCCGCCCACCTTGGCCTCCCAAAGTGCTGGGATTACAGGCGTGAGCCACCGCGCCCAGCCGCCAATTCATTTTATAATTCATCACTGACTATACTTAGAAGGAAATAAACCATAAAGTAACATGTCTAGTTTGTACTTCTATTTGTTTAATTTTTTAGAAACAGGATCCCTTTATGTTGCTCAGGAACTCCTGGGCTCAAGCTATCCTCTTGCCTCAGCCTCAGGAGTAGCTGAGACTAAAGATGCCACCATACCCAGCAGTAAGTCCAGTTTTTGAAGTGGCATCCTTGCAGAAAGGAATAAATGAAGAGCTAGTCCTATTCTAGTGGATAGGAATAGAAATTGAATTTCTATGAAAGTTTAGAGGAGTAATATGTAGCATTTCCCAAACTTTTTGGACAAGGGAATCTTTTGTTTTTGTCCATGTCATAAAACTAGTATTTCATGGAACTGCAACTTTGCAAAATGTTGGTTTAGAGGAAGTCTGACAGAATATGTCCTCATATAATGGTCTTGATGTATAAATTTTACTCAAGCCCAAGGATGAAGTCTTCAGGAAATAAAATCTTATTAATGAAATATATATGGCACAGAAATGGCAACAAAATTCCCATTTATTGGCAGTAGGAACTCAGTCACATATGCTAAAATGTAGCATTTCAGGGCAGTCATTCTCTGCCATGTGTGTGGCTTGAAGCTACATATACTATAAAAGAATCTCATTTTTTTATGGGAACCACTGTCACAGGGGCCATGTAAATTGCTTATTATAGTAATTTATAAATAGTTTTGAGCACTATCTAAATGCCTGGCATTTCTCTAATTGTGTTGTATCTGCTTAATTCTCCCCCAAAATTCTATGAGGTAGCCATTAGTATTAGGCCCATTTTACAGAACTGGAAACAGTCACAAGGAGGTAAGTAACTTATACAAGTCACACAGGTAGTAAGTGGTAGAGCCAGGTTATGAGTACAGATAACTGTCTTCAGAGGCAACATAACTTCTGTAATAAACTGATTTTTAGTATTCATCCCATTCTCTTGGAAGGAAAGAAACATGAAGCTGCAAATCTACATAGAGATGAGGGAATTGGACTAAGGTAGGTTGAATGTATCATGGGTTTAATAGCCTCTGAACACCTTCGCTTCTCTCCCTGGGAAGCAAAAGGTATGGGAACAGCCCTTTTCCTCTGATATTGTTACACAATTCCTTAGAAATATATGCCCCTGCTAAATAAAATGAAACCTTTAGATATATTGATGAATTCAAACACATTTTGGTTTAGTGAGAATCATTTAATCTTATTGTGATTTCTAGATTTGTATCTTAAAGATTAATGCTCAGAAGTTCATTATCTCTCTGTATTCAATATTTTTGATATCCTACCATTGAAACACTTAAGTACTTGATATAGAACTCCTATGTTTTCAGGTATGCTCAAATTCTATTACTTTCATGAAGTACTTGTCATTACCAGCCCATTTAGGTTTATTCTTTAACAACTTTGTCTTTATAGTAAGTTTCACATGTTTATCATATAGCTTGGTCTTCTAATAGGAAACATCTTAAAAACTGATATCCTTTCACAATTCTGTGAAATCTCCTAAGTCACCTACATAATTAACATGAGTTTATAGAGTAATCCACCTTGGAGATTATTCATTAATAGATTGAAAATGCTCTATCAAAAAATGTTATTTTTCATGCTACTATTATACATATCTTGATTTGAGTCAAATTTTAATAAACAAATATATAATGAATTATTCTTAAATTTGCATATATTCACTGAATATTTACCTAGATATCATTCCTTAAAGATTATGTAAATTTTGATAATTTATATTAGAATCAGAAGTAAGCATATTTTAATTTCTTATCCCTAGGGAAGTGAGTTTAACAATTCTGAAGAAGTATCATTTGCAAGCGTCTGGGGAAAAAATGATCAGGTTAGTGTAGATGGAATTTGCCGTTTTAAATTCCGTAATTCCATAGAGATATACAGAAGGCAAAGATATGGTTTATATTGAAATCACATTAGATTTAGATAGTGTTGGTTTCTACACCTTCTCCAGGCTGGAGCATAACCTCTACATATTTATGTTATCAAACTCTTCAGTGCTGTTCTTGTCAGGGGCTGATGTGTTACTTTGAAATTCATCTGGAATTCCTGCAACCAATCTTCTCTCTATCCCCACTCCAGGTGCTTCTGTGTTTCAATGTGACATTTTCCTATCCAAATAGATCAGTTGTTTATAAAGGAAAAATTACCTGTGTCTGATATTTCTAGTTGAGTTAATAAACATTTTATTGCCACATACCCTCTGTATCTTTAAAATGCAGTCACCACTTTAATTTCTGAGAGGAAGGGAAAGTCATAGTGCCTCTTTGTCGTAACACATGTGTACCTGATTTTTATTTGGAAATATATTTGCAATGTTTTAAAAGTCCCAGCATCACAATTTCTGAAGTGAAGTACGCATAAAATTTCCTTAAACAGAACTTACAAATGCATCATATTTATACTTGTTATTCTGAGGATATATATGTGAAACTACACGTGCTCATGTGTGCATTTACACACACACAAGGAAGTTCATACATACAGAGATCACTTATCAGCTAGTTTATGTTATTTAAAACCAAATCCTAGCTATTTTAACAAATTGCCAAGAAAAGAGCAAATATACATCATTTTCATTGTTGTTGTTGTTATCCTAGGGCTTAATAGAAATGGCAAGACTTCCTGCCCTACACTTCTCTGCTCTGTCTTCTTTCCTTTCACTTGTCCCTTTGTTAATTAATGGGCAAAGTTACCAAGTCTACAGGGCTTGTAGCTAATCAGGGAATTTCACTTATTGGTTTAGGTAAAAGCTTTCAGAATGTTAGTGCATCACCTGAGGTGAGCCTAGAAGCATACTTTTGGCAGAAAATACTTCCAAAGAGAATAGTCTGGAAAGAACTTAGCTGAAACTTGGAATTTACCTCTCTGGGCAGCTCATATATCCTCTTGTCTCTCCCTATTAAATTCATTCATTTTATATACTTATATTTGGTAAGATGAATAATGTTACAAAGGCCTGATTTTTAAAAATTTTATTTACATCTGCATGCTTAAACACTTATTTTCCTCTCCTTTAGTTTTACTCCTCATCCTCCCAAAACCAATTATATATATCTTTTTATATGTTTTATTCTCCCTTTTGATGCTTTCATTTGGCGAAGTATTACATTCCAGACAGAAGTTTCAAATGCCCTTTTCACTGGAAAACCTTTACCTTGGCAGATGTCTCCCTAACCTAAATATTTGCTCATGATCTCTCCAAATGTTCAAACAATGGTGGGCAAAGTAAAATACTTCTCTCAGCAGCAATATTAATATTTCTTTTGGCCATTTTGTTGAAGTTTATTGTAGCACCCATTTAGTAAGGCACCAAAGGCATGGTAGATTATAAATCCAGTTTGTGGCAAGCCTCATTTCACGTTTGCTTTAACTCCTCCTCTTTCTCCGAAGAAGGAGGAACGCTTAATATGAGCCCACAAATACTGCCACTCATTCAGTTAGCAGTTTGTTTTAAAAACTGCAGATTTTTGACTTTTCAGATTTTATGTGAGTTATGCCAGGGGCAGAAAAGTACCAGGGAAAAGCACTGCAGGGCCTGGTATATGGAGCTTACAGGATTCTGACACCTCTTTGGTTTTGCAACTCTTTTCTAAAAGCATTGAATTTTATCGTTTATACCATGGTGCACCTGTTGGTAATTCCCCCCACCTGGTTTTCTTCCCGTTGGGTTTACTGTTCAGATTTGCAGGTAAAACGCCATGATACTGAGGCTCTTGCAGATAGCTGAAAACACACCAAGCAGCACCCACCCACTGATCCCTTTGGTTTGAGCTTTTGAAGCAGTTTTGACTTTGGAAAGATAAGAAAGCCTCTATTCCACAGTTTTTTTGCTATTTTGCAATTCAAGTACATAACCAAACTTTCACTCTAAGGACACACAGGCAAGGTGTTGCTTGTGGATTTCAGGGGCAGCTGGCATTTTAATTTCAGGAAGGTACTTCAGATTTTGGAAAAAAAGAGTGATTTGGCTCTTGGGTACCTGCACAGATACAAGCTGCATTCCTCTCAGGGGACTTGCCCCACAGAGGGCCACAGTTAATGTAGTAAGCATGGCATTTTGAGATTGAGCTAAGCATTTCTAGAATTGTTTCCTGAAGAGACAAAGGAGGGGAAGAGAGAAAGCGGAGGAGTTTTGAGGTTGTGAAATAATTCCCAGAAACTTATCTGTAGTCTATAAAGGCTGCCTTGATGCAGTAGCAAGGACACTTAAGAGTTTTGTTGCTGAGTTTATTCACTAGTAAAGCTAGGGTAACACCACACATCTTGTGTGGCTGAGGAGAAATACAAATTAAAAAAAAAAAAGTATTAGTGCCTTGAACGCCCACTGAGGACATGCAGACAAATGTTGTCATGAACATGTACTTATGTGATTCCTCACCCTGGCCATAGTTGACTGGGCCTGTGGTAAGCCCCTGACCTAAGTAAGATCTTCCAACCGTATGCTCACGGCTCTTGCTGCCAAATATAAGACTGAGTAGGCTGTGCTATGGATTTGTCCAAATTAAAATTTCATATCTACTTTAGTTGGCTTTCAGAGCAACTTGCCAGCTTTGATCCTCTCTGGAATGTTGATAGTTGCCTAATTTCGCTGTTTCTTTGCCTCATCCATCTCACAATTCAATATCAGGTTTCATGTTCTTACTTGTTGATTTTGCTAAGAGCCCCATCTCCACTAACCATCTCTAGATGCTGAGAATTGCTGCCAACCAAAGCTCCAACTGCATGGTTATCTTTTCTAATTTGTTCTAGAATTTGAAGAAAGAACAAAACGCACAAAGTAACAATAAAAAAAATCAATGAAAGACAAAGCAACAGAAGAACAGAGTAATAAAGCACAGATCCACCGAACACAATTCACAGAGCAGGAGTGAGTTCGAGCAAGCGGCTCAAAAGCCTCCTTAATCAGGGTTTTTATTAAGCTGTAAAGAACCCGGCGACACCCTTCGGTTCCCGCCTGCCCCCCCGCCCCCCCACCCCGAGGCCTCCAATTGGCCACACCCATGAAGGACTGACCTGTGACCAATCAGAGGCTGAAGTGGAGACCCCGCCCGCAGTCAATCAGAGGCTGAAGTGGCTTGTTATCTTGGGAGCGAGGACGAGGCCTATTTGCTGCACTTGCTGCTCTCCTGCCTATACGACCTGGCTGCACCTGCTGTTCTTTTGCTTATGCGAACTGGCTTCACCTGCTGTTCTCTTGCTTCTGCGAACTGGCTGCACCTGCTGTTCTCCTGCTCATGCTTTAACCCCTGCTCACCCCAGTTCCCTATTCTCCTACCTAGTTTCCCCTTGAGAGAATTAATTTAAATTTAAACTCGGTAACCCTAACCAACTTTCAAGTGCTCAGTAGTCACATGTGGCTATGAGTACCATGTTGGGTAACAGAGATATAGAACATTACCATCTTTACAGAAACTTCTGTCAGACATCAGAGGTTAATCTCTGTTCATTTGCCTGGAAGGTTTTTCATATTACAGGTCAAAGAAAATTCTTTGAATCAGATAGATAGTATGCATATATTGTAAGTAACAGATAACATAATTCAAACAAGCTTATCAATTAAGGGGATATATTCACTCGTGAAACTGGAAGGCTTCAGAGTTGGTTTGATTCAACTGTATAATAGAATTGCTAAGAATATATTATTTGCTTGTCTTCCAGTTCTGATTTGTGTAAACTTTGGTCTAAGGGCTGTCTTTCAACATTGTCATAAGGTGGTTGCCTGTGATTCCCTGGAATGCATAATCCCACAAATCTAATTGAATTACCTATTTTCAGAAGATAAAGGAACTGTTGTTTCTCTAGATGTAAACACAAACTTTTCATAAAATTTATCAGCCCAAATTTCATCATTTATCAGTCTCCTAACAAATCTATGGTCAAAGAGTAAAGTCATGTGGCTTAGTTTAGGCATCAAACAAAGAATATGTGGATCCGTGAATGAAAATCATTGTAGTTAAAAAGAGAATGTTTGGTGAGAAGGCACACGTGATGTCTTTTAGCACTCTGTGGTAGTGGTTCTCAATAGAGAGTGATGTTTTACTACAGGAAACACTTGGCAATGTCTGGAAGCAGTTTTAATTGTAGTCACTGGAGGCATCTACAAGCATGTAGAGGGCAAAGGCTAGGGATTCTGCTAAACATCCTACAATGCACAGGACAGCACCCATCCCCACAACAAAGATTTACCTGAGCCAATGTAAATAGTGCTGGCATTAAGAAATCCTCTTCTATGTGATTGTATCTTATGAAGTCTAGCTTAAATTTAAAAGTGACTTTAACGACTCACATAACAGAAAAATACAGTTAAATCTGATTTCAGGCATGATCTAGAGATTTGCAAAATTCAAGAGAGTTGCAACGTTTTATATATTCCTCCTGCACTTCTTTGCAGTTGTGTTGGTTACTCTGTGATCTAGATTCTCAAGTTATCTCCTTCATGGTAGCACCAACAATAACTATACTTCCAGATTGTTACCTTTCTCAGAATCTGCCAGCAAACAGCTGCTTCATTCAAGTTAGCTAGAATTGTACCATGTATCAGTTGCTAAACTAATCTATGACAAATATTTGGTTACTCTTACCTAACTGTTACACAACTGAGAATAGTTGGTGGGTAATTTTGCAAAGGAAAACCTGAGCGCTCTGGATGAAGTTGGGGGAGTTTGATTCTAAACAGACAACTCATGAATGTCAACTACGGGGTTGGTGGAATACATTAGTAATTACCATAGCCAGCATCTAGCAGTCTATAATTGGTGTGTGACTCCAACAGTACTTAAAAGTATAATTGTTGAAATGGGATGGGCAATCAAATAGGTTCATTAAAAACTTGAAGCATAGGCTTGATCAGAAAACAGCTTTCTTTTCCACTGGTACCTTGTAATCTGATTGTTTTGAATTATCTACTGGCACATATTTGTATAATATTCTATTTCATGAAAAACAGATAACATGCATAGGACGTTTTTACTTTCTCATGTTAAATTTTCAAGTTCGTTTGTATCTAAACCTTTCATTAGTTTTACAACATTTCACTGGTTACTCTGAGTAATATAGCTTGCTCATATGGAAAACTGAGATAACAATAGTATTCCTTTCTATTGTTGCTTTTAGAAGCAGATAATTTAAAAACAGCGAGTACAACATTTAAGTAGTAACTGCATATTTGTAGATGTTCAATCAATATTAGCTACAATTGTTTCTACTCAATGGTACTGAGATATCTAAAGCCATAAATATTATTTGCATTTCATTGTTTTCAGCCTAAGAATTACTGAGCAATACTTCAATTATCCTTCTTTCTAAATCATATCTGTTGATCTCAGTTATGTCTTAATTTACACTGTATCTATATATTCCACTATCTCAAAATCTTCTTTCTTATTTCTATTGTTTAATAAAAGCTGTTTTCCTGGAATATTTTATTCATTTGAAAGATTGATTGATTGATATAATTACTTAGCCTATTTTCTATTATTTCCCAAAGTCATAGTCTTTTATTGAAAACAGAGATAAAACGTACTCCCACTAAACTCTTAAGACAGGAATGCATACCAGAGATGGGCTGTTATTTTTCTTTTTTTAATACATGAATAAACATAAAAAGATAATTGGGTGTCGGTTAAAAAGTTAGATACAATTTTCAATTTAACCTCTCCACTGTAAACAAACAAACAAAAAAACAAAGTTTGCATTTACATTAACATGATATATGGTTAGAAGTGGTTTCCATACCCTTTAAAAGAAAAAGAAAGGAACTAACACTTCTTGGGTACCTATCTAATATTATCTCAGGCAGATACTAGGTAATTAGTTAATAAAAGAGATGTTATCTTCATTTGGAGATATAAAATTAGTAGAATGGAATGTCAGAAAAGTTAAATAACTTGCTGAAAGTCATGCATATAGCAAGTGGTAAGACTAGGATTTGAATGTGAATCTGTTTGACTTCAAGTTTTGTGTTGTTTCTATTGCTCCCTGGCTGCCTTAGAGACATATCTACATGCACCACTGCAATTTTATTCTATCAGGATCTCAAAAGAATTTCTCGTGCCTTTGTGCCTATGCTCATCTTATTTTTTATTACATGGTATATAGGATGCTGCTTCTTCAGATAGTATCTATATCTCTTCCCTGGGAAGAGCTGTTTATCTATTGGCAAGGCAATAGAGTATGTTAAATTTCTTCTGCTTGTGTTTGTTTTCTGTGTATATTCTCTTATTTTCCAACTCTCTTAATACCAAATGTAATCCCCATGCCTCTTAAAATTTTTTTATTATCGTTCATTAAAAGTATTTTCCCTTGTGTCTAGAAATCCTTTATCCTCTAATTCATTAATTCAGCAAATACATATGATGTGTCAGACGCTATGGGGTAACTAAAGTACTCCTCAAGCATTTCCATTTCCTTAAGTAGAGGCTGCCAGCTTGCAGTTAGACATTTTGTTTTTATTCGATTGATAATTGTTTAATGATTTCCAACTTTTCTTTCCTTGATTTCAATTGTAAATTATAGCACATTTTTATGTTTCTGATAATTTATAATAATGTGTGGTCTCAACAAAACTGAGCCTGCTATACAACTATAAAAAGATTCATTTCCATAAATTCTTTAAACAAATTTATAATATGATATGTAATTCTAGTATTTGATAAGACTTTCAAAGATATAAGTAGGGTACCTTTGTGTGCTTTCAAAACATTTTCATTTGTTCAAGAAAAAATATTGCTAACTTTATCTGAATATGACTTTAAAAAAGACTATAGAATGTCAATGATAGCTACAGTACTGAAAAGGGAAAAAAGTGGGAAATTATTAGAAAGATAAAATTTACCTTTATATACAATAGCAAAAAAGGAACAGATATATAGATTTCTAGCTGGTCAGTAGAACATTTTGCCATCTCAAAAAATATTCACACATTGTTTTTTCATCTTAGTTTATCTATTGCTGTACAACCCAGCCACTCCAAAATTCAGAGCCTTGGAACATCAACTATTTCATTATACATAGAGATTTTGTGGTTTAGTAATTTGGTCAGGGGTCAAGTGGCAGATTTTATTATTCCATGCGGCACCAACCAGGGTTCCTTAATCATATTCCTCTGGTGTGTAGACCCTTCTGCAGAGTCCAGTGTGGCTTCACTCACATATCTGACACCCTAGCAGAAATAGTTTTAAGGCTGGTCTTAGCTGGAATGGTCAACTGTTGATCTTACAAATGGCCATCCTCATACTAATTTCAGATTAAGTCTAACTTCTAACCTGGAAGTTCAGAGTTCCCAGAGATGGTGTTTTAAGAGACATAGGCAGAAGCTGCAAGGCTTCTTTTTTTTAACTTTTATTTTAAGTTCAGAAGTACAGGTTCAGGTTTATTACATAGGTAAACTTGTGTAATGGGTTTTTTTTTTTTTTTTACAGATTAATTCATCACCCAGGTACTAATCTTAATATACATTAGTTATTTTTCCTGATTCTCTGCCTCCTCCCATCCTCCACCTTCTGATAGACCCCAGTGTGTGTTGTTCCCCTTTATGTGTCCATGTGTTCTTATCACTTAGCTACCACTTATAAGTGAGAACACATGTTATTTGGTTTTCTGTTCCTGTGTTACTCTGCTAAGGACAATGGCCTCCAGCTTCATCCATATCCCTGCAAAGGACATGATCTCATTCTTTCTTATGACTGCATAGTATTCCATGGTGCACATGTACCACATTTTCTTTAGCTAGTCTATCATTGATGGGCATTTAGATTGATTCCATGTCTTTGTTATTGTGAATTGTGCCACAATGGACATACGCATGCATGTGTCTTTAAAACAAAATGATTTATATTCCTTTGGGTATATACCCAGTATTGTAATTGCTGGGTTGAATGGTATTTCTTATGAGTTACTTTCCCAAGTCCCAGAACATCACTTATGTCATGAATTAAGTAAGTCACAAATTCAAGCCCAGATTCAAGGGGGCAAAAAAGGAATATTAGATTCCACTTCTCAATGGAAGAAGTATCAAAGTATTTTAACCATCTTTAATCTATTATATTCATCTTTTGCTGTATGTAATACACTCTAAATTAGATAACATTAATTTTAGCAACAGTATCTAGCCTTGAAGAAATCATATTATAATTTTTGAGGTAAACACAACATATAAAAAAGCAAAAATAAAGGTAAATATATGAAAATCATCTAAATGCTTTCCCTACATAACATCACTGAAAATTGCCTGTATTGTGTCTCTAAGCCAATTTTTAGTATTCACGTAGACTAAATCAACTGGAAATATGTTACTCTGAAATGAATGGAATAAAAATAGTGGAGTTTATACTTCAGAAGAGAAAGTTGCTTATAGTTTGTAGCTTCCCATATGTTGAATTTCTCAGCTCTGCTAGTGATCTAATTTGCATGGCCTATGTTTCTTTGCCAAGTTACAAATCAGTGGGCAGAATAGATGATTTTAGGAATATGACTTCTCTTTAGACAAGAGAAGCAAAGGGGTATATAATGAGGAGTTCTTACTAGTTGATAAACTTTGACCTCAAGGCATGTTTACCCAGGATGTCCAAATTAAATTATTTTATTCTCATCTCTGTAATGAGGTCACTGAAGGGTGGACATCTTGGGTTCTTACTCCAGATGCCATGGTTCTTCTTCATAAATTTTTCACATTTCTTATCTACTATTTCTACAAAAATGACAACTACTGCAAAAATTAAACCCAACTGACAGGAACCAAAATGAGATAATCCCTCTTTGCTCTTTTCTAGGAGAACATTAGTTCAACCTTTCCATAAGATTGAAAAGCATCAAAAAATGAAATAAAGATGACCCAACCTGTTTTATAATTACTATAAAACAGTAATGGTTGTATTTAAATTTACATAAACATGAATATATTAAGCTAGCATACAAGAATTTTACAGCTGGAGAAAATTGAAATAAAGCTGGAATACACTTCATTATCTAAATTGTTATTGATATCTGTCATTCCAAAGTACCTACAGCAGTATAATTTTATCCTACGCTTCTAAACACTCAACCAAACAGTGAGACTACATATATTCCTACAACCCCCAATGGAGGTATTGAGATTACACATGCTTTCACTAATTTAAAGAGGGACTTTCACACTGGGATGCATTAAAAACAGAACATTTAAATAAAAAGCAATTTGCTTTGCCTGTAATTGAATTCCCCTTGCTGTTATTGCTAATTATTGACAATATTTGTGATGGACTAAGAGGCTTTTGCATTCAGAGACAAATTATTTTTCTGCTATATCTTAGAACAGACAGTGGGCTGTCTTTTTGATATCATAGTCTGTTACCATGGAAATAATTGTGATTTGAGAAATGTATCAGCAACATGCAAAAAAAAAAATCTCTATACAGAGAATTTCCTTTTCTTTACTGCTATGGGCATTGTACAGTCTTGCATAGTAAGTGCATGATAATGACTTCCCACATTTATATAATATGTCTTTGTTTTACAATGTCCTACACAATAGATAAAGCATGGTATATGCAACTATAAATGAAAGACTACTAAAGTAAATTGAAAGCAATAAAGTGAAATGATCCTATATTTCAGAATAAATTTACAATTAAATTAGAATAAAAATTCTGCTTTCAAATTTCTCAATGTTGAGAAGATTCTTATAAATGAGAGTGATCACAATAAGAAAATATCAATGTTTTATTTTAAAATACATTTCTTATTTTTGAGGTCATTACTCAATTAGCTATTTATCAATCTTTTTGACATTTTTTGTATTTTGCTATGAATAGACAGTCTATTTATCTGGTAAAACAAATATCTTCTCTTTCCAGAGCACTGGAAGAGAATTCCCTGTTTTCCATATACTTCACCCTAATTTGGAGGAGATCACGGAGAGAATCTATTTCATAGAAAATTTAGTCTAAGATGGCCTTATTTGGAGCCTAAGGTGGATCTGACTTGGAAAAGAAGAGAATTGAGAAAATACATGAAATACCTTAGGATGAGCAAGAGAGAAAGAGATTAGATAGAAACAACAGGGTTTGGTTCTTCACTTTCTGGTTTCTTGATTCAATTTCTGGAGAGTAAATCTGTCCTGCCTTTTGCCCTACTCCTTCCTTTTCAACTTCACTTTCATGTTACCAGGCTGGAAGCAAATATAGGCAACAGTATTTATATATAAATTCCACAGGGAAGCCCTTTTATTCTCACGGTCAGCTTCTATGTCTAATCTAAATTTACTGACATGCCAGGTGTCTTTAATTTGAAATGTTTCTCTTTTAGAAAAAAATGAGGCATTCAATAATTGGAATAGCAGTATTTGGAAGAACAGGAAGATTTGAGGAATCGCATGGCACTGTGCAATGAAATGCCTGCCTCAACCAACCATCTTCTGTGAAAAAAATACAATAGCCTCTTTGGTTATAAGGCAGGACTAGGTTTATTATGCAGTTTAGGTCCATTTTTCCAAGAGAAATTTGGGAGAGAAGATATCTGATTATAAGTTGGTAATATTACGTGATTTTCATATTGACATCAATTGCCATGTAGCCCTTTGCAGCTTCATATGTCCTAGCCTTTTCTTGCTCTACGAGGATTTTAGAAAATACATGATCCTGAAAACCTTGACTAGAAAGGAACTTTGTTAAATAGCAGAGGAGTGATGTAGTTACAGAAACTCAGTGCAGAGAGTATTTGTAAAAACTAGATTAAGTGGATTAAGGGAAAATGTTGCTTTAAGACTAGAAAATATTAAAAAAAAAAAAAAAGCTTACAGAGCCAGAGGAAAGTTTAATCTCAAATAAGGAAGGGATAAGATTACAGTTTTCTGACATGAGGGTGAAGATGCTGGCCAAGCTCCATGGCTATACCTACCATGCACTGACAAAAGCTGCATCCTTACTAGCTAAAGTTTCAGAGATCAGGGCTGGAGAAGCTGCTGGATATTGAAAGTGAAATTATGGTAGCATGAGAGCTGAAAAAAAATAAGGTGCAAATTTAATGCATATATTGCCCAAATCCATGACTGATAGCTAAACTACATATGAGCAGGAGACCTCCTAAAAGACACACTGAAAAAGCAGGAAGGACCAGAAAACATTTGACTTATGAAAGACGGAGTCACACAAAACCATATCTGTGGATTTGGTGTTTTTCTTAAATGATTATATTCCCCAACAGTGCACAGTCTGAATGGGAGACAGGTGAAGCCTGATAACCGGAAGTGTCAAAATCCAGAGATGGAAACCAGAAAAATAGCTAGACTTTTTGGGGGAGGTGTTAGAAACCCACAAAGAGAAGGTGTCCCATCTCTGCCATATCCTCGGTTGACATCAAATTTTGCAGATACATGGGAGACCAAGAGGGGCTCAGGTTAATACAGTCGCAGTGAAAAACCATGAAAATGGAGTAAAAATATCAGCAGCTGCATACAGTGGACAAGATAATGTTTGCAGTTTGAATCACTGTTGACTAGAATAATAATTTTTTAAAACCCCTCAGAAGTATGCAACAGAATACAGCATTGATATAACATGCTATTTACGATGGTTAATATTCAATCAAAAGTTGAAAGATATCAAAAATAATCTACACTCAGAAAAATATGCAGTAAGTAGATCCTCAAAAAGGCTTTAACGTTTAATTTAGCAAAGGTTTCACAAGATATCTTTTATAAGTATGTTTAATGAATTTTTTTAAATGTTCAAAGAATTGAAGGAAAGCATGCCACCAATGAATGAACATCTGCAATCAACAAAGAATAGAACATGTTAAACAAATTTTGATTTATGGAGTTGGATGTGATAAAAATAAATAGCAAATTGGTAGACATAAAAACAGTGGCAATAATTACAAATTGTAACATCTGAATATTTCTATCAAAAAGCAGAGGCTTTCAGACCTGATTTATTTTCAAAAGCAAGAAAAAGAGCAAAAATCAGCTACATTTTTTCTACAAGAGGCCTATTTTAAATACAGAAATAAATAGACAAAGATATGGCTGAGAAATTATAGACCATGAGTATATTAAGCATAAGACAGCTGTATTCGCTATGATAGGTGTGATGATTTTAATATTAGACATGATATAAATACATGTTCACATGACAGAATTCAAAATATATGAAACAAAAACTGATGGAACTTATGGTAGAGATGATAAATCCAAACTCATGTTTGGAGATTTCATTATATCTCACTCAGTAATTGACAGACCGGTTCAACAAAAATTTAATAAACATATCAAAAATCTGAATGATACTCTCAATCACTAGACTCAACACCAACAATTGTGGAATACACAGTGTCTATCACCAAGATAGATACTATACCATGCCATAAAACAAGTCTCAATAAATTTCAAAAGATGAAAATTTGACATAATATGTTCTTTAAACACAGAGGAAAAACATTAGAAATCTCTCTCAGTCTCTTTTTCTCTCCCTCTTTCTCAAACACACACACACTGGAAAAGCCCTAATAGCTGGAATGTTATATTCTAAATAGTCTATGGGTTAGAGAAATAAAGGAAATTAGATTTTTTGAATTTAGAGCTAATGAAAACTCATGACAAAATTGATGGAATGCAAATAAAAGTTTCTTAAAAGGAAATTTGTATCATCAAATATATAAGAAATGGGAAAATATTTAAAATCAATAATCTAGTCTTGCATCTTAAACTAGAAGTAGAAGAGCAAATTAAACACAAATTAAGCAAAAGAAAATTATAAAATAGAAAGATGAAGAAAATAAATATCATCTAGTTCTTTGAAATAATCAGTATAATTAAAAAACCTTTAGTTGGATTGATTGGAAAAATAAAGCAATAGTGAGAATGAGAGAATGAAAGCACAGATTACTAATGTCAGAAATGAAAGACAGAATCAATAGAGAACCTATATAATAAAAAAATGCTAATATTATGAAAAACTTCTTGCCAAAAATTTAACAATTTAGATAAAATAGACAATTCTTTCAGAGATAGAAATTTTCAGTGCTCACTTCGAAGTAAATGGGTAACATGAATAACATTATAACTACAAAACAAATTAAAACCATTGAAATCACATAAAAATCAGATTTTATTGGTGATTTCTATCATATATTTAAGAAAGAAATAATATCATTTCTTCATAAATTATTCCAGAAAGTAGAAGAGAAAGACATAGGTGCCAACGCATTTAATGAGGCCAGAATTACCCTGATTACAAAATCAAAAAAATATATTACACAGAAAGAAAACTATAGATCTATCTACTACCTGGCATAGATACAAAAATTCTTATTAAAAATTGAGCAAATTGAATCTAGTGATAAACTAAATGGGTAATATACCATGTGATAGTTAATTTGTCAATTTCACTAGGATAATAAATGTCCAGATAGTTGGTAATACATTATTTCTGGTTGTGTCTATGAGGGTGGTTCTGAAAGAGATTTGTTTTGAATGAGTGGACTTAGTAAAGAAGATCCACTCCCACCAACATTATAAGTATCACCTAATTTGTTGAGAAGCCCTGTAGAACCAAAAGGTGTAGAAAAGATAAATTCTCTCTCTCCTTGAGTTGGAACATCCACCTTCATGGTAAAAATTCCTCAGCAAATATATTAGACAAGGGAACTTTCTGAAACTAGTAAAAAACATCTATAAAAAACTCACAGCTAATACTGTACTTGACAGCAAAACAGTTAATATTTCCCCCTAAATTCTGGAAGAAGGCAAAGATATCTAATCTCAGCATTTCTATTTAACATTTTACTGGAAGATCTTATCAGTACAAAAAAAAAAGAAAAATAAACAAAAGTCATACAAGAAAATATACAGAACAAAAATCTTTATTTATAAAATGTCATGATTATTCAGAGAATGTTATTGAATATAATAAAAAGAAATAGAATTTATACATGTATTTGGCAAAGTTGCAGCTTTCAGATCGATATTCCAAAATTAATTTTATTTTTATATCCCATCAACAGAAAAGTGGAAGTTTAAAATTGCATTTATAATTGCATTAAAATGTTAAATGCGTAAGTATAAATATTATACATTTTTTTTGCATGTAGTATGCTGAATACTATTTTAAAAATCCCAGAGAGATTATAGTACTGGATTAAAATATTGGCAGGTTGTCAAGACTCTACAAACTGATCTATATATTCAATGCAATCTCAAGGAAATTTTAGCATGCATTTTAATAAAAATAGATTCTAAATTTCAAATAAAAATGCAAAGGACCTAGAATATCCAATATATAATAGAGAAAAAGAAAAAGTGGAGAATATATATTACCTTATTTTGATAATTTTTATAAACCTACAATAATCAAGACAATGTGGTACTGACATGACAGTTAGTATATTGTTCAAGAAAATAGAATAGAGTCAAGAAATAGACCCACACATATATGCAACTAATATTGAAAAATAGTGCCAAGGTAATCAAATGTAAAAAGAACAATCTTTTCAACAAATAGTGCTGGAATAAATAGCTGTTTATATGAACAGAAATAGTGTTTCATCCTTGCTTCATACATGTACATGTATTAATTAAAAATGGATTATAGACATAAAGGTGAGAGCTACAAATATGCAATTTTTAGGCAAAGATTTCTTTAGATAGGACAGAAAAAGCACAATCAATACAAAATAAAATGAGTTAATTATATTTAATTTAAGTAAACACTTCTTATCTGAAAAAAAAGGTCAGTAAAATGAGCATCTAAGCCACAGACTGGGAGAATATCTTTGCAAAACCTATATCAAAGAGAGAGAGAGAGAGAGAGACACTTTCAGAAAACACAAAAATTACCCTCTAGTTCATTAAGAAAAACACAATCTGATTATTAAAATATAGCAAGAGATTTAGACAGTTCATCAAAGAAAACATATGGACGGCATATATTACATAAGATGCTAAACATTATTAGTTATCATATTGTGTAAATTGAAAGCACAGTAAGATACCACTTCACAATTAGCAAAGTTTTTATTCTAGTGTTAACTTTTTATATGATTATACAAGGATACCATCAGAAAATAAATAAGTATATTTTACTTGTGAACCTAGATGCAAACATTTCTAAATATAAAATTAGCTAATAAAATTCACTTGCCTAATTAATAAGTCCTAATCAATTATGGTTGCATGATGCATGCAAGGTTGGTTTACTTTTAGAAAAGCTACGATTATAATTCATTACACTAATGGGTCAAAGGAGAAATATCACATGATTATCTCATAAAAGTAGGAAACACAATTAATTTCAAAATATACATTATAATTTAAAAACATAGCTTTTTAACTTATTAAAGATTATATACCCAAAGCCCACAGCTAAAATAATTCATTGAGAGACTTCAGCATATTTACATTTTTAACTGGGAATAAGACAGTGATATTTGCTATGTACTTCTGTTTATGATGGAACTGAAAATATGGTCAGAAAACCACAACTGAAATGCTTCTGACCATATTTTCAGTTCTATATGGTTACTGCAACAAAAATTAGTATTGTATCAGCGTAGTAACAGGTGAACTAACCAGTATGACAGAATATAGGCCTCAAAAATATAGACATATACATATAAGAAGTTGAAATATGGTGACACTACAAAGTATTGAAGAGAAGATGGCTTCTTTAGGAGCTGAAGTCTGGAAAACTGTATTATTACATAAAGAATATAGAAAGCTTAATCCCTATTTTACCAGATGAAAAGGTGGACTTCAAATGGATTAAAGTAAAACAATAAAGCTAATAGAAGAAAATGATAGTGAATATCTTTATAAGATAAGGTTGAAAGATTTACCTTTAAGAAGACTCAGAAAACACAACCAGATTTTAAAATGATGCATTTTGCTACATTCAAATTAAAAATTTTTGCTTCACTAACGTTACAGATGAATGACATACTGTAATAAAATATTCACAGTGTCTAAAACATTAATATCTAGAATATATAAGGAACTCTAGTGAGCCAAAAATACAATGACTAGAACACCAGTAGAGCATGGAAAGGAATATAAAAAGTCAATTCACAGAAGCAGCACTCAAATGCTAGTAAAATATAAGAAGATATGCTCAGACTTACTAATGATGAGAGAATGCAAATTAAACAATTACCTATATGTATCAGAACCATGAAAATTAGAGGGGGTCTTAGAATTTATTTTCAAGGAAGTAGAGAGAAAGAAATTCAGTAGCTCTCTCTGTGACCACAAATAATATTCTCATGCTTCTAAGTGATCTGGCAGAATCTAGTGAAATGAAAAATGTATATTCCTTATGATCTGGCAGTTACTCTTCTGGGTATGTGCACAAGACTGTACATATGTATTGATGCCAATACATAATTTTATGTATGTATACATTATATACATCACATACATAATATATAAGCAAAAACATACTTTACAGCAATTTGGAGCTTAAAATATATATATATAAATAAAGTCAAGTAAACATAAAAAGTAGTATTCAATAAAGACAGAAAGTGAATTAAAAACAGGACAACACACAAAAAATGCTTGCATATTTAAATAACTCAAGTACACTGAGATCAGCTTTTCTTAAGGAGGAAAAAAAGGGAATGACACTGAAAATAAAATAATTAGAGGGGTATGGCATAGCCAAGTGCAAGCATGTGCTGAGAACTGAAGAGAATGGTTACTTCCGCCTACGAGGTCAAAAAGAAAAAGAAAATCTCAAAATCCATACAAATGCTGTTGACAATTCTGAATTTTGTGAAAGATTGTTGTCATATAAATGTGAACGTTCCTTTAAAAATTATCATCTGATGAATGTTTTATGTTAATCTGAGCATTCACAAAAATGATCTTGTTAATTCCCAGCATTCTCTTAGGGTAAAGAAAAGACTTTTCAATTATATCACTGTATGTCCCCTATCTGCATTGTCTCATCTCATTATCATCTGTGTGTTTTGAATAATATGAGATAGAAATTTTGTAGGTATGAACCTGGTTTAGATTTAGTGTTCTGTTTTTTATTATTTCTATTATGTAATAAGTGCTATCTGTGGTTTAAGAAGAGGAATTTTTAAAGAAAAGTATAAAGCAAGATTTTCGAGGTTAGAAAGTTTTTATCAGGTTATTCTTTGGAGAAGAGAAAGCAGCATTTCTGTTTTATAAGGTACATAGGAAGCAATTGGCTTTAATAGTGCAAGCTGCACATTAAGAGGCAGAAGACAATTAAGTGTTCGGTGTTATATTTATGCAAAGCAATTTCTAAGGCTCCTCTTAAACTATTTTGTGTGAGCTATTGCATATTTCAAATTTGCCTTTATTCAATTTCTTTCACCTTTAGTGGCTGAATATAACATTAATGAAAAAGAGAGAAAATGAGACTGGAACTTACAAAACTATAAATAAAACCTTAATATTTGTTCTCTTTGAAGCTGCTCTCATTGGAATAGATGCAGAACAACTTATCACAGAAACCTGAGCCAGGAACTTCCACACTTTATGGAATAAGCAAAGTTCGTGTATTAATTTTTCCTTTGCTTATTTTTATTCTTAAATAAGCTATTTTCTAAATATATTTTAGCAAGGTTAGAATATAAATATTAAAATGATCCCTATTCTTACCCTACCGCTGAGATAAAACTATGGAGACGTATACACATATGTAAGGCTAAGAGCAATCTGACCATCACACTTTGTAATCTGCTTTTCTAACTTACTTTTTTGTTAACATTCTTACATCTCAATAGTGTACTAAAAATAATATCCTTTAGGTTATAAATGCCTCAAGTTATTTAACAAGTTTCTTTAGATTTATTAAAATTATATTGAGGATTTTGCTGTCATCAATTACATGGTGATAAGCATTCAAGCACACAATTTGTTTTTCAAATCATCCCCTGTCACTTTACTTTAGGTTTGCATTTTATCAAGAGTATATTGTTGGATTTTGATTTTTTACTCCATTATGAGAGTGCGTGTTTTTATTGTGGCTTTAAAAATTAATTTAAGTTTATTGGAAAATAGATATGCTTGTCCTCTAAGTTTGCATCATGCTTTTTGTCATTTCCCATTATTTTCCTCCTTTTAATCTATTGATTTTGAAGGTAAGTATACATTTTTTTCCTACTAGTGCCTTCAAATGTTTAGAAAAGCTTATCAATATTTTCTAATTATAAACTAATGCATTTATTTATGCTCCTAAGACATCAACAGATTTTATAATTTTTAAAAACTTCCCCCCACTATTTATAATTTTTTACTGCTATAATTTACATTTAGACACAAACTATTATTATGATATTTTATTACTCTTGCACATTCCATATTCTAAGTCAAGGTTTTATTTTTAATTTTGATTAATTTAAAATCAAAAAGCAATCCTTTCAAAAATACAACTATATTGTTTCAAGGATTTTTTTTGACCATTTTAATGAAATAATAGCTACATTTTCCCATTCTTATAGTTGTCAATTAATTTTTCAGTCAAGTACATCATATTTGTTTATATATTTTATGTATTTTAAAAATATTTTAATTATAAATTGACAAATTAAAATTGTGTGTTTATGGGGTACAAAGTGATGTTATGATTTATGAATACAAGTGGAACAAGTAAATTAAATAACATATCCATCACCTCAAATACTTATTTTTCTGTGGTGAGAACATTTAAAATTTACTGTCAGCAATTTTGAAATGTACAATACATTGTTATTTAAGATATTTCTCCTGTCTAATTGATACTTTGTATCCTCTGACCATCATCTCCCTGTTTCCTTCAGTTCTCAGCCTCTGTAACCACCACTCTACTCTCTGCTTCTTTGAGTTCAATTGATTTTGATTCCAGTTATAAGTGAGAATATGCTGTTTTGTCTTTATGTGCCTAGCTATTTCACTTTATTTCACTTAGTATAATGTCCTCTAGGTTCATCCATGTTGTTAAAAATGACAGGATGTCTCCATTTTTTTAAGGCTGAATGGTACTCCATTGTATATATATACCACATTTGCTTTATCTACTCATCTGATGATGAAAACAGGTTGATTCCATAACTTGGTTATTGTGCATATTGCTACAATAAACATGGGAGTGCAAACCTTTCTTTAACATACTTACTTCAAATCTTTTGAGTAAATACTGACACATATAATTGATGGATCATATTGTAATTCTATTTTTAGGTTTTTTAGGAACATGCATACAGTTTTCCATAATAGCTGTACTAGTTTACATTCCCACCAACAGTGGACAAGAGTTCCCTATTCAACACATCCTCCCCAACATTTGTTATCTTTAGTCTTTCTGATAAAGGCCATTCTGACAGGGGTGAGTGGATATCTCATTATGGTTTTAATTTGCATTTCCCTAATGATCAGTGATGTTGAGCATATTTTCATGAACCTGTCAACCATTTTTATGTCTTCTTTTGAGAAGTGTCTGTTGAGGTTCCTTGCCTATTTTTTAATTGCATTATTGGTTTTCTTTCTGTAGAGTTGAATTCCTTATGTATTTTGGATATTAATCCTTTATCAGATGTAAAGCTTGGAAATATTTTCTCCCAGATCGTATTGTAACTTGACAGTTAATTTTTTTCTTTCTTGTGCAGAAGCTTTTATTTTGATGTAATCTCATTTGTCTATTTTTGTTTTTGTTACCTGTATTTTCAGGAGTCAAATCTAAAAATAAAACATTATTGCTGAAGAATTATTGAGAAAAATGTGATTGTTCTTTTCCCGTAAAGTTATTGTGGATTTTTCTGCAATGTCTTTATGCACGTAGAAAACTTTGAATACGTATGTCCTTTGAAAATTTTTGATACACTTACAACTTTTCATGTTTTTAGATGTTTGTTTTTCTGTAATTACTGAAAGTCTACATTTTAATCTGGATACTTACTGATCTCTCAATTAATTTCTTCACTATTGAGTAAACACCTTCAATTTGTTCTAAAATTTGGTTATTTCTTCAGCTCTGAAAAGTTTTGTGTCTTTTGCCCCAGTATTTTATTTAATTTTCTTTGTATATATTTTGTTTTTAGCTTTTCTTTTTCCTTTTCTAGGATTCCAGTTATCAGCATATTGGGAATCCTAGGTCTGTTGTGGCTGGCTATCTCTTTTTTCATATGTTCATGTATCTCTTCTATGTTCTGGGTGAGTTTCTCGAGTGTGTTACTGAGTTCACTATTTTCATTCTGCAGTTTCCCATGTGTTTCACCATCTGTAATATAGTTAAATTCACAATCACGATTTTCATCTTTAAACATTCTTTCCTGATTTTGGATCAGTCCTTCACTGTGACTGTGCAGAATGTTTGAACATCTAAAGTAGATAATTTCTGGAACATTCTTCAGTACTTCTGTTTCAGAGAGTGACATATTATTTGATTTTTCTAATTCTTCAGAGTGGCCCCTTTGACTGTATAACTTTTCTGTGGTGTGATGACTTTCTCTGCTCACTTGTTTGGGAAACAACCCAGCTGTGTTCACTCGTTATTGTAGCTGTGGCTTGCTCTAGAAAGAATTCTATGATCCCATTTCTCTGTGCTGCAACCACCCATTCTGGAACAGCTCCGGGACTCCAAAGCCTTTCATGTACTTATAGCCCCAGTCAAAGTACATTCTCACAAGGCAGACTTTTTCCTACCCATCTAACTTGAAGGACACCCTAGTGAACTGGTATCCTGTCAGTGTTAGAAGAAGCCTGGCTATGTGGCCTTTTTTTTCATTGCAGGCCACCTCCATAACAGGAAGTCCTGACATCATACTGGCACCCTTTAGTGGACTGCTCTCTCCTTTTCAATTTAAGAAGTGGCTGGGAGGCTTTCTCAAGGCTCCTTCTGCTTAATTTCCAAGCTCTTTGGTGAAACAGGTTGGCTCTCTTATACTTACTTACTTACTTCTCTTATGCAACTTGGCCTCCACCCCTGACTTCCTTCCGCCATGGAAGGCCCAACCCCAGTCTCAGCCCTACTTCACTCTAGCACTATAGTTGTGGCAGGAGTTTTCCTACTTATCTGCTTCCACCCCCAATAGAAAATAATATTTTAATCCAAAGGCTTACACTCTGCTTAGTGTAAGTCTGTACCTAATCTGGCAGAAATGTCTCAAGATGTATGCAGTGTGAATGGTAGATACCCTTCTAAATTTTTGGCACAAATACACGTTCCTCTCACTTTTGTATTTTATTGGTCACACTTACTGGGCTGTAGAGGAAGGTAGGTGTTGAGGAAAAAGTGATTACTTGTGATTACATGACCCATTTATGATTAATTCTGCCATTGATTTATAATCTCACAAATAAAAGCAAACTCCTTATTACTGGATTTTAAGCAGGTACAACAAAAATAAAATTAAAAGGTTGCAAAATGTCTAGCCTGCTAATGTACATGGGCATACACAGTAAACAAGTTTTATTAGCTGTGAGTTCTCCTAGTTGGTTTTATTTTGTGAACGCCAAAAGCGTTAGTCAATTCAGAAAGAGAATCTCCATGTATTGATACCAAGATAGTGCCTTTGCAAATTAAGTCAAACTGAGAACTGTGAAATATCCCCAGAGCTGTTCATTTCAACACTTTCCTTTCTCCTGAGATTCCTTTGGTGGGCATCTGTATTGCAGCCCTTTGAAGACAAGCCCTAATATCATCAGTGACTGATGATCACTTCTTGCGTTGGAAGGCTGAAGAAAGTACCCCAGATTCAGTCCTGCTTTTCCTAATTAAAAGTGGTTAATAACTCTTTTATTGAAACTAGATTAAATTCTTATTTGGGAAACTTAATTTAAAGTATGACCTGTCAGCTACGTGGCACTTCTATCCCAGTCTCATATCCACACAAATTGAAGGAAAGCGAATTGTGTTTTAATATTCTCCAAAAGGACAAAGTGAGCAGGAGAATTATACAGTGTAGAATAAAGCAAAGTGGTTGCTTTCTCTCAATTTGCAGATAAATCATATAGAATAAACTCAGACAATTTAGTTTTGTTACATTTATGTAGATATATTATTCTAAAAATGACATTATGACACCCCTATATGTTATTCTAAAAATGCTGCTATGACAACCCTAGGCTGATTAGGTTTTATCCTAAAACTGCTGAATGGGCATCACCTCTTGCACACCTGATTTCAGCAGCATCTGTCTGTTTTTAACCCTTCTCTTCACATTTAGTCAGGGGATCTCAGTCAACAGAGTGCCTGGCCATGACTGAACTGTCAACGCTTCCAGAATAACTTTCTCCTTTGTAATGGTTTGGTTCAGCCCGTTACATGGAGCAATGTGTGGCTAGGTTCATAACACTCTCTGAGATGCTGAGTCCTCTTTTGTGAGTGCAGCTGTAGGGTGATACTTCTGGGTGAAAAGCTAAGTCAGGATTTCTGTGCATTGACAGCAGGCTTGGCAGGGGGCATAGAGACAGTGTGGGGCTGACTGTGCTGTTAGAAACTTTGAGCACAACTAGAAGAAACGATGCTTTCAACTTTGTCTACATAAAACTCCCGTGAAGAAGTTCGACATAGGATATTGTTTGGGTGTTCTTCCCTTTCAAATCTCATGGTGAAATGTAATCCCCAGTATTGGATATGGGGCCTGGCAGGACGTGTGTGAGTCATGGGGACAGATTCCCTCATGAATGGCTTAGTGCTGGCTTCAAAATAATGAGTGAGTTCTCACATTATTAGTTCATGTGAGATCTGGCTGTTTAAAAAAGCCTGGCACCTCCTCCCTCTCTTCCTTTTACTCGTTCTCTTATCCATGCCAGCCCCCCGTTTGCCCTCCACCATGACTGGAAGCTTCCTGAGGCCTGACCAGGAGCAGATGCCAGCACCATGCTTCTTGTACAACATGCAATACTATGAAGTAATTAAACTTGTTTTGTTAAATTACCCAGTCTTGATAATCTTTTATAGCAATGCAAATGGACTAACACAACACACTATAACTCTTTCTATAGAAATGAAAAAAGTAAGGTAAAGAAGATGGTAAAATTCTTTCCAAGTCATTGTTTGGTCTCATGACTCAGTAAAAGAATAGAACAATACTGAAAATTATTCCTTTTTATTTTTCTTATTCATATTGTTATTTTCTACAAACTAGATGCTAAGCCATTTTAAAATAGAGTTTCACTTTGTCAAATCTTTCACAGAATTTCTAACGAACTGTTCTTACAGTCTTATGAAAATATGTTCTGGAAATGTGAGTAAAATTTTTCCATTAAAGACATGCATAGAAATTGACATTGTAATTCTATCCTACATATTTCCCTTTCAGATAGTTATTCTATATTTCTATTGTTACCATCTCTAACTTCAAAAACACTTTTCTGGAATTTCCAATTATTTTTATTTGGCAGTATAAATATTATACTGTATGTGTTTTAACATTAAAACTCTACCACTATTGTTTATTGACTGAAAAGCCACTTTTCTTATATTGTCTCATCTCTCTCTAATCATTTTGAATGTGTTCTTAGTTTTGTTTAGGTATTTTCATTAACTCCTTTTCAAGTAAGTTATCAGTTTATGCGGACTGATTACCTAAACAATTATACTATTCAGTCTACTTGATCATTTCTTATATTTAAACCTTGAGTAGAACTTTTAATGTCTTTTCTACAATTCCTTATTTTTAAAAGTAACTTTTAAAAATACTTTTTTAAGCTCATATATTATATATATTCTAACCAGCACTTATTAAATGTCTACAATTGGTGCATGGAAATTGTCATTTTCAGAGTGATGAAAATGTTTCTTCACTTATGTGTTCTTTTTTCATCAGTTTGCTCTCAGCTAAATCAAGCAAATTAAGATGGCTAACTAAACATGAGGCAAATTCTAAATAGAAAATATTAGAAACTTAAATGTGTTTCTAATATTTCCCTTTCGTTTATTTTCCTGATACAGGTTTTTTAGACCTCAACATGTCCATAAGAGTTTTCTTGAAACAGTTTCAATGATCTGAAATATTTGTTGTTCAAGATAATTTTTCTTCACTCTTTGATAGTCATTTTTTTGTTTCTGTATCATTCTAGAATTCATCTTCATTTTCTAATTTATAACCATGAGTTAATTTTTTATTTCATAACTGCACACAATTAGGAAACTTGATAATGATAATTTGTATCCATTACATTTCCCTCTTGATGGCATATTTTTATTGTGGGCGTTTAGCTTATTGAATGTTTAAAATTGTGTGTTGACCACTTGAGTATGTGTGTATCCTCCCTTGGTATGGGGGTTTATTCTAGATTTGGGTGATTGTCCGGCCAGTGTCACTTTGGAGGAAGACTATTTGAGAAAAAAATGTTTGAGTTTTTTATGCTCATGACTATTTGAACTCATAATTTCTCTCTCTCCCCACAGTCTGCATTGTAGTATTATTTTGTTCAGTATCCTTTTTTAATTTTTTTGGTTCTATATAGAATTATAAATCCCTAGAATAACTTTGTTTTGTCCATGAAAGTCTCAGTCATAGACTTGTTGGTTTTTTAAGGAGCAACCAACATATTTAAAAGTCACTAAGTTATATTACCTTGGCTACATCATGTTTTATTTCACACTTTGTGGTACTCCATATGTTATAATAAAGGGTTAAGTTTTTATCCAAGTAATAGTTTATGTATAAAGTTATGCATACAATAGCAAAGTAAAAAGGAATTTAGAATTGGTGTTTAAATATTTAATTGATATATGAAATAAATATATCTCATTATTATAAAAATTTATCACCATATCATCCCCAATAATAAAGTATTTCCTACAACTAAATAGCAAGAATACAATTAACCAAATCAAAAAAGGGCAAGGGACTTAAGTAGACAATTCTCAAAAGAAGACATACAAGTGGCCAAGGGATATATATTTAAAAATGCTCATAATCATTAATTATCAGGGATATACAAATTAAAGACACAATAAGATATCCATCACCTCACACCTTTTAGAATGACAGTTGTCAAAAGGATAAAAGATAACAAGTGTTGATGAAGTTGTGGAGAAAAGGGAACCCTCGTGCACTGATGGTGGGAATGTAAATTAAGACAACCATATGGAAAACAGTATGGAGTTTCCTCAAAAAACTAAAAATAGAATTATTGTATGATCCAGCAATCCTACTTCTGGGTACTTACCTGAAATAAAGGAAACCAGTATGTCAAAGAGACATCTGCACTCCCATGTTTACTGCAGAATTGTTCACACTAGCTAAGTTATGGGAGCAAACTAGGTGTCCGTCATCAGATGAATGGATAAAGAACACGTGGTATATATCCACATTAGAATACTATTCAGCCTTAAAATGGGGTGGGAAATCCTGTCATTTGTGACAACATGGATGAAGCTGTAGGATATTAAGTGAAATAAGTCAGGCACAGAAAGGCAAATATTGCATGATCTCATGTTTAAGGGTAATCTAAAGAAGTTGAACTCATAAAATAGAGACTAGACTAACAGTTACCAGAGACTGGGGGAAGAGGGTGAATGACAAAGGGGGAGATGTTAGTCAAAGGGAAAAAAGTTTCATTTAGTCAGGCGGAATAAGCTTTAGTGAATTACTGCACAGAATGATGACTATAATAAGTCATTTTGTATTTCAAAATTGCTAAAACAATAGATTTTAAATGTTTTCACCATTAAAAAATGGTAAGCACATGAGGTGATAGATTTGTTAATTACCCTGATTTAATCATTCCACATTGTAAACATGTACCAAAGCATCACATTTTACCCCATAAATATACACAATAATTATTTGTCAATTAAAAATAAAATTAGAAAAAAATTAAGAATAAAAAAATGAAGTATTTCCTACTAAGCAGCCATTTTGAATTTTTGCATATGGAGTATGAATGACTCCCCTTCCTTAGAAAACCTAGTTATTAAGGTCACAGAGAAGCCTATAGTGACATATTCACTATTAGCAAATACATTATGAAAGAAATAACATTAACAAAGAACAGTGAGAAAAAAACGGACAATTGATGAATCCTCAGCTCTGTAGCATTGTGTTCTTATCATGAAATGAGTTTATTCAGCCTCTCACAGGCTCCGTCAATAGAGCCTGTACCTTGACCTCATTTTTCAGTGGTCAATGATGAATTTTCACTGTTTCATCAACACTCTTTCACCCGGTTCCATTGTAACTGACATCAGATATTTCGTGGCTACTGATTTGGGGTAAGGGTGAAGTCCATGGTCTTGGAGCACAGCCAAAGTAAGAAGGACAATCAGGGCTCTAAAGCATGGCCTCATTATCACTGTGTTCTAATAAACTGAACTGTCATGTCACTAAAGCACTGATATCTTCAGAAATTCTGTTATGGCTCTTTGATTTACTTTGTTATCATATATGAGATTTTTTAGTAACTTGAGGAAACTCCTTTCTTGCTGTGACCTCATTTTTTTTTCACCCAGGGCTGTCTTTTACTTTATGTTGCACCTATGATTCAGACAAAACTTCAATTTTTTGCAGACTGATTCTGGTGGCTTCAGTGAATGCTCTGCCAGGCTACAGAACTGTGCTTAATAATAAAAGCAAATCTGGTGCCAGGCTTAGAGGCATAGGCTACTCCTGAGTTAGAATCTTGACTGGTATGGCTTTGGTTTGGGACTTATGTGTGACTGTCAGAGGTGAACATTTTTGGCTAAGTAAATAAGCCCTACTTCAGGCCAGTCATGGGATCTAGAAGTTTGCTTTTGTTTTGTTTTGTTTTTGGAAATCAGGTAGGAGCAAAGTGAACTGGATGTCTGTGAGGCACATAAGAAAAATTGTAAGTTCATTAGCATTTGCAAATTCCATGCAGAGAGATAAGTCACAGTTCAATAGAGCCTTTTAATCAGAATCTTATTACCTGCAAGGAGTTATGTATAAACTTGCATTTTCAAAGGACAAAAACAAGCAAAGAAAAAAAAGAAAAACATACACGTGAGCTCACCAGGCCATTTTATGCTAATAGTGATGGAAGAAGCAACACTCGTCATCCTAGTATATCTCATCTCCTTGTTTGAGGTTTTTGTGCTAATATCCTACTGGCCAAAGCAAATTACATGACCGAAACCAAAGTCAAAGCCTTTCATTATCATCATTTGTTTCATATTACTATTCTTGCATTTTGGACTTTCCTGTTCATATATTAAATAATTTTCTCTAATACAATGTTACTTAACAAACCCAAACTCCCTATAATTTAGAATAATTTAAAAAGAAGCATTCTTATACACCAAAAACAGACAAACAGAGAGCCAAATCATGAGTGAACTCCCATTCACAATTGCTTCAAAGAGAATAAAATACCTAGGAATCCAACTTACAAGGGATGTGAAGGACCTCTTCAAGGAGAACTACAAACCACTGCCCAGTGAAATAAAAGAGAATACAAACAAATGGAAGAACATTCCATGCTCATGGATAGGAAGAATCAATACTGTGAAAATGGCCATACTGCCCAAGGTAATTTATAGATCCAATGCCATTCCCATCAAGCTACCAATAACTTTCTTCACAGAATTGGAAAAAACTACTTTAAAGTTCATATGGAACCAAAAAAGAGCCCGCATTGCCAAGTCAATCCTAAGCCAAAAGAACAAAGCTGGAGGAAACATGCTACCTGACTTCAAATTATAATACAAGGCTACAGTAACCAAAACAGCATGGTACTGGTACCAAAACAGAAATACAGAACAATGGAACAGAACAGAGCCCTCAGAAATAATACCACACATCTACAACCATCTGATCTTTGACAAACCTGACAAAAACAAGAAATGGGGAAAGGATTCCCTATTTAACAAATGGTGCTGGGAAAACTGGCTAGCCATATGTAGAAAGCTGAAACTGGATCCCTTCCTTACACCTTATACAAAAATTAATTCAAAATGGATTAAAGACTTTAATTTTAGACCTAAAACCATAAAAACCCTAGAAGAAAACCTAGGCAATACCATTCAGGACATAGGCATGGGCAAGGACTTCATGTCTAAAACACCAAAAGCAATGGCAACAAAAGCCAAAATTGACAAATGGGATCTAATTAAACTAAAGAGCTTCTGCACAGCAAAAGAAACTACCATCAGAGTGAACAGGCAACCTACAGAATGGGAGAAAATTTTTGCAATCTACTCATCTGTCAAAGGGCTAATATCCAGAATCTACAAAGAACTCCAACAAATTTACAAGAAAAAAAAACCCCATCAACAAGTGGGCAAACGATATGAACAGACACTTCTCAAAAGAAGACATTTATGCAGCCAAAAAACACATGAAAAAATGCTCATAATCACTGGCCGTCAGAGAAATGCAAATCAAAACCACAATGAGATACCATCTCACACCAGTTAGAATGGCGATCATTAAAAAGTCAGGAAACAACAGGTGCTGGAGAGGATGGGGAGAAATAGGAACACTTTTACACTGTTGGTGGGACTGTAAACTAGTTCAACCATTGTGGAAGACAGTGTGGTGTTTCCTGAGGGATCTAGAACTAGAAATACCATTTGACCCAGCCATTCCATTACTGGGTATATACCAAAGGATTATAAATTATGCTGCTATAAAGTCACATGCACACGTATGTTTATTGCAGCACTATTCACAATAGCAAAGACTTGGAACCAACCCAAATGTCCATCAATGATAGACAGGATTAAGAAAATGTGGCACATATACATCATGGAATACTATGCAGCCATAAAAAAGGATGAGTTTATGTCCTTTGTAGGGACATGGATGAAGCTGGAAACCATCATTCTCAGCAAACTATCACAAGAGCAAAAAACCAAACACTGCACGTTCTCACTCATAGGTGGGAACTGAACAATGAGAACACTTGGATGCAGGAAGGGGAACATCACACACCGGGGCCTGTCGTGGGGTGGTGGGGGGAGGGATAGCATTAGGAGATATACTTAATGTAAATGACGAGTTAACGGGTGCAGCACACCAACATGGCACATGTATACATACGTAACAAACCTGCACGTTGTGCACATGTACCCTAGAACTTAAAGTATAATAAAAAAATATAAAAAAATAAAAATAAAAAAAATAAAAAGAATCAATACATTAAGTCCGTGTTGGGTTTTGAGTTTTTAGTTTTTTAAAATTTTATTCCATTTAAGAATGTAAAATCATTCTAAATCCTAGGGAAGTATAAAATTCTCTAGATTCAATGAAACTATATTTTGGTGGAGACATAGCAAACTAAGGAAAAGATGTTAATCAACATTTTAAGAGAGCCGTATAGAAAGGGAGAGGAGTAAGTGCCGTGTGGCAATAAGAAGAATGTCTTAGGGATGATCTTCTTGTGGAGTATCTTACTGAGATTCTCTGTGTTTTCTTATAAAAATACATGCTCGTGTATGTCATTGCAGCCCTATTCACAGCAGCAAAGACAGGGACTCAACCTAAATGTCCATAAATGATAGACTGGGATAAAGAAAATATGGTACATATATACCATTAAATACTATGTAGCCATAAAAAGGAATGAGATCATGTCCTTTGCAGGGACATGGATGGAGCTAGAGGCCATTATCCCTAGCAAACTAACACAGAAACAGAAAACCAAATACTGCATGTTCTCTCTTATAAGTGGGAGCTGAATAATGAGAACACAGGACACATGGGAGGAAACAACACACGCTGGGGTCTGTTGGAGGGTGGGGTAGGGGAAGGAGAGACAGTATCAGAAAGAATAGCTAATAGATGCTGGGCTTAATACCCGGGTGATGGGTTGATCTGTGCCCAAACCACCATGACACACGTTCATTTATGCAAGAAACCGCACATTCTGCACATGGACCCATCAACTTAAAATAAAGTTGGAAAATAAAAAAACAAAAGGGAGAAGAAGTTGTCTCTGCTTAATTCACACAAGAGACAATACTTCAACTGAGTCTTAAAAAGTTTAGAAAAGATTTCTGCACAAGGACAAAGCTAGATGTAGTGGTACAT
Organism: Homo sapiens; assembly: GCF_000001405.40. NCBI lineage: Eukaryota > Metazoa > Chordata > Mammalia > Primates > Hominidae > Homo > Homo sapiens. The sequence goes on from NC_000013.11 coordinate 53,900,623, forward strand.
CTCTGGAAAATAAAGTGGCATAGACAAATGCACAGAAGGGTGAGAGGGTATGAGAACACCAAGTTCAGAGAGCTGAAAGTAGTACAAAACTACTTTCAGAAGGCTGTACCTCTCTTTGCTGGATGCCTACTAATAAATGCAGTGCCTAGCACATGGTAATTGCTCAGTAAGATTTTGTTGAATGCATCTGGTATAGTTTTGAAGTAGCAATATTTTATTTTTCCTCATGTGACTATAATTTGTCCCAGTATCATTTATGAAAGTCTCCCAAGAGGTCTGCAAAATCACCTGTATCATGTATTATTTTCCTTCATGTATAGGTCCGGATGCTTTTCATTCTGTTTCATGGTGTCATTCCACTCCTCTTATCTCTTTTTTTCTCTTTCTTTTTTCTTTTTGTCTTTCTTCAATTTGAGACAGGGTCTTACTCTATCACTCAGGCTGGAGTGCAGTGGTGCAATCACAATCATGGCTCACTGCAGCCTTGACCTCCCGAAATCAGGTGATCCTCCCACCTCAGCCCCCTTAGTAGCTGAGACTACCAGGCATTATACCTGGTTATTTTTTTGTATTTTTTTAGTGACGGTGTTTCACCATGTTGCCCAGGCTGGTTTCAAACTCGTGGCCTCATGTGATCTTCCCGCCTGGGCATCCGAAAGTGCTGGGATTACAGGCCTGAGCCTCCATTATGTTTTTAGATTTCTGATTTTTTTCTTTTCAACTGTGGCTATTTGTCTTTGGAATTCTTTTTGTGTTCGATCATTTTGTAATTCCATATTTTAATTTTTACTTATTTATACATAACCGTTTGGCATTCTTTTTGGAAAATGTCAATCTTTGAAGTTTTCAAGAAGTGTTTTTCTGTTGATGCTCACTGTTGGTGATTTGTATCCTTCAGTATTTGCTGATCCATTCACTTGCACTCATATTTGGTACATCATTCCCCTTGGAAATCTGAGGACTTCAATAGGGAACAATTGTCTTTGGGTAATTATGTTGCTCCTGTGAGTGTGGAGTATACCTCAGATGTACTCTAAGTTTTAATTCACTTCCAGAATTAAAACTTGCTGCTGTACCAAACTTTAGCATTGAGTTGTGCTCATGATCATAATAGGCATTTGCCCTCAGAACAATCTAAGGTCTATTTTCAGTTCACCTTTTTTGTTTGTTTCTATTTTCAACCCTTCTCTGAAACTGCTTTCAATACAGATGACCTCCTATCTCTATATTTATCTTTATTTGGCTTGACCTCTCAAAGCATTTGTCAGTTCTGTAAACCCTTCCCCCAAATATTTTCACAAAATATTTTGTTCCCTTGGCTTCTATGATATTGGCCTTTTTGATTTTTCTCATGCCTATTAGTCTTCTGAGCTTTTCCCCCTAAATTCTAGCCCTTGAATGTTGCTGTATTTCAGATTCCTCCCTCTATACAATATCAAAGTTAAAGTTATCAAAATTGTAAAATTGAGGCCAAAGATTTGCAACTTTACTCTAGTTCACTTTACGTATGTATGTATGTATGTACTTATGTTTTATGTATGTATGTATGTATGTATGTATGTATGTATTTGTTTTGAGACAGAGTCTCTCTGTCTCCCAGGCTGGAGTGCAGTGTCACAATCTCAGCTCACTGCAACCTCATCTCTTAGGTACAAACAATTCTCCTGCCTTAGCCTACCAAGTAGCTGGGATTACAGGTGCATGCCACCACACCCAGATAATTTTTGTGTTTTTGGTAGAGATAGGGCCTTGCCACATTGGTCTGGCTGGTCTCAAACTCCTGACCTCAAATGATCCACCTGCCTGGGCCTCCCAAAGTGCCGGGAGTACAGGTGTGAGCCACTGTGCCCTGCTAGTTCTCTTTATTAAGGCCTGTATTGGTTATCTATTGCATGATACATTGCCCCATGCTTAGCAGCTTAATACAGCAAAAGTCTGTAATCTCACACAGTTTTGAAAGTCAGAAACAGGGAGCATCTTCACTAGATATTATGGCTCAGTGTCTCTCAAAATATGACAATCTGTTGATGGGAGCTTCAGTTATCTGAAGACTTGGTCAGAGCTGGAAGATCTACTTCCATGATGGCTCCAACGGCTGTCGACAGAAGGCCTCAGTTTCCTGCCATATGGACCTGCCCTCAGTGCTGCCTGAGTATCCTTCAAATACGGCTGAAGTTTCTTCTGGTGAGTAATCCAAAATGGAGCAAGAGGGGAAACTATGATGCTATTTACATCTAGCCTCTGAAGTAGCATATAATCATTTCTGCCCCTGCCTATTATTCACACAGACCAAAGTTGATGCAATATGGGAGGAGATTACAAAGGAGATTACAAAAGGGTGTGAATATCAGGAGGCAGGAATCATTGAGGGCCATTTTGGAGGCTGGGTAACACAGGACCCAAACACTGTGCTGGCTATGTTCATTCAATTTCCTTATAGGCGCATCATATTTATTAAGTATAAACAAACCCATTATATTCACACTCAACTCTTTACACTGTATCAAAACTGCCATTATTTATATCTCCTTTGATATTGTCAATCTGAATGAATGACACCACCATCCGGGCACTTAAACCAGATATCTGGAATTACCTTTAATTTGATTTTTTCTTTACCTCACTCTGTTGATGTAGCATCTACATCATTTTAAGTCTACTTAAATATTGTTGCCTCATCTTAGTTTCATCTTACCTCTAATACTCTCTCTTACCTTCCTCTTCTCTCTCATTTTCCTTCGTTCTAGTCCCACCCCATAATCCAGAAAAGTAGTCGTTACTAAATAGAAATTTCAACATGCTATTTTTTTGCCCAAAGGTGGGATCAAACACCAATGAAAAATACATTATTTTGAAAAATGGAAGGGAAACAAAATGGCAAAGGTTGGCTATGCAATAGCTTTTAAATGAATCTAAAAGCATTCTATCATGTTGACTGAAAATAAAGAGTTGAGTTAGTTTTTTTTTCTCAGTTGGATTATTGATATAACCCCAATAACCTTATACAATAGTTGAAACCTCATTTTCTGATGGTGAATGATGACATTTCGACTGGTATAAATCAGCTATTTAACAATGGTGCATAAAGAAAAATACAGCAAATATACCAAGTACCCATGAAGAGCAGGCCATTCTTTCTACAACATTAATCATTCAATAGGGCAAGAGTTGACAGCAAAATTAAATGATTTGCTCTTAAATCAATAATAGATGAAAATGCAAGAAAAAATAGAAATATTGTCTGTCTATGACATTTTCATAAGGGACAGCATTATTGGGTGAGAGCAATGCTGCTGCTCCTACTCTTCTACCTACTCTTTTTATTATTTGCATTTCCTTCAATGTGTGTCAAAATCAGAGATGAGAAAAAAAAGAAGTGAAAATACCTGTAAGAAAAATGTTTTTGAACATGTTCTGTAAGTCACAGTGCTATGTCATTTACTCAAGCTGCCCTGATATTTAATATATTAATTCCAAAAATGTGATACAATGAGACAGGAGAATACAGTAATTCTGCAACCTTGGCATTAGACAAAACACACTATATCTCTTAGACAAGAGTCAAGAATTAACCAACATTAGATGTGAAGAGATCTTAAATATCACCTAGACCTGCTACCTTATTACATAGGCAACAAAACTGGGGCCCAAGGGAAAAAATATGTCGTAATTTCTAACCAAGAAAAATTTGCAAATGTGATGGCAATAGGCTAATTGCAGAAATGTGCTCAATGCCAAAGGACCAATGGCCTAACAGAGTTATTGTCTATCATAATAAATCTAATGAAAATATGTAATCATATTATATTATATTATATATTGATGATCACAACAAGTAGTAGTACTGATGAACAACACTCTAATAAAAATGGCAGTCAAATTAGGAAGCCCTTGGTTATGTGTGAGAGGGGAAAATCCTTGATAGAATGATTAGTAATTATGATTATAGGAAACATTTCTAATATGGTAACAAATTAATTAAAAATTAATGTGTTTATTTTAGCAAATTATAAAATGACTTTTACGATTCATTTCAGAAAATAAGCACCACTAATTTTGGTAATTGGCTAAGATGAAGGAGCTTAGGATTGATAATGTCTTCTCAATAAGAAATTACAGCTAACCGATAGGGCATTATAATATAGGAGTTAATCAGGAAACTGCAACATTTACCAGAGAAAATAAAACCATGAGATGTAATTTATAGCAATATTTCAATTTATGCCACAAATAATAGTACCAGATTCTGTTCAACAGCTTACAGAAAATGATCTGAAAAGAAATTTATAGTTTTAATACATCTTTAAATATAAATATATTTTCTTATTAATAGTATTCATTAGTGTACTCTGTATGGTATTTAATATGAAATATTATGAAGAATACTATTAATATATTCAACTAATACTTCTTTCCTTCATGAGAAATATTCCTTATCTTGTCTCTAACCCCTATTTATAAAACCAAACTCATCCACATCATCTCCAACCAACTCCTCCTCCAAACTTCCATAATGTTACCGAAGATGTAGCTTTATCTCAGACTATTCAAGTGCAGTCACTTGGAGTCATCTTTTATTTTGCCTTTATCTGTATTGTGTAAGTATTGAAGAGTCTATCTCCAAATTTTTCTGTTATGTTTATCCTTTTGATTTTTACACTAATTTAGACCCGATTACTTCTAATGTCTTATCCTGTATCCGTTCCTTCTATATTTCCTTCTTTTCTCAGAGTCATATGCTTGAAAAGTCAGAAAGTTCTAGGGGCCACATAATCTCTTTCCAAGTGAGAAAATCCACACAAATCTGTGGAGTACCTACTGAACATCAGGCATTTGCTAGGTTTAGAGATCTACAGTGGGCCACAGGAATTGTTTTACTCAACTCCAGTACATCTCTATTTATGCAACTCTACCACTCTCCTTTCACTCTTTGTCTCTTTGTACTTTTGCTAATGACTTCTGCTAATGTACTTCTCTCTGACTTCTGAGTCATTTGCTCAATACTTTTTCCATATTTCAAGTTTCATTTCCTGATATTATCTCGCTGGCCTGGTCATTATTTTTCCCCCTTGCTCAGAGTTTTGCACCAGCCTTCCTTGCAGACAACTGCTTAGCACATAGACCAGCTGCCCTTGGGTCAAGTGGCTGCTGGTTTCATGCCCTATGAAAAGAGAAGGGGGGTGCAAAGCTTAGAAGATGGTCTCCTATGCTTATTGAATTGCTTTAATAAATATTTTATTAGATCAATTTCCTTCATTGTACAAAGAGTATGTTTAATAAGGTACCCACTTTCATAACAGAAAAATGATAGTATCACTAAATCTAGAGAAGAAGCAAGTTGCAACATGTTAATTTTGGGGTATTTGGGGGTATTTGAGATGAGACATCTGTTAAGTAGTTGGAAACATGGATGTAGATCTTAGGAGACGGGTTTAGTCATTCAAACTAGAGAAACACATTTGAGAGTTATCAGGATGTATGTTGATGGCATCACACATAAAGGAGATTAGTCTACGTGACCATAGAGAACATCTTGAATGTTGGGTCAAGGATAAAACTCAGGGAACGTCAGAAGAACAACTCAGTAAGAAGACTGAAAGAGTCAGTCAGAGGAGTATGAGAAAATCAAAATTTATGTTTACCATGAGAGTGCAGGAGTTTCCAACCTATCTTTCTATCTTCTTTTTCCTGTTCCATATATATAAATATATGTATATATTCCAATGTTTTAGTCAGTTAGACCTCCAACTCTTACCTAATAATTTCTCATGCTTCATACAACCTATTCTTTCCTTGTGCTCACAATTCTCTTCTTCAAATCTCTACCTATCAAAATCAATTTTATCTTTCAAGATACATTCTGTATATTTTTTTAGTTTATTTTACATTTTTAACATACACACATTTATATACTTTTCTCCTCCTTTTACTGGATTTTAGGATTTTGAGAGCCTAGACAGTGTTTTTATTATTGCATCTCTTCTGATGGTACTTAGTAGGCATATGAGAAATAAAGTTTTTATTCCTAGCAGTGTCATTGATTCTGCCTACATCACTATTTGCTTCTCCTGACATTTTGCTTTCCTCTTACTGGCCTGACTCCCAGCAGGAAAAAAAAAAAAATATTTGAAATGTAAACATATTAGCACTTTTTCCAGAAAGAGATAGTAAAGAAAAAAATTACAAAAAGAAAAACAGGCTTCTTAGGCTGATGTTTGACAGTAATAGAAGAGGTGGTATTTTGTTTTCTCATATACATTAAATTGCTGTAAGCTTTGGCAAGAACAATAAAAACTTTCCATGCTCCTTCTAAGTCAAGTGTTCTGTGTTATTGAAATTTATTCATTATCAAGAAACCTCTTCCTTTTTAGACAAAAATGCAAATGCATCCTAAAATCTAATGATAAAATTAACATTTGGACAATCTCATATGTCCACCACGGACATGCTCAAGAATTGAAATTATTATGGTCATTTAAATCAATTATCCAACACTTTCAAAAGTTTTATTTATAAATATCTATGACAGAGACATTGTACATTTTTATGACCTTACTGCTTTCTCTTCATTGTTATTTTCTGGAGATAACATTCCTTACTCCCTAACAATACCTTGAAGGGCAAAATAGTATTTAATTCTGACTAGGTTTTGTATCTATGTAAGAGTGTGTGTGTGTGTGTGTGTGAGAGAGAGAGAGAGAGAGAAGAGAGAGAGAGATTGAGAGTTCTAGCATCATAATTTGGTGGGTAAATCAGAATCAGTTTGTCAGTAAATAGATCTATCAGAAAGTACAGAATAGCTTGCCAAACAAACTTCCCTTAACAACAGGCTCTCAGCTCTTCCTATTTTATTTTCTAATATCTGCCTGTGCCGCATCATTTAAGATTGTTTTGCTTGCAATAGCATATCTCTAATCTTTAACTGATTCTTCCAGTAGTCTCTTTTTGCTGTTGGCATTCTAATCAATTAAAGTTTTCTATTGTGCTGCCTCCTGATTTTCCTTCATCCATTTTTTGCTCCATAAAGAATGAAATACATGACGAGGTGAAAGCCTATGTTTATATAGGTATACCTTTATTTTATTTCTCACACTTGAATAGGTCCTTTCATTTTATTTTTCTTACATTTTCTTATATCAGGTCAAATTTCCCCAGCATCATATGCTTAGTGGTATTTCCTTTCAATCCAAGCAAACCAAAAAGTACATTCCAGAGTTTTTACAGCTATTAATAAAATATCTCTAGTGCTTATCAGGCCATTTTGTGCAATAATGTTATCAACATATCCTTAATGACTCTATGTGATAAACAATGTTACTGCTAGGCACCAAGTGCCTAAATAATCCTTTAACAGCCATATAAAATTTGAGTGAAGTAGCTGAAAGTTGGTGGATATCTCAGCTCCACAGTTCAGATTCCCTATCTCTCCTTTATTGCATATATTCGCACATGTATCTTGGCACAGTCTCTGTATGCCAGCAACTGCAAAATTCTACTTGGCAGTCTCTTCACAGGTTGATTAGAGTTGTTACTTGGCAGTCAGTGTTTGAGTGTCTCAAAGATCACTGCCACATATCTTGATATATTTTAATTATACCCTGCATGTATGAAAAAGGACCCTTTCATTTTCCCGAGAAACAATAGGTTGTTTGACCTTGTGCTGGGAAAAAAAAGAATGAAAGTAAGCATATAGAATACAAATAAACACTTCTTTACCGACAAAAAGAAAATAATTTTTAGGAAAGAGGACAGTCATTGAAATGTCCTCTAAATATTCCTGATACTCAGTTAAGTATGAAGTTGATTTAAGTCCAAAGTCTATTTGTGTCCTTAACTAATGAAAATAGTCTGAAGTGCCACATATTTAGCTTTCAGGCCCATCATAAGAAATATCACAGACAGAGGTGACCCTGAGCTGGATGGATAGATAATCCAGCCTTCCTTTTCACTCTCTCTGTAATAGAATCCCCAGGATAGCACTCCTGATGCCAGCAAGATAAACTTTCTTCCTTCCTAAGACCTTCCAAAGCATTAAAGACTCTATCTACCCAAGGGAATTTGGTTAAAAAGTGGAAGAAAATCCTTCTTTTGTTTTCTTTTCCTTTTCTATTTTTGAGATTACCTTGGTATTTTTTTGTTTCAACGTTTTCATTTTCTGCCTCTGTCATATGTTTCAGTCCTACTTCTGGATAGGAGTCAATAAAATGGACTAAATGGTTTTAAACTTCCTGGGGGTAAATTATGCTATTTTGTAATTTTAACTCTTAAGAAAAAAAACTTTTCATAAATTAAGGAGAAAATACTTCTAATCACATTTCTATACAAATTCAATGGTGCCAGCCTATAGAATATAGCGGTTGGAAAAGAGAACATTTTATAAATGCCCAGATGTAAAAGAGCTCAAGTAAGAAACATTGGGTGTTGAAGACTTGGAGAAAATAGCAGAATTTGACCTTAGTCTTCACAACAAATGCTCCCATTTGAGTAGTGTTATCAGTATGAATAGCATTCCAAATAATAGGTTCATACAGGCACTGCTTGAAGTTTTGAAGAAAGTCAACCAAACTAGGGCAGAATGTAATAAATAATATAAATGTAAATACATATAGATGTTGATGTGATAAATTTTGGTGTATCCAAAGGAAATGATATAAAACAACTACATAGTAAAATTTAGTATCCGTTTTCCTAGTTTTATCATTTAAAATAATTGTATTTGCTGAAAGTTAACACTATTAGGAAAACATGGTTAAGTGGTTTTCTTTTCCTTTTCTGCCAAATATGACATAAATAGAGAGAAAGAATATTTCTCATATACTTGCATATTAATTTAGATATATTTATGTTTATATAAATAAATTAATATTCAATTATATAACTGTATTATTTATCTATACAAACAGATAATTTAAATAGAAAATATAGACATATATATTATTTTTAACAAAATGGTCCTGATATCATACGTACTCTTTTAACCTGATGTTTTTAATGTTACATCATTCTGCATCACTATTGGCAGATCTCCTCATCAGAAAAATTTGGTCTCCTTGCTGCCCTGGCCCCTGTCCTCTTTCTCTGGGTCTTCATGCCTGGTCGAGCATCTATGAGTTTCTCTTTCCTGACCAGCTGCTGTGAGACTGTAACTAGACCTCAATGCAACCAAACCAGAACTGCCTCAGAGCTGTGCTTTCCTGCTTATCAGAAGGACACTTCTGCATCTCAAGGCTAAATCACAAGATCTAGGGACTCAAGGATTTGCTAATAGCGGCTATGGTCATCCTGGATGGGGAGAGAGATGTTTGTTGTTTGTTCTTGATATTACTCAGGAAAGGATCACTGCCTCACTGCCATAGCCTGGGGCCCTGAGGAGTCTCTGCAGCTTGTTACTGTGGTCTGAAAAGGTGCTTTAGGAACAGTCTACTTGGGCAAAGTAGGCTATGCACCATGGGTGGTTTCCTCTGCACAACTGTTGTCAGATAAGACTCTGAATCTCCTGGAATCCTTCTGAAATGGGGGAGTGGGAAGCTTTGGGGGTGACAGTACCAAAGATGTTTGCAATTACGTTATTAACCTGATATAAGCCAATAGGAGTTTGTGCCAGAGTCTTGGGCATGGTTATCATTATTTTGAACAAATACGTTGATTTTTCTTCTTGCATATAGTGGTAAATGGGAAGGAAAAAATACCACAATGTCAGGAACTATTTAGAAGAATAGAGACCATGTTGGCAAATGACTGAATTCATTCATTCATTCATTCATTCACTCACTCGACAAAGATTTATTGAACCCATGTCATGTGCCAGGCTCTGAGGAATCAACAAAGATGCATTTTGTTGCCTGCTAAGTCTCCTTAAAATTTGGCACAGCAGGTGTGCTTTGTTATATATTGAAGTCAGTTGCTAGTGAAGGCAGGAGTGTTAAAGGAAAGTTTAGGTTATATCTAGAAATAGCATTGCTGCAGTCTGCAAAATCCTACTGACATGAAATTCTCATTTAAGTACATGAATATTGGGAATCTGGGGCATACATAAATAAAGAATTCACCTGATACATTTCAAAAACTGCCTTCTGAACTATTTAATTAACAACCTATGAAAAATATACTCTTGAGACCTAAGTGGATAATAGATGTCACCTTTGTTCTATAAAAATGCTTTGCTACCACTAAAACTTAATTTTAAAACGAACAGTCAGCATTTGCAACAAGTTGTCTCTCTGAAAGTTCCACCTATCCTGGTTTGACACAAATAATGAAGAAGAGCAACATTTACCCTCATTGCTATGGTGGAAAATTTTATTTATCGTTGGATTTTAAGGTGTAGTGTTGTCTCTAGAGTATGAAGATTGACAGGGCAGATGGTCTTTATTGTTCCTAAAGGTCTCTTTAGTAAATGACACACTAATTCTTTAGTACTTTCATCTATCTACCCTCCCCATGCAATTAAAATTTGGTGACACATTTTTATGGTCACTAAACGGGCATAAATTAACATTAATTAGGGATATTGTAAGGTAATTCCCTAATCGAGAAGTTACATGCAGATGGGAGGAGCGCAAGGACTGCTAATAAAGTTCTCTAAATCACCTCTAACACTTCTAAAAGCAAAGAGGTTATCTTTTGTCTTTATAGGTTAGATTTTGCAGTAAAAAGGTAAGGTTGGATTTTATTGCTAATCTTATGCTTTTAGACATTTATAATCTGTTCCCCCACTCCACCTTTGAGCCTGAGACACACACATCTTCAGTTAAGAACAGAGGCTCTTTGAATTAATTAATTCATTCATTAATCAATAGCAGACATGCCTTCTAGGCTTGCATTTCAGGTGCCAAAGTCGAAGGATTCTTATACTGGGCATAATGGCTTCAACAAGCCATTAGGTGAAAACCACAATGAGGCATTTAAAAAGGCTTTGCAGTTAGATCAGAGGCTAGCTGTCATCCTTAGAAATCTCCCCCCTCCCAATATCCATGGGATCATTTTAAATTGCTGGCTGCTCTCATATGGACAAGAATTCTTTCCAACTTTTGACATTTGTGTGGGCTTAGGAAACGAAAATGGATTTTGACCTAACAAATACTCATTCTATGCACTGATATTAGCAGAGAGAAAATAACATTAAATCAGATGTTTACATTCCCATATATAAGCCAAGATATAAGATGGGGAAGCCTTTCAGGTACAGTAAAAAAGATAGTGTATGGAAGGTCCTACAGAGCGCATTATACTGATGCGTTCCAGTGCCCATCCAGTCACTATGTGACTCAGTTTCCAAATTGATAAAAGTATCACTGAATTATGTAATAGAAGGCAGTAATATCATTTCTGAACAAAATACTATATTCATTTAACATAAATTTATTGAGCACTTACAGGGTGTCAAATTGCTGTTCTTGGTACTCTACCGATAGCAAGGAAGAGGACAACAGGCATTTTCTAACAGGGTTAACATTAGAGCTGTGCCTAGTACATGCGAGAGAATAACAGCCCTCATCTGACTCATCTGCTCATGTCCCTATGCCCACATGTTCCCCTTCAGTGGAAAGATTAGCACTCAGGAGTACTTAAATACTGTTTTCTCAAATCTTTCCTTTTCAAAGCTATGCAAATTATGTAAGTATAGAGTTTTACAAACTGGAGGGGTGATCGATGTGGGTGCCCAATTCTTTCCAAAAATTTAGTCTAGTCTTATCCCTTCATGGGTCATTTTTCTTACCTCAGCGAGTAGGAAAGAGATTAAATACATTTTCTCGGCTTCTACCTCCTTGAGTCTGAATAATAAGTAAATCCCTGATTTTAAGCAGTGAATTGGGAATATTTAACGTGTGTCCATTCCTTAGACATCCCTGATCTTGTGTCAAAAAACATTTTGCATTAGTTAGTAGTCTTATGTAAATTCTAAATGCTGATTTCAAGGTTTGTCCCTCAAAAAGAAGTTCTTATACATAAAAGGAGCCTCTGTGCTTTTAAATCTTTCATTCTGTCCACTTTTCAAATCATCTTGCTTTGTGGCGCTCTTGTAACTCTTTGATATGATTTTCATCACTTGTAACCTTTATACTTTTTAAAATTTTGTGCATGATGCTTAGTTCTTACCTTGTCAACAAGAAGCAGCAGTACTGGTTTCTGCTGCCGAATATTTCATATTAAAATTCACAATATTTAATGTTTTTTAGAAAAGAAATTGGCACAACATTTCTATGGTGCATCTGCTGGGTATGGCTGTCAGTTATTATAATAGGGTTTCTAACAAATGACATGTCAAAGCCTTGACTTTCAAAGCCCTTATGCAGAGTGTCAATCATTTACTTTCTGCCTTTTCAAATGAGCCTTCTTCCAAGAGCACCTTTAAGGTGTGTGTGCCCTGACTTTTCATCGAAAATTCTTTCTGTCCTTATTTTATCTTGTGGAAAATCTTTCCTGTAATGAAAATGTGAAAGGACAGAAATGACCAATTTTGAGTAATAATGAAGCATTTTTAACAATAATGTCTAGAATCCTTTGTTATTTATTCCTATCATGATTGCTTGTCATCTCCCTTTTTATTCTCTGCTATCTCTTCCATATGTAATTCTTTGTTAATATTCTGTAAAGTTTGGATAATTATTGGTTTTTGTCTTAATATTTTTGGTCTGTTATTACTGATTTACATGAGAGCCTGTATCAAATTGAGCAACTTTCAGCTTTGAAGTTAAACATGGAAGCACACATATAAAAAACAGAAATAAACAGAAGTTCTCCATGTATCTTCTTACTTAGCAATGCTGAAAAAATGTTCGGTTCACAGGGTTTCTGAAACAAACTAGAGAATCATCAGCCATAATCATTTACAGCCATTCTAACAAGACATGTTAGTGATGGCTATTGGGGACTAGACTTTGATTGGGAAAGTAGGTATTAATTTTAGAACAATATTTCTGGAGATAAATCAACTAGTTACCTAACAAAAGAAGCATGTTATATTAAAAAACAAGCTACCATGATTTTACTATAAGTCCCTATCCATTTATTGACTAATATTGAACAAACATTTTTCACTTCAAATAATAAAAAGTAATTTATATGAGAACTTTGAGTCCCCAAAAAGTGACTAATTTTGAAATAAAAAATATATTATCTCCCAATTGCATGCCTACTCTGTGCTCAGTGTTAAAAATATGTGACTTCTTTTCTTACAGCTTAGCAGAGCTACAGATTTAAATAGAAATTATGTTAAACACGGAATACTGTTATTAATTGTTTTCCTTGTATCATTTTCTTTACTGGAGGTGAATTGAAGGTGGCATGGACATTTCAGACATAAAGATAAAATGGTTTACCTAGTAACACAGAACTAACAGTCATTCCCTGCAAATGTACCATCTCATCTTATTGTCCCTAAGAGGTGCACATCTGGGCTCCCACGTACTCTTCATTAAATATGTAATCTTATTCACTCACTAGGCAGTAAACTTATTGGCCTCATCATCTTTCATATTGCCTGGCTCTCAGTAGATACTGGATAATAAGCAAAAATAATAAACTAAAACAAACTATTCTATAATCACTAAATTTAACTTAAAAATATTGGTGTATATTTCTGAATTACCTGTGTTTGGCTAAGATCCAAATCAGAAGTGTCAGATTCCCACAAGAAACTGTTCTTTACTTATAAAAGTATTAACAAAAAACTGAAAGAGGAAGGCTTTGGCCAAACATTATGGACTCAAAAGTTTCAAATACAATTGGAAAACACTTTTTGGCCTCTTATCTAAACTAGCCTTATAAACCTCATGAGGTTTCACTAACATTATTCGTTTCCCTTGGTGACAGGCAGCCCAGTATAAGGTTGGTGAAAAAGTAATTGCAGTTTTGGGAAGCACTAACTATGCTTTTAGCATGTATTAAAAAAACATTTTATTTGTAGATATTTCTGAGAGAGCACAAGAGAGTGAGAGAACAGAAAACAGAATAGAAAGAACTGGGTATCTCTTGCCAGAATCTGACAGCTTGAACTTTATGAAAGATTAAAAGGGAAAAAGAAAAGAATATAGCCATGGATACTTCCATTTATGATGTGAAAAAAAATCTTTTTCATCCTAAAAAATCTGCCCTAGAAATGAGTACAAAACTCCCTTAATTTAACGGAGAAGGTAACTTAATTATGCAAATCAACAGGAGATTGACCCTGCTGTGAATTTTTAATAATATACTAATTGCCTGATAAGGAAATCGAATTAGACTTTAGTGGTAAATTTTTATCTGAGTGTGCTGGGAATTGTAGCATCAACTCTGTTTTACAATAATGATCCTGGAGCTGATGTTTTGTTTGTCAGATGAAAATACTGGTCTATCTTTTGGCATGTGTTGTCTTGATTAAGTATTGACTTTTAAAATTTCACTAAGTCCATCTCAGCTCTTTTCTAATGATCTCTAAAATGAATCCCAGTTGTCTTACCTGCTTGTTTACAAGACTGCAGAACAGTGACAATTGGTTAACCATGAAAGCCGAGTAAGGATGCCTTTTTCCCTTAAGCATTAGTAAGTAAAAAATTTGTTCTTATATAGTCAGATCGGCACACAGCAAAAGAGATCATTTGCCTAGTGGGTTTTTGTTATAAAAGAACTACTTGGAACTTTGAAGAACTTTTTCAGGGTACAACTCTCTTCTCAGCCATGTTAACATAAAATGTGATTTTTTTTTCTCTACTCTTCCTTCACTTCAAGAATCTTAGAGAGCAGATCAAAATAATTTCAAAAAGAACACATTGACTTCTTTAATAACAAGATTTTTTTCGTGTAAAATCAAAACAGTAAGTGGAGGGAAAAACATAAATCTAGATTTATAACAGGCAAATTTTCCAGGAGACTTATTATTAAAATATATTGGAGAGCAGGTGGAGGTAGATAATTTTCTTTTGCTGAATTACTCTCACTTCACCATGCCTATTTTCTTTTTTTTTAAAAAAAGAAAAAAGAGGTCTTCCATGTTTAGAAAATGGCTAGGCACTGGAAGGAGCAAATTTTACAAAGTAATTTGTCATTAGTTAACAAACATTTTTTGCTATCTACTTAGGGGAAATGTACAATATTAAGCATTAGAGTTGAAAGTAGAATTATATAGGGGAAAGGAGAGAGAGATATTTGCTGTAGTCTTGGAAATTAGGATTGGCAGAAAAAGGCAAATTCCTATACATAAGCAAATAAACAGTAACAAACCGGCAGAGTATTATAAAGCAGATATATAGGTAACATGGGAGTTTATGATGGGGGCTTAACTAAGTCTAACAGTTCACACTTCCAAAGGAAATTAGAAAAAAAAAATTCAGACCTGAAGGCTCTGTAAGATCTTTAGATATTTGCTAGATTAAGAATAGGAGGGGAGATATTCTAGTTTAGGGAGCAGGATGTGTTAAAGCTCTGTAGAAGCTAGCACAACATGCAAAGTTCTAGGTGCCTAGAATACATGTGCAAGAATGACTGTCAAAATATGAGGCTACGAGAGACCAGAGAAGCTAGATCACACATGACCTGTAGTCACATAATATATGTTTAAGAATGTCTTGCTATCACTAAAAAATGGTATTTCAATTTCAGAAAACACCCTTCAGCATTTATATTTGAAAATTATTTTATTCTGGTAAGAATGCCTAACATGAGGACTATGCTGTTGACAAATATTTTGGTGTACAACCAAATACAACAATATTCGACAGTATTGTTGACCATACTGCTGACAATGTTGTATTGCAGATCGCTAGGTTTTATTCATCTTGTTTAACTTAAACTTTATCCCCTTTGGTTAGTAACTTCTCATTTCCCCCTTCACTAGGCCCTGTCAATCACCATTCCATTCTTTGATTCTATGAATTTGACTATTTTAGATACCTAATTTAAGTGAAATCATGCAGTATTTGTCATTTTGTGACTGGCTTATTTCACTTAGCATGAGGTCCTCAAGGCTCATCTATGTTGCCCCGTATGGCAGAATTTCTTTCTAAGTCTGAATAATATTTCATTGTATGTATACATCACATTTGCTTTATGCATTCATCTGTTTATAGATATTTAGGTTGTTTCCACGTCTTGGATATTGTGAACAGTGCTGCAAAATAAATTGAATAATAAAATTTTTATATCAATCATTCTTACTCTCTAGAGCTATATGTTTTTCAGAATATCTGCTGAAAATATAAAAGGCTAGGGGGCTGCTAAACATTAAAGCCCATAATTTTCATACTCCTTCCTTGTCTTGGATCATTACGAGAAAATATTTTTCTCTTGCAACTGATGTCTTTATTCAATTCATCTGACACTTTTGAAGTATTCCAAAGACTATTACTGTAGGAACTATGGAGTTGGGGCAGGGTGCATACTCTCCTTGAGGCCCAGTGTCTTTATCTGCAAGAAATGCAACATAATACCTTCCTTTCAGAGTTAATATGAGGCTTGTCAATAGGTTGCATAATGATTAACACTTTCTATGTATGGAAAATACTGTTCCAAATGCTACCCATGTGAGATTAGCTTCTTGTATCCCTACAACAACACTATGATATAGGAGTTACTAACCCTCTATTACAGATGAGCAAACTGAAAGAGAGAGCCTACATAAATTGCTCCAGATTATAAAGCTAAAAAATTGTAGTGCTGGGACTTGAACCACCTTACTCTACTGTCACTAGCACATAGAAGAATAATAACAACTAAAATAGCATAGATAATATACTGTTTCTCATTCAAGATATTCAATATCTACAGTTTGTGCATTTTTGTTAATACTAATGTATTTTAAATAAACCATCTATTTATTGGATAATCAGACATTTTAACATATTCATCTCTTGAGACTAGTGAGCAAATAAAATTAAGCACCAAATCTTTCAATGATTGGATAATGTCAGAGTGTTAGGGTGCTATATTTAATGGTTCAGGGTAGAGGAAAAATCAGGTCCCCAGCTTCTCAGAGGAAGGAAAATTGTGAATGTTGGAAATTAAATGGAAAAATGTGAATACTATGTTAGAGTTCTATTATTAATGATACTAAACAATCATTTTTTTTATGTACACAGAAAAAACAAGCGAATGAAAACATTAAGGTCTTAGGGTTCCTATGAAGATCAAGTGAATTAATAAATACACATAAAGCAGTACATGAAATAGAGTGCTCAGTGATGTTACCTGCTATTACTATACTTTATGACGCTGAATTTCATCCATCTTTTTGAAAACAGAATTTTTAATTATTATGGGCATTAAAACAAATTGGTTTTTGTTTTTGCCTACTCTACTAGCCTATGCTCATGAAAAATCAAGAAACAACAAATGAAATTTTGCTGTAAGAAAATGGGGGTTATTGAAAGATGCCAAATCATGGTCTTGTCAGAGAAAATGGCCAATTATTGCATGAACCAAGCATACCCTGTACTGGGTAGAAAATTTGCAATTAAAGAAAAACTCAAAAAGCATAAATCTTAAGATTTTCACTTAAATAGAATTTTAAAAAGCTTAAATCAAGAAGGGCTTGGAAAAAGGAAATGAGAGATGACAACAACAAAACTTTGGAAGCTAGAAACAAAGCCAGTCAGTTTGGGTAAGTGGAAGATGGGGTAGGAAGCAGGGGAGACTTAAAAGCAAGCTGGTTCACACTGCTAAATGCCAGAAAACATAAGAATCAGAAGCACCAGTGATTTTTAAAAGGGAGGGTGCAGAGGACTGAAAACAGAGCTGTTTGGAACTCAATCTTAGAGGCACTTGATGTGCTTTACTGTTTATTGAGACAAGATTTACGCCTATGTCTGAGAGTTTGGGGATTAATATGAAAAAATAATTACATGCAATAATGAAAAAATTTGTACCTCCAACGCAAGCAGAATATTATTTTAAAAGGCAGCAGTAAATACTAGCACTGATATTATAAACACAGATATAAGTATATTGAAGGATAAACTATAGACATTTGTATATGGAGAAGAGGAAGGGAAAAATGGCAAAGTCATCATATTCCATAGTAGGAAGTCAATAGATAATACCTAAAATGGAAACGATGAGAAACAACTCAAAAAACATGTTATTTAGAAACATAAAAGTAGATGCCAGAAGAAACAGCCAAAGGAGCTGAAAGTGGTTACACTTGGGGAATGTAGATCATCTTGGGAACAGAAAGAGAAGGAACTGCTACATTTTATTGTAAAATACATGTATTGCTTTTGACTTCCTAAAACCATGGATGAATGTCATTGATAAATACAAAAATTATATTAAAAGAAATAAAAAATACCCTTGCATTGTAGGAGTAAAAGTTTCTACAACAAAGTAAAGTTAAAAGAGGTGTTAGCAAGTATTAAAAAATTAAGGTCAAATAAATAGGCTTGTAATGGTAGGAAGCATTGGGGAGTGCAGGCATATGTTAGAGGGCAGAAAGGAGGAAAATAGGGGAAAAGGGCATTTCAACAAAGATATTTAACATATTTCTGCTATTTTACTGCTTTCTGCTTAAAGTAGCTTTAACATACCCTCAGCTCTTGACAACCAGCCCGCTGATATTGGGGAATGCAATAAAGTAGTCTAGTCCGATGAGTCTGGTCATATATTATATTAAATCCCTTGGCATGTTGAGTTGGTCACAGCTTGTGCAGTTGCTATT
This sequence comes from Homo sapiens, assembly GCF_000001405.40. Classification (NCBI taxonomy): domain Eukaryota; kingdom Metazoa; phylum Chordata; class Mammalia; order Primates; family Hominidae; genus Homo; species Homo sapiens. The sequence goes on from NC_000013.11 coordinate 53,919,251, forward strand.
TCCTGTAAAATCATGACAGTGATATATGTCGATATATTTTCAACCATGCCCAAGAGTAAAATTTTTATTGTTTTACAGGACAGATAGCTTATCATATAATCAGAGACTTGGAAGGGACATTAGAGATTATCTATTTCTACCCTTTGTTAGAGTCTTGCATTTCTTGCACAATATCCCTATTTGGAGAAGAATGCTTCCACACATCTTAAACATGTTCTCCCAACGAGTGTGTAAGGACATCCTGGGCCAAGTTTGCTCAGGATTGAAGGGAATGTGAACAACATGATCAATTACTCGAAGACAGTGCTTTGGTCCTTCTTGAAAAGATTGACCATTAAATGATAAGTGTGGGTGAAAAGATAAACCACGAGTAATATCTAATAACCCAAAGCACACCTGAGAATGCTTATTCTGTTTTTACATATTTCTTTTTCCATTCATCTGTTCATGGACACTTATGTTGATTCCATATCTTAGCTGTTGTGAATAGTGCCATGATAAATATGGGGGTGCAGTTATCTGTTTGATATACTGATTTCCTTTCTTTCGGATAAATACCCAGTAGCAGGATTGCTGAATCACATGATAGTTCTAATTTTAGCTTTTTGAGAAAACTCCATACTATTTTCTGTAATGGCTGTACTAATTTACATTTTCATCAATAGCGTATAAGAGTTCCCTTTTCTAAGATTTCCATTTTGTTGCTACTTCAGGTCATATTATCATCTCTCACCAAAGTCACTTATATAGCCTCTTATGCAGCCTCTTTCACAGTTTTTCCTTATTTTCTCTCCTCATCAATCAAACATCAGTAGATCTTCCTAAACTATAAACTGATAGTTGGCATGAAAATGATTCTTCGCTTAAAACTCCCCTTTACCATTCTTGAGTAGATTTTGTTATGTAGAATAACATTCACCTGATATCCACCATATTTAACGTCTGCCATGTGACATTAGACACATACATGCTTTCTCATATCACCATGTCTTCATGCATTTCAACACCCTCTGTCTGAATGGACATTACTACCTTATCTGCTTTGGAAACTTCTATCCACACTTTATGTCTTGGCTAAAATATTGCTTTTTTTTCTGGAAGCCAGTGTGGACTATTTCTGAGATATAACTCCTCCTTCCTTTATTATAATACTTATATTGTAACAACAAATATACTTTTCATGTATAGAGTGCTCCTTGGGAGTTAACAATAAATCTAAAAATTATATGACGCTGGTGCTTTCTTTTAACTATTAGTTGTCTGAACATAGATCTTTTAAAATCTTGATTTCTTGAGATCTCTCAGTTTTTACCATAATCAGTGTTTTATTCCATTTTTCTTACTATGCGTGAATTACTTTTGGTAATTTGCATTTTTCCCAAACACGATGTATTTATCGTTCTTGCTGCCTAAAATGACCGTCCACCTCCTTCAGGTATATTTGTTTTCAAATATCTTCTCAGTGAAAACTTCTTTGATCTTTCTATTTAGAACTGTATCTCCCTGCTCCTCTTTCCTGTTTCATTTTTCTTTGTAGTTCTAATCTCCATCTAACAAACTATGTATTTTTCTTATTTTGTTCATTGTCTGTCTTACCCTACGAGTCTGCTAGCACCTAAATGTTATGGAATCCTCTGTGGCCAGTGATGCCTTTGCCCAAGTTTTCTAAGAGCTCCTCTCTGCTGGGCTGATTCTACTCATTCAGCCTGGTAGGCTGCACTCGGCTCACACTAACAGCCTTGATCTCATGCCTGCAAGGGAGACTGCGAGTCAGGCGTGGAGTGACAAGGGGTATGTAAGCAAGCATGGGGTCTGGCCACCGTGCAGTCAGACAGAACGGCTGCTGCCGTGGGGCGGGCAGCTCCAGGTGCCAGCATGGGTGCCGACTCTCTGCAAGGCTGCAGCTGGACCAGGTGCACCTCAAGCAGCTTCCCCAGTCGGCACCAGGGAATGCAGTGGCGCCTGGAAGCTGGAGATACCAGGAACTTCAGGGTTCCAAAGAGGAAGTCACAACCTTGGCTCAGGGGGCTCCCAGGTCCTGGCTCCCCAAAGGGCCACAGCCTTTTTTTGCTTTTGGCCCACAATGTGGCAAGCAAGGGGCATGTTTCAGCTCTGTTTGTATTGCAGCTCTTTTATCCTTGCCATTCAGCAGGTCCCAAGTTTTTGTTCTGTGACCAGGAGGAATGAGGTATGCACACAACTGCAGGTGAGCAAGATGAAGAGGAACTTTATCGAGTGCTACAACAGCTCAGAGGAGACCCACAGTGGGTAGCTCCGGGTCTGTCTGCCTCCTCTCCGCACCCTCCCTGCAGCGGCAGCGGGTGACAGAGGCAACATGTGGCCAGGGTTCAGAGTGATGGAGGGTCTGGGCCTGGGACCTGGTTCCACCCAGCCATGCAGGGATGGGAGCAGTGCAGTCAGCCACCTCAAGGACGCAGGGCACACGGGATGCGGGGCACAGGGGTCCCACAGCCGCCACAGCCACTCCGCCACTCCCACAGCTGCTCTTGGCACCACCACTCGCATCTCCCCACTGCAGCCAGTGTGATGGCGGTGGCAGCTCTGGACGGCTGGCCACTGCCATCATAATCAAGGTAAATTTGTCTGTTTTGTAAAGTATGCCAAGAACAGCTCCTGAACACACACAGCAATAAGCACTCAGCCTAAGTCAGCTGTTTATTGTACATCTTAGTTTTACTGCATTTCATTCAGAAAATGTGTGCTCTATTAAATATTTCATCAGATTGTCTTTCTCTTCATTAAGCATAATATTTTGCATATGTTTTTCAATTATTTTTGGTTTAGAAACACAGATATACTTATGTAGTCACAACAATTAGTTCATTCATGCTATTTTATAACCTGCTTTTTCCCCTAACAAATTATGATAAAATATTTTCTTACCAATAAATGTGTCTATTCATATGTGGATTAATGGTAATATAAAATTTCATTGTATAGATATAATATATTTTTACATCCTCAATGTTTAGTTTATTTTCTTGTTTTTTTGCTCTTATAAATAACTCTTCGATGAATATTCATGCACATATATTCTTGAGCATGTGAATGATTATTTTTAAAGGGAAATTTCCAGATGCAGAATTACTCATTAAAATCACAAACATTATCTCTTTATACATATTCCTAAATTGCCTTTCAGAGAAGTTCTAACAACTTAAACACTCATTGGTAATTAATTAACGTGTCTATTTCACTGTATTATTGCTAAAAACTGGGCTTTTATCATTTTTTAACCTTTTTGTGACAGACAATAAATGAATTGCATTGTTGTTTGAATTTGTGTTTCTTTTAATTACTACAGAAAATACAACCCTTTTTATATGTTTTGGTCATGTTCTTGATCATCAAAAAAATTAAATAGTGATTTTATTATTGATGCACAGAAGCCCTTTATTATTAGAGGATTGAAGTCTTGTCATACATTATAAATATTATTCTAGTCTTTTGTCTTTTAAGTTTGTGAACTTTTTGGCATTGCATACATTTGAAAATTTTATCTAGTTATTTTATTTTCTCCAGTTTCATTGAGGTATAATTGATAAATAAAAATTGTATATATGTATATATATATGACATGCAATGTAATATTTTGATATATGTATATGTTGTGAAATGATTACCACAATCAAGCTAGTTAAAATATCCATCACCTCACATGGTTTTCCTTCCTGTGTCTGTGGTGAGAATATTTAAGATTTACACTCTAAGCAATTTTTTAAGTATATAATATGTTATTAGTTACTCTAGTCACTATGCTTGAATAGTTTTTAAATATACATTTTGACTGTGTTTTTCAGGTCATACGATTTTATGATTATTTCATTTTCACTTTGAATTATATATTTAAGAAAAGTTTTTTATATTTACTTTTATTTTAAATTCTACTTTGTAATGATATTAATATTGTTACTCTCGCTTCCTTTTTACTTGTACTAGGCTGATGTAGATTTGTACATACTTTAATTTTTATATTTTTTGCATCATTTTGTATCTGTACATGTCTTATGATAATTATGAGCTTTTTCTGCTTAATTCGGAAGATCAAAAGTTTAATACAGAAATTAACTCTTTCATATTATAGCTTCTATACCTTTAAAAATATTTTAACATTAGTATTGTCATCTTCTTTTAAACATCCGTCTTCTGCATTTGCTTTCTGTTTAACATGTGTTTCTGGTTTAGTGTTATGTATTTTATTTATTTTTAAAAAATTCCTTCATTTTTAACTTCAAGTATTTCAACTGAATTCTTAAAACTGTATTTCTTTATCTTTTTTATTTCCATTGGTTTTGGGGTAATGGGTATTGTTTGGTTACATGAGTAAGTTCTTCAGTGGTGATTTGTGAGATTTTGGTGCACTCATCACCTAAGCAGTATACACTGAATTCAATTTGTAGTCTTTTATCCCTCACCCCCTTCAACACCCTTTCCCCTAGAGTCCCCCATAGTCTATTGTATCATTCTTATGCCTCTGAATCCTCATAGCTTAGCTCCCACTTACGTGTGAGAATATACAATGATTGGTTTTCCATTCCTAAGTTACTTCACTTAGAATAATGGTCTCCAGTTGTATCCAGCTTGCCGTGAATGCTATTATTTCATTCCTTTTTGTGGCTGAATAGCATTGCATGGTTTATATGTGTGTGTGTGTGTGTGTGTGTGTGTATGTGTGTGTGTGTATATATATATATATACACACACACACATACACACACCACAATTTCTTTATCCACTCATAGACTGATGGACATTTGGGCTCATTCTATATTTTTGTAATTGCAAATTGTGTTGCTATAAACATGCATGTGCTTTTCATATAATAACTTTTTTTCCTCTGGGTAGATACCCAGTAGTTGGATTGCTGGATCAAATCATAGTTCTACTTTTCGTTGTTTAAGGAAATATCCACACTCTTTTCTATAGTGGTTGTACTAGTTTACATTCCTACCAGCAGTGTAAAAGTGTTCCCTTTTTACCACATCCCCACCTACATCTATTATTTCTTGATTATTGCCATTCTTGCAGGAGTAAGGTGGTATTACATTCTAGTTTGGATTTGCATTTCCCTGATCATTAGTGATGTTGAGCATTTTTTCATATGTTTGTTGGCCATTTGTATATCTTCTTTTCAGAATTATCCATTCATGTCCTTATCCCACTTTTTGATGGGATTGTTTTTTTCTTGCTAATTTGTTTGAGTTCCTTGTAGATTCTTGGTTTTAGTTCTTTGTCACATGTATAGATTGTGAAGATTTTCTCCCACTCTGTGGGCTGTCTGTTTACTCTGCTGATTGTTTCTTTTGCTGTGCAGCTTTTCAGTTTAATTAAGTCCCACAAATTTATCATTGTTTTTGTTGCATTTGCTTTTGAATTATTGGTCATGATCATCTCAATAGACTCAGAAAAAGCATTTGAGAAAATATGGCATACCTTTATGATTAAAACCCTCAGCAAAATCGGCATACAAGAGACATACCTCAGTGTAATAAAATCCATCTATGACAAACCCACAGCCAACATAGTACTGAATGAGGAAAGCATTCGCTCTGAGAACTGGAAGAAAACAAGGATGCCCACTCCCACCACTTCTCTTCAACATAGTACTGGAAGTCCTAGAGAGCAATCAGACAAGAGAAAGAAATAAAGGGCATCCAAATCTGTAAAGAGGAAGTCAAACTGTCTCTGCTTGCTGATTATATGATTGTTTACTTTGAAAACTGTAAAGACTCCTCCAGAAAGCTCCTAGAACTCATAAATAATTCAGCAAAGTTTCAGGATACAAAATTAATGTACAAAAATCAGTAGCTCTGCTATCCACCAACAGCGATCAAGCTGAGAATCAAATCAAGAACTGAACGCCTTTTACAATAGCTGTAAAAAATAAAATAAAATAAAATACTTAGGGATATATCTAACCAAGGAGGTGAAAGACCTCTACAAGGAAAATTACAAAACACTGCTGAAAGAAATCATAGATGACACAAAAAAATGGAAACACATCCCATGCTCATGGATGGGTAGAATCAATATTGTGAAAATGAGCATACTGCCATAAGCAATCTACAAATTCAATGCAATTCCCATCAAAATACCACCATAATTCTTTACAGAACTAGAAAAGGCAATCCTGAAATTCATAGGGAATCAAAAAAGAGCTCACATAGCCAAAGCAAGACTAAGCAAAACGAACAAATCTAGAGGCATCACATTACCTGACTAGAAGGCCATAGTCACCAAAACAGCATAGTATTGTTATATTTCACTATTAGTTACAGAAATTAAAACAGCAGATATTTCTTCCTCTCTGCGAAATAAATAATTTTTCAGAATATTTATTCCTATGTCCATTTGGGGTCTTTGTTAATTTAACCAATTTTTAACATTAAGTTATTTGTAATCATTTTATATAATAATTTGTCCCATTAATGTATTTTGTCCCAATATCTATTTTTATTCTTGTTCATATGGCTGCCTTCATATTGCATTCTTGCATTTTTGATTTTGAGATGCTTATTTTTGGCTGGAGACTAGTAATTTCATTAAGAATTTATGTGATTTATGGGTTTTTGAGTTGCATATTTAAGAAGATTTTCTTTTGATTTTACATGTGTGATAATAAGCTGGGTAGAAATAGCACTTTATGTTACAATATTGATGAAAAAAGTCTAAGAACCTGAAATACTATACAACTGTTAAAAGAATGACATGAATCTACATAGACTAATATATGAAGCAAATTAATAACATACATTTGTAAATTTACTTTTAAAAGACGTTAAATATTCCATAGAAAATAATAGCTTCTGAGATCATTTTAAACTGTTTAGAACAGTGCTTGGTGCATAGCAAATGCTACGTTACCATTTATTAAAGTATGAATTCGATCTATCTAATCATCTTATACAGAGGTATGTACAATTTTTAATGAGGGATACACAACTATCTATTGGTTATTGGTTACATTCAGGTCAGGGATAAGGGGACCAGGTAGTCATGCAGGAAATTAGCTTTCATTTTATCCCTTAATGCATACTGTAATTTTTTTTTTCCTGAGACAAAGTCTCGCTCTTGTCCCCCAGGCTGGAGTGCAATGGTGTAATCTTGGCTCACTGCAAACTCTGCCTCCCGGGTTCAAGCAATTCTCCTACCTCAGCCTCCCGAGTAGCTGGGATTACAGGCGCCCACCACCAGGCCCGGCTAATTTTTGTACCTTTAGTAGAGACGGGGTTTCACCATGTTGTCCAGGCTGGTCTCGAACTCCTGACCTCAGGTGATCCACCTGCCTTGGCCTCCCAAAGTACTGGGATTACAGGCGTGAGCAACCGCGTCTGGCCCTGTAAATTTTTAATATATGTTTATATGACTTATGTTGATAATATTTTAAAGAAAAAAGTGTAAAAACAATCAAGCAATTCTGAAAACGTATAGGAAATAATTGTAGGGCAAAGTATTTTAGTTCTCCCTACATTAATTTGATTTTTCTGTTTTTTTTATCAGAACATATTTTTCCAAATTTTGAGTTTTTATTTTTTTTTAAACTTTTGTTTTAGTTTCAGAGAACATGTAAAGGCTTGTTACATAGGTGAACTTGTGTCATGGGGGTTTGGTGTACAGATGATTTCATCACAGGTGTTAAGCCCAGTACCCAACAGTTATCTTTTCTGCTCTTCTCCCTCCACACACCCTCCAGCCTCAAGTAGACCCCAGTGTCCATTCTGTGTGTTCATGAGTTCTCATCATTTAGCTCCCACTTATAAGTGAGAATGTGATATACAGATTTCTGTCCCTGCATTAGTTTGCTAAGGATAACGGCTTCCATCTCCATCCATGTCTGTGCAAAGGACATTATCTCATTCCTTTTTATGACTGCATGGTATTCCCTGGTGTATATGGACCACATTTTTTTTCCCAGTCTATCATTGACAGGCATTTGGGTTGATTCCATGTCTGTGCTATTGCGAATAGTGCTGCAATGAACATTCACATGCATGTGTCTTTACGGTAGAATGATTTACATTCCGCTGGGTATATCTATATCACCAGTAATGAGATTGTTGGGTCAAATGGTAGTTCTGCTTTTAGCTCTTTGAGGAATTGCTATACTGCTTTCCACAATGGTTGAACTAATTTACACTCCCACCAACAGTGTATAAATATTCCCTTTCTCTGCAACCTCATCAGCATTTGTTATATTTTGACTTTTTAATAGTAGCCATTCTGACTGGTGTGAAATGGTATCTCATTGTATTTTTGATTTGCATTTCTATAATCATCAGTGATGTTGGCTGCATGTATGTCTTTTGAAAAAGTGTCTGTTCATGTCCTTTGCCCACTTTTTAATGAGGTTTTTTTTCTTGTAAATTTAAGTTCCTTATAGAAGCTGGATATTAGACCTTTGTCAGATGAATAGTTTGCGAAAAATTTTGCCCAGTCTGTAGTTTGTCTGTTTACTCTGTTGATAGTTTCTTTTGCTATGCAGAAGCTCTTAAGTTTAATTAGATCCCATTTGCCATTTTTTGCTTTGTTGCTATTGATTTTGATGTCTCTATGCAAGGCCGTATTTTAACAGGTTACTTTTTTTTTTTTTTTTCCCCCATGCTGGTCTCCAGCTCCTGGGCTCAAGGGATCTTCCAGCCTCAGCCTCCCAAGTAGCTGGGATTGTAGTCATGCACCTCTATGCCCAGCTATTTTTGTTGTTTGTTTTGCTTTTATATATAAAAATCTTTTATCTTGTAAACTTGAATTATTTCAGTTTAAGAGAGCGCTTCCCCCCTTTTTAAATTGTATAAATGATAATTGTTTACACTCCATTTTCTCTTATTTTTCCTTTGGAAACACACACATTTTGTAGTCTGAGACACCATTACATGTCCACCAGAACTGTCCCCATTTTTGTTCTCTCTCAGTTTTCATTCCTTTCATCTGTTCCACTGCCTTCTAGATAAGCTACCCAGTTGTGTACCACCAATCATTGGAGTTGAGTTTTGCAACATCTGATCTTCTTTCAGGTGAGAGAAATGTAAGTTATTTCATTGATGGTTTTATTTCCTTTCATTTCATGCATTTCTCTCTTTTGTTTTGTATTTTCGCCAGTGAATTCATTCAATATGGCTCCTAAGGATCATACTTAACTGCATACATCTGATGGCATCAACAGATTCCTAACATATTCTATTGTATTCTATAGAAATAGCACCCCTCCCCAAAATAGAATAATTATTGGCTTATGTGTGTGTGTGATAGTTTAAAAAGACCTGAGTATTTTTTAATTATTAAAAATGAAGCCATGTGTTCTGGTGGGCATTTGCAAATACATTTTTTAGTTCCATTTTCACTTCACTCCCGCAACTACACACCTGGATCCTGACAGATTACTTTCACCAAGAATAGACGTGTTTGGTACATAGCCTAATTCCTTGAACTTCTCAGATGTTTATTTAGTTCTGTCCTCCTGAGAATTTCCTCCTTTGCATGTCAAATTCTCTGTTTTCATTACAGTATCATAGATAAAATCTATTTTTCCTTTGTTCATGGGAGAGACTATGAAAGACTATTTCTCCCAGCACCCACTGTACATCATTTCCTAAATGGCTTTTTTCTACAGAACCATTCTCAAATCAAGGCCAAAATATCCTTATTACTCTATACTCATAACTCTCATTATGTCATTTTAATTTTGTCGGTTTTCATATATTCTCCATGTGACCTTATTTTTGCTAAAATATACTTTCATCAGTAGGGAAAATACAGTGTTTATATCATAAATAGATAGTTCTACATTTTCTTCTAAGGTATGTTCATTGCACTAGATGTTAATATCAATGCCATTCTTACATATTTTTGTGTGCTTTACTGTCTTCCTGAGATCTATATTAGGAAATAAAAAATTAAGATTTTAGAATGAAAAACTATAAGAGAGAGTATCAAATGAAGAAATAACACGCCAAAAGCCTTATTTTTGAAATAAAAATTTCTAAGTACTGAATTCCTTGCTAGAGACATGAGAGTGTGTATCAATTCATAAAAGAGATTGATCAAGATAGACATGTGATTCTCAAGTTTAAATATATAGAGAAGAAATAATTAGGATATCTGAAGTTTCTTACAAGTAATCTGGGGTGTAAGAAGTAGCTTGGAATATAGCTGAAGCACGTTTGGCCCTATTGATAGTTGTTCAAGCTGGGTGTGGGTTCATTGTATCACTGACTGTAATTTTCTATATGATTAAAATTTTCCACCTTAAAAAGCTTAAAAGAAAAGTATGAAATATAACTCTCGAATTACTGAGAAAATGTAACTGAGGTTCTAAATAAAAACAATTATGTTACACTTTTAGTTAAGGATGTTTATATTTATTTAAAACCCACAATTATTTTATCCTTTTTTAATAGATTTGATGCTTTTCAGACACAAATTTTCTACGATTGTTGAGTTCCAAGACATAAATATACATATAATTTGTATTTCAGAATACATACACATACGCATTCACAAAAGGAAATATCTTTGAACATTTCACACTTTTTCATCTTCAGAGCTCTTCATAGAGAACCTGGGCTTGCCAGATAGAGTACTGACTGAGCTTCTGTGCCTGAAATTTAATAGGAAAAAGGAAGGGGAGAAAAGTAAGAGGCATACAGAGCAAAGATTAATGTATTAGGAAGACCATTCCCCATGTGTCTCATGTTTTGAACTTGTGAATTAGTCACTGACTGTATTTTTTTTTTTTTTGCTTCAGATTACCTTTGAAATAATACTTAGATAGTGGTTAGCCTTGGTAGATAAAGATAGTCTCTCTCTCTGTCTCTCTCTGGAGCAAAAGGAAGGTTTGCTTAGTGTCCAGTACAATAAAGATAAATGTCTGTAACCAGAGCAAGAATAGATCTGCATATAAAATATTTTAGTTCCCTAGGTTAACTGTCCCTCTTTTATGACATAATCCAGTTTTCTTTCTTTAATCTCACATTTTTCATATCAATTCTCTGGAATCGGAACTCAGGAAACTGGCACAATATGTTGATGCTCTGGCTATTGTTACTTCTGTGAGTAATAAAATATTCTTCATCTTTGATCCAGAGGAAGTTTCACATCCTCTGCCAGCATCCACGAAACTGTGAAAGCTAACATCTTAGCTTGCAAGTAGGTTAAAATATTGGATGCTTTACAGTTGTTGAATGAAATTCTTTAGGTTAAGAAAATTAATTTCTTAAAGTAGTTAGAACAGTTGTGGTATATGAAGGCAAAGGAAAAGAGAAATGAAAAATGTTATGGTCTCTGTTTACTTAGCAGTCTTCAATAAATACATGTAAATGATTTGTTATTTTGAGGCTACATTTGAAGACATGAAGTGTATGCCTAAGTTTATATGTCTGTATTTTTGTTCACCTACATCATTCTAGGTCTAATTTAACTTATAGCTTCACAAACATTACCTGTGTATCTTCACTGATATTTTAGTAGGAAGTTAGAAGAAATTAAGGTATTGTTAGTCTTCCACCTTACTGAACTAAAAATTTCATGGTTCTATTCAACATTCAATTACAGTTCCAGGAAATCAGATTCTATCTTCCATTTTATTATTTTCAGCCCAGTACTTCTTCAAAAGAAAAAGAAGAAACAACTTTTTTCTCTCTCTCTCCACCCACCTGCCACCCACCCCCCCCGCCAGGCAAATAAACCTTAAACATACACACACATAATAATCACCTGTTTTCCAAATCTAACAAAGGGGAAATAGTTACTTAGCATTTATTAAAGAACCATCAGTATATGGGATTAAGTCACTTGGAGACATACACATTAATAGGTTACTGCCTCCTTGAGTTTACAATCACAATTCCAAATGGCTCTAATAAAATATTAACATTAAAAGAACAGACAAACATATATTCAAGTAGGAAGTTGAGAGTCAGTACTACAGGGTTGCATTAACACTAAGAATGGATAAGATAAATTATGCTAGAAAATGTTAAAGCCTATAAGTTTACCAAGAACCAACAATGCCACATTTCATGATTGTTCATAATTAGAAGAGAATGGAAAAGATGTTTCATGAAAAAAATTAAAAAGCAGGTTTACAAAACTGTAAATATACAGAGTTTGATAATTTTAAAAAGAGATTTATTTGCCTAAATATGTTTCCTCTACCTACAGCAGTTTCTTCCACCTTCAGTCAACTGCCTTCTAACTCTTATCTCCTTCTGTCACCTCCACCAACTATCTTAGCTTTATCTGTGTGCTTCCATGGTCCATTGTGCCTGCTCCTTTTATAGCATTTATCATAATATACTTCAGTTGCCTTTTTTTCCTATTAAACTGCAATATCTTTGAAGATATAGATTATGTCTTTCACACTATTTAGATATAGAATATGTGTTTATTGAATGAATTACTTTATAATTTAAAAAATCATGCTAAATACTATGCTACTGTGGATTGGCTCCTCGTACAATAAAAGGACGTTGGTGGAAAATTGATGAAATCTGGATAAAGTGTGTAGTTAATATTAATGTACCCTGTTATTCTCTTCAAGAAACATAACGGTTATGTAAGAAATAAACAGTAGGGAAAACTGCGTGACAAGCATGTGGGAACTCTGTACTGCCTTTCACGATCTCTGTAAACCAAAAATATTTCAAAACAAAATGTGTATTTAAAAAATTATCATGAAAATTTTTTATTATTATTATTCTATCAGATGAAATATGTAAAATTCTGTAATCTGAATGATCCTGGGCCTCATTTGCTGTAGGTAGTAATGAAATATGTCAGTAATTTTTTATGCCCAAACAGTCTTGCTATGTAAGACCACTTTACCCCATCGAAACTATCTGGTTGTCTAGAGATCCTTGGGGGTGATCTACAAGTGATCACACACAATCTTGCTTCATGTTGTTCCATTATGGTGGCTTTTACAGGTCTGCTGTCTTCACACTTTTGGAAAATTTCCCTGCCCTTTACCACTGCCACTGATGCAACTCCTGTGAGAAGGCTCGTTCTTGGAGAGCTCACTGATAACTGGGGCGAACTCCTCACAGAATTGAAGAGAATGTTCCCCTCACTCATTCTTCTGCAGTTTTCTGTCACCTCACCATAAAAACTCTCCCCTCAGCAGGAACCTTTGCCTTTTCTTCTCCGCCAGGTATCAGATCTGATTCTGTAGTCTAACTAGTGAACTCATACTATTCTGTTCTCCTGATTCAATTTGGGATACTCTTGACCCTCCCTCAGCCAAAAAATAATAGACTCCAAGCCTTCACTTTGAGTCTGGGAATGGCCATGGCTTTGCCTTATACGCTCAGTTGGGCACTCTGCTGTGGGTTAACTTACAGATCTGAGGTTAATAGGAAAGCCATGGAGAATGCTAAATTTAGACCTGACTGTGACCTGGCCTTCAGACTGGACTCAGTCATCTTGGTCATCCTGACTGGGAAAACTAATGACCAGTGGCAACCATGTAATACAGTGTCTGTCTGCTTGCCCATATTGTCAGAGGTGAAAAGACCTTGTGGTCCATTTTAAGAACTCTATGCAGAAAAAAATTTCTGTCCAGATGTTGTTTACAGTTAATGTAGACATTTTAAAGAGTTCCTGAATACCAGTGTCTTCAATCCCTGAAAATAAAGATCAATAGATGTAATTTTGGATGTATACTTGGGAAGCTTGAAATAGCTCTGAGGTGAGTATGGGTCATTTTCTACTTTCATGCATTTAACTGCTTCTGTCATGATCCTGTCAGAGTTTCTACTGAAAACTGAGAGCCTTTCCAAGCTCCCTGTCCCATAGACTCTTATGCATCAGCCCATGACGTTGGTGCCTGGTAGGATCTTAGTTAATTTACAGAACAAAAGACATTGGTAAATTTGGATATCTAAATGGATGCAGCTAGTGGGCATAAAAAATATTTCTTCATCTTAAAGCTCTTTATACACAAACTCATTGTGATACTTAATACTACCCTTGGATAAATCCCAATATTCTTCATTCTTGGATAATAATCACATTGATTTCTCTTATCAAAAGAATTTCCATTTGGAATAATGCCAGGGGATTTAATGAATATAATTTGTTCTTAATGACTTTTCTAATTGCCTTCTTTTCTCTAACATTTTATCTATGTTCCAAGAAATTAAAAAGTTGTTTTATTCCATTTTATATCATTTTTTAATTGTAAAGTTATTAATTATAAAGCTTTTTATGGCAAAGATACATAAAACACAAGGCCTGAAAAAAATTAGAATAAACACAAACAGGAGGATTGGTTAGCTTACTAAGGTGGGGATGAGGACAATTTAAATTGGAGCATGGGCAAGAAATGAAAGAACCATATTATATCTGCTATGAAATGACTATAGTGTCAGCACCTAACAAACTATACTGAGTAAACATTAAATAAAATGTACTAAAATGGCAATTTCATGATCCAACATGTTTATGGAGCAGCAAAAAAAAAAAAAAAAAGAAAAAAGAAAGGAAGAAAAATTACCTCCAGCTATTTGGCACAATCTTAAATTAAAAGTGTAGGTTTATTTACAGAGCAAGCATTTATGAGTAAAAAAAATTAAGAGGAAAAAGTAAATATATTTTCTTCCAAATTGAACATAAAAAATTAATTTAAAATTAAATTAGATCTCTGTGTCAAGATAAATCTATTTATTTTTCTCTCAAAATTATACTCTCATCCTGAACTTTTACTGACATTCACAGCTTTGCTTTTATTTTATTTCTTGCCATTCATCATCCTTATTCATTAAAAATTTCTCTACAATTTTAATATGCTTAACTAGCCAAAGGCAGGGGCATTCTAGCTGTGTTTCCCACACCTGGTTGAGTATCAGAATCATTGGAAAATTTGTTTTGTTGTGTTTTGTTTTTGATACCAGTTTCCAGGGCCCCCACCTAATGTCTAAACTAGAATCTCCAAAGTTGGGGCATAGGACTCTGTATTTTTGTCACGTAGTCCCTAGAGATTTCTGATTTATCAACTGTCATTTAAAAACCATTATTCTTTGTGATTTTTTTAAAAGTCTACTGAATGAAGCCTAGTCATTTCTAATGATTTAAAATCCAACAAGAAAAAAAAACCTAACAACATATTTTTAAATAAACCTACTCTTCATTTCTACATTGTTTTCTAAGAAGATAAACATTCTTCCAGGCATTCAACCTTAGAATCTAGAACAAGTCTTAACTTTCCTCTGTGCATACAGGCAGCCCTTGCTCCTATTGATTCTGTTTTCCTAATGTCTTCCAAATTAATCTTTGCCTTTCTCTTTTGCACTACTACTGCTCTAACTCAATATGGCTTTGCTTTAAATCCTTAGTTGATTTCCCATTTCAGATGAGAAAAATCTATACACCTGAGCTTGGTAACTGTCCTTAGTATAATAACTTGTGGCCAATGCTTCTCATTAGCTGTATCTTTTACTATTCATGTCACCCCAACATGACACGCTGAGTTTCTTGTTTTTGTTTGTTTTCTTGTCTATATGTTTTCTAACCTCTGCATGGGAATTAGCATAAGAAACATTCCTGCATATGATGGGGGAAAATGTAATCTAGGAATTATTTAAATAAAATCGTAAGGCAGAGTAGATTTTTCCCAAGCATAGGAAGGAGAGTGAAGCAAGTCTATGTAAAGGTTCTGCCTCTCTTTATCATTTTTATACCACCAACTTATGTAACTTTGAATCTGGTAGAGAATAACAGTATTTTCCATTATAAATTCTACCTAGTAACATTGAATATATGTAACACTAGAGATATTGCAGGTTAAATCTGGTAAGTACACTTCCAGAAATCTATAAGGGTCACCTCTAATTTTGTGATTTGACATTGAAGCTTTTTCCACAAGGCAAAAATCTGTCATATCTCTGAGGAGCACAGTTGTTTCTTCAGTTATTGAATGGAATACTTCGTGTATTCTCTAATACTGACACCTTAATATTTCTAAATAAGTATAGTTCTTATTTACTCATTGTGTTAGCAATTTCCACATAGCATAATTGAAAATAATTTATAAAGTATTTAACATATAATAACTTCTTCTGAACAGAAACCTATAGACTGAATGAGCCTTAATAAACAAAAAAGAAAGATAGGTAAGAAAGGGATAATATGGTGTCATTTTAAAACTCCTTCATTTTGAATCAGAGGTCCAGGGATGTAGGCAAGCTGTGACTGGTAACGTATTTTCCTTTTTTACTGATACATAATAGTTGTTTTTTAAGGCAAAATACTTGTCTCACCCCCTTTCTATAGGTCTGTAATCAATGGGACCTCTTCCCCTCTAGTCTCCTGTCCCTGTCAGGTCTATGCAGGTTTGTTTCAGATTCCCAACTGTAAAGTTCTGAGAAAGATGTTAGCACTGGTCTCTCTTATTTAATTATGGTAATAAGAGTATAAATGTTTATTTACCTCTTGCCTACTTCTTCAACTAAAGTAGTTCAAGAACTACTCAGATGTTCAAGGAGTATAGTTTGTATCAATCAAGGAAACAAGTTCTGTCTTTGAAGAAAAAATAAGACTCTTGGCCTCTATACTGTCTAGTGCTCAATTAGTTGTAATTGTTACCATGTAATGAGGACATAGTGTGTCTCATGCACTTAATATAATCTCCTTTACCCCACTCCCTGACATCCTGTATTACAATATCCCATATTGTCCCAATTATACGTGGGGAAACTGGGCCAAATGCAAACAGAGCTGCTTGTCCAAGGCCAGAGTGTTCATAAATACAAAAACACTGAGAAAGGACTTTATTTCAAAGGACTTTACTACAAAATCTTGCAGATCAATATGTTTAGCACATCATAATGGTTCAGCTTTCAAAAAGCTAATGTGATTTATATACTTTATAATATAGAACACTCCCAGTATAGTCTGGATACACTCTGTATTTAAATACATCAATAAATGAATATTTATAGTATATGGGGTACGTAAGAACTATACATAATCTCACATCAGTTCAGATTTCATTTCTTCACCAAATGTGTTTTGGAAAAAAAAATTGTCTTTTTTATTGGGAAAATTTTAGATAAGAAGTTATGGACCTGAGATATACCGAGGATTTTCAACCAGTCTGTCAGATGTCACAGCCCAGAACGTCTATGGTGTGTTTTCTGCCAGGTTACTCTTCCTAATTGTGATGTTCAATAGAGCTTTCATTTCCCAGCAGCTTAGCACTCTCAGGCAGTGTGTTTCCTGAAAATGGAGCTACTTCCTCTGACATTATAATATATTGCAAACAGATTGTTCTACAAATTATTTTTAAATAGTCAATACAGTTTTCTTGTAAATACTAAATGAAATGGAAAATAACATTCCTGATATTGGCTAGATGTACCCAAGAGTTTTTGGACTTCCAATATATTTTTCATCAATAATAATTTATATTGACAGTTATATATTTAGTATTGTTCCAAAGTAATAGAATTTGTATTCTACCACCAATTTTTTATGGTTTCATATTGTTGCAACCTATGTAACTATTAACAATAATTTAACCTTAAGAATACTTTGAGGGTTTTATTGCATCCCTTGGGAAAACGCAGGGCTTTCTAGAGTCCCAGTGATTAGGCCTCATAAACCCAAGTGTTGAAAATTACACTTTAGCATGTGTGGAGGATTTGTTTTTTGAAAGCCCTAAATGCATATTTTGTTTAACTTGGTCTCAAATTCTACTTTACTTCAATTACTACAGCATTTATCATTTCATCAATCATATTTATTAAGATTCCCTACCCTTAAAATATTCTCCAGTTGATCTCAAATTGCTTTAATTTCAATCTTGAGTTTTTGGACCATTTCAGGGAAAATTAATACATCTTGATTAAGGACTCATTAAAATAAAATGAGAAAATAATCCTTGAGAGAACTAAGAAGGATTACTTATTGAAGTTCTGCTTATTTCCCTTGTTTATTCATCTTTGTGCTTGTGGCTCAGTCCATAGGAAGGAGCTTCTCTTTTATTCTTCGTGGAAATTACATTGTAGACAAATGATGTAGGAGTTGGAGCTTATAATATTATTTACTAATTCTAATTTTGCTTAATACATGTTTATGTGACCTTTAGTTTGTGTATTTACATATTAAACATGTTGGCTAAAATTATCACATATTAGATCCTAGTCATATGATCTTTTTCAGCACTCAGCTGGAACAACATAAACATGGTTCCTTGCTGTTTATTCTGGTTATACATGTTCTGTTGTTACAGTTCTATATATAGTAGACATAAACTCACTTTCCATATTTAAGGAAAATATTTAAAAATCATTGAGCCATCCAGTTGGTTTAAAATGTCCAGATATTTGGCCTCTTGCAGACAAGCAGCCTAATTAAATCTCTCTTTTTCACTCGGATGTTTATCATTGTTTTGACAAAGTGTAATAGAAAGAGAACTGGTCATAGTGTCAGGAGATTTGAAAATCCTCATTAACTCATTTGCAAACTGCATGATTCTGGGTCCATGAAATGGTATCTGAAGGTGTCTAGAGGATTACTGAAAATGAATAAGGAATACTCCAGGTATGTTCTTAAATCAAGTCCTTTGTCCCTTTGCCTCAATTGTTGCTGCTATAAAATAGGGAAACTAACACCTAAATTAAATATTCTTCTGAAGGTTTACCCTGACGAAATATGTAAAAGTACTCAATATAAAATATGTAATAAATTTCCAGTAGGGACTTCTTGAATATTAATCTGAGTTTCAGTATTATCAGCTATCAAACAGGAAAAATGATTCTTTTTTTTTTTTTTTTTTTTGAGACGGAGTCTCGCTCTGTCGCCCAGGCTGGAGTGCAGTGGCACAATCTCGGCTCACTGCAAGCTCTGCCTCCTGAGTTCAAGCCATTCCTCCTTCTTGAATGCCTCCCAAGTAGATTCTTACCTGATGCTGCCACATATCCTGCTTAGCATTATGTCTGTTTTCTTTCTTTTCGTATTCCCTTCCCAGGTCTATATGAGGATTAAATAGTATTCTTTTTGCAAAAGTTTTTAATAAAGATGTAAAAATCTATCAAAATGAAAAATTTACAAATGTATTTTATAGCTTAAAATCTTCTTTTTCTATTTCTGCCCTTTGGTCACTCTTTCTCTTTGTTTTCCAAATTTGAAACAGCTTTATGTGTAGCAGGTGGCTGTTAGACTATATAATTTGAGGGATGCAAGATATGACCTATTAAGCAAAAGTATTTTTCATGACACTTAGTCTCAAATTGCAAATTTAGAAACTCATTGTTTAGTTATTATATAGCCTCCAATTATTAAAATGCAAGTACTACTGGAGAGGTAATGTTTTAGAATTTTATGTTTTAGGGTTAACAATACCAAACTGGATTAGTTTAGAGCTACTTGAGAATATTTACAATTTAGGAGGCAGGGGAAAGGGCGCTTATGGAGAAGTGGGCGGGCCCCAAGATAAACTTAATTATCATGAGCTATGGAACAATAACTTATTTTTTATAGTATCTTTTTTTGATATTTGAAAAATTGCTTAGCAATTGTTTGGGGGAGGTTTGCTTTTTAGTCAATTTCCAGATAGTGGTTTGACCAAGAAAGAATTTTCATTAGGATATCTTATATTTGCTAAAAACTATCCAAATTGATATAATTTTAAATTTCATCCAAGCATATGTTTTCTACCTACTCTGTTCAGATGAATGACATTTTTTGAACCTAAATGTGCCACCCACTTAATAACAAATGTTATTTTGGGGATGATACAGTACTAACTCTGTCCTAATTAACAGATGAAGGCCATCGGATTCCCAGTTTTTGTACCATAAAGTAAATACATTCAATGCAATTTTAATGACTCTTCTGAGATTTGTGATCCTAATATTTTTCAGAATCTATGTCAAGTACCATGTACCATAGTGCATTCTGCACCAGGTTAGGAATTAGAAGACCCAATTTCTGATATTTGTTCTAATAATATATTCATTTTTTCAACTTGGACAAATCAATTTATCTCTCTAGGCTCAATATGCACTGCAATTTAACTAAATGCTTTATGTAGGAATTTTCTATGCAAAGATATTTTGAAAAACATAAATCACTGTGTAAAAGCACAATATTCTTACTTTTATTAGTGTTTAGATGTTTATTATCAGTTTGTCCATGACTTACCTTGGTTTATCTTGTTATTTAAAATGCTTGCTTTATCAAAACTGCTCATTTGCTTACCAGCTTGCTTTCCCCTCCACTGCCCAAATGGTTGAAATAATTCCTGTAACTTGATGACTCTCAGGGAGTTCTGTATAACTCACCCTTCTGATTTTAACACAGGGCTTGAAAGTGATGGACAGAAAGTTTATTCAGGCTGAGATTTTCTGTTTACAGTACCCAGTAATTATATCAAGCATTGCATAACCCTGAGACTGATGAAGTGCACCTACACAGGACTGAGGTCTTCGGCCATTATTCAGGCAAGGCTGTGACCAGAATTGACCCATCTTTATGGATAGGAGTCTACACCTGAAAAGTAGCATTTGAGCTTCCAGAAAGTCTAAGGTGGCATTCACTGACTCATATGTCATCCTGTGCTCCTGTGTGCCCTCTCCAGAGGCTCCAAGAGTCCTGACACTTACACCTTCTCTTACTCAAAGAAGGTTGCTGATTTGATTATGCTGACATTCTTCTACATCTTACAGATAAATAAATCATCTTGGATTTTCTAAAATGGTGTCTGTGTCATATTTGTTCAACAAATGAAGACTAACATTGGCAATTGTCAATTTGATGATTGAATTAGTTTGACCCTTTAAATAAAATAACTGTATTTAAAAAAAAATTAAATTCCCATCAATTTCCTTAAGTATTTTATCAAACACAAATTATTTTCTCTAAACACAGTTTGCTTTTCCATCTTTAACTGATCATGTAACCAGACTAATGGGCTGGCGCTGATACTGCCATTCTGTCTCTCTTTTAATTTTTTTTTTTTTTTTGACAAGCCAGTCCCTGGACACATTTGTCATATTTGTGAAATCCTTTACATTCAGGCAGAATTCATCTTCCATGAAATTTAAAATTGCCAGATAATCATTTCTCTAGATATGAAACTGTGATCCTCTCCATCAATTAAGTACATCCACTCCACATTTTGAATTGTGAATTAGTGACATAAAGAAGCAAACATGAAATTTTCATTTGGTTGAGGCAGCAGCAACTATATCCAATACCCACAGTTAGTTGTGGCATTAGCTCTAGAAGTAGCTCTCTGTGTCCAGTATTGGCAGAAGCAGCAGAAACCTGTGGCCTCTGCCCACTGGCTCTGGAAGAGTTTTCTTCCCAAAACCAGTTTTGTTTTGATTTGGTGAATTGTTCCTAACTGGGTATCCTCCAAGACATTTTATAAATGGAAAGATTTACCTAATATGTTTAAAATAGTATCCCTTTATATATAAATTACCTAAACTCAGTTTCTTTTGCTAAATACTTAATCTTAAATATGTACGATTTTCTCCAATATCCTCCTGAAGTCTAGTGCCTATAAAGTTTCATGCTGTCTTGATATGCCCTGTTGATTGTGGTTAAATTTACTCTCACTCAATAGTCTTTACTGGCTTAAATTCTCATTACCTCCCTCTGCTTGGCTGCTGCTCCATATGAGAGAGGAAAGATTTTAAAATATGTCTACATTTTAACTGTTGTATTATTTTCTTTATGGTTGCAGAGAAAGCTATCGAAATCCCATTTGATTGCTACATTTCCAGCCTCTTCTGCAGTTAGGTGTGAGAAGTTCCTAAATTCTCTCTAATTAAATATGCATATAATGAAATCATGTTCTTTGCAGCAACATGGATGGAGCTGGAGGCAATTTTCCTATGCAAATTAATTCAGGAACAGAAAACCAAATACTGCATGTTCTCACTTATAAGTGGGAGCTAAACATTAAATATATATGGACACAAATGAGGGAACAGTCGATACTAGAGTTTACTTGAAGGTGGAGGGTGAGGTTTGAAAAACTACCTATCAGGTACTATGCTCATTACCTGGGTAACAAAATTAGCTGTACACAAAACCTTCGTGACATACAATTTATCCATGTAACATACCTGCACATTTACTCCTGGACCTAAAATTAAACTTGGAAAGAAAAAAAAAAAACAGAAAAAAATAGATATATAAGTATTCAATAACATGTGAATGGAAATGACAAAACACTCTCACATGAGCTCTTTATCTTTTCTGTTCATCACAAGGCTGTTTGCCTTTTCTGTTGACCTTCCAAGATGACCTCAGAAGTCTTATATTAAAGATGGTAGAATGGCTGTTAATCTGTTTCACTGGCTATCGACCAGGGCCTTGAAGTTACCCTCAGTTTGACTAAATTTTATACAGGTTTTTTCTTAACTTAAGGCTCCTGGCCTCCCTTTTCTTAAAGCATTTACTTTAGAAAACTTATAAATTATTTATCTGTCCCTTTGAGATGTAAATCTTTTTAATAGCTTCTTGCAGTTTTTCTCAGGGACCTGGGGGCCATCCCCTTGAAATGCAATCATCAAAATAAATAGAGCCACTTTGTCTCAGTTTCTATGAGAGAATAGGAACTTAATGCCAGTCCTTCCAGAGAAATAGCTGGGTACCTTGCTCCAAGTTGTAAAACTAACTATCTCCTGTGATGAAGATAAGAGAAAGTTCACTTTTCCTTTGAGTAAAGCCAATTAGCAAAAGCAGATGGCCTGTGATCTCTCCCTTGCCCCAGTTCTTAAAACACTGTTTGTTTCAGAGAAGCTGAGTCCAGACTGCTTCTGTCTCTCTCCACACAGCCAGGAAGGCTTCTTATTGCCTCCAATCCCCACCAGGACGGTTAAGTACAAAGAAATAAACTTCTAATGTTATTAAGACACTAAAATTTTGGAGTTTACTGAAGGTTAGAAGTTAGCAAGCCCTGACTATTGTAATGATACTGACAACTTAAAATAAGGTACAGTTCTAATTTTAGATAGATAGGTAGGTAGGTACATAGATAGATAGATAATAGATAGATAGAGATATCAGGCTGAAATTCTAATGACTGATATCATGCTGTGACAAAATATAATACTTGGTAAAATTGTGCTAGAGATAACTAGGAAGTCAGTCTTCTCCTCAAGAGTGTAACTCTAGGAAGGAGGCTGGAAAAACTCAGGAGGTTATTGTGCACATCACATATTGGCAACTTGTAACTTTTGGCAGGGTGTTGTTAAAAAGGTAGATTTGGGCAAGAATTGGCTGGTTTTCATTCAGAGATTCAAGAGAATGAAACATTCTTGAGGCTAAGAGCCATAAATCATTGGGAAAACCATTGACTAGTAGACCCCAAATGCTAAGAGAGAAAAGTGAAAAATGCTTTCAGGAACAAAGGTGCCTTAAGAACTCTTAGTTTAAAATGGGGACTGAATTCTGTAGCAAGCATAGGAATAAGTAATAATAAACATGTTGCTTTCATTCCCAAACCTCAGACAACTTCAGGGTAGTCATAGTTGAATAAATTGAGAGAGAATGAGAAAAAGAGACAGAAAGAGAGAGAGAGAGAGACCAATGGACCAAAAAGTAGAACTGATTCTAAACAAGGAATCTGCCCTGTTGCCAGGAAAGGGCTTCAGTACAGTGAATCCTGTAAGAGTCCATTTGTGGTTAAGTGTCCACTAATTATTAAGTTTTCCTGATTTTCTTTTTTCAGAATGAGAGTATTTACTGCTCTTATCTTTATTTCACCCATTGTTTTACACATGTTACTGCATTAGCCCATTTTCATGCTGCATATAAAGACATAGCCAACACTGGATAATTTATAAAGAAAAAGAGGTTTAATGGACCCACAGTTCCACGTGGCTGGGGAAGCTTCATAATCATGGAGGAAGGTGAAAGCCACAACTTACATGGTGGCGGCACGAGAGAATGAGAACCAAGCAAAAGGGGTTTCTGCTCATAAAACCATCATATCTCGTGAGACTTATTCACCACCACAAGAACAGTATGGGAGAAACCACCCCAATGATTCAGTTATCTCCCACTGGGTCCCTCCTACAACATGTGGGAACTATGGAAGCTACAATTCAAGATGAGATTTGGGTGGGAACACAGCTAAACCATATCAGTTACGCATGGTGGGGAAGCAAAAAGGAACCATGAACAGATCTGATGAAGAAGGTTCTGAATCACTCAGAGACTCTAGAATTGAATATGGACACAAGTACTAGATGGAACTTTGGCTAGTCTCCTTTGGGAAGGAACTGGTTATGTTCATTTTATGGGCAGAAAGGTTCACGTAGACAGAAAGGTTCTGACGTGGCAGACAACTAGCTGTTCATCAAAACCATATTCCTCTTTTCTTTGGGCATACAGCAGACTCCCAGGTGTATACGAAAGGTGTTCCACTTCACAATGGGTAAGAGTAACTTAGCCCATTAAATATCCTTCAAAATAGCATCTTTGTGCTTTTCAACTCCTTCCACTTTAGGTAGTGTGGATGCCTGAATTTCTGGTGAAGCAGGAATTGAATACAGTAGAGCTGCTGTGAGTATGGATCCTGAATAGTTGTATGTAGCAGAGCTGTTCTGTTAACTCTGCACCCACTCTTGATTAATATATCAGTAAGAAATAAATATTATGTTATACTACTGCAATATTTAGATTACATGCTTCTAGAGCCAGCCCTCCCTTAACCAATATACCTATAATGACTATTTTTCTATGTAGTGAATGAGGATTTTACATAGAAATAAGCGGCTTTTTATATTCAAACCATTTTACTCACATTTTCTTACTTAATCCTCATAGCAAGTTTAAGAGAGGAAGATCTCTATTTTTGCAATGAATACATTAAAACTAAGAGAGCTTTTATTGCAGGACCAGAAAATGGCAGACCTAGAGGTGAACTGAGATTTTAGAATTCATGATGCTTTTGGTACTGCTCTGAACAAACATAGCTGTGGTTGATTGTACAAGAAAAGAGTACATTCAAATCAAAAGTGAAAGAAATTCCATTTTTCCATTTTTTCAAAAGTATCAGTGTCTTGCACCACTTTATTCCTGTACAATGTGTCATTTACTCATACTAATGATACTTTTCTGTATGATTGACTTTCACAACATTCATTTAGATGATTTACAATTTTTAACTTATTAAGCAAAGTAATACCCCCATTTTCATGTATTGCACTGGGATTCCCCCCACCTGAAATGATCCTAATAGTGACGCTTCTTACCTGTAAGCAATTATGCTTTTATATAGTAGCTTGTGATAGTCAACAGAGTTGGCCAATTCATCAAAGAAGAAAAGGAAACAACAGCACAGTCAATACAGTACATGCATTTTTTTAAGCGACTACTTCAGTGAAGCCAGGAATTCATGTGATGCTGATATACTTTGTGTGTGATGGGGAACTGTAAGCCACAAATCTGTGCCTACTCAAGCATTTGCCTAGTGTGCTGTTCAGCCAAAGTTTGTGATTATACCTCATTGAAACTTCACCCATTGGATTTGTCTTTTCGGAAATGGCTACATTTTAACTCCCAAGGCTCCATTTTAATTAAAGCCAAGTTTCCTTTCCCCCAGTACTCCTCTGCTCTTCATCGGTATTTCACTATTTTATGGAATGCATTTAATATTATTCCATGCTTTGCTTACCCAGTTTGAATTCTTTTTGAATAATTTCAGAAGCAAAGTTCATAACTGGCCATTTTCAAGCCTTTCACGTTTAGGCAGGATGTTTTCTGAGACACGTGTAACTGCCAATAACAGCTAAAAATGGGTGAACTAAAATTAGAGTTAGTTTGATTTAAGATTCAGTAGTGTTTAACATATAAAATAGAAAAATACTATTCAGGTGAGCCCCTCCTATGTACTTGTCTGTACATGATATCTAGAAGTCATATAATGGGACTAACATAATATATTGTATTTTAGAAAGCACATATGCTAATTTTTAAAAGAAGCATAGAACAGCTTAATTATATATAAATAATTGGTGAGCATTATTTCAAAGATAACAGTATTCCAAAAATATCTTAGGACATATAAACGTTACTATTCTTGTTTTTCATTGTATAATCTAGTAGTAATTGGGTTTCTACGATATGCAAGTCACTGTTCCCAAAAACATTTTCTTTATACACAAAAAACATAAAACAGTTAAGATGCCTCTGATTTTAAACTAACAAAGAAGTCCAGATCAAACTAGATCAAACTGTAAAGGTAATTTACAATTACCTTTACTGAAAAGTCCAGTTGGGTCAAAAAGAACCCTGGCCTTGTTTTTATAGGGTTCTCTAGACTCTATTTTTGTGCTGATTTCAACTTTGCACTAGCTTTGTAAGATACCTTTAAGCAACAGCTAGCACTCTCATCTCCTTAGCCACTTGGGGAAAAAGAGACACTGGTACCCTGCGCAGCATCATGCTGGGCTTCATGCTGATGTGACCCTCCCTAAACACATGTCACACACACACAGTGGCCAAAAGATGCCATACGCTTATTGGCTTAAATTACATGTACTAATCACTGTGGAAAGGGAGTAGTGATTGACAACATTGGATTAGACCAATCAGTCTCACTGTTGGGGTCAGAGAGGGTCAATCCAATCCACACCGTGTGGCTGCTAAAACTGAGGAAAGAACTAAAAAATGAGAGGAAGCAATAAAATGCCAGCTGTGCAAGGAACTGCTATTATATGATTTTACTGAGGAGAATCTGAAATTCAGCAAATTCAAATGATTTGCCCAGGCAGTAAGTTTCAGAGCTGGGACATGAAACTAAGATTGCCTTCAAAGACTACACTGTTAATCAAGAATATACTATTAGTCATTCTTTCTTTTAATTTTCTCTTACTTTATGTGTTACTCAGAAAAAAAGAAATAACAGTAAATTAAACACAATGCGGTTTTTCCAGGTATCGTACCTTATTTTCCCTGTCTTGTAGGTTTTGGTAAGGAATAAAATGGATTGGTTGAAAATGTCATATGAGTAAAGTATGAATACTTAATAAATGATATTGGGATTCTATTTAATAACATAAATCATTCTAAGATCCTAATACAGTAGTATTTTTCTGATTACTTGGTATTTAAAATAATTGATAATAATAGCAAACAAGTCTATAGAATTTAGTAGCTGCCAGGCACTCTTCTACGTGCCTTACACATATCAGGTCATTTAATTCTCATCATATGACTATGAAATAGTCTGCTGGTTATGGCACAAGCATAGGTCAAGCTGCTAACAGAAAGAGAACAAAAGTACAGTTCCTAGAGAACACAGAAGTGTATCTTCCACTTGTTTTATAGTTCGTGGTAGGGATATAAGCTCCACTCAGTCATCACCCAGGGACTAGGACTAATATAATGATTCTGTCATTCTCAACAGGAAGCTTCCACCTCTGGCTCCGGTGCAGCTGCATCAGTTATTGCCAATTATTAACTAAAGATAAGGGGCAAACAGAGAGAGGAGCCAAGCTAAGTTTCTTCAAGGGAGAATCTAGAAATAACATCCATTACTTTTCATACACTACTGATGGGAATTCAGACACATGGCCACACTTGGTTGCAAGAGAGGCTGGGAATTCAACTCCGCAGGATGTCCATATGACTCTTTAAAACTCACAAGTTTCTGCTACTGAAAGGAAGAAAGGGAACATGGATATTTCAAAACAAAAGACTTTAGCACAGGTAAGTTCAGTGGTAGAGCCAGCATTAATCCGAGGTAGTGTGGCTTCAGAGATTGTGGTCTTCATCACCATGCAATGTTGCCTACAATAAAAATTTTGAATATACTATGTACAAAAGAATTTTTCCAAAAACATCTGTCTTTTCTCTTACATGTAACGGTTGCTCCAGTTTGGTCTCAGAAACTTTTTTCAAAGAATTTTAGGGAATGATTAGTACTTCTTTATTCCTTTGAAAATCTAATAGATAGATTCAGATAGAGATAGATATCTATATCAATGTCTATAATATTTATAGCTATATTATATCTATATTTAGATTTTATATATCTCTCTATTAGATCTTATATATCTGTATATGAAATAAGCATCTTATCATAGCTTAGGTTTCCTTATTCTGTTGACATCTTAAAATTAGATTTCTTTAGCCTTTCAAACCCTATGTTTTTAAAACTGCATTGTCACAAGTTGAAGTTTACCGAATGTATAATAGACACAAGAAAATAAGTAGGTTAGAGTTCTTCCTTACAATGTGTTTATTGTTGAACAGATTTTCTTATAGACTGCTAAATCTACAAGCAATAAAATCACCTGACATAGTGCTAATTTTCCATTTTCTCACTCCCAATACTGAACTATTAATAACCGAGAAAGCATCATATGACTAAAAACTGTAGTCACATTATTGCCTGCATTATATTTGATAATGGGGGTCACTGCACCCTCATGTGACTTAGCACAACTGGAGAGATGTTGAATTGATCACAACTAACTTCTGTGACATTATAGATGATGTTTGCATGTTCAAGAAAAATACTTGATATCAAGACAATGCAGTTCCCAAATATAATTTATCATAAAGGTCAGTTTCCTTAATAAATTATGAGTAATTGCCCTGAAAACTCACCTTTTATGGTTTATAACAATGCTACGTGTTACACTCTGCCTAAGGTTATTGGATTATCTGGTGCATTGATATGCAACAGGAGATCATGTAAGACATTTTTAAGTCTCAACCTAATTTCTGCTAGTTATTCCACTTCATGATTTAGTAAAGAATTAGTGGCTCTTGAATGTAGTGTCAAATAAATAAATAAGCTTTCAAATGACATTATTTCCACACTTAAACCACTGGTAGTCATTCATTCTTCCAGCCATTGATGCATTTTGCAAATCCTTGTGCATTAATTAGTATGTCTCTTGTATAAGGTATGAAAAAGAAAATTAAGGCACGCTCACTGTTCTTGAAGGATTTAAAATTATTTTCAGATATAAGTTAAACACCTTGTAAATTAATCTAAAATGTATTATATAATTTACTATGTAATTAAAACTGCACTTTATTTTTATAGCAAATCAACAAAGAGATGATCGCTGTTTGGCATTTTTAGAGAATGATTTCAGGAGATGGTAGGAATATATTTGATATATTATAAAAAATGATTGGGAAGATAAAGGAAATGGGAGTGGGCATTAAAGGAAGAATCTGAGCAATATCACAAGGGAAGGAAATATAGCAAATTTTGTTGAAGAATGAGTGAATAGAAAAGCAGGCTACAGTGGAGGCTTCTGCTGTGAGACAGGAGGCAGCATGCATGGCAAGGTGGTTTGCAGCAGGAAGGCAGAGATTTGAAGAGCCTGGGTAACATATAGATGTTCTCAGATTTTCCCCTGAAAACTCTCATGAAAATGTATTGAGAGTAAACTTGATGGTTTGTATTTCACTCCAGCTTTGGCAGAGCTTTTACCCAAATATTACATTATGTCTGTTTCTTTTATGTTTGGAGTAAATCTATCTGTACAATTTTATGAACGTTTGTAATTATGGCTTTCAATTTCTCATTTCAGAAAAACCTTAATGGATCTCTTCTTTACTGAAAGATATGAGCATTATAAGAGTTGGCAGGGGTTTTTTTAGTTAGTAATGTTATTACTTTTAGATTTGTTTTTATTTTAAAAATCTTTATTGAGATATAATTGACATTCCATGAAACATGCCCACTTAAAGTGTATTTTATAATGGCTTTAGTCTAATCACAGAGTTGTGCAACCGTCATTACTCTTTTTCCCCACTCCAAGCCACCCCCAGCCCTAAACAGCCACATTTCTACTTTCTGTCTCTATAGATTTACCTACTCTGAACTTTTCATATAATACATGGTCTTCTATGACTAGCTTTTCAAGATTCTTTCATATTGTAAAATGGAGCAGTGCTTCCTCCTTTGTTATTGCAAAAATAATATTTTCTTGTAGAAATATGATACATTTTGTTTATTCATTTATCAATTGATGGGCATTTGGGTTGTTTTCATTTCTTGGTTATTGTGAACAATGCTATCGTGAACATTTGTGTACAAGTTTTTGCATGGACATGTTTTTATTTTTTGGATATGTGGCTAGAAGTAGAATTGCTGGGTCATATAGGAATTCCTATATTTGACATCTAGTTTTTCAACATGAATATTTCATTTTACATTCCCATCCTCTGTGCATGAGGGTATTTCTCTACATCCTTGACAACACTTGCTATTTTCAATTACTGTTAGAGCTATCCTAAGTGGGTATGAAGTAATATCTCCTTGTTTTCTATTTGCATTTCATGTAAGGGTAACGATGTTAAGCCCAGTTTTCTGTGCTGACTGACCATTTATATACCTTTTTTGGAAAAATGTGTGTTAAAATCCTTTGCACATTTAAATTTGGGGGTTGTATGTCTTTTTATTTCCCAGTGTCCTATTGTCAACATCATTTGTTGAAAAGACTATTCTTTCACCCATTAAATTGTCTTGGCATCCTTGTTGAAAATCAATTGACCATAAATGTATGAATTTCTTTTTGGATTTTCAATTCAATTTCTTTAACCTATATGTTTATCCCTATGCCAATACCATGTAATCATAATTACTGTAGCTTTGTAGTAACTTTTTAAATCAGTAAGCATGAGTCTTCCAGTTCTTTTTTCTTTTCAAGATTGTTGTGGAAATCATGAGTCCCTTTTATTTTCATATGAATTTTTTTTTTTTTTTTTTTTTTTTTTTTTTGAGACGGAGTCTCGCTCTGTCGCCCAGGCTGGAGTGCAGTGGCGGGATCTCGGCTCACTGCAAGCTCCGCCTCCCGGGTTCACGCCATTCTCCTGCCTCAGCCTCCCGAGTAGCTGGGACTACAGGCGCCCGCCACTACGCCCGGCTAATTTTTTGTATTTTTAGTAGAGACGGGGTTTCACCGTTTTAGCCGGGATGGTCTCGATCTCCTGACCTCGTGATCCGCCCGCCTCGGCCTCCCAAAGTGCTGGGATTACAGGCGTGAGCCACCGCGCCCGGCCTATTTTCATATGAATTTTAAGATCAGCTTGTAAATTTGAAAAAAGCCAACTGAGATCTTGATAGGGATTACACTAAATCTCTAAATATATTTGGAGAGTATTGCCATCTGTGGTGGGCAATAATAGTCCCCCAAAGATTTCTATATCCTGGTCCCCAGAAACTATGGGTATTTTATGTTATATAGCAAAGGGAAGTTAAGGTTGCTAATCAGGTGACATTAAATAGGGAGATTTATCTGGATTATTGAGATGGGCCACTGTAAACAGGAGTGATCCCAAACATAGTGAGGGAGTCAGAAGAGTCAGTGTCAGAGCAATGGGATACAAGAAAGATTCCACTAGACATTGTTGGTTTTCAAGATGGACAGGTCCATAAGCCAAGGACTGTAGGCAGTCTCTAGAAGCTGGAAAGGAAGAAAAAACAAATTATCTCTTAGAGTCTTCAGAAAGGAATGCTGCCCTATTTGTATCTTGATGTCAGCCTGATGAGAATCATTTTGGACTTCTAAACTCCTTAATTTATGGAACTTCTTTATACCATCAATAATAATTGAATATGCCACTTTAATAATCATGCACTTTCCAAGTCATGAACATGGGATTATGTCTTCATGTGTTAGTCTCATTATTGAGCTTTCTTTCAATGATGTTTTCTAGTTTTCAGTGTACAAGCCTTATACTTCTTTATTACAATTTATTTCTAGTAATTTTATTCTTCTTGATGTTAGTGTAAATACAATTATTTTCTTAATTTCAGCTTTGGATTATTACCAGTGTATGGAAATAAAATTGATTTATGTCTATTTATCTATATTCTACAACCTTGCTTAACTTACTTATTAGCTCTAGATTTTATTTGTGAATGTTTTAGGATTTTTCTATACCATCTCATATTGAGGAACACTCCACAAAATAACTGGCCATTATTCTTGAAGTGTGTTAACACTGTAAGATCAAACAAGGCTTAACAATTCCCCTATAGTAAAGGAGACATGATAATTAAATGTAATGTATGGTTCTGCATTGGATCCTGAGCTACAGAAAGGACATTAATGGAACACTCACCAAAATGTGAACAATTATTTAGATTAGGTAGTAGTATTGTATCATTGTTAATGTCTTGGTTTTGGTCATTGTAATGTGGATTAATGGGATGCTAATATTTGGGGAAGCTGGGTAAAGGTTACATGGGAATTCTTTGCACCTTTATAGCAACTTTTTTATAAATCTGAGATTATTTCAAAAATAGAAGTGAAAAATGAAACAATTAGTTTTCTGAAATGATACTCTTTTTTTTTTTTTTTTTGAGATGTAGTCTCACTATGTTGCCCAGGCTGGAGTGCAATGGCACGATCTAGGCTCACTGCAAACTCTGCCTACCAGGTTCAAGTGATTCTCCTGCCTCAGCCTCCCAAGTAGCTGGGATTACAGGCATGCACCACCACACCCGGCTACTTTTTGTATTTTTAGTAGAGACGGGGTTTCACCATGTTGTCCAGGCTGGTCTGGAACTCCTGACCTCAGGTGATCTGCCCACCTCAGCCTCCCAAAGTGCTGGGATCACGGGTGTGAGCCACCACGCCCGGCCGAGATGATATTCTTTCCTTCTGTCCTGCAATCTTTCCCCATTACACTGATATTGTACCTTGTGCTATGCACTGGGTGGAAAATAACAATCGACATTCATAGTTGCTTAGAAAAAAGCTCATAATTTGGTAGAGGAAAGAGATACTAAATGTATAAATCAAGAATGATTTGAAAATCCTAAAGTAGAAATACGTTTTACTTTATTTTTCATGACCCAGGAATTTCATATGATCTTCTCATGCTTTCAAAACAAATATCAGATAAACAATTACGTTTTCCTGTTTAAACCCACATTGTATATATTCTTGGTTTGAGAAAAACTTACTTTTTCTTAAATTTTTTCCCTTTCTGTATTTCAACTTTCATGCCAACATACATGCAAACACACACACACACACACACACACACACACACCATTTTTCCTCTAGAAATACATTTCCTCTTTCTCTACTGCAAATCATACCATTCCCATCCAGATGATCTTTAAAACTAACACATTCTTTGAAGCTTTCTCAGGAACAGCCTGAAAGACAATTAGTAAACATTCTCACCCTTCTGAATAACAACAATTACATGGTAAGAGATGAGAAAGTCTTAGATAGCAATGGGTATATGTGTATCCACATGCATCTTTATGATTTTTGCATATAAATGGCTTTATGATACTTTGATTTTTGTCTTACAAGTAAGACAAAACCTAGATGGCCGTGGAACATTCCACATGAGGAAAACAACATGACAAACTCTGCATTTTAATTATAGGAGTGATGTCTCTTATTCATTACATTTTGAAAAAATTTAAAACATAGTTCTTATTATTTGTAGACAAAATAGTTGCAGCTACCTGCATTTGAAAGTCAGCTCCCTTGCTTACTAAAATATATGTGATACTAGTGTAAATTATACTTTTGGAATTTGAAAGTTTCATCTCATGAAGAAAAATGAACATTATTTTTTAAAACAGTAGAGATTGCTAAATTATTAACATAAAAAATGTTAACACATATTTGGAAAATTGAAATAATGCAGAAATTCATTTGTAAGCTCTTATAGTATCCCCTAAGCTAAGTTTTTTCATTATGTTACTTTAGAAATAATTTATAATTTCTTACTAGTGACAAAGTTTTGTCTTTCCTAATTAAAATATTTTAGCTATAACAAAAATTTAATGCTAGTGTTTTAGAATATTGAGCCAGATGTTTAGAAATATTTTATTGTTAAAATATTTACTCAGTAAACATTTATTAAAAGCATCCAGATAGATTTCACTAACATCGAAAACCTTAAAGATGAAATAATGACTTATATTCACACATATAAAATGTGTGACTCTGGACAGATTTCACAAATTTTATTTAGTGCAATTCAATCAAAAAGCCAAAGTCAACTGCTTAGATACATGTTTGATGTGTGCATTTCTCTCTTGGCCAACAAACTGTTACATGTAACTATAAGGGTTTGAATAAACAACTGTAATTTGGAATAAGAGCCAAGCCGCTGTGTTTCCCTTGAGTGTGATGCTTGGCCCTCATTCAGAGAGCCCAGAGCAGCCTGTCACCAGTGAAAAGAAGCAGAAAGGGTAAGTGGCTCAGCGGCAGACCTGCTTGGTGTGGGCCTTGGAAGTGTGGATGTGAAACCTAAAATAGGCATTGGAAATAGCTGGATTAATGTTCCACTTTGGTTGCTAAGCTTACCATCTGTGTTGTGTAGTTTTTGACTTTTAATCTGAACTAATGGGAAATCAGAGCAAATACGATAACCCCTTGGAAGCAGATCATCTCTTCTAATCACCTGACTTTGTATTTCATTAATAAACAAGAGTTTTGTTTTGTTTTCAATTAGTCAGAAAGTAGTAGTTTCTTTTTATTTGTTTTTACTCCTTGCTTTACTATCTACATAAGAAGCTTTACCTTCTTTCTTTTCTTAAAAATGTTTGTATTTTATCATGGTATGAATACACATGAGACTACCTTCTTTACAAATGTTTAAGTACACAATACAGTATAGTTGACTATAGGTATAACATTGTTCACCAGAATGTTAAAACTTATTCATCTTGCTTCACTAAAATTTATGCCCATTTATTTGTTAGTAACTCCCTACTTCCCCCTCCCACCAGCTCCTGGTAATCACCATTCTGCTTTTTTGAGTCTATGTATATGGCTATTTTAGATATCTCATATAAATGGAATAATGCAGCATTTGTCTTTCTTTGGCTGGCTTATTTCATTTAGCATAATGTCCTCAAGTTTCATCCAAGCTGATGCTTACTACAGAATTTTATTCTTTTTTAATGCTAAGTAGTATTTCATTATATGTTTATACCATATTTTCTTTATCCATTTATCTGTTAATTGGCAGTTAGGTGGTTTCTTCCTCTTGTCTGTTGGGAATAATGCTGTAATAAATGACTTTTTCAGAAAGACACAAAAGGTTATAATTTATATGGAACCACGAAAGCTTCTACACATCAAGGTAAACAATTAACAGAGTGAACAGGCAACCTATGGAATGAGAGAAATGTCTACAAAACATATATCTGGCAATGGGTTAATATATGAAATATATAAAGAACTCACACAAATCAATAGCCAAAAACCAACTGATAATCCAATTACACAAGGATCCAAGGAGTTGAATAGACATTCCCCCAAAGTAAACATGCGAATGGCCAATAGACATATGAGAAAATGTTCAACATTATGAATCATCAGGGAAATGCAAATGAAAATCATGCGATATAACCTCACATTTGTCAGGATGGCCATTGTAACACAACAACAACAATTTCTCTCTAGTGCCAAGACAGAAATTCACACATCAAACTTGTATCTAAGCAGTTGATGTGGGCTTTTGGACTGAATTTCACTAAGCAAAATCTGTGAAGTCTGTCCAGAAGTGAGGATGTGGACAAATTGGAACTCTTGTGCAGTATTTGTGTAAACGCAGAATGATGCAGTCACGATGGAAAACATTGTGGAGGTGACTTAAAACTTTTTAAACAGAATTATGATATAATCCAGCAATTTCATTTTGGGGGTATTTATCCAAAATAATTGAAACCAGGATCTTGAAGATATATTAGTGTTACTTCCCTTCTTTTTTGTTTGAAAAATTATTGAATCTATAGAGGTGTTTCTCATCTTGAACTGAACATAGAACATGTGTGCATGGCTTCCTCTGGCTGCTTCAGAGAAACAGCAATGCTATAAATACCTTTCTAAAGAAAGTAAGTACAAAGAAATACTTTATTTTATAATTTACTGAAGGAGATTGAAGTAATCTGTATTTGTTCTTATATTCATTTATAAGTCTCAAATGGGTTTTTAGAGTAATTTTAAACAACTTAAAGTGTCAATATCATTTTGAACAAGTTTCAGTTACCTGTTATGAACTCATAGGTAAAATGATCAGGACTCTGAGATGCCACACTTAGAAGTTAAAGAATATGGTGTTACACTCATTATGTACTTTTTCTTTGTCTTGCACCTGCTGTTCCAGAAAGGTAAGACTGTAAGGTGCTTGAGAAAATAGCTTGGTCCTTGTTTAAAGAAAAGAGAAGTTACCTAGATTAACTTTAGACCCTTGAAACAACGTTGAAGAGTAAGCAGATGAATCAAAACCCTACAAAAATTCCAGCAGCACATTTAATACTTTTTCAGTGATGAATTCAAAACAATGAAATATCAGCACTAGATTTTATTTTCAATCTTTAAAACAAATATTTACCAAGGTGATCTTATTTAATAAGTGGATTTATTTAGAAACAAGTGGCTGTAGGTCCATGCTAATTGTGAGATTGTCTTTGAGGTTACTCTTACCCTAAGATTGTGAAGAAAAGTACAGCACTTTCCCTTATTCGAAGCAAACTCATATACATCAGTAACTTTTCATATCTTCTTTTAGTGCTAAAAAATAGTAAGGAAAAAGAATAGATTGATAATAATTGTGGGCCATTATTTGGTGGTTTAAAAAATGATAATTTTATGCTTCTTGTTATAATCTCAGAGTAAATTTCATATGTCTTCAGCACTTAAAGAACAAGGTAACAGAATAAATTTCCAATGAGGCTAATAATTGAGAAGTGTTGATTATTATAATGATAGTGTAGTTACAAATCTTTTCAAATTCTGTGACATTTTTGTAGCCATAAGAAATCACATATCACTGACAAGTTATAGTTCTCTATATACCTCCTTGATTTTATTTCATCTCACTGAGGGATGATTATTATATATGCATATGAAATATTATTCCTATGTTATAAAAGGATTTTATACATACAAATATAACGAGGGGAAATGTAGCCTCAAAAGAAAAGAAATGGATCATAGTCCACATCTTAACATTAATGCTGATGTAAAAATGAAATACTCACATTTCTAATGACAGATTCAACCATTAATAAGTTGGAACAAGTATTAGCTGATCATGTAGTACTTTTCTTTGGTGTCTTGATGAAGGTTGACATTTTTGACATTAAGGGTTAATTAGTTGCCACTTAGAATGAGGTCACAAATGGCTAATTGCACCTTCAGCTAGGTAATTACTGTCATGTATCAAATTCTCATTCTGTGTAATTATACAGGAATCAGGTGCTCTGACTGCTCAACTAGGGATACCTTTGCTTTCCAAGTCCTCTCTGTGGGAATTCTGAAGTTTTACACAGGAGCTGAATTCACTTGCAATTTGACCTGATGACTAATTTGATATGCAGAAGATTCCATGCCACTCTTGAAAATCATGGTCCTAAGGATGTCATCCAGTTCCACTTTAATGTTTCTGGCTTCTCTGATTCTGTAATTTTGCTGCTGTCAACTCCTATATTCCTGCTAGGAGGTTAGATATTCATTAAATTCATCTGGGCTATTTCAAACCTTCATCTTCTTTCCCCAAAATAACTACTGAAGGTTAGCTTATCATCAACATTTACAAAAATGGCTGATGCCTCTTAAGTAAAGAATCAGAGGCAGGGCACAGGTATATAAAAATAACGATTTTTCTGGCAGCGATCCTATATGCATTGGGGCTAACCAGTACCTTGGTCTTGCATCACTGCTCACATAAAAATGAAGTAGTTCAGACATTATACAAAGAGGAGGACATAATACTTCTACATTTATGTCTCCGCTCACATCACTGGACTACACTCCTGGGGTAGACTGGAGAATACATTTTCCTGGCTCTCAAAGGACATACTGTAGGAGATTAATTTAGCTGTGTCTATATTGTCTAATCTGATGCAGCAGTCAATATTAACAGTTACAGACATTAGGTTCTGCACTAATAGGTGTTACTCCCTCATTTAAATATCCCACAGGGCCACGGAAGCCTGAAGTTTATAGGTAGGCCAATCAGCACCTTTTTCTGTCTTGAAGAGAAAATAAGCCTTTATTCAATACAATTAATGATTTTACACACACACACACATAACTTATATGTGTGTGTGTGCAAAATTTTAATGTGTCATATAAAGGTTTACTTGCATTTCGTAATTAAAATAGTTGAATATGTGATATTTGCAGTGTGTACAGTCACACTTTGTACATTAGAAAGTCAAGCACAATTACACTTACTGCATGCATGTGATTTATAAGAATATGATATTTTCTCTGAAATTAATAACTAATTTCCAATTCAGATCTTATATGAACAAAACTCACATGGAAGATATTGACAGTCTCAAAAGTGTATTTCAATTTTTTTCCTATGGGAACATAAAATATAATTAGTTTATCTCTTAATCTCTCTTTTTAATAGTCACACACACAATAATTAACATATGTATAGTGTTTTAGGGTTACAAAGAGATTTCAAACATTATCTCATTTAGTTGTCACTATTAACCTGGGAGGAAGGTCTTTTGCAGATGAGATATAGTAAGAAGGTGACAGACAAGTTTTTTGTCTCCAAATTCAAATTGTTTTTTTACTATGAGAAACTAATCATTTTTAGCTATAATAGATGTAGAATGTTTAAAATTCCTAATCTAATTGTCAGTTTCAATATGCATTTACTGTATAAAAATGTTATACTTTTGTTATTTTTAATTTAGTATCAACAAAATTCATTCTAAATATTAAACATTCAACTATAGAGATAAATAATTTTTAGATTGTGCTCTTTTTCTGATCAAACGTAAGAAATTTATATATAGTCTATAACTTAAACTGTAGTACATAGGGAAAGATGCCACTGAATTGGACCACTTGAGGACAAATACCAACATCCAACTTGAAGTAAAATTTCTTGTGAACCTTCTCATCACAGCCAATAGCACCACTGTATTGCTAGCACACAGGAGTGGAAACTTGGAAGTTATTTTTAAGGCTTCCTGAAGCTTATATTTTAGTAGGAGAAACAGACATTAAACAATACATTATTCAATTCATTATTTAGGCATGATTGCAAAAAGCACTCCAGAAAAGAGTTGAGTGGTAATAAGAGATCACACAAAAGAGATGGGAGATTAGCCTGGGAAATCAACGAGAAAGAGACATCTCACCTGAGATCTGAAGGGCGACTGGAAGAAAGTAGGTCAATGTGGAGACAAACTTTCTAGGCCAAGGAGACAGCAGATACAAAAGCCTGCAGTGGGAAACAGCATAGAGGTGACTAAAAGGCAGGAGCACAGAATCAGGGAAAGAGTGGCCACAGAGGAAGCACATAAGTTGGTATGAATTACATCTTTTAGGCTATATGTTATTTTGAGAATTTTGAATTATATTCAAAACTTACTAGAAACCAGTTGATTACTTATAAGCAGAGAGACATAATTGTGTCTATCTATCTATCCATCTTGTGTCTGTCTGTCTGTCTGTCTGTCTGTCTATCTATCTATCTATCTATCTATCTATCTATCTATCTATCTATCGAGATGGAGTTTTGCTCTTGTTGCCCAGGCTGGAGTGCAGTGGCTCGATCTCAGCTCACTGCAACCTCTGCCTCACAGGTTTCACCATGTTGGGCAGACTTGTCTCGAACTCCTGACCTCAGGTGATCTGCCCGCCTCTGCCTCCCAAAGAGCTGGGATTACAGACGTGACACACTGTGCCCAGCCTGTGTCCATATTTTTAAAAGATGATTCTAGTTAGAGTGTTGATTAAGGATTGCAGTGAAAATTCAGCCATAGAGCTATTTTTGTAATCCAGAGGAGAGGGTATGGTGGATCCAAGAAAGGAGATGACCAACAGGGAAAAGGGGATAATAGTATTACTTAAGAGGTGGATTTAGCAGGACTTGCTGATCAATTAGATGTGGAGAAGTGAGGAGGTAAGAGCATTCTAAGAAGTCTCTCAAGTTCCAGGCTGTGGAACTGGGCAGAAGATAGTGTCACTAAGTGAAATACAGCATGCTCAGGAAGAACCAGGTCCATGTTGGTTAGTGGTGGAAAGGGAGATACCAAGTAAAGTTCTGGATATGTTGTGTTAGATTGTGAGACAGACAGTGAAGATGAGGCCTAGACAGATGTGTATGTGGAATTGTTCAATTTTACCGTTATTTTAGTATTTTTAAATATACAAATAATTAGTGAGAAATGATAAAATAATTCTTAGAATAGCAAAATATTTCACAGTTTAGGAAAGATAACATGCCTGATATCCTATAATATATGTTAGATCTATAAAAGGGTTCAATGGATCATTATGGTAATTGGAAGATAAAATGAGTTTTATTCTATTTTTATTAAAGTAATAGTCTCTTGCTTGTTTGGAAGACACCTAAGACCACTAAGTCATAAGCTATCAATTCTTTCAAATCATTGAAACTTCTCAAAAAAGAAACTCAAATCTAAAATAGTGTCCAAGGTTGATGGTAAGCCACGGGTTAACTGGTGCTTCCAATCTCTTTTTCTTTAAACTTTATTGAGGTAAATTTTACTAATTATAAAATCAACTATACAAGAATATGGTTAATTATTTTTAGTAAATTTACAGAGTTGTGTAAACATCATTAAAATCCAATTTTAGAACATTTCTATTATGTAAAAACGTTTCATTATGCTATTTACAGTAATCATTATTCTCACTCCCAGGCCCAGGCAACCACTGATCTGCTTTCAGTCTCTATTTTTATTTTCTGGAAATTTTATAAAAATTAAATTATGTAATATGTAGTATATCATATCTGGCTTCTTTTCCTTAGTATGATGGTTTTGAAGTTCATTCATATTGTTCTGTTTTATTGTTGAGTTGTGTTCCAATATATTAGCAGACCACATTTTGTTTATTCTTCTACCATTTAAATTGTTTTTGGTTTGGAGTTATTATCAATAATAGTACATTATTATCAATAATGCAAAAATAATGAACCAGATTATATATTGTACATTCACATACAATTCTGTGTGAAAAGGTATATTTATTTCACTTGGTTAGATATCTAGTGATGGAATTGCTAAGTTTTGGGGTAAGAATATGCTTTGATAAACTAACAGACTGCTTTCCAAGGTAACTTCTTTATTTTCAATGCTTGTCCCCTCCAAAATTCATGTTGAAATATAATTGCCAAAGTAATGGTTTTGAGAGGTGGGGACTTCAGAGGTGATTAGGCTGTGAAGATTTCACATTGTCTTAGTCCATTTCTACTGTTTTAACACAACACCACAGACTAAGTAACTGTAGTAAACAGAATGTTTATTGACTCGCAGTTCTGGAGGCTGGAAGTTTATGATTGAGGGGTCAACATCTGGTGAGGGCCTTCTTGCTGCATCAGCACATGGTGGAAGGCAGAAGGGCAAAAAGAGGGCAAGAGAAATGGGGAAGAGTTTGAGCTCACTCATTTATAACAAACCCACTTCCTTGATAACATCATTAATTAACAAGAGTCTTGGTGGCCTAATCACCTCTTAATGATCCTACATCTTAATAATGTTAAAATGGCAATTAAATATCAGCATGAATTTTTGAGGCAGTAACATTCAAACCATAGCAATTCTCATGAGTGGACTTAATGCCTTAGTAAGAAGGCTTTCAGGAGAGGAGTCTCTCTCTTGGCTCTTCCACTTTTTTTACATGAGAGAAGCAGTATTCCTCCCCTCTGGAGGATGCAGTGTTCAAGGCAACATCTTGGAAGTGAAGAGCAGGCCCTCACCAGACACCAAACCTGCCACCACTTTGATATTGGACATTCCAGCCTCCAGAACAGTGAGCCAATAAATTTTGTTCATTATAAATTACCCAGTCTGTGGTCTTCTGTTAT
Source organism: Homo sapiens (assembly GCF_000001405.40). Taxonomy (NCBI): domain Eukaryota; kingdom Metazoa; phylum Chordata; class Mammalia; order Primates; family Hominidae; genus Homo; species Homo sapiens. Next base: position 53,961,044 of record NC_000013.11, read on the forward strand.
ATCAGCACAAATGAACTATGAGAGTACCCTTAGCATTTTGTATTCTCAGTAGTAGTGTAAGTGGGTTCTAGTTTATCCACAACTTTACCAACCTTTAGTGTTGTCAGTGTTTTTAATCAGACCATCCAGTGGGTATAGAGTGTTATCGAATTGTGATTTTAATTTGCAGTTCCTTAATGGCTAATAATGTTGAACATATACTTATTATTACTTGTATATTTCTGGTAAAATATTCACATATTTTGCTCATCTTTAATTATATCACTTGTCTTCTTAATATTGAGTTTGAGGTTTTTTTCATATTTTGTAAATAAATTGTTGACCAAACATAAATTCAAATTTTTTCTGCCAGTTTGTGGCGTGGCTCCCCTTCCTCTTGCCCTTCCCCTTCCCTTTCGCTTCCCTTTCACTTTCCTTTCACTTCCCTTCCCCTCCCCTCCCTTCCCTCCCCTGCCCTCCCTTCTCTCCCCTCCCCTCCTTCCTTCCCTCCCTCCCTTCCCTTCTCCTCCCTTTCTTTCTTTCCTGTCTTTTCTTTTCCTTTTTTTCTTTCTCTTGCTTGCTTTTTCTTTTTTCCCCTCCCTCCCTCCCTTCCTTCCTTCTTTTCCTTCCTTCCTTCGTTTCTCCCTCCCTCCTTCCCTTCCTTCCTTCCTTCCATTCTTTCTTTTGACAAGCAAACATTTTAAATTGTCATGAAGCCATATTTATTAGTTTTTAAAAGATATTGCTTTTGGAATCATAAATGTAAAATATTTGCCTAATCCAATGTCACAAAGATTTTCTTCTATAATTTATTCTGGAAATTTTGTGGTTATTTTAATTGTTATTCATTTTGAGTTATTTTCTGCATGTGGAATAATATATGGGTTAAGAACATTTTTGTATATGAATATTCAATTGTCCCAGCAGAGTTTGTTGAAAAGACTCTGCATTCCTTATTAAATTGCCTTGGCATCTTTGTCAAAAATCATTTGATTATAACTGTAAGGGTACATTTCAGTACTCAATTCCATTGCATTGATCTATATATCTATCCTACACCAAGACCATATTGTCTAGATGTGTTGTTAGCGAACTAGGGCTCCCTGGACAAATCTAGTCCATTGAAAGTTTTTGTAAATAATGTTTTATTGGAACATAGTCACACGCACTTATTTATGTATTGTCTATGACTGTTTTCACACTAAAATGAGAAATTTGAGTAGTTGTAACAAAGACCGTATGACCCAAAAAAGCTAAAATATATACTTCTTTGTCCTTTTGGTCTTTTGGCAATGCTTGATCTAGAGTCTTAGAATTTTCAAATAAGTATTGAAATTAGATAGTAAAGTTTGGCAACTTTAGATCCTTTACATTTCCAAACATATTTTATATACCATTTTTTTTTATTCATCTGTTGATGGATACTTAGGTTGATTTCATATCTTGGCTATTATTAGTATTGCTGCAGTAAACATAGAGTGAAGATATCTCTTCAACATACTGATTGTCTTTCTTTTGGATATATACTTAGCAGTGGGATTGTGGGATTATATGGTAGTTCTATTTTTAGTTTTGAGAGAAACCTTCCTACTGTTTTCCACAATGTCTGTACTAATTTACATTTCCATCAACACTGTATGAGTTCCTATTTCTCCACATCCTTGCCAGCATTTGTTATTCTTCTGTCTTTTTGGTAATAGTCATTCTAATGGGGGTGAGATGATATCTCTTTGTGGTTTTTGTATTAGTTCATTCTCACATTGCTATAATGAAATGCCTGAGACTGGGTAATTTATACAGAAAAGAGGTTTAATTGGCTTATGGTTCTCCAGGCTGTATAGGAAGCATAGCAGCTTCTAATTCTGGGGAGGCCTCAGGAAATTTACAATCATGGCAGAAGGTGACAAGGAAGCAGGCATGTCTTACGTAGCTGGAGCAGGAGGGAGGTCGGGGGTAGGTGCCACACACTTTTAAACAACTAGATCTCACAAGAACTCCCTCATGATCATGACACAATACCAAGGTAGAAATGCACCCCCCTGATTCAATCACCTCCCACTAGGCCCCACCTCCAATATAGGGGATTACATTTTCACATGAGATTTGGGCAGGGACACAGATCCAAACTATAACAGTTTCGATTTGCATTTTCCTGACAGTTAGTTATGTTGAGCAATTTGTCATGAACACATTGGCCATTAGTATGTCTTCTTTTGAAAGACGTCTCTTTGGCTCATTTGCCCATTTTTAATCAGATTATTTTGTTTGCTGTTCGTTTGTTTGTTTCCTAAGTTGTTTGAGTCCCTCATATCTTCTGGATAATAATCTCTTCTCAGACGAGTAGCTTGCAAATATTTTCTCCCATTCTGCAGATTGTCTTTACACTTTGTCAATTGTTTCCTTTGCTGTGAAGAAGGTTTTTGGCTTCGTGTAATTCCATTTTTCTATTTTTGCATTTGTTGCTTATGCTTCTGAGATTTTCTCCATAAAATATTTGCCGAGACCAATGTCCTAAAGTGTTTCTCCAATTTTTTATTCTAGTAGTTTCAGAATTCCACGTCTTAGATTAAATCTTTAATGCATTTTGAGTTGATTTTTTTCTATGGTAAGAGAGAGAGGTCTAGTTTTATTCTTCTGCATATGGACATCCAGTTTTCCCAGCCCTGTTTATTGAAGAAATTGTCCTTTCCCTAATGTATGTTCTTGGTACCTTTCTCAAAAACGAGTTTACTGTAAAGGCATGTATTGATTTCCAGGTTCTCTTCTCTTACATTGGTCAAAGTGTTTGTTTTTATACCAGTACCAAACTGTTTTGGTTACTACAACTTTATAGTATAATCTGAAATCTGATAATGTGATGTCTCCAGGTTTGTTCTTTTTTGCTGAGGATTGCTTTGGCTATTCTGGGTGTTTTCTGGTTTTATACACATTTTAGAATTTTTTTATGTTTCTGTGAAGAATGTTGCTGGCATTTTCATAGGGATTGCATTAAAGCTGTAGATTTCTTTGGTAACACAGTCATTTTCAGAATATTAATTATTTTAGTCCATAAACATGATACGTATTTCCATTTTTGTGTCCTTTCAAATTTTTATCAGTATTTTACAGTTTCCCTTATAGAAATTGTTCACCTTCTAGGTTAAATTTATTCTCAGGAATTTTTTTGTAGCACTTGTAAATAGGATTGCTTTTTTTATTTCTCTTATCCATTAATTCTTTGTTGTATAGAAGCACTACTGATTTTTTATGTTGATTTTGTATCTTGAAACTTTAATGAATTTGTTTATCAATAGTAAATATTTTTAGTAGAGTTTTCTCTACATGTATATGATTGTATCATCTGCAGAGATGACTTATTCAGCCAATCATAGAAAGATAAATATTACATTTTCTCACTCAAATGTGGAAGCTAAAAATGTTGACAGATATCATAGAAGTAGAGAGTAAAATAGTGATTAATAAAGGCTAGGAAGGGCAGGGGGAAGAGGGAAAGGGTCAAAGTTGGTTAATGGAAACAAAAGCACAGCTACATAGGAGAAATAAATTCCATTATTCTATAGCACTATAGCATGAATACAATAAACAATGATTTATTTTGTATTTTTAAATGCTAGAAGAGTGAATTTTGAATGTTCTCAGCACCAAGAAATGATAAATGTTTGAGGTGATGGATATGCTAGTATCCCTGATTTGATCATTACACATTGTATTGATGTATTGAAATATCACATTGCACCACATAAATATGTACAGTTATTATCTGTCAATTAAAAGAATAATAAGAATTGACACTAATTTTTACAACTAGAACTTGATAGAATTTTTATAAAAATTGTGTTCAATCTGTAGATCATTTTGGGAAGTACTGCCATTTTAACAATATCATGTTCTCATTTATGAGTGAAAGACATTGCACTATTTATGTAGATACTTTCAATAATGTTTTGTATTTTTCAGTATATAGGTTTTTTCTTTTGTTACATTTATACCTAAGTAATTAGTTATTCCTTCTGTTAAAAATTTTCTTTTAATTTTATGTTCAGATTGTTAAACCAACTTTGTATTCCAGGAATAAATCCCTCTTGATCATGGTATATGATATGGTTTGGCTGTGTCCTCACCCAGATCTTATCTTCAATTGTAACTCCCACAATTCCCACATGTCATGGGAGGGACCCAGTGGGAGGTAACTGAATCATGGGGGCAGGTCTTTCTCATGCTGTTCTCACAATAGTGATTAAGTTGCATGAGATCTTATGGTTTTATAAAGAGAAGTTCCCCTTCATAAGCCCTCTCTCTTTGCCTGCCACCATCCATGTAAGATGTGACTTGCTTCTCCTTGCCTTCCACCATGATTGTGAGGCCTCCCCATCCATGTGGAACTGTAAGCCTAATAAACCTCTTTTTCTTCCCAATCTCAGGTATGTCTTTAACAGCAGTGTGAAAATGAACTAATACAGTAAATTGGTACCAGTAGAGTGAGGCACTGCTTAAAAGATACTTGAAAATGTGGAAGTGACTTTGGAACTGGGTAACAGGCAGAGGTTTGAACAGTTTGGAGGGCTCAGAAGACAGGAAAATGTGGGAAAGTTTGGAACTCCCTACAGACTTGTTGAATGGCTTTCCTCAAAATGATGATAGCAATATGGACAATAAAGTCTGTGTTGAGATGTCTCAGATAGAGATTGAGAACTTGTTGGGAACTGGAGTAAAGATGACTCTTGTTATGTTTTAGCAAAGAGACTGGTAGCATTTTGCCCCTGCCCTAGAGATCTGTGGAACTTTTAACTTGAGAGAGATGATTTAGGGTATCTGGAGAATAAAACTTCTAAGCAGCAAAGCATTTAAGAGGCAAGTTGGGTGCTGTTAAAGGCATTCAGTTTTATAAGGGAAGCAGATCACAAAAGTTTGGAAACTTTGCAGCCTGGCAATGCAATAGAAAAGAAAATCTCATTTTCTGAGGTGAAATTAAAGCTGGCTGCAGAAATTTACATGTTACAAGGAGCCGAATATTAATCCCCAAAACAATGGGGAAAATGCCTCCAGGACATTTCAGAGGTCTTCACAGCAGGTGCTCCCATCACAGGCCTGGAGGCCCAGGAGGAAAAAGTGGTTTCATGGTCCGGGCCTAGGGTCCCCATGCTGTGTGCAGCCTATGGACTTGGTACCCTATGTCCCAGCTGCTCCAGCCATGGCTGAAAGGAGCCAACATACAGCTTGGGCTGTGGCTTCAGAGGGTAGAAGCCCAAACCTTGCCAGATTCCATGTTTTGTTGAGCCTGCAGGTGTGCAGAAGTCAAGAATTGAGGTTTGGGAACCTCTGTCTAGATTTCAAATGCTGTATGGAAATGCCTGGATACCCAGGCAGTTTGCTGCAGGGGCGGGGCCCTCATGGAGAACCTCTGCTAGGGTAGTGCAGAAGGGAGATGTGGGGTTGAAGTCCCCACACAGAGTCCCTACTGGGGCACCACCTAGTGGGTTGTGAGAAGAGGGCCACAGTCCTCCAGACCCCAGAATGGTAGATTCACCAACAGCCTGCATCATCCACCTGGAAAAGCCATGGACACTCAACGCCAGTCCATGAAAGCAGCTGGAGGGAGGCTGTACCTTGCAAAGCCACAGGATCAGAGCTGCCCAAGACCATGGGAACCCACCTCTTGCATCAGCATGACCCAGATGTGAGACAGGAGTCAAAGGAGATCATTTGGGAACTTTAAGATTTGACTGCCTTGCTGGATTTTGGACTTGTAATGGGTCCATAGCCCCTCTGTTTTGGCCAATTTCTCCCATTTGGAACTGCTGTATTTACCCAATGCCTATACCACCCTGTATCTAGGAAGTAACTAGCTTGCTTTTGATTTTACAAGCTTGTAGGAGGAAGGGACTTGCCTTGTCTCAGATGAGACTTTGCACTGTGGACTTTTGAGTTAATGCTGAAATGAGTGAAGACTTTGGGGGCCTGTTGGGAAGGCATGATTGGTTTTGAAATGTAAGGATATGAGATTTGGGAGGGGCCAGGGGCAAAATGATATGGTTTGGTTCTGTGTCCCCACCCAAATGTCATCTTGAATGGTAACTCTCACAATTCCCATGTGTCATGGGAGGGACCCAGTGGGAGGTAACTGAATCATGAGGGCAGGTCTTTCTCATGCTGTTCTCGTGATAGTGAATAAGTCTCATGGGATCTGATGGTTTTATTAAAAAAAGTTGCCCTGTACAAGTTCTCTCTCTTTGCCTACCACCATCCATTTAAGATGTGACTTGCTCCTCTTTGCCTTCTGCCGTGATTGTGAAGCCTCCCCATTCATATAGAATTGTAAGTCTATTAAACCTCTTTTTCTTCCCAGTCTCAGGTATGTCTTTATCAGCAGTGTGAAAATTGGATAATACAGTGTATAATCTTTTTCTATGCTGTTGCATTGATTTAATAATATTTAGTTAAGAATTATAGTGTCTATGTTCATGAAGGATATTGGTTTCTTCTCTATTTATCTTTAGCTCTGCTATCACAATATTTTAGTTTGCTACTGTTGCCGTAACAAGTGACTACAAACTTGTGACTTGATACAACACAAATTTATTATCCCAGTTCCATGCATCAAAGGAGCAGTTAGCTAAATCCTCTGTTGAGATCTCACAAGCTGAAATCAAGATGTCTGCTGATGCCGAGGTTCTCATTTGAAACCTGGGTCCACTTCTCAGCTCTCAGGTTATTGGTAGACTTTACTTCCTTGCTGTTATACTACTAGGCTCCCCATTTTCTTGCTGGCTTTTAGCTGAGGGTAACTTTGAACATCTAAATGGATGTTTCTTTTCATCTGCAGTTAACAACATAGTGGTTTACATTCTTCCTCAAGGCCAATAGAAGCCATCTCTTGAATTCTTATGGTAGGAGTTGCAGATATTGTTATTTTCAAAAAGTTTGTGTGATTAGATTCAGCCTACCTGGATTTTTTTCTTTTTGTCTTTCTTTTGACAAGTAAACATTTTAAATTTTCATGATGTCAAATTTATGATTTTTAATAGATATTGCTTTTAGAATCATAGATTTAAAATATTTCCCTAATTCAATGTCACAAAGATTTTCTTCTATGATTTCTTTTGGGAGTTTTCTGAGTATTTTAAGGTTAACTGATTTGGACCATAAATTACATCTGTAAAATCCCTTTGTAGAAATACCTAAATTATAAATGGAACTAACAAATTAGTGAATTTGTGGGGAGGGACTATCTTTAGAATATGGTTTATCACACAGAGTAAGAATGGTTTCATAGCATGATTTAGAAAGTATTCCTACTCCTATATTTTCTAAAACATTTTATGTAAGCTTGGCATTATTTTTTCTTTAAATATTTGATACAATATGCTAGTGAAGTCATCTGGGCTGGGATTTTCTTTTTGGCAAATGTAAAAATTACCAGTTCTAGTGCGGAAGTAGAGCAAGATGGCTGAATAGAATCCTCCAGCGATTGTCCCCCATCCACAGGCACACCAAATTAACCAACCATACATGCAAGAAAGCACCTTCATAAGAACCAAAAAGTCCAATGAGTAATCACAGTACCTGATTTGAACATCATATCAAGAAAGAAGGCACTGAAGAGAGTGGGAAAGACAGTCTTGCATTGGCTACCACCACTCCCTTAATTCCAGGTAGCACTGTATAGAGACAGAATCTGTGTGCCTTGGGGAGAGAAATAAATGTGAATATGGGATTCTGAATTAGAATTCAGTGCTGTCCTTTCACAGCAGAACACAACATAGGGAAGAATTCTGCTGACATGCACAGAGAGAGCATTTAGATAAAGCCCTGGGTCAGAGGAAAATTCCTTGCCCCAGTGGGAGGAACCTGAGTCCCAGCTGGCTTCACTACTGGCTAAGTTGCCTGAGGCCCAGAATACATTTGAGTGGCAGTCAGACCATAGTAAATGCAGTCCTTAGGCAAGCCCTGGTATTGTGCAGGACTCAAAAGCAGTGCACTTGGGGTGCACACAACCCAGTGCAACATCAGCTATGGTGACCAAAAAAGTGCCGATGTCACACTTCTCCCAATTCCAAGCAGTGCAACTCCAGGAGAGACTCCTGCTTGGGGGAAGGAGAGGGAAGTGTACAGAACACTTTGTTCTTCAACTTGGATATCAGCTCAGCCACAGTAAAAAAAAAGCACCTATCAGAATCCTGAAGTTCCAATTTGTAGGCTTTTGCTCCTAGGGATGGCATTTCTAGACCCAACCTAGGCTAGATGGGAATTTGTAGCCCTAATGGGACAGATCCAGTTGTGGCAGAATTTGCCACCTACTGATTAAAGGACTCTTGGGCCTTGAATAAATGTCACTGGCAGCCTGGCAGTACTGGCTACAGATCTTGGGTAATCCATAGGATTATGCTGGTCTGTAAGACTTCGAGAGCAACCTTGTACAGTGTCAGCTGTGGTGGCTACATGAGTGCTCACATAACATGTACTCAAACTTCAAGAAGCCTAGCATGGAGAGAAACTCCTTTTCATTGGAAAAAAGAGGGAAGAGAGCAAGAGACTTTGCCTGATTGCCCAGAAAATTTTCCTTTATCTTACCCAAGTCTACCAAGGGTATGTATCTAGGAGTCTGAAAGATTCACAGCATTCCTTTTTCTAGTCTTAAACAGTGGCAGTGGTGGTATGCTTAGGTCACGAAATTCCATCCTCTTTGAATTCACGGAAAGGCCTCTCAAGAAGTACAGGTACCAACAAGGCCAGACTGCAAAGACTGTAATAAATGCTTAACCCTTTAATGCCTAGACATTGACAAACATCTACCAGCACCAAGAACACCCAGGAAAACATGAAATCAGTCAAAATAAGGAACTGGTGACCAATCCTGGAGTGACAGAGATATGTGGCCTTTCAGACAGGAAATTCAAAATAGCTATCTTAAGGAAACTGAATGAATTGCAAGGTAACATGGAAAAGGAATTTGAAATTCTACCAGAGAAATTCAACAAAGAAATATAAATAATAACTGGTCACTACCATTCAACAAGTCTCCAGGAAGTTTCAAACTTTCCATTTTCTTTGTCTTTTTATGAGCCCTCAAAACTGTTCCAACCTCTGCCTGTTACCCAGTTTCAAAGTCACTTCCACATTTTCAGGTATTTTTACAGCAATGCCTCACTTTTCTGGTACCAATTTTCTGTATTAGCCCATTCTTATATTGCCACAAAGAACTACCTGAGACTGGGTATTTTATAAAGAGATTTAATTAGCACAGGTTCTGCAGGCTGTATAGGAAGCATGACTAAGGAGGGCTCAGAAAACTTACAATCATGGCAGAAGGCAAAGGGGAAGCAAGAACATCTTACATGGTAGGAGCAGGAGGAAGAGAGAATGAAGGGGGAAGTGCTATACACTTTTAAACAACCAGATCTTGTGAGAACTCTATCATGACAAAGCGGTAGAAGGATGGTACTAAACATTAGTATCCAACTCCATCATTCAATCACTTCCTACCAGGCCCCACCTCAACACTTGGTATCACATTCACCACGAGATTTTCATTTGGACACAGAGTCAAACCTTATCACCCACATGCACCACTTTTTTCAACATAGTACTGGAAGTCCTAGCTAGAGAAATTACACCAGAGAAAGAAATAAAGAGCATCCAAATTGGAAGAAGTCAACTTATTCATGTACACAGACAATATAATCTTCTATTTAAAAAATCCTGAAGGCTCTACCAAAAAAAATTTTATAGAACTAATGAACAAATTCAGTAAAGTTTCAAGACACACAGTCAACTTATAAAACTCAATAGCATTTCTGTAGAAAGCAGTGAATACTCTGAAAAGGAAAACAAGAAAGCAATCTCATATACAACAGCTGCAAATAAAATAAAATACTTAGGAATAAACTTAAACAAAGGAGTAAAAGATATCTACAATGAAAACCATAACACATTAATAAAAGAAACTGAAGAGGATTCAAGAAAATGAATATTCCATGTTCATAGATTGAAAGAATTAATATTGTTAAAATGTCTATTCTACACAAGCAATCTACAAATTTGATGTGATTTCTATCAAAATGCCAATGACATTCTTCACAGAAACAGGAAAAAATCCTAAAATGTATATGGAACTGAAAAACACCCAGAATAGCCAAAGCAATCCTGAACAAAAAAGAAGAAAGCAAGACACATTACATTGCTTGATTTCAAATTATAGTATAAAGCTATAGTAACTAAAAAAGTATGCTATTGGCATAAAAACTGACATATAGATTTTTTTTTCCTCCAACATGACAGATGGGAGGCACTGTTAGGGTGCCTCTCCCACTTGGAAGGACAGAATAGTGTATATAGATTCACACTGTGAACCTTGTTCCAAGAAAAAAATGCAGAAACTTGACAGGAACCAAAAGAATCCAGACCCTTTCAAAGAAGTGACAGGCAGCAGACTATTCTGTGAGACAGGTGATAAATTGTTAAGTCCCTAGAGTGTGAGAGAGAAAGAGACTGCCTCCAGGATACACATCCCTGCCAGATAATCTAAAACTTCAGGCCACAAGAGAAGGCTTTAATTCTACCCAGAGCTGGAACTGACTTAGGGAGTGGCATGAAATATAAAAGCAGAAGAAATGGCAGGAAGTGTCTTCTAGGCATTGTAAATTTCTAGCATGGACTGATGGAAGCTATTTCTAATTATACCTGAAAGGGGACACGAGGGAAGTCAGTCAACTAGCTCAGAAAGGCGTTGCAAGGTGACAGTTCCCAACCGAATTTTGTGAAATAATCTCGAGTGGGAATGATGTTACTTGACCAGGACCCAGGAGGTGAGCAGGAAGTATACTGCAGACACATACACAGGAGCTGGGTGCCCAACCTTGTGGGCAGACAGGGAGGGGATGTGACCTAAAAGCTGCAGTTGCTATCTCTGTGGGGAAGCTAATGGCCTGTGGCAGGTCTGAGTTCTGTGTGCAGGTTGCCTGGATCTTAACCCAGTGATGTAAGTGGAGCACTGCAGGAGAGAGATCTGCCTTGCCAACCACCTGACAGCTGGGTAATACTTACTGCCACCTACTACTTCCCACTCCCTTTGTGAACTCTTCTGTTCAACAGAGGCAGTTATACATCCCTCTGGAACATGACCCCAATTACCTGAGAACCACCCATCACCCTCACAATGGCTGCAGCTTGCCCCTCTCATGGAAAGTCAGAGTGCAGACCCAACTAACACTGCCCCCACCTGGTTGTGCCCCTCCACCCTCCCTGGTAGTTTAACACAAAGGGCATAAACTTTTGGGAGCTTTATAGCCCCAGTAATCATCTGAGAAAACAGAATACTTCCATTGGGCAAAGTGGGGCAAACTCAAATCCCACTACTACTGCTGCTGCTGGTGCTCTTTTACAAGTGTCATGTCCTGGCTGGAGGCCAACTAACACAGTCTATTACACAATCTCTAGTTACAATAAAATGGCACCTAGAAAGGAGAAAAGGCAGGCTATCACCACTAGCTGCAATACCCTGACTAACCAGAGATCCTGAGTCTATCCACATGACAAGTTTGCTACTATCATAACCAGCACTTGGGAAAGCCAGCACGCTAAGCCTATCTACCACCAAGGAATCTCACAGAGACTGTCACTCCCCTGGCACCCCCATAAGACCTTGTGCAGGTACCCATTGCTGGGAAACATGAAGACAGGTCACATCAATGGATCTCTTACAGACATTCCCCAGCACCAGCCCAGACTATGGCAGCCCCATTGGAGGGCTAGACCTAGAAGAGGAATAACAACCACTGTAGGCTGGCTCTCAGAAACTCTTACTCCTAGGGGAAGTGGGAGAGCACCATATCAAGGGAACACCCTCATGGGACAAAAGAATCCAGATGGAAGGCCTTGAGTCCCAGATCTTTCTGCTGGTGGGAAGTTTCTTTCAGCAAAGACACAATTAGTGTTGGATACAGCAGGAAAAGTCTGCACCTCTACTCCAACAGTCAGGCCAATTTCATGCACATAATGGGTCTTTGAGAATGGGTTCTTATTCACCCTTTATCTACCACTGCAGACACAGCTGGGGATACTCCCACTGAAACTCAGCATGGATGTAACTATAGGCAGCTGTTCTGGAACAATTCAGGGTGATTGCATCCCCAGAGGAGGAGTACTCCCAAGTTCAGGATTGCACAAGAGACAGAGTCACAATTTCTCCCTACTAGGAACATCAAAATTTCTACAGATAAAAATAGGTGCCTGTTTGATCTGAATAGCTGGAACACTGGAACAGGAGTGAGGATGGGAGGTGCATAGGATTCCTGCTGGCACTTAGCAGAACCACTGATAAGGGTCCAACAAAGATCATAGGGCAAAGGGCAAAAGCAGAACCACTGATAAGGGTCTATGTTCAGCGGTGCACATATTGTCTTGATAAACATCTTAAACAACAGAAAACAGGGTTCAAGAGCAGAGAACCGGTCTGACCACAGATTCACCAGGGTGGGGTTTTCCCAACCCTAGTAAGCCTGAGGGTTCTGCAGGAGACCAGGGCTTATCTCTGTCCTTATCTCAAATGCACAAGACAGACATTCCCAGAGTGGCTGTTTATAGACCTCCCCCCAGGAATGCATTCCTTTCCCAGGGTATTAATATTAATATTCCTTGCTAGGAAAAGAATTTAGCGATATCTTGCCTACTTGCAAGTCCATTTATAGGCTCTCTGCAAGAAGAAAAATATGGCTCTTTTTGCCTGACCCTGCAGGGAGTCAGACCTTATGGTTGTCTTCCCTTGTTCCATAAAAATCGCTGTTATTCTGTTCTTTTCCAAGGTGCACTGATTTCATATTGTTCAAACACATGTTTTACAATTAATTTGTACAGCTAACACAATTATCACAGCAGTCCTGAAGTGATGTACATTCTCAGCTTACGAAGATAACAGGATTAAGAGATTAAAGTAAAGACAGGCATAAGAAATTATAAAAGTATTATTTGGGAACTGATAAATGTCCATATTAAGATGAAATCTTCACAATTTATGTTCCTCTGCTGCGGCTCCAGCCAGTCCCTCCGTTTGGAGTCCCTGACTTCCCATAACATTCACCCTGGTAAAACCTCATTGCATCTAATTGAGAGCTCCCCCAGCCACTTCCATCAAGGCTGGGACCTCTTCCCACCATTGGGTATTGCATCTACTTACCTGCTTTATCTACAACAAGTTTCTCCCCAGGAATACCTCCACTGGCCCGAAGCCTGAACCATTAATGCAGTAAATACAATACCAGGGAAAAATTAAATAAATGCAAAAGTGTACACCACAGGGGAATGAAATAAACTTCAAGAGATTCTTGTCATTCCTACCCTATATGAGACAGTGATCTTTCCCACACTCCGAATACATAACTACTACAAGCAGCATTTCAGAAAGCCAGTACACAAAGACTATTTATAACCAAGGAGCTCATACAGCATCTTTACCCCTAAATGCACCAAGAACCAAATTAGTCTATAATAAACTATAAACATTAAAATCACATGCTTAAGAGGGAAAAAAAGAAATTTAAAAAACCATAGTCAAATAAAAAATCAATTCAAGAACAATTTGAAGAAAGTCTACACAGATGAGAAGAAACAAGAAAAGTAATTCTGGTAATATGACAAAATAGGGTTCTATAACAACGCAGAAGGTTACACTACCTCTGTAGCAATTGGTCCAAACTAAGATGAAATATTTGAAATACCAGAAAATGAATTCAGAAAGCTGATTATTAAGCTACTGAAGGAAATACTAGAGACAGGTGAAAACAAACATAAAGAAATTTAAAAAACAATGCAGGATATAAATGAAACAATTTTCAGAGAGGCGAACAGCATAAAGAAAACCAAATAGAACTTCTGGAAATGAAAGATGTGCATAGGAAAATACAAAATGCAGTAGAAAGTTTCAATAATAGACTACAACAAGTAGAAGATGAATTTTAGAGCTCAAAGACAAGGCTTTTGAATTAACCAAATCAGACAAAGATAAGGAAAAAAGAATCAAAAGAAATGAACAAAGTCTACAAGAAATATGGGATTATGTAAAATGTCCAAACCTAAGAATAATTGGTGTTCCTGAGAGATAAGAAAATGCTAAATGTTTGAAAACTGATATCTGAAAAATTTATAACAAAAAAAATTACCACCAAAGCACATAGTTAGCATGCTATCTAAAGTTGACACAAAAGAAAGAATTATAAAAGATGTGAGACAAAAGCATTAGGTAACCTATAAAGAAAAACCTATCAGACTAACAGCGGACTTCTCAGAAGAATCCTTACAAGCTAGAATGACTTGGGGAACTATCTGTAGCCTCCTTAAACAGAATAATTGTCAGCCAAGAATTTTGTATTCAGCAAAACTAAGCTTTATAAATGAAAGAGAGAGAGTATTTTTCAGACAAACAAATGACGAGGGAATTTGTCACTATCAAACCAGCACTACAAAAAATGCTAAAAAAGAGTTCTAAATCTTAAAACAAAAGCTTGATATTCACCAGAAAAAAAAAAATCCTTCTGGAAGCATAAAACTCATAGGGCCTATAAAACAACAATACAATTATAAAACCATATAATGTAGGTAACAACTTACTTGGTGACAAATACTGTAGATCCCAGATTTATAACACAATTACTACTAGACCTAAGATCTGAGATAGCAACACAATAATAGTGGGAGAACTTCAATACTCCACTGACAGCACTAGATAGATCATTAAGATAGAAATTCAACAGAGGAACAGTGGACTTAAGCTATACTTTAAAACAAATGGACTTAACAGATATTTACAGAACATTATTTCCAACAACTGCAGAATATACATTCTCCTCACCTGCACATGGAACATTTTCCAAGATAGGCTGTATTATCATATGGCCATAAAACAAGTCTCAATAAATTTAAAAAATTGAAATTATATCAAGTATATTCTTAGACAATAGTGAAATAAAACTGGACATCAACTCCAAAAGTAACCCTCAAAACTATAGAATTACAAGGAAATTATATAATCTGCTCTTGAATGATTTTTTAGTTAACAATGAAATCAAGATGGAAATTTGAAAATTCTTTGAAGTGAATGATAATAGTGACACAACTTATTAAAACCTCTGGGATACAGCAAAAGCAGTGTTAAGAGAAAAGCTCATAATGTTAAATGTCTACATTAAAAAATCTGAAAGAGCACAAGTGGCAACCTGATGTCACACCTAAGGAACTAGAGAAACAGGATCAAACTAATCCCAAAGCCAGCAGAAGAAAGGAAATAATAAAAGTCAGAGCAGAACTAAATGAAATTGAAACAAAAAAATACAAAAGGTGAATGAAGCAAAAAGCTGGTTCTTTGAAAAGATAAACAAAATTGATACACCATTAACAAGATTAACCAAAAAAAGAAGAGAGAAGATCCAAAAATAAAACTGGAGATATTTCAACTGATACCACAGAAATGTAAATGATCATTCAAGATTTCTATGAACATCTTTACATGCACAAACTAGAAAATCTAGAGAAAAAAGATAAAATAATAAATTCCTGGAAGCATATAACACTCTAGATTAGATCAGGAAGCAGTAAAAACCCTAAGCAGACCAACAACAAGCAGCAAGACTGAAATCAGTAATTAAAAAAAAATTGCCAACACAAAAGTTCAATACCAGATGGATTCATAGGTGAATTCTACAAGATATCCAAAAAAGAATTGGTACAAATCCTACTGAAACTATTCCAAAAGATAAAGAGGAATTTCTCCCTAAATCATTCTATGAAGTGAATATCACCCTAATACCAAAACCAGGAAAGGACATAACAAAAAAAAGAAAAAAGAAAACTACAGACCAACATCCCTTATAAACCTAGATAGAAAAATCCTCAACAAAATACTAGGTAACTGAATCCAACAGCACATCAAAAAGATAATATATAGTGATCAAGTGGGTTTCATCCCATGATGCAGGGATGGTTTAACATACACAAGTCAATAAATATGATAGATCACATAAGCAGAATTAAAAACAAAAACCAGATGATCATCTCAATAGATGCAGAAAAAGCATTTAATAAAATTCAGCAGCACTTTAGGATAAAAACACTCAACAAACTAGGCATAGAAGGGACTTACCTCAAGATAATAAAAGCCATGTATGACAAACCCACAGCCAACATGATACTAAATTGGGAAAAGTTGAAACATTCCCCCTGAGAACTAGAGCAAGATAAAAATGTCCATTCTACCACTGCTATTCAACATAGTACTGAAAGTCCTGGCCAGAGCAATTAGGCAAGAGAAAGAAATGAAGGGCATCCACATTGTAAAGGAGGAAGTCAGACTGTTGCTATTAACCAGTGATATGTTTGCATATCTAGAAAACCCTAAAGACTCATCCAAAAAGGTCCTATATCTGATAAACAAATTCAGTAAAGTCCCAGGTTACAAAATCAGCAACACAAATTATTGCAATGCGATACACCAACAACAAACTGAGAATCAAATCAAGAACTCAATCACTTTTACAACAGTTGCAAAAATAATAAAATACCTAGGAATATACTTAACCAAGGAGGTAAAAGTTCTCTTTAAAGCAGGCAAGCCATGTAGAAGAATGAAACTAGATGCCCATCTCACTCAAGATAGATAAGAGACTTAAATCTAAGACCTGAAACCATAAAAATCCTTGAGGATAACATTGGAAAAATACTTCTAGACAGTGGCCTAGGCAAATAATTCATGACTAAGACCCCAAAAGCAAATGTAAAAATAAATAAATAAATAGGACCTAATTAAATTATAAAGCTTCTGCACAGCAAAAGAAACAATCAGCAGAGTAAACAGAAAACCTAAAGCATGGGAGAAAATATTTACAAACCATGCATCTGACAAAGAATTTAGTATCCAGAATTTACAAGAAACTCAGACAAATTAACAAAAGAAAAACAAATAATCCCATCAAAAAGAAGACAAAGGACATGAATAGAAATTTTTGAAAAGAAGATATACAAACAGCCAACAAACATGAAAAAATGCTCAACATCGCTAATCATCAAGGAAATGCAAATTAAAACTACTCTTGCCAGAATGGCCATAATTTAAAAGTTAAAAAACAATAGATGTTGTCGTGGATGTGGTGAAAAGGGTACATTTTTACACTGCTGGTGGGAATGTAAATTAGCACAACCACTATGGAAAACAGTATGCAGGTTCCTTAAAGAACTAAAGGTAGATCTATCATTTGAACCAGCAGTCCCACTACTGAATATCTACCCAAAGGAAAATAAATCATTATATGAGAAAGACACACATACAGCATGATTATAGGAGCACAATTTGTAATTGCAAAACTATGGAACCAACCTAAGTGCCCACTGACTGAAGAGTGAATAAAGAAAATGCAGTATATATACACCATGGAATACTGGTCAGTCATAAAAAGGAATTAAATAATGTCTTTTGCAACAACTTGAATGGAGCTAGAGGTTATTATTCTAAGTGAAGTAACTTAGTAATGGAAAACCAAATACTATATGTTCTCACTTATAAGTGGGAGTTAAGCAATGAGGATGCAAAGACATATGGAGTGAGGTAATGAACTTTGGTGACTTAGTGGGGAAGGTTGGGAAGGGGATGAAGGATAAAATACTATACATATTAGGTACAGTGTACACTGCTCGAGTGATGGGTGCATGAATATCTCACAATTCACCATTAGAGAACTCACCCATGTGACCAAAAATCATCTGTATCCCTAAAACTATTGAAATTAAAAAACAATAATTAAAAACAGACAGACCAATGGAAGAGAATAGAGAACCCAGAAATAAATCAATGCATTTCCAATGAACTCATTTTTAACACAGGTGCCAAGACCATACATTGGGGAAAGAAAAGTCTCTTCAATAAATAGTGCTGGGAGAACTGGATATCCATATATAGAAGAATGAAACTAGACTCCCCTTACCATATAGCAAAATCAACTTGAAATGGATTAAAGACTTTAATCATAGACCTGAAACTATGAAACTACTAGAGAAAACATTCAGGAAACACTTCAGGACATTGGTCTGAGCATTTCTTGAATAAGTCATCAAAAACACAGACAACCAAAGCTAAAATGGACAAATGAGATTATACCAAGCCAAAAAGCTTATCCACAGCCAAAGAAACATCAATAGAATGAACAGGTAACCCACAGAGTGGTAGAAAATATTTGCAAACTACCATTTGACAAGTTATTGAAAGCCAGAATTAAAAAGGAGTTCAATCAATTCAATAGAAAAAAATAACATGATTTTAAAAATGGACAAAATATCTGAAAAGATGTTTCTCAAAACTAAATATACAAATGACCAACAGGTATATGAAAAAATGCTGAACATCACTAATCATCAGAAAAATGAAAATAAAATCTACAATGAACTATCATCTCACACCAGTTAAACTGGCTTTTATACAAAAGACAGGCAACAAATGCTGGTTAGTATGTGGTCTCATACATTGTTTTGGGGAATATAAATTAATACAGCCCCTATGGAGAACCATGTGAAAGTTTCTCAAAAAACTAAAAATAGAACTACCTGATAATCCAGAAATCCCATTACTGGGTACTTACTCAAAAGAAAGACAATCAGTACATCAAAGAGATATCTGCACTTCCATGTTTATCGCAGCATGATTCACAATAGCCAAGATATAAAATCAACTTAAGTTCCCATCAATGGATGAATGCAATAAAAAATATAGTTCATATAAAGCATGGAATATTATTCAGCCACAAAAAAGAACAAAATCCCTTCAATTGTAGCAACATGGATGGGACTGGAGGACATCAAATGAACTAAGCAAGGCACAGAAAGGCAAACATTGCATGTTCTTACTAATATGTGAGAGGTTATATATATATATATATTTGCTCTTGAATGATTTTGGGGTTAACAATGAAATCAGGATGGAAATTTGAAAATTCTTTGAAGTGAATGATAATAGTGACACAACTTATTAAAATCTCTGGGATACAGCAAAATCAATGTTAAGAGAAAAGTTCATAGTGTTAAGCATCTACATCAAAAAATTTGAAAGAGCACAAATGACAACCTAATGTCACACCTCAAGGAACAGAACTTTCTCAAAACATTCCCATTTCTCAAAACACTTACATTGCCAAAAATGATGGTTTTCAGAGGTTGGAAAAGGGTGTGAGGAGAGAAGACTAAAAGAGGGTTGTTAATGGAGCAAAACACAGTTAGAATAAATAAGATCGAGTTTTCGGTAGCACCATGGGGCAACTATAGCTAATAATTTATTATATATTTCAAAATACCTAAAAGAGTGAAAATGGAATGTTCGTAACACACAAAAAAGTGATAAGTGCTTGAGGTCATGGATACCCCAATTACCCTGATTTAATTATTACACATTGTATGCTTGTATCAAAATATCACATGTGCCCCCAAAATATGTAAAATTATGTACCCATAATAATTAAAAATCAGTAAAATAAGATAAAATAGAATTACCACCTTTATGTCTTTACTTGTTATAGGCCTGTTTAAATTTCCTAAAATTAGTTTTGAAAGTTAATGTCTTTTTCAAAAATTTTATCTAAGTTGTCTAATTTGTTGCCAAAACTTTGTTCATAATATTCCCTTCTTAATTTCTTTAATATTGGCAGTGATATCCTCTATTTACTGGTTTTGGAAATCTTTGTCCTATTTATTTTTATCAATTTTTTTCTCAAAAAAACAAAACTTCTGAGTTTATCAATTTCTCTCTGTCTCTTAAAATGTTTTCTGTTATTGATCTTCACCGATTTTAATGTTTTCCTTCTCCTGCTTGCTTTGGGTTTCCTTTGATCTTATCTTTCTAGTTTCTTAAGATGACAACTTAGTTATTGATTTGAGGACTTTCTTCTTTTCTATATAGTTGTTTAATGCTTTGAGTTTCCATTTTAACTCATGTTTTAGCTGTATCCTACGAGACATATTGTATTTTCATTAAATTTTAAAAATTGTATGGGTTATCCTTCAGAATATTTCATGTGTGCTTGTAAATAATGTGTATTCAATAATCAGTGGGTGAAATGTTCTATATATGTTACCTAGATCAATTGAAAAAATCTGGCCAGGCATGGTAGCTCATGCCTGTAATCCCAGCACTCATTGTGAGGACGAGGCAAGCAGATCCCTTGAGGCCAAGAGTTTGAGACCAGCCTGGTCAACATGGGGAAACCGCATCTCTACCAAAAATGCAAAAATTAGCTGGCATGGTGGTGGGAACCTGTAATCACAGCTACTTGGGAGGCTGAGGCAGGAGAATTGTTTGATTCTGGGAGGAGGAGGCTGCAGTGAGCTGAGATTGTGCCACTGTACTCCAGCCTGTGTAACAGCGAGACTCTGTCTCAAAGCAAAAAAAGAAAGAAGGAAAGAAAAAGAAAGAAAGAAACAAACAAACTCTATATCCTTGCTGATTTACTGTTTTATTACTCTCTCAATTACTGAGAAGGTAATACTGAAATCTGCAAATGTAATTGGTGATTTCCTATTTCTCCTTTCAATCCTGTTAATTTTTTTCCTCAGGTACTTGCTATTTTCTTATTAGGTGTGTATGTATTTGTAAGTGTTAGGTCTTCAAACTTTTCTGTGTTCTTCAGATTAGATAATTTCTGTTGATCTATCTTCATGTTCAATTATCTTTCTTCTGCCTATTTTATTAGCTGCTAAGCTCTTCTAGTATATCTTCTGTTTTGATAATTGTTATTTTCAACTCTAGATATTCTATTTTCTTTCCTTTTATAGTCTCTATTTCCTTACTGAAATTCTATATTTGTCTTATTATTATAATTATTTTTCAATACTTAAAACATATTTTTCAATACTTAAAACATTTTCTTTTGTTCTTTGAACATATTTATTATAACTGCTTTGAAAGCATTTTCTATTAAATCCAACATCTGATCACACTCAGAGTTCATTTCTATTTACTACTTTTGTGTTCTGAGGATGAGTTTTTTTTTTAATATTTTTCACTCATAATTTTTTGAGAAGTATATCCTTAGATATTATGTCGTATAATCTCCAGATTCTCCCTTTTTTCTGAAATTTTAAAAGTTGGCTGTATTTAATCTGCAAATTATTTGTCCTGAGAAATACAACCACTGATGTCTCCACTCAGTAATTTTTGTCTCATTTTCATTTTTAATTCTAAATTCCTAGGGGTTGCTCCTGTGTCTGCATAGCCTAGTAGTTAACCAGTGATTAGACAGAGCAATATCTTCAAGCTTATAAAACTTCTACCTCACGGGTGTAGATTAATGTGTGGGTTGAGACATTCATTTGATGTTTAAGCAATTTAAATATCTGCCTCAGGTTTTACTTTGTATTGGAGCTCTTCTGGGTGTTACCAGCACATGCCTGTAGTTTCCCGGTCATTCAGGTATATATGGAGAGCTTATCTATTCCCTCTGTAGATTTCTGATTAACTATATGATATCTTTTTAAAATTTCTGGACTCTCTACCACTCACCTCAACCAGAAACCCTATGTGCTTCCTATGAATTTTGCTGCTTATACTAACAATGCTGCTGGGTGTGGATTTTTGTTTTCTGTTCCAAGTCAATTCATCCTCCTCTGACAGCAACGCTACTGGTTTAGAGTTAGCCTCATCCTTAAAAATCTGCTGTGCCATTACGGAGAAACAAAACTAGAAAGTTGTTAAAGGCTATAAAGACAGATTTTATTCACCTTCTACTGTAGTAGCAGACAGAGACTTCAGTGTAAAACTAGGCTTGATTTTTCTAAAACAAAAGATGAGAGAACTTTTAAATACTGAGATGTGGTAAGGAAAAGAGAGGGAAGGGTATGAAGAGGGCAAAGGGATCCATGTGATTAGGCCATTTGGGTTTGTTAATTGGTGCTTTATCTGGAGAAGAGGGAAACTTCTCCTATGGTTATGAAAGAGCCAGTTGTGTAAGTTGGAGCAAAGCACTCAACACAGTAGGGCCGTTACCTTTCCACAGGGATGGGAAGGTTAGAAAGCAAGAGCCATCTTCCTGCATGTTTCTGTTTCAAAGGGTGGGCTCCAAGGTCCTTGAAGAGACATTTTTGAGTGGTATAACTCCCTTCTTTTCCAAGGGGAAAGATAGATTAAAACCAATATGTTCAAGTTTTCCAAGGGGAAGAGAAAGGAGTGATAATTGCAAGCTTTTTCAGGTAGGCGTTTCAAAGCGGGTGGGGATATCTTAGTGACACAGCTCACTGTTTCAGGAAGCCCATGCTAGAGTTTGGTCCAGGTTCTTAGTGTAGAGGTTTAGGTTTGGACAGAGTCATTTTGTGCTGAGAAGTTTCGCAGATGTCCCCTAAGGTAGGTATAGAGGGATGGGAGCAGCTTCACACAAAAAGATGCAGAATCTAACCATTCCTACCTGAAATTCTAGCAGCTTTTTGTGTGCTAATACTACTCAATTTATCATTTGAATTTTTTTCAATTTCCAGGGCCCCAAAATGGCTGTTTTTGACAATTTGTTGAGTTTTATACTCATTTTGGGGGTATAGAATTTGCTAGCCTTTCCATTCCATCAGATCCGAAAGTCATACCTTAATTGCTTTGAATCTTGAATTAAAAATTTGAATAGAAAAATAATGTGATGAAGTATCAATCTGATGTACTAGAAAGACCAATGGGTTAAAACTCAGACCATTCTTACCTGTATCATGTTATTCATACATTTTTAGCCTCAAGTAAATGGCAAGCTATTTAAGGGCTCTGTTTCCTTGTGCAAATAATGACATTATAGATACCTAAGATGTTAGTTGAAAAATTAAGTATGAATTTGAGAATGAAATTATCTGAAGTTTCAATTGTACTGACAATCTATAAAGCATCTTACAAATTTGAACATATTGGTTTTAACCTATTTTAAGTAAATAATTAAAGTCTGGAAATTAATTTATACATACGCATTTTACATTGTTTACCTTGAAGTTATTCACTCAATTTTAATTCCACCATTGACCACATTTTATAGAATTTTAAAGTTTTGAGACAATAAATAAATAATTAGGTTTCTTTCTTCTTTTATTATTCTACATATTATGAATTATTTGCTATTTGTCTTCCTTTTTCAGCCTAAATAGCCTTATTAGACATTGGCCTCACTCTCCATCCAGGAAATAAAAACAAATATGCTTCACTATAGTGGAATGCTTTATGTCACCCCTGGAAGAAAAATAAAGCTTAAGGGAAACTTTTACTCAAGTCCTATAGCAACTAAAGAGCTATGGCTGAATATAAATTATTGGAAATTTTCTTCAAATATTTTCTACCTGCCACACTCTGATTTCATAAAAATAACCATTTTGTTATTTGTGACTTAATTCTTTTTCTAAACAATGAGATTAACGACTGTGTTCATTTTGGTAATTTTTAAAATTTAGAGGAAAATTAGTGACATAAACATAAACAAGAGGCATTAAACTCTATTTACTTTAGGGGAACACAAATACATATTCTGATTTCTATTAAAACACCATTATGGACTATATATTAATATATAAAGCTGGTGATTATTAAAAAATAAATTAGAAATCTAACAACCACATCTGCAATGTATTTAATGTAATCCAGATTGAGATGAAGACAAGAAAACTTTGACAGATATTTTATAAAACTTTTTAACACACTGCTTTCCCAATGAATTAAGGGTAAAAAGGATCAGTTGTTGTGGGTGCTTTTCCCAGATCTTCTGAAGGCTGGTGGCTTCGATGTCATATTTTTTAAAGATGACAACATGGCGAAACCTGAGAAGGAGTGTCAGAAAGGAGTGTGAATTTGTAGTGCATTATAAACACAGTACTTAACACTAGAAAGAGAAAATTAACATTTATTGTCATCTCTTCATAATATTTCTCTCCTTATTTCTGAAGTATCTATTCTTAACTTCTGGTCTCAGGGGTACCTAAATGTTCTCAAAACCCTACCCAGTCATTAGCCATTATTATTATTATTATTATTATTATTATTATTATTATTATTTTGCTTTTGCTTAACAGAAACAAACAAACAAAGTTAGATAAATAAGGGGTTCAGTTCCTTCTAGGCAGTGACCTTAATAAAAATTTTTACATACATGACAGTCACTTATCAGTGAGGCTTTTAGAACTTTATTAGGGTTAGACTGGCCACCATTCAGATTTTCTTTGCAAACTTTAAATTTTGTTAACTTGTATAGATTGCCATATGGTTCTAGCTTATCTCTAAAGATTAATTCAGTTGTCATAAAAATTTACAAAGTTTAATTTTCACTGAATCCTCTGATAATGTAAGGAAAACTAAAACAGGCAAAAAGCAAAATCTCACTTTTAGGCATATTAGGCCTTTAACAATAGTGTGTAACATTATATTTGTACCTTGTTAGGCCAACATGTTGACATACTCGCCTAGATGAAGGAAAAGTTCTAAATGTCATGTGTATCTTTCTCTCCCCCAAATACTACTTATAATGATAATTTCAAAACTGTCACCATATTTTGGAGTTTACTGTCTCTGCCCTAATACTGTTGTAGGTAAACAAACAACTTCAAAAACTGTGTAGATTAAAGCCTTAGATTGTTTTCATCTGGATTATAAATCTTTGAGATATTTTTTCACTGGAAACGTAAGAAAAGATACAAACTGAGAAAGAAGACACATGGACTTGGTGACACTCTAAACTTTAATTAACTCTGGTCTATTTTGTTATTTCCAGATTTAGGAGGTCATTTAATAGGTGTTTATTCTTCCCAGTTAATTAAAATTGAAAATTATATTTAAATACTAACTCATAATAAGATTTCTACACTTTAAATATCTATTTCACAGGAGCACTGGCATAAAGTTTTATGCAAATAAACACACAAGAGAAAAAAATCTACCATTATATGTATCACTCTGACAATTGTTTAGGTAATTTGATTTTGTTCTTTTAGCATATTCAACAATTATTTTCTGGAATAAAAACTGTACTACAAAGCTCCTGGGCCCATGAGGCTGGTATTTTGATTTAGAAAACCAGTATTTTAGCAATAGCTGCCACTGATATAGCTTATTTCTTCTTTATTGCACTATCGTCTTGAGAATTAAATGAGAAGACATAACAGTGCAATAAAAGGCACAAATGCCATTCATATTTTGTGAATCCTGTTACATAATATTTGGCAAAGCCTGAGCACAGCAAGCAACCTTTCACTTCCAGAGGTCACTTAGAGACAACCTTAACAACCTACAACACTGTTAAGATAGGGGAGGAGTAGGAGCATTTGTCAAAATAATCTTTGTAGCTAACACTAAGCAAGAATTCCTTTGGCCTCTATTTTAGACTGATGATAATAAATATCATTGAAATTTCTAGCTCCAAGAATGCAAAGAGTAAATTATTTAAGAAGAGAAGGGGTTTCTATTAGGTTGGTGCAAAATTAATTGTGGTTTTTGCCATTGCTTTTAATGGCAAAAACCGCAATTACTTTTGCAGCACCAACCTAATAGAATAAGTAATATTCAGCTGAATACCAGTGTCTATAAGTATATAGTGCTTTGTGGTTTCACTGATGCTTTCACAGACCTTATTTGCTTCTCACAACCATTTTGTTAAAAGATGTGATGAGATTTTTACTAGTGAGATAACTTGCTTTAACCTCTTCAACAAATTATACAAAATTATACATATATCAATTGAAACTTGAGTCCAGTTATTTTACATTTTTAATCAAGTATATATTTATTTAACTATGCCACCAAAGACAGCAAAGAGTCATACTATGTAGCTTAACATTAAGAGAAGGGAATGAAAAAGCTTAAAAGCAAATACATTTCAAGCAAACAAACATCACACAGACATATACACACGCATCCATCACTATCTAGTGATAGATGGTGCTAAACTACCCCACCTTCTCCCATAACATCAAATTGCAGCAATAACAAATAATATAAGAGTTAATATACCTAATGATGATTGTGCTTTTAGGAAAAGATTGCTAAATTTAAGACAACAGTAAGAAATTATTTTAGAAAGATTTCCATATAATTATGAAAAATTAAATTGGTATACCTTAAATAAATCATCCTCCCTCTCTGCCAAATATAGTTTTGCAAAGTCATGAGTGACTTTCCATTTTGGCAATCCAGTGGACGTTAGCTTTATTCTCATTTAGTATCATAAGATTCAGCTGACTATTTCTCCTTGAATTGCTCTTACCTTTATTCTCCCCATTATCATCCTGTCCTACTGAAAATTCTTTTTTAACCTTTTTCTTTTTTTTTTCTGGGAGATCTTACACATCAACCACTAAATAGTGAAGAAAACTAGACTTCTGTCCTAGAAGCTTTTCATTATCTGTAATCTCTCTCTAAGCAATTTCACTTATTATCAGGACTTAGATGATTATGATTCACAGATTTATATCTCCAGGGAAGATTGCTTTTCATACTTAGAATTGAATCCAAATTCTACCTTCAAGGTTTTCATGCTTTCCACCTGACTTCATGCCATTCTTTCTTGCATTCCAGTTATTTTGACCCTTTTTCTCTTCCTAGAACAAAATAAAAAGCTATTTCTCATGTCAGAATCTTTATGTTTACTTTATCTTCTGTTCCAAACACATTTGTTGGGGTCTTTAATAGCTACCCTTAAATACTAGCTTCAGTGGTCCCTGTAGAGTAGACTTCCCCTGACAAAACCTCCAGTTCCCCCTGGAGATTCCCATCACAGCACAACATTTATTTCTACAGAGCATGCACACAGGCAAGCAGCCCCCAACACACAAAATCTGGAATTGTGTAATATATTGTTCTATCAAACATAAATATTAAGTTTCTTGTACAGAAATGTTACTAGTCTCATTCTCCATTTAATCTTCAATGCCAATCTTACAGTAGCTATTAAATATATATTTGATGAATGAATGAATCATTTCATGATTGACTAATAGAAAAATGGAGCAGCCCTTAGTGGAAAAATGGAATACTGAGCAATCGAACATATTTTTTAAAGAAAGCATTAGTGGGTTTTGCAGCACAATGTATTTTATGTTATTTGTGGTAAATATGTAAAAACTTCTTAAAGAAAAGTTTGAAATACATAACAGGAACTCAAAAATGAAATTGCGACTAGGAATGTATATTTGGCAATCATTTACATTAAAATGACAGTTGACAGATTAAAAGTAGTTGAAATTGGCAATGGAGAGAAAAAAGAGAATGAGCATCATGCTTGGTAAACACTCCCTTAGAGGGCACAGGAGTTTGAAGAGGAGTCAGAAAAATAGAATGGAGAGGGAAAAGATAGAATTAGTACCAAAATGCTTATCAAAGATGTGTTTATTACCTTCATAAAATATAGTTTCCTGGTAAATCCACAAATCCCTGAGTTTTAATACCACTTTTGTAAGTGGCAGTAGACATTTTACAGGTTTATTTTTTTTTTACTGGGTAATTAGTCTTAAGACATCAAACTTTCAGTCTATTTTTTTTTCTCATTGAACACATTTAGGTAGAGCTAAAGTTCTTTGTCCCTTGAAGCCTAATATTATTTTCTTTTGTGATATACTTATATCAACATTTTAACTATACTTATTCTAAATGCACTTTAAGAGTGCTCAACTTTTTTAGGTCCTAGGTGGAGACAGCCAACAGTTCCCTAGTATCCATTCTTTGCTTTTTCCTTGAATTTACAGAGCCACAAATTTAAGCAGGAACATGATGTCCAGTTAGAGACTGTATAGTTTAGCTTTCTTTTCAGTTAGGTACAGCCATGTAGCTGAGTTTCAGTCTATAGCATGTAAGGAAAATACAAACCAGGAACTAAACTACCCCACATGCTCCCATAACATGAATCTGAAATTTGCATATATATACACACACACATATATTTATATATATACATATATATGTATACACTTCTAGGTGCTGCCTTTAAAACATGTAGTCTGGAATCTAGATACAGGGTAACCCAGTTTTGGAAAATCAGAAGTGCAAACATCTTAGTAAACAGTGGAAAACATAAATAAAGGAACGTGAATCTGGGAATGACCATATCAAACAGAGAGACCCCCACAAACGGTAGCACTCCCCTGTTACATGAGAGAGAAAAACACTTTTATATCATTTAACCTGCTGCATTTTGTATCGTTTTGCTTTGGTAACCTTTACTATACTAAAATGGGATTTTTTTTTAACCTGAAAGAGCGCTCCATGGTAAAGATCTAAATTATATGGCATTGACATAGAGGGCAAGTAATGGATGGTAAGAAAAAAATATAGCAGGTTGGAGAGCTGCCAGTTCTTGTTATGCCATAGAAATAATCTATTACAATGTTGCCTTCCCTAATGTGGAAAGCAGAATGCATGCAAGAGAAAAAGCCTTCACTAAAGTGAAGTGATTAGAAAAAAAAACAAATAAAAAACAGAATTTTTGGGTAGGTTGGTTCCACCTTTCTTTTCTTGCCAAATATTTATACAATAAACTCAATAAAAACTTGAAGGGTTATATGCAGAAATTGGAAAAAACAGAATCCACATCTTTAGACTCTTTCAAGGCTGAAAGATCCAACTGCTTCTGTTCCCCCGAATAAGTCATGTTCAGCACCTTTCTCAAAGGCTTTAAGACTTTTCAGCCAAATAAAGGGATCTCCCTGGTGCAAATATCAGATTCAGTATATTGTTCCAAATAAGCCTATTATTTTGCAGAGCCAGAAAACAGCGACCACTGCAATGATAAAATGATGGTTTGATGGGTGCAGCAAACCACCATGGCACGTGTATACCTATGTAACAAACCTGCATGTTCTGCACATGTATCCCAGAACTTAAAGTATAAAGAAAAAAAAAGAAAGAAAGGAGGAGTAAGCTGAGCAAATACAACCGTAAATTAACAGTACAATTCCCTAAGACGGAATTGTGCCCTTAATAACGTATCAAGCCAGGGTGGCCAAAGCCTATGATTACCTTATTCCCCCTGAAAATGCTTAGTTCTTCATGTGTTCTAGTGAGAAAGAGTTTCTCAAAACCCCAGAGCCCCAAGTAAGAGTTATTCAGTGTCAGCCACTGCATAACAAGATGGACAGAACCTGGAATTCAAAGTAGGCATATGGAAGAATTGTTTTGCTAGTGTGGATTACTTAAAACACTGCATTTTTAATTCTCTTTGGGATAGAAACTTAGACTTTACCTTCACAGGTACACTAGGTTTCAAATTCTGTATGTTAAATCTGTGTACTTTCTTAGTATTTTACTTTCTGAAATGATTTATCATTTGTCTGTTAGCTCCCTGTTTGTGGACATTTTCTACAGGGAATCTTAGACAGGTCTCAGCCTACAGAGCCTTGATTGTGAATGGTTTTGCATTTATTCAATGATTATATATCAGTTTTTATATTTGTTTCTCAGTTCATGAGTTTTGCAACATGAAGATAACGTATTTTAAGATTCCATGAATAATCTGTGCAGTTTTATGTTGGAAACATTCCCTATTTTTACATACATGTTAAATTTAAACTACTGGGAATAAAATTTTCAATACTTACTTTTGGTTAACACAATATTTTACTGACTGCTTGTTTATGTAGGGAGCCACTTTCAATTTTCTACTATTCTTGCAATTGCAACACGATATAGGCATTAAAACCTTAGAAGCAGAATATATAATAGCAGCCTTGTCAATCCTGTGAGATGTGTGGCTATAACTCCTGCCTATACCTTTATCTAAGTGTTTATTCTTGCTTCTGGAATGGGAAGAGTTCTTGTCCTCTTCCATATCTTAAAATATTTTATCTTGCATGTGGTGGAAGAGAAGATTTTCCTATCTGTTTAGTTCACTTTCCAGACCAGGAGCTAAGATAGAAATATAAAACTACAGAGTATAGAGGATACTTTCCAATATTCCAAATCTTTTAGAGATCCAAAGAACTAAAGAGAAAGGATAAAATGCTATATGTGACAAAATAAGTACGAAGAATTGTAGGAATATAAGGAAAACATGAGTTCAAAAGCAGGATCGATAAAAGAAAACCCACACACTAACTACAGCTTGGTGAAACTTGAATGCATCAAAGATAAAGACAAAATGCTAAAAAGCATCAGAGGGCAGTAAGTTACCGGAAAAAAATGAGAACAAAATATCAGAAACAATAGATGCAAAAAGACATGTGAAATAGTATCTCGAAAGTATAAGGAAAAAAATTAGCTGGAAGTTCTTTAGCCACAAATACTATTCGAAAATAAATGTGGAATAAATACGCCCTCAGGCATGCAATAATTTATAAACTTTACCAACCATAGATTTTAGATGAAAGAACTACTACAATATCTACTTCTTTAAAAACTTAGGGAAAATTAGTTCATGCAAGAATCAATAGATCACACTTGCCAATTTAGCTTATATATATATATATATACACACACACACACATACAAATAATAATTTCATGACATTATTATCAGTACAAAATAATAGTGTAAAGGGATAGTTTTAAGTAAATAAAAATATGTTAAAATTCTTACATTTGGAAAAATAGAGATGCTGATTAATGCATAATTATCAGTATGAGAAAAATAAAATTAATGTTCCATCTTATATCATGATAAAAGTTCCATATAAAAATATAAAAATAAAAATGGTGAAAGGTATATGGTTATCTAACCTGGGTCCACCTGATCCATCCCTGCCATAGACTCCACTCAGCTTTCTGTTACACTGTTATCTGGCTTTCCCTTGCAAACACAGCTTTGCTTATTATTTTAATATTTGCTATTTTAATATTCTGCTAGGTACTAACCAGGATGTAGGTGTTCTTGCTTAAACGATTTTCAGTAGGGATCCTTGTGACAGTACTCACAAAGCCTTGAGCTAAAGCCTGAGTTATTAGATCTAATGCTAGTTGTGTTATGTTACAAGACAGGTAAGGGTGCCTATCTCTGGATTTTCAAGGCCCTTTAATATCCCTTGACAATTGTCATTGAAAACAAAAATCCTCTTCTTTCATTTTAAAACCTATCACTGAACAAGAATAGAGCTTTTGACTCTAAGACCTTAAGGTGTAATGCCAAAAGCCTACTATTTGTCTCTCTGTGAACATACTAGGCAGAAAAGTAGATATCCTTTTATTGAAAATGCTATGTTTTTATCTGAAGTAGGACTTCTGCTATGCCTATCTTTTAATGCACGTTGGTTTGCACTAATTCAATGTGATGAAACTCTTTTGAGACTGTGACTGTGTCTATAAGAGCGTGGAAAAATCAAATTAGGCCATAAAATTTGGCCCATTCAATTTACATTAAAAGAGAAAAATATGTTAAGCAAGGTTTTCTGTTGTATATTTTACTGTGTTGAGGCTTTGACATTTTTGGAGGAGTTATAATTGATAAAGTTCTCCAAGACAGCTCCTTGAATATGACTAAACAAATATGGAATAATTTAGTTTTTTAACCAATTCTGATACAATATAATTAAAGTAAAAAAAATAGAGGGAAAATAGGTACATACTTTGGACTTAAGCCTGTTCAGCGATGGAGAAACCTGATCACCTGTCAGTTTATTAGGTGATAATCTATTGACTTTCTTTGACCTTGATGAGGCATTCAAACTTGTCTTTTGAGAGGTTTAGAACTAGTATTTATTTTCACCATATGGTAGCATCAATACATTCTTTGATGTCTGATGGTATATTTTATATCTTGTTTTGCTCTGCTGAACATATTTCTTTGAAAAACTTGTATCTGGCTAATGCATATTTAGGGATTTTTAAAGCCAAGACACAGTGAGGGAGATGATTTCCCTGTGGGTACCCAACAAAGGTCTCGTGAGGCTGTTGTTCAAGATTTGTTGTTAATGCTAGATCCACCAGCCAATAATGTGGTTAAGAGTAACACGTAGTTCTTCCAACAGGAAAAGCTTTAACTACTAAACCTCAGAGTATCCTTAAGTATTTTTTAAGTAATCATTATCCTCTACTAGATTTTAAAATATCATCCTCCAGGATGAATATTCATGTAATAAAGGCAAATAATGTGATAAGCCACACATATGCATTAGATGGCCTATTTCTTTCATTTCCACCCAATTCTGTTATAATTTCTGATTTGTTATTTTAAAAGGTGTATAATTTTCTAGGATGTCAATAAATAATTGGGAGTAGAATATAAAATACATGTTCACAAAAGTATTGAGCTATTCCACTAATACAACTACAAGATCAGTAGAGTCACAATAAAGAAAAGGTAATTTTAAAAATTTATTAGATCCCTTTATCCAATGTATTTATTTAATATAATCAATAATTTTATGCATGTACAATATTAAGTCAGAATATCACGACCATCACATTTTTAGATTCTATAGCGAGAGAATTTGTATACTTTCTCATTCTTACTTTGCTTCCAGATATGTAAAATTGCCCCTAAATATATTGTTTAGAAGACCTTCATAGCTAATTGAGACAAAAATCTTGATATTTTAACATCTGTACACTTAATTCACCTTTACTTTAAATGTTTCAACTTAGTTGTCACAACATTTAATTCAACACACTGTCTTAATATATTTATTCTTCAAATAATTTAATGTGACTTATATAGATATATGTATAAATAATATGGTATGATATAAAAATAAAAAAGGAGAAAAAAATGAGAGTTAACTAAACCAGAATAAGTTAGGACAGAAAGATTCATAACATAATGTTTTATTCAGTTGCTAGAGGTCAATATCAAATTTGATTCTCTGATCCCTGGCAGCTAAGGAAGAAGAAAACTTGAATAGCCACAAGATTCAATGTCAGTAAAAGAAAATTATGCCAGGGACTCATGAGAGGTAAAGCTTTATTTGGCACTAAGAATTAAAGGAATAAAGCCTAGGGCTTTTCATAAAGATTATTCTGGGGAATAACCTCAAAAATATCCTCTTCAAAATTTCTATAAATCAATACAACCATAAAACTACAAATCTATAGCATGTCTCAATTGTTCTAGGTTTTACTGTACTGGCATTGTAGATGCAGCTCATAATAACCCTGTTGTATAGTAATGCCCCTCAATATTTACAAATGACTCATTGACAATGTCACTTCAACGATTAATTTTTTTGAAGAAATCATCTACTATTTTTCTGTATAACTACTTATCCAAATAAATTATTTATATTAAAACTACAATGATTAAAATGAAGAGATGATGAAAAAGGTACTAATCTTCATGCTATAATCTTCTCCAATTATGTAGCTTACATTCTCCAACTATGTAGCTTACATAAATTTAATGCAGTAGTCCATTCTCGCATTGCTATAAAGAAATACCTGAGACTGGGTAGTTACCCAGAAAATATGTTTAACTGGCTCATGGTTCTCCAGATTGCACAGGAAGCATTGTGGTTTCTGTTTCTGGGGAGGCCTCAGGAAGCTTGCAATCATGGCAGAGGGCAAAGGGGGAGTGAGCCACTTCACATGGCCAGACCAGAAGGAAGCGAGAAAGGGGGGAAAGTGCTACACATGTTTAAACAACCAGATCTCATGATAATTCACTCACTCACAATCATGAGTGTAATCACAGCACTACGGGGATGGTGCTAACTCATTCATGAGGACTCTGCCTTCATCCAATTACCTCCTACCAGGCCCCATCTCCAACACCCGCGATTTGACATGAGATTTGGTGGGGACACAGATACAAACCATATTGCTAAATGATTGGGAAACTAGATGAAAACTGCAAACTGATAAAGACAGTATGAAAGCCCAAATGATTATTTTTCCCAAGCATCTTTTTTTTTTTCCATCTGCTATGGTTTGAATGATGGTATCCCCTTTGAAATTCATGTTTAAACCATAACCCTCAGTGCAACAGCATTAAGTAGTATGACCTTTGAGAGATGACTAAAATATGAGGGCTCTGCCCTTATAAATGATATTAGGCTAAAGAAAGCACTCTCTTGCCCTGGGTCTTCTTCACCATGTGAGGACACAGATTTCCTCCTGCCTGGAGGATTCAGCAAGAAGGCACCACGGTAGAAAAAGAAGACAGTCCTGATCAGACACCAATCAATCCTACAAACACCTTGATCTTGGACTTCCCAGCCTACAGAATCAAGAGAAATAGATTTCCATTTTTTTAAAATTACCCAGTCTGTGGTGTTTTGTTATAGCAGCACAAAGGAACTAAGACAAAATTTCATACAGAGAGGTGGGATTGTTGCTTTAGCAAATATCTGAAAATGTAGAAGTGGCTTTGTAACTTGGTAATGGGTAGAGGCTGGAAAAGTTTGGAGGTGCATACTGGAAAAAAAACACACAGATTGCCAAGAACAGAGCATTAAAGGCTATTCTGTTAAGGGCTCAGAAAAACACAAGAGCTGTAGAGAGAGCCTCAGTCACCTTAGTGATTATCCAAGTTGTCATGATCAGAATGCTGGTAGAAATATAAATAAAATGAAATAAATAAATAAATAAATAAATAAAAGAAAAATAAATAAAAAATGCTTCTGATGCAGACTTAGACGTAAATAAGGAACAAGGTATTGGAAACTGGAGGAAAAGTCATTCTTGTTATAAAGTGGTGAGGAATGTGGATGAATTGTATCTATACCCTGTTGTTTTGTGGAAGGCAGAATTCCACAATATCCTTAGCAATAAACTAGGATATTTGGCAGAAGAAATCTCTCAGCAAAGTGTTCAAGGTTCTGCATGATTTATTTTAACTGTTTACAGTAAACTACTGTAAGATAAAAGATTTAAAGACAGAATTTATAATCAAAAGGGAAACAACATAAAGATTTAAAAATTTTTCAGTTTCGCTATGTAAAGAATTAAAAAGCATGCTTAGGGCTGGGTGTGGTGGTTTATGCTGGTAATCCCAGAACTTCGGGAGGCTGAAGCAGAAGGTTTGCTTGAGCCCAGGAGTTCAAGACCAGCCTGGGCAACACAGAGAGAACCTGTCTTCTAAAAAACAAAACAAAAACAAAAAATTAGCCAGGTGTGGTGGAATGCACCTTTAGTCCCAGCTACTCTGGAGGCTGAGAGGGGAGAATTACTTGAATCTGTGGGGTCAAGATTGCAGTGAGCTGCAGTCATACCACTGTACTACGGCCTGGGTGACAGAGTGAGACCCTGTCTCAGGAAAAGAAAAGAAAAGAAAAGAAAAGAAAAGAAAAGGAGAATGGAAAGAAAGAAAAGGAGAAGGGAAGGGAAGGAAAGAAAGAAAGAAAATAAAGAAAAGAAAGGAAACAAAGAAAAGAAGAAAAAGAAGGAAAGGAAAAGGAAGAGGAAGAGGAAGAGGAAGGAAAGGAAAGGAAAGGAAAGGAAAGGAGGCATGCAAGCAAGCTTAGGAGAGAAAAACCAAGGCTGTGGCCAAGTGGTTATTTGATAAGGAAATTATCAATAGAAGGAAGCTAGATCAAGACAATGGGAGATTGACCATGAAGGCATTTGATGAGCTTGCAGGCTTGCCATGTCTATCACATGCCCACAGTGCTAGAGTCTTCAGGGAAGGACAGTTTCAAAAGAGGGGCCTTGGGCACCTAATGGACCTCAGTATTCAATGCTCTGTTCTGCCTTAAGTCTCTGCTCCCTGCATTATACCTCTTTATTATTACTATTTTATGAATACAGGCAATTTGCGTTTAATTCTATAACATTTACTTACTCAAAGAAAACTAAATTTATATAAATTGGAAATGCTTTGTAACTTGTTAAGAAATTAAACGACTTTTTATGTAATTTACACGTAATTACAAATTGGCGAATACATACAATGTATGTGTGTCACGCAGAATAATGACTCCCTAAAGATGCCCATGGCTTAATCTCTGGAACCTGGGAATGTTTAGTTATGTGGCAAAGGGGGATGTTTGTGAATCAGTTGACATTAAGCAGGAAGAATATCCTGTATTATCCAGGTAGGCCCAGTATAATCCCAAGGTTTGTTAAAAGCGTAGAGGGTGACAGAGTCAAAATGAGGCACTAGGAGAAAGGCTCAACCTGCCATTGCTGGCTTTGAACAGAGGAGGAGGCCAGGAACCAAGGAAAAGTAGAGTCTCCAGAAACTGGAAAAAGCAAGAAAATGCATGCTTCTTTCTTGTCTCCAGAAAGAAATGCAGTCCTGCTGACACCTTGATTTTAGTTCAGTGAGGTCCTTACTGGACTTCTAACCTGTGGAAATGTAAAATAACAAATATTTGTTTTAAGCTACTCAATTTGTGGTAATTTATTATATCAGCATTAGAAAATTCATTCAATATGCTTTATATAATATAGCATTATGCTTGTGTCTGCAATGTTTATATTTTTCTACATCATGAAGATCTCCATAAATGATAGCATACATTCTCTGCATGAACAGTGTGGCATATAGATAAGCTGTATTAACAGCTTCATTTAATAACTAAATTAACAACTTTTAAAACCAATGTCCTGGCCGGGCGCAGTGGCTCACGCCTGTAATCCCAGCACTTTGGGAGGCCAAAGCAGGTGGATCACGAGGTCAGGAGTTTGAGACCAGCCTGGCCAAGATGGTGAAACCCCGTCTCAACTAAAAATACAAAAATTAGCTGGGCACAGTGGTATGCGCCTGTAGTCCCAGCTACTAGGGAGGTTGAGGCAGGAGAATTGCTTGAACCCGGGAGGCAGAGGCTGCAGTGAGCCAAGACTGTGCCACTGAACTCCAGCCTGGGTGACAGGGAGAGACTCCATCTCAAAAAAAAAAAAAAAAAAAAAAATCAATGTCCTTATCTTTGATGGTTTAAAAACTGGTTCTTTCAATTGATTTCCAAATATTCTTCTGTAAAATATAATAAAAATATTTGTTGATCATTCTGTCACCAGATTTAAATTATTCTATTTAAATTTTTGACACTCAAAAGTAGGTTTTTCAGGAAAAAAGTTTAAAGATCTATTAGTTCCCGGAAGCCACAATTTTAATATATGAAATATTTAAAAGGAAAATGTAGGTTTTATAAGTATTAATTGATTTAATGATAATTGATATCTTGACAACAGAGGTGTTTTTCTCAGACAAAACATGAATATTTTTTGTCTTAATTGTCTAGAGAAATATATCTCACTGAACCATTGTAAATATTTTAATAGTAACTTTACTTCTACTTGGCTCTTGTGTATTAATGCTTGCTCCTACTCATTATTAGCCAAAATGATAATTCAACTCTTTCTAATGATCTCAAATGTGTCTGTAAGAGAATTGAGTGATTTGGTCTAAATAATTTGTCATTATCGGGTATAACTACAGAAACTCTGAAGAGACTTTTTCTTATCTGCTTGTGCCGTTATTAATCTTAAAATTTGCATAATAAAGAATATAATTAAATGAAAAAATATATCACCCTCTTGCATGATGATTGCTATAAGAAAACAATCAAGGGAAAACAAGTCTGATAAAAACAGAATGTCAACAGTAAGGAGACAAAAATGGTGGGGGATAATTATCCATTCACAGATATATAAAATCAAGAAAGCAATGAGCAGATGGAAAAAAAGTCCAGCAAACAAGCTAAGAAAGCCTAAGTCCCAGAGATGTGCTCTGCCTCCATGGAGACAAATTATCATAACTTTCCTCTTAGATCTAAATGAAGGCATGATTTAATCTGTGAAGTTGTTTTTCTCTTAGACAACCTTAGGAAAAAAACTCACTTTTTAAATCTATCTTGTGGAACCAAAGGAGCTGACTTAGTGTTTTTCAACATTAAACTTAGAAAAATTTACTCTTGATATAAATGGAGATGGATATGACTTTAAATTCAACCTTTAGAGAGAACAAATTAAAAATGATCTATATTGTTTAAAATTGATCAGAATTGATAAACTGATCCAAAAAACACATTTTGAATATGCAAAAGCAAACCGCTTTCTCAAATGACAATTCATTTGTAGGACCAGGAATTTACATTCTGTTAAGGGGATAACTGTACACCTTTACCCTGTTCAAAGAGGAATGGAAATAGTCTATTATGTAGTTAAGTAATCTCTGTCTGTTCCTGAAGATATGATTGTCAAGCCCTCCCAACTCTGCTTTTATATCTGAGTCACTCTCCTTTTTTATAGCTGTGATTGTCTTAGCACATCCTCAACTCTTCTTGTATGAATTAATCTAGTAACTTCCTAATTAATCTTTCTGCCTGCTCTTACCCCCTCTGAAATCCAGTTTTCACACTGATTTCAGAATAATCTTTCCAGAGACAAATCTAAACTTTTATTCGCCATGCTGAGAGTCCAAGGATGGGTCTCATCACCATCAACTTTCACCCAAACACTGTGGCAGACTCATATAAAATCCTGAATCAAATAACTCCTTTCAATATTTCCCATACACTTTCCACACTGGCCTTCCGTGCATCACACTTGTATTTCCATATTACCATTCTATTTAGTGCATTCAGTCACTTAACAAACACTTATTGAACATATTCTCTAGTAGCTCCATATCTTTGACATGCTCTTGGTTCTGAAGCATGTGCTCTTCCTTTTGTTTGACTGGTATGTTCTCCATACTCATTTCTGCCTCCAGGGAGAGGGGCTTCATAAGCTCATGATGGAACTTAAATTTCAGGGTACAGCTGTGCAACTCTATATGACATACTGAACATTTTGTGGTACCTAACGAGCCCACACACCCACCTGCCTTTTCTGAAAACTACCTGTCAAATTGAGCCATGGCAACCAGCAATTGCATAATACCGGGTCTTGCCTCCAAATTCCTACATTTAATTGGACTACGGGTAGATTCCTTATCCATGATTTAAACCAATAAAATTTTCTGTCCCCAAAATTGTAATTCTGACTTACTTATTGTGGCTTTAATTTCTTCATCTATAAAATGAGAGCACAAATAATGATTTATCAGATTCATTATAGGACTTAGATAAGAAATGGAAAGTAACTAACACAGAGTAGGTAATACGTAAATGGTCCCTGACTAATGTCTGTTGGTTTTACTTACCTTACTTGTGGTTTCATCTGATGAGAAAATTATGTTTAAGGACTTTGCAAATTAAGTGGTATGCCAGTAGCTACGGTTTTCTAATATATATCCATAATTTCCAAACCAATATATGTTAATTCTTGTGACTAAAGTATACAATATTTTAGGCCACAGGCCAAGAAGAGCCATCAGAAAACCCCAGTATACATTCTTGTGATGTATATTATAAAACTGTCATAAGAGTTTAACCATGAAACCTCAAATACATATTATAAATATATATAAGTATATATATTTATATATGTATATATTTAAATATATTTATAATATATATTTTCACATATTTAATATATATCTCATATGTATGTG
The DNA here is from genome assembly GCF_000001405.40 of Homo sapiens. NCBI lineage: Eukaryota > Metazoa > Chordata > Mammalia > Primates > Hominidae > Homo > Homo sapiens. Next base: position 54,000,342 of record NC_000013.11, read on the forward strand.
TGTGTGTGTGTCTGTATGTGTGTAAAACTGTAATTTTTCTTATATTTCCAAATGTTCTAGGGTATGAATTTGTTCCCTTTGGTTCTAAACAGAACTTTGGTGATAAAAGCTTAAAATAATTATCCAAAATGTTATAAAATGAACTGTTAATACAGTAGTTAGGAAGTTGCCTCAATTTTTTAATTCTTTTATTCTTGCATTAGAAAACATAAAGAGAAGGCTTCGGAAAGCTTGCATCCAGAAAAGGGAAGTCAATTTCCTACACCACACTTATCTTGTTCACTTTCTTATAATTTATATTCCCAGAGCCAGCAGGAATTTATTTTTTTCTCATCCTCAACGACAAAGAGTTAGCAGTCTTCAAGATGCAGAAGTGGGTCAAACTAGGATAAAGAAAATAAATCACAGTTCAAGGTCTATGAAGACCCTGGCTCTGTTTCTTCAGAAAAGGAAGAAGTTCATAAAACATCAGACCAGAAGGTATAAGTAAATATTAGGAAACTGATACAAGATGTTGATGCAAGTTTAATACTTGAATTATACATAGCTTCCAGAGGCTTCAGTATGAAATGTGACATTTTCACTAGGAAGAGCAATTATTACATAATATAATTGTATAGAAATCCTGTAAGACATTGCCATTTACTAAAATATTTGGAAGAAAACTGAGAAAAGAGGCAGCAGCCACAACAACAAAAAAAGATGATGGTTGAAAAAAAGTATAAAAATATCTTTCAGTTTTACTTTAATTTTATTTATTTTTGAATAAGCAGAGCTGTCACATGGTTCAAAATTCAAAAGATTGCATTGAAAAGACTCCATGCCACCCTTGGCCCTCAACCACTCAAGTCCCATCTGCAAAAACAACCAATGTTACCAATTTCTCATGTGCTATTCTAGAAATATTTTCTGTTTATATAAGCAAATATGCTCCTATAATTTTTATTCCCCCTCTTTTAGATAAATAATATTTTATTTTAGCATTTCATAAAACTCTTCTGCTCCTTGCTTTCTTCACTTGGCAAAAATCACTCCGTAATATTACAGTAAGTTTTAGCATTTCATAAAACTCTTCTGCTCCTTGCTTTCTTCACTTGGCAAAAATCACTCCATAATATTACAGTAAGTGTTTCCTCCTACTTTGAAATCTGAAGCATATGCCATTCACAAATGTACAATAATTTTATTTGTCCAATGAATGAAATACTTCTGACTTTTCACTCTAGCCTTTCAACGCACATCTCCTCAAAAAAGATGTGAAACGAATTTGCTGATCGGCCCTAGAAAGCCAGTTTCATGCTCACACTGGGGTCATCTACTCCACAGGACTAGGTTAGGGGAGGTGAGAGGATGCCCAGCCTCCTCCTCTAAACTCATTGCTTCAGGAATGGCACATTTTCCCCCATCTTACATATTATTTTTTCTGCCTATTCACAAAGTAATTAAGCTCATTAAGATGGTTTGTGGAAGCTCCCCCAAAATCAAATCTACTCACATGAATTATTAAATTTTTTCTTCCTACAGAAGAGAACAGTAAATGCAGTTTCAACTGATGGTACAGCTTTTCTGAAAAATAACTGATTCCATTTTGAGATACAAAAAGTTATAGAGATATTTTCATGATGGTATTTGTATTTTAACACTATCTCAAATTAGACATCCTGGTTTTAATTTGGAAGACACACATATATTTCTCCTATTTTCTGATATACTCTAGCTCACAATTGGCAAAAAAAAAGATTAAATCAATTGCCTATGCAAATGGGAACATAAAAAAACCTATTGGAATAAGACTTTGGGAGAAACCATTTCTTTTTGGTAACTTATAAGCATCTCCTTAAACTACTCTGCTAGATATTATTAAATAGTTATGTTTTATAAGAAAAATATAATTTAATAAGTAAAGAACGTCAATAATAATCATAGCTAACAATTATTGAATGTTTGACATATGCCAGACTGTGCATACTTTTTTGTAACTTTTAGAATAGCCCTATGAGTTACTAATATTACTATTATTATTTTTTTGAGACAGTATCTTGCTCTGTCACCCAGGCTGGAGTGCTGTGGCATGATCTCGGCTCACTGCAATCCCTGCTTCCCGGGTTCAAGCGATTCTTCTGCCTCAGCCTCCTGAGTAGCTGGGATTACAGGCTCACACCACCACACCTGGCTAATTTTTGTATTTTTAGTAGAGATGGGGTTTTGCCATGTTGGCCAGGCTGGTCTCGAACTCCTGACCTCAGGTGATCCACCTGCCTCGGCTTCCCAAAGTGCTGGGGTTACAGGAATGAGTCACTATGCCGGCCTGCCTTACTATTATCATAGCCATCTTACAGATGAGGAATTTTCTCAGGATCACACAATTTGTAAGTATGAATAGCAGAATATGGAAACGGACAGAGAATTGTCGATAGCAGGTCTTGAACCCCAAACTATCATTTTCTCTAACTTAGATTCTAATTTGGCTAATTGAAATTCTTATTATTATGAGGTATAACTAATTATAATGTTGCTACCTCAAATTCAGGTATTTCCCATTTTGTAGTATAGAAATTAATTTAAATATTTCAAGAGCACTTATTATATGTAAGGTAACTTGCTGGATATTCAGGAGGCAATATATGGACTAAAGTCATGGCCAAATCTTTAAGCGCTCATTATTGGCTTGCTGTCAGGCCTGCTTTCCAACTGTGTACTCCACTAATCAATCAATTCAATTCATTGCATATTGCTTCCACCATGTTTTCAGACTGGGATTAGAGAAATTAATTACCATTAATGATAATGGAATTGGTGAGAGGATTTCTTTTTTTATGTCTATTAAGAATCAAATATCTCAAAATTACACAGTAATATCCAACAAGGAGTATTTTTAAAAAATACATTGTATTAGAAAGGAGGCATTGGGAAATCAAGAAAAAAGCATCATCTTGGTTAATAATTCACCTGGATTCAGCTCCATCCCTAGGCTTAATGGACTCAGTTTTATCAACCGAATTGGAAACAATATGCACCCCCTTCCCTTTTTTTCTACCTACTGGTACTCGAAGCCTTGCATGTGCACAGTAAGTAGATGGTACTCTCATGTCCTTTTCTCTAGATGCTGCATAACTGAGCCTTGGTGCACAGCTTGGTAAATATACAGGCTCTCCTGCATATTGCACAGTCTATGCAACTGAACACACTGGCCTTATCTAAATCAAGTTTAAATTCTGATACAAGCTGTATGATCTAGACTTAGGCAGTAAGTATCTCTCATCCTCACTTTATTCTTCTGCAAAAGAAGTTAGGTAGATTATTTGAGTCCCCATACTCCTTATATAGCTCTAACTTATGTAAGCTACAAAGTATCTCAAAGCACAAGTGGATTAAATGAGTGCTGACAATAGCTTGAACACTGCCTGTCAAGGAACATAAAAGCAAAATCATATGTATGTTGGGAGGGTATAACTCAAAGTTAAATAGTGACTTTCCCTGTGTGGCGAATTTACAGGTGACTCCAAATTGTGTTTCTATATGTAGATGATGTATATACTAAATTTACATGTAGTATATTGGGTTTCTCAATATTATGATTGGAAAAATTAATTACTTTTAACAAAATAGGTGTCAATAAGTATAATGAAAGAGGTAAGAGAACACTGGAAAGGAAGTATCTATCACAGGTGACACTGAGCTTGGTCTTGAAAAAAAAATAGGAGGTAAAGAAATAAAGAAAGGAGCATTTTAGGAAATAAAAGCCTAGGTCAAGATAAAGGGTGAAATGTGCATTATTTAGGCAAGTCAAGAAGTTCAATGTGTAACACACTAGGGAGTGAGAGGGCCAATATGGGAGAGGTCACAGCTGAGACTTGATAAGAAATTGCAGTGTGTCTTTGAAAAGCAGTTGCGTTATGGATAGAGAATGTGACAGAAGTTTCGCAAAGATTTTCAGACAGAGTTTTCTGCTTACGTAGTGTTTCCTTCTTGCTTACATCTTCCCTTCTAGCTGTTAGTTTCTTCATCTGGAGAAATCATGAGATGTTTGAGAAGGCAGCAAAGAGAATGGAAAGACAAAAAGTAAACTTTCCTTAACCAATTCACTCTTGCGTGTAGGTGGCTTTGTCACTTTTCTAGGTGTTTTGAAAGAGGAACATGGGGTGAGGGAAGCCTTTAACAAAGAGATCGTTTCATATATTGTGAAATTTTAGTTTCCATTGGTGGTTATGGCAAAATTGCATCATCTAGTCAATCACCTGTTATCATCACCTTGAAAACTGACTCACACTTTATGTAACATTGGCAATGATGTATACATATCTACAAAGAGGATATTTCAGTATTTAATCTTAATGACTAGGATAAGCTAACTTTGTTAGAAGTACAATGATGATATTTTTATTTTAATGTTTAACATCACTGTAGGAATTCTAGGCAGCTATTAACAGGAAGTATGGCATGACCCTAAGAGACACTGACCCATGTTATTTCTGTTTTAAAACTTTCACATTGATTGGGGTGGCCTCAGGGGTCTCCAATAATTTAAATCCTACACATTCCATTTATGTGACAAACACCTACTGTTTTAGAGAATCTCAAGCACAGTTGTGACAGGTGGCCATGTAATTCAAACAAGCTATGGTAGTTTTTAGGTCAAACAATGCAGATTAACTTTCTTAGAGTCTCTCTTAACACAGTTGTTGCTTTCTTTTTATTGCCTAAGCTTTACCTATAGAAACTATTTTTGTTTATTTTATGCAAGTGTACCTTGAGGCAACAGCAACAGGGAGGGTTAAATCTTTACTTTTCACTGTCAAAACTGATAGCCTGTATAACACCCAGTTTTTTTTTTTTTTTTCAAGTGACATTCAATCCATATCTTCTCCACCATGCAGTTAGGAACTTCATAGAGTGGACAAAGATGGCCAACCTGGATTGTGATGCATAGAGTTGACACAGGTGGCCAAACTGGATCGAGGGCAGGTGGAACAGAGTTCAAATTTAAACAATATCAACTAGAATGTTCTTCACATACTTAACAATTTTATTTGAAATAGTTATTTTGAGAGTATTTAGATGTTAAAAAGGGACAAGCAGGTTATAACAGTGTTTGCTAATTAGCAGAACTGACAGAAGAGATATATTATTTTAATTCATTTTGAGCAGTTTATTTGCTAAAGGGTCAAATGATAATTTTTTTCTGCAAGTGAACTCTACAATGTAAGGATAGAGATAACTAGGATGGCACTTAAGAATTAGGGTAACCAGCTCATTTTGGTTCTCTAGGACTTTTCTAGTTTTATCACAATCCCACATTTAGGGACACCCACTGAGTCCTAAACAAACTGGGGTACTCATTCCTTTTTTCCTTTCTCTTCCCTGTTTTTACCTTCTTCTACATAGTTCATAACAGTCTAACCAATGCACAATACATTTAATCAATCAATAAGTAACTGAGTTGTATTTTGTTTTTGAACATCTGCATTAAGCATAGGTTCAGGGTACACTGTGATACCCATTCACCAAGACCCTTTGAAGTATCAGTTCAAAGAGTTGTTGGCCTTTTTCTGCTAAATGTAGAAGCTATTTTTCACCCTGAGAAACTCAAATCTGCAAATGAGTAACTTCGAGCATAAACTAATGAATCTGCAAGATGATAACTGCCAAATTGCTCGGCAGCATGCTAGAAGGCTACTTAACAAGAAACTACTATGAGTTCTTGCTGAGCCGACTTATCAGGACTTTTAAAAATGGAAGTGCCTAAAGACAACCTTTCTGGACCTGTTATAGCAAAGCCTTATTACTACAATATTTGTGTGCTATTTTTCATGCTGGGCTCCAGGAAGGGTGCTCTGAAGACGGTGAGGAAATCTCTCTCTGTCAGTGGACGAAGGCATGTAACTTTCCTAAATCCTACCTCCAGGTTGAAGTTGACAGGAAAATCTGCAGAAAAGTTACCATTTTATCTGGGGAGCTGCAGCATTTCAGGAGACTATAATAGTTTTCAGTACGAATTTACAGCACAGCAGCCATCAGATATAGATAACCTGGTAGGGGTCCAGGAAGTTCAGTTATTCTGAATATCTAGGGTGCTGAAAAACTATAAGCAAGACAAGCACAGATATTGTTCCTTGGGTGACTTATGCTGACAGAATTTGCTTTTTTTATTTCCAGTGTCAAATCAGTAAAAGGGCATTTATTGCAGTGTGGGGAGAAAAAATCAAAACAGTTCTAGAGTCAACAAACTTGAAAGCCTTCATTTTTTAGACTCATCTGTTACAGCTCATAAAAAAGTACGGTTTCTTTGAAGAGTAATAAGCCATATTAATGCTATAGGGGGATGCTTTTGCATATGTAAAGCAAATGTTCCCATGAAAACAAATCTAGGAGACTAAGGTAAACTTTGCTTCAATATATTTAAAGTAAAAAATAATAATAATAACAAGGGCAAATGGTGCATTTATTCAGGGCTCCTCTCCTTTGCTGTGGAAAACTTTCAGTTCAAACAATTGGGCTCTAAAATGAGCAAACTATTTTAAGTAGTTAATTACCAAGCTGAATGAGAAACATACCCTCACCTCTCACACCCCAAAAAGTTCTCACACTTTGTGATTTCAACTGTGCAAAAAGATTTCAAAACAAACTCGTGTTTTGCTTTGACCCTTAAAAAATTCTTTTAAACTCTTCTCCTTTTAAAAAATTCTACAAAATCAGCTTTCAAAAAGATTGTGTTGGTAGTTGTTGGGATGGGATTATACCAATCCCAGCAAGGTAATATAGTAGGTTTCAGTTGTAGAAGATGATTAGAAGTAGTCTGTATTGATCCTGGACTATAATTTGGAGGGTGTTTTCCCCCTTCTTAATCCTCCACTTTAGTTTGTTTTCTAGTAGCTTGCTTCTAATTCTTAGAAGCAGATTGTAGAAAAAATTAATGTTAATTAAATGTCTCATATTAGTTAATCAATGTTTCACTGAAAAGACCTTTAACAGAACTGACAGGATTCCGTATTTTTATTGTTGTAAAAATTGCTTTAAAAAAGAAACAGGGAGTAGTATCATTTTCTTTAGGTAAATTTTTTCCTTTTATTATGGCATTGATATCTCTTATATTTCTGATATACATTTTTAAATATTGTAAGAAATATCTTTTGTTTGTTTATTTGTTTTTTGAGACTTTGTTTTGCTTTGTCGCCCAGCCTCCCAAGTAGCTGGGATTACAGGAGCATGCCACCCGGCTTTTTTTTATTTAATTTAATTTTTTATTTTTTATTTTTAGTAGAGACAGAGTTTCACCATGTTGCTTGGACTGGTCTCAAACTCCTGACCTCAGGTGATCCACCTGCCTTGGCCTCCCAAAATGCTGGGATTACAGGGTTGAGTCACTATGCCCAGCCAGAAATATCTTTTATAGTTTAGGATTGTTAGGGGATAATGTTGAGAACTGCATTAAAAGTTACTCTGCATTATTGTATCTTAATAATGGTTGAAAATGTAAAATAGTTATAAGTGCAACATTAATGACTTATAACCATTAGCTGGAAGATATCCAGAGAAACATGGAGAACTTAAATTTGAAGTTAGAATAAAAAGTATCACTCAGATAACTTTAAACAATTACACACATGAACTCTGTAGCCACTTTGTGCTCTCTGATCTTGAACGGTTTCATGGTCTATGATTTACTTTATAAACTGTGATCAAAGTATAAAGCATTAGCCATCCATCTGTCAGAAATATTGTAGAAGGCAGCACAGTAGATTAGCATACATATATTTTAAAACACCCTATGATAACAAATTGAGATAGTATAAAAAGTTAACACACAGTTGAGGACGTACAGGTATTGAGAAATTCAGAGGCTGTGGCAAGTAGCAAATAAGTAAGCTCCAAATTTTCCTAAAAATGAAAGTATTCCATGTACATTATAAAAATACACCACACACACCCAGTTAAATAATTTTTCTCATTCCTGAAGGTATACATGTGTTCAATCTTATTGTTACTATTGCAAAGTGATTTTTATTTTGCTATTCCTTCTGTAAATATTAGCTTTAAATATTTTATTTTTATATTTCTGTTTTGGATTGTATTTTCATTTTTATCAGCCTAATTTATTTTACTTACATTTGGATTTTCAAGTTTTAAATTAAATGCATTTATCCTGTTTTGGTACCAAAACAGAGACATCCACCAACAGAACAGAACAGAGTCCTCAGAAATAATACCACACATCTACAACCATCTGATCTATGACAAACCCGACAAAAACAAGAAATGGGGAAAGGATTCCCTATTTAACAAATGGTGCTGGGAAAACTGGCTAACCATATGTAGAAAGCTGAAACTGGATCCCTTCCTTACACCTTATACAAAAATTAACTCAAGATGAATTAAAGACTTAAATGTTAGACCTAAAACCATAAAAACCCTAGAAGAGAACCTAGGCAATACCATTCAGGACATAGGCAAGGGAAATGACTTCATGTCTAAAACACCAAAAGCAATGGCAACACAAGCAAAAATTGACAAATGGGATCTAATTAAACTAAAGAGCTTCTGCACAGCAAAAGAAACTACCATCAGAGTGAACAAGCAACCTACAGAATGGGAGAAAATTTTTGCAATCTACTCATCTGACAAAGGGCTAATATCCAGAATCTACAAAGAACCCAAGCAAATTTACAAGAAAAAAACAAACAACCCCATCAAAAAGTGGGCAAAGGATATGAACAGACACTTCTCAAAAGAAGACATTTATGCAGCCGAAAGACGCAAAAAAATGCTCATCATCACTGGCCATCAGAGAAATGCAAATCAAAACCACAATGATACCATCTTACACCAGTTAGAATGGCAATCATTAAAAAGTCAGGAAACAACAGGTGCTGGAGAGGATGTGGAGAAATAGGAACACTTTTACACTGTTGGTGGGACTGTAAACTAGTTCAACCATTGTGGAAGACAGTGTGGCGATTCCTCAAGGATCTAGAACTAGAAATACCATTTGACCCAGGCATCCCATTACTGGGTATATACCCAAAGGATTATAAATCATGCTGCTATAAAGATACATGCACATGTATGTTTATTGCAGCACCATTCACAATAGCAAAGACTTGGAACCAACCCAAATGTCCATCAATGATAGACAGGATTAAGAAAATGTGGCACATATACACCATGGAATACTATGCAGCCATAAAAAAGGATGAGTTGATGTCCTTTTTAGAGACATGGATGAAGCTGTAAACCATCATTCTCACAGACTATCGCAAGGACAAAAAACCAAACACTGCATGTTCTCACTCACAGGTGGGAATTGAACAATGAGAACACCTGGACACAGGAAGGGGAACATCACACACCAGGGCCTGTTGTGGGGTGGGGGGAGGGGGGAGGGATAGCATTAGGAGATATACATAATGTAAATGACGAGTTAACGGGTGCAGCACACCAACATGGCACATGTATACATGTGCCCTAGAACTTAAAGTATAATAAATAAATAAATAAATGCATTTATCCTCATTCTTTTATGTTTAAAAATTAAAATCATTTAAAATTATACACGTTATTCTAACTACACCTTTCTCCACTACCCAGATAAGTTTTGATAAGTCATTTTCTAAATGATCTGTTATGATTTTTTTCCTGAATAAACCCTTTTTAAAAATTGACCATAACTTCCTCTTTTAAAAAATTTTCTTGATAAAAATTTTATAGCGATGAGGCTTTTTGAAAAAAAATATGACTTCAAATGACTCAAGAGGATATAGAAAACCCTAATGACTCTCTATACCTAAAGACATTAAGGAAGTATCAAAATTGTTCAGAATTGTACCTGGTGCAGAAAAATTAAAATATTTCATAGATGTGCTCATTCAAACCCTCCAAACCTGACATTTGTTTGTCATTGAAGTGTCCCGGCATTCAAAAAGAAAGAAACCCCTTTGCCAAATCCCTCTAACTTTGAACAAAATCTAACAAAATGAGAATAGAATTATGAGAAAATGCTAGAGACAAATATCTCTATTTGTGAATGAAGTTGCAGAATTTCATAGTAATATATTACTGAAAAAATCTAAGCATACATGAAAATCCTAAGTGAAACATGAAAAGGAGAGTTAGCATTTGAATGTTACTGTCATCAGAGAGCAAGTGTGACCAATATCATTATATTGATAAAAGTATGAAAAACAAAAAGAAACAATTTAAAAATGAGATAGAATAATAGGGCTGATTAATTCAATATCAAGACCTAAAAATCAGTTGTGTTCTTATACCAGTGACTACTTAGACAATACAAAAATAAAATATTTTACTCAACAGCACAAAAAACGTAGAATACTCTAGGATAAACAAACCAAGGTATACATAAAAACTATATAAAAACAAGCAAATTATAAAACGAAAAGGGTTCACTCAATCACTCACAAGATATAAAATAGTCTAGAATAAATGGACCAAGATATATATGAAAACTCTACAAGAACAAGCAAACTATAAAATATTCCTGGAAGAAGAAAATTTACATCAAATAAATGGAGGTTGATTCATATTTTTCTGGGAAAATATGTATTGATTACATTTTTCAATATTGAACATACGTCTCCACCTTTATTGCAATATTATCACATTTATTTCAGTATACGCTAAGGTGCTCTAACAAATATCAACATCTAGTGACTTGAGTGAGAAAGTTTATTTCTCCTTAATCTATCAGTTGGGAGATGAGAGACTCAGAGATGTTAAGGTGATTCTGTTAACTTTAGCATGTAGCTTCCAAATTTGCTGTAGTTTTTGTAATTTCCTAGTAAGCCAGAAGGAGGAAATAGGCTTACTAGGAAGCCTATTTCCTAGTAAGAAATATTTAATGAGATGCATTAGAATTTGCACACATCTCATTGGCGGAACTTAGTCACATTGACACATCTGGGTGCCAGGGAGGCCAGGAAATGAAATCTGTAACTATTCAAAAACAGGGTGGAATGCTTAAAAGCAAATCAACTCAAAACTTAGTGACTCAAAACATCAGCAATCATATTATTCACTTCCAATCTTTCAGAGGATCAGGGATTTAGGAAGGGTTCTTACTAGGTGATTGTGGCTCAGCCTCTCTCAAGTTGTGGTTAGAAGGTCTCTGGAGGTAGCATAGAGCTGTAGGTTAGTGGAGCAGCTGGTGGCTGGCCAGACATTTCTCTTGTTATCTTTCAACTTTTCCATGTGGTCTCTTCACATGGACCACTTGGTGTTTTCTTCCTGCAAGGCAGTCCCTGGGGAATTAGACTGCTTACAAAGCAAGTCCAGGCTCCTTAGGACTGACTCCCTAGGAATAGAGTTGTGTTCATTACAGGGAATGAGATACAAACTTCATTGCCTTAAGATGGTACTGTAAGGAGGCTTACAGAAGTCACCGAGTGTCATTTCCATTGTATTCTACCAGTCAATACAGAAAAAGCCCACCAGATTCAAGAGAAGGCATAGAATGCACCTTTTAATGGAAGAGTATACAAAAAAATTGGGTTGTATTTGAAAATTGCCATGCTTACTAAAAGGAAGAATGAGAGAACACAAGTTGAGAAATGTCTATCAGTCTCTGTCCATGCACCTCTGACTTTCTAAGTCTGTAAACATATACCCTGGTCCCCATACAAAAAAAAACACCACACACACACACACACACACACACACACACACACACACACAGTCTCTGTCTCTCTCTCTTTCTCTTTCTCTCTTTTCAGAAAGGTAATTCAAGGTTCCACTCATCTTTTGCATTCCGTTCAAAGACAAAAATCCATGGGTAAGGCTGCTTTCTTTGCATTAATTTCAAGAATGAGTTTTAGGGATTGGGAAAATAATAATATCAAAGAAAAACACAGTCTGTTCAGGGAAGATTAAGAATTAAAAAGCTTAAATAATAAGCAAACTATTGTTTGGAAAAGAGAAGGTTTGAAAACACTCAGTTGTCCATCACAGGTATCAAATCTTACTTGGCAGAAGACTCCTTACCCCAGAGGAGGTAGGTTGATTGGTTAATCCTGTGTTGCCATCAACCCTGATCCTTCTCTCAAGAAGCAACTTCCTTTTCACTGTCCTTCATGGCTCTTGTTTGAGCCATGTCCTTCGCAAGTCCTTCCTTGACCATTATACTAATGGTCACTCTTTCAGTGAATAACGGAGAAATTCAAGACTATGGAAGTTTGACAATCCAGAGCTGCCTTGGAGTTGGAACAATCATAGGCTTCTCTTATTGGTTTGTAATTTATTGACCAACATTACTCCTGCCAAAATTCAGTACTCTCTGGTCAACTTGCTTCCAGCTAGTTGTATGTGAAATAAACAATCCCAAAGAGCTCTTTTGCCTAAACTTGTTCAATCTCTTCTTAGATTGGATGGCTTCTGAGCTTAGTTTATTATCCCGCTATGTCCTATAATGGGGACTCCCTTCAGGCATCTGGAACCATAAATTTATGTGGTAAGGCAACACTCTTAATCTCTTCTTTGCTTCCGGCCTGCCTTTTGGCAGTAATCTTAATTCCTGCTGTTTGAATTCAGAAGCAGTTGTAACTTTTAACCTATTAATGCCTCAAATTTCTGGCCATTCAATCAGTTAGAATTCCAGTTCATTTCCAGGGACAGGATCTCCCTTAAGCACAGCTAATTTCCTTTCCATTTTTGCTTACAAACTGGCCAATCTGTGGCTGAATGTCTCTTCACTATATATTACTAAAAGCAGTGAGGAGCAGCCATCACAAATTAACATTCTGCATTTTCTCAATCAATTTCCTTCAGGCTACAGCCATAGTAAGTAATGAATCTAACTTCTAGGTGATTGCCAGCAAGTGTTCTGCAGATAGGTTCCCTGGTCATAAAATGGGTGACCAAGTTTCAGGACTATAATAATGTCTGTGTCCTTTCTAGTTTTTAAGCTATTCTTGAGACAACTCCTTTTATTCCAGGTTTTTTGTCAGTATATTATATTCCAGAATGCAATTCTATTTGTAAGGTTTGGGGCTAAGATGGTAGAAAAATATTCAATCATATCCTATCTTAAATGAAAGAGAAGTTTGTATTTCTCTCAAGTATCAAAACAAAAATGAATGATCTAGGGAAATATATTTTTTAAAAATGACTTAGGAGTTGTACCCACCAGTTACACTCACTTTCCTTGTCACTAATTTAATCACATAGCCACAATAAGTTGCAAGGGTAGGCAGCTAAGATTCAGCTAACATTTTGGGGCTTCTGTTGAAAATGGAAGAAGAGAAAAAATGAGTAATGAGAGATATCTAGAGGTTTTCATGACATCCAGATACATAAGTAACATCCTTTTTTGTTTGTCTTTTGTTTTGTTTTGTTTTGAGAACTTAAATCATTCTAACATTGACCTGGAATAAGCAACATATGAAAATAATTATAGAATTCCTAAAAACAAAAAGAACAGAGTTGGAGACAGTATTGGAAAAGGAATTTACCATAAAAGATATTTCAGTGTATGAAAAAATTAAAACGGTATGTTCCTAGTGCAGGAATAAACAAAAAGCTTAAAGGTTATAAGGCAGAAACATATTTCATCATTTGTAAAAAGCATAGCATATGATAAACATGTTTCAAATCATTAGTGGATTTATTAATAAATGATATATATTAGAATATATTCCATACAGAGCAAACTAAAAAAGTTGCTTTTTGTTGTTGTTGTTGTGTTTTTTTTTTTCCCAACATGGAGTCTTGCTCTGTCACCCAGGCTGGAGTGCCGTGGCACTATCTCGACTCACTGCAAACTCTGCCTCCCGAGTTCAAGCAGTTCTCCTGCTGGAGTCTCTGCAGTAGCTGGGATTACAGGCGTGCACCACCACACCTGGCTAATTTTTTGTGTTTTTAGTAGAGAGGGGGCTTTACCACGTTGGCCAGGCTGGTCTCGAACTCCTGACCTCAGGTGATCCACCTGCCTCGGCCTTCCGAAGTGCTGGAATTACAGGCCTGAGTCACGGCACCCGGCCTCCAAAAGTTCTAATTGAATATATAGTTGAATATCTGAATAATCATAGAGTAGAGAGAAATTTTGTAAAGGTGATAACAAAGATAAAAACCATAAAGGATAATATTGATATAAATAATTAACAAACTTTGCGAGTAAAATAGTCACCATAAGCCTTATTAAAATGCAAGTGGAAATCTGGGAAATCCATGTAATTTGTATCATATAAAAATGATTTACATTGTTAAAGAAAGTACAGTTATTACCAATGAATGATGAAAGGCTGAACACTATGTATTAGTCCATTTTCATATTGCTATGAGGAAGTGCCTGAGACTGGGTAATTTATAAAGAAAAAAGATTTAATGGATTCACAGTTCCATAAGGCTGCCATATGGCAGAAGGTGATGGCAGAAGGTGAAGGAGCAGCAAAGGCATGTCTTATGTGGCGGCAACTATGTGAGTGGGTGCAGGGGAGCTGCCCTTTATCAAACCATTCGATCTTGTGAGACTTATTCACTATCAGGAGAACAGCATGGGAAAAACCCACCCTCATGATTTAATTACCTTCCACCGGGTTCCTCCAAGGACATGCAGAGATTATGGGAGCTACAATTCAAGATGAGTTTTGGGTGGGAGCACAGGCAAACCATATCACACTGTTATGAAATAATGGCCAAGGATATAAATAACAAAAGGATATACAGAATGTTCTGGAAACTTTTGAAAAATGTAAAATCCTACTAGTTATCAAAGTACCAATTAAAACAATGAGACCATTTCTCAATTAACAGGAGATAACCAATTGAAATGTCTACCGTTGGAAAGTTATGGCAAAATGACAGCATTCATGTGCTGCCACAGGAAGTTTAATAATTTTTATACAACATGGCAATATATATCAAAATCCTTCAAATATTTATACTATCTTAATGATCAATCACAACTCTTTGAGAGTTATAAAAATGAACAGAATTATGCACATTTATAAAAACATACATGTAAGAATGTTCGGCCTGGTGCGGTGGCTCACACCTGTAATCCAGCACTTTGGGAGGCCGAGGCAGGCAGATCACCTGAGGTCGGGAGTTGGAGACCAACCTGATCAACATGAAGAAACCCCATCTCTACTAAAAATACAAAATTAGCCAGGTGTGGTGGTGCATGCCTGTAATCCCAGCTACTTGGGAGGCTAAGGCAGGAGAATCGCTTGAACCCGGGAGGTGGAGGTTGCAGTGAGCCGAGATCATGCCATTGCAATCCAGCCTGGGCAACAAGAGTGAAACTCCATCCCCAAAAAAAAATAAAAAGAAAAAGAAGAATGTTCATCAGACAGTTTTTTGTAATAGCAAAACAATACAACTTCAAAAAGGTTACCCATATGGTACATGCATAGAATTAAATTCTTGACACCATTAAAATTTGTGCATGTGCATATTTGTTTACACAAAATGATGCTAACATTTTTAAGTGAAAAAATTACATTATGTGAAATGTACATGTATACACACCTGTATACGTATTCATGAAAAAAATATATATTTATATATTTTTTCTCTAAGATAATCAATGTTTGAGAAAGTTTATGGATTAGGGAAAAATAATCAAATTAACTAGCTGAATTAGGTTAAAAATGGTCTTGTTTTTATATATATTTATGTTTATATATGTTTGTTTTTACATATGTATGTGTATATATATTAGTATATGTGTGTAATGTACCCATAAAAATTAAAAATCACAAAATTTTAAAAAAGTATATATTTACTTATTTAAAACAAATATGAATGCCTTTATTTTTAGATATAAGCCAATGCTACTTTTTTTTTTTTTTTTTTTTAAAGACAGAGTCTTTCTGTCGCCCAGGCTGGAGTGCAATGGCGCGATCTTGGCTCACTGCAATCTCTGCCTCCCGGGTTCAAGCAATTCTCCTGCCTCAGCCTCCCCAGTAGCTGGGAGTACAGCCACCCACCACCACACCTGGCTAATTTTTGTATTTTTAGTAGAGATGGGGTTTCACCATATTGGCCAGGCTGGTTTCAAACTCCTGAACTTGTGATCTGCCCACCTAGGCCTGCCAAAGGGCTGGGATTACAGACATGAGCCACTGTGCCTGGCTCAATGCTACATTTTTTACCATTTTATAGTTTGGCTAAGGTTAATGCATGTCATTGTATTCTATTGTATCCATCTTCGATTTGAAATGTGAAAAGTATGCCATCTAGTTAAATGAAAGCTTGATACCCTAATGTAACAAGCTTGAACATCAGAAATCAGCTAAAATCTTTTATGTGACAATTGGCTCACAAATGTCTGTCTGGGCAGATGGTGTTGGTTTTAAAAGAAAGACATAGTTTGCCTGGAGAATTTCAGAGAAATCTGGGCATCATTTTCAGATTCTGGTAAAGGAGAAAGGTGTCATTTTCTTGACAGCCCCAGCGGTTTCCCTGTTACTGTTTGCATGACAGATGCCATGAACAGATTGATGTGTAAAGAAAGGCAAAGTACAAGAAAAGCATACATTAAAACTCATTAGCTAGAGATAGATATTTTCTGCAGGGAGCCACTCAGTAGCATTTTTTTGATGTATAGAGAATGTTTAACATTCTTAATATATGTGCTTTTAAATGTGCTGGGACTAGATTTACATATGTGGTGCTTGCCTAAATGGGAAGGGAAACATGTGGCTCGATGACAAATAGACTTCTATGAACACATAGCAGAAATGAATCAGTCTAAAATACAGCTTCCAATATAAAATGCACTTTATTATTTCATTTATTTATTCTCTTTGCCTAGGATTGTGGAACTAAACCTAATCATGGGACTATCCACTATTATAAAAAAGAAAGAAACAAAAACAGAAAATGCAAGCATCCACAAACATATAACATTTTGAAGAAAAAGAATTGAAAGCCACATTACTTTTGTGTTCTCATAAACTCTTACGTTTTATTATTTTTCCAGAATGTGAAATCTAAGAATGTCTGATCAATTTATGAAAGTAAAAGAGTACTTTTTGCTAAGGTTATTGTGTCATTGACTGAAGATACTGTTAAGGATATTTTCTTTGCTGGGTAAAGAACTGGAGAAATAATTCTTACCTATTAAGCTGAAGAACAGTTGTTCACATTTACAAATTTATAGATTTCTGGTACCTACACAATACTTGAATGGGTATTTCAGTCACGATATGAATCAATTTCCTTGATGCTAATAGTGATATTCCCATGTCAGTCAACATAAGCACTGTTCAGAAGCCTAGTGCCCTGCTTAAAGTCAGCTTGTCACTCCATAATAAAGGTAGTCACAAGTGCTAGGTCTGCAAAGGGCCATGAGACTGTAGCCCTGGCAAGTCAGGGAGGGAGAAATGTTAAAAATGCTGGGCTTCATTCACCACACACAAAACAAGGAAGGAGGGAAGGAAGGAAGGAAGAAAGGAAGGAAGGAAGGGAGGGAGGGAGGGAGGGAGGGAGGGAAGAAAAGGAGGGAAGGGAGGCAAGGGGAGGGAAAGGGAGGGAGGAAGGAAGGGAGGGAAGGGTGGGAAAGGGAGGGAAAGGGAGGGAGGAAGGAAGGAAGGAAGGGATGGAGGGAGGGAGGGAGGAAGGAAAAGGAAGGAAGGAAGGAAAGAAAAGGAAGGAAGGAAGGCAAGAAAGGAAGAGAGGAAGGGAGAAGAAAAGGAAGGAAGGAAGAAAAGGAAGGAAGGGAGGAAGGGAGGGACGGAGGGAGGAAGGGAGGGAGGAAGGAAGGGAGGGAGGGAAGAAAAGGAAGGAAAAAAGGAAAGAAGGAAGGATGGAAAGAAGGGAAGAAGGGGAAAAGAAAAGGAAAGAAAACAAAGAAAAGAAGAAAGAAAAGAATATAAGATTAAAAAAGAAAATAAAAAAGAAAGCTCCTGTGAAGAATTTCTACAAATTATTTATAGAAATAGATCAGCTACAATCTTAGATTGTCTAAGGTAAATATTAATGCACAATAACAGAGAGTAAAATGATCTTCATCTTCTTTGCTCCCATTCTGAATATTATTCTCCTTAGTGAAAAAAATGGAAGCTCAGTAATGCATGCTTATTTCTGCTTTTTCTCTGTCTTTTAACATCATACCACTTTATCCAGGCAATGAATGCATCATTCTTTGTAAGCATTTCAAGATACCACCTCCAAGTCTGTGCCTTCATGGAAAACTGCCGGTCTTCCTCTAAGTATTGCTTCTCTTAGTTCTACTAGGCAGGGGAGGTCTATAATCCTGCATCCTACGCACCATGTCCCACAGATCACATTATAGTTCTCATAACTGTCCGTGTGATTTCTCAGTCACAACTTCCCAGTCATGCATAACAGCTTCCATTTATGAGGCTCATTTCACCTAGGTGTGACATCCTAAAATACCTCAGTGCTCCCACTTAACACTATTTTGGCTATTTCCTTGTTCATTATGGAATTTGGCACATGGCCAAATTCTTGTGGATGTGCATGAGTTTGATTCAGGAATCCAAAATTGTTTAACCTTCTCAACACCAACAACCTTCACCATCAATCAGTTTCAGTCATTTGTTCCTATGTCCTCACCTTGAACATTTAGTCCTAATGACTGATCTAATTTGAATATTTATATGAAAATGACCACAGTCACCTGTTTTTTTTTTTTGTTTGTTTGTTTTGTTTTTTGTGCCTTACTCTCCTACACACATCCTTGGATGTTATTCTACTATCTTGACCCAGGAGTTCACCTTATAACTTCATTGGTCACTTCCTTTATTGCTTCATTTCCTTCCTGAACTTTCAGCTAAAGTTCTACTACCTTGCTCTTGTTTTTCTGAAATTACCTCCCTGAAAACCCACAGCACTTGCCAACTCTAGTACTTTTGGACAACTTAAAGTAGACCTATGAGATCAAATAATCATATATTTTGGGTGTCACTAAAAAATAATTTCAACCTCCTTTGGGTCCACAATACTTATCAGCAATCTCTAGCCAATCTACTCTATTTAGCAGCTATTTTATTGAGGGCCTTCTAATGAAAAGAAATAGAAATAAGATATCTAATGGCTCATGTATTTGAAAAGTATGGGCAATGTCAACCTTTAGCATTCATGAGAATATCCCCTTCAGGGCTTATTAAAATTAAAACAAAATGTTGGGCTCCATTCCAGAGTTTCTTATTCAGTAGGTCCAGGATAGGGACTGGCAATTTAAATTTCCAATAAGTTTCCAGAGGTGGGAACCATACTTTAAGAACCACTGGTCTAGGCATAGAATTCTCTTCAAACATGATTGGATACAGTTGTTCAGAGAAATCATAAGAATACATCTTTATATTCTTTTATATTCTCTGTGTGTGTGTATTTGTGTGTCCTGTGTGTGTATGTGATTCATTTTCTAGGCAATGTCTTGTCTCATGACAGAAAAAATAAGTGGTTCCAACAGTTCTAGGATTAAATGTTCTTTTTAACTCAGGCTCCTAGAGGAAAAAGACTGTCGTTTACCATACTTTTATAAGACTTCTGGGAAAGAAGCTGGAAGGAGTTAGTCAAACCAGTTGACTTATATCACTAGGGATCAGGACAGGAGAGGGCCCACAAAAAAAGATGTTGATTAAATTGATATCTTCTGCAGTATGTTTGATTTCCTTATGATGCTCCTAAAA
Source organism: Homo sapiens (assembly GCF_000001405.40). Taxonomy (NCBI): domain Eukaryota; kingdom Metazoa; phylum Chordata; class Mammalia; order Primates; family Hominidae; genus Homo; species Homo sapiens. Next base: position 54,019,952 of record NC_000013.11, read on the forward strand.
CACTCTCACACTGATGCCTCTCCTTCTCTTAGTAAAGGATCTTACCAATGATTTAACAAAAATCGCTCTGATTATAAAGCAAGCCATCACTCACCTCTTGACTCAAATGTAATAAAAACATATGTTTAGGATCTGCAGAGTACGTCTAGCAAAACAAACAAATTAAGAAAATATTTGAGAGGAAATGAAAAAGAGTTGAGAAGTATGGACTGAATACCAAAAATAAATAAATGAATAAATAAATAAATAAATTGAGGTTGTTTACTCTGGATTCAGAAAATTATTGGGACACATGATCTATCCTCACCCCTTTTAATTTGTGAGGAAAATGTTTTATTTTCATAACACTAATGCCGCAAAAGGAGCTTTTGTTTGCAAAGAGAATTTTATTAATCAATTTCCCTTCATAGTTCTCTATTTGTAACCCTTATGTTCTTTAACAACTTTTAATATGCCTATAACTTCAGTCACATCTATTAAATTTATCATATGGAATTGGGTGTTTATGACTTCAATCAAAAATTAGCTTACACCAAACTGCTCTTTTTAAAAATTAAATGCCATGTTGACATTTACACAGCAATATTCATTTCTTTTATCTTTTTAAAGGCTGAGTACCATTTTATTCTATAAATTACAGCTTAAATTATTTAAGCATTTCCTAGTGGTTGAATATTTATATTGTTTCCACTATTGTGTCACCACCAATGTCACAAATGACATCTTTATTTATATTTTCACATTTATCTGTTTATTTCCATAGTATACTAAATATGGAATTGCTGTGTCAGAGGATGTGCTTTTTAAGGCCTTTGACTAATGAGCCTTCTAGAATGACCACACAATTTTACTGGAAGCTTGAGTGCTCATGGTATCACCTATCTGTCCACACTGGGTATTACCCTTCTATTAATGTTGGCTAATTTGCTAGGCGTAAATTATCCCTTGGCGTTAATTTATTTTACATATCTTTTCACATTTGTGTGGCTGAAACATTTTTCAAATGCTGCTTGCAATTTGTGATTCTACTTGGCCCTTTTGTTCACTTGGGGTGTTCCTAATAACCAAAATTGATAACACTTATTGAGGCTTGTAATATACCAGGTTTGTCCTAGTATTTTACAAGCATTATTTTTATTTATTTATTTATTTATTTTTTGAGATGGAGTCTCACTCTGTCTCCCAGGCTGGAGTTCAGTGGCGCGATCTCGGCTCACTGCAAGCTCCGCCTCCCAGGTTCACGCCATTCTCCTGCCTCAGCCTCCCGAGTAGCTGGGAGTACAGATGCCCGCCACCACGCCCGGCTAATTTTTTTTTGTGTGTGTATTTTTAGTAGAGACGGGGTTTCACCGTGTTAGCCAGGATGGTCTCGATCTGCTGACCTCGTGATCTGCCCGCCTTGGCCTCCCAAAGCACTGGGATTACAGGCATGAGCCACCGCCCCCAGCCTTTACAAGCATTATTAATATTTCATTGACTCATCACAACAACCTTATGTATATGTACTGTGATTATTCAAATTTTTGGCAATCCAAGAGTAGACACATTAACTTATTTTCCAAATGTCATACCGTAAGTTTCAAATAAAGCCAGAACTCAGGCATAGATCTTCCTAAGAACAAAAGCATCTGCCCCTTATCATTCTGTTGACTTTTAAATTCCATATCCTTATTTCCCACTACTTCTGCATTTCTGTAGGCATTCTTTATATTTCACAGGCAGTATTAAGGAAATCTTCTTTGATTCTCGTCTTACAGGACTCAGCACTATCATGCATGATACATCTATATAGATCTTTTTATAACAGAAATTTAATTCTGATTCTCCTTGAGTTCAAATCCCTTCAACTGCTCCACATTCCCACACAGAAAAACCCAAACTCTTTAACAAGTTTACAAGTTCTTCCATGGTCTGGCACCCAGTTAGCTACTTCTCTAGCCTTGTCAACTGCAGGAAACTGCTTTCTCAATATTACTCATTCTATTCTCCAACATAATAAAGCAGCTTACATTCATGTTTTATGGCCCTCAGTGCAAATGTTCAAACTTGCTTTGATTAAAAGACTCATAACCCTGACCTAACCCACCAACCAACCCCAACACATATACTCCTAATTCTACTGATATCTCTTTCATCAAACATGCCAACAACCTGCTCTCTAAAGCTTTTCATGTATTATCCTCTCTGTTGACCCCCAAGCTCACTTCCTCTTACTGTCTGACTCTACTACTTCATATCTAAAACACTTAATTTAATATTTTTGTCAGTCTCACTATATTTGACTTTGATTTTAAATAAAAGAGATACTGTTCTATTCATTCCATATCCTGCATTCCTAGAAAAATGTCTGTGCATATTAGTACTTTTCTTTTTTTTATTTTGCCAATGAGTAGTTACACACTCGTTAGAGGATTCTGACTTCCAAGACTACCATCTTGCATTTTAGTGCTTTTTAAAAAAAAGAAATTAAAGAATGATTATATTTTGAGTCCACTGCCCAAAGGCCAAAAGGCCACAGTCCAAAGATCAAAAGATTAAACAAAATTATCACTTTAATGAATTCATCATTCAGATTTATTATGTTGATGTATTTATAGGTTAGCACTTCATAGGTCATTCTATCATTTAAACAAATTCAAAATAAGCAGCAATTATTATCATTTCTAAATAACTTAGCACTCCAAAATAAAATACGTCAGAAGAACCCTCTGAAAATTAAACATCATCACACCAGAATGAAGAAAAGGACTTCTATTAATCAAGTAAAGCTGCTTTTTTCTTTTCTTGTATTTTGTTTTAGTACCAACTTATTAATAATTTAACAATTCAGAAAGTCCAAGTGTATGCATTGGAATTCTTCAAGAAAACAGCTTGGGCCATGGACAATGGGGAAAAGCAAGGCAGAATGACTGTCCACGTAGGAACACTTCTCTGCTCAGGGAAGTGGTGAGTGAGTGAGTGACACCAGGGAACCATGCTTCTCCCATGGATCTGTGCAACCCTCGGGTAAAGTGATCCCTAGTGAACCCACTCCACCAGGGCTTTCAATCTGACGTGCAGAGTTACGTGGAGTCTTGGCAGAGCAGCCATTTAGGCACACGCAGAGCCCCAGGAACTTTAGATACCCAGGCGTTCCGGCAAAAGCAGCTGCAACTCTGGCAAAGCAGGAGATTAGACACCCGTACATAGCTCTAGGAAAGGAGTTGAATCTAGCGGACTGAGAAGCAATGGTCTGCAGGCCATGCTTCCATGGCACCTGGCAGGATAAGACCCACTGGCTTGGAACTCTAGCCAGCCATGGGTAGCAGTGTTACATCTCCCTGAGACAGAACTCCCAGAGGGAGGGTTGGGCTGCCATCTTTGCTATTTTGCGGGCTTAGTCATTGATGCCTTTGGCCTTTAGGGACTCTGAGGTGACTAGGGACTGGAGTGGTCCCCTAGCACAGCACAGCAGCTCTACAAAGAGGCAGTTAGACTGCTTTTTCACATGAGTCGTGGATCCCATTTATCTTCACTGGGTGGAATCTCCTGACCAAGGCCTGCAACCACCCTTGTTGGTGCTTTCCAGCTGGCAGCCGTTCCAAACCTCTCTGGGATGAAGCTCCCAGAGGGGATGGGTGGGCCACCATCTTTAAGTATTTCACAGCCTTAGACGTTGTCACCTTCAGGGTTTGGAGAGTCTCAGGTGACTGTGAGCTGGATCAGACCCCCAACATAGCACAGCAGTTCTATGAAAAAGCAACCAGACTGCGTTTTTTATGGAGGTCCCCAATCTTATTCCTCCTCACTAGTCAGAACCTCCTGACTAGGGTCCCCAGCCACCCTCACCAGTGTGTTCAGGCCAGGAACAGGTCTGGAATTTCCTGGGATGGAGCTCCTAGAGGAAGGGGCAGGCCACCATCTTTGTTATTTTGCAGTTTTCACTGTTGATATCTCTAGATATTAGAAAATCCAGCGTAACTAGCGACTGGAGCAGACCTCTTAACCCTATAGAAAACTGGTCAGACTCTTTGTTATGTAGGTCCTCAATCCCATATCTCCCCTCTTGGTGTGTCCTCCTGGCCTGAGTCTCCATCTCCAGCCACCCTCTACTGTGACTGTTGAGCCAGTAGCTTATCTGCAACTCTCTGGGACACAGCTCCCAGTGGAAGAGGCAGTTTGCCATCTTTGCTATCTCATAGGCCTTGATCTTGTTGTCTCCAGGCTTTGGAGAGTCTGTGGAAGCATGGGCTGGTACATACCCACAGGAGAGAACACCCACCTCATAGAAAAGTGCCTGGACTGTTCTCCATGCAGGTCCTGGCCCTCACTTCTCACTGGGAAGGGCTGCTCGACCTGGGACTCCAGCACAACCACCATGCCCCTGCCTGACCAATTCAATGAGAGGCAGCCCAGCAGTTAAAGGAATACCCACACTCCAATATGAGAAAGAACCAATGCAAGAACTCCAGCAGCTTAAATGGCCAGAGTGTCTTATGTCCTCAAAACAACTGCTCTAGTTCTCCAACAAGGGTTCTTCATGAGGCTGAGTTGGCTAAAATAACCGAAATAGAATTCAGGATATGGATAGGAATGAAGATTATCGAGATTCAGGAGAACGGCAAAACCCAATCCAAGAAAGCTGAGAATCACAATTAAATGGCAAAGATTTCATAATGAAAACACTAAAAGCAATCACAACAACAGCAAAACTTGACAAATGGAATCTAATCAAATTAAAGAGCTTGTGCACAGCAAAAAAAAAAAAAAGAAACTAACAATGGAGTAAATGGACAACATAGAGAATGGGACAAATTATATGTTTTCATATTGGCTGCTGCTAGTCTTTCTTTTCCATATTTAGTGCCTCTTCAAAGATATCTTGTAAAGGAGTTCTGGTGGTAACAAACTTTCTCAGCATCTGCTTCGAAAAGGATCTTATTTCTCCTTCACTGATTTTATATCCAGAAAACCCCATAGCCTCAGCCCTAAAGCTCCTCAGCTGTCCCATTTACAATTGCCACAGAAAGAGTAAAATACCTAGGAATACAGCTAACCATGGAGGCAAAAGATTTCCACAAGGAGAATTACAAACCACTGCTCAATGAAATCAGAGATGCCACAAATAAATGGAAAAATATTCCATACCCATGGTTAGGAAGAATCAGTATTTTTAAAATGACCATATTGCCCAAAGCAATTTGCAGACTCAATGCTATTACTATCAAACTGCCAATGACATTCTTCAGAGAACTAGGAAGAAGTATTTTAAAATTGATATGAAACCAAAAAAGAGCCCTAATAGACAAAGCAATCCCAGGCAAACAGAACGAAGCTGGAGGCATCATGTTACCCAGTTTCAACTATACTACAGAGCTACAGTGACCAAAACAGCATGGTACTGGTACAAACAGACACATAGACTAATGGAACAGAATAGAGAGCCCAGAAATAAGGCTGCATACCTAAAAACACTGGATCTTCAACAAAGCTGACAAAAATAAGCAATGGGGAAATGATTCCCTATTCAATAAATGATGCTGGGATAACTGGCTAGCCATATGCAGAAGACTGAAACTGGACCCATTCGTTATACCATATATAAAAATCAAATCAAGGTGGTTTAAAGACTTAAATGTTGGCCAGGTGCTGTGGTTCATCCCTGTAATCCCAAAATTCTGGGAGGCTGAGGCAGGCGGATTGCTTGAGTCCAGAAGTTTGAGATCAGCCTGGCCAACATAGTGAAACCCCATCTCTACTAAAAATACAAAAAAGTAGCCAGGGTGGTGGCACATGCCTGTAATCCCAGCTACTCTGGAGGCTAAGATGGGAGAACCACCTGAGCCCAGGAGGTCAAGGCTGCAGTGAGCTGAGGTTGCCCCACTGTGCTCCAGCCTGGGCAACTAGAGTGAGAGCCTGTCTCAAATTTATTTAAAAAAAATGTTTTTAAGACTTAAATGTAAACCCCAAAACTATAAGAAACACTGGAAGACAACCTAGGCAAAATGACACAGGAGCTGACACACAAAATTTTCAGTAAAAAAAAGAGACTAACTGATGTGCTAGAGCTGAAAAACATGCTATAAGAACTTCAAAATGCCATAGCAAGTATTAACAGCATAATAGACCAAGCTGAGGAAAGAATCTCAGAACTTGAAGAATGCCTTTCTGAAATAAGACAGACAAAAATAAGGATAAAAGAATGAAAATTAATGAACAAAACCTCTGAGAAATACAGGATTATGATAAGACAACAAATCTACAAATCATTGACATCCCTGAAAAGGACATACGGAAGGCAAAAAAACGTGGAAAACATATTTCAGAATATTGTCTCTGAAAATTTCCCTAACCTTGCTAGAGAAGCCTATAGGCAAATTCAGGAAATATAGAAAACACCTGAAAGATTCTCCATAAAAAGATCATCCCAAGACACATAATTATCAGATTTTCTAAGGTTGAAACAAAAGAAAGAATGTTAAAGACAGATAGAAAGGGCAGGTCATCTGCAAAGGGAACTCAATCAGGCTAACAGTGAACCTTTCAACGGAAATCTTGCAAAGCAGAAGAGATTGGGGGCCTATAGTCAACACTCTTAAAGAAAAGAATATTCAACCAAAAATTTCGTATTCAACCAAAATAAGCTTCCTCAGCATTCCTGATTTGGCTCTTGGCTTGGCAATTGTTGGTGTATAGGAATACTAGTATTTTTGTAAATTGAATTTGTATCCTGAGACTTTGTGAAAGTTATTTAACACCTGAAGGAGCTTTTCGAAGAAAATTTTTGCCAACTATGCATCTGACAAAGGTCTAATATCTAGCATCCATAGGGAGCTTAAACAAATTTACAAGCAAAAGACAAACAAACAAAACATTAAAAAGTGGGCAAAGAACATGAACACTTTTCAAAAGAACACATACATGTGGCCAAATAGCATATTTAAAAAAGCTCAGAATCATTAATCATTAGAGAAATACAAATCAAAACCACAATATGCCATCTCACACCAGTCAGAATGGCCATGATTTAAAAGTCAAAAAATGACAGAGCAAGACTCTGTCTCAAAAAAAAAAAAAAAAAAAAAAAGTCACAAAATAACAGATACTGGTGAGGTTGCAGAGAAAAGCAAATGCTTATACACTGTTGGTGGGAGTGTAAATTAGTTTAACCATTGTGGAAAGCAGTGTGGTGATTCCTCATTAGTTTAATCATTGTGGAAAGCAGTGTGGTGATTCCTCAAAGTGCTAAAAATAGAACTACTGTTCAACTCAGCAATCCCATTACTACCCATTACATACCCAAATGAACATTAATCATTCTATCATAAAGACACATGCATGTGTACGTTCATCACAGTGCTATTCACAATAGCGAAGACATGGAGTCCACCTAAATGCCCCTCAGTGGTAGACTGGATAAGGAAAATGTGGTACATACACTCTATGGAACACTATGCAACCATAAAATGGAATGAGATCATGTCATTTGCAGGAACATGGGTTGAACTGGAGGCCATCATTCTTAACAAACTAATGCAGGAACAGAAAACCAAGTACTGCATGTTCTCACTTATAAGTAGGCACTAAATGATGACAAAACATGGACACCAAGAGGGGAACAACTGACACTGGGGCCTATTTGAGGGTGGCAGGTGGGAGGGAGAGGAACAGAAAAAATAACTATTGCGTACTTGGCTTAATACCTGGGCACCAAAATAATCTGTACAAGAAACCCCCATGACATGAGTTTACCTGTGCACATGTACCTCTGCACCTAAAGTACAAGTTTTCTAAAAAGCCTATTACTTAAACATAATTTCTCATCTAATGTATAATAGTAAAGATACATATGTACATGTCCTAAATTTTCTTCAAAGTTTTTAAATGTAAAAAGGTAATTTTATTATTTGCAGAAATGATTGTTTCATCTATTTACTTGTTATTTAGAATTCATATAGAATTTTTTAAAAGATACACTGAAAGAAATTGTTTTAGTAAAAATACGTAGACATTGAATTATTTAGCTATCCATGCATAATTTAGATAATTGCTTTTAGAAGATATCCTGTTTTATGAAAGTCTGTAAAAGGGAGATTAAATACTGTGTTTTCTTAGAAGATTTCCTTTTCAAACATTTTTGGCATGTTATGATAATTTTCCTAAAACTATGAATATTAGGCCAATTTACTGGTGCCACTGTGAAAACTCTATGAGATGCTTTATGAAAATCGTATCATTTGTACTTGATATTCCCAGAGAAATTTAATTATAATTAGTCAATTTGTACATTAAAAGATATTGTGTTCAACTTTAAATATAAATGGAAGCACAGAAAGCAGTGACAGCAGAAACTTAATTCCATGTTAAATGATATCAAAATAATTGGTCAAGAGGAAAAAAATTAGGGAAGAAGGAGTTGAGAGCAAGCAGAAGGTGTCAGAGTGGTGTCTGCATACTGCAGGTGGCATCAGTTAGGACATGAAATGAGTTTTCAGGTGAATAAGCACGGAGTTAATCAATTTGAAAAGAAAACTGATTTTACACCTACATATCCACAATTCTTTATACAAAACATTTGGGGCAAGATGCATATGGAAAATGGAATCCTTTGGATTTTAGCAAGGTAACAAGGAAAATGTACTTTATGATATAAAACATCTCAGTAGGGTTTGGACAGCATCTTACAATTAAACACATTACTATTTCTTTATATAAAATATGTCTTTTCAAATACCACAGAATAAATAAAGACCATAACTATTCACATATCAGTTTTGGTTTGGTTTTGCCAGCAAATGAGTTCCAGTGACATTACAGTGTGCTGCCAAATGAGAGTTAACAAAAAATAAAAGCAACAAAAACAAAAATAATCAAAAACAAAGCAAAACAAACTTTTTATTTTCAGAGTTCAGATTTTAGAACTGTAGATAAAGGACTGAGGCCCTGTAATATATGTGTGTTTTTATAGTGTCCGGCTTATCCTCAAATTGTTTTAGGAGAGAAAAAATTTATTCACCTGAAAATATTAGAGATTGTGTTACTATAACATGTAATCCAGAGATTCAATTTTGCAGTTCAGGTAGCACAGCAGCAAAGGAAAAATATTAAACCAATATATGTGCAAAGGGCAGTTAAAAGACAAATTTGTGTGTAGGGGTAAGTAGGAGGTCTTAGCAGGCAAAATTCAGAAAGACCAAGAAAAAAATTTCTTGTTGCAGTTGTGCAGGTGTTTTTAGCATGATTATTGTCCATTCACCTCCAACTGAGGTCCTATGGATGAGATTCATCAGTGTGAAGACAATGACAATAGTATGTGATAGATGTAGTGTTAGTGGTATGTCTCAGCTTCCATAGACCCTGAGGCAGAAGCACTTACTTTTGCTGAAGACTAGAGGAGGCCTTACTGAGGAAGTCCTGCTTAAGTTGAGTCTTGGTAGATGAGTCATCTTTCAGTCAGACTGCCGGAACTTCAGTGTGCTTTGATGCATGGAATAAGGAACTGTGGCTGTAGACATGTTGCTATTGCATATATTGAATACTGGTGACTCACTAGCAACAGTTGGGTCTGTTCACAAAGGAGACTGAACAGACCAGTGTAAGAACCACCTTTCCTGGTCACAGCTGTGGCTATTTCACTGAGTATGGCCATTTTGTTAATTACCTAGATTTTATTCCAGCACTTTCTTAGTATGCTAACTCTGCTCTTATAGCTTAAGTTTCCCCCATTTGTATTCACCTGCGTGTTTCAATCCTGTTAAGTGGAGTTAGATGTGAAATGTGACTTGGAATCCATGGAAATTACTTTAAAAATTGTGATATTCTTCTATTTAACACAGGAACAGCCATGTAAAAACTACTGGAAAGCACTGTAGTCAAAGTTTGTTTTACCCTGACAAAAAAAGACCGAGTAAATAGACATTGTGAGCCTTGTATTTCAGCTGTGCATGATGCAACAGCTTCTTGCCAGCGAAATAGAGGAACCCTAAATAGGCAACAGTTGCAGTTACAATATTTGCTGAATCCAATACACATGAAATAATGAGGCAGTCGTCTCTAAAGGCTTGCAGACCAGCTGAGACAAAGCAGAGAAAGGAAAAAAAAATTCAAAAACAGAAAGAAATTGGGAACTAGCCAATCCACTGGTTAAGAATAAAAGGCTCAGTTGGGAGCTAAACGGGGCACATAGTAGCCTAGTCCGATGGCCTGAGCAAAGTAAAAGCTGAAAAACCAAAAACGAAAAACAAAACACTTAAGTCAGAAAAAGAGATAAGTCAGAAAAAGAGAGAGAGAAAGGAAAAAGAGAGAGAGAGAAAAGAGAGTAAGAGACTCTAAGACTCTTAAACATGACTATAGCTCCTAAGACGTAAAGGACTTTTTCAACTGAAGAGGTTAAGGAATTTTACCATGTTTCCATATTAGTACAATTTACAGGAAAAAAGCTAACATCTACCAGAGGCAGTCTGACTTTTCTTTCTTAAATGAACTACTGAAAATTTGTCTAGGCATATGTCCCAAAGATCATAGCTTATGAACCTAAACCGTTTGACAAACAAAGCACTGATGACTGGTCTTGTGATTAGATTCAATGAGCCTTCATTTAATATTGAGAAAAGAATAGTTAAAAATTTAGTATGTTATATTTTAAAAAGCTTCAGAAATTGAGCTAATTAATAACTTCAGACTTCATAGCCATAGCTCCATTTATTTAACTCTTTCATTCCTTCTCTCTCTTTTTCTTTTTCCTTCTCTTTTTTCCTTCCTTCCTTCCTTCCTTCCTTCCTTCTCTCTCTCCCCATACCCACTCTCTCTCCTTTTCATTCTTTCCTTTGTTACATTGCTATAGTTTAAGCAAGTACTGAGTAAAGTACTAGTAATTATTTTTTATTGTTGCTTAATCCAAGTAAAGACTATAGTGCTTGGGCATAATTGACTCAGTGGAGGTATAAAAATATAAATTACGTCTAGAGTTTTCACATTTCATTTGGTGTAAATTTTATATTTTGACTTTTAATATTTAGATTCATGTTTATTTTTTCTCTCAAAAATCACAGTCATGTATGGAAGCAACAGTCAAGAAGTTCCTAAATAATATTTATTAGTAAATTTATATATTTTTCAAAACAAACCTGGTTATGTTTTTCTTAAATGTATTCATAAAAGTTTCACTGAACTGTATTCACTACAAAATTTAATGATTTCTGTAAATTAGAAACACTCTTTTATTTCCTGGGAAAATTTGAGGAAAGTAGGCAATGATTTTGACTTCAATTTTTTCTCTATTTAAAATTAAAATGTTGAGTATTCTGCGTACAAGTTGCAGAATAGAAGATCACAGATTTCCTTCACCAAATTCTGACAAATATGAACACAATAACGGAGTTCTGCAAAATTTTTCTCATTGAAGTGCAGTCACATTCTCTAAAATGGTGGGTAAGCAAAGAACAAGAAAACTCTTAATGATAAAAGAGTGGACCCCAACTTTATGTCCCAATTCCCAGAGGAGATACTGGGGAAAGGAGGTAGGTAGAAAAAAATTGACATTCTTCCCTAATGCACACCCTTCCCAACACACATTTAATTCATTAGAAGAGAAGTTGACTGAATAAATAAACAGAAAAGTACTCAAAATAATCCCCTACCAATCATTAAGGATGTTAGTGTTTAAATATTTCAGTGCTTCAAAAGTAGATGCAGGAGAAAGTACCGAAGATTGCTACTTTCAGGGTTCTAAGTAGAAAATTTTCCAGGTTAGGAGTTATTTTCCTTAGAATTAAAATATGTTTCTGTTGATAAGGGTGTTTGGCTAAGTCCCCAAAGGAATTGCAACAAAAACAAAAACTGACATGTGAGACCAAATTAAACTAAAGAGCTTCTGCATAGTAAGAGAAACTATCAATAGAGTAAGTAGACAACCTACAGATTGGGAGAAAATATTTGCAAACTGTGCATTCATCAAAGGTCCAATATCCAGAATCAATAAGGAACTTAAACAAATCAACAAGCAAGAAACAACCCCATTAAATAATGAGCAAATGACATGAACAGGCACTTCTCAAAAGAAGTACAAGTAGTCAAACATATGAAAATATGCTCATCATCTCTAATTATCAGAGAAATGCAAATCAAAAACCACAATGAGATACTATCTCACACCAGTTAGAATGGCTACTATTAAAAAGTTGAAAACCAAAAGCAACAGATGCTGGTAAGGCTACAGAAAAAAAAAAAAAAAAGGAAAGAAACACTTAAAAATTCCTAGTGGGAATGCAAAGTAGTTCAGCCACTGTGGAGAGCAGTTTGGAGATTTCTCAAAAACTAAAAACAAAGCTACCATTCAACCCAGCAATCCATTACTGGGTAAATACCCAAAGGAAAAGAGATGATTATGCCAAAAAGACACATTAGTTCATATGTTCTTTGCCACACTATTCACAACAGCAAAAACATTTTATCAGTCCCTTCTTATGCTGCTAATAAAGACATACCCAAGACTGGGTAGCTTATAAAGGAAACAGGTTTTATTGACTCACAGTTCAGCATGGGGAGGCCTCAGGAAACTTACAATTATGGTGGAAGGGGAATCAAACACATCTTTCTTCACATGGCAGGAGCAAGAAGTTCAGAGTGAAGGAGGAGATAGCCCCTAAAACCATCAGATCTCATAAGAATTCAGTCACTATCAGGAGAACAGCATGGAGGTAACCACCTCCATGATTGAATTACCTCCTACTGGGTCCCTCTTAAGACTCATGGGGATTGTGGGAACTAAAATTCAAGATGAGATTTGTGTGAGGACAGCCAAACCGTATCATTATGCCCTTGCCCCTCGCAAATCTCATGTCCTCACATTTAAAAACACAATCATGCCTTTCAAACAGTTCCCTAAAGTCTTAGCTCATTCCAGCATTAACCCAAAAGTTCAAGCCCAAAATCACATCTGAGACAAGGCAACTCCCTTCTACCTATGAGTTTGTAAAATCCAAAGCAAGTTAGTTACTTCTGAGATACAATGAGGGCACAGGCATTGGGTAAAGGCACCCATTCCAAATGGGAGACATTAGCCAAAATAAAGGGGATCTAGGCCCCATGCAAGTCCTAAATCCAATAAGGCAGTTATTAAACCTTAAAGTTTCAAAATGATCTCCTTCCACTCCATGTCTCACATCCAGGTCACGTTGAAGCAAGAGGTGGGCTCCCATGGCTTTGGGCAGCTCTGCCCCTATGGCTATGCAGGGTACAGCCTCCCACCTGGCTGCTTTCATAGGCTGGTGTTGAGTGCCTGGGGCTTTCCAGGTGCACGTTGCAAAAGCTGTCAGTGGGTCTACAATTCTGGGGTCTGAAGAATGGCAGTCCTCTTCTCACAGCTTCATTAGGCAGTGCCCCATTGGGGACTCTGTGTGGGGGTTCCCACCCGACATTTTCCTTCCGCACTGCCCTAGCAGAGATTCTCTACGAGGGCTCTGCTCCTGCAGCACACCTCTGCCTGGATATTCAGGCACTTCCATACATCCTGTGAAAGCTAGGCGGAGGTTCCCAAACATCAGTTCTTGACTTCTGTGCACCTGCAGGCTCAACACCACGTGGAAGGTGCCAAGGCTTGGGGCTTGCACCCTCCGAAGCAATGACCTAAGCTGTAGCTTAGCCCCTTTTAGCCATGGTTGGGATTGCTGGGACACAGGTCACCAAGTCCCTAGACTGCACACAGCAGGGGAGCCCTGGGCCCTGCCCAGGAAATCATTTTTTCCTCCTAGGCCTTTGGGCCTTTGATGGGAGGGGCTACTGCAAAGGCCTCTGAAATGTCTCAGAGACATTTTCCCCATTGTCTTGTTGATAAATATTTGGCTCTTTGTTACTTATGCAAATTACTGCAGCTGCCTGAATTTCCCCCAGAAAAGGGGTTTTTCTTTTCTACTTGTTTGTTTCCCTTTGGAAAAATGGTTAATTTAGTATTCTTGCCAACTTTATAGAGTATAACTACCTGAATAACAAGAACCTACCATTTGTAGCTATTAAGATTACAGAAATTTGAGGGTTTGTGATAAATTACCTCCTTCAGTATTCTTGTGGTGACACAAACTAAACCACTGTCCAATCAAAAAGCATAAGTTCATGAGCTGCAAATAACTATCGAGTCATTCAAAATATAAGATGGATGAAATCTGTTATGACCAACAATATGTTTATTGGGACATCAATCAAAGTCCCTGATGGCCTTCTTGTAAACCTTCTGTAGGTAAGTCAACTGGCTTAGCAGGGCAAAACAGATGCCAGTCTTCCTTCCGGTAGATCAAGAATGCTAATTGGAATAGCATGACTCAGCAATAATCATCTCTAAATAAAAATTACTGCACCAGGAAACTGGCTGACCCCCAAATAATAGAAATTTAAAGATTCTCAAAAAGCCATGGGAAAAGTGAGAAGCAGAGAATTAAAATTTTTAAATAATAGCTTTATGACTGGTAGTGTAGTAAAATTTTATATTATCTCATTTAATCTTATGACTGTCCTTTCATATCAGTGTTACTCTCTTCATTTATAGATGAAGTAAGAGAAAATTAAAATGCCTACACCCAGCTAATAAATGTAAGCACACAAATTAGCAACTGTTATTGTCTAACTCCAGAGATCATGTGCCTTTAACTTAAAATTCAAGCTTTCTATTCTATTTGCTTCTTTGTCTATATCTGTAAGATTTTCAACCTTCTTTTAGAAATATAACTTAAATCCTTTCAATAAATTCTGAATAGTATTCTAAAACATATAATGAGTTAAAATAAAGCAATAATTACTTTCCGATTGGACTTCCATTTAAAAATTGTGTTGCATTACATAAATCCATTTTTGAGTTACTTGATTGTATTTGGCTTATGATTTCCCTAAGATACAAATTATAATTGATGTTTAGACATTCAAGAACAGAAAACTTCTGTTTAATCAACATTGCACTTCAGTTATAGTTTAGTTAATCCTAGATTATGAAATGTAATCCAGTATATTTCTGCAGAAAGAATGCAGAGTTTGGAATTACAAGTTGTTATAACAAGAAACATTTACTTAACTCACTGAATTATTAGGAACACCTCCCCACCAACCTGCTGGGCAATAATGAAAGGAGGGTCCTCTGCTTATAAGTTCTTGTCAATGCATGCTGAGACTTGGTAGGGATTCTTTCAAGGCCAAGACTCTGGGAGGAAATTGAGGTTTAAATGATGTTGGATGTGAACAGCCCTGAGAGTCTCATTCCCTGCAGTGAACCAGGCTAGCATTTTCTTTAGTCTTGAACCAGCAGCTAATGGCTTGATAAACTATGTGTTGTGACACATAGATGAGTCCTTGATTACTAAAAAAGCATCTAGACATTTAATTGGAAAATGTACATTACATGCCTCTTCTTTGCCTCTAGCATCAATACCACGATACTTGAAAACATTTACATACCATGGGAATGTGTCCAGAATGTTAACTAAATTCCTACAGTGAATTTCAGAAAAAGGACAGAAGAATCCTGATATCAAATAAGAAACTTTTTTGTAAATATTGTTTTTGTCCTAGATAAAAAATACATATGTTTATTTATCTCCTTTATGCATTACACTTATTCCAAATGTATTTATTGCTTTGTTAAATTATACATGTGAAGTGGCAGTACATTCAGAAATTATGCACACCAATATTTGCAAATTATGGAAATAAAGATTCCATGTGTGTGTATGTATATATATATATGAACATGATTTTTAAACACAAAACAGAAAAAGTTTATATTGCTGCCATATGTATGGAAGGTCTAGTGTTATCTTGGTCAAAAACTGTACTTAGAAAATTTCATAGATGATTCACTTCCTGGCATTTGAATAGATTAAAAACAATAGAAATTAAATAACCTCTCTGTCCAAAATTTAGCTTGAAATATTGACTAGTATATCTGATGTATGATATTCCCATTGAGAGAGGCAAAGAGTTCTTGTCTGGAAGATAATGAAAGCCAACTTTGGAAGAAACTAGAAAGTTCTTCCCTATTTTTTTTTCTTGGCTTGCCTTTTTATAACGTTACAAATGTCCATTATTTAAAGGAGATAGTTGTCAGGGTTTAGTCTTACAAAGAGCAGTTCAAGAACAGCTGAACTCTCAGTGTGTTGGTTTTTAGACACACCGAGTAGTTTTTTATCTCATACATCATTTACAATTTTCTGACATTCCATGCAGGATTGCACATATTTATTTTTCAACTTTTTGTGTGTGGAACTAAGAGAATATAATAAAAGAGGTACAACTAACTAAAAAGTTACTCTCCAGACTTTGACCCACAACTGTACAGCTTCCAGTTTTACTCTTTGAAATCCTTACTGGGTGGAGCAATAAATGGATAGTGAGGCAAAAGCATACTGAAGTATGTTAGTAGCAACCTACTCATTCAAAAAGTATTTAGATTTGTATTATGGCTACAGTTTCCTATTATCATTTTTGGTGTTAACAATTACTAACAACATATAGTTTTAGATAACTAAAAACTTTACATATTTATTGTTATTTAGGTAATTCTCTATCACTTTGCAATATCCAGGAAAAGAATGATTATTCCACAAAAGCATTACTTTTGATACATGGATTACTTGGATAGGCAATGTTTGCAGAGTTCACTCTCCAGTGAAGAAATGAAACTAATAATTGTAGTATCATCAGATGGGATTAAAATAAAGATATATACTAAATGCAAAAGGATTATAGGACAGTGGCATAAATTTGGAAGACTATGCCTTGGAAAGAGACATACAGCTTTATTACTTTTAAGGAATGTACATGGAATTTCTTATATATTCCCTATAATTAATATTATTTCTAAATTTATTAATATGACAACTTTGTTTTCTTTTCAGAATTATTGAGCTCTTGGGTAACAAATTCAGTAGATAATTTTTCAATTAGTTATTTAAAACTCTGGTTATACAAACTCTCTATGGTGTTTTATATATAATTTAGGTAAAAACAAGTAAAAGTTTAGGAAATAGGCCATTTTGAAAATCTAATTATATTTTCTTATCTAAGAAGTCCTTGTTACCAGCAATTTGGAGTATTCTCACAGTCAAACTGTACCCAATATATTAGCAATAAAAATTTTGTTGACTATAGGTTTTTGGTTTTGTTTTATAAGGAACCACTATCCACTCGAAATATGTTTAGTTGCAGTGTGGGCCCATGCCTAATTTACTTTGATTTCTCAATTACTATCATCTCTCGTCTTCACTTTGTGCTTAGCAAAGTTTAATTTTGTGGCAAGCAGATACATTTAAAAACATATTTCAGGAGTGAATTTTGAGCCATTACTGAATAAAAAAAGTTGGCAAATACTGTCCCCCCAACATCAACTATAAAGTGGATCAAAAATGACACCAAAAAACCTTATTTCAGCACTCTTGAAATTTATATGTGCTCTCTCCATGTCTATTCAACATGATCTTTGGAAGTTATAGCTAGTATAGTAAGAAGAGCAAAAAAAAAAAAAAAACTATATGTAGAAAATCCTGAGTACACGCACATTACACACACACATACACACATACACACACAGCTAGAAGTAATAAATGAATTTAGCAAGGTCCCTGTATGCAAGGTCAATATATGAAAATCTGCTTTAATTTTTTGTAATAAATAATCTAAAAGATGAAAATTTGAAAAGAATCTATTCATAATAGCATTAAAAAGAATAAAATTTTAAGAAAACACTAACTGAAGTAGGGCAAGATTTGTACACCAAAAACTACAAGACATTTCTATGATAAATTAGTACATGTCCTTCACATCCCTTGTAAGTTGGATTCCTAGGTATTTTATTCTCTTTGAAGCAATTGTGAATGGGAGTTCACTCATGATTTGGCTCTCTGTTTGTCTCTTATTGGTGTATAAGAATGCTTGTGATTTTTGCACATTGATTTTGTATCCTGAGACTTTGCTGAAGTTGCTTATCAGCTTAAGAAGATTTCTAGCTTAGGAAGCTAGAAAACGATGGGGGTTTTCTAGATATACAATCATGTCATCTGCAAATAGGAACAATTTGACTTCCTCTTTTCCTAATTGAATACTCTTTATTTCTTTCTCTTGCCTGATTGCCCTGGCCAGAACTTCCAACACTATGTAGAATAGGAGTGGTGAGAGAGGGCATCCCTGTCTTGTGCCAGTTTTCAAAGGGAATGCTTCCAGTTTTTGCCCATTCAGTATGATATTGGCTGTGGGTTTGTCATAAATAGCTCTCATTATTTTGAGATACGTCCCATCGATACCTAATTTATTGAGAGTTTTTAGCACGAAGGGTTGTTGAATTTTGTCAAAGGCCTTTTCTGCATCTATTGAGATAATCGTGTGGTTTTTGTCGTTGGTTCTGTTTATAGGCTGGATTACATTTATTGATTTGTGTATGTTGAACCAGCCTTGCATCCCAGGGATGAAGCCCACTTGATCATGGTGGATAAGCTTTTTGATGTGCTGCTGAATTTGGTTTGCCAGTATTTTATTGAGGATTTTTGCATCGATGTTCATCAGGGATATTGGTCTAAAATTCTCTTTTTTGGTTGTGTCTCTGCAAGGCTTTGGTATCAGGATGATGCTGGCCTAATAAAATGAGTTAGGGAGGATTCCCTCTTTTTCTATTGATTGGAATAGTTTCAGAAGGAATGGTGCCAGCTCCTTCTTGTACCTCTGGTAGAATTCGGTTGTGAATCCATCTGGTCCTGGACTTTTTTTGGTTAGTAAGCTATTAATTATTGCCTCAATTTCAGAGCCTGTTATTGATCTATTCTGAGATTCAACTTCTTCCTGGTTTAGCCTTGGGAGAGTGTATGTGTCGAGGAATTTATCCATTTCTTCCAGATTTTCTAGTTTATTTGCATAGAGATGTTTATAGTATTCTCTGATGGTAGTTTGTATTTCTGTGGGATCAATGATGATATCCCCTTTATCATTTTTTATTGAATCTATTTGATTCTTCTCTCTTTTCTTCTTTATTTGTCTTGCTAGTGGTCTATCAGTTTTGTTGATCCAGGGATCTAGAACTAGAAATACCATTTGACTCAGCCATCCCATTACTGGGTATATACCCAAAGGATTACAAATCATGCTGCTACAAAGACACATGCACACATAAATTTATTGTGGCACTATTCACAATCGCAAAGACTTGGAACCAACACAAATGTCCATCAATGATAGACTGGATTAAGAAAATGTGGCACATATATACCATGGAATACTATGCAGCCATAAAAAAGGATGAGTTCATGTCCTTTGTAGGGACATGAATGAAGCTGGAAACCATCATTCTCAGCAAACTATCGCAAGGACAAAAAACCAAACACCGCATGTTCTCACTCATAGGTGGGAATTGAACAATGAGAACACATGGACACAGGAAGGGGAACATCACACACTGGGGCCTGTTGTGGGGTGGGGGGAGGGGGGAGGAGTAGCATTAGGAGATATACCTAATGTAAATGACGAGTTAATAGGTGCAGAACACCAACATGGCACATGTATATATATTTAACAATCCTGCACATTGTGCACATGTACCCTAAAACTTAAAGTGTAATAAAAAAAATTAATACATGTCTAAACAAATGAAGAGTGACCTATGTTTATGGATTGGAAGACTAAATATTTTCAAGATTACAATTCTTCCCAAAGTGATATACAGATTCAACACAACCGCCACCAAAATTTCAGAAAACTTTTTTTTTTTTTTAGATACTGGCAAGGTGATACTAAAATGCAAATGGAAGGGAGAGTAACTACAATAGCCAAAACAATTCTGAAAAAGAATGAACAGTGGATTCACACTCCCTGATTTCATGACTTATTTACTAGTCAAGATATTTGACATTTGTATTGAAAAAATGATAGAAAAAAGAGCAATGGGACAGGATAGAAAAACCCAAAAATAAGCTCACACAAAAATATAGTAAACTGATGTTTGACAATGGTACAGAGGCAAATGGAAAAAAAATATTATTTTCTGCAAATGGTGTTGGAAAAATTCAATGTCTGTGCAAAATATGAAACTTAACAAATACTTTGTATTTATTAAAATTAACTCAAAATATATCAGAGAACTCAATTTAAAACACAAAACTATAATAAATTTTGAAGAAAAGAAAAATTTTTGTTTTCTTGGGTTAGGTAAATTGCCAGATATGACATCATCAGTAGGATCAATATAAGAAACAAAATAAATTGGGCATTATCATTTAAAACTTTTGTACTTCAAGGGACACCTTTAAGAACATAGAAACAGAAACCACAGAATGGGAAAAATTTCATATAACATATTCTATGAAGGACATGTTTCCAGAATATACAAATAACTCTTAATACTCACCAATAATAAAATCAACCAAATTAAAAAATGAGCAAAAAACTTAATATTTTACCAAAGCAAATAAACAAATGGCTAATAAGTACATAAACTGTTGGTTGGTATCATTACTTCTTAAGGACATACAAATTAATTTCCATGTCACACCTACTAGAACAGCTATAATAAAAAATACATAACATCAAGTATTAGCAAAGATGTGGGCAAAGGAAATGTCACACATTGCTGGTGGGAATATAAATGTTTCAGGCACTTTGAAAACAGTTTGACAGTTTCTTTTTTATTATTATTGTTATACTTTAAGTTTTAGGGTACATGTGCACAATGTGCAGGTTCATTACATATGTACACATGTGCCATGTTGGTGTGCTGCACCCATGACAGTTTCTTAAAGTGTTAAACATACATTTACTATAAGATCCAGTAATTTCACTCGTAGGAATCTCCCCAAGAGAAATAGATACATAGAAATTAATTTTTAAAAGCTTGCACGTGAATGTTCATGGCAGCATTATTTATAAGAGCCAAAAAGTGGCAACAATCCAAATAAATATCCTTCAACTTGTGAATGGATAAACAAAATGTGGAACTCCATACAAGAAATTACTTTTGATAATAGGAGGAATGAATCACTTATATACAGCATAAATGCAAACCCACTCACAATACTATAAATTACATGATTTTATTTGCTTATAAGAACTCCAGAAAAGGCAAACATATTGAGACTAATGGGAGATCATTGTTTGCCTGGAGTTAGGGGTAGATAGGAATAGTAACTGCAAATAAGCAGGAGGAATTTTTTGGAGTAATAGAAATTTTCTAAAATTGGATTACCAAGGTAGTGGTCCAACTATGTAAATTTACTATAAATCATTGCATTACAACATGTACAATGGTTAAATTTTATGACATATAAATGATACCTCACTTAAGCTGTTAAAAAGCAGCAATCTTATGAAGAAAGAATAGGAAAAAGCACGGGAGTGAAAAATGTAAGCACATAATTTCCAAGCCTAGCTAAATTTTCTTTGTTTTGTCATTTGAATGGATCTGAGTTAGACCCCTATCTCTCATTCTGCCTTCTCAAGCAGGCAGTTTTGCCTTTTGTTAAGGGCTTGGTCTTAGATGCCAGAAGAAATAGATTGGAGTAGTTGCTTGCTACTTGTGAGCTGAGTAATTTTGCAAATATTTCCTAAGGTTCAATTTCTTTATATGATAGTAATTATTTTAAAGAAGATGTTTAAGGAAAAATTAGTAAATGCATGTAAGGAATCTAGCACAATTTGCCCCGGTTACGTTTGCCCCCTTATTGTTTTCTCTTACTAGTAACCAAAGGCAGCGTAGAATGTTACACCATGCATAAAGTGTGCATGGGAGGCTCCCTTAAATATGCTCATGTGTCTATTAAAGCATCTAAATTTCTTCATTTCCTCTTTTTCCCCTCTGGCTCCAAAAATACAGGAGGTCACTATTAAATGGAAAAGTTTAGCTGAATCTAAACTCTAGGAATACAATCTAGGATAGTCAACAAACAATGAGAGAGATCTATAGTAATGTGGGAAGAAATAATGACCTTTTTTTGTTACTGAGAATTACACAGTTCTTGCATGAAATTAGCCATTTCTGCAGTGACAGTAATGTCTGCATTCTGGCTCACCATGGCTGTGAGTACACACAGTTCTGCCTCCTCTTCCGCCACAAACATCAATGAATGAATGACAAATATATGTAAGACAGTATTCACAGCAGCACTGAGAATAGAAGCAGAATCAAGAATGTTTCAGAAATTATGATAAATTTTGGAGACAAAACCCAATTTTTTCATATTGTTGAAAAACCAGAAAAAAATGTTTCTGTTAAAACAGAAGATGTCCTTTTTCCATCAGAGCTGTAGAGACATCAAGCTTGAAATGGGAGCGCTTTCTTCATAACCCCTAGGTTAGCTTATATAACATACTCCTGAGCACATCTCCTTCTAACACACACACACACACACACACACACACACACACACACAGGGGTTAGGGGGTGGCTGAGAAGCAGCAGTGGTCTTTGCTCTTAATTATACAGAAAAACAACAACAACAACAACAACAGGCCCTTTATAGAAATTGAATAATCTCCCAGGGGAGAACCAAGGTTTTTAGTGTACATACTGGTACCACCAAAAAGTTTTTACTTTGCCATTTGAATGAATGTGACGATAGCTGGGCTGTGTATACCCAATATAGGCAAACTTCCCATTCTACCTTCAAAAAGCCTGACAATCAATAGTTCCCTGCTCTCCACACAGAAGTGTCAATTCTCCTCTTCCAGGTAAAGGTGATCATGAAAAGAAGGCCTGTTCAAAGCAGAAAACCTTGTGTCACTGACTTTTGTAAATATGGCTTAACACTTATAAAAATAAACAGCAATTAAGGACTGCTGGACATTTACATAAACTGTTATCACACAAGAAAATGGCCCAAAGAAATACAACAAAGAAAAAACCTGACCTCATGAACATCAGACGGGCTTTTGGTTAAACAAAGAGAAAATTTTTTAATTAAAAAATTGTAATTAGAGGATCTACTGAGGAACATTCTGTGGAACTCATATACATGTTTTAAGTGAAGCAGCCAGATGCAAAACAGCTATATGCTGTATGATTCCACTTATATTCTGTTCTGGAAAAAAGTCCAGAGAAGATAACCATAGGGTTCAGGGATTTGGGGTGAGATGAGGGAAATCCCACAAAGGAGCAGCAAAAGGGAATTTTTAGGGAGTGATGGAGCTGTTCTGTATCATGATTATAGTAATGGTTGTAAAGCTCTATCAGATTTCAGAACACATGGAAATATAAATTGCTAACAACATTTTTCTGTATGAAAATATACAAATAATTTATAAAATTTCTAATTAGCATTCTCACAAAGACTAGGGAAGGTAGCACTTTTTTAAAGAAGAAACCAGAAGCTTCTGGGAAGAAGAAACATTCAGAAAACAGGAGCCAAATATAAATTTCTCTAAATATTACTGTTGAATTGTTTTTTTAAAAAACAACTAAGAAGCCCTCCGTTTCCCTCTGTGTGTGTGC
This sequence comes from Homo sapiens, assembly GCF_000001405.40. Taxonomy (NCBI): domain Eukaryota; kingdom Metazoa; phylum Chordata; class Mammalia; order Primates; family Hominidae; genus Homo; species Homo sapiens. The sequence goes on from NC_000013.11 coordinate 54,043,374, forward strand.
GTGCATGTGTGCATGCATGTGTATATGTATGTTGGTGGGAGAAGGACATTTTGAGAAAGAAGTCTTTTAGGTGACTTATTATAGTGGTTGTGGGAGAAGTTTAAAATGTACATAGGAAAATAAAGACAAAGACAAAAATTGGAAAATCTGAATGCAAAATTAAGAGAAATGTATAGTCCTCACCCTTGTAATCCCCTCACTTTGGGAGTCCTAGGTGGGAGGATCCTTTGAGGCTGGGATTTCAAGACCAGCATGAGCAATATAGTGAAACTCTGTCTCTACAAACAATAAAAATACTTGCTGGGTGTAGTGGTGTGCACCTGTAGGTCCAGCTACTTAGGAGGCTGAGGCAGGAGGATAGTTTAAGCCCAGGAGGTCAAGACTGCAGTGAGCCATGATCACATCACTGCATTCCAGCCTGGGTGATAGAGGGAAGTCTCTTTTTAAACAATAAAAAAAGAGGGGGGTCACTTCCATGATGGTGGAATGGGAACAGCTCCAGTCTGTAGCTCCCAGCAAGATCGGCGCAGAAGATGGGTGATTTCTGCATTTCCAATTGAAGTACCTGGTTCATCTCACTGGGACTGGTTGGACAGTGGGTGCAGTCCACAGAGGGCAAGCTGAAGCAGGGCAGGGCTTTGCCTCACCTGGGAAGTAAAAGGGGTCAGGGGATTTCCCTTTTCTAGCCAAGGGAAGCCATGTTAGACTGTACCTGAGGAAACGGTACACTTCTGAACAAATAATGGGCTTTTCCCATGGTCTTAGCAACTGGCAGACTAGGAGATACCCTCCCGTGCCTGGCCTGGTGGGTCCCACACCCACAGAGCCTTGCTCACTGCTAGCACAGCAGTCTGAAATCAACCTGCGACACTGCAGCTTGACGGGGAGAGGGGCATCTGCCATTGCTGAGGCTTGAGGAGCTCACAGTGTAAACAAAGTGGCCAGGAAACTCAAACTGGGCAGAGCCCACCACAGCTCAGCAAGGACTATTGCCTCTCTAGATTCTACCTCTGGGGGCAGGGCATAGCAGAAAAAAAGGCAGCTGACAGCTTCTGCAGACTTAAATGTCCCGGTCTAACAGCTCTGAAGAGAGCAGTGGCTCTCTCAACACAGCGTTTGAGCTCTGAGAATGGACACACTGCCTCCTCAAGTGGGTCCCTGACCTCCGTGTAGCCTGACTGGGAGACGTCTCTCAGTAGGGGTCAACAGAACCTCAAACAGGTGGGTGCCCCTCTGGGATGAAGCTCCAAGAGGAAGGATCAGGCAGCAATATTTGCTGTTCTGCATCCTCTGCTGGTGATACACAGGCAAACAGGGTCTGGAGTGGACCTCCAGCAAACTCCAACAGACCTGCAGATGAGGGTCCTGACTATTAGAAGGAAAACTAACAAACAGAAAGGAATAGCATCAATATCAACAAAAAGGACATCCACTCCAAACTCCATCTGTAGGTCACCAACATCAAAGACCAAAGGTAAATAAAACCACAAAGATGGGGAGAAACCAGAGCAGAAAAGCTGAAAATTCTAAAAACCAGAGCACCTCTTCTCCTCCAAAGGATCACAGCTCCTTGCCAGCAAGGAAACAAAACTGAACAGAGAATGAGCTTGACGAGTTGACAGAAGTAGGCTTCAGAAGGTCGGTAATAACAAACTTCTCTAAGCTAAAGAAGCATGTTCTAACCCATCACAAGGAAGCTAAAAACCTTGAAAAACGGTTAGATGAATGGCTAACTAGAATAAACAGTCTAGAGAAGAACTTAAATGACCTGATGGAGCTGAAAACCAAAGCACGAGAACTTCATAACACATGCACAAGCTTCAATAGCACATTCGATCAAGTGGAAGAAAGGGTATCAGTGATTGAAGATCAAATTAATGAAATAAAGCAAGAAGACAAGATTAGAGAAATGAGAGTGAAAATAAATGAACAAGGCCTCCAAGAAACATGGGACTATGTGAAAAGACCAAATATATGTTTGATTGGTGTACCGGAAAATGACAGGGAGAATGGAACCAAGTTAGAAAACACTCTTCAGGATATTATCCAGGAGAACTTCCCTCACCTAGCAAGGCAGGCCAATATTCAAATTCAGGAAATACAGAGAATACCACAAAGATACTCCTCGAGAAGAGCAACCCAAAGACACATAATTGTCAGATTCGCCAAGGTTGAAATGAAGGAAAAAATGTTACGGGCAGCCAGAGAGAAAGGTTGGCTTACCTACAAAGGGAAGCCTGTCAGACTAACAGCAGATCTCTCAGCAGAAACCCTACAAGACAGAAGAGAGTGGGGGCCAATATTCAACATTCTTTAAGAAAAGAGTTTTCAACCCAGAATCTCATATCCAGCCAAACTAATCTTCATAAGTGAAGGAGAAATAAAATCCTGTACAGAGAAGAAAATACTGAGAGATTTTGTCACCACAAGGCCTGCCTTATGAGAAAGAGCTCCTGAAGGAGCACTAAACATGGAAAGGAACAACCAGTACCAGCCACTGCAAAAACATGCCAAATTGTAAAGACCATTGATGCTGTGAAAAAACCACATCAATTAACAGGGAAAATAACCAGCTAACATCATAATGACAGGATCAAATTCAAACATAACAATATTGATCTTAAATGTAAGTGGACTAAATGCTCCAATTAAAAGGCACAGACTGGCAAACTGGATAAAGAGTCAAGACTCATTGGTGTTCTGTATTCAGGAGAACCATCTCACATGCAAAGACGCACATAGTCTCAAAATAAAGGGAGGGAGGAAGATCTACTAAGCAAATGGAAAGCAAAAAAATAAATAAATAAATAAATAACAGGGGTTGCAATCCTAGTCTCTGATAAAACAGACTTTAAACCAACAAAGAGATCAAAAGAGACAAAGAAGGCCACTACATAATGGTAAAGGGATCAATTCAACAAGAAGAGCTAACTATCCTAAATATATATGCACCCAATACAGGAGCACCCAGATTCATAAAGCAAGTCCTTAGAGACCTACAAAGAGACTTAGATTCCCACACAATGATAATGGGAGACTTTAACACCCTACTGTCAATATTAGACAGATCAATGAGACAGAAGGCTAACAAGGATATCCAGGACTTGAACTCAGCTCTGGACCAAGCGGACCTATTAGACATCTATAGAACTCTACACCCCAAATCAACAATTCTAAAATTGACCACATAATTGGAAGTAAAACACTCCTCAGCAAATGTAAAAGAACAGAAATCACAACAAACTGTCTCTTAGACTACAGTGTAATCAAATTAGAACTCAGGATTAAGAAACTCACACAAAACCACACAACTACATGGAAACTGAAAAACAAGCTCCTGAATGACTACTCAGTAAATAACAAAATGAAGGCAGAAATAAAGACTTTCTTTGAAACCAATGAGAAAAAGACACAACATATTGGAATCTCTGGGACACATTCAAAGCAGTGTGTAGAGGGAAATTTATAGCACTAAATGCCCACAAGAGAAAGCAGGAAAGATCCAAAATTGACAACCTAACATCACAATTAAAAGAACTAGAAAAGCAAGAGCAAACACATTCAAAAGCTAGCAGAAGGCAAGAAATAACTAAAATCAGAGCAGAACTGAAGGAAATAGAGACCCTTCAAAAAATTAATGAATCCAGGAGCTGGTTTTTTGAAAGGATCAACAAAAGTGATAGACCGCTAGCAAGACTAATAAAAAAGAAAAGAGAGAAGAATCAAATAGATGCAATAAAAAATGATAAAGGGGATATCACCACTGATCCCACAGAAATACAAACTACCATAAGAGAATACTACAAACATCTCTATGCAAGTAAACTAGAAAATCTAGAAGAAATGGATAAATTCCTCGACACATACACTCTCCCAAGACTAAACTAGGAAGAAGTTGAATCTCTGAATAGACCAATAACAGGCTCTGAAATTGAGGCAATAATCAATAGTTTACCAACCAAAAAGAGTCCAGGAACAGATGGATTCACAGCCAAATTCTACCAGAGGTACAAGGAGGAACTGGTACCATTGCTTCTGAAACTATTCCAATCAATAGAAAAAGAGGGAATCCTCCCTAACTCATTTTATGGGCCAGCATCATCCTGATACCAAAGCCAGGCAGAGATACAACCAAAAAAGAGAATTTTAGACCAATATCCTTGATGAACATTGATGCAAAAATCTTCAATAAAATACTGGCAAACCAAATCCAGGAGCACATCAAAAAGCTTATCCACTATGATCAAGTGGGCTTCATCCCTGGGATGCAACGCTGGTTCAATATATGCAAATCAATAAATGTAATCCAGCCTATAAACAGAGCCAAAGACAAAAACCACATGATTATCTCAATAGATGCAGAAAAGGTCTTTGACAAAATTCAACAACTCTTCATGCTAAAAACTCTCAATAAATTAGGTATTGATGGGACGTATCTCAAAATAATAAGAGCTATCTATGACAAACCCACAGCCAATATCATACTGAGTGGGCAAAAACTGGAAGCATTCCCTTTGAAAACTGGCACAAGACAGGGATGCCCTCTCTCACCACTCCTATTCTACATAGTGTTGTAAGTTCTGGCCAGGGCAATTAGGCAGGAGAAGGAAATAAAGGGTATTCAATTAGGAAAAGAGGAAGTCAAATTGTCTCTGTTTGCAGATGACATGATTGCATATCTAGAAAACCCCATTGTCTCAGTCCAAAATCTCCTTAAGCTGATAAGCAACTTCAGCAAAGTCTCAGGATACAAAATCAATGTACAAAAATCACAAGCATTCTTATACACCAATAAGAGACAAACAGAGAGCCAAATCATGAGTGAACTCCCATTCACAATTGCTTCAAAGAGAATAAAATACCTAGGAATCCACCTTACAAGCGACGTGAAGGACCTCTTCAAGGAGAACTACAAACCACTGCTCAATGAAATAAAAGAGGATACAAACAAATGGAAGAACATTCCATGCTCATGGGTAGGAAGAATCAATATCGTGAAAATGGCCATACTGCCCAAGGTAATTTATAGATTCAATGCCATCCCCATCAAGCTACCAATGACTTTCTTCACAGAATTGGAAAAAACTACTTTAAAGTTCATATGGCACCAAAAAAGAGCCCGCATCGCCAAGTCAATCCTAAGCCAAAAGAAAAAAGCTGGAGGCATCACGCTACCTGACTTCAAACTATATTACAAGGCTACAGTAACCAAAACAGCATGGTACTGGTACCAAAACAGAGATATAGATCAATGGAACAGAACGGAGCCCTCAGAAATAACGCCGCTTATCTACAACTATCTGATCTTTGACAAACCTGAGAAAAACAAGCAATGGGGAAAGGATTCCCTATTTAATAAATGGTGCTGGGAAAACTGGCTAGCCATATGTAGAAAGCTGAAACTGGATCCCTTCCTTACACCTTATACAAAAATTAATTCAAGATGGATTAAAGACTTAAATGTTAGACCTAAAACCATAAAAACCCTAGAAGAAAACCCAGGCATTACCATTCAGGACATAGACATGAGCAAGGACTTCATGTCTAAAACACCAAAAGCAATGGCAACAAAAGCCAAAATTGACAAATGGAATCTAATTAAACTAAAGAGCTTCTGCACAGCAAAAGAAACTACCATCAGAGTGAACAGGCAACCTACAGAATGGGAGAAAATTTTTGCAACCTATTCATCTGACAAAGGGCTAATATCCAGAATCTACAATGAACTCAAACAAATTTACAAGAAAAAAACAAACAACCCCATCAAAAAGTAGGCAAATGACATGAACAGACACTTCTCAAAAGAAGACATTTATGCAGCCAAAAAACACATGAAAAAATGCTCACCATCACTGGCCATCAAAGAAATGCAAATCAAAACCACAATTAGATACCATCTCACACCAGTTAGAATGGCAATCATTAAAAAGTCAGGAAACAACAGGTGCTGGAGAGGATGTGGAGAAATAGGAACACTTTTTCACTGTTGGTGGGACTGTAAACTAGTTCAACCATTGTGGAAGTCAGTGTGGCGATTCCTCAGGGATCTAGAACTAGAAATACCATTTGACCCAGTCATCCCATTACTGGGTATATACCCAAAGGACTATAAATCATGCTGCTATAAAGACACATGCACACATATGTTTATTGCGGCACTATTCACAATAGCAAAGACTTGGAACCGACCCAAATGTCCAACAATGATAGACTGGATTAAGAAAATGTGGCACATATACACCATGGAATACTATGCAGCCATAAAAAATGATGAGTTCATGTCCTTTGTAGGGACGTGGATGAAATTGGAAATCATCATTCTCAGTAAACTATCGCAAGGACAAAAAACCAAACACTGCATGTTCTCACTCATAGGTGGGAATTGAACAATGAGAACACATGGACACAGGAAGGGGAACATCACACTCTGGGGACTGTTGTGGGGTGGGGGGAGGGGGGAGGGATAGCATTAGGAGATATACCTAATGCTAAATGACGAGTTAATGGGTGCAGCACACCAGCATGGCACATGTATACATATGTAACTAACCTGCACATTGTGCACATGTACCCTAAAACTTAAAGTATAATAATAAAAAAAAAAAAATTAGCTGGCTGTGGTGGCGTATGTGTATAATCCCTACTACTTGGGAGGCTGAGGCAAGAGAATAGCTTGAACCTGGGAGGCGGAGTTTGCAGTGAGCCAAGATCATGCCATTGCGCTCCAGCCTGGGCAATAAGAGCAAAACTCTGTTTCAAAATAAATTAATTAATTAAATTAAATAAAAACCAAATTGCACAGTTTTCTAATTGAAGTTTCAATTAAATTCTGAGTAGGGAGGAAAAGAAGACTGCATACAAACACATATCCTTGTGAAAATGTTAACACAAAGGATAGCAATGCTTCTAGAGTATAAAGTGGTTTCTAGGGAAAAAAAAAAAGGCAGTTAAGAGTGGTTTAGATGGCTGTTATGTTTTGAATTTTGTCAGGTGAATTAGCTCCTTTTTTGGTGTGAGCACCATGACTGCATAGAAGATAACCTATAGTCCCTGTGTCCAGGGCTAATAATCTTTTCTAGAAACTAAAGAAATACCTAGGTATAGAAATATATTTTTAGAAACTGCTTTCTGAAGTAAATTAGATATTCTGAAAAAGTAAAACAGAGAAACCTATTTTTTCATCGAAATTCCATATAAAGCTTTACTTCTGTGCCAACTAAAACCTTTCCCAATGTGATGTCTTAGTGACTAACAATTTAGAATTGTCACTGAGATCAAGCACTTTGTGTGAGTGTCTTTGTCATTATTTGATGTCATCATATAAGCAACACTATGTTTTAGCATAATTCCCTTAAAAACACCATAATCAATACAAATGATAATAATTAGATCAAAAAGCTATTTTTCCTAACAAAGAGACTGTAGGCAAAGCCTTTGGTAGAGGCTGCCATTATCAGCAGGTGCTTTTAGCTCCACACTTGTCATTGAATTATAATACTAGACATTAGTATGAGTAATAATGCATTTTTTCAGGAGCTTTTTCTCTGAAGGCAAAATATGGAACATGGAACAGTATGTGGCTTGTTCAACTTACACCTAGCATATTTCAAATTGTACTGATACTCACAAGGCTGTAAAAACAAATGGCATGAAATATTAAAAGAAAATAATGAAAATAAACAATGACTTTAGGTACCAAATAGTACCAAATGACTCAGGTGCCAACTATGCAACCAAATAGTTAAGAATCCTCATTAAAAATATAAGTAATATTTTACTGAGTTTTTGGCATTAATTAACTGGCTTTTCCACAGCCTTTAGCATGATATCCTTAAAATCCTTGGATGTTTTTGAATCATAAAAGGGATGTGAAGTCATGCTCAGTATACTTCCAATTAGGGCTTTCTAGCATCCAAAGTGGAAATTCTTTAACCCATAGGTTGCTGGCTGGCAGCCTATAAGCCAAAAATAGGATGCTGATTATGTCACATTGTGATGTATAGTGTTCAAAAAACGGATTAAATTGTCAATATTTAACAATTATAATATAGTACCTAAAAACAAGAGTTTGCTGCTGTTTTGACAAGTTTAGAAATCTGCAATACTCGGTCTGCCTTTCTATAATAACCTGCAGCTAAGTAGCAGCTGACCTTGTCAAGAAGGATGTATGCTTCCTAATTTCCCGGAGGTTGGCCCCACATTTTCTTACACCTGACCCTCTTCCCTCCTTTACGTTATGTTTGGCTCCCAAAGCACTTGAGTGAGGGACCACTTAACAATCAGTCTATCAAATGACATGGGGTTATCAATCAGTTAATCAATTAATAACTAATTATTGAATAACTGATAAGTAACCCCTTATAAATCGATTAACAGATAGATAAACGCAGAGAGGAAAAGTGATTGCATAACTGAATTAATGCTCTGCAGCATGGACATATTTCTGTACCAAGGTCTTGCCATTCCTGATTCTATCTTATTCCTGTTTAATTTTTTTAAATTAAGAATTGCTGCATTGTGTATACACAAAATAGCAAGCTATGTCATTAGTCATTCTGAAGTTATTATAAACAAGATTTCATAATAAGGCATGCAAAGATCGAGAGGCAGAAATAAGCCTTGTCAAGAAATTGATATATGATATAGTTAAATACTTCATTATCTGAACATTCATAATAAGTATAATAATTTTGTGTTGCCAGGGTTTATACAGGACCTTTACTATATCCCATGAAGATGTTCAGTCCTCTGTAAAATATTTGGTCTCTATTAAATATAAGAAGAAAAGAGGAAAACATCTTTCTGAATCTGTTTTTTTACAAAGAATCTGATTTCTCCAAACCAAATTCAAAACTTATGAGAATTAAGTCAGTTTGTTTTTCATGTAGAATTCCTTTATTCATAGACAATGAAATAATCAATATATTCTCCCAAATTGAACAAAATTTCCAAATGAGCTCATTCCCAGGATAAATGAAAAGACATAGGGACATTCAGATGTAAATGTTTGTGTACAAAGAAATTAGAGTTAGTGTTAATTTTTTAGTGGAGAAACATTTGGGAAAAAGCCCATGGGAGTAAACCAGAGACAACTTGTTTTAAAAACTGATAGAAGACATTTGAAAAACACAAACAACCAAGTGAACCCTACAAATCACAGATGACATATTTTCACAGGTAAATTTATAGTTTAACTCTTCCAACTCATTCTACTGTATAAGCTTGAAAGATAGTTTATTGGTTCTACGCCTGAGTGTAGAAATAAGCAGTGAGGATCTTCAGTTATAGAGCCCCAAATGCTCTGTTATGGTTGGAGTTTAAAGGGGTGTATGTAGTGGATGCAGAATGGAAGAGGGGAGAAGGAAGTAAAGTTTATTTACCATTTATTATAGCCACATAGTCCTACATTATCCAGCCATCAAGGGTCAAGCCACATGGCAACAGCCAGGTAACAATAATATTAGCTGATATTTTGAATATGAAAGCAGGAATCTAAACGTACAGGGTTCCTTTCCCTAACCACTTCTGGAGGTGCCAAAGGAATAGATACCAGTTCCAAAAATCTATGTCAGTTATTGCTGGTTATATCAGCCAGCCTTCGCACTCTGAACATCTGTTTCAGGTTCTTAGGAAACCAACTGCCAACCTGTGATGGACTTCTCTAAGTTTGCTGCTGCTTTGCACATACGGTTTTGGTTTAGTGATAGATACAACCATTCACTTAATTTTTCTAGGTACAAAAAAATAATAATAATAAGCAAAACTTTCTTGAACAAAGGACAAAGGTAATTACTTTGAAAACATGAAGTATCATTGTTTCTACTACCCACATACTACGGGAATTCTCTAAGGTTGGTTTATTCTTATCTCTCAGCCTGTCTGTCATCTGTGACAAGGGCCAGCTCACCTTTCACTTGACAGAAGGGCTGTGGAACATAATCCCAATCGACAACTCCAACTAACTTGCCCAACAGTATTTTTCATCACTCATTCAATGAAGGTATGTCTCCTTTCCTGTTCCAGATGATAGGCTGAAAGAAAGAAAAAATGTTTACCGTGACTCACAAGCTGTGTTATGACCCACATGGTTTCACAAAAATAATCAAAATACTGTGATTGCCAATGTATTTCCAAAGTCTGGATTATGTAACGTGTGAGGGAGTGTCAATAGTTTGAGGAAATATGCAGTAATCTAGTCCATGTGCTACTCATGACATTCCTTCTAGTACACAACAATGAGAAGATCAGTCTTCTGGATTGCCAGATCACTTGTGAAAAGTACTTGAATTAAACACACACACACACACACACTTGCTGGTATATATCTACAGTAGAATACTATTCACTCAGTGAAAGAAAATGAAATCTTGTCATTTGCAACAACATGAATGACCCTGGATGACATTATGTTGAGTGAAATAATCCAGGCTCAGAAAGATACACACTGCATGATCTCATTCATATGTGGGATCTAAAAATTTTGATCTCGTAGAAGATAGGGAAGGTCGAGCTGAAAGGGGAATAGGAAGAGGCTGGTTAATAGATATACAATTATAGCTATATAGGAGGGATAATTGCTAGCGTTCTATAGCACCGTACGGTGAATATAGTTAACAATTTATTGTGTATTTTAAAATAGCAGCAAGAGAGGATTTTGAATGTTTCCAAAGCAAAGATACAATATATGTTTGAGGTAACTGATGTGCTAGTTACCCTGATTTGATCATTTTACGTTGTATGCATGTATTAAAATATTATACTGTACCCCATAAATATGTACAATTATTATGTGCCAATTAAAAATAATAATAACATTTTAATGAGCATTAGTGTTTCTATCCTTCCTTAGGAAACTTATTTTTTTTAACTTTGTTATAGTGCAGTCTGACTAAATATAAACACAATTTACATTGCTAAGCAACACACCTAACATCTCAGCTTGAGCCTCTGTGTGGTGTTGTCTTGACATTTTTCTCCAGAAAGGAAGAGGTGAATAAAAACACTTGCTCTGCTTTCCTGTTACTTAAAACCCCATTGCGGCGATTTATTTATTGAATTGGGGCCACCACTCCAAAGAACAGAAAAAAAAATGTATGTTTCCTGGAACCTTTCTTTCAAAATTGGAACCCCCATAATGCTCTATTACATTACATACAAAATAGAGCCTAGTAAAAAATATTATGAAAAGTTTGTTGTACTTCCCCAAAACAGAGACCTATCGAATCCATATATTTTGTGCCCTAATCTTTAGGACAGGAATAGATTTCTTGAGTACTAAATCTTCATTCATTCTATCAAGAGATATTGATTTAACACCTATAGAATATTAGGTTCTGAAGGACATGGAGCTAGAGCTATAAACATATCAGAAGTTATCACTGCTTTCCTGAAGCTTCCAGGATAGACATTAAGATTGTGATTGTGATGTTGAGTAATTTAGAAAATATTATCAAGAAGCCTTTTATTTTCAATTCTCAAAATTTAGGATAAGGGTAATTATAGAAGTGATAAAGAATGTTGACTTACACTGAACTTAATAATAAACTATACCTATTTAAGTGTTGAAAAATATTGCAAATAAATTATTCTCACAATAGTACTATTGTAGGTAGGTCAGAAATTCTCATTCTTATTATCGTATTAATAAAATGATAGCTTAGAATAATTGATTATATAAACTTGCCTAGTGTAAGCTATTTGTCCACTCTGAGTGATATCAGTAGTGCTAAGTACTAGGGTTTGTAGTTTGTAGTGTAGTTTATATAAGATGAAGTATGAACTTTGGAACTTTAATTTTCTGATTTTATGGATGATGTTTTTTCTCTCTGCAGCATGCTAAGAAGGGAATTGTATATCATCACCATTATGATACTATTACTGTGGAGTTGGTTTACTTCTCTTGATTCAAATCTCTCTTTAAGAATGTGTAAAATACTTATGGCCATCACAGGGCTATTTGTGCTCTTAAATTACCAAATAATATATGTTTCAAAAATCATGGCTCATGTAACAATACCTTTGTTTTCACTAAGGAAAATGTATGTTTTATGGAACCCTCCTTAATTTCAAAATTAGAATGCCCATAACATTCTATTACATTATATACAGAATAGAGCCTAGTAAAAAATACTGTGAGAAGCTTGTACTTCTCCAAAACAGAGACTTCTTGAATCCGCATATTTTGTGATCTAATCTTTAGGATACGAATATATTTCTTGCGCACTAAATCTTCATTCATTCTATCAATGAATGTTCACTTTCTTTCTCATTTTGAGAGCTAAATGTAAGGTGTAAAGGAAATAAATAAGTTGGGGAATTATTATAGGAGAGAATAAGATTGGCAGAATAAGTCACTTATTGCATTAGTGGCATCTGCCTAAAATCATTCACCACTTCAAATACCACAAACCACAAACCATAGTACCTAGCACTGCTGATATCACTCAGAGTGGACAAATAGCTCACACTAGGCAAACCAAATTCTTTATTCCAACAATTTGAACCCAAGACCTAGATTTTCAGCTTTGTTTTGATCCTATGAACTATGCAGGGTCTATTTTTCTTATTTGCATAATTTATAATCTATTTCTGTTTCTTGCATACAGATAACAATAACTAAGACAGTCTCAAAATTCTGTCACATTATGGAGAGCAAAGAATGCCATGTATGGTCTAGTTTACAGAGAATTTAAGGAAAGCAAGCCTCAAGTTGCTTTTCATGAACTTTTCAGTTTCCACTTGAATCTGGAAAAAAAAAGTGAATATCATGAGAAACTTCTACCTTTTACCTAATCTTTTCTGTCTCCTTGATGAAACTGGGATGTAATAAATGAGGCAAGATGTCAGGAAAAATATTTCATTAAAAATGTTATGTTAAGAAAGAATAGCCAAAGGACAGTCCAGTGGATTTTCATCAGTTATGTTTTAGAAGAATAGAAATTAAAATCATCTACTCTTGACTGTGTAGAAGCCGATAACACTGCTCCTGGTGAATCATTACAATTTCAATAAGATATCCTTATGGGAATCAGCAATGGACATATGGTGACTGAGATCCTAGTAGTAAACTAATACTTCTCTTTGACAGAGATAAAAATGAGCTTCCTCTTTTAATATATCACAATATCTGAATATATTTTCTTTACTGTACATACACTACTCTCAGACAAGCAACAGACTTGCTCCTGGTTTAAAGACATGTCATGTAACTGCTCCAAAAATTTTTGCTCAATCAGTGGACCTGCCTGAAAAATATCCTAATTGTTCCATATGTGAGGTTTGAATGTAATTTCAGCTAATGAGTTATATTTTATCGAGGATAGCATTGCATAATTGGTTTTAATTTGTTTTGAATTGTAGTGCTGCAGTACCCCATAGAGTATACTCAATTGTCTGGCAAGAGTTCTGGGTTAGAATAAGATCAGTGGTGACAGCCCCACCTCCCCAAATAAATAAACAAACCAGAATCTATTTTTCTCATACCATAAGATGACTTTGATGTTTTGCTTGCTGTCAATTTACTGTCTGTATCATTATTGCCTTTATTCATATATGTTATTAGTATTCTTGTGATTTTCTGTTCATTGCCTCAAAAGAATGTGCTGGTATGGCAGAATCTATAAAGGAGACAAATCCCCACCCTGTGCATTTGAATGTCCAAGTAGATTGAAAAAAGAAGTCCAGCTATAAAGACACATGCACACGTATGTTTATTGCGGCATTATTCACAATAGCAAAGACTTGGAACCAACCCAAATGTCCAACAATGATAGACTGGATTAAGAAAATGTGGCACATATACACCATGGAATACTATGCAGCCATAAAAAAGGATGAGTTCATGTCCTTTGTAGGGACATGGATGAAATTGGAAATCATCATTCTCAGTAAACTATCGCAAGAACAAAAAACCAAACACCGCATATTCTCACTCATAGGTGGGAATTGAATAATGAGAATACATGGACACAGGAAGGGGAACATCACACTCTGGGGACTATTGTGGGGTGGGGGGAGTGGGGAGGGATAGCATTGGGAGATATACCTAATGCTAGATGACGAGTTAGTGGGTGCAGTGCAACAGCATGGCACGTGTATACGTGTATACATATGTAACTAACCTGCACATTGTGCACATGTACCCTAAAACTTAAAGTAAAATAATAATAATAATAATAATAATAATAATAAAATAAAAAAATAAAGAAAAAAGAAGTCCAACTTCAAGGCAGGAGACATGCACGTGATGCCAGAGGGCAAAGGAAATTCTCTCAAGGAAGTGAGGATGACAGTCATGCAATAAAGGAGGTCATTCATAAAACTTACGGGCCAGAAAAATTCAAACTGAAGTTTAATTGTTGTGTTATGAGAATTATATTTTTACTCAAGTGTTTTCCACTCATTTCCATGTTTTGAAAAATATGAAATAATTTGCAATTTTCACAGTTATTTATATTACAGCTTTTAAAAAATAAACAGTGGTTTTTGTTCAGGCTAGCAAGACTCCAGAATTACAATGAATCTGTATGGGAAAACACAGCAGTTTAACAAGCCTATGTTGGGGAAAACGCACCTTAAAATGTTCATGCACACTTTTAACCTTTCAGTACATATAACCTGTGCAGTTACTTGAATACTTTGGGAATGTTAATGTATGCTACATGTGATTAAAGTGTTTTCTTAATTCTACGAAACTCTGGTCAAGTAAAAAGATATGCAGCTGTAGAGTTACAGACCCTTTGTGATTTTTGTCAAATCCCTTTGCCTCTCTAGGTTTCTTCATCTATAAAATAGGAATAATAATAACCACATCAAAATTGCTGTTAGTCTAGAATATAAAAACAATTCTAAATGCAAGGGTTTGCTCATGAATTACCTATTGCAGTTCATCTGTACAGACATTTACTAAGAATCTGAAAGGAAAATATTCTACACATTGTACTTCAAAGATGTTGCTACTGACATATTGATAGATTGTCATGTATCTACTGTCAAGCACTTTATTAGAATTTAAAGATATAAATATAAAAATTATATAATCATTTGCCGCCAAAGTGCTCATAGTCGAGCAGAAAGCATATCTACAAAGCAAATACAAAGTGTTAAATTCCATATTATTGTTAATATAAAACTATGTGGGAGCACAGAGATTCGAAATTATTTCTGACTGAATTATCAAGTAAGGTTTTACTAAGACGGTCTCTTAATCTGTTTCTGTAAGATGAAGTTAATTTTTCTAGAATTAGAATAAGAAAGGACATTTGTGGCAGAAGGAGCATCTTGAGCAAAGACAATTTAAGGGACATGCAGTGTTTAGAATGAGGAGGGGAATGTAAATAAAAGGAGTCAATACTGAAAGCTCAAAGGCATATGAACTTTAATATCTATGCAATGAAGAACTGGATTTCACTCATACCATGCAATTTGTTAACTTGGCTATTCTTGTTTTTTAATATGTCAAAGTAGAACTAACAGTTTTTAAAATGGCTCATAAAGTTACTATCTATATAAACTCTTTTGAAAATAAAAGCTAATTTTACTACAATGAATATTATTTTATGTTGGCTTTGTATATTTATTATACATAGAAAAACAAGAATATACTTGCTAATACAAAGGGTATGTGTATTTAAATTTTCCATAAACATCTTTTTAAAGAAAAAAGACATGCAAAATTAGATATGTATTATACAAAATAACTCTGGTGGGATTGTCTGAAAGGAGAGAGACTTGAGGCCAGGTGATTAATTCAGGACAGAGATGGTATCATTTGTAACATGGTAGTAACTAGTAAATGAATAGTTGGGAAGCATACTTAATCAATATTTAAATGGAAAATCCATTGGCTGTGGTAAATAATTGCATGGAGAAAACTAGTAAATGTGGAAAGAAATACATTTTCTTATCTTGAGTAGAGTGATCAAGCAGAATTTGGAAGAAAAAAATAGTTTTGAAGTAACATACTATTTTTTGGATACCTTCAATTCAAGTACCACTAGGACATTTAGACTGAGTTGTTTGGCTAGTAAAGAGAATTTATATTGGTTATGTTACTTTGAAGTGCTTTCTATTTAGTTAAGTAAGTGTATACAAAATGCATTGTGTCAGTGAGCCATCATCTTGTAACAAACTATTCCAATCTTAATGTCTTAAATCAATAAGCATTTATTATTATTCAGCATTCCTTATTATTCTGTGGATCAGCTAGGTAGTTTTGCTGATCTGAGCCAAGCTCAGTTGATACCTAAGCTGGGTGGATTTACTCATAGATTTTTGGTTAGCCATTAGATCAGCCAGAGGATGGCTTTTCTAGGCTGACCTCCTTCATGTCTGGCATTCAACCTTCAACAGAGGTAACTGGGATGTCTTAGTCATGCATCTCATTATTCAGCAGATTAGCCCATACTTGTGCTCATGGTAGCTGAGCAGAGTTCCAGAGTTCCAAGAAAGTAAGCAAAAGTGTGAAAGACCCCTTGAAGCCTTTGATCTGGCAAATTACTACTACTTAATCTGTTAGATAAAACAAGTCACAAATCTAGCCCAGGTATAAAAGAAGAGAACTTAGAATCTACTACTTTATGGGAAGTGCTGCAAAGCCATATTACAAAGAATGAGATATAAGAAAAGATGGAGAACTGAAACCATTTTTGTAACTAAAGAATGGCAGTCATCAAATGCATATTTAATTATACAGTTGTTTGATTTAAAAAAAAGGTAAATAATCCTTCCCTTTAAGAAAAAAATCCCTAACGAATTAATCACGTCTATAAAACTCTCAGAGCACAGAAAGCTTGCTTAAAGGCCACATATAATTATTTGATGAGAACCATGTGATAAAGTAATTATGTAATTATGCATTAATTACTCAACAGAGAAAATGATTTATGTTTATTTTTAAAATTCAAAGTTGATCACCTCTCTTTTAGAAATCTTTTAACTGAAGAAATGCTAATGTTGAACAGTACTTCAAGTAATGTCACAGTTTTTTTTTTAACTAGTGTAAAATGACAAGAGATATATCCAGTGCTGTCAGGGAATATACCAGATATATAATTAAGGATGACCCACACCAATTCATCAAATGAGGGTAGCACCAGACTTTTAACACATTGATTGTTCCCTACTGTTCATATGTGAACACATTCATACAGAATGAACACAATAGATGTGTTCCTAACGGGCACAAGGCAGCGTACTGAGCAAACACAATTATGTGAAAAATATATAAACTATAAAAAATAAGCTTAAAAGAAAGAAATACTCCACAATTATTGAAAGTATGATTAAGATTACTATGATGGTCCAAATGGAATACTTTAAGTGAAACTGGACTACTAATAATTGGAGAGTAAAAGGGGGAATTTTCTAAGCAAATTGGGATATATAGTTAGCCAAACAATGCAGAACCCTTTAAGAAAGTATCAGTGGGGTTTACTGAGAAACTAATATACATTTTTGCTAATTGAGTCATCTTAAGCCAACTGTTTAATCTTTTCTACCTCAGTTTCATCTAAGTGTTAATCTAATTATTTTTTGTGCACTGTCTCACCTTTTTTTCTCATTTGTATTCCAAGAATCATTTACCCCCTCCTGTCTCATAGTGAAGCCTTAATATTTAAGACAACTAAAAGAAAGTTCTCTTTTCTTAAGCATGGTGAAATAATGCTTTTCCCTTCTTTCTTCCTCCCTTCCTTTCCCTCCGTCCCTCCCTCCCTCTCATCCTTCTTTCTTCCTTCCTTCCTTCCCTTCCCTTCCAAATGTCTAGATGACAGAGGCTCAAGGTAAGAAAAGAGAAAACAGTGTAGTGACAAATCAAGAGAAAGGACAAAATGAAAGTTAGAGAGCTTAGGAGGGAGCGAAAATAACACTAAAGGCTCTTCACTCTGCTTTTGTTGGCTCCACATCTGTAAATGAACTGCTGGACTCTGAACGTGTAAGCCCGGATGAAGAGCATCCAGTGAGTTCAGACACGGCTTGGAAAAAAGGAGCCTGAAGGAAATGAATGGAGCTGGTGAGAAAATTTCACCATGAGTTTGGCAGTGATGTACCTACTCTCACAGTTACTATTGCAAATGAAACAATTCCCTGGAAAATAACCAAAAACAAATGACACAAATCCAATCATTGAGCATTCACGCACACACATACACACACATTATAAGGATGGTGATTGTCATTGGTCTGGTGGATGTGAAGGATTTGGGCCTTTTTGAACAGGATCTCACAGGAAAGAGTTGCTGCCTGGGGAAAGTGCTGGCCACCAAGACAGAACTCCACTGATTTTGCTCTTCCTTGGCCTTGAAGCCTCAAAGACACGAACTCTAGTTTCTCAGAACAGATTGGACTCAAGATGCTGACTATAACCTAGAAACCTAAATAATTATTTATTTTAAAATAATCAGAAAAGAATATCAGACTGGACCTTAGCAAACACCCAGAACAACAATGTGAATTACTATGAAATTTTAATCTATAATCATTGGAACTCTAAAAAAGTTGAGGTATTAATCTCCATAATAATCATACACCTATAAAGATAGCTGTATCAAGAACTTGTAACAGCCTTAGAAGATACTCGCCACCTAGAGCATTTCTTGAGGAGGCATCTGTGGTTCTTGCTTTGCCTTGGTTTGAAGACTGGCAAACACCTTGTAATACTCCTTGTGTGCTTTTTCTGAAGGACAAAGATTTCCTTTAAATTGTTAGTATGTTCAATCAGAAAACAGGCTTGCTCTCCCACATTCCACTCTTTCTGTCACTTTAAAATAAGTGTTGGTTCCATACAGTATGTGTCAATTGCATAGTTTAATTTTCAAAACATAGCTTATTTTTGTAACGCCCAAGTTCTTCAGACAGGGATATTGGGAACACTTCTCTGTTGACTCCACAAATAGCCTATACCCACAAGCAGCTGTGAGCTATAACCACAAAAAAAGGAGTCTGAGTGGAAGTGAGACCCAGCTGATAGATTTTCTGTCATAATCTTTTCGTTATTCCCTCCTCTATTTCTCTATTACTCTATGTCTGCATGAGAAACAAGGGAATGAGGAAAAAATACATTAAAAGGAAGTCCAAGAATACTTGCATGGTTACTGAAATAGTTTGAGAGATAATCACAAAAGGAGCTGAAATATCACAAAAGGAGCTGATTACATACCACATATATATGTGATGTGTAAGCTATAGAAGACAGGGATGTTTTTCTGTGGCACTAATTATTTCTATCCCCAGTGCCTAGAATAGTACCTATAAAGTACTCAGTAAATATTTATGAAAATAATTCTTAATCAATTAACTAATAGAATACCATATTTAGTTTTGAGCGTTATATTTTATTTGAATATTAGCAAACTGGAACACATTAGAAAGCTAATTACCATGAAATCCAGAAAAGTTGAAGCTGTTTTAAGAATGCATGAATATTTAAATTAAAAAACCAGAATATTTGGGATGGAGCAACATATACACTGTCTTCAAATATGCATAAGGCCAGTAAGCATGGAAGAAATAAACAGACTCTTCTGTTACCCTAGAGGATGATGAGTAGAAGTTACAGGAGATTTCAGATTTTCGTGAGAAAGAGCTAATTTATACCCATGTATCATGTTTTAGTGATGAGCAATGTTTCACCATAATCAGATGAATTTGTAGCTTTCTTGTAAGCCTGTCCTCAACATTTTATGTAAGAATTTTATTTATTTAGCTTTTAACTTGTTTTTCATTATTAAGGGTTTAAATATTTTCTTGTCATAGTGTATGATTATATGCTTGCTTTTAGGGCGAGAAATCGGATTCCTTTTGTTTCTGTACTAAAAACCATTAAGAAATGTGCCTAGTGAGTTTGAGTATAAGGACATTAATAATACTCAACACCTTTAGACTACCTTTATCAGAGAAGTTCAATTATACAGATGTAATTGAACTTCTCTGATAAAGGTAGTCTAAAGGTGTTAAGTATTATTCCAGATGTAGGGGATCCAAGTCTTCTTTTTTTGAAAATATTACTTGAATAGCCCTTAGCTGGGATATGAAAACATGATATTAGTCAATTATGGAACCGGCTCAAATTTAAAAGCAAATAAATTCAGATAATAGTAGAATTTGTGAGATGGTATTAAAAGTTATGGGCATTAAGCAAGGCTAAGTAACTAGTGTACATGAATGTAAATGAGTGTAACTGATTTAAATAAAGCCAGACAAGTAGGAAGATAAAGTGCTCAAATAATCACAGAAATAATGTGAAAAGTTGCTCAAAAGTAATAATTGATTTGCAAGAGATTATTTCTAAATTATTTTCCTATCGTATTTAAAACACTTCAACAAAATTTAGATTCATGTATCACTTTTGAAGAATATATTTATTACGTAACATGAGATGTAACTAATTTGGAAAGTGGATATACAATTTTTATTTTAGTAAACTCTGTGTCTCTCTCTTTCTCTCTCTCTCTCTCACACACACACACACACAGATGCACATATGCCCTAACACCTATGTTTAAAGACTTCCTGTAGGTGTTCCATATTTTGCTTCTTTTCCTACATCTTCTTTTGTACATGAAAGAATTTTATTTATATCCATCCCTTTTTCTGTACTTTATATTCACACCTTTACCCACCTCAATCTGGTTTCCATTCCTATTAGTCACATAAAAAATATCACTGATAAATGTATCTGTGCCTGTAAGTCCAAAGGTCAATTTTGCTACTCAGTATTTTTTTATTTCTATTGCCTATTCCTTTCTGAATGGACACCCTCTTCCATTTCAATAGCCATACTTTACTACTGATTATTGCAGTTTCAGACCCCTCCAACTGGACAACAAATACTGGAGTGCCTAACATCTTAGACCTTGGTCCATTTAAATCCTCCTGGAAAATTTCGTACCCAGATATTTAATCCAAATCCATGCTCTTAATTAACATCAAAAATTGACTTCCCTAGCACCAAAATGTATGTCCACTTTCCTATCTAATGCCTTTCTTTGGCTGTGTTAAAGTATTTCAAATGCAATGTGCCTAAAATGTAATTTATGATCTTTTTCCTCATCTTCTTCTATCCTAACCTCTAAGTTGATGAATGCACCAACAGCTATTTAAGCACAAAAGAAATCCAGAACTCTATTTGTTATTCTTGACTCTTCCCCAACTCTGTTAATTTTTTATCTCAAATAGATTTTAGTATGCTTTATTCTCTCCGTCATCACCACCACCACCATCAAAGACCAGGCTATCATCATCTTTTCTAGACTATTATCTGTAACCACTATTTTTTTCACCTGCATCTTTTGGTTTCTCTATTATCTGTGGCAGCCTCAATCAAACCATGTCACATTTCTCTACTCCATTTAAAACATTCAAATCATTTTCCATTGTTTTGGGGCTAAATGCAAAACCATGCGATGGTGCATATAGGACCCTGCCTGTTTCTCCAGTCCAGTCTCATTTCACATCACTGTTTTACCTACTGTCTCTGCTGCAGTAATTCTATTCTTCATTCAGTGTTGCATTCTAGGTATGCTCCTTCTCATCACAGGCTTTTAAGAAAAATGTCAATAGTTTTGGAGGTACAAGTGGTTTTTGGTTATATGGATAAATTCTTTAGAAGTTATTTCTTGGATTTCAGTGCACCCATCACACAAACAGTGTACACTGTACCCAATATGTAGTCCCTTATTCCTCACCCCATTCCCACCATTCTCCCCAGTCCCCAAAGTCCATTATGTCACTCTATATGTCTTTGTGTCCTCATAGCTTAGCTACCACTTATAAGTGAGATCATACAATCTTTGGTTTTTCATTCCTGAGTTATCACACTTAGAATAATGGCCTCCAGCTCTATCCAAGTTGCTGCAAAAGACATTATTTTGTTCCTCTTTATGGATGAGGAGTATTCCATGGTGTATATATACCAAGTTTTCTTTATCCACTCTTCGGTTGATGGGCAATTAGGTTGGTTCTGTATTTTTGCAATTGTAAATTGTTTCATCATGTGGTCCTCTCTTCCAGTCACACTTGACATTTGTCTATCAATGCTTCACCCAGTTAATGGTCGCTCCTTTTTAGGTCTTAGGTCAATTGTTATTTCTTTAGGAAAAGATTCCCTGACTTATCAGACAATGATATTTCTTTCAAATATAAGCAATTTTAGCTCCACATACCTCTCCTTAGACAAATTCCTTAGTAGCATTTATCACAGTTAAAACTTCACATTTTGAATGATATTCTTTGGTTTATGCGTCTCTGCCAGTACATAATAAACGTCATGAGGGTAAGGACTGTTTTTTTTCTTGTATGTGACACTACTGCTAACACCTAGAATGGTTGTTGAATGAATGATTTATGTTACCTTGCAGAAATTAGACATTTACTGTCACATGAGGATTTTATACTTGATTTTTTTTATTCTTGGTAGAAAAGACAAAACCTTGAGAAATGGTATAGAGAAAAAGCTGGAGGAGTCTTGGACCTCAGTAAGTCTCTTCAGAATGGTATGGGGTGTATGATAAGAGTATAAAAAATCAGGCTGGGTGCGGTGGCTCACGCCTGTAATCCCAGCACTTTGGGAGGCAGAGGCGGGCGAATCACAAGATCAGGAGTTCAAGACCAGCCTGTCCAACATGGTGAAACACCGTCTCTGCTAAAAATACAAAAAATTAGCTGGGCGTGGTGGCAGACATCTGTAATCCCAGCTACTTGGGAGGCTGAGGCAGGAGAATCACTTGAACCTGGGAGGCAGAGATTGCAATGAGCTGAGATGGTGCCACTGCACTCCAGCCTGGGCAACAGAATGAGACTCTGTCTCAAAAAAAAAAAAAAAAAGAGTATAAAAAATAATAATAAAATAATAAACTTATTTCTAAATAAAAACTATTAAAATATATTGAATTATTTTAAAAATAAGACAAGTAAACCAATAAAATATAATTTTATTTTGACATTCATTGAACACTTACCATGGACACTGCATTATAATAAAACTTCAAAAATATCTTACTTAAGCCTCATAACTCTGGCATAAAGAAGATGTTATAATATAAATTTTACAGAAAAGAAAAAAGTGAGGTTTCAAAATGTTATAAATTATATCCTAGCTTATACAGTTGGTAATTATACTGTTTAGAATATACTTCAGGCCTATCAAATTCCAAAATTGCTGAATTCAAACTTAAAACCAGTGCTTGTCAAATTTCAGAAATATGTGGAACCTCATTAAAAGACAAAAGTATTTCCAAAGATTCCTAACATAGAATTAAATTGGTATTATGATAATGTTACTTAAATATGCAAACATGATAATTATGAAATTCTTGTACCTACATATTTTAGGACCATAAAAATACAACAACATATGATTTTTAAAATGTTATAATCAAATGCAAATAAAGTAAAAAAGAAAAATTTGAATTATCATTATTGGGACACATTATTATTTTATGAAATGAAATGACTAAATGTGAATTCCACATTGATAGTTACAGCCCAGGTTCTGTATTAGTCTGCATAAGTTCAATTTTGTTGCAGTGACAACAGACCACAAATCTCACTGGCTTAACATATAAAGTTCTAATAGGAACAAGAGGCAGAGAAATACTGGGTAGAAGAAGGCAGTCCCCAGAAAGATCCACACCCTCAAAGCCTAGACCCATGGCCCAAAGTGAGAACATGCAATCCTGTTTCCCACTTGACTGTTCCCTTTCCAAAACCACCCTGACCCCCACCTGCCCCCAATCTTGTACCCATTAAAAACTCCAGACCCCACCAGCAGAGCAGAGTGGCAGAGAAGAGAGAAGAGAAGCAGTAGCCAGACATCAGAGAGAAGCAGCTTGACTTCAGAGGGACGTCTTGATGGTGGGACTTCAGGGAAGAGTCAGGCCATGGACTGCCAAACTCCAGTGGAAGACCACCTTCTGGCTCTGTCCCCTTTCTAGCTCTCCATCCTGCTGAGAGCCACTTTAATTG
This sequence comes from Homo sapiens, assembly GCF_000001405.40. Lineage (NCBI taxonomy): Eukaryota > Metazoa > Chordata > Mammalia > Primates > Hominidae > Homo > Homo sapiens. The sequence continues at coordinate 54,067,335 of NC_000013.11, forward strand.
GCAATAAAATCCCCTGCATTTACCATCTTCAATTTGTTTGTGTGACCCGATTCTTCTTGGATGCGGAACAAGAGCTCAGGATACAGAGGGCTGTCACACTGAGCTGTTAAATACTTAGCCATCCACAAATGGCAAAGCTAAGAGAGTGCACTGTAACACACCCTTTGGGACGTCAGGGGTGGCGGGCAGCCCCCTAGATGCTGCTGTGGGGGCCAGTACAAGGTTTGCTCCTGCTGGCACCCAAAGGCCCTCGTCCCAGCTCCTGCACTCGCTCACCTGTGTGTTCCCCCTCCCATGAGGGGTTGAGAGCTGCAGGCTTAGTAAAGGAGCCACCTGCTTCGTGAGTCCCATGAAGGGGTCAAGGGAGCTATCCCTTTTCACTTTGATCACATGTTTCACCCCAGTTGACTCTCTAGGGGAGGTTTCACTGTCTCATTTCAACGTCTTCATGTTAGTACCAAAGCAGAGAAATAACTGGAATCAGATGCAGAAAGATTTTTGCTGCCTTAGTCTGAAATATTGATTAAAACTAATTGTGGCCTCATCTAATTGTAAGAGGTCTGGAAGGTGTGAACGAGGAAGTGTCCACAAAGGAAATGACAACTGATATTGGTGAGTATAAGTGATGACTACCAGAATTCCAAAACTAAAATCTTACATTCTAAAATCCTTAAATGTATGAGTTGCCACTTATATAAACATATTTAGTTTCCATTACAGGTAAATAATTAATCACAAATACAAGAGTGGGTACAGATGAGTGTTGTTATTTTGATACGGAAACTATGGGCAGTAAGATATGCCTCTCAAAATATTGAAAGTTATGTAATGATTCCCATTTTAATAGGTGTTCTCTTCCCCTACCCAAAATTATAAATACAAGTGCAAGTATGAGCCATCAACTTGTAGACAATATTTTATTATAAAGTGGCCACTGAGATGATTCATATTAAGATTTTTTATTATCATCAAAGTAAAAACTCAGAGTAAAATTTTATAGACAAGTCATGGCCACCTGAGACAATATATTGCAACCCCACAGTTCAAGAAACAATGTACACAGCTTTCTCTTTGTAGAGCTGAGTGACAAAATGAGTGAAAAGAATATATAAAGCATTTCAAGAACAAGATCATGTGGTATTGTTAGGACACATAGGCAGAAAGAACAAGCTCAGCCTTGAAAAAAATTATGAATCTTAAATAGGTACAAAAGAGGAGTGAATTGAACTTTCAGCAGTTTCAAAATTATAAACAGAATTAGAGTTAGGGGAGAGCAAGTTTTGTTTATGGGTTAAGAATGTGAATTATTTGCAATAAACAGTTTGTTCTGAGGAGCATTTTGTATTCATATTTTATTATGTGTATAATGATAATCTAGAAAACAGTTCTGAGTAAAAAACTGTGCCTCATGTGAAATAGTGTTTTTCAAACAAATAATATAATTAGTTTAGTGATTGGTGGTTAAGACCGTATGAATCATAATGATTGCCACATATTAAACACCTATGGTGTATGAGGCAATGTATCAGGCATATGGATAAAATATCAATTTTCCTGATAACCTGAACCCTAAAAGTTTGACAATACTATTCTTATTTTACAGCTAAGAGAAGAGAATCTCAGAAATGCTAGGTAACTTATCTATTAATAATAAGATTTTGCAAAAGAAGAGATTTGAGGCTAGTTTGACACCAAAATTCAGATTCTTTCTACTACATCACACTAAGTGAAACTTGGCTGTAGTCTGGACTTCTCTAAAGTAACTTTTATTCATTAAGCCAAACACATTGTAGTCATCTTTACTGAGGTAGGTTAATTTTGTTTTTTCTTCATAAGACTAGATACATAAAATTTGCAAGTGATCAACATTGCTACTAACGATGTATTTTTATGATTGGCAAAAACATAATAAGCTAGAAAATTTGGAAACATTTCTATTATGGCCATAAACTCTCAAGTATTAAGTAGAATTTCTGTTTGACAAGAATCTATTGGGCCACATATTATTTTTAGCAGAATTAAGAAATTATGTGATATGACTATAAAAGACATCTCTCAATTTTAGAGTGCATTTACTATCTTAGGCTTTTTGCATTTTCTTAGAGGGAGACAAGAGTTTGCAATCTTAATGGGAGAAAGGGCCCTGTCTTAAATACATACATGTCTCAGTTCCCAGGCCAAGGATGTGGGGAGATTAAAATGTAGTCAGGTTTTTTCCTATTTCTTTTTGTCAGTTTTTCTAAGATAGTGTAGTAGCTATAATATATTCTAACAGCCTGGAAAGAACCTGAGACTTTGGTGGTAGATAACAAGAGCTATCAGCAAGGAGATACTACTTGTCATCAAGTATCAGGGAAACCAGCCCCCAATATTTCAACATAGGTTCTTTTCTATTTTCCCTCAGTGTTGGTCAGTCTAAGAAATAAAGAGAAAGAGTACAAAGAGAAAAATTTTACAGCTGGGCCTCTGGGGGTGACATCACATGTCAGTAGGTTCCGTGATGCCCCTTGAGCCGTAAAACCAGCAAGTTTTTATTAGGGATTTCAAAGGGGAAGGGGGTATGAATAGAGAGTGGGTCACAGAGATTACATGCTTCAAAAGGCAATAAAAGCTCACAAGGCAAATGGCAGAGCAAGATCACAAGGCCAGGGTGAAATTAGAATTACTGATGAGGTTCCATGTCCCGCTGGGTACGCATTGTCATTGATAAACATCTTAACAGGAAACAGGGTTCGAGAGCAGACAACTGGTCTGACTAGAATTCACCAGGCTGGAATTTCCTAATCCTAGCAAGCCAGAGGGCACTGCAGGAGACCAGGGCATATTTCATCCCCTATCTTCAACCGCATAAGACAGACACTCCCAGAGCGGCCATTTTAGAGACCTCCCCCTGGGAATGCATTCCTTTCCCAGGGTTATTCCTTGCTGGGAAAAGAATTCAGAGATATTTCTCCTATTCGCTTTCTGCAAGAAGAGAAATACGACTCTGTTCTGCCCAACCCCGCAGGTGTTCAGACCTTATGGTTATCTCCCTTGTTCCCTGAAAATCACTGTTATCCTGTTCTTTTTTAGGATGCCCAGATTTCATATTGTTCAAACACACATGTTTTACAAACAATTTGTGCAGTTAACGCAATCATCACAGGGTCCTGAAGCAACATACATCCTCAGTTTAGGAAGATGATGGGATTAAGAGATTAAAGTAAAGACAGGCATAGGAAATTATAAGAGTATTGATTGGGGAAGTGATAAATGTCCATGAAATCTTCACTATTTATGTTCATAGATTGCAGTAAAGACAGGCATAAGAAATTATAAAAGTATTAATTTGGGGAACTAATAAATGTCCATGAAATCTTCACAATTTATGTTCTGCTGCTGCTGCTTCAGCCAGTCCCTCTGTTCTGGCTCCCTGACTTCCCGTAACAATCAAGAGACTTCAGCAATAAACTGGGAAATAATAGCAGTCATCCTTAGGTGAAGTGGAATCAACATCCCAATTTAGCAGACAAAGGCATCACAGAACCTTGATTGAAATGTGGGGTATGGGGAAGAATCACCAAGTAAAACAAACAAACAAACAAACAAACAAACTTCAGAGCAGAATGCATTTAATTTAAATACCTCAGCAGAAACAGAGATAGGAAATTGCTGGGTTGCTTTTCCTTATCTTTGGCTGGGAATGTTTTAGGGTGTACTGAGGGGTGGGGGAAGAATTTGTAACTTGACCATTTTCTCCATTTATGTTAGATGTCAGACTTTTAGGATGTCCTCCTGGAGACATAGCAATCTGTGTGACTCTAATATGTTACCTACTGGTTCTTACAAAGTACTTAGTAATCATGTATTCCAGTAATGAATGAATGAATGAAAAAAGAAAAAAATGAAGCACTAGTAATTTCCACTGTTGAAAAGTGGCTGTCCTTCCTTGAATCTAGTGAAAGATTACTTAATGCATGAAATGTACCTGCAGAAAGATACCAATTTATGTGGATACAGTGCCAGGCACTCTATATAGAATAGTATTCAAAATGTGTTTCATCCAATGTTTTGTTATTTTCTAAATGCAGAGCACTGGGACCTGAAGGCTCACCTACACTTCTCACATTGTTTTAAGAATAAAGCCTAAAAAGTTGTGGCTTTGCCTAATATCTAGCCTTTGCCAATGGAGCTCTCCATCAGTGTTTCTTCTTTCCTGACAGCCTGGCAGTTTCTAGGACACTTGCAAGAGAACTTTCTGAAAGATAGCATAGCATCGCAGTTAAGAGCAGGAACTCTAGAGCCAAAGTGCAGGGGTTAGAATCTTCCTTCAGCAATTTATTTACTGGGCTAGTTACTTAACATGCTTCACTTTTCTCATCTTTAAAATGGGAATAATAATACCTCTTCATGGTGTTGTAATGAGAATTAAATAAAGTGAATATAAAGACATTAGAAGTATACTTGGCCTCTAATCTATACTTAATAATATGAAATTAATTGTAACTACATATGCATTTATAAAATAAATAAAATAATGCAAGTAAACAGGGCATTAGTCCAGTCTGGAAGTTTTAGATAGACAACAAGTAAGTAGTGACAACAGAAAGTCATGAAATTCAAAGGGTAGAAAAGGGAAGGTGGAATGCAGTGTGAAAAGAAAATTGTTCTGTTGTATTTGGTTGAAGTATGGGATAGACTTGAGAATGTTTACAGGAGACTGAAAAGACCCAGAAGCAAGAGGGAACCTGAAGATAAAGATGACAAAACCCAGGGAAGGTAGCAGAAGATGAGATCAATGACATAGATGAAATGATTCAAACAGAAGCAGGGACTGATTATTGATGTAGTTCTTTTGTGCTCCATTATCCCATATATATGTTTAGAAACTATGAGCTATATTGGGTATCAAAACAGCACTGCTTATAGAAAGATGCCCTATATCACAAATGTTCACAAATTTTCCCTACTTTGTATGCTATTAACTTGATGTTTAATCCATATGCCTGCTGTTTTGTGTGCTTGGAATGCCTTTTCTTTTAAATTTTGTCTTTCCCAAACAGATTTCTCAATTAAGTGACTATTCACCCATTGAAACAATTTCTAAGTCCAGGAGACTTCTTTTGCACTTCCAGAAACATAGTAAGCACAATAAAGTCTTCATTGTTCACATTGTACTTATTCTCACTTCCTCAGTGCTATGTCATCACTTGATCCACACTACTAGCTAATAGCATCCCAAGGAAATGAAAATCCTAACAGAACAGGCACTATGTCCATTTAGTCTACCTCTCAGATTATAGTGTAGTTTCATGAATTATAAATGAACTTACATTCAATTTGATAATGGTGATGGCCAATCATCTTTATGTAGGAAAGCTCTTAAAACTGCCTTAAAGTAAGCAGGGCACAATTTAGCATGAACTAAATTGGCAGAATATCTAGAAACTTCTACCGAAAGAGATATTAATTTAGGAAATCTTCTATGATCTTTGAATCCTACATTCAAATGCCCAGACTGCTATTTGAAATCATTCTGGATATTTAGGTAATCTGGCTTTAGAACCAACAAACTAAAACTGTGGTAAATAGAGTCTCTTGGTATATATAAGAAAATTAAAGTACCTGGCCCAAATCAAAGTACCTGGCCACCCTCAGGGCAAGCTCATGTTTTTGTAATAACATGAGTTTCACTTTAAAAGAGAAAAAAAACTTCCAAGGCATGTGTCGGTGTTTAGTTACTGTCACAAGTTTGTGTATCTCTTTTTCAGGAAGATGAGAAAATGAGCTTGAAAAACTACTTTGGGTATGGTATTATCAAAGAGGAACTTCAGTTGAGCTTTGAGATTCCCATTAAGCCTACAAGAGAGAATGAGTAAAACCATGTTCTGACTTTGTGACTTTAACCATTACTAATCATCAAAACACGGTGAAAAATGATTTCAAGATCAAAGCAAAACACAGCAACTTCAAAGACAGATGGAGAGCTCAGTGCTGAGAAAGCAGGGTCCTCAAAATGTAACCCCCATTAGAAGGCTGTAGAAAGTCAGGTAAACAAGACCTGGATCTGAAATAGACCTCTCTGAGAACATCTGCAGCAACCTACCAAGTTTGTAAGTGTTTCTCATAATTTTTAGTTACTTTCACAATCACTTTCTGCTCCATTCCATAGATGAAATCCAAGGGTGCTTTGTGAATTGAGTAAGCTAGCTACACTTCTCTAAACAGAATGATAAGGTGATCATATAATTCACCATTTAAACTTGAAAATTTTAAGAGAGAAAGAAGTTGCTATTAATTTTACCTTGAAATAGTGTTAATTTGGTAATTCCCAAGCAAATGCAAAAGTGTGCTCATCCTACCATAACACTGTTCCAAAACCCCATTTAAGATAAAATGTTGTTCCCTTGGTCTTTAATTAACATCTCTTTCTTTTGAAATCTCACTCATGCTTCAGCCATTTCCTTTCATGTGTCTCTCATTGGCCAGTGCTGATAATCACAAATATAAATGGTCTAGTGATTTTATATTATGAAAACACTTCATATCAACCTCAAGATATACTTTATTTTCAACAACAACAAAAAATAATTTTCAAATGTTAACACTCTTACCATATTTAAAAAAAAATCCTGATGGAAAAATTAGTGTGTCTCATTTCATTACTCATTCAATAATATTTTGGAGACTTGCCTATGGAGACCATTTTATTCACCATACCTTAATTCTAATATCAATTTTTTAAAATGCCCAATAAAGAATAATCAATAACTATAAAAATGGCTATAATTTTAGCTATTTTTAACATTATTTAAATATCACAGAGATGCTAAAAAGTAGAAAAAAATCTTTAATGTACCATTTTAAACATAACTTTTGTGTATATTTTTGTTTTTTATAGTTCTATAGGATTGTGCATATCTATTCATCTTTAATCCATTTATCTATTCATTTTCTATAGCAAAATATGTATATAATTATAACCAAAGTGTATATCAAAAGTTTATCCAGTTTGCATTTATTTCTGTGCTGTTACCCAATCTATATAATTATAACTTGAGAATACGAGGATAAATTTAGTTTGAATTGTGCCCTAATTTAATTAAACATACTCCTCAACAGTAATTTTAATTTTTACTGTGTTATTACTGAAATAAATATTTTAATACTTACAGCTTTTTCTGAAAAGAAAGATTTAAAATGTATGTACCCAATTGCAAGCTTGCTGGGCCACTTGGTAAAAGTGAAAAAAGTAAAAGAAACAGTTGTCTTTGAAGAAGAGGTATATGAACCAATAGTGTCCAAGCAAATTTAATTGTACCCTAAGTGACTTAGAAAAACACCTACTTTATATATATTTAACATGGATTAGTGTGGTTTAAATATATGTAATTCGGTTGTAAAGTCTGACTAATGAAAGATCATCTAATCTAATACTGAGTATCCTAGTTCAGCTGTCTTTATTATAAACATAAGTATTTGATTTAGGAATCCTACAGCTTTAAGGTCTGGTTTGGTTCAATAGAAATAAATGGATACAGAGCAAAGCCATAGGTAAAATGGATAAGTTAGCAAATGAAAAGTGACAGTATTACTTGAGCATAAAATAAGTAGCACATTTTTAACCACAGTTCAGCATTAAGAAAGACAAACTGTTTATTCCAACTAAAATATAACATATTAATGTCAGTGAGATGGTAAACTTGTTCCTCCTTTATATGCAAATAATTTTCTATTGCAATATTTGCATGTAAGCAATTTTATCAATATTTTGTTGAAAATGGTGATTTATTATTTTGTTCTGGCTCTGATGCAGAGATAATTATATTTAAACCTATTTTTTTAGCCCACACTGTTTCTTCCTCCTCCCCAGCTTGTCTTCCTGTCTGTCACCTATTCATCTCTAGAGAGGTGCGCAAACAGCTGAAAAAGAAAGTAGAGAACCTTACTCTGTGACAATTGATTACAAAAGGATTTTGCCTATAAATCTCCCCTTATATGTTGAAATAATTCATTTTAAAAAAAGCAAAGTATAAAATAGACTTAAATTTGTTTCTAAGTAAAATATTTTGTGGTTACCTTAAGGGTACCATTCACAAAATCATAAATATTGTGTTACTAGTATTACTATTCACATTTTATTCACCAAGAGGAATCAAAGAAATATGGAAAGCAGAAGAGATATATTCAAGCTTACAAAGGCACATTGAAATCAGAAACATGGAACAGTAATGTTTAGTCATCTCTATCAAAAATTAATGAAAGCATTTAGCAGTACAGAATAGTTTTCTAGATAACAAAACATGAAAAAATTTAGTTGATTGAATTTATTTAGGAATGCTATCACAAAAGCCAAACACGTGCTCAAATGTATTGTCATCAAATCCTGACCTTAATAAGCATTTCCAGTCTGCTCTTCAATCCAAATCCTATGTTATTTGCTTTACTGATCTGGCCATCTTTCCCTGAACAAATGTGAACTATCTTACTCATGAACAACTGGAAGTTCATGAAATCAATTAACATGTCTTACCCCTGCTCAAATATCTCCCTCTTCGAATTCTTCTCTGTTTATGAAAATTCCCATAATTCAAGGAAGACTCTCCCTCAAACATAATTAACAGTTTCATTATAAACATAATCCACACAAAATTTTCTCAGCACCATTGCCTAGCCTGCAAACCAGGATTCTGTGATTCAAGTCTACAGTAGCACAAAATAATGTTCATCCTGTGTAGTACGAGGAAGATTTCTGAAGAAATTATATTAGCTAATATTTGTATTAAGGTTAAATTTTACTAAATAACTAATATTTTAAGAAAAATGCGATAAGCTAGATTAGATATATCTCTTTAAGTATGTGTTGGAGTCCTAACATTTTTTTCAATAGAGAGAATGAATTCAATTCAATTCACAATATATCTTTTAAGTAATTATTATATTCATAGTTTTATGCTAGACTTATTATTACAAAGATGAATGCATATATTGTAAAATAACCCACTTCAATGCAATAATGTTTCTTATATTTAAATTACATGTTTTAAATATAACCAGATGATGAGGCAATTCTTTGATAAGGAAATTAAGTACATTTCTTACAGAAGAGGTGACACAAAGTTGAACCTTACACTAACGAGTAAATAAATTTGGTGTGCATGCATAGAAAATATATAGAAGAGCAACAGTAACTGGGTAGATTTAACAATGTCCAACTACAGATCCTTCCACTAGAAGAATACCACTAAGACAACCCCGTTTCAAACATAATGTGGTATATCTGTTTACAGTATTTCTGCATTTTTTAAAGAGAGACTGAGTCTCACTGTCACACAGGCTGGAGTGCAAGGGTGTGATCATGTCTCACTAGAGCCTCCAACTCCTGAGATCTGCTTTTTATCAAATTAAAACATTGTCATTCATTTTTTTTGTTTAAATATCTCATTTTGAAAAAATTATTGTGTTCTCATTTATATTTCTTACATATTAGGACCATCTGCTGACTATATGAATATAGTTCCAATTTTACAAGTAGTCAATAAAAGTGATTGAAGTTTCAAAATGTATATCTTGAGAAAACATCTAATATTTTTATTGATAAAAACCATTGTGAAATGCAAGTTTCAAACTCTCAATCTAATCCATGGTAAGAATTTTTTAAGAGCAGTTGCACTTAAAAGTTTTTAACAAAATTTGAAACACCTATTAGAAATAAAAATAATCTGCTGGGTGCCGTGGCTCAAGCCTGTAATCCCAGCAATTTGGGAGGCTGAGACAGGCGGATCATGAGATCAGGAGTTCGAGATCAGCCTGACCAACATGGAGAAACCCCGTCTCTACTGAAAATACAAAAAAAATTAGCTGGGCGTGGTGGCGGGCACCTGTAATGCCAGCTACTCAGGAGGCTGACGCAGGGGAATCATTTGAACCCAAGAAGTGGAGGTTGCAGTGAGCCGAGATCGCACCACTGCACTCCAGCCAAAGCGAGACTCCGTCTCAAAAATAAATAAATAAATAAATAAATAAATAAATAAATAAATAAATAAAAGTAATCAATAAGTATTTTAAAGATTTTACTTGTTTCCAAGGCTTAGAAAAAATAGAACCAACACTAATAATATGAAGTTATGCCTAAATTGTTTTAACATCAGATACAGGCAGATTCGGAGCAAGTGTGTTTTAACACGTAATCACTAAATAACAAGGCAATGAAGTCAATTTATCATTTGCATAGTTTAGAGAATATCATAGATCGAAATATATTGCAATTGAAAATAAATCAAGAACCAGAAAAGAATTGAAAAATAGTTAAATTGAATTTAAATTTTGGCAAGGAAATGGACTCAAATCCTCAGAGAAATACCCTTCTTTAAATGTAAAACATAGCCTATAAAAGTCACATTCCCCAATGACATCATCTTAATTGAAGAGATAGCATTCAAGCCCTCAGAGCTATAGCTTTCAGAGCTCTGCAACAGGCAAGAATGACCTTAAATGAATAGGATTTTTTTTTTCAGTTACTACAGCTGAATGCATCTGAAATAGGGAATTCATGCATTTCACTCCACTATGGAAATCATCACATAAATGAGATAGTGAAATTTTCAGCTTATATATAGCAAGAAATTATGTCATTTACAATGATGGTATAATTTACATCTTGTATATTTTTTCATCTTGATTTACATTTTCCAAAAAGATTTTAGTGGTTATAATATTATAACTCTTTTAAAAAATAAAAGTCTGTTGGAACATCATTTAAAATATGCATTAAAAATAGGGTTTGAAATGGCTTAAAATAGCAGTAAAGCCAAGATATCAAAATACAGGTGTAGAAGGAATAGCCCAGCATTTATTTGCTAAATTCAGGGCAAGTCAGCCCCAGGCTAAAGTCATTCTGTGCCAAATTCTACATCATTAAAATAATAATAATAGCAGATATTATTGTTTATATCATTTTAAGTGCCACTACTTGTAGGGTAATCCTCTGGCAGTGGATAAAATATAAAGCTATTAAAACAAAACACAATTCATTCTGAGGCACCTAAAGGTCAAAGGAAAAGATGCAGTATGCAAGAGAACCTTAGTTTAATGTTAGAGAACCTCAGCCCCATCATAGCTAATATTGCTGCTTCTCTTTCTTAAACTGTCTAAGTGGGCTTTTTCTTTATCATTTGGTTACTTAAATAACCTATGATCCTTGTTTGTATTAATTTGTTTTATGAGTGACTGCCTTTTCTTTTCAAGTGAATTGTAAGTTTCCAAGAAACAATGTCCACAGCTCATATTTCATTTGATCCATTGTCAAGTCTAGCACATGCACAAATGCCTCTGCCTCCTCAATGCTTCTTGCATAAAATTCAGTTGGTTCATTTACCGGCGACAGAACTTGCCTCCTAACTGGGCAATGCATTACAGAAAACACAGATGCTGGTCCTTGTTTAATTCCTACACTTAGCTCATTCCCTGGTACAGAAAATGTTTAATAGATAAATGAATTAATCTGGCATTCTCTTCACTGCTCATCTGAGTTAAAATTATCACTGAAAGGAAACGGTTTATTTCACAAGGCAGCGTACATTTTGTTTCCTGTTAAAATTTTATTAACCTTTAGCCCAAATCTTTTGTCCTGTTTATTGTACACATTTTTTTCTTGCTTTGTACTCTCAGCTTAAAGGAAATAGTCTAATTTCCCCTAATGTTTAGGTAGCATTTTACCACCTATAGGACTCCTGGCTATTCCAAGAATTGGGATTTACCCCAAATATTTTTCATGTTTTAGAAAACACATTTATCACAATTATCTTTTTTGTTATAATTACATTATTTCAAAAATGCATACAGCACATGGTTGCCTATGTGTGCCAATCTATATAATTTAACGGTTCATCATGATAAACAAACCCACACACAGACTGTTCAACAAAATGCTTTCATTAGTTATTAAAATTTTTAAGAGACTTAAAAACATACAATTCAGATTCTCTAATGAAGTAATGTAAGTAGAGGAAGCTGAGGTCTGACAAATTAACTGGGTAATTGCTTCTTTTTTTGTAATTTATATTAATATGGATAAAACATTACAAAAGAACTATTTGTTCAAAATATTATAATACAAAAACGTTTAATATCAATTATTAATAAATAGCATGACTTATGTGGTCTATTTCATATATAGAATTATTTAATTTCAGAGTATTTCAGAGAAGAATAAATCTCATTTTGTTTTTAAAAGTATATTATAGATGAGTTGAATGGAGATTCCAAATGGCTAAAGGGAAATAGAGCCAAAGATGTGAGGGATAATATGCGGGGTTTTTTGTGTTGTACTTAGCCACTGCATGTTTATTTGCGCATTCACAGACTCTCTGACAATCCTGGAGATTAGGAATGTGGCAAAAACCTAGTCCAGGTGTCACTGTAAGTCTCAAACTTTCTTTTTTATGGGATTACTTCCAGTTCTTTTTATATGCAAAGAATTATGAAGCAATTTGTCGCAGAACTCTATTGGTGTTTGCCCATGAGAGGATATGTCTAAGACGTGGCATCAATTTTGGTCATGAAAGAGTCAGGTATACAACTGGTCAGGTGAAGTACTTATGATTACAACTTCTCATGTAGTCAATTCTTTATGATCCTTCAGCTGCAGGCTTGACTTGTTTAAGGTTATTTTTGGTAAAACCAATATTTTAAAACTTAACCTCAAAAAATGAAAATGCCTATAATATACTGACAATATAATTATTCTTTAAAGAAATCTATACATGAGAATTTAAAATTGGATAAATTAGAAGATGGATTCACTGCACATGGGTCATAGGAAGCTTTTCTTATTTATTGTTTTGTAATACTGAGAAACATAATAAAAGTATTTTTGTAGCACATTTTATTGCAAAAACTTTTGAATTTTTATATAACAGCAAAAAGGTCCCTATTGGTAGGTTAACATTCCCCTTTGTAGTTGTGCTGATATTATAATAGCATACCTACACTTGGATATGGAACCAAAAAACTTAGCTATAGAACCAAACATAGCTATGCTCTATCCTTGATTTTTTGAGTAATAATAAATATATAAATGTGTTTGTGGTAAATAAAGTTAGAGCTCTTATTTTATGAGATAAACAAACTTGATTTGGCTATTGGTATTTGTTTTCACATAGTTTCTGTTCAATTCAAGTAACCCACATTTTCATTGGAAAATCTATTGAGAAGGTATTGGGAAATCGATTCCATTGTACCTGGATTTTTCTGAATTTATGAGACTTATTAGCACTTTGCATAATGCACTAAGCTTTGGTGATTACCCTATAATAGACAAAGGTCATGTCCAAGATAGTCTTTGTTTTTTTTGTATCTTTGGGCACCATTCAATATTTTTAGGTACACATTGATAATACTTCTGGGAAAAGCTCATAATATTTAGTTATTTTACAATATCTTCAATCATTCATATCAAGGAGATATATTGTGGCTATGAAGCTCAGTTCTTACATGGTTTTTAATTTGTCAGTAATTGTTTATGACCTCTGGGAAGGAAACTTCTATCCTTGTCTAATTCAAAAGACTAATCATAGTCAGGACTGTAGAATGAGAAAAGTAAATAGGTTCAGAGCAATTCACAGAAGTCCAGAATTTCCAAATATATTCAGTGTAGCTTACACAGTTTGTGGGAAGTGTAAAGTTTATTACTGTAAAGTGCTTTAGAATTATCTAAGAAACGTGGCTCAAAAGCAGGTAAAGTTACTTGGTTCTGAGTCAAGATTCCCCCTCACCCTGCCAACCTTAATGTTATTACTTGATTTGTTTAATATATTGGCTCATGCACATATTTTTGAAAATAGTGTCCTGCTGCTAATGACATATGAAAGCTACCATTAACATTTCCTCCTCATTTAATTGGTCACCAAACTCAGACTCACTAAGATCACGCAAGATTATATAAATGTAACTAGAGATGTCAGAGATGGGAAACACTGTGGTCTCTTTACTTTGTTTCCGTCCTCCTACTTTGTCTTTAATTAGTCAGAGAACATTCTTACAAGTGAGATTTCAGCCTATATATGATATGGAGAGGAGTCAGGGAAACACTGGGCAAAGGAAGGTGGTTCCCCAGCAAAGGCTCCACCCTCAACCCTGGAAACCTGCGGCCCTAAATGAGAATAGGCATTCCTGTTTTCATGCCTAAAAGTTGCTTTTTGGCTCACCACCCCCTACTATCCTGTGCTCATATAAACCCCAGACTCCAGAAGCAGATGAAGAGTCAAACAGAAGGGTAGAAGAATGGCAGAATGGCACAGCAGAGAAGGAGAGAAGAGGAGTTTCTGAACACCGAGAGGAATTCAGCTGGGGGCGGTTGAAGAGGAGACAGGCCACTGGACGGCCGTACTCCAGGGGAAGATCATATTCCCACTCCATCCCCTTTCCAGCTCCCCATCCACTCTGCTGAGAGCCACCTCCACCCCGCATTCAAAAATCCTCAAGTATCTGTGTGACCCAATTCTTTCTGGATGCTGGACAAGGACCTGGGTACCAAGGGGGCACTAAGGTGGTTAACACTTAAGTGATCCATGGATGGCAAGGCTAAAAGAGCAAACTGTAACACATGCCCCCTTTGGACTTTGGGAGTCACAGGATCCCACCCCTGGACACTGCCGTGAAGCTGGAGCCCAAGGGCACTCACCCTGGCTCCTCCTATACCTGCCCATCTGCGTGCTTCCACTCCCATAGGGGTTTGAGAGTGCACAGTGGCCGAATAGACAAGCCACACCTCTTGTTGCATGTCCTGCAAGGGGGTTCAGGGAACTCTCCTATTTCATATGCAGTATTCATTAATTTGACAGACATAAACTATTGACCTAACACCAGTACCAATGCCATTTTATAGTGTGATCCAATTCAACTTAGAGACATCTTTTTTTTTTTTTTGAGATGGAGTCTCACTCTGTAGCCCAGGCTGGAGTACAGTGGCGCGATCTCGGCTCACTGCAAGCTCCGCCTCCCAGGTTCACACCATTCTCCTGCCTCAGCCTCCGGAGTAGCTGGGATTACAGGCGCCTGCCACCACACCCGGCTAATTTTTTTTGTATTTTTAGTAGAGACGGGATTTCACCGTGTTAGCCAGGATGGTCTCGATCACCTGACCTCATGGTCTGCCCTCCTTGGCCTCCCAAAGTGCTGGGATCACAGGCGTGAGCCACCGCGCCCGGCCAGAGACATCTTACTAAATGTATTGCAGTGTATATATTTTACAAAACTTACTTGTCTTCAATAAATACTCCCAGTCCCTGGTTCCTGGGTACTTTGGCATCAAAATATAGGAAAAAGCATAATAACAAATTATTGTGTGAGTGAGGGCTGACTGTGGAGTGTAATTCCCAGATCAAGTATTATCACATTTTGCTATGTGACCTTGGGGAAGTTATGCAACCTTTTTATGCTTCAGTTTCTTTGTCCATAAACTGGATATAAGGAACAGATGATTAATGTCTGTCAAGTACTTAGAATAATGCCTGGCACATAATAAACCTTATTAAAGTCTTTGTAAAATAAATAAGATTGCTTTTAAAAAGATAACACCGCTCTTAAAAATGGAAGCACAAGACACCACAATGCACACATTAAAAAAATGGCTACATAGCAATCGTATTTGTTGCTTGGGAGGATTCGAAGTAAAGATTCTTAATGGATCTTTCAGAGCTTTTGTGCATAAAAGTGAAATACTCTGCCTCTACAGTCAATAATGTTCAAGAATGTATCTTCTTTCTCAGCTATGCATCTTGCTACAGTTAGTCTGGCCTCCTGCTCTGGGCTCCTGTGAAGTAATCTATTTGGGACCTTCCCAGAAGATTCATTAAGTTGTATTGAACCTGTCTGCTTTCCTAATGGGCAAGGCAAGGCATACCCAACACAAAACACCTGTGCTCTCAAGTTTGCACCAATTCTGTTTCTTTAGCCAATTCAAGGTTTCATTTATTATTTATAACATTCTGAATGTGTTGGGACCTAATTATTTCTGAAAGTACTTCATCCCCCACTCCATGTCATGTCAGTTGCAGCTGGCTGGAATCTTATCTATTCTTAGATTCGAATTTGAAGCAGGATATTCTCGGTGGAGAGCCCTTGCCTCCTGAACACACTCCCCTTAGTAATCTATCAACGTGCAAATATGAAAGTGTTTAGGTCATGATTTATGATGCCCACAATCTTCTCAAAATTTGATTAATTTTGTTCATTTTTTCTAGGACAGAAAACAATAGTATATTTAATATCACTTAATATTAAATTGCAGAGAAGTTAATATATTGCACACTAATCATTTATTTTGAACCATGTAAGAGTATAACATTAATAATGAAAGGGGTATTTACACATGAAAACAGAGTATGTCTACTCAGATACATTTCAATCCAGTTTCACAAGATTTTCTCAGCTCCTACTATCTGGAGCAATTTTTTGAAAATGGGTTCAAAGGACAATCTGGCATCAGAAATACCCATGAGCTTTTTCAGGAATGCAGAGACCTGGCTCAGTACAGACCCATTGATCAGTAATTCTGGAAGTGAGGCCCTAGAAATTAAAATTTTATCATATATCATAGGTGATTTCAATGTATTCCAATGTTTGAGCATCTCTGGTTCTCACGTACTGAAACCATTTATTTTCCCAGCTTCTTTATTTACTTTTTGTTTTAGCTTTCAGGCAGCTGCTGACCAGGCAGGGTGTGACTGGCAAATAGGACGGAACTGCTTCAATCCATATGTGTGTATTAATTTATCATCCCGACCACCTGCCAGTCACACAGTTGGCCTCTTTGCTAGGACTGAATACCACAGGGAGCAAAGGTGCAGACTTTGCTTAGGATTTAACTTGAAACACCAAAACAGCTGCCTAGGGAACTGATAATTCATGGGTTCTTTCTTGGCAGTCAGCACAGCATACCCCAGAGACCACTGGTGGCCTACATTCAATTTAAAACCAAGAACATCTCCTTATTTTCAGCTTACTCCTTGACTTCATTTGGACGAATGAGTCTAACTTGACACACCTATTCCTTGACAAACTCTGGTGGCCTGAACCACAGATCTTCTGGCAGCACCACTGCTAATTGAGAAGCAGGGCTGCATCTGTTAACTACGCCAACTTTGTGTTCTCTGCTGGCTCCATTTTCTCTTCCATCCTCTCCCAGTAGCTTTTTTTAAAGTGTTGTTCTCAACTCCCTTCTCCCTCTACACTCCCTGCCAAAGAGAATCAATCCCTTTTTATTGTTTCAACCAACAACTCCATGTTGGTGATCCTTAAATATTTATCTTTAACTCCAGTAGTTTTTTTTTAACACCTTTACCTACTTTCATTCACTATTGACATTTTCCATTTCCATGTTCAATTGTAACCTCAACGAATGCTTTCCTTTACCTTCAAAAATTGGGATCAGAAATCTAGCCACTTCCATCAATGGCATTTCCACCTTCCTAGTTCCACAATTTAAGTTCATTAATCAATTTTCACTTCTTTAGTCTCAAATTAATCATGGAATTGATTCACTGCTACTTATAATACATTCTTTATAGGAATTTCAGAAATCCTGAGACCTTCTGGACAGAGAAAGTGCTTCACTCTAAAAGAGGTAACACACTGTGGTGGTGATAAGCAGGACTTGCGAATGAGAAAGTTTGGTTCTCCAACATGTAATTGCTACAAAAATATAGGTGTATTTCTTGTTTTCTCTGATCCTCTGTTTTTCATAACAATATTAATTTGTTTATTTTTTCCAATAAATATTGTTAGAATCTTACAAGTTTCATCAGCGTACTAGAATCTCAATCTACAATGGTGGCCAAAGTCTCTTCACTCAGGAGGAATATAGATGAGCGGTTTATTATGATGAAAAATAATTTATTTTAAACAGTTGGCACAAAGTAAATGTTCTGAAAGTATCAATAACTTCTGTTTCCTCTAGAATCTGTTTTCTGATCTTTGGCTAATATCTCATATTTCAGTGGGCACTACTGTGTTTTTTCTTTCCTCATGGAAGCTTCTATATGCAACTTTCTTCATCTTGTTGGCTACATTCCACAAAGATGGACTGTAGAATGTGATTAGATTCCCCGGGTTCCCTGGTTCCTGATTTTCTTAGAGAAAATTTCTCAATTTATTTTATTCTAATTCTTTTTCCTGAGAATTTATTAAATAATCTTGGTTAAAATGTGTATATATCTAAGGGGTGAAAGTGCAGTTTTGTTACATGGATATATTCCTTAAGGTTGAAGTACGAGTTTTTAGTGTAAACATCAACCAAATGATGTACATTGTACCCATTATGTAATTTTCATCCCTCTCCCCAAAACCCACCATCCCACCTTTCTGAGTCTTTATTGTCTATTTTCCACGTTCTATGTTCATGTGTACGCATTCTTTAGCTCCCACTTATAAGTGAGAGCATGTAATATTTGACTTTCTGTTTCTGAACTGTTTCACTTAAAATAATGGCCTCCAGTTCCATCCATGTTGCTGCAAAAGACATGATTTAATTCTTTTTCATTGCTGAATAATAGTATTCCATTGTATATTATTAGTATTCCGTGTGTGTGTATACATATATACACACACACACATATATAGGCATATATATGCATGTGTATACATACATATGTGCATATACATATATGTGTGTATACATACATACATATATATGCATGTATGTGTGTATGCATATATGTGTGTGTATATATGTATGTATGTGTATCCATACCTTCACACACACCTCATTTCCTTTATCCAGTCATCCGTTGAGGGCACTTAGGTTGATCCTATCTTTACTATTGCAAATTGTACTGCAATAAACATACAAGTGCTAGGTATCTTTTTCCTTTTCTTTCCAACTTTTATTTTAGGTTTAAGGAATACACATGCAGGTTTGTTACGTGGGTAAATTATGTGTCATGAGGGTTTGATATACAGATAATTTTGTCACCCAATTAATGAGCATATTACTCAATAGGTAGTATTGAGTAATACTACCTCACCCTCAATACTCACTCTTCTCCCACCTCAAGTAGGCCTCAGTGTCTTTTTTTCCCTTCTTGGTGTCCATATATACTCAATGTTTAGCTCCCACTTATTAGTGAGAACAGGCAGTATTGGGTTTTCTGTTTCTATGTTAATTCGCTTAAGATAATGGCCTCCAACTCCATCCATGTTGCTGCAAAGGACATGATTTCATTCCTTTTATGGCTTCATAGTATTCCATGGGTGTATATGCACCACATTATCTTTATGCAGTCCACCATTGGTGGCCATCTAAATTGATTCCTTGTCTTTGCCACTGTGTATAATGCTGTGATGAACATATATGTGCATGTGTCTTTATGGTAGTACAATTTATATTCATTTGGGTATATACCCAGTAATAAGATTGCTGGGTCAAATGGTAGTTCAATTTGAAGTTCTTTGAGAAATCTCCAGACTGCTTTCCACAGTAGCTGAACTAATTTACATTGTCACCAGCAGTCTATATGTGTTCCCTTTTCTCTGCAACCTTGCCATCATCAGTTATGTCTTTGGCTTTTTAGCACTAGCCATTCTACTGCTGTCAGATGATATTTTGTTGTGATTTTGATTTACATTTCCCTGATGATTAGTGGAATTGAACTTTTTTATCCTTTTGCTAGATGCATGTATTTATTCTGTTAAGAAGTGTCTATTCATATTCTTTACTAATTTTTTAATGCAGTTGTTTATTTTTTTGCTTGTTTGCTTAAGTTCCTTATAGATTCTAAATGTTAGACCTTTGTCGGATGCCGTGTTTGCAAATATTTTCTCCCAATCTGTAGGTTGTCTGTTTACTCTGTTGATAGTTTCTTTGTTGTGCAGAAGCTCTTTATTTTAATTAGGTCCCATTTTTCAATTTTTGTCTTTGTTGCAATAGCTTTTGGAATCTTTGTCATAAAGTCTTTATCAGGGTTGATGTCCAGAATGGTATTTTCTAGGTTTTCTACTAGGGTATTTATAGTTATAGGCTTTACAATAGTTAATCTGTAGTGGGTTGATTTTTGTATATGGTGAAAGATAGAAATCCAATTTCAATTTTCTTCATATAGCTAGTCAGCTATCCCAGCACCTTTTATTGAATAGGGAGTCTTTTCCCCTAGCTTGTTATTGTCAGCTTTGTCAAAGATCAAATGGTTGGAGATGTGCAGCTTTATTTCTCAGATCTCTAGCCCATTCTGTTGACCTATGGGTCTGTTCTTCTACCAGTACCAGATTGTTTTGGCTATTTGGGATTGCTTTTGTTTCCAAATTTTAGAATTTTTTTTTCTAATTCTGTGAAAAATATCTTTGGTAGTTGGATAGGAATAGCATTGAATCTGCAAATTGTTTTGGGCAATATGGCCATTTTAATATTGAATCTTCTTATCCATGAGCATGGAAAGTTTTCCTGTCTGTTTGTGTAGTCTCTGATTTCTTTCAACAGTGTTTTCTCATTCTCATGGTAGAGATCTTTCACCTCCCTGATTAGCTGTCTTCCTTGATATTTTATTCTTCTTATGGATATTCTAAATAGAATTGCATATTTGGATTGGCTTTCAGCTTGGATGTTATGGGTGTACAGAAAGGCTACTAATTTTTGTAGATTTTTTTATATCCTGAAACTTTGCTGGAGTAGTTTATGAGATCTAGAGCCTTTGGGCAGTAACTGGAATTTTCTAGGTATTGTGTCATATTGTCTGGAAAGAGAGATAGTTTGACTTTCTCTCTTCCTATTTAGAAGGTTTTTTTTTTCTCTTGCTTGATTACTCTGTCTAGGACATCCAGTATTATGTTGAATAGGAGTGGTAAGAGTGGGCATTCTTGTCTTGTTCTGGTTCTAAAGATGAATGCTTCCAGCATTTGCCAGTTCAGTAGAATGTTGGCTATGAGTTTGTCATACATGGCTCTTCTTATTTTGAGGAATGTACCCTCAATACCTAGTTTATTGAGAGTGTTTAACATGAAGAAATGTTGAATTTTACCAAAAACCTTTTCTGCATCAATTGAGATTAACATGTGATTTTTTTGTTTTTAGTTCCATTTATGTGATAAATCATATTTATTGAATTGTATATATTGCATCAACCTTGTATCCCAGGGATAAAGCCTACTTGATCATTGTGAATTGTCTTTTTGATATGCTGCTGGATTTGATTTGCTAGTATTTTGTTGAGAATTTTTGTGTCTGTGTTCATGAGGGACATTGGTCTGAAGTTTGTTTGTTTTCTTTCATTGTGTCTCTGCCAGGTTTTGATATCAAAATGATTCTGACCTCATAGAATGAGTTAGGGAGGTGTCCCTCATCCTCAATTTTTTGTAATAGTTTCAGTAAGATTGGTACCCACTTTTCTTTATACATCTGATAGAATTCAGCTGTGAATTCTTCTGATCCTGGGCTTTTCTGGTTGGTAGGGGTTTTTCTGTATTATTATTACTGACTTTGTTTTGGAACTTTTTATTTGTCTGTTCAGGATTTCAATTTGCTCCTCGTTCAATCTTGAGAGGTTGTATATTTCCAAGAATGTATCAGTTTCTTCTAGGTTTTCTAGCTTGTGTATGTAGTGGTGTTCATAATAGTCTCTGATAGTTTGTCGTATTTCTGTGGGGTCGGTGGTAATGTCCCCTTTGTCATTTCTGATTGTGTTTCTTTGGACCTTTTTCCTTTTTTCTTTATTAGTCTAGCTAGTGTTCTATCAATCTTATTTGAGCTTTCAAATAATCAACTTCTGGCTTCATTGATGTTTTGCATGGTTTTCCTCATCTCCATTTTGTTCAGTTCAGTTCTAATTTTTTCTTTTTTCTTCTGCTAGCTTTGGTGTTGGTTTGCTCTTGTTTGTCAAGTTCCTCCAGATTTGATGTAAGGTTATTAATTTAAGATCTTTCTAACTTTTTGATATGGTCATGTAGCATTATAAACTTTCCTCTTAACACTGCTTTAGATCTGTCCTAGGGATTCTGATATGCTGTATTTTTGTTTTTATTACTTTCAAATAATTTCTTTATTTCTGCCTTAATTTCAGTGTGTACTCAAAATCATTCAGGAGCAGAATGTTTAACATCCATTTAATTGTATAGGTTTGAGAGATCCTCTTGGTATTGATTTCTTCTTTTTTGATATGTGGTCTGAGAGTGTGGATGGTATAATTTCAATTTTTTTGAATTTTTTGAGAATTGCCTATGGCTAAGGCTGTGGTCAATTTTGGAGTATGTGCCATGTGCAGATGAGAATATATGTTCAGTTGTTGTTGGGTGAAATGTTCTGTAGATATCTGTTAGGTTCATTTGGTCAAGCGTCAAGTTTAGGTCCCAAATATCTTTGTTAGTATTCTGCTTCCACGGTCTGTCCAATACTGTCAATGGACTGTTGAAGTCTCCCACTGTGATTGTATGGTTATCTGTCTCTTCATAAGTCTCTAAAAACTTGCTTTATGAATGTGAGTGATCCAGTGTTTGGTGCATATATATTTAGAATACAAGTCTTCCTTGTTGAATCAAATGCTTTATCATTATGTAATGATGCTCTTCTTTGTCCTTTTTGATTGTTGTTGATTTAAAGTCTATTTTGTCTGAGATAAGTATAGCAGCCCTTGCTCTTTTGATCCTATGGGTGGCCTTGCATGTGAGATGGATTTTTTTTTTTTTTTGAGACAAAAGTCATGCTCTGTCACCCAGGCTAGAGTGCAGTGGTATGATCTTGACTCATTGCAGACTCCATATCCTAGGTTCAAGCTATTCTCATGCCTCAGCCTCCCCAGCAGCTGGGATCACAGACATGCACCAACAACATGCTCAGCCATGATGGATCCCTTGAAAACAGCATAAAGTTGGGTCTTGCTTCTTTATCCAACTTGCCACTTTGTGCCTTTTAAGTGGGGCATTTAGCCTATTTACATTCAAGATTAATATTGATATATCCAGACTTGATCTTGTCGTGATGTTGTTAGCTGGTTTTTATGTTAGCTGATTATGAATTTGCTTTATAGTGTTGATGGTGTATGTACTTGAGCGTGTTTTTGTGGTGGCTGGTAACAGTCTTTTGTTTCCATGTTTAGCACTCCCTTAAGGGCCTCTTGTAAGGCAGGTCTGGTGGTAACAAATTCCCTTAACACTTGCTGGTCTGGAAATGATTTTATTTCTCCTCTTATGAAGCTTAGTTTGGCTTGATATGAAATTCTTGGTTGGAATTTATTTTCTTTAAGGATTCTGAATATAGGTTCCCAATCTTTTCTAGCTTGGAGGTTTTCTGCTGAAAGGTCTGCTGTTAACCTGATGGTTCCTTCTGTAGGTGACCAGCCCCTTCTTTCTAGCTGTCTTTAATATTTTTCTTTCACTTTGGCCTTGGAGAATCTGCTCTTTGTCTTGGGGATGATCATCTTGTATAGTATCTTGCAGGGGTTCTCTGAATTCCCTGAATTTCATGTCAACCTCTTTAGCAAGTTTGGGAAAATATTCATGGACAATATCCTTGAATATGTTTTCCAAGTTCCTTGGTCTCTCTCCTTCTCTTTCAGGGATGATGATTAGTAGATTTGGTCTCATTATAGAATTCCTGAGAAATTATATTTCTCAGAGGTTTTGTTCATTTTTGTAAAGTTATTTTTTCTTTATTTTTGTCTGACTGAGTTAATTTGAATAACTGGTTTTCCAACTCTGAGATTCTTTCCTCAGCTTGAACTCTTCTATTGTTAATAATTCTGATTATGTTATCAAACTCTTATAGTGAGCTTTCCAGCTCTATCAGCTCAGTCTGGTTCCTTCTTAAAATGGCTATTTTGTCTTTCATCTTTCGAATCATTTTATTGGATACCTTAGATTCTTTGGAATGGGTATCAACTTTTCTCCTGAATCTCAATGATCTTCATTGTTGTCCAGATTTTTAATTCTTTGTCTGCCATTTCAGCCATTTCATTCTGGTTAAGAACCATTGCTGGGGTGCTAGTGCAGTCATTTGGAGTTAAGAAGACACTGGCTTTTAGAGTTGCCAGAGTTCTTGCACTGGTGCTTTCTCATTGTGTGGGCTAATATCCCTTTAACTGTGGTGTATTTTGAGTATAGTCAGTTGGCTTTATTCTTGGGTTTGTGCAGGATTTTTATTTGTAGATGAACTCTTGTCCTTGGTTTCACAGAAGACTATGTTAGAAAAGTATTATTGGTGTTGATGTTAGGCTGCAATCTAGGAGATGGTGCTTACTTGTAATGGCTGGTAGATAGGCTCTTGCTCAGCCATAGGATTCCTCTGTATTTCCTGGCATTGGCCACTGTGCTACCTCCCATTCCTCTGAGAGTGTGAACTTCTCTCCTACTGGAGTTCTGGCTACTTACAGATCTCTGCTTACGTCTTCTAGGTTGCTGACTGCAGCCCTGCGTCATGATCCAGCTTTTTGTTTCCTCCCTAGCTTGGAGTAGCAGAGGTGGGGACCTTGGCAATGGCAATGGCAGAGGGCTTTTCACTTGTCTCTTGGGGCTTCACCCCAGATAAACACAGAGCTGCTGCTAATTGGAGCCACTGGCCCAGGGTTGGATAGCTGTGTTACAGGCTCAAGCCAAGGGCCCCTGCCTGGTGACAAGGAGGGAGGAGCAGGGGGATTGCAAGAAAGACATTCTGGCCTCTTCTCTATAGGGTGTCTACAGCATGCTAGAAATGTGAATAAGGCACTCAGACTCTTTATTCCTTCCCCAGCCTGGTGGCAGCAAGGACAGGTATGGCTGCAGCAGCTGTGTCAGAGGAGCTGTCAGATGC
This sequence comes from Homo sapiens, assembly GCF_000001405.40. NCBI lineage: Eukaryota > Metazoa > Chordata > Mammalia > Primates > Hominidae > Homo > Homo sapiens. The sequence goes on from NC_000013.11 coordinate 54,092,083, forward strand.
CCCCGGGAGCTCCACCCCAGAGAGACAAAGAGCTGCTATGGGAGAGATGCTGCACTGTGGGCCCAAGCTGGGGGCTGTGCCTGGTGAAGAGAACAGATTCAGGGGTTCTCAGGGAAAAGAGACTGGACTCCTCTCCATATGGCAGCTGTGGTGTGTTGGAGGTGCCAGCAAACCAATTAGGGTCTATATTCTTCCTGCAGTGTGAGGGCAGCAAGGGAAGTACTGCTACTGCAGCAATGGTAGAGGCCCTGTGGGTTGTCTCTGGGATTTCCTCCCCATAGAAACAGAACTGCCACCAACTGAAGTGCTCAGGCTGGGGGCAGCATGACTTGCTGGGGGCCCAGATTGGGAAGCCCTGCTCAGTGAGGAGTAGCAGGAGCAGGGGCCCCCATGGAAAATAGTCTGACTTCTTTTCCTTAAGGCACCTGTGGTGTGCTGGAAGCCCACAGTAGTTTTTAGGCTCTTTGCTCCCTCCTCAGCCTGAGGGCAGTAGGGGTGGGGAATGCAGAAGCAGCAAAAAGAGCAGCCTGTTACCTCTGGGAGCTCCATCTCAGAGAAGTGCAGAGTTGCTACCAGTCTGAGAGTTCAGGTCGGGGTTTGGTGGCTGTGCTGGGGCCCATGTCAGGAGGTCCTGCCCAGTGAGGAATAGCAGGAGCAGGGACCTGCATAGAAAACAGCCTGGCCACTTTTCCAATTACTGTGTGCTGGAGGCCCCGTGATAATCCTTAGGCTCTTCACTCCCTCCCCAGACTGAGGGCAGCAGGGGCAGAGGCTAAAATGGCTGACTGTCTGTTATCTCAGAGAAGTGCAGAGCCGGCAGGGGTGGGGTGGATGCGCGGGGGTCCCAAGGCACTGGGCTTTGCCTGCTGGGGTGTAGCCGAGGTAAGGCTTGCAGATTGTAGGCTCCTCGGCACAACGGATGCAGACCCTATCCTAGAAGTATGTGAGAGAGCCTGGACTCTTTTGTTGGCAACGAAACAGCAGCTAGTGCTGGGGTGCTGAGGAATGCAAGTCCCTTGGGGATCCATATGGGCCTGAGCAGAAGTTTTGCACAGACTCCATGAAGCTCTCAGTGTCAGTGCAGAGGCCCAAGGGGAAGGTGGTCGGGGGGATTCCCTTTCCCCAGGATTGCAAAGGTCTGTGACAGAAATATGGATCCCTGGGGGTTCTCTCTCACTCATTTTCTGCAGTGGGGAACCTCACTTGCCTCCATGCCAATCCCGGCTGAGTGGCTGTGCTGTCTCACTCTTCTCTGGTCTCTGTAGGTTTCCTTGCTTCCTTGATGAATCCCAATGTGTCTTCCTGGATAATCCAGGTGAACAGTTAGTGTTTACTTGCCACTCCATCTCCTTTCTGTGAGAGCAGCCCACACTAGCTGCTTCTAGTCAGCTATCTTGACACTGATATTTCCCTCCTAGAATCTTTTTGATTCAATGATAACTTTTCCTTTAGGTAGATACTCAGTACTGAAATTGCTGGATAGAACAGCAGTTCTATTTTTATTTCTTTGGGAAGTCTCCATACTGTTTTTCATACTAACTTACATGATACTTACATTAGGTGATACTAACTTACATGCCCACCAACAGTGCATTCCCTTTTCTCTGCATCCTCACCAATACGTTTTTCCTTTTCCTTTTTCATAGTAGCCATTCTGACTGATGTAACATGATATCTCATGGTTCTAATGTGCATTTCTCTGATGATTAGGAATGTTGAACATTTTTTTCATGGCTTCTTGGCTACTTGTACCTCTTCTTTTGAAAAGTGTCTACTCATGTCCCTTGCCCACTTTTTAATGGAGTTATTGTTGGTTGAGTCTTTGAGTCTCTTATAAATGGATATTATTTCCCTGCTTCATGCACAGTTTGCAAATATTTTCTCCAATTCTTCAGGTTTTCTGTTCACTTTATTAATTATTTCTTTTACTTTTCAGAATCTTTTTAGTTGAATTAAGTCTCATTTGTCTACTTTTGTTTTTATTGTTTGTTCTTTTGAGGTCAGAGTCAGGAAGTTTTTGCCTAGACCAATGTTAAGAGGCATTTTCCCTAGGCTTTCCTCTGGTATATTTATAATTCCAGGTCTACATGTAGGTCTTTAATTCATCTGGAGTTGATTTTTCTATATGTTGAGAGATAGGGATCCCGTTTCATTCTTTTGCATATGACCATCCTATTTTCCCAGCTCATTTATTGAGTAGGGTATCCTTTCCCCAGTGTATATTTGTTGACTGTGTCAATGATCAGTTGATATATCAGTTGTAGATATGTGGCTTATTTCTGAGTTTTCTCTTATGTTGCATTGATCTGTGTTTCTATTTTTATACTAATACCATGCTGTTTTGTTTACTATAGACTTGTAGTATAATTTGAAGTCACTGATGCCTCTAGCTTTATTCTTTTAGCTTAGAATTGCTTTGGCTATTCTAGCTCTTTTTTGATTATATGTAAATTTTAGGATTGTTTTTCCTAATTTTGTTAAAAATGACATTGGTATTTTGACAGTAATTTCATTGAATCTATAGATTGCACTGGGTGGTATGTTTATTTTATGATATTAATTTTTCTTACTCATGAGCATGGGATATTTTTTCATTTGTTTGTGTCCTCAGCAGTTTCTTTCATCAGTCTTCCATAGTTTTCTTTACATAGATCTTTCACTTCCTTGGCTAAATACATTCCTAGGTCGTTTATTTTTCCATTAAATAAACTTATTTAGCAGAGTGATATGATCAAATACACAAGTTTGGTCATTTTTTTTTTTAATGAGTGGTGAGAGAAGCAGGTAAAAATGCCTAGTAGGTATTCTTCTTGGCTCATTGGTTTGATAGTACCACTAACTGAAATTCATATAGGATAAAGAGAAGAGAAAAAAGAAATAACTATACATTATTTAGAAATGTTACATTTGAGGTTCTTGAAGAACTTTTAGTGAGGAGTTTAGCAGAAATTCAGATAAACAAATATTAAGTTTGGGAGAAAGGCCTGGGTTTGAGCTAAAGCTTTAAAGTCAACTTGTAGTTGATACTAAAATCTATGGTAGTAGATTAATTTGTTTAAAAATATTATATAATATATAATTATTGTGTACTAGGTATCCTTTAGCTAAGGATAAAAAAGGGAATCAAACTCATATTACCCCTGCCATAAGTGTGCTGTTACTCTGTTAAGGACAAAAACACAAAGTAAATAAATATAAATTGGGAAGTGTGATAGATCATATGATGTATTAGAAGTTTAAAAAAATGCTTATGACAGGATTGCATTCCTATTTATGGATAAATAGTTCCCCGTTGTACATATGTACATTTTTTTATCCATTTGTCTGTTGATGGACACTTAGATTGATTCCAAATCTCAGCTATTGTGAATAGTGCTGCAATAAACATGGGAGTGCAGATGTCTCTTCAGTATACTGATTTCCCTTCTTTGGATATTTACCTAGCCACGGAATTGCTGGATCATATAAATTACATTTTTAGTTTTTTGAGGAACTTTTATACTGTTCTCCATAATAGCTGTCCTAATTTACATTCCCACTAACAGTCTATGATGGTACCCCTTCCTCCACATCCTTGCCAGCATTCTTATTTCCTTTAAATTGTGTGAACTGAGAGAAATCAAGCACAGTCGCGTGGGGGTGGAAGAAACCATGACACCTAGCACCTTATACACCACCAGAGACATTTGGATTTCAAATGAAAGCAATGAGAAATCATTACAAATTTTAGTTTTTAAGTTTTAAGTGACATGGTAACATGCTAAAAAGTGATATATTACTCTTGTTATTAAATGGAAAAGTGGATCAGCAGAGAGCAGGAACGTTGTCCTAACATCATTCCCGAACTCTTGATCAACATTTTCATAACTTATGAAAAACTCACTAATCATAGCAGAGGTATCTTATATGGAAGAAATTGGGGCTCAGATAATCTTAATTACTTAATAGGCAAGTTATTGATCTGGCATAAAAATTCAGGACTTCTGATCCGTATCTCAGTGATTTTAATGCAGGATATATTACCTTTGGTTCTCTGAAAAATGCCTTTACTTCTGTGCATTTCCATAGTTTATGTCTGTTGTTCCACACCAAAAAACCTTCCTCCACCAGAACATTTTGCTGAAATTTTCTAAGACAAAGATCAACTGGCAAGAAACATTTTGAACTCAGGTCCTGTGGAACAAAAGTTGTGGGCAAGGTAAAGCTTGAACTTCAGCAGCAAAGCCAGACTGTCAGCAAGATTTCAAAATAATTTTCAAAATTTACAATCATGAGTACTAATCACCATAGGGTAGAGTTGTCATTAGCTATATGGACATTGACAGATATTGAATATTAGCTGGGCACATCAACTTAGGTGCAATCAACTAAGGTGCAAAATCATCAATATTTTAAGTCAAGAACATTCATAGAAGTAAAACCAATAGCAACAATATTGTCTTCAAAGAACCATATACATTCAAATATAATAATTGTAGCAAATATAAATTGACTGCTTCATATGTTATAGCACTTTACATACTTTATATGGATCTCTCTTCAATAGGCACTATTATCCTTATTTTGTAGATTTAAAAAAATCTAGGACACACAGTGATCAAGTAATTTGCTAAATGTTCACATTGCTTGAAATCACCAGGTCTAGGATTTGAACCACAGCTGCCTGGCTTCTCTCTGTCCTTGTATACTTCAAAACAATCTTATTGAAGCATAACATTATAAATAGTGTTTGTCTTTATATTTTAATTATTAAAAGTTATTAAAATTCAGAGCAACCAAGTTTAAATAGCTACAGCTTATTTTTTTAATTTTGCCATCAAAACAAATGGTTTTATATTTATTTGTACAGAGATTTATAAGACATAAAACATTATTATAGTTTGAGAACATAGGACAGTGTTTTTTATCTTCATATACAGTTAAAACTGTTGTTCAGTTATAAGTACTAAATAATCCCTTACCTTAAAAAATGAATGTCAGTGTTCAAGGACACAAAATTATTATGTCCATATTGTCTACAATTTTAGGTTGATTTCCTGTCATTTTATTGTTGGCTTGGTTTATAATCTGTTGCATGAGTTAGTAAGTATGACAGCTGCCTGATTTGATCTAGGGGGAAAAACAGCATTCTGATAAAACTATACTAGTGAGAGAAAATAAAATATTATAATAAACTTCTTACATCAGAAGGATATAAAGATCCTAAGGTACTATAAGGACCTAAATAAACATATTAGTCATAAATTAGATATATTTTATTTATAACTTTATTTAAATAATTAAAACAGATGTATCAAAAAGCTCCAGTAAGAGCCCTAAGGAAAAAATCATTTCCATTTGCTGCCTTATTACCAAATTTACGTGAATTCTCTAAAAGGTGAGATACTTTACTTTGCATGTTGGTTTGTACACATATTTTAAACATATTAATAAGTATTTTCCAAGGAGGTAGTTCTTTTATAGTATCATAAAGGAGAAAATAATCTTTTTATAGTTTACTTTTTATTTAACTATAGTTAAGTTTATCAATTCCATTTTGGTAGAGAAAATAATTGCTGACATTTAATAATGAGTTAACTTTCTCTAGGCCATTGCTTTACATGTGTTAAATCATTTAATATTCACAATAACTTTATGAAATAAGGGTCATTATTAACTCATTATATAATGAGGAAACTGAGATATGGAGAACAGAGGCAAATTTCTCAAGGTTATACATTTAGTAAGTAGATGAGTTGAGATCTGATTGTAGGCTATTTCTGAGTCAGATATTTTAACTACATTAAACTGAAGTATATATATTTCTCCAGGAGTTAATGGAAACCTGCTTTGGAGAGGCTAATATTTAAGTTACATAAGGAGAATTCTTTTTTGAACAATAAGTACATATTTTTATGCAGCAATGCTTTTATCACATTTTGGAATATGTACTGTCTTAGTCCATTTGTATTGCTTTAAAAAATACTCAAAACTGGATAACTTATAAAGAATAGAAATTTATTTCTTACAGTTCTGGAGGCTAGAAGTCCAGAATCAGGATGCTGGCATCTGGTGTCTGTTGAGGGCCTTCTTGCTGCATCTTCACAGGGTGGAAAAGACAGCAATTACAAAAGGAAGGTCACCAAGTCCTCACATGGCAGAAGAGTGGAAGAGTAAGAGAGCTTCAACCTCAAGCCATTTACTTAGAGTGCTAATTCTATTAATAAGTTGGAGCCCTCATGACTTAATCATTTTTAAAAGGCTACACCTCAAGTTTCAATGTGAATTTTGGAGGGGACACCCTCATTCAAACCATAGCACGTGCCATAGTTAAAGGTTTTTGTTTTTCTATGTTGAAGAAAAATTCTAGTAAGTGAAAAATTCTGTAAGGAAGACATATTCTTCAGTTCTTGTCAATCTAGAGGTTAATTTTTTAAATAAAGGTGAATATACACTAATCTGTTAGTCAAAGTTAATTCCAAAGGGTAGAATTATATTGCATGACAACAGTGAGGGAGACCTTTACATTTGAATGTTTTTATTTTGTACCATTTGCATTTTTACAGTAACCATTTTAATTTTGTATTTAAAATAAGACAAAAAGGTAAAAATTCCAGGCAGGGACTGGGAAGAAGTGCCGTAAGTGTCAGTTTTATTTTATGGATAGGAAAATGGCTATTAAGAGAAGGTAGGTAAAATACTCAGCATCATCTAACTCCAAAGTCCACAGACTTTTCATGTAAATTGAAGAACAGAAAAGAAGGCAAGCAAGCAATTTAGATTTAGAAATTCAGCCTTGGGCTCTATTAGCTGCATAACTTGTGTTAAAACCTATCATTCAATCAGGATTCCTGCCATAAATTTTTAACAGGCAGGAACTCTGTCATATTTACCTCTATCCTAAAACGTTTGGCCCATAGTTAGAATTCAGTAGCCATTGAATTTGAATGAATTGAACAGAATGTTTATTTATATTCAAGGCAATAATGATTTTCCATGAAAATGTATTTACATATCTCGTAGTTCCATCTCACATTTTTAGGTTAAGAATCAAATTTTTCCTTGAAACGTAAATAGGTCATTCAGTAATCCATTATTCAAAATGAAAATAAACAAATAATTGTCATTGACATACAGCCAGCCACTTTTTAAATTAGTGGGAATGAGCAGTGGCCCTCTTATTCTGTAGCATCTGGAATTCTTATAAACTTTCAAAGGAGTCAAATGTTTCAGAGTATTATTTTCTTCATATTTTTCTCTCTTCCCACCTCTTTTCAGCTTTTTGTTTATCTCCAGTGCTCATCCATAAAACTCAGTATGAAAATAAAGTTTTAAATAAAGGAATGAGGATTACCATGCAGCATAACATATTTCAGTTCTCTTTCCCTATACTCAAAATCTGAGCGTTGGTAGCAACTTCAAATGTCTTGGGCTTAAGGAATATGTCATATTAACTCCCTTAATGTGACTTAACAACAGAACAATAGTTTATTCTTAAGTAATTATATTTGAAGAAAAGAAACTATAATTAAATAAACAGAGAAACCCTTGATCTGTTATTAATGATTTTTAAAGAATATTTTGAAAGCCATGGAAACTCCTACCCTAAAACTAATTTTAAAATCAGGCAGTTTCATATATTGTGTAAGAAAATTTATATAATACTATTTTTGAAGCTACTTCAGCATCCTAATTTTCCTATAATCATCATCCTCTTTCAATATCCATTATCTTTGTATGCCTAGGGTTCATGTTTAACGAATCAAGCTATAGTCATAAAAATAGAAACACATTTTAGTAACTATTGCTATTACACTAAAAATACATTTGGATCTATAAGATTTCACAAATTCAGGACTCTTTCCCAATACCAAATGTCTTGAATTTCCTACAGTTGAGCGAAATAATAGTTCTGCATTGCTTTTCTAATTAAAGAGCAGAAAGTTAATAGCTTTGGACATCTCTGCAAAATGAGTAAATGTGTCCTCCTGCCTTGACATTTCCTCCAGCATTGATTTGAAAACACTAAATGTATTTTATTTTGTGGAACCAGAGCACAAAAATCCACCCAGTAATTATTTTCCATTGATATTCCCTCAGTGAGTTTGCATTTGTAGGATAAGAATTGGCATTTATAATTTAGAGCCAGTCAAATTATAGAATTTGTAGACTGAAGCTCTTTATTTTTATTAGTATAACCTTACAAAGTGATGGGATGATTTTGTACAGTCTATTCATTTGTCTCTTATTTCAAAATTAATTAAATAAGAGCCACTTTGCCTATAGAACAGAGCAGGAGAAGTTTCTTGAGCACATTTTTAAAAAATACATTTATTAGAAAACTTATTTTGACACTTTAAGACCAAGGCACAACTAAGAAATCAAGTTTACATTAAATATTTTAAGGGAAGATCGTCTAAATGCAGGCTTCAGGTCTGGTCAGCAGGACACCTCCCCCAGATTTGTAGTGAACTTAGGAACTTTTGCCTTCACATAGGTGTTGGGAACCTGAATAATGCCCTTTATATTGATTATATGCCATCAAGAAAAAAGTCAGGGTAGTGCAGGTGTGGGCAATGAGATGAAGCAGTGGCGGAGGTCAAACTGCAGATAAATGAAATATCAGTCAGCAGTCATATGCTCTCTCTTTCTGAGATTTAGAGTATAGACCTTCCCTGTGGGATGCTGAAATCAGAGAAATTCACACTGCATCTGTCTTTCAACATTCTCCACAAATTATAATTAATATACAGATAAAACCAGGCTTAAAGAAACGTAGAGTTATTTACCCTTAAAGAAAAGAAAAGTTATAAAAAGTCAAGCCAAAATGCTATATGGAAGTTGGCAAAGAATAATTTCATGAACATTGCTCTGATGCTTGGCTTGTTGATGGTATGTGGTTTTGGGGATCCTTCCCCTTCCCCCCTTTTTTTCCTCATTCTGTGAGATTCATGTAGAATTTGGAACAGGAATAATTACTTCATTAATTAAAGGCACCTAATATATGGGACAAAATATTCTGGTGTGGTAATTGATGGACTTCTCTTCATTGACTATAATATCTATGCATAGTCAGTGACTCACAATCTTAGTCTTCAACCATGACCTGTATATTGAGACCAGACAAAATACTGTCAACACACTCTGAAGGAAAGTCTTTATTATCCATCAGGGCTTTTTTCCTTGTCTTCCTATCTCTGTTGATATCACTATCTATTTTTATTTTGGTCTAATCTACAAGAGATTGTTGTTCTTCACTTTGTGCTGCCATCTCCCCATTACCTTCCACAACCATTGGAACAGTGGTCTATTTGTAATGAGTCTCTAACTTCTCCTCCTTTTCTTCTTTTGGGTTGCTATTATCACACTCTATCTTGTGACAATCTCCATAACAGACTACTGCAGTCATCTCCAAAACCATGGAGGAAAAAAGAGTCAACAAGGAGAGTAATGAGATTATGTCTTTCACAAAGATAATTCTTTTTATTATTATTATTATACTTTAAGTTCTGGGATACATGTCTTGAACGTGCAGGTTTGTTACATAGGTATACACATGCCATGGTGGTTTGCTGCACCCATCAACTCATCATTGACATTAGGTATTTCTCCTAATGCTATCCCTCCCCTAGCCCCCAACCCCCTGACAGGCCCCGGTGTGTGATGTTCCCCTCCCTGTGTCCATGTGTTCTCATTGTTCAACTCCCACTTATGAGTGAGAACATGCGGTGTTTGGTTTTCTGTTCCTGTGTTAGTTTGCTGAGAATAATAATTCTTTCAAAGGATAACACTTTGTTCAGAGTGGAGAAAAAGACAAAAATATTTTTGTAAGTCTTGTGACTTCAACTTAAGGATATTTAAGATAGAGGATATTACAGATTCCATCATTGTTTTCACGAAGGTCTCTTGGAGGACCCAGACACTGGTATACCTATTCTTTTTTAACAATATAGGCATACCTTGGAGATATGTGTTCAGTTCCAGACCAATGAAATAAAATGAATGTTGCAACAAAGCAAGTAACAGAATTTTTTTTGTTTCCGAGTGCATATCAAACTTATGTTTACACTATACTTTAAGTGTGCAATAGCATTATGTCTAAAAAATGTACAGACATTAACTTTAAAAATACTTTATTGCTAAAAAATGCTAATGATCACCTGAACTTTCAATGAGTTATAACCTTTTTGGTTCTGGAGTGTCTTGCCTCAATGTTGATGGCTGCTGAGTGATTGGAATGGTGGTTGCTGAAGGCTGGGGTTGCTGACACAATTTCTTAAAATAAGGCAACAATGAAGTTTTCCACATAGACTGACTTTTCCTTTGATAAGGGGTTTCTCTAGCATGTAATGTTGTTTGGTAGCATTTTACCCACAGTAAAATTGCTTTCAAAATTGGTGTCAATTCTCTCAAACCCTGATGTTGCTATATCAATTAGGTTTTACATATTTGAAATCTTTTGTTATTTCAACAACATTCACAGAATCTTCACCAGGATCAAATGCTATCCCAAATAAGTACTTTTCTTTGCCCATTCCTAGGAAGTAATTTGTCATTTGTTCAAGTTTTATCCTGAGATTGCAATAACTCAGTCACATTTTCAGGCTCCACTTCTAACTCTAGTTCTCTCGCTATTTACACCACAACTGCAGTTACTTCTTCCACCAAAGTCTTGAAACCCCTCAAAGTCATCCATGAGGGTTGAAATGAACTTTTTACAAACTCCTGTTAATGTTGATATTTTGATCTCCCATGAATCAAGAATATTCTTAATGGCATCTAAAATGGTGAATCCTTTCTGGGAGGTGTTTCATTTACTTTTCCCAGATCCATCTGCAGAATCACAATGACAGCTATAGCCTTATGAAATATATTTCTTAAATAATAAAATTTGAAAGTAGAAATGACTCCTTGAATCATAGGCTACAGAATGGATATTTTGTTAGCAGACATGAAAACATTAATCTCCTTATACATCTCCATCAGAGCTCTTGGGTAACTAGGTGCATTGTCAATGTAATGTTTTGAAAGAAACCTTTTCTTTCTGAGCAGTAGATTTTAACAGTGAGCTTAAAATATTCAGTAAACAATGCAAACTGTGCTGTAAACAGATGTGCTGTAATTTGTCTTTGTTGTTTCATTTATAGAGGACAGGCAGAGAAGATTTAGCATAATTCTTAAGGACTGTAAATTTTCTGACTGGTAAATGATTATTGGCTTCAACTTAAAAGTCACCAGCTTCCTTATCCTTTAATGAGAGGGTCAGCCTGTCTTTAGAAGCTTTAAAGCCAAGTATTGACTTCTCCTCTTTAGCTATGGAAGTCCTAGACAGCATCTTCTTCCAACAGAAGGCTATTTTGTCTACATTAAAAATTTTTTGTTTAGCGTAGAGAATTTTTGTTTAGTGTAGAAGTTCAGATAGTTCAGATGATTGATGAACAGTGGATAACTTGCTGCAGCTTCTACATCAGCATTTGATACTTCATCTTGCACTTTTATGTTATAGAGATAGCTTTTTTCTTTAATCCTCAAGAAACAACTTCTGCTAGCTTCACATTTTCTTCTGAAGCTTCCTCACCTCTCTCAGCCTTCATATATTTAAAGCGTTAGGGCCTTGTTCTGGCTTTGGCTTAATGGAATGTTGTGACTGATGTGATCTTCTATCCAGACCACTAAAACTTTCTCCATATCAGCAAGAAAGTGCTTTCATTTATTTAAAAATCATTCATGTGTCCACTAGAGTATCACTTTTAATTTCCTTAAAGAACGTCTTCTTTGCATTCACAACTTGGCTAACTATTTGGCATACGAGGCCTAGTTTTCAGTCTGTCTCAGCTTTTGACATGCTTTCATCACTAAGCTTAAATAATAGTATTCGAAAGTCAGAATGACTCCCCAATCCGTAGGCTACAGAATGGATGTTGTGTTAGCAGACATGAAAACCACATTAATTTCTTTATACATCTCCATCAGAGCTTTGGGTGACTAGGTGTATTGTCAATGTAATAGAACGCAGTGAGAACAGTCACTTTAGAATGTAGTGAGAACTCTATGTCATGTGACTCTTCCTGTCACTTGAACACTTAAAGATCATTGTTCGGTTACTTATTGGCCTACTTTCAATATTGCTGTTTATCAGGGACTGGGAGGACCTAAGAGAGGGGGAGAGACAGGGAACAGCCAGTTGGTGGAACAGACTGATAATACACAACGTTTATTAATTAAGTGTGCCATCTTATATGGGTGTTGTTCGTAGTGCCCCAAAACAATTAGAATAGTTACATCTGATCACAGATTACCATAACAGATATAATAATAGTAAAAATTTGAAATATTGTCAAAATGTGACACAGAAACAAGAAGTGAGCACATGATGTCATAAAAATGGCATTAATAGCAGGATTGCAATGAGCTGATAGCTCAAAGCAGGATTGCCATAAACATTTGATTTGTAGAAACTGCAGTAGCTGGGAAGTGCAGTAAAGTATGAAGCAAGATAAAAAGAGGTGTGGCTGGGCATGGTGACTCACGCCTGTAATCCCAGCACTTTGGGAGGCTGAAGCGGGCGGATCACAAGGGCAAGAGTTTGAGACCAGCCTGGCCAATATGGTAAAACCCCGTCTCTACTAAAAATACAAAAAATTAGCTGGACGTGGTGGCGGGCATCTGTAGTTCCAGCTACTTGGGAGGCTGAGGCAGGAGAATGGCATGAACCTGGGAGGCAGAGCTTGCAGTGAGCCGAGATTGCGCCACTGCACTCCAGCTGGGGGGACAGAGTGAGACTCCATCTCAAAAAACAACAACAACAACAACAACAACAACAAAACAAAATAAAAAAAGAAATAAAAAAGAGATGTGCATGTATGATAACAATGATTGTAAGTGTCAACCACTGAGAGAGCGTTCTCTGTGTATCACCCACAATGCTAAGTAAGGTGTTTTATGTAGGTTACCACAATCTCAATCCTTGCAGTATCCCTATGAGGTGTTGTTAATCTCATTTTACAGAGTAAGAAATTGATTTTAAGGGAGGATAAATAAATTATCCAAGGTATCACAGTTGGTAAATTTTAGAGTCCAGATCTGAAAGCAGGCTGATTCCAAAGATAACTTATAGTAGGCACAGCCTCTGGAACCATCCGCTTTAGTTCTAGTACCTCATAATTTATAGGCCTTGGGCTAATTTTATTAATATCTTTGTGCATCACTTTTCTCATCAATAATGTAAGGATAATAATTTTCCCTTTATAGCGTTTATATGCAGATTAAAATAACATATGTTTAGCACCAAGAACAAGGCCTAGCACATAGTGAGAGCTGTATAAAGTGTTAAGGACTTTCATTCGATTGTCTCCCCTTCATCCATACCATATTTAGAAGTGGGGTTGAGTAGAATTGGATATGTTTAGCTTTAGAATCCCTGTCTACTATGCCTGAACCCAGGAACAGGCAGAGTAAATGGCTAAAGGGATAGGTCTTGTCATATCCCAGGTTAGATAAAACTTATGTCAAAATCACATGGTATTGATGGTCATTCTTTTTAGTTCATTGATTTAAAGACTCCATTTGATCGGCTTAAGAAATCCTCAGGCAGAAATGGGAGTGCAAGACTAGGGAAATTGCTTTTGGGAATCTAATACTAATAATTATTACCATAGTCTCTCCTCCTCGTCATGTTTGGTCCTCTAAGTGGACATAGATAGAAGAGACATTCTGACCTCTTGAAAACAATACATTTTGGATGTTCCTATGTTTTAAAGAAAAATAAACATGTTATCCAAAGTCACAGCAAAGGAAAATTAACAAATTCATTAATCAGAGTTCTTTTTAGTAAAATAGTTAATATGCTTATTGAAGCACAAACTCCCTATTGCTTCTGCTTTTGGAATTTGTGTCCAAATTCAAATTTTATTAATTAAAGAAAAGGTATAACATACTATTATGTCAGATGACGAATAGTCATTTTATTAAAAGTATATCTTATTTAAAACAAACAAATGATTTAATTAGTTGAAGAAAGTAGAAATGGATTCTAATTAGTGGATTTTCTGATTATTCTTTCCCATGGCCTTTAGCTGTGACAAATTAGGAAAGACTGAATAAAACAGTGAAAGGAAATCAAATTATCTCTGCTCATTTAATTTTTAAGTATTTAATAAATCTGTAAATGTTAATCTACAAAAAATATTGTATTTATATGATTGAATTATAAATAGATGATAAAAACATTTGACAGTGAAAAGAATTTCATTTTAGAAGCCAGATGATCTAAATTTTCTTTATCTGTTAACTGTAGTGTCAGCTCCTGCAGACCTCATTTTCTCATCAGGAAATGGTGACTGCCCCAAAAACCCTTCTCCTGATCCATGAATTCTTCAAGCTTTGGCTTATGTGTCACTTTCCTAGTTTAAATCCTATTGTTAAAACTTCAAATTGCAAATGTAATTTATTTGAGGTATTTAACATCAATTTAAATTTGTAATTATTTCTCTGCTATCTATTCTTCTAATGGACTGTCAATGTTATATGATGATAAGATGAATGGCTGTCTTTTATATCATCTTTGCACATAATACTTTCAATTAATGTATAGACTGAAATCAAGGCTATCAAACCCAAATGCCTTTAGTCTGAATACGAAACATCATAGAGTTTAGAAACCAGATAAACTGGAGACTGTAGGTACCATTCAAAATTATTAAAGTTTTAAAATACCATTCATGCAAAAATAATAAAGCTCTGTGGAATCATATTTTTGTGACTTCAAGTATCTGCCAGTAGGTCATTCAAACACCCTAATGACAGTAAAACAAAAGAAAACAAAACAATAGGAACTAATGGAAAGTGTTCCATCAGACAAATAAGGAAAATTTTTCTGTATTGTATTTCTTATTGCCCTCTATTATTTAATACATAATCAGTTCTTTTTTCAGTAATCTCAAATCTTCCTCCATGGAACTCTTCTTGATGAATTTGACCTTATACTACTATCTCAAAGTATTCTTGTATCTCTATCAGTAAATGTACATAAATAATCATTAGGTTAAACATACTTAATAAATTAAAAATGCATTGAGAAAATATTTATTAAAAATTATCACCTCCTTACAAATTAACACATTTGTAATTCAGCATGGGCGCCCTTTAAATAATAAACTCTTATTACGTATTTAAATATGCAGTTATATTTACAACTTGTTTTACATGGGACTTTTAAAAAGTCTATCTCATTTCAAAGCAAGATTCAGCTGCATTGATAAAAAATTGTGCTTCTGCAGGAGACAGAACTTTGCTTTTATTTATTCTGTTTCATATTACAGACCCATATGCTCACTGTACACTGTGGACACTCAATAAATCTAGTTGACCAAAATTGCAATACTTCTAACCTGACTCTCAACTGTCCTTCAAAATTTAAATAACATGAAATGTAAATTAAAGCTATCAACAGGAAACTAAAACTGGAAAATATTTATCAAAAGAAAAAAAACTAGGCAAAAAGAATTTAGTCATTTAATGCCCTTGGCTATGTAAATTCTTCATTTCTTATTACAAAACTGGAGACAGAATACAAAACTATAGGTATAAAATCTGAACCTATGACATACTCTTCTCCAAGCTGTAGATATTCTTTATAATACTAGATTTTCTCAAACTTCATTCAATACCACATTCATTTCTACCATAGATAATTAAAATGATTATGAAAATAACAGAAATGCATTGACTTAAGTATAAATGTATTTTTCATTTCACAATCTTGATCCACTATGGAAAACTAAATGTGTTTATAGTACTTGTTCCCCACGTCTACTAAAAGTTTGTACTCCATACTAGTTTTGTCACAGAAAAAAAAAAAAAAGAATACATTATAGCTAAACTTTATGTTGAATTTAGGGCTTTTTAAAATAATTTATGATACCGTAAATATAATTATCATCAAAACAAATCCTGTCACTTGCAGAAAAGATGAAGAAATTCTGCAAATCATCATCTAAAATAAAGAAAAATTTTGTCAGAGATGATATCGTGAAAAATTAGAATTAAATATAAAATATCTAAATAAGATACAAACACCTAGTTTCAAAATGTGTCTTAAAACAACTGAGGCTAAAATATTTTTGTGAGCAATTTCTTAAATTATTTCTAATACTAAGAGATGACTTTTAGACATAACAGAGAAAATTCAAAATTACCTAAATATTTGAGAAGTATTGTAAGTTTTATCTAAATGTAGAGCTAAATATACTATGAAAACAATAATGACACAATTACAGAACTCTTCATCTCTCTTACACATTCAATGACAATGGCAATTGTTTACTGCATAAAGTTAATTCTTCCTGAAATAGATTTTCAGCTAATAATTTTTTCTTCAGGGATGTTGGCATTAATCTGTTGGATAAATATTAAGAAAAATTCTTTTGAAAAAGAACTGTTTAAATTTGTTTGTTTTGAGACAGAGTCTCACTCTGTCGCCTGGCTGGAGTGCACTCACCATTGCAACCTCCGTCTGCCGCCCCCACCCACCCCCTACCCCCGATTTCAAGATATTGTCATGCTTCAGCCTCCTAAGGAGCTGGGATTATAGGTAAATGCCAGTACGCCCGGCTAATTTTTGTCTTTTTATAGAGAGGGGGTTTCACCATGTTGGCCAGGCTTGTCCCGAACTCCTTACCTCAAGTGATTCGCCCACCTTGGCCTCCCAAAGTGCTGTGATTACAGGTGTAAGCCACTGTGCCTGGCCTAAAATTATAAGAATTTTGAACTTAAAACTCCTCTAAAAAATAAATCCACTAAAAAAAAAGAATTCCATACACCAGTGAACTATGCCATACTGTATTTGTTTTTGAAACTTTATTTCTATGTTAAATACATATCTTTAATCAATTATTCAGTGATTTTTGAAAGGAACTATGCATCTGAAGAGTCCCTAGACTATCATCTCATAGTTAATGACAATGAAAAAGATGAGGAAGATGGGGGATAAGGAGGAGGAGGTAGAGGAGACAATGATGACAACAAAAAAGATAAAAGAAATGGTACAGAAGAAAAGGAGGAAGAAAGACAAGGAAAAGGAAAGAGGAAACTAACTGAAAGAAGAGAAAGTCTATTACTAAAGAAAACTACTCAGAAAAATAGGTTTCTTCTTCTCTTTTATTTACTTACTGCCCTGTCTTAGTCACATATCTACTATACACTATTCTTTGTTGGGCAATGAGAATAATATTGCTAATCAGCTCATAGAAATGTTTCTGTTCTGTCTCTCATATCTACATAGGTTCTTTGCTAGCATTATATTTCTTAGAGAAGCAATGATCTAAAATCAATGTCTGTGTTATTCTTGAATAAAATCTAACAATAAATTCAATTCACAACATTGTTAGTATAGCCTTGACTAGTGAGAGTGTTACTATAAAAGCAGGAAGAGTTTCTCTATGGAACTGTAGCTCCCCATGTTGTCTATCTTTCTGTCCTTTACTGCTCTCGGTTAACTCACTGTGTCAGATTACCCCAGCAATGTTATAGTCTGTTTCTTTCCATTAAAAATCAGTCTTATTTCAATTGACTGTAATTGAAAAATCCCAACACAATTACATTATGGGACAAATAATTATCAATATTAATCTATTGCTCCTCTAGATGGATTTGCAGTTTCAAAAAAATTATTTTAACCCCAATAAATGTATATGAAATTGAAATGTAAGCATTATATAGCATAGATACTTATAGAGTGGAGCCCTTCTGGAAACTTACAAATCATATAACATATTTGAATTAATCCACCAATAACTAAATTCAGGCATATTTGGCCAAATATTCTTTCACTTAAATAGGCAGGTTAAGTTCCCTTCTCTTTCTACTTTCCGACTTATTCTAACCATTAAAGAGAGAACATCCATTCACCTGTCTTCAAATCTGTGCTCATGTCTTTTATTTGCTAATTTTTCAGTTCTAAATGAATTCTACCTTCTCTTAGAAGAGACCATGTCTGTGTTCTCACTTGTATCTAATAAAATAGCTGACAAATAATAGGCACTCATTAAATGTCTGTTGAATGAATGAACAATGTGTGGTTAGATTCCAATGATAAAGGAATGCTAGAGCTAACATACTTTTGTAGGAAAATGTCCTTAGTTTGGTCAATAAAATTATGTTTTGATATGAGCAAAATAAATATGAAATTCAAACGTTTGCATAGTAAACAAGACAAAATTGAAGTTAATTGATGGTCATATCCTGTGAGGTTAACAGAAGACATCTGCACCTAAAAATGAATAAATAACCAGTATAAACATAACTGTCAATCTCAACCTTTTAATGACTAAATTATTATTTACTCTTTTGATGTAAACAAAAATTCATCTTTGGAAACTCAAGCACAAAAGTGACATCTGAATAGTTTATAATTTTAATTCAGACATGACACATACTGGTCTTTAGCATTCCCTGATAAGATAACTTTATTCTTTTCAGTAATTTGGATTTCTGCTGCAGGTATTTTTTTCCCCTCATGTTATTGCCAACTCACCTATTTTCATAAACAAAGTAAGTAGCCCATGTATGCTACTACATTTCCAATCTCACAGAATCCTAGGCAGTATTATTGCAATTCCTTTCTCTACCTCAGACATTCTGAAAGGCATTAGTTGTAAAGTATTGTTGAGTTGACAGGTCTAGAGTTGCTGCTGACACTGTAGAAAAAGACTTCCCAAAAGGTTAAAGCCTACATTTTATCAAAGAAAACAGCAATGAAAGATTTGAACTATTGTGTCTTGAATTATGGCTGGCTGAGATACTCTACTGAATCACTTAATCCTTTTAATACCCACCTATTTTAGCTTTTATATAAGCATCTGTTCATACAAAGCCTGCATCAAGCTCTGCATCAAATTCCAAATCCAGGAACTATTAGAACTGCTTGTAAGATTGATGGACTGTGCTGTGAGCTGTGAAAAGATTGAGAAAATGAGGGAATCAGCATTATTAGAACCCAGGAGGTGCAAGCACTTAGTTACCTGGACTCAATCTTTCTGCTTCTAACTTATTGGATTTCTTCTAATACCAGACTGTTTCTAAGACCTAGGAACAAAATGGTGTCAGGAAAGCACATATGTTGATGTAATTATTTTTGTTAAGCTGCTAGGTCTATTGATTTAGACTATCATAGAAAAAATTCTATAAGGGCTGTTGTACCACATGACTTTGAAATCAATTAGAGTTGAGTTCATGTCTCATGTGACAATCTAATGGAAAAGATTGATCTGTTTGGTGCAAAGTAAGTACTTACTATTAAGATTTGATTTTGTTATGCTCTGAATAGGAAACGTGAAAAAAATAAACAGGCAAGTCATTCTCATGTTGCTTTCCATCTCAAACCTTGAGCACCAATGAAATATTATAACACTTCCCTTTCACCACTGTTCCCATCATGGAGAAAGGTAGGTAAGAAACAGAAGTAAAGAAGATTCAATCAGTTAAACAGAAAATCTGTTTCCTACTGAATAAAAGTTTAAAAAAAAAATCTATGAACAATGTAAAAGTAGCCATCTAGGAAAATATGAAATTTTAAAAATGTGTATACATATAAAAACATCACATGCTGGGCATGGTGGCTCACCCTTGTAATCCCAGCACTTTGGGAGTTAAAGGTGAGTAGATTGCTTGAGCCCAGGAGTTCCAGACCAGCTTGAGCAACATAATAAGATCCCATCTCTACTAAAAATAAAAATTAAAAAAAAAAGAATTTAGCCAAGCATGGTTGTGCACCCCTGTGGTCCCAGCTAGTATGGAGGCTGACAAGGGAGTATCACTTGAGCCTGGGAGGTTGAGGCTCCAGCAAGCCATGATTGTGCCACTGTACTCCAGCCTGGGAGACAAAGAGAAACTCTGTCTCAAAAACAAAAAGCAATAAAACAAATTTTAAAAAACCCATCACATTGTACATCTTGAATATATACAAATTCTATTTGTCAATTATATTCAATAAATCAGAAAAATCCAAATAAAACAAAAAAAGTTATGCAGCTCAATAGTTGAACATTTTTTTCCAAAACACACACACAACCAATAAAAATCTCCTCACCAATGTATTTTCTTATAACCCAAAGTGTTATTATTATAGAGAATTAATTAGATTGAGAAGAAATACTAAAATGCATAATACGTCAGGATTCTCTGTATACAGTTGTCCACAAATTTAAATCCAGAGTTACAAAAATGAACATGGGTATGTGAAATCAGCAGCCTACTTATAGGTGAACAAATTCTGTCAATAATTTGTTTTAGAATTAAAGAACCATGTCTGTTTTAAAAATGTACTTCTGATAATATATAACTAATATGTAACATATACCTCTGCTTTCAAGTGTTAGTACTTGATCAGAGGATGTCATCTAAAATTTATGAATTGCATATTCTTTATGGGATTGTGACCTAAATATTTTGTTTACTATTTTTGCTGTCTTTTAATGATTGACATTATTAGCCTTCCCTTGTTATGTTTCTATTAATACTTCCCATGATACCCCACTGTTTGAATCTTGAGGAGTTTTACAAACAAGCGATAGTTTTATCCTTTCTAGTTATTCCTGTATTTCGCTCTACAAAGTTTTACATAAAAAGAATTTTCACACTGTATTACTTTATTTAGAGAACGGCATTTTTCTTAGCTAAAACTTCCAAACTTTTATTTGTAGATAGCCACATTGACATATTGTTTGCATGAACAAGATAAAAATGTGCAGAACAAACATGTGAAGAGTTTGCTCTTCACCATACTTTCTTCTAATTTGTTGAGTTGTCAAAATCCTTTATTAAAAGAATCTGAACACAAATATCAAGTAGAAATGCTTGTGGGCACCTTCATCACCCATTTCTTCATGAATAAGCCAAGGAGACATTCGCTACTAACACATAAGAAATGGCATCAAACTGTACACATACAATAAAAATCTTGCTACTTAGAAAGAATCATATACTGGGTAATGAAAATACAATTTGGATATTCATGAGGAATCCATGAGTCATAAAAATTCAAATAGCCACACATGATTCATTCTGAAATAAAAGTAGACACAGCTCTATAAGAAAAAAATATGGAAACACTAGGTGAAAGTGAGTAGTGGTAACCAGTTAACCTAAGATGAATACAGGTTTACCTGCAAATGAAATGTGACAATGTCTGAGATTTTCCTCTAGTGTTCCAGAAAATATAAAAATGGAATAATCTTCTTTCAACTGAAGTGCTACCTACTCACAGAACACTGGATAATAGAAGCTCTATTGAGACTTATTATTCTCGATAAAGTTAATGTCAAATTGGACGACCATTTAAGCATGAAAGTGACAGAAAAGGAAGCACTGTTTAAGTGCAAAGGCTTTTTCTGAAATTTAAAATCTTTTTAAAGAAAAGACTTTAAATACAAAGGTGGTCCATTGCCTAATGCCAGCACAAAAAAATTAGATACAATTGAAAAAGAGGTTTGTGAGTGATCTCTCTGAATGATGAAATAGTAGGTGCTGTTTTCATAATTCAAGGTATGTTGACTGGTGGTGGTCTGAATTCCTTTACCACAGAAGGAACAAAGACACACTGCTTTCTCTTCTTTTCTAGTTGAGTTTGCATTTACCAATTATCCCCTCAAAATGTGCAATTTACCAGTATTGATTGAACTACTCTATTACAACTGAGTATCTTTTTAATGGATAAGACATTTTTTAGCATGAACAATACTATATTAATTGAAAGATTTATCTTTCCTACAATGAAAATAATTTAACAATTAATGACAAATTTTGTGCATGTGTATGTGTGTGTGCGTGTGAGAGAGAGAGAGAGAGAGAGGAAAACAGAGAGAGAGAAAATGTGCTTTTTAATCTGTGTATTTTGGGGAAATTTTTGCAAAGGCTTTGTGCTAGTGTGACAGCGTTCACAGTATTTGCAGCTTTCTGAGGTATTAGCCCAGTCTGAAGTGTAGATGATTAAAGTCAGCTCAGGTTTTCAGTGAAAACAGATATTATTGAAATGCTAGAATGGACCTTTCTCTCTTTGCATCTTTATAGCTTTTATGATCAAACAGAAGACTTGCTTTTTTTCCCCCTACATTTGAATTTTAAAGAGTCCAGAAATCATAATTCTCTTTTACCAGAATGTCATGAGTCCCTTTAAAAATTGTCCAAATGGACTCTGTAACATATCGAAGGGATGATATCATTGATAAGGCAGCTGGAAGGATGCACAGTTGCTAGGAAGGGGACCTTTCTTGGATTTGTTGTGGTTGTTCCTCCCTAGAGGATCTTAAAGCAGGTTAAGTAATATCCATCTGGACTAGTCAGGATATAGTTTCTTTCAAGTACAAGGTATAGCGCATAATTCAAGCTCTAGACCCAAAGGGCTATTAACATAGGACTGCTTAGTAATAATGATGATGATATCTTATGCAGTAGGGTGTTTACAGTTTTCAGAATGCTTTCAGGGAAAAAAAAAAGTTCTACTCTGATCTCTGCAAAATTCCTTTGCTCACTTTCATCAAGAACATCCTAATTCCCTAGTCTCGCAAATCAGTAACACTGATGTCCTGATTGATGCAGCTCCTCTCCTAATTTCCCACATTTTTCAAAATGTCTCTGGAGTCTTTAGCCTTTAACTTTCTTTCCATTTCCATTATGACTGCCTTTGTTTGTGCTCTAATCTCTCTCACAGAGTTTTATTAAACCATAATGTTCTTGTGGACTCAAAGCTCTACCTTCTATATGTATGCTCTGCAGCCACTAGACTTAACTTTCTAAAATGCAGTTCTAATCATGATATTCTTCTAGCAGATCATAGATGAGGACTCCTGATAGCCAGCAGAGAAGTCCCAGCTCATTACCACAACCCAAGCCTCCTACAATCTGGACTGTGGTTTTGTGGTCTCCTTTTCTTTCTTGTTATCCTTTTATCCATGTCTCCTAGTCATTCTGAGGCATCACTAATGAGATCTCTGAATCACACTCACCTAAATTATTATCTGCAACTTTGCCAATGCTCTTCCTTATATCTGGAACAACTGTCTCTGTTCTTAAACTGATAAAAATGGCTTTTGATTAGGAAAGATTTGGGTATGACTGGAGAAGACAGAAGCCTTTTGTTCATGAAGAGACTCTTAAACCATGCTAACGAAATTTGGACTCCATGTTAGGGCAATTTGGACTTCATGTTAAGGGAGCTAGGCAGCTGAATGTTTTTGGGAGATAACTCATACAATATAATTTGCATTTCAAGTCACGATCACTCTGTTGTAGGAAGTGATCAGGAGAAAGGCAAGGCAGGAGACCAGTTAGGAACATTTTGGATTAGGAGAGGAGGTGAGCTGATGGCTGCAATCCCCTGGGATGCAGGAATGGAAAGACGTACACATGACTTAGATATTTCTAAAAAGTAGATTCAGCAAGACTTTGAAATTAACTTGATTTGGAGAATGTGTATAGCAGTAGTACAGCATTTAGAAGAGTGCAATCTAGTTAGGAGGCAGGATTTCCATACAGCAGCCTTGAGAGTTAGTTTCTTGAAGGCAGGTATTACCTATCTTTGAATCTCAAGAATCTAATTTTTAGAAGTAATTTATAAGTAGAGGAAGTTGCTATTTTTATTCAAATTTGAGGGAGTAACGTAAGGTCAGAGTGACTGCTTAACTTAGTCAAGATCACAGTTAATAAGTCAGAGCAGAGGCCACGCCATTTCAAACAGTCCAATAGTTATTTTATGTGATTTTTTAGCAGATAAAACAGGATTTTTTTTTTTTTAGCTAAAAATGAGCTCTTTCTCTAGATAGAATTTTAGCAAAAATGGGAGACAGGATGCGATCATGCCTAGAAAATAATGAAGCTGGTAAGGCCCACTGGGTCCCTGCTAAGAAGGGGCATCGTGGTGCTTGCAGCATCATTGACAATGACAGGCACTTGTCACTCATGGGTTGGTGTTCTCCTCTCTCCATGGCCTCGTCTATCCATCTGGGAGTTGCAGGTGATGTCCTCACTAAGGCACCCTTGCCAGGCTTCAGGAGGCTGAGGACTGTCCTCTTCTCTCTCAGAAGGCAAGGTGTAGGACTGCTCAGCGTGCTTGAGACTAGAAAAGGCCCCTGCCAGACTGGCGCTAGTATCTTTTCTGTAAAGAAACAGGTGTTTTAGTGTAAATTCCTCACGTCCCAAAGAGGTAATTCAAGCAAACAACCAGAAATGCAAACAGTACAGAAAAGCCTATGGCAAAAATCCCAGGAGATGCAATGGAGAACAAAACACTTCCACCTTCCAGGAGCTGACTTGCACCAAACAAGAAAAGAACTAAATAAGATAATTCGGGTCACAAGAGTAATATTGAAGTCCAGGTAGCTTGAGAAAGATGAGTCCGGCCATGTCTCCATTTTTAGATGGCAACCTGAGGCTGGGTTTGTCATAAACCAAGTCAAGACAATTGAGACCTGTTGGCATCTTCAAGCTAGCCAGTCATGGGGACTGTATCTTCTTTATCCATGTGGCACACAAGGACTGGGGAGATGCTGGGGAGTGACTCCTGTTCAGCTTCAGACATTGCTTCAGGAAGGGGACAAATTTGGCCCAGGAATGACTGCTAGCCTTGTTGACATTAGGGAGACTTGGCAGTGTGCTGAAAACCAACCTGAAGTAAAAGTGCCTGGTTGCTATTTGAAATTCAAGGTGATTACTAGAGTCAATACCCATGAAAAGGGGAAAGGATATACTCCAAGTAGATATCACAGAGGATCTAATCACTTTGGGACAGAAGGCATGATGGAGTCCTGAGTGTAACATGGCAGAGAAACAGTAAATGTCTTTCCCAATCATGCCACATATATAAATCATATTAAAGCTAAACTGCCGCTGTTTTTGATAATGCTATCCAGTAAGTACTTTTGATGTAAACCTATTTCTCCACTCAGATGAAGGAATGGGAGTAGGGGAAGGCTTTTTTTGTTAGATATGCCTCTAGGCTTAGGAAAATATTTTAAGCATTTTGATGATTACCAAAAGGAAAAGTTGCCAGTTTATAAGAAGATGGTAAGGGGCCAGTTGTGGTGGCTCATACCTGTAATCCCAGCAAATTTGGGAGGCCAAGGTTGGGGGATCGCTTGAGCCCAAGAGAGGGAGATTGCAGTGAGCTGTGATTGTGCCACTGCACTCCATCCTGGGTGACAGAGCGAGACACTGTCTCAAAACAAAAACAAAACAAAAACAAACAAACAAAAATCAGTGAGGGTTGGGGAGGGAAGAAGAAAAGAAAGAACAAGAAAAAAGACCAATGGTGTAATTGGGGGAAAGGGGGGCGATTCCTGAATGTGTGCCATAATATATGTGAAGTGTTAATTCATTCTTTCAACAAATTCTCATTCACCTAAAAATATGTATGAATCAGTTAACTTCACTATTTCATGTAATTTGAATCTGTCTTTTTCTCACAACTTTCCAATGCTTGTTAGACATTTACAAATGAGAGATATCCTTCATCCTTCTTTCCCATCTCACATGCTGTTGTATTAAGAAATTACATATCTATCTTAAACCCTTAAAGGCATTCGAGTTTACTGTTATTTTCTTACCCTTTTTAAAATAAATATCATGATGACGATAATTATAGGATTGTCTTCTGACTGATGAAAAAATACTAAAAACTCCTGAAATGTTTTTGCATAAATGCCTTCTATTTTTCAATAAACCTCTGATAATACAAAATTAAATACCAAAGGACACTCATTTAACAGTATAATTAGAAGTGAGCATGACCTGAGTTGCTGCTGAAAATGGGGTTTCTGATATGAACCTCTTTCCTAGATGAACTTTGAATCATGCAGAATCTCAAAGAAATGTGGGTTGTGTCAGACAGTGAGTTCAGAATCACTGAGGCAGTGGGACAGTATGAATCAAGATGGGCAGTGGGAGGAAATTCTGACAAGTGGTGACAGGTAAGCTATTGATATCAGGTTAATTCAGCAGAAGAAAGGCAGCTTGACTTGGCAGAGACAAAGAATAGAGGCAGGGAGTTGGGGAGAAGGGACAACATACATATATGCAAGAAGAGAGTAGATAAGAGCTCAGATCTGGGATTTAGTTTTCAAATCAGTACTGCTGGGTTATTCTATAGACAGACTCATCACAAGTTTGGGTGTAGAAAATGACTGAGAAACAAAAATTTTAATATTTGCTGCTATAAGAACAACAGTGGCTGAATGGTCATCATGCAGATAATCAGAATTCACTGGACTTCCTTAAACTTCCTTTGCTGTTTATTACTATTTTTGTTTTGAATTACACATGTGGAGGGCACGATAATCTTTTCACTACTCAAGTTTTCTAAAGGTCTTAAGCTGTTCCTAGTTAGAACTGTGGCACATGTTTTCAGAGCAGGGCAGTTGGAAGGTCAATGATGCAGAGTTACTGGGAAAGAGCTAATTAAATTATCCAGCAAACGTCAGGATTTAGCCTGGTGTTTATTTGAGCTGAAGATGGAGTTAGACAGTACAGTTTTGGGGATTTGAATGATGGGGGCAAATAAATCTTTGCAAGAGTTTATGAAGACTATACATATCAATGTCAAGAAATGTGAAGGGTCTGGGAATTTACAATTCTTGCAATCTAACTAGTTAGCCTGCTGCAGTTTCATGGATGCTGGCAAAAGACAAGAAGTCTCCTGGGTCAGAGACAAAGGATTTCAATACTCACAGTAATATCAATAGCTGGAGCATCAATATTATCTTGTGACAGTTCACTGAGCCCCAGTTCCCACAGAGTAACATGAAAAGGGCCAGATGATATCTGTTCACACAGTAGGTTGCACTATCAAAATGAAATCCTGAGCTTAGGGAACCCAAAAGCTATTAATGGGCAAGAAGCATGCCTGACCGTTGCTCTGGAGGGAGACGCTATTTCTATTTTCCAAGGCTGTTCACTATACAAACATAATTGAATAGATAGTCTGGAACAAAGGCTGTCAGTATCAGCTCACAAGATGTGAAAAAACATGAGAGACCTATGAAGAATTGATCCCCAGTCATCAATATTTCATTTTTCTGTTTAAAAAATGTGAGGTTCTAAAAGATCAAGTGACACTTTAAAAAAACACAATCAGTTAACATATGATTTTTAGGCTAGACCTAGATGCTCAGGCCTGAATAGCAAAGCCCGCTATGTAACATCCAAGGTTCCATAAGCTTTCCCGACAGAGTTCCTAATGTTAGGATGCATAATGTTCGGATGCATAATATACACATTTTAAATTAATTTGAAAAGTAGTGCTGATTGATACTCAGTAATCCCTTCTGTTCCAGACTTACAGTATTATTAATGCCATTGTCTAGAGTATTTTGTGAGAGGCTATTCCAACTGAACCATATCTTCCCTAACAGTTACAGAGAAATAGACAGATTTCCTCTCTATCGAAGCACAAGTTTATTTACACAGCAACTGTAGTTTGTGTAGTAATGTTGGAGACATTACTTGGTGCTGCTGTACCACCCGAGAGGGTACCTTAGAGGAAGCACTCTAGGTGTCAATGACAGTGAAGAAGTAGCTGACAGGTGGTAGAAAGTGAGCAGCACCTGGAGTCATACAAAAAATTTACCGATTATTGGCAATTAACTTAGCATCACAATGTCAAACAATCACCCTGTAAAAGGAGAATATCCATACCTCACTCAAAGTGTTATAGTGGAAAATTAAATAGAATGAATATGCCAGTGCTCTATTTTTGAAACATTCATTAGAGATTGCGCTCTGGTGAAAATTGTAAATGGCTGTATACTTCATAAGAGTTGTCAGTGACAATCATGAGAACAGTAAGCTGATTAACAAGACAAAGTTGACATTTTGCTTTCTAGAAGATAAAACTTCTGATTGCGTGAACTCCAAAAAAAATTAACTCAAACAAAAATACAGAAAACTCCCAAATTTTTTAAAAAAAAACCCTTGAGGTCATAGGGAGACAATTTTTTAAAAATTGTACTTTTCATGACAGGCCTCATTTTTAGGGAAAAACAAGTAGTTTTCAAAATAAATAAGCTTTTGTTTTTGTAGAATGTGGGCTTATTTTATGAACTTATCACTAATTTGTAATTTTCTTAAAATGTTGAATATATAACGGTGATGAAAGATGTTTTCATTCTTTCATTAAAGTTGCCATTTTTGTTGGGCGCCGTGGCTCACACCTGTAATCCCAGAACTTTAGCAGGCCAAGGTGGGCAGATCACCTGAGATCAGAAGTTTGAGACCAGCCTAGCCAACATGGTAAAAGCCCATCTCTATGAAAAATTAAAAAAAAAAAAAAAATTAGCCAGGCGTGGTGGCAGGCGCCTGTAATCCCAGTTACTCAGGAGGCTGAGGCAGGAGCAGCATCGCTTTAACCCAGAGGCGGAGGTTGCTGTGAGCCGAGATGATGCCGCCGCACTCCAGCCTGGGTGACAAGAGGGAGGGTCAGAATCAAAACAAAAATAAACAAAAATATTGCCATTTTCTTTACCTGTGATTTACATGAAATTTTCTAATTCTGTTTTCTGATTAGTCACATGTTTAAATGGAGTGTGTTTAAAAATTCATTATATATGTACAAACCATGTTAAATGTTTTCCAAAGTCAGGACTTGTATTTAATTGATAAATCAGCATAAACTTTGAAAATTTTAACACTTAGAATTTAGAATAGGATTGCCTATGACATTGCAAGAACATATTATCATCTTTCTAATGCTCAGATAATAATTCTCTTATTATTCTTACTAACAACCTTTTCATTCTTCCAATCACACAGGTTTTGAAGCCTGTATTAGTTCGTTCTTGCACTGCTGTAAAGACATACCTGAGACTGGGAAATTTATAAAGAAAAGAAGCTTAATTGGCTTATGGTTTCACAGGTCGTACAGGTAGCATGGCTGGGGAGGCCTCAGGAAACTTTCAATAATGGCGGAAGGCAAAGGGAAAGCAGCACACCTTTACATGGCTGGAGCAGGAGAGAGAGAGAAGGGGGAGGTGCTACACACTTTTAACAACCAGGTCTTGTGAGAACTCACCCACTATCATGAGAACAGCAAGGGGAAAATCTGCCCCCATGATCCATTTACCTCCCACCAGGCCCCTCCTCCAACACTGGGGATTACAAGTGAATATGGATTTGGGTGGGGACACAAATCCAAACCATATCAAAGCCTCATCTATGATTCTATCCCACTGCCTCTTCCCTTGCCATATTACCAGGGATCACATCCTTTCTATTCTGCATTCAACCAACATTTACTATTGTAGAAACTGAGGCCCCAGGATGTTATTATGATATAGTATTTAGGAAGAGATAGTATCATGTTTGAGGATTCTTCTCCATTCTGACCAGTGAGGTCTGGTCTCCATATCTCTAATCCAGACTGCTCATCTTCTTCATCTGTCTACTCTGGTCTATTCCACATGTCATTACCAAAGTATCACCCTAAAGCGCATTTATGGTCATAGTCAAACACCATGAAAGGACTCCTCCCATTTACTAAATAAATCCATGTGTGTAAGCATAGAATTCAAAGACTTCCATGACCTGGTCTCAGTATACCTCTGCAATTCTTATTCTATCTTTTTCATAATATATCTTTATCCTTTGTGCAACCTGACAACTTGACATTGCCTATACTTTCCCATCTCTAAGATACTATTCCCTTCACATGAAATGCTCTTCTACTTCATATTGAGCTGTCAAAATGCTACCAAGACTTTAGGGTAAGCTCAGAGCCTTATTTGAATTCCCAATTATATTCTCACATTTCCTTGGAACTTTTTGTTACACTTTTGTGTATCTCTCACTGCAATGAATAACTTCTGTTTTTAATTGTACTTACATGCGCCCCTGTTATATTCTATTATCTGGCACCTCAAAGAGAATTAAAGTCCTGAGTATTTTAATGTTCCATTCACTCACACTACGTATATAGCTATAAGTTTCTTCATCAACTTTTCAACAGGATTTCTTTTCCTTCAAATTAGTCCTACCAAGTCTTGGGTTAGATTGCCCCCTTTCCTCGCCTTTCTTTGTGTATTTGTAATATATTGCACATTGAAACAGAAAATGAGCACAGCTGAGAAATCATTCTATAAGAAATGCTGCTTATCCACTCTCAGTGTCTGAAGAATACATCTTTAAAAAGAAAACAGAAATAATATGTAATAGCATACTGAAATGCATGGGATACATTTCAGATGGGAACTGGGCAACAAACAAATGCTTGCATAGAGTTTAAACTGAAAAATCGTAACTGCAAATGAGAAATAGGTCATGATCAGTATCAATAACAGAATTTCATATGTACATTTTTATTTTTTTTTTGAGACGGAGTCTTGCTCTGTCACCAGGCTGGAGTGCAGTGGCACGATCTCGGCTCACTGCAACATCTGCCTCCTGGGTTCAAGCGATTTTCGTGCCTCAGCCTCCCGAATAGCTGGGATTACAGGCATGCGCCACCATACCCAGCTAATTTTTGTATTTTTAGTAGAGATGGGGTTTCACCATGTTGGCCAGGATAGTCTCGATTTCCTGACCTCATGATCTGCCCACCTGCAGTGCTGGGATTGGGATTACAGGCGTGAGCCACCGTGCTCGGCCCATATATACATTTTAAGACTGCACTAAGAAAGTTCAGAAAACTTCAGCCTACATAAGATAGTATATCTAGACAGACAGGTAAGTGTTGGAAGACACTGATCATGGCCTGAGTCTTAAAGGAGATTGGCAGAGATCCCAGGACACCTCAGCTTTACCCTGCCTGCTTACTACCTCCCTCATGTGCACAAACCGAAGCGTGTCAAAACTTTCACTATTTCAAATATTAATTTAAGTATAATTATGTACATCAATTACAAAAAATTGATAGCCATCACTGAGAGTAGGTTTTAGGGTAATTTTCACTCTCCACTTTTCAGGGCATCAGAGAAAGTGATAACTAGGAATAACTTAGGGAAATCTCTGACCTGGTACTCATCAAGATTTTCTTCTCCTGTCTTTGAATATGTGTGATGTGCGGGTCCCATTCTGTGCCTCTCATCAGTCTACAATTCACATTAATTTGTAGCAAATCTTGTGTGAGCGCAGAGAATTCACACATCTTCTCTGTGTTTAACATAAGTCAGAATCAAAAGAAGCTTCTCATTAATCTACGGCTCATAAGAGTTGGTTCTATGCCTGTTTACTTATGCAAAAATCCATGAAAATACAGGAAATGATTCCTTTGACCCAAAAAGTAGTGTGTGTGTGTGAGGGGATGGGGAGATTACATGATTAGAAGAGCTTCATATATTAAGATTTTGTTGAAAAACAACTTTTATTCCAGATGCCACCTGGGAAAATATCCCTCATGTGACTAAAAGTCCTTTATCCTATGGCTAGAGCCTGTGACTCGTGAGTAAATGAGTAAATCCAGGGGATGCAGCTGTGGATTAAATTATCTGTTTGCTACCTCTTGGTCTTTTGCTGTTTGTTCCAGCAGGATAACCTAGGAGGATGTGTAACTAACTGTTCTATGTGTTGATACAGCCCCTTCAAGTATCCATGCCTACGTGAGAAAATCCTTTCCTTTGCAACTGCTAAATGCAACTGCAACTTTTGGATGGGAGTGATACATGTGGACAGCAAAGATGAAAAGAACTTCACCAAATAGTGTTTCTCATTACTTTGAAAAATGTCGGCCATGTACAGCATGCAAGAAGAAACAGTGAAGAATGTTAACATGCTCAGCATGGGAAACCGAGTCATAGCTTTACATCTTCACTTGATTATTTCCAACATTATTTTACACCCTTCTGATCAAAGACTTCAATTATCTCAATTTTTCAGAGCATTTTTGGCACTGGAACATCATTAGACAAGTTCTTGGAACAGTACTTTGCCCTATTATTAGTTTGACCTACTAACTTTCTTATATTAAGCTCCTCACAAATGGACTATAGAATAAGAAAATAAAGGTTTTCTACCAATCCTAGTTAATTGCTGTTATTAGTTAACTGTGTGCTTCCTTAAGTATGTTTTAAGGAGTCATAAACAGAACCTCTGTATTAAATATATTTTTACATTTCAACTGATTCTTGGCATTTATGTCATTCATGTTGTTTTTCTCGACATTTATACCATTTAATCAGTCAGAAAAAAAGTAGTGGGTGGTTAATAAGTTATTTACAGGAAAAGTGAGGCATATAAGAATTAATGAAAGACACTTAACTGACATCACCAAAGAGAACCTGACAAAACTTAAACACTCAAATAGTTTTAATAGTCATCAACTTCATACAATGTTATACTTTATCATTCAATAAATGTAATGAATTTTGTACTTTTTAATGTTTAAAACTTTCTAGTGGAAACTAACCAAGAAATTTGAGGCCATATTTCATCTTGTGCTACTTATTTTTAAAAATATATTTTGTGCAATAAATCTGACCACTTCAGTAGCAGTTGGCTAAAAAGACCACAGAATTTGTCATCCAAACCGGACACTATTGAGAGTCTAAGAGGATACCATTAATATTATGTTGGGATAACCAGTGTAAAATCAAATTTTCCCAGGAAAGCTACAACTTATGGACATCCTAAAGTTACGCCAACTAAGCAGACGTAGAGAAAGATCAGATTTGTTCTCCTCTTTGAAGATATTTTTCGTCTTTTTCTCTCCCCCTTTGAGTTCTTATAGAGGAAAAAGCCATAAGAAAAGAAAGAAATAGAATAAGGTTTAGAGACTAAGTACAGTCATAATGAGATTTTAGTCAATGACAGACCACATCACATATACAACTGTGGTCGCCTATGATGATAATGGACCTAAAAAATTCCCTGGCCTAGTGATGTCATGGTTGTCAGAATATCATGGTGTGTCATATTACTCACGTGTTTGTGGTGATGCTGGTATAAACAAACCTACTGTGCTGCCAGTCACATAAAATTGTAGCACATATAATTTTGTACAGTATGTAATACTTGATAATGATAATAAACCATTATGTTACTGGTTTATACATTTACTATACTACACTTATTATTTTAGAGTGTAATCCTTCTACTTATTAAAAAAAAACTAACAGTGAAAGAGCCTCAGGCAGGTCCTTCAGGAGGTATCCAGAAGAAGGCATTGTTATCATAGGAGATGACAGCTCCATTATGTATTATTGTCTCTGAAGACCATCCAGTGGGACAAGATGCAGCTCTGGAAGACAATGATATTGATGATCCTGACTCTATGTAGGCTTAGGCAAATGTATGTGTTTGTGTCTTTGTTTTTAACAAAAACGTTTAAAAAGTAAAAAAATGAAAATTAAAAAAATTTCAAATGGGTAAAAGCTCATAGTATAAGGCTATGAAGAAAGAACACATATTTGAACAGCTGAACAATATATGCTAAACGTTATTACAAAAAAGTCAAAAAGAAATTTAAAAGTTTATAAAGTAAAATAGTTAGAGCAAGCTTAGCTTATTATTAAAGAAAAATTATTTGTTTATAAATTTAGTGGTGGCCTAAGTGTATAGCGTTTATAAAGCCTGCCATAGTGTATGGTAATGTTCTAGGCCTTCACATTCACTCACCACTCACTCACTCACTGACTCGCCCAGAACAACACCCAGTTCTGCAAGCTCCATTCATGGTAAGTGCCCCATACATGTGCACCATTTTTTATCTTGTACACCATGTTTTTACTGTACCTTTTCTATGTTTGGATATGTTTAGATAGTACAAACGTCATTGTGTTACAAATGTCCACAGTATTCAGTACATTTACATGATATAGATTTGTAACCTAGGAACAGTATGCTATACCATATAGCCTAGGTGTGTAGTAGGTGATATCATTTAAGTTTGTGTAAGTATGGCCTATGATGTTTGCACAACTACGAAATCACCTAAAGATGCATTTCTCAGAACACATTGCCATTGATAAGTGAAGCATGACTGTAATTTAGATTCAAATTTGGGCTCTTCCAGATAGTACCTGAGTGATATTTCTCATGTTATCTCTGTTTTCATTTCCATTTTGAATGACAGTGTCTTGTCCATATTGCCATGTATTGAAATCATTTAATATACCAAACTCTAATACTGTTGAGCAGAGCTGTACAATACATTAGCCATTAGCTACATGTGGCTTTTTTTTGAACCTGTGGCTTTTTCTATGTAAATTTGGAATAACTAGTATTAAAAAAACATAAAATTCAATTGCTCAGTCACTCTAGCTACATTTAAGTGTTGAATAGCCACATGTAGCTACTGGTGACTACAGTAGAATACAGATTAGATTTCCATCATTGCAAAATGTTCTTTTGGACAACACTTGGAGGGTCAAAATCATTATTTCTTGCTTAGACACTTTCAAATCTTCCTAAAATGTCAATGTATATTCACTTTGGCATTCCTGAACCTGTTCTCCATTCAGCAGCCAGAGCAATTCTCTCCAAAGGCAAACTTTGCCAATTTACTTACCTATTTAAAACCATTTAATGGTGCCCTGTGGCTCCAGCCCTCCCTGTATGGTCTCCCTGCTTCTTTCATCCCAACGTTATTAAACTATGCTTGCTCCTGCTTTCTGTTTCCAGCCACCTTGATCTTGTTATTCCCCTTGCATTTGCTTCCTTCCTCCATGGGTCCTTCGACTGTATCGTTTTCACTGCCTTGATTGCTCTTTCTGTTATTCATCACATATGTCCTCCTACAGATCAGCTCAAGTGTCACTTCCCAGGGGAATCTCCCCAAGCTTCTCTGAAAGATTAAATCTTCCATGATAACTCTAAAACACCATATAATTTCCCTTCAAATGGCAAACACGTTTTTATTTGTTTATCTTCCTCAAAATCTGTCTTTGTGGCAGGCAAATAGTGATAATAAATGAGTGAATGTTTGTTTTTCATTACATTTGAATTTCTACCACAGTGGCTTCTGCAGAATTGGCATTCATGGAACAAAAGAATGAGTCCAATCCTTGAGTAGGCTCTATCAGCATCACTATGAAAAACTATAGCACCTGATAACAGAAGCTAACTCTGTCAGAACACTGGGATCAATCTCCAGAGGTCATCGATCTCACCCCTTGCCCCAATGACTCATGTTGCTTCTCTTTATTTAAGCTAGAATCCATTAATAGAATAATTATATATGTAAATATAAAATGGAAATCTGAGTTCCAGCTTCAATAATTTTAATAATTAATATATCAATTATTACCTCACAGTACTTGCTGTAGGAAGGTTGTGAGATGTCCATCCTTTGAGATTTAAATATAGTTCAGTCCAGAAGAAAAAGTCCTTTTTTTTGTTTTTTTATTCTGCTACCAAAAGAAATTTTTTTGTTTGTTTGGTTTTTTCATGCGCGTTCCTGTGAAGAGACCAGCAAACAGGGTTTGTGTGAGCAACAAGGCTGTTTATTTCACCTGGGTGCAGGCGGGCTGAGTCCGAAAAGAGAGTCAGCCAAGGGAGATAGGGGTGGGGCCATTTTATAAGATTTGGGTAGGTAAAGGAAAATTACAGTCAAAGGAGGGGCAGGTGTGGGGGTCACAAGGCGCTCAGTAGGGGAGCTTTTGAGCCAGGATGAACCAGGAGAAGGAATTTCACAAGATAATGTCATCAGTTAAGGCAGGAACAGGCCATTTTCACTTCTTTTGTGGTGGAATGTCATCAGTTAAGGCAGGAACTGGCCATCTGGATGTGTACGTGCAGGTCACAGGGGATATGATGGCTTAGCTTGGGCTCAGAGGCCTGACATTCCTGTCTTCTTATATTAATAAGAAAAATAAAACGAAATAGTGGTAAAATGTTGTGACGGCAAAAATTTTTGGGGGTGGTATGGAGAGATAATGGGCCATGTTTCTCAGGGCTGCTTCAAGCGGGATTATGGGCAGTGTGGAAACTTAGAGTGGGAGAGATTAAGCTGAAGGAAGATTTTGTGGTAAGGGGTGATATTGTGGGGTTGTTAGAAGAAACATTTGTCATTTAGAATTATTGGTGATGGCCTGGATATGGTTTTGTATGAATTGAAAAACTAAACGGAATAAAAGAAGGACAAAAACAGGTATTAAAGGTCTAAGAATTGGGAAGACCTAGGACATCTATTTAGAGAGTGCCTAAGGAGATTCAGCACAGTCCTGCCAGCAAAGATTATTTATTTACTTTAAGAGTTAAGAGTGGCAGTTTGGGGATAGCACCAGGAGATATCAGCTGTGATGGCTTGGAGAAACAGTGTAAACTGGCAGTGTAAACAAGAGCAGGGCATGTGTAAGTAGTTGAGAACAATGAATAGGAGTATGACTAGACAGAAGATAGTAGGGATGACAAGTTTTTTGGGGCACAGTCCAAGTTGGTCTGGAGTCTGGAATGAGACTGGGGCCTAATAAAAAGTAGTGTCTATACAGGAGCTCAAATGGGCTGTACCCTGTAGCTTTCCGAGGACAGGCCTGAATTCTGAGAAGGGAAAGTGGTAAAAGTATTGTCCAGTCTTTTTTAAGTTGGTGGCTGAGCTTGGTGAGGTGTGTTTGTAAAAGACCATTAGTCTGTTCTACCTTTCCTGAAGACTGAGGACCGTAAGGGATATAAAGGTTTCACTGAATACTAAGAGCCTGAAAAAATACTTGGCTGATTTGACTAATAAAGGCTGGTCTGCTATCGGACTGTATAGAGGTGGGAAGTCTAAACCGAGGAATTATGTCTGACAGAAGGGAAGAAATGACAGCAGTGGCCTTCTCAGACCCTATAGGAAAGGCCTCTACCTATCCAGTGAAAGTGTCTACCTAGACTAAGAGGTATTTTAGTTTTCTGACTCGGGGCATGTGAATAAAGTCAATTTGCCAGTCCTGGGCAGGGGCAAATCCCCGAGCAGGTGGGAGTGACCAATGTGAAGGAGAAAAATTGGCCATGAGGGACAGAAGTTGGAAAGCTAGCTGCTTGTTGAGGGACAGAAGTTGGAAAGCTAGCTGCTTGTCTAGCCACCTTATCAGCATAAGCGTTGCCTAGAGCAATGGGATCTGATGCCTTTTGATGGCCTTTGCAGTGAATGACTCCAGCTTCCTTTGGAAGTAAAGCAGCCTTGAGCAGAGTTTTTATTAAGAGGCATTAATGATGAAGGACCCTTGCATAGTGAGGAAACTTCTTTCTGCCTATGTAACAGCATGGTGGTGCAGAATATGGAAGGCATATTTAGAGTCAGTATAAATATTGACACGTAGTCGTTTTGCAAGAGTGAGGGCCCGGGTTAAGTCAACTAGTTCGGCTTGCTGAGAGGTAGTGGAGAGGGGCAGAGCGGTAGCCTCAATGATAGATGTGGAAGATACTATAGCATAGCCTGCCTTTGCTGGTGAGTGGCGATTAGGCCTGGTGTAACTGCCATCAATAAACCAAATGTGATCAGAGTGAGGAACAGGAAATAAGGAAATATGGGGAAATGGGGTGAATGTCAGGTGGATCAGAGAGATACAGTCATGAGGGTCAGATGTGGTATCCAGAATAATGTGGGAGGCCGGATTGAAGCCCGTGCCAGGAACAATGGTAATTGTGGGAGACTCGACAGAGAGTGAGTATAGCTGAAGGAGCCGGGAAGCAGAAAGTATATGCATCAGGTATGAGGAAGAAAATAGATTTTGGAAGTTATAAGAACTGTAGAGAGTGACTTGAGCATAGTTTGTGATTTTTAGGGACTCTAAAAGTATTAAAGCAGCAGCAGCCACTGCACACAGACATGAGGGCTAGGCTAAAACAGTAAGGTCAAGTTGTTTGGACAGAAAGGCTACAGGGTGTTGTCCTGGCTCTTATGTAACAATTCTGACCGCACTAACCATGCCTAGGAAGGAAAGGAGTTGTTGTTTTGTAGAAGGGATTGAGGTTTGGGAGATCAGTCGAACACGATCAGCAGGGAGAGCACGTGTGTTTTTAT
The DNA here is from genome assembly GCF_000001405.40 of Homo sapiens. NCBI lineage: Eukaryota > Metazoa > Chordata > Mammalia > Primates > Hominidae > Homo > Homo sapiens. The sequence goes on from NC_000013.11 coordinate 54,129,977, forward strand.
GAGAATTATCCCGAGATAGGTAACAGATGAGGATGAAATTTGGGCTTGACTGAAGTAGTGGGGGCTATCTGTGAAGCCTTGTGGTAGTACAGCCCAGGTGATTTGCTGAGCCTGATGGGTGTCAGGGTCAGTCCAAGTGAAAGTGAAGAGAGGCTGGGATGAAGGGTGCAAAGGAATAGTAACGAAAGAATGTTTGAGATCCAGAACAGAATAATGGGTTGTGGAGGGAGGTATTGAGGATAGGAGTGTATATGGGTTTGGCACCATGGGGTGGATAGGCAAAACAATTTGGTTGACAAGGCGCAGATCCTGAACTAACTTGTAAGGCTTGTCTGGTTTTAGGACAGGTAAAATGGGGGAATTGTAAGGAGAGCTTATAGGCTCTAAAAGGCCATGCTGTAGCAGGCGAGTGATAACAGGCTTTAATCTTTTTAAAGCGAGCTGTGGGATGGGATATTGGCCTTGAGCGGGGTAAGGGTGATTAGGTTTTAATGAGATGGTAAGGGGTGCATGATCGTTTGCCAAGGAGGGAGTAGAGGTATCCTATACTTGTGGGTTAAGGTGGGGGGATACAAGAGGATGACGCAAAGGAGGCTTTGGATTGGGAAGAAGGGCGGCAATGAGATATAGCTGTAGCCCAGGAATAGTCAGGGCAGCAGATAATTTAGTTAAAGTGTCTCGGCCTAATAAGGGAACTGGGCAGGTGGGGATGACTAAAAAGGAGGGCTTAAAAAAGTATTGTCTAAGTTGGCACCAGAGTTGGGGAGTTTTAAGAGGTTTAGAAGCCTGGCCATCAATACCCACAACAGTTATGGAGGCAAGGGAAACAGGCCCTTGAAAAGAAAGTAATGTGTAGTGGGTAGCCTCCGTATTGATTAAGAAGGGGACAGGACTTACCCTCCACTGTGAGAGTTACTCGAAGCTCGGCATCCGTGATGGTCTAGGGGGCTTCCAAGGCGATTGGGCAGTGTCAGTCTTCAGCTGCTAAGCCGAGAAGATCTGGGAAGGAGTCAGTCAGAGAGGCTTGGGCCAGAGTTCCAGGGGCTCTGGGAGTGGCTGCCAGATGAGTTGAACAGTCCGATTTTCAGTGGGGTCCTGCACAGATGGGACGCAGCTTAGGACGAATCCCGGGCTGCGGGCATTCCTTGGCCTCATGGCCAGATTTCTGGCACTTGTAGCAAGCCCCTGGGGGAGGCAGGCCTGGAGGAATGCCTGGCCACTGCGATTTAGGCGTTTGGAAGTTCTTGTGTGCTGGAGATGTGGGTGGGGTTTGTCTCACAGTGGAGGCAAGGAAGTGCAACTCAGAAATATGTTGCTATTGGCTGTCTCTACTCTATTATTGTACACCTTGAAGGCAAGGTTAATTAAGTCCTGTTGTGGGGTTTGAGGGATGGAACTTAATTTTTGGAGTTTTATTTAATGTCGGGAATGGATTGGGTAATAAAATGAATATTGAGAATAAGACAGCCTTTTGACCTTTTAGGGTCTAGGGCTGTAAAGCATCTCAGGGTGCTGCCAAACAAGCCATGAACTGGGCTGGGTTTTTATATTTAATGAAAAAGAGCCTAAACGCTATGTGATTTGGGATAAAGAAAAAGGAGCATTAACCTTGACTATGCCTTTAGCTCCAGCCACCTTTTTAAGAGGAAATTGCTGGGCAGGTGGGGGAGGGCTAGTCACAGAAGGAAAGTGTAAGCCTGACCAGGTGTGAGGAGGAGAGGTGATAAAAGGATTATAGGGTGGAGGAACGGAGGCTGAGGAAGAATTGGGACCTAGCTTGGCCTGGTGAGGAGGGGAGAGGTCAGATGGGTCTGTAGAGAAGGAAGATTAGAAAGACTCAGTGACGCTTGGGGTTGGTACTGAGGGGACAGGGGGGAGGGAAAGAAGGAAGATTTGAGATGAGTTGCACTGGGAACAGAGACTAGAGAGGGACTGATGTGTAAAAGAATGCCTGGACGTCAGGCACCTCAGACCGTTTGCCCATTTTACAACAAGAATTATTTAGATTTTGTAGAATGGAAAAATTCAAAGTGCCATTTTCTGGCTGTTTGGAACTACTGTCAAGTTTGTATTGGGGTCAAATGGCATTGCAGAAAATAAGACACTTAGATTTTAGGTCAGGCGAGAGTTGAAGAGGTTTTAAGTTCTTAAGAACAGAGGCTAAGGGAGAAGAAGGAGGAATGGAGGGTGGAAGGTTGCCCATAGTGAAGGAGGCAAGTTTAAAGAGAAGGGTAGGGACACGGAGAAGGGGGGTGGGGAGCAGCCCTGGGCTGCAACGTAGGTGAGCAGCCAAAGCAGGAGTCCCTGCAATTGACTTGCCACCAAGGGAACGTGGGTGAATGATCAAAGGCAGGCGTCCCCGCAGAGATCAGACACCAATGGAACGTGGGTGAATAATCAGAGAGGCACCCCCGCAATTATTAAACACCAAGGGAAGGCTGCCTCCCCGAGTCCGTGACTGGCGCCGGAGTTTTGGGTCCACGGATAAAATGTGTCTCCTTTGTCTCTACCAGAAAATGAAAGGAATTGAAATTAAGAGAAGGGAGAGATTGAAGTGTGGCGCCAAGATAGAAAGGAGAAAGAGGTTGAGGGATAGTGAGGGAGGTTGGAGAAGAGAGTAAAAAGAGGCCACTTACCAGATTTGAAATTGGTGAGATGTTCCTTGGGCTGGTCAGTCTGAGGACCTGAGGTCCTAGGTAGATCTTTCTCACGGAGCAAAGAGCAGGAGGACTGGGGATTGATCTCCCAAGGGAGGTACCCCGATCCGAGTCATGGCACCAAATTTCATGCGCGTTTGTGTGAAGAGACCACCAAACAGGCTTTGTGTGAGCAACAAGGCTGTTTATTTCACCTGGGTGCAGGCGGGCTGAGTCCGAAAAGAGAGTCAGCCAAGGGAGACAGGGATAGGGCCGTCTTATAAGATTTGGGTAGGTAAAGGAAAATTACAGTCAAAGGGGGAGCAGGTGTGGGGGTCAAAAGGCGCTCAGTAGGGGAGCTTTTGAGCCAGGATGAACCAGGAGAAGGAATTTCACAAGATAATGTCATCAGTTAAGGCAGGAACAGACCATTTTCACTTCTTTTGTGGTGGAATGTCATCAGTTAAGGCAGGAACTGGCCATCTGGATGTGTACGTGCAGGTCACAGGGGATATGATGGCTTAGCTTGGGCTCAGAGGCCTGACAGTTTTCCCTTAGGGCTTCTGTCAGGCCAGCATTTTAATATGCTTGACATTTTTGACTTTCCAGTAAATGTTTAAAAGAAATTGTAAACTAAATTTAGCTGATGAATGTTGTTCAGTTTTACATTTGTATATTTTATTTACAAGTGACTTTAAAAATATTTTTCAACAGGATTTCAATGATCAGCCTAATGACTCATCAATGTGTTTTATGTCAAATAGTACTGGACATCAAGCTGTATCCATCAAATAGTAAAATTCTACTAAAGAATAAAATAACATGACAAATACTTTTTTAAAAATACCCATCCATGTCGTCTTTAGAAAGACATATTAAACTACAAAATTAACATTAATATAACTAAAACAAGTGACTACTACTTATAGTTGCACTATTGAAGGTTTTCATTGGGCATTACATTATCTCTCCTAAATGTTTACTTGTTTACTAATATTTTCAATAAAAAAAACGCTTTTTACTTTGAAATAAATACTCAAAATCCCTGAATACATGTGTTTGATAATGAGATTCCTTTCTTACAGCTATGTTGCTTTCTCTGTTTCATTTTTTTTCTTTTGCTGTCCTGCTGCCTCCTTATTAACACTTTTAGGTTTGATATGCATAAATAAGAAAAAGCTCTCCTTTGTTTCTCTCTTTAGCGTCATCAGCAGCTATTGTCACGTTAAGAGTTCTTCTGGGCCTTCCAAGATGCATAATAATGATAATGATAATAACTTCCATTTATTGAAAACTTACTAAGCACTTCGTGTACTCTTTTGCAAAAACACTGAGACATATAAATCATTAATATACCTTTTAAGAGGCAACTGAGCCTCATAGAGATTAAGCGGCTTGGAATTAAGCAGCTAACTCAGTCATATTTATGGTAAAGGGCAGAGCCAAGATTCAGATCTAGATAATCTTTATTCCCGTTCTACACTCAGATATTACGCTATCCTGAGCCCAATAAAACTACTGAATCTCACCATGGTTTGGGAAGGCAATTCAGTCTCTGTACTGCATCTGTTTTCATTTATGCATAAGATATGTTAGCGTATAACTACTATTGATAAATTTTAACAGGGCCACTCCTCCTGAGACTTGCTAAGTGATGAACAAGTCAGCAAAGAACACTTTGGGAAAGGTCTCTACTTTCTTATCTCTATGCAATATCAGTGAAGCTCACTCGGTATAGAAGGGTCAGATGTCTGAAAACCAGACACCACATGTTCTCACTCACAGGTGGGAATTGAACAATGAGAAAACTTGGACACAGGGAGGGGAACATCACACACCCGGGCCTGTCATGGGGTGGAGGGATCAGGGAGGGATAGCATTAGGAGAAACACCTAATGTAAATGACAAGTTAATGGGTGCAGCAAACCAACACGGCACATGTATATATGTGTAACAAACCTGCATGTTGTGCACATGTACCCTAGAATTAAAGTATAATAATAATAAAAAAAAAAAGAAGGGTCAGATGTCCTAGATTTGGGTCCTAGGTCTACTGCAAAACTCTTCAAAACCATGGGAGAATGGGCTGCCTCAGTTATAACATCTATAAAATAAAGATAATAATTGCACTTCCTTTACATGATCATGGTAAAGATTAAATGTAAAGTTCTTTGAAGAGTACTAGGCACATACTTATCTAAAAAAATTTTACCTGATAGTATTATCACGGTTGACCCTTGGAATTATGGGTATTGATCCTCTCTCATAGTTGAAAATTCATGTTTAACTTTTGACTTCCCAAAAACTTAACTACAAAGAGCCTACTGTTGACCAGAAACCTTACCAAAAACCTAAAAAGTTGATTAACACATATTTTGCATGTTGCGTGTATTATATACTGTATTCTCACAATAACGTCAACTAGAAAAAAGAAAATGTTATTAAGAAAACAATAAGGAAGAGAAAATATATTTACTATTCATTAAATGGAAGAGGAATATCATATGGTCATTATCCTCACTGTCTTCACTTTTAGTAGCCTGAAGAGAAGGAGGAAGATCAGGGTTTGGTCTTGCTGTTTCAGGGGTGGCAGATGGAAGAAACTCCACATATAAATGTACCTTTGCAGTTCTAACCTGTGTTGTTCAAGGGTGAACTGTACTATTATTATCTTGTTTTCATAAAAATTCTCATAGTTGTTCCTCAGAAAGATAACAATAACTAAATTGATATCCAAAATAAAGTGAATATTTTAGAAATAAAAGAGTAACAATAATAATATGGCATAAGGTTTTTTCTTGGGCACATACTAAATGCTGTGCAATAATCACTTAAATGGGAAGAAACTGAGACTTAGAATAAGTAGGTTGTATGTACGTATGAAACCAGTCTGCTTCCTGAACTCAGAAAGGCTTGATGACAATGAACTCCAGGGAGACATAGGAGTCCCACTGATGGGGTTCAGGACGTGGTACCCTAATATATGGCACCTTGGCATCTGAAAAAAACAGTAGAAGTAGGAAGGACACTCTCACCTTCCCCTGTTCTTCTTTTCTGAAAAAGGTCCTAAAACCTGAGAAGGATTTTCTGACCTTCCCCTGAAGCAGGTCATAGACCCTCATTTTAGAGTCACCCTTCTTATACCCAGAGAAAACAAGTGTCCTTATCTTTGAAGACAAACAGTCATAGGGAAGAATGTGAACAAACAGTCCTTGCTAAATTTCCCTCTGGTTTATTACCATTAGATCACACTCTTTAATCATATTTCTCCATTTTTATACATTCTTCATCAAACCTAGCATAAAAGTCTATACGTTTAATCATTTCTTCAGGTCATAATTTTCTTGCAAAGACTCCTGTGTCACATAAAAATTATATTAAAGAAATGTGTATCTTTTCTTATTAATCTTAAATAATTATAATTTTCTTATTTGTTTGGCCCACGACCCTTAATCAGTATGGCAATTGCCTAAATCATACGGCAATTTTCAAAGAGACAGAACATCCATTGTTTACTCACCAAGAGCCTTCAGAGAAATGCTGACTTAGTTCATTCATGGCAAACTGCATTAAAAACAAACAAATGGCAACAAAAAATAAATTTTATTTTTGACCATGTAAATAAAAATAAATTTTATATTTGGACCCCACCTCCAAAATAAAACAGGACTGAAAAAGCTTCTCACATTTTGCTCATGACTAATCTCTCCCAAGGTCCTCGTTTTACTTGTAGAATGATAGACCTCTGAAGTTAAATGGAATCTCAGAAATAATCATAAGGAACTTAGTATTTTCTGCAGTAAGGACAGTGGCCCAATGACATTAACTGCCTTTATTTCTATCCTTACATCTATGCATTTTTACTTAAAAGAAAAGCATTCTTCCTGAGGCTAATGTTGTCTATTTTTGTCTTTCCTATCTGAATTTTTCTTCAGGAAGAAACAAAGAACAAAAGTGTTTTAGTAAAACTTTCTTATTTATAGCCCACAAAGCCAGTCTTCTTTCACTAATTCATCTTTCTGTTTAGATTCATTCTTGACTATATTTCTTTTCCACAGGTGTCTGAGGACACACTTCTTACCTCTGAGCTTCTGATCTCAAATCAGCAATGTTGTTTTCTGTGTCTCCCACAGCCCCTCACCTCCGCTTCTTTATTTGTGCTTTTGGGGAAGCTCTTTTATTTTAGATAGAGTGCTTTATTTTTTCTTTTTCTGCTCACCGTTTGTTAATGTCTGCATCCAAATAGCTGGCATTAAAATGTCTGTCTTTGCAGAATGCATTAAACATTATGATATTTTGCACTTTGACCCACTTTGTCCATTCACTACTCCTTTAAACCATCTCTGCACATCCAATCTGATGCTTAAGGGCTCTCAAGATTCATAACGACATCTTGTGCTTCTTAGGCACCCTACTTATTTACAACATGGTTTCAGCATGTCCATATAAAATAGGCAAATAGCTCACTCCAGAACCGCTTCTCATAATGTAGCTTCACCTTTACACCCAGCTGTCTATCTTCAGTAGACGTCTATTTTTTTTCCCTTTTGGCCTCTCTCCTGGCCGTGGGTCTCTAAATGAAATACATAGCATGGCTCAGCTGCCACCATCCTAGTTGTAAAAAATCACACATCTACTAGTTAGTCTCTGTTAGCCTTTTGCAAAGAAAGACTTTGTAGAAAATGGATTTTCTAATAGATATATGCCACTTTTTTTTTTAAGTAACAGTTTTTTAAAAATGCCTTCTGATTACATTTTCTTAGCAAATCACATGCTACTCTATTTCTAAAGTTTTGTAAAAGACTAAATGAAATAATAAAATAATGATTTCTAATGTGTAAGTCATTTGATACAAGTTAGTAGTCAGGAAGACTATAAATTATTTCAATTGATTGTGATTTAAACAATATTGAGATGAACAGAGATTCTAACATTTATTTTGTAACAAAAGATACAGGGATATTCTCTATATTTTGTTAACGAGGCAGTGACCACACAGCTAGCAAGTTGTTGAGCAAAGATTATTATCCTGGTGTTCTGACTCTTGACCACACAAGACCCGCTCACATAGCAAGGCTAAAAGGTGCCCAGATGCAACATAAGGTGCTTGCATTGCCTCCTCCACATTCTGCTAAAACTGCACCAGAACTGGGTAACAGGAGCACCTTTGACATACTCACTGCACTAATCCTTAAATCTCACTATACATTTGCACATGCTCCTAATGCAGGTCTTGACAGATAAAAGGAAATATTTTAGATGGGCTTTGAAGCATAAACAAAAGTCTACTTGGTATTAACACAAATAAAAAATAACATTCCAGGCAGAAGTTATAGGGAATATGAAGTTATCACCAGAAAGGGCATTATAAGGCAACATGCTTGCATTTCCAAATCCAATATCTTTAAGCAAAGTAGAATTCTGTATTAAAATGGAAACTCAATCACTAACTTCTGAAAGTGCACATGGCATAATAGCATAGCCACAGAAAGATCCAATCCAATCTCTAGATTCCTCTTATGGATTATTGGGAAATTGCACAGCCAGAAGCATGAATAAGTAATTTTCAAGTGCTGCTTTCAGTATTTTGTCTGGGAAATATAAAAATCAATCATATTAGAATATCCAAAAGTCCCAATTTTAGAGGACTTTATAAACTCTATGAAGTTTACATGAATAATGTCACCAGATCCTTACCACAATCTTGTGAAAAATATTGCTATGATTATTTACTTTGAGGCTCAGACACAGTGAAGGTTGAGGTTGGAGGTTGCAGTGGTGCGATTTCGGCTCACTGCAACCTCTGCCTCCCAGGTTCAAGTGATTCTCCTGCCTCAGCCTCCGTAGTAGCTGGGACTACAGGCATGTGCCACCACACCCAGCTAATTTTTGTATTTTTAGTAGAGATGGGGTTTCACCATGTCAGCCAGGATGGTCTTGATCTATTGACCTTGTGATCCGCTCACCTCGGCCTCCCAAAGTGCTGGGATTAAAGGCGTGAGCCACTGCACCCAACCCCAATTGTTAAGATCATGTAAGTAATTCCTCCTATAACTGGACCTACAAAATAGGTGTTTGGATTCCTTCTCCATTGTTTTAAAAAGTCAGCCAGTTTGTAACATTTCTTAAATGTAAAAATTGTTGGAGGTAAGAGATAAACAAAAGAAACTCATTAAAAGAAACCAGCTCTGGCAGAACTGTAAAGACTATTACTGTTTTCACTAACCCAGGATTATTCATTTTTATGCACACTAGCATTTGTGGGCACTCTTCTATTGCCATTTCGGTTGACACCCTTCTGTTTCATCTTTTAGAAACATACTCTTATCAGGCCTGTTCTTCAGAGCCTTAGACCTACTGCTCTTTTCCATAACCTGGTTGCCTCCTCAATAAATGCTATCTCTTGACTTCAGAACACCCAAGATATTTACTTATGCCCCACTGAAATGTACCATCTTCATTTATTTTCTTGGACCACGACTCTGTATATTATCCATGACCCCACCTTGACAGGATGACCCTACATCTTGATATCCCTGAGGAAATCAGGAATAATGCTTATTTCTGTAGCACAGTTAAAAATTGTGTCCCCTTCACTTTTAAACGTGTCACAGTTTTACAAAATGTATATAGTTACCCTTATCTATACTTACTTGTACTAGGTAATCTGATAAATTAATCTATGCTCTTCAGAGAGAATAGAGACAGTATCAAATTATTTTCTTGCCAATGCTCTTTCAAGAGCCTGCAGTTAAGTGGGTTAGATATATATTTTAATTCTGAACATTAAAAAAAAATCACAAATTTCTATGTTGGTTACTTCAATGCAGGATTTTATCTTATTATAAAACAGATATTAGTAACATTTGTCCAAGTTATATTTAGATAAGCATATTTTCAAAATTAGAATGGCTTCCACATTTTCAAACATAATAAAAAGTCCTTTCTTAGCTGAGATACTTCCTTCACTTGTCTTCTGAGAAATAGTACTCTTCTTGCTTTTTATTTGCTTTACTGTCCAAAACTTCTCAGGATTTTTGGTGGATATTTTTCCTATTTCTATTGAAATATTTGATTGGGTGCCCCAGGAAGCAATCCTTGGAGTATTTTCTGTGTCTGCATAATCTCCCAACATAATCTCATTCAATACCATGATTTTATAGAAACTCTATGCAAATAACTCCTCCTTAATTTCAAATTTTTAGAACAAATTGCTACAACATCTCAATTTTCATTCATACATTTATTTATGTATTCTCTCACACAACAAACTTTTTTTTTTTGCCTGCTAATAATTCTCACTCACTGTTCTATGTGCTATAACAATGATCAAGACAGAGTCCTTGCTTTCATGGAGATTTCATTCTGGGAAACTAATAGGGGCCTAAGATATGCCCAAAAACAGAACCCCTGATTCCTCAAACATTCTCACACATGCAGACATACACATGTACACACACATACACACGTACAGGCATTCATAGACACAAACTTGCATCTTCCCCAACAGTCTTCCACCTCAGGACATCACAATTCACCAAATGGCTCAGCAAAAATATTGGATTCATTCCAGACTCCTTTGCTGATGCCCCAAATCCTGTCAGCTTCATATTTAAAATACGTTTTGAATCTCAGCAGTTCTCATAGCATCCATCTTCACCATTCTAAACCAAGCTAGGAATTTTGCAGTAGCCTTCTTATTGTCCTCCTTGCTTCCACTGGACTTGCTACCATTTATTCTCCAGACACGCTAGAATTATATTATTAAATGCAATCCAAATCCTTTCCAAACCCTTCAATAGTTTTCTATAACAGCTGTAAGAAAATATGAATCCTTTCCCATGCCAGTAGCACTCTGTGTGAGCAACCATGGCCTCTATAACATCTTCTACTATTCATGATCTTTCTCACATCTCTCCAGCTACTCTGCCCTCCTGGCTGTTCCTTGAACATAACAAACACACTCCTTGTGGCCAATGCATCAATTCCTCCTTGGTCTCAAATACTCATCCCCCCCGATATTTGCATGGCTCACCGCTTAATTCAGGTTACTGCAGGGATTACCTCCAGAGAAAGGCCTTCATGGATTTTCTGGCCTAAAACAGCTTCTTACTCACCTACACCCCCTCAATCTATTATCAAGTTTCGTTTAGCCTTTGTTCCTAAACTATTATAAATATACACTATATTTTGGTATTGATTTTCTGACACTCTACTGGGATGTTGCTACCACAGTAGAAGAAACTTCAGTGATAACTGCCTTCTCTCAAGCTCTGGAAAAGTATTTGTCATGCAAACTGAGATCAACTAAGATCTGATAAATAAATAAATGAATTTATTAAAGCAATCCTAATGATCTCTGCCTCACAGGACTTTACACAGAGGTGGCTCTGGCATGAAATAAAATCCCAAGCTCAATGATGGACAAACATACACTAACAAGTGTAAAGTGTCTTCCAAGGCTTTTTTTCTTGACTTAAGTGACAAAGAAGAGTAGTTTTGTGGTATGGAAGATACATAAAATCACTTTTTTTTTTGAGACTGAGTCTTGCTCTATCAACCCAGGCTGGAGTGCAGTGGCACAATCTCAGCTCACTGCAACCTCTGCCTCCCGGGTTCAAGCAATTCTCCTGCCTCAACCTCCCAAGTAGCTTGGATTACAGGTGCGCACCACCATGCCCAGCTAATTTTTGTATTTTTTAGTAGAGACAGGGTTTCACTATGTTGGCTGAGCTGGTCTCGAACTCCTGACCTCAAGTGGTCTGCCTGCCTCGGCCTCCCAAAGTGCTGGGATTACAGGCGTGAACCACCACGCCTGGCCAAAATCACATTTCCATTTCAAATTATATAATCTAAGTTACTTGATCTCTACCTTTATTTCCTCTAAAGTTTTATTGACCTTGTAGAGCCATTGTGAGAATTACATGACATAATACAATTTAAATTCTTAGAATTTTGCTTGGCACATTGTAAATGTGTACTACATTTATTTTCATTCTTTTTTTGTCTCATTCACTTATTGTAGTATTTAGTGGGTGATATATCACATTTTTCTATATTCCTCTTCCCCGCTGATCTTGAGTGACACTTAGTCAATGAGACAGAATGTTTAGAAGATATCACTAACTCAAATACCATGTGATTGTTTTGTGTGAGGAAATAATATCCGGGCACTATACTAATCCTGTGGAAGATGGGCACAGTATGGCTTTCATTTTAAATGGCCTACAGTGCTTTTGCCCCTAGTAGAAATGAGATAATGCTAGGTGAGCTGTTAAATGCTCAGTGAATCTCCGATGAATCAAATTATATTAATCATGGTCTTTTTCTGCCTCCAGATACACTAACAGATGCAGGGAGGCTCGCCATATGAGATTTTTGGCTTTATTCTCTTATGAATCTCTTCTTAGTCTTTTTGTCATTTTCCCCTCCTCACCTTTTAGCTTTGCAGGCCTGAAATTGCAAGTTCAGCTGCTTTGGAACAGGTGGATTAGTGGTAGTTTTATGGAACATGTGGCTAATGGTGTCCTTATACGTGGGATGTTTGATTTGTCTAAAAGAGAGATTGCTGTTGCTTTTCCTACAGCTGCTTCTCTTCTCCCTTTAACTTCGATATCTCAGGAGGAAGAAGCAGGGAGTAATAACAAATTATTTTATCCCCTTCATCTTGAATAGCAAGATTTTATAACAAACTAACTGAACTCTGCCCTTTCCCATCCTATCTGGAAAGAAAAAAAAAATTAAAAATACTGATGAAATCAGTTGAGTATTTTAATCACATAAGAGATGTAATTTTCAGTCAGAATTTCCTTACTCTGGTATCATCATTTGGAACTAAGCCATCATTTACTTCTACTGCTAATACAGCAATAATAGTGGTGATAATGGTAAAAAAAGTAAAGAGAAGGCATGGATTCAACAGGGACTTCAAAACTGGCTGAAGTCCTGTTGAATCTTCTTAGTCATCTCCTCCATCCCCTCCTGGAAGAGCCACCATAGCCATCACAGCCTCATCTTTCATTGTTTCTTTCCAAGCAAAGGGCTAGGAGAGAGTGTGACATCTCCAGCAAGGATCACTTTAGAGAAAGTTACAGGAATTTTTAAGGCCTAACTTTTTGCTTCAAGGTGCCAAGATTCCAAATGGATTTGCCTTCAATTATATGACATCACAGTGACAAACTGAAGTTTGGTTTACCAGACCAACAGCTCCTCACAGAATAAGATTATATCTTTTATTTCTGCACCTTGGATATCTCTGTTGTCATCTCTAAGAGTTTACTGAATAAAAATTGGATGGACATTCTAACAGATGCAGGGAGGCTCAACCCATGAGAGACCACCATTTTCTCTGCCCTGGCTCTGACTCTGATGTAATCTTAAGATCTGTTCACTCTTCTCCAAGTCATTGCTATGAACCTAGTTCAGGCCTTTCATCATCTCTCACCTGGTTTACTCCCCCAACTTGATAACTGGGAACTATTCCTTCTGTTCTGATCATGTATCCCTTTCTGAATCCCTGTGCCCTTTTCTGTACTGCAAACAAAATTATGTTTCTAATATGAAAATTTGATCAGGACACTTTCCACTTAAAACTGACCAATGGCTTTTTATGTCTCTTGGTTTAAAGTCCAGATTTTAGTTCGCGCATTTGGTTTGTCATGTCCAACATGACGCAGCTGTGCTAAATCTACAGCATTGTCTCTTCCCACCGTCACTTTTGTAGGATGTGATCCAGCCATAATGAAAACTAATGTATACATTCTAAGCCACACATTTTTTCACACTGTAATGTTCCTGGGATCATGATGAAACTCAAAGTAAGTGGTATAAGTGTGTTTTCTTTTGCATTGGTGTACAAGATTATAATGTAGTTTATATTTGCTATCAATCTAAATTTAATAGACAATAGTATTTTCATTTCTTCGAATATACCAAGTCACCTTAAATTCTGTCTTTTAACATGGACAGACACACTTCAAAATATCTAAATAATTAACAATCTCCTAGAGGAATGACCCTTTAGTTTTTATTGTCCCAACTTCATAGAACTTATATATTTCTTAATGTAACATTTTCAGCCAATCTTTATATAAGACCAAAAAGTAGAGTATATTTATGTCCCCAAAGTTCAATGAAGCATTTTTAACAAAATGACTTCCAGGAAAATTCTTGAGTTACAATCCAAATACAACTGCTAGAATGCCAGAGTCACTTTTATAACTAACCAAAAAGTGTGCCAAATGTCACAAAGTGTATGCACTCCACAGAGATTGCTGCCTGTAAGAGATGTAGCCCAAAGTATTTTTGATTCGAGCAATGGCTTTTATATTTACCCTTTATTATTGCATAGATTTTGTGATAACATTGAAGAACACCATGGAGAACTTTAAAAAATTGAGTAAGATGTTAAAAATAGAAGATGCTACTGCATACAAAACATCTGTTAATAACCCTATTAAAAATCATAATTGTTGATCAAAAATTTTAAACATTTTACAATGTAAAATAATCATTTTGGAGCCAGTTCCGGTGCCTCATGCCTGTAATTCCAGCATTCTGGGAGGCTGAGGTGAGTGAATCGTTTAAGGCCAGGAGATCAAGACCAGCCTGGGCAACATGGTGAAACCCCATCTCTACAAAAATTAGACGGGTGTGCTGGTGCCTGCCTGTAGTCTCAGTTACTTGAGAGGCTGAGGTGGGAGGATCACTCGATCCTGGGAAGTTGAGGCTTCAATAAGCAGAGATCACACTACTCTACTCCAGCCTGGATGATAGTGTGAAACACCATGTAAAAAATTTTTTTTCATTTTTTTAACTAATATATGTACATATATCTGTATATATGTACATATGTGTATATGTACACACATGTATATGTGTATATGTAAATATATGCATGCACATATATGTGTATATATGTACATACGTGTGTACATGTGTCTATATATGCACATATACATACATATATACATAGATACACATGGACATATATACACATATCTGTACATGCATATATACACATATGTACACATATACACATATATGTATATAACTATGTTTTAGTTATATTTTAAGAATTCCGTGAGGATTTGTGTTGAGATGTGCAGTGGATTCTTTAATACTTTGTTGAAGTAGTATAGAACCACACATTTATCATGGCCTTATCATCTATGGACATAGCCAAATGACTTTCTTTCACCAGTGGGATGATGTCAAATGCACAGCAAGCAGAAGTCTCACATGTGCTTGTATATTGTTTATATAATTTTTTAAAATTTTAGTGTATTATGATGTTTTGACATTTTAAAAACTTTGCAGAAGAGAGACTGTCCCTCCAGGGCTAGCCAATTCTTCGGGATAGCAAAGGCCTCAGCCAGGAACATGCTTCATGCTTTTGATATGCAAATTAAGCAATTCAGAGCTACTTCTCCTCTGTCTAGCCCGTACACACCCCAGGAGGCAATGTTCCCCTACTTTAATGATCTCAGTAGTAGGTACCAGGCATTTAGGACCACCTGTATCATTTATAGCCCGCCAAAATTATTCAAACTAGCCAATCCTAAAATGTTTACCATGCTCTGCTTTTTCTCATGGAAATCCCAATAGAGGTTCCAGCCCTGGCTTTTACCTTGCTCCTCCTTTGTTCCTCCTGACCGCCTGACATTTTCCCTTGTGGTCCTGCTTGGCTGCCATGCACCTGTTTCTAGGTTTATAATACGATTTTGTTTCCTGGATTCTCTCCTTCGTCCCCTCTTATGGACACCCGACTGACCATCATATAAAAGAGCAGGTAACAGCTTGTGTGGTTGGACTTATTATCTTGTGCCTCTGCCCTTCTTCATGAGAAGATCATGTCTCCAGGAGAGCTGATATTCTAAGAACAATGACAGACATATATGGAGAGCCTGGGACTCAACCTAAAGCTTGAGCCAACTCCTGTCAAGCCCAGCCAAGATTAGCCAAACCCAAGTCTACATATTTATGTATGAGCAAAAAATAAATTCCTATTTTTATAAACTAACGAGTTCTAGAATGGAGTGTTTTGAAAAATTATTGTGGAATAGCACCTTTCTACTACCATATAAAACATCATTTAATGATGAAAATGAGACTGCTGGTTAGAGATTTTGCTCAGAGCATCTGACTTTTGGAAAGAATTGCTGATGTTCAACAGGAGATACAGCTCCTATCCTATCCTATCTCTAACAGGAGATAGAGTTCCAATCCAACCATCTCTTATCCTTGCCATCAGCATAGGGATTCTAACTTCTCTTTTACATGTGTTTACTTGTCTTCTGATCTCCTGAACTGTGCTGAGGTCTCTATGCCCATTTTTTTTCATAGCACCCTGTCTTTTTCTATATTATAGCACTTAGCAAATTTTACTCTTATTTTTATCTATACTATTCACTTGAATATCACAACTTGGAGGGTGGAAACAATATGTATTTCCAGCACATAACATGATGCCTGGCATGCATTAGGCTTTTACAAATTATTGTTACTGAATCAAATGAATTATCTCAGCTCAGCTCTGTTTCCAAATAATGTGTGACTTTAAACAAGATACTTTATTTTTATGGCCTCTGTATTCTTTTTGTGCAATTGGTTAGTCTAAATTATCTCTAAGATTTTATTTCTATAATATGTGTTAAAGAGCTAAAATTAAAATATAATCATTTATTTAACTATACAGTTTACAGAAATTTATGTAATCTTTTATAAAGGATTGCTTATTTATATAAACTTGGAAAAGGATAATCAAATAAAAATAGGATCCCACAAATAAGATTGACAGGTGTTCTATTTAGCTGTATGTCTCCTTTAACCATCATATATACACACATACACACACACACAACAAATATCTACCTTTTTCTTATATTCATTTTCAGGATGAAATTTTATGTGATTAAAATTTTATTCTATATTTATTTTTGTATCTTACATTTTATTTACAATTATGTTATGTTCTCATATTTAAGTAAAATACTTATTTACTTTCAATTTTTAAAAAATAATTGTAATTTCAAAATTATGAATTTTCCCACTAATTGTAGCTTTGGCTGCAACCCATTAGTCTTGGGATATAGCCTTTTCCACTTCATTTTTTATTAATTTATCTCTTAATTTATTAACAAATTAAGCACCCTACTGTGTTAGTGTGATCAGAACTATTGCAAACACTTAAATTACAACTATGTACACGAAAACAGTAAAGGTCCTGTCTTAAAATAACACAATTTCTAGTATCCGTATGGTTTGAGCTACAGATTGAACAACAAAATTACACCTCACCTGCCTGTGAGTAAAAAATTATTTCATCTTTCTTTTAAATCCTCAAACAAAATGTATTTGACCTCTCATCACTGATTTGAATAAATATATCCCTGCATATTAACAAGGTTTACTTAGGTGGCTATAGCACAGGTTCTAATGAACAGGTATTAAGTTTTATTCCCAAGAACTTCCTATAAGGCCAGTTATTGCTGTGGTCGTTTGGCCTCTTGAGGCAATTTACATTTCAGACCAGAACACTTACCATTGAAGTTTAGGAAAATGGTCACTTAACAGTGTTTTATTCAAGAACAATAGGTAGATATTTTCTTTTCTTTACGTTTCTGTAAGTGGAGAACTCTCTCAGATTGCTGTCACAAAAGTGAATTTAAGTCACAATTTGGAGAATTACTGCCTGCAACTTTAAAATAGCAGTTTGTTGCAAACTTTTCCTACTATTTAAAAAAAAAAAATCTTACAGAGACAGGGGCTAGATGAAGCATCATAGTATATTACTTCAGATTTCTTTTTTGAACTGTTGTTTCTTTGAAAAGTAGAATTTTATTCTTTCTTTTAAAGTTATTTGTTTGTTTTGTTTGCTTCTTTTAAAAATGTTTTTTACTATAGGAAGCAGAGGTCCGAATATGGGTAATTACTGTTAGTGTAACTGCCCAATGAGTTCACTATGCCCGCTGCCTAGTCAGAGCCGATTTATCAAGACAGGGGAATTGCAATAGAGAAAGAGTAATTCACGCAGGGCTGGCTGTGCAGAGACTGGAGTTTTGTTATTACTCAAATCAGTCTCCCAGACAACTTGGTGGATGGGGGAAGCCAATGAGCCAGGAGTGCTGATTGGTCAGGTCAAAGATGAAATCATAGGGGGTCAAAGATGAAATCATAGGAAGTCGAGCTGTATTGTTGTGCTGAGTCAGTTCCTGGGTCGGTGCCACAAGATCAGATAAGCCAGTTTATTGATCTGGATGGTACCACCTGATCCATCAAGTGCAGGGTCTGCAAAATATCTCAAGCACTGATCTTAGGAGCAGTTTAGGGAAGGTCAGAATCTTGTAACCTCCAGCTGCATGACTCCTAAACCATAATTTCTAATCTTGTGGTTAATTTGTTAGTCCTACAAAGGCAATCTAGTCCCCAAGAAAGAAGAAGATTTGCCTCGGGAAAGGCCGTTATCATCTTTGTTTTAAACTATAAACTGTAAACTAAGTTCCTCCCTAAGTTAGTTCGGCCTGTGTCCAGGAATGAACAAGGACAGCTTGGAGGTTAGAAGCAAGATAGAGTTGGTTAGGTCAGATCTCTTTCACTGTCTCAGTTACAATTTTTCAACAGCAGTTTCATTAGGGTTCTATAGGTCAAGTAAAATAATCAGTATCTACCTATGGATTTGCACATGAGGTAGACACTATAGACACTGGGAAGCTAGCTCATCAATTTCCTGGCCTCCTCCCAGGCAGAGGTGGTTATGTGCCATTCTTGTCTGCTGGAAGATGTGCAATAAAGCCTTTGCTTTATAGATTTAACTATAGCAGCCTTTACTGTTTGCCAGTCTCTCTGACTGCAACTGAAAGTACTGCAACCCCTTGTGACCATTAATAGGAACGCCAAGAGGTTAAGGCTTAAAGACATAATTGAGATACTTGACTAGCCTTAACCAACCGACTTCTAGACTTCCTTTATGTAAGGAAATGTAAATTAATATTTTTTTAAATCGCCCTTTATAAGCAACACAATATTATTGAAATGTTCGCTAGGCTTATAAATGTTGTATATCTGATTTTGCAAGCACTTAGAGATTCTGTGACTATCTCTTTGTATTTATAATGGTATTATTGTTATTATTATTATTATTATTATTATTTTTTCTGAGACTGGCTCTGTCACCTAGGCTGGAGTGCAGTGGCACAGTCTTGGCTACTGCAACCTCTGTCTCCCAGTTTCAAGGGATTCTCCAGCGTCAGCCTCCTGAGTAGCTGGGATTACAGGTGCCCATCACCATGCCTGGCTAATTTTTGTATTTTTAGTAGAGACGGGGTTTCACCATGTTGGCCAGGTTGGTCTCGAACTCCTGACCGCAGATGATCCACCCACCTCAGCCTCCCAAAGTTCTGGAATTACAGGTGTGAGATATTTTGATGTCATGATGTTGAGAATATTATTTTTGTATCTTTATTGTGAATTATGCCCTATATCAACATAAAATGACCCTCTTCATTCATTAGTTAATTTTTGCCTTAAAATTATGTCATTTCATCCATTTATTTATTTTTTATTTATTTAAAAATATGGATTGGGTGCTGTATTAATAAAGGTTCACTTTGACCGCTGATGCATTATTCGCAGAAGTGCTAGAATGTGATTTTTAAACATATTTTATGTCAATTTACTGTCTAATTATAATTGTCATGTGGAGATACAAAAGACCTAGAAGAACCATAAGTTTTAAAAAGAGAAACAAGTTAGAGTACTAACACTGTTAGTATAACCAAAATTATAAACTTGTGCTTTTCATAAGACACTATTAAGAGAATGAAAATACAAGCCACAGATTGGGTAAAAACATTTGCAAATCATAAATTTGACAAAGGATTTATAACTAGAATGTAAAATACTCTCAAAATTCAAGGAGAAAACAAATAATAAATTACAAAATGGGCAAATGTTTTAAACAGATGCTTCACCATATACATAGATAGCAAGCACATGAAAAGATATTCAGCATCATTAGTCATTAGGACAATAAAAAGTTAGAACTACAATGAGATACTATGACACACCTATTTGAATTGCTAAAATTAAAAAGACTAATCATAACAAGTGTTGGCATGAAATGTGAAATGTGAAAAAACTAGAACTCTTATTCTTTGTTGGTAGATATGTAAAATATTATGACTACTTTGAAATAAACATTAGCAGTTTCTTCAAGAGTTAAACATACACTTACCATATGATCCAACAATCCAAATCTTAGTTATTAACCCCAAATGAATGAAAAGATATATTCATACAAGACCCATGCATTAATGTTCACTAAAGCTTTATTCATAATAGCCCAACATTAGAAACCACCTAGATATCCATTAACAGGTTAATGGATTTAAAAGAAGTTATGATTTCTTTACACAATGCAATGTTGTATATATTTTGTATATATCAGCAATAAGAAGAAATAAAATATTGTTATATATTACAGTGTGGAAGAGTTAAAAAAACTGTGTTGAGTGAAGAAATTCAGACCAAAAATATTACACATTGTATGATTCCCTTATATAATACTCAAGAAAAATTCAACCTTAATTATAGTGGTAATAGGCAGATCAGTGGTTGTCTGAGCAGAGATAGAGTGGAGGAGTGGAAGCTGGGAATACAAAGTGGCATGGGGAATGTTTGGGAAGTAATTAATATGGTCATTAACTTGATTGAGGTAATCTGTCATAGATACATACATATATCAAAACTTAAATTCTATACTTTCAATGTGCATAGTTTATTGTATGTCCATTATACCTCTAAGCTGTTCAAAAAAAGAATTGTCAATGTTTTCCCATCATACAGCAAATAAAATATGATCTCCTGACTACTGCCTTTTAGTACTTTGTAATCTAGTATTTGTTGATCCCCATAGTTTTCTCCTCTACCACTCTCCAAACCCACTGTCCTCTTGTTTTCTTTTTTCATTGATAATGCCAATCTTTTTGCATTACTCAGTGACTTTTGCACTTATTTGCCCCTGTGAATGGACTTCTCTCCCCTTGACTCTTTCTATGTCTGCCCCTGTACCATACTACAAGTCCATATCAGTAATTTTGTTACCAGAAATCCAAGGCCAATGGCTTAAATTTATTGAAATATATATTCAGTAAGTCCAATGATACATAGAGCAGGCTTCATATCTGATTTAGTCCAGTCACTCATGCTTCTGAGATGCTCTGAGATTTAATAACCTTAATGTATCTCCGGCTGGTAGTAAAACAGCTTAAATAGTTACAGCTCTCAATCATAGACATGTGCAAAAATAAAAAGAAATAATGAGCTGATTATATAAGCTTTTCTTAAAGATCCAGAACAAACTCTGCCAGAAGCTCCCTAGCATCCCGCTGGCCTGATCTATTCATTGGGAGGGAACTACCGCAGAGCAAGTAGATGAATTCCTGAATCTGGGGTGGCTCAACTTACACTGTATAAGCAAGGAGGAACCAGAACCAAGCTGGTGTTGGGTAAGGAAGGACAAAAGAAAAGAATATATCCTGGTGAGACAATGTATAATTCTACTAGTAAATTTCAGTACAAATGTGACTACTATTTTCCAAAGGAACACTCACCTCTCTTTAGCTAATCTTTCTGCTTATTTCCTGTAAACTATGCTTTATTATTTATGATATCTTGTTTTTTAATAGAGTTATATATTTGATATCTATCTTCTTTTCTAGAATGTAAACTCCTTAAACACAAAGACATTTTCTGTTTTATTTGTTATTTTAATCCTAGATTCTAGAATAGCAGAACAAAAACATATAGAAATATATCAATAAAAATTAATTCTAGGAATAACTGAGTGAATTAATCAATCATTTAATAAATTCTCTACATCCAAGCATTAATTTGATTTCCATAGCACTAAATAAAGAGTTGTATTTTCTGATCAAAATTATTATAATCCAGGGTACATGATCCATTCCATAATAATGATGCATATAAAATATTTGAGACTTGAGAAGCAAATGTTGGTGACATCACTAGAGACTGAATGGAGAAAGTCCCTCAATATTTTTAGTCATTAGGAAAATGCAAATTTAAGTCATGTAAGATATTACTATCTACCAACTAGAGTAGCCAAACAAACAAATAAGTGACAGACAACATCAAGTATGGTCAAGGATGTGGAGCAATTGGATCTCTCATACCTTATTTGTAGAAATGTAAAATTGTATTACCACACTGAGAGTCATTCTGGCATTTCTCTATAAAACTGTATATATGCTTATCCTATGAACTATCCTATCAACCCCTAGGTATTTACTCCTCCAAAATGAAAACATATACAAGTGAGGCCGGATAGGTAGTCAAGGAAGAAACCATGTCCTTGGGACATAGGAACCATGGCGACTGCACCTGCAACACAATAAGCCCCAGCATTCACATTGTAGTCAAGCTCATTCAAGCAAAGCTATCTCCAGTAGGGAAATTTTCCTGTGGAGAGTGTGTGCATTTCGATTTTACCTATCCTCAGACTTACTCTTACTCATTGTAATAGTAACAAACACACTCCTGGGTGGAGATTTAATGAGACATGTGATGTATGAACAAACATATACAGCTACTGCACATGTGCACCCAGAGGACCACTAGAATATGCTTACTAGTAACGCCTCTTCCCAATCCCCGTATGAATAGTCATGTAAGACTTCCATAACGGGAGTTTTCCCAGTAACAGCCAAGGCTGTCTCATCCTTACGAGCAGCCAGCTCTGAACCTTCTCTCTCTTGGGGTGTACTGTCTATTTCACACTTAACTTTCAAAATATTCTTTCTTCTTTGCAATAAATTACTCTATGCTGCATCTCCTTTGTTGTGTGCCTCTTGTTTAAATTCTTTTAAGCTAAGAAGATAAGAACCATGGTTTTACAACAGCCATCAACATAAGGGTATTGTCTTAGTCCATTTTGTATTACTGTAACAGACTTCATGAGATGGGGTAATTTATAAAGAAGAGAAATGCATTTCTCACAGTTTCAGAGGCTGGGAAGTTCAACATTGAGGGGCTACACTAAAAAGAGCCCTCATGCTGCTTCATTACATGGTGGGAGGCATCACATAATATGAGAGTGTACATGCAAAAGAGGGTGGCAAAGAGGGTGGAACTCATCCTTTTATCAGAAACTTTCTCCTGTGATAACTGTCCCACTTCAGCAATGAAGGCATTAGTCCCTTCATGAGGGCAGAGCTCTCATAACCTAATCACCTCTAAAGGCCCCACCTCTCAACACAGTTATATTGGGGATTAGGTTTCCAACACATGAACTTTAGGGGTCAAATTCAAACCATAAGAGGTATTCATAGCAGTTTTATTCCTAATAGCCCCCAAATATAAACAAACCAATGTTATCAATAAGAGATAAGCAAGCAGGAGTATATTCATACATTGTAATACTACTGAGCAATAAAAACAGATAAACTACAGAAATATTCAACAAAATAAATATATCTCAAAAACAGTAAAATGAGTAAATGAAGCCTTACACAAAAGAGTGCATATGGTATGCTTTTATTTACATGAAAATCTTCATCTGGAGAATTGACTGGAAAGGACCGGAAGAAACTTTCTAGAACACCATGTACTAAACTTTTTCTGTAGAGGGCCAGATTGCAAATATTTTCAGTTTGTGGGCCTGATGGTTCCTGTTGCAACTACTCTTTACTGCCATTGTAACACAAAAGCAGCCATAAACATGTCAGCAAATGTGTGTAGCTGTGTTTCAAAAATAGTTTATTTACAAAAACTGTTGGAGTGCAAGATTTGGCCTGCCAGCCATAGATTGCTGCACCTCCATAGACTGATAACGATGTCCTGTATCTTGAAAGAGATTATACGTGGGTGTATGTATTTATTAAAACTCAGTGAATGTACACTGAAGGTTTGTGCATTTCCTTATACTTCAACAAATGTTGGATTCTAGAATGATATGTGTGCTGAGGAATTTAAGAAAAAGTATACTGATGTCTGTAATATAGTTTAAAATGTACTTAAAAGTAAGATTGTAAAGCAGATTAATACTGAGATGAATAAATGGGTAGCTAGGTGATAAAGTAACTGGGTAAAATGTTAATGGAAGAATACAAATGGTGCATGTAAGGATATTCACCTTAAAATCTTTGTTTTGCCATTTCTATGAAATTTTTCATAATAAAATGTTGAATAGATGGCTTAGGGAAGTTTATCTGCTAGCAAGTGCAGGCAGTGGCAGTGAAGTGGTGGCAGACAGGACTGTAGTATTGGCAACATCATGTAGTGTGTAGACCCTTGCATTGTAAGCCAAATATTGTAACTTTTTGTTCCAGTTTGACCCTTGGGTGAGTCATCTCAGTTCCCTGTGTCTCACTTTCTACATGCACTTTTAAGAATAGAGACTCAATAAATATTTGTTGAGTTAATGTTTGATATATTGATATATAAATTGAAGGAAACAGATAAAATAATTTCTCAGGTCCCTTCTATGTTTTCTATGACTCATTTTCATTGAGTATGTATCAGATAACACATCTCTATCATTACTTAAAATATTTTAGCAATTTATATTATGACTAATTATATAAATTCTAACAATAACATAATTTTAATGGATGAACTAAAATTTGTATTTACAAACGAATGGTAACTCAAAGAAGTAGATCCCTTGAAAAGCCATGTAACTGTATGTCAGCTTGGTAAGAAAGTCAGTGTCAAATATAGCAACAGAATTACACTATTCTTTTCAATGCTTTTTCCCAAATTTAAAATGTATAAATAAATGTGCATATGCTTCCAAACTAAAGTTTGGATCTAATAGTAGCTACTTGGAAAGACTATTCCATTCAATGTAACACATTTTTGTGCCGAACTATAAGCATCTGATTACTAGCTGAGGTATAAGTTGTTAAAATACCCCTCATCATTTATCTGGTTCAAGCAGCAATGAAATTGTGGCAGATGATGAATAAATATCAAGCACTTCCTTTGTTTGCAGCTGTGTCCTTACAGAGTTTCAAGGTGTTTAGGAGAAAAAGAGACAATTGTGACATGACACCCGTAAGTACTTATTACATCATCCTTGGTATTGAGCTAACGATAACTAAAAGAATTACATTTTTATTAGGCACCCAGGGTACACAATAAAATGTTCATTTACCTCACACTGCATATAAAGCTATGTTTTCAACAGTCTGTTTCTTATATAGGATTGCCATAATGTGATTCTCAGAACATTAAGCACCAATGCATAATTATTAACCTCCTTGTATACAGCCATCTACGTTAAATACCATTTAATAAAATGCTCTTACAAATACTGTATATCCTTATAGAACTATTATCTACATTTTCTCAAAATACTGTGCTCAAAATTGGATCAATGGAATTAGTATTTTGTTCTTATAATAATGTGGATGAGCCTAAGGCTGAATGCAGGAGAAAGAGAGCTTTATGGCTCCCAATTCATTGGAACATGTGGGATTTTGGGGGGACTACACCCTGAGAACCATACCTTCTAAACCCAGGTCACTTTTCTTTAGGGATTTTATTTTTATTTTTATTTCTATGAACCCCTTTTGGCTTTGATTTTTTAAGAGAGCTGCACTCTTTAAAATGTCTTTGTGTACTTCTCATATTCTCTGAAATACAGGCACTGAGCAAGACTGCCAGTGCTCAAGAAACACTCATCAACAAGCCATGACTTTGCACTAACACAGTGGCTTCCAAACCTGTCTGCATATTAGAATCTCCTGAATTTTTTTAAATGTCCCAAAGCCTAGGACACACCCACAATCAATTAAATCAAAGTCTCTTGTGATGGGCCAAAGTCATTACTATTTTTTCGAAGTTCACCAGAGTACAACAATTTGTAGACAAGTTCGGGAACAACAATCAGATTAGGAGTAATAAGTAAAATTCTAAGGGAAGATGCCATGGAAGCCAAATGGTCCAAAGTTGAATTTTTGGTTTTTAGAAGAAAAAAAATAGAGATAATATGACATTATAACTCTCAAACCATTTTTTCCTCTGTATGTGAAAGGTTAAAGTTATGTACCTTTGAAGATATTATCACCCCTGATATTTTAATTGTTTAGCAACAGCCACTAAACTATACATATGTAGCTATTTGGACATTAATTTAAAAAGTAGCAGCTATAAGAAAAGAAATGAACAGTAGCTTAATGGCTACTTAGTAAAGATTATATTGGGAAGCTTTAACATGCATGTATGTTCAGTAAATACATATGGAAGTTTGTCTGAAAACAACAGAAATAGATAAGAAGTTACATACTATATTATATATTTTAATAAAAACAAAGATGGGGAAAAGGCACGACATTTTGTTTTGTTACATGTTTTCATGAGTTGGTAAGGTGGCCTTATACTACATACAAAGACATGTATCAGGCTGTGCATGGCTTTTGGGTTTCACAAAGAGCAACCCTGTTTTTCTGAATCCAATCATATTTTCCATGTCTGATTAAGTTACCGTGCAGGGCAAAGTCTGAAAAAGGCATTATGTGGTTTATGATCAATAGATTTTTCTAATTATATTCATAATAGCAGACATATTTCTAGATAATTTGATTCAGAGTCAAACCTGAGATTGCAAATTGATGAGGTATAAGCACCTACTGGTGTCATCATTATTAAGAGATTGTTGTTGTCATCCTCACCATCAAATTTCCCCTGTATTGGGTTATTACAACCTGACAACATTAAGTCTCATCAGAAAAAAAAGATTTAGTGGGTAGGATTTTCTAATAAAAAATGTAAATTATATAGTTATTGTTTTGAATATTGTGATGGTTAATTTTAGGTGTCAACATGACCAGATTAAGGATTACCTAGAGAACTGGTGTAGCATTATTTTGGATGTGTCTGTGAAAGTATTTCCAGAGGAGAGTCGGTTGCTGGTGAGTTGGTGGACAGAATGAGGAAGACCCACCCTCAATGTGGGCGGGCACCGTCAAATCCACTAGGAGCCCAGATAGAAAAAAGGGGATTTCCCGTCACTCTTTCTCCCTCTCCCTCTCTGCTGGAGCTGCAGCACTCTTCTCCTGCCTTTGGACATCAAAACTCCAGGCTTTCTGAGCTTTGAACTCCAGGACTTAACCAGAAGCACCCTGGTTCTCAAGCCTTTGACCTTGGACTGAGAGTTATACTATCAGCTTCCCTGGTTCCGAGGCCTTCAGAGTTAGACTGAGCCACGCCACTGACATCTCAGGCTCTCCAGCTTGCAGATGACCTCTCCTGGGACTTCTCAGCCTCCATTGTCAAATGAGCCAAATCCCTTAATGAATCTCTTCTCATTTTTCTATCTATCCTATTGGGTTTGTCCCTTTGGAGAACTCTGACTAATACAAACATTATTACAGAGAAGCGTCCCTAATATGTTTGGTGCTGTGACACGAAAAAAACAAAGACTTTAATGCCTAACTTCTAAAGGAATTTAGGAATTTTTAAAGTTTTTAAATAAATAGAAATTTACATGGATAAGTAAGAATGTGACAATATCGTGCAGTTGGTCAGCATATAATAAAATATTTATCAATTTTTAATATAGCCATTTTTGGGTATTATAGATTCAAATAGTGGGCATATGAATGCTTTATGTGTTCACCTGAGTGAAGTAAAAATAAATGTTATGTCTTGATTGTGAATATTTTTTAATTGAATCTAGTTTAGAGCAAGTAATTTTGTAAACACTTTTTGCGTGCTTAGTCTTCAAGTATGTTCTCAGAAAGCGCCAAAAGTTTATTTAAATAGTGGCAAGGGCCTTTGAAAGAATAAAATTACAGAGTTCATATGTCTTTGTTGTCTTAACACAGTCTTTATATATATATATATATATATATATATATATATATATATAACTTTTTTATTATACTTTAAGTTCTAGGGTACATGTGCACAATGTGCAGGTTTGTTACATATGTATACATGTGCCATGTTGGTGTGCTGCACCCATTAACTTGTCGTTTACATTAGGTATATTTCCTAATGCTATCTCTCCCCCCTCTCCCCACCCCACAACAGGCCACGGTGTGTGATGTTCCCCTTCCTGTGTCCAAGTGTTCCCATTGTTCAGTTCCTACCTATGAGTGAGAACATGTGGTGTTTGGTTTTTTGTCCTTGCGATAGTTTGCTGAGAATGATGGTTTCCAGCTTCATCCATGTCCCCACAAAGGACATGAACTCATCCTTTTTTATGGCTGCATAGTATTCCATGGTGTATATGTGCCAAATTTTCTTAATCCAGGTCCTAACACAGTCTTAAATTAGAATTTTCAGTAGTAATAATTGGAAGAATTGATATGATTTAAGGAATTCATTGACTTAAGAGATTATGTTGAAATTTTTATATATTGCCTCTACACTCTATAGATAAGCAAATAGTAATTCCAGTCACCTCTCACTTGAACAAGAAGGAATCAACATATTGGTACTAAGCAGTTAAGAGCCTGGCCAGTACATGTGTTTTGTTTTGTACACTTAAAATATTTCAAAATTATTTTCCAACATTTTAAAAATTAAGAAAAGTTAAACATTTAAACACGTTTTCAAATTTTAAAATTGGGAGATTTGATATAAATATCCTGATTTCTGGTTTATCTTGAAAAGCCAACCATTGGGCTATCTATCGCTGCAGCTGTCTTCTCACCTGCAATATTTGGATAGAGCAAGTAGCTGCTGTCTTCTATAGGTGGGCATCTGTTATACGGTTTGGCATAATGTCCACCTGGCCTCACCTCACCTGTCTGGCTCCTAAAGACACTTGAGTACTTAGTCCCCAGAATTTCTATTTAAAATCTCTATACAGGTTAGTGGATAAAAAAATGGTGGTGATTTCAGACACCCAGGATTCTAAATTATACCACACTTTTTTCAGTTGGCGATGATATAACATCTGGCCCTTGGAATGCAGGTAAGAGCAAAAATACTTCAGATGGTAGATAGCAAATAGCTTCATATCCCTAACTCTTATGCCTCTAATGCTGCTTCTGTTTGATCAGATTTTTAGTTTTTCAGAATTTGAAAACTATTATACAAAATAACTGTTCCCAAACTCATTGTCTCCCCAATTTGTATTACAACTGCACCTCCAAAGCTAGTTAACTAGAAAGGAGGAAGGGTTGGCAAAATCAGCGGGGTGAATATTGTCAGGGAAAGTCTAGAATTGGCTGCTACATCAAGACATGGAGTGGCAGGCTGGGCACAGTGACTCACACCTGGAATCCCAGCACTTTGAGAGGCCAAGGTGAGAGGATAGCTTGAGATCAGGAGTACGAGACCAGCCAGGACAAGAAATCAAGACCCTGTGTCTGCAAATAATAATAATAACGATAATAATAATAATTAGCCAAACATGGTGGTGTCCACCTATAGTCTCAGCTACACTGGAGGCTGAAGTGGGAGGATTGTTTGAGCACAGGAGTTCGGGGCCGCAATGAGCTATGATTGTACCACTGCACTCCAGCCTGGGTGACAGAAGAAAAATAAATAAATAAAAACATGCAATGGCATTTGTACTTGTCTCCCTTTGGCCTACCACTGAGTCTGGATGCTACTGTGGTGGACAGCTCCATGTGAATTCAGACATGTCTTGTGCAGATGGCATCTTATCTCAAGCAGAATACTAAGTCTCTTCATGTTTTTTTTTTCACCCCCACCACAATTTTTTGACACAGATCGCCTGGCCTATGCAAAACTACAGCGTGGAAGGGAAGTTAATGCTGTTGGGGGCAACTTTCAACTAGTGGGTCAGTGGATAAATATTTTAACCTTCTGTCCTTCAGAAGACAAAGGATGGATTAGATTTTCTTTCCATTTTACTAGTACTATAGTTGGAAAGTTCTACAAAGCAGTGAAAAACACATACAAAAGGGTAGATTATATCCATATATCCACAGTCAAGAGGCAAGGGCATTTTATTCACCTGAAAATTAGTAGCATACTATATATTACCAGGAAGAATGGTGCCAAGAGATAAAAAGAGATAAAGTTGATGGATATCATTTCCTTATTCAGTTTAGTGCACAGCAGGCAAAGTGGTATCTTTTTTTTTTTTTTTTTTTTTTAGAGAGAGAAACCGAAATAGAAAACCACAGGCAGGAGAGAGACAAGCATATGGAAGGAAAGGCCAAAGAAAGAATGTGGCAAAGAGTGAGGAGACACAAACTGCACTTGACAATTACATCTGGGGTGACATAGAAACCTGTATGATAATTTTGGCAAAAATAACTTTCTGATTAGGTGTACATTTGAGAATTTCAATAATATTAGTTTGGAAGTAGAATTTCTCCACTTTTTTTTTTTTGCCCTTTAAGATAGAATTGTGACACTGTTTTATATATAGGACATATCCTTGGTTCCAACAGTATACTTGGCATGTTGCTCTAGTTCCTCAATAAATGTATGCTGAATAATGAATGGATAATGTTCAGAGACCATGAGTGAGGTGCTATGTTAATTGGTTAGTTCTTCAGAGTGCTTGGCCAATACATTTGCCCAGATTTATTTATTAATTACTTTCTATTCCAAATGAATGATATTATACCAATTTTTGCTTTAGCCTTATTTCAGTGACAACTGAATTCAAATGAGAAATTATTGCTTCAAGGGCCAGGGAATAACATATTTTTTAATAAATTTGCCACAATTATTTATTAAATGAACAAAACACTTGCATTTTTGAATATGCATCTCAATCTAAGTAGCTCTCCAATATTAGACTAAACAGAATCAAACTACTGATCCCATATACTTACAGGTTGAACTATGAAATTTGTGAAGGCTTCAAAATTGTGAGCTTTATTTAAAGTTTGAATAAATAATAAAAGTGAACTTCACTTAATTGGTGTTATTATTATTCATGTTCCTTATTATTTGATTTTGGTAAATTAATTGCCTACTATGTTTTATTCACATGGTTAGGTGTTGGAATATACAGATGAATAAGACACAGTCTCTGCCACAGTGTGGTGAGCATTGTCACTACTTATGGCTATGGAATATCTGAATCTCTTTTGTAGAGTTGGCTATATTTTACTATATGGATTTTATTGGTAGTAAGAGACCATTCCCTGTCATAGGAGGTTAATATACCAGATTCTTGCTTTTTGAGACTTCTTATAACAGACTCAGGCATATGATCTACTTTCTGCCCTTCAGTGACATTGGTACTGGCTTTGCCACAAAAGCTCACACCAGAAAAATGGAAGCGTGGATCTCTGACAAACAGGAGTAGGATTTCTCTGACAAGAATTCTATAGGATTGAGTTTTCCATACAGTAGTGGTAGCAGAGACAGCCATAACATCTGGTGATTGGTAAGAAAGGGTGACAATGATTGCCCGACCAGATAAATTCTGCAGATGGTATTGTTAGTTGAGGCTGATTCCATAGATGCCATTCATCTGCTTCCATAGGTTTCCCATTGATTCATCTGGCTATATAGTATCCTTTTAATAAACTCCTTTTCTCTTTCTATTATCCAAAATTAAATTACTGGTTACAACTAAGAAGACTGAATGATAAACACACACATATTTCCTTCAATTTAGAACCAGAAGATAGACACATGACTACTTTGATTTTGATTATGTCGATACATTCTCAACAATATTAATAGTTTTTATGATAAATAATCCACCCATAAATGTACGGAAACTAATATGCATTGAAAATGGCACAAAGGTAGAGAAACTGGATGTGTTGAGAATCTGTGATGGGCCTCGCATCACACTTATTAAAATTTTGTCACATTTACTGGGCTATGAATTGGATAATTACAAACATTTTTGCTTTGTCTTTTGCCACTAAAGAATATTATAGAATTAAAACAAGAACATCCATGTAGTATGCACAACACAATTCCTGGTATGAAGGGTATGTTCCAAAATGTTAGTTCCACATACTTAACATATTACATGTTTGCAAAATAGTTTTCATGTTGGTTTTACAGGGAGAGTGATGGTGACAAATGTGGGGTAGGACAAAATTAAGCTAGTATCCAGTAGGCATAATAAGAAAAATGAGCCAGGCATGGTGGCTCATGCCTGTAATCCCAGAACCTTGGGAGGCCAAGGCAGGTGGATCACCTGAGGTCAGGAGTTCGAGACCAGCCTGGCCAACATAGTGAAACCCAGTCTCTACTAAAGATACAAAAATTAACCAGGCATGGTGGTATGCGTCTGTAGTCCCAGCTACTCAGGAGGCTGAGGCAGGAGAACCACTTGAACCCAGGAGGCAGAGGTTGCAGTGAGCTGAGATCACGCCATTGAACTCCAGCCTGGGCAACAAGAGCAAAACTCCATCTCAAAAAAAAAAAAAAGAAAAAAAAAAGAAAAGAAAAAATAAAACAGAAAAATGATAAAATTAATTTGGTATTGAGAAGTATGTAGATATCAGCCATTTTGTAATTAAAAGTCAGAATCCAATAAAAATAAACATAAATTGGTGTGTCTTATAAGAAAGCATTTTATTCAAATTTGTATGTAAATTTTGTTCAAACCACATCAAGCCCAGAGTTCTTTTTAGAATCATATATACAACTGCTATTTAACTCACCCCAGTTGGTGAGCACAAGCCTCTGCTTAGTTTCCTAAGGCTGCTGTAACAAAGTACCCCACTGGGTGGCTTAAACAACAGGAATTTATTGTCTCACAGTTCTGGAGGCGATAGTCTTAGATCAAGGTGTTGGCAAGGTGAATTCCTTCTGAGGGTTATAAGGGAAAATCTATTCCAGGCCTCTTAACCAGCTTCCTGTGGTTTGCCTGTAATATCTGGCATTTCTTTACTTATAGATATGTCACCCTCATCTCTGCCTTCATTTTTATATGGCGCTCTCCCTGCATGTGTGTCTCTGTGTTCAAATTTCCTTTTCATAAGGACATGGTTATACTATATTAGAGTCACCCTAATTACCTCATCTTAACTTGATCACCGGCAAAGACCCTATTCCTAAATAAGGCCACATTCACAAATACTGGGGGTTAGGACTTCGATACATTTTGAGGACACACAATTCAGCTTATAATAGTCCCCCAATGCTAGTATATCTAAATACAAACCCTTGGTTTCTTCTCTCTCTCCCTTAAGTCTTACCTTCACCAGTCTTATCTTCCTGTACCTTTCCCCATATTGGATAAATAGTGTCTTCATTTCTCTATTTTTTCAGGGCAGTAGTCCAGAGAGACAATATAGTAGATGGGTAAAATATTGCATTAGAGACAGAGAGCCTACATTCTAGTTCTTTCTCTCCCAATTCAAAGCTGTATAGCCTTAGCAGGTTACTAAATCACTGTGCAGCTCAGCATCCTCATGTATCATATGGAGATAACAATAATACCAACCCACAGGTTAAGAATCAAATGTATAAGACAATTACAAGACAGGAAAAACATAAGAAAATCAAATTTCTTCCTAAAATAGTCACAAATAGAAATCTCTTCATAGAAAATAAGGTAAAACTAAATAATACTTAATAGGAGAAAAAAATAAAATGTTTAATAATCTAAGTCATCTTGGGTTGTTTAAAAAATAGGCTTCTTTCAGATAGCTTATTTAAATATAAATTAAATAAATCCTATTACTTGAAAGCTGAAAGAAAAATCTGCCTAAAAAGTCAGGGGAAAATCATTCTAGGAAATATATACTCTAAATCAATATTCTAAATTTCTTTTCAAAAAAGTAGTAATTGTATTTTGTATGTATGTATATGCCTTTTTGTATTCAAAAAGTGTGAAAAATCAGCAGGATTTTGCAATCTTAAAAGAGTAAATAGATTGAAAATTGTAATAACACATGTAGAGAATGAATCACTTCTTGCTCATAGTGGGAATGTCAACTCAACATCTGGAGCACACAGCAGTGATGAGTTTTTAAAATAAAACGCAAGTTTGCATTATAATTTTTTTTTTTGAGACGGAGTCTCGCTCTGTCACCCAGCCTAGAGTGCAATGGCGCAATCTCGTTTCACTGCGACCTCCGCCTCCTGGGTTTAAGTGATTCTCCTGCCTCAGCCTCCCAAGTAGCTGGGATTACAGATGCCTGCCCCAACACCTGGCTAATTTTTTGTATTTTTAGTAGAGACGGGGTTTCACCATGTTGGCCAGGCTGGTCTTGAACACCTGACCTCCCAAAGTGCTAGGATTACAGGCATGAACCACTGCGCCTGGCCGCATTATAATTTTTAAATATAAAAAGAGAAATTATAGATTCATTGTTATTTAGTATAGCCCTGTTTTCTTCCTTTAAAGACTTCCAGGACTTATTTAAAATCTGAACTTATACTCTTATCACCTCTGAGGAATCAGAGGGCAGAAATGATGATTCTAATTTACACCTATAGCAAGATGAGTACAGACACAATTGAAATAGCTCATTCAAACTCAGACAGAATCATTGCCTGAAGCTTTTTGGCCATTCCTAATTTCTAGTCCCAACTGTAGTCACATCATGTTGTTTTATGAAGCTATTGCATAGTGAATACAAAATCTCTGTTAATATATGCAAATTAGAGCAGAACTGCAATTATATCAATAAACCTAATGAACTCAGGTGAAAGTATTTAATATGACTTTCATTACTTCAAATATTGCAACTTACTGTTTACAAGTGTGGTAGCAGTTGATGATGGTTAAAAAAAATCTCCCCAGTAAAAATACTTCTCTCTACACATTTACATATTTTAAAGTAGTTGGTGTAAGATCTCTATTAGATTAGGAGAGTCTATTTTTCAATTAGTTTTCTATCTCCTATATAAAATAGCTTGCAGTCTCTCCCTTTCAATTCTGTCCTTTAAAAAAAATCAAATCTGGAAACTTTCAATACTACCAGCATCTGTGAGCCTTACATAGTCCATTTTAGCAAACTCATTATGATGTTATAGCCGATGGAAAAACTTTAGTCATGAACTCTGATAACCAGCCCACTAAATTAACTATGTAGGAAGCAGGCAGAGATGTTCCCTCTTGACTCTCTTTTCAGGTATGTGACAAGAGGAAAGAATGAACTTTTCCCTATTATAGATACTGAGTGTGGTCAAGAGACTATCAAGGACCTACCACGTGGCCCACAAACTTGCTGTAGTGATGCCGGGATGCAAGAGAGGTTGCTTGTCTTTGTTCTACTTTCAGCTGATCTGGAGTCACAAAGGCTGGGTTCGCTCCGGGGAAGCGTCTCACAGGGAGATGGCGGGCTACCAAGAGGTGCAACCAGTTACCATTTTATTTTGAGGGGAAGTTATATATCATTTAGTGGGAACTGATAACTCTAAAACTCACCTACTTTTTACAAAAATATTGAGATTGGGTTCAAGTGATCTTTGTGATTTTGCATGAATATCAGACCTTCATTGATTTGTAAAATTGCATATTACAACTGAACCTTTTGCGTAGTTTGTGTTCAATATACTTTATGTTAGAATATGCTGAGTTGCTAAGTTTTGTAAAAGAATGTTTATAAATGGACATTTTCATAAAATGATGTTTTTGCCTTCAATGACATTTCTTATACTTTCAAACAGATTGTTTACATTATGGCTTGTTGTTAACAACAAAAAACACATTGTGCTGTAAAGAAGGAAACATTGCAACACTCAGTCATAGGCATTCCCATAATCCTCCTACGACAATATAATTGCTGTTTAGTTAATAAGCCTAAGTACCAGTGATGAATGTAAGTTTATGTATGGCATATTGATGATAATATCTGAGTAGCATAAGCTGCCAAATGAGAGGCAACAAAAAAGAAATATTGCAGTCCAAATTGCATTCCAAATAACTATTTTTCTCACTGTGCAATCAAAATTGTATAGTGTACAGTTATTTCCATAAACACCCATTGGTGCTGTAGAATGAAAATAATAACTTCATGTGATTCACAGCAGATGCTGATAACATAAACCTACACACCTGTGATGAATAGGATTTAGTAATTTCTCCATGATTAAGGAAATTGCTTACTGTTCTGCAATTGCAATGGGTTGTTTATCTTTTCTATTAGACTTGTAATTAATCATCAAGGCATGAATTGCTTGATGCCAGGTAGATTTAACATTCTGGGATGTATGTTAGAATTAGACACAGAATATGTTGTACCATAAATGAAACACGTGAGATGCTCTCCAATATTTCTTTGTTTGCCAGCAACATATAG
Organism: Homo sapiens; assembly: GCF_000001405.40. Lineage (NCBI taxonomy): Eukaryota > Metazoa > Chordata > Mammalia > Primates > Hominidae > Homo > Homo sapiens. The sequence goes on from NC_000013.11 coordinate 54,165,792, forward strand.
GGTAAATGAGATCTAGTGAAAGGGAGAGTATAAATCAGCAGTGCAAAATGAGTCTTTCTTAGTTCAAGCTAAATGGTAGACTGTCCTTTTTTACACTTGTAAAGTTTTAATAGATCTATTTTGCTATTGTTAGCGAAAGGAGAAAATGGGTTTCTGCTAATTTAAGTGGGCAAAGTACGCACAGTTTAAAGGGTAACAAGATAATAAAGTAAATAAAACATTGTCACAGTCTGCATAAGGACAGCATGAAGCGGCAGTAATTCAGGAGTCCACTAAGCAAGCTAAAGCTCTTAGCTCACTCCAGTAAAACGTTCTAAACAGAGTCTTTATGCAGCTGAAAATGCATATAAAGGACCCTCTGCCTCCTGGTAATATCAAGAGAAAACAGAGGCAGTCAGAAACATTAAAGTCGTCGTATTGTTGGCAATGTACTGCCATGAATAAGAATGAAGACACACCTTAAAACTGTAATGTATAGGACAAAGCTCTCCTTTCCTACAATCGTTTTTCATAAAATTATTTTATACATTCATCTCAGTATTATACTCTCACTATGTATAGTTTCCTGGAGTGGCTTGTTTTGCTTTCATCAATATTTTAATAATTTACATGGGTGAGGCCTCTTTTCAGGAAGTTTTTAAAGACTAACAGTGAGTTTGATCCCTCAGAGCTTTGTATTGAGCTGTTTACTGATGAAAGAAATCACTGGAAGGTAAAAGAAAACTGACCTGTTCTGTCAGATAGCAGTAAGTAATTTAGAAATCTGAAATAGTAATAAAAATATGAAAAGCATGTGGAGAATAAAAATTATCATATTTTACAACCATTTTATATATGACTATACTAAGCTTTCAGTTCAGTCAAAAAAATTGAATCTGTTGACAATGTGATCAAGACTAGTTGTGATACTCTAGAAATATCTGAAATAAAACGGTTTTCATAAAATAGGCAAGATTCTTGATTTTTCAGGGAAATGATTAAATTGTAATGATTCTATTTTGAAACTATGGCAAACTGCAATTCACAGGCTGAGTGCAGCCATTGCCTGTTTTTGTAAATAAAGTTTTATTGCAACACAGCCATGCCCATTTGTTAATTTACTGTCAGTGTGTACTTGGGAGTTACAGTAATGGCAGAGTTCAGTAGTTGTGACAGTTTGCCTACAAAGTCAAAAATATTTATGATCTGGTCCTTTAAAGAAAAATGTTTGCCAACCTCTAGATCAAATTATTTAAATTTTACTTTTTGGTAGTCACTTAAATTGTGGGAAATGGCAACAAACTCAGATACATGTTACTCCCCAGATGAACAAAGCAAGTTCTGTAAACTTTGGTGAACTGTTGATGTAAGACTTCTTCAAGGACTAGATTTGCCTTTGTAAAATTATAGAAACTATTTTTGTTATCATTATCTTGATCTAAATGACAGTTCAGAATTTCGCTTTGTTCTTTCTAACCCACACAAACTCCAATGGGAAGTGTTGATTTAAAATGTGAATTGAGGAGCCTTATTATAAAAAAAATCCTCAGTCAGTTCCTTTTCATAGTCTAAAATGTTGAGTTGCAATTTTTAAGCAGTTTTTCCATAGAGCAGACTTGTTTACAATTGACTAGCCCTAGGATAGTATTAAATTATTCCAACAATGCACACCTTTGGGGCTAGTAAAAAACCTACTTGGAAAAAAAAAAAAAAAAACCACAACAAAAACAAGCAAGGGCATATAAAAGTAGCTTTTTCTCCTGGAAGTTTCTTCAAGTATATAAGGGGCATGGGCATAGGCAAAATAGAATTAAGGAAGAAAGAACAGGTAAAGATAGAAGATTCAAATACACATAAATAATAACTATGTTCATACTTTTTGTTATAAATGTTTCTCTGCTGCACATGGACGTCAAGTATTATGAATATCTGAAAAGGAAATTCAATCAAAAAATATCAGGCAATCACAATGTATGCTAGCCTATATATGCATTGTATTAAATATTTAGGAAACAGCAAACAAACATGTTTTGGAGAATTTGCGATGCCCGAGTGTTCTCTTAAAACTCAGAGCCATTTAACATCTATTTTTTACAGACAATGAAAAGCAGAGGTTATGATGACTTTCTAAAGGAACAGCCCACAATGCATATTTGAAATGCCATACCAGCTGCTTAAATTTTGATATTCTGGAGGTGTGTGTGACTACCTCTCATTTAATAAATTGTTTTCTTTCTCATTGTTTTCTTTTCTAAAAAGAATCAAAAGTTAAACTTGCTCATGTGTCCCCCTGCCTCCTCGGTTCTACTTGCCCCTGCCGTGTACAGTACGTGTCTTGCTCACCCACTCTTCAATTATCGGCCTAACTTTGAAATTATATCAGTGACAATAGAGGAAAAAAATCTAAATTGTGTTTAAAAACTAAATAATGAGGCAGTTTACACAATAGGGATATTCAGGATACTTTTGTTTTCCTCTTTACATAATGTTTGTAATCTCTACTGGCTCTTGTTGGCATAGAATTTTCTATAATCTTTCTGGTTCAATATTTGAGGATTCTGAAAATGTATTGTATTTTCTTGTAACAAATAAGCATTTTTAAAGGTCTGTGGCTTCTGCTCAGAGTCTGTATATAGCAAGTAGCAGATGGAATTTTCACTCTGATAACTGCGAAGAACTGCTCTTCACGTATAAAAATAACAGTGCAGCTGAGATATCTCTTTCCAGATAGGCTTCAGCCATGTCTAGAAGTATAATACCCACAACTACCTATCTCTAACATAACCTGTTGTTAGAACTTCCAACCAATGTGCCATATAAAATGCAGGAAGTGGGCATTCTGTTTTATTAGTATGGAAGCATATGAATGATAGATTATATCCTCTGGATGATTATTTATTTGTGCATTCATTCAAGTACAAAATAAAATATAACAATGTATTCTTCTCTTTCCAACAGAATTTCATTGACAAAGAATCCAGAGAAATGCAGAAAAGCTATACTGAAAATAACATTTATGTTTCTGGCTGCAAAAATATGTACTATTTCAAAGTGAATAATGAATTGTATCTGAGGCACTTAGACGTGATTCCTACCCTTTGGAATGTCTATTTTAGAGTTTGTTGGTGGTAAAGGACAGCAATATGGAAGAGTGTTCAGAAGCATGGACTCTGAAGATAAAATTGTAGAAAAGTTTTAATAATATAATGTAAATACTTAGTATAGTGCTTGGCACATAATAAATAATCAAAAATTACATGCTATGATAATAATTCTTATTATAATAATTATTGTTATTACCACCACTCCTAATTTTACTACCAATAGCACGATGAGTTTAATTTGGTAGGGAACATATTAGAGCCAAAATATTCTTTTTCTCCAACTTTGTTGTCATATTTGCACTTGGGAATTTTCCATGGATCTGTTTTGTATATTGTCCCAACTAATGTCATCTGACCCAACATACCCAATGATAGCTGGTCCCTGACTTTTATAGTTATAAACTAGATTCTTTTGTTTGAGATTAGTGGGATTAGAGCACTATATTTCAGGAAATGTAGAGAAGTAAGTATAGAAGTTAATATTAATTTAACTGATACTTTTCCTACTCATACATATAATTACCTTTGTTGGAAGAGACATTAGAGCCACCACCCATAGTTACCCCTCAAGAAAGGAGGTTCAAATTATGCATACTTAGTTGTTCCAAGTCTAGTTTAGTGTAGCAGATAAGAATTTCACACCATAAACTAAAATGTGAAAATAATATGACTTTGTAGTTTAGTTTATGTTTTAAAGCTCTAATAGGATAATAGATTTTATTCTGTTGAGGTTCCCAATTTTCAAAGAGTCATGTCTAATTTTCAGAGTTGTTATATAGTGCCAAGTCATTGTTGGAGGCAGGGAACGCTTGAATCATCTGTTCACTCAGGCACTGGCCAATGCCATAATTATCCAGTTGTGTTCTATTAAGTCAACAATACCAATTGTCTTTCAAAGTTTTCCCTGGTCTTCTCTGCATGGCTTCACAGGAATTGGAACAGTCTCCAGTCGTTCTGTGCAATGCTCTAGGACTACCAAATGATTTATTTGGGTGTTTGAGATATAAAAGCTAGTACGTGTTGTTTTTATTTTTTGGTTTTCAACCTATTGCATACTTCTCGAGAATTCTGAAACTTTTTCTTTCTTTCTTTTTAATGTGTGAAAGAAGAAGACAGAAAATACCTGGTAAATAAGAGGAAAAATAAGTTAATATTTACAATATTGCCCTTACACAGGAGTTAATGGACAATAGCCCCCACCCCCATTCCTCGACCCTCCCCTTATCTGTCTAACGGGCTGAGGGTTTGAAGTTCCACACCGCAAAAATAGTAATATGTGGAAAAGTGGCCTTTATGAGAAAGCTCCTCTGTATTCACTGGGATATAACCATGGCACTGTGCTCATGCTTTTCTCCATGGTTACGCAAAGCCTCCTATTATGCACAAGCTCTAAAAAAAATATGCAGAAAGGGATCCAAATATCCAAGATTCAGAAGGTAGCATTGTCATTGGTGGCATTAGGCACCACTTATTTTGTGAGGGATTTTTGATTTGTTTGGTTTGGTCTAGCAAACAAGAAGAGTTGAGAATATGAAAAGCAGGTCCCTTTTATTGCTTAATACCATGTTTGCCTAAAAATCTGAAATCATTGTATAGACAGGCCGTGAAGGGGAATTCAGCATTAGATGGAAACTTCCTGGACTTCTCTTAAGTGGACCAGTTTATAAGGTAGCCTCGTATAAAGCTAAATTTATAGGTAAATTTCAATGCTAATCACTTTGAATCATCCTTAAATGGTTGTATTAAGTCTCAGGGTAGAAAGTTATTTATTTTGATACAGGGTCTCACTCTGTCACCCGGGCTGGAGTGCAGTGGTGCTATCATGGCTCACTGCAGCCTTGACCTCCCAGGCTCAATTAGTCCTCCCACCTCAGCGTCTGGAGTAGCTGGGACTACAGGTATACACCAACACACCCAGATAACTTTTGTATTTTTTGCAGAGATGGGTTTTCACCACGTTGCCCAAGCTGGTATTGAACTCGTGGGCTCAAGCAATATGCCCTCCTCTGCCTCCCAAAGGGCTGGTGTTACAGGTGTGAGCCACCACGCCAGCCTGGGTGGAATACTTTCAATAAACATTCTAATGCTATCAGATATCTGAAAGGTTTTCGAAGTAGATAGCTGCAGGAATATGGGGAGGAACTTAGAAGGCTGTGAATCTTCTGTTTGATCCCTCTCACCTTCAAGTTTACTTTTAATAAGAGATGTCATTATCTGACATGTGGAAGACATGGGCCTAATATCTGTCCACCCTTCCATACACATATATCAGATAAACCTGCAGATACCGTACCACTATTTCCCATAGGTCAGATCATGCATTCCTGTCACGTATCAAACTCCCAAGCTCTGTTCTTTTCCAACTTGGAGTCATAACATTCGAACGCTGGCATTCACCTTCCTATGTCCGAAAACACCTCATCATCAGGGTAGACTTATTTCATTCGTTGAATTTCCACTTGCCAAGTCTCATTCCTCAATTGTATCCTATAATATAGGTCACTTAGGTATATTGGACTGTTCAACAGGCGTTTGGCAGAGTTCTAAGTAGAAGCCTTGAAATATTTGTGCAGAATACTCTTTACTATTTTTTAAATCGCTAATCAAGTAAAAGCAGTACGTATTTTAAATACCCGTATTGCTTAGCTCTTCATCTCTTTCCCAATGTTTACTCATCTTTCCTCTCTACCTCTCTTTTTTGAAATATTTCAGAAAAGAGAGGTTTAATAAGATATGAAGTGGGAATGCTTAAAGAAGTGCATCCCCATCCGAGGCTATGATGCTTGCTCTTCTTCAGAGTGTTCTAAAGAGTTTTGTATCATTAGACTTGTTCTATGTGCTATGCCATTAGAGCAATACCTTATATACCTCACAGTAGTTCTGTGTATTTCCTACTGTAACTTTATGTGGCAAAATGAGAAGTGGAATTTCTTTCTTTTATAAACAGCTCAACTTGCTTCAGATTCCTTGAAAAAGTTAAGCAAACTACTTATAGGAACTTTATAGAGTAGTTGCCTTTTGTTGAAATAAATTCAGCAACTAAAATTAATGCAAGATTCCAGGCAAAATGGAACTAAAGGTGATTCATAGGTAGATTCTGACAGCTTGGTTATCATTCTAATTGAGCTGAAGGTTTTATAAAATTATGTTCTCTCCTGAAAATTATATTACTATTAGGTTTGATTGTCTTTTATTTCAACCATCATGTAGGAATTTCAAGTTAAAAACAAAAGAAAAACAAATAATTAATTTTGCTTATTTTAAAAATAACAATATTTTATATATATAGATTTTTTATAAGTAAAAATGGCTTTGTATGGTCATATTTATATGTATTTAGGTGAAAGGCACAGAACTGGTATACAGTAAACAATTACGATGGTCAAACAACTTAAAGAAGAATCTTGAGTGTTACAGAGCAGTTATCTGCAAATAGTATGTTTATTGTCATCAAATGAAACAAAGAACATTCTCTTCCACTAGGATGTAGAAAGTTAAAAAATGAAATCATTTACATTCCAGAATATGTAAAGAACCACAATATGTAAAAACTCTCCAAACTCAGTAATAAGACAATCCAACTTAAAAATGGGTAAAATATTTGAACAAAGGCCAAAGAAAAGATATGACTGGCAAATAAGCCCATCAAAGTATAGTCATTAGTCATTAGGAAAATACAAATTAAAGCCATAATGAGATAGTACTACATAGCTTTTAGAATATCTGTAACTAAAAATAAAGATAAAACATGCAAGGATTTAGAGTAACTAGAAGTCTTATGCATTACTTGTGGAAATGAAAGTTGATATGGTGGCTTTGAAAAACAGTTTTTCAGCTGCATACAAAGTTAAAGATATTTTTACCATAGAACCCAGGAATATATTCCTATTAATAGATAATTACCCAAAAGAAATGAAAACATAGGTTCAGAAAAATACCTATAGACAAATTTTTATAGCAGCTTTTTTTCTAATTACCAAAAGTAGTAAACTACCTGAATGTCCACCACAGGTAGGGGTTGGGCAAATCAATTAATTGTGGTACATCCATACAGTGGAATGCTACTCAGCAATAAAAAGGAACAAACTACTGTTCCATGCAGTAACATGGGTAATTTCACACATTGTGCTAAATAAAAGATTCAGAAAAGTTATATTTTTAAGGATTCCATTTATTTGACATTCTCGAAAAGGTAAAAATATAGGGACAGAAACCAGATCTGTATTTGCTAAAAGTTGGTGATCGGGAGAGGGATTTGATTACAAAGGAGTATGAGAAAAGTTGGGGAGGATAAAACTATTCTATACTGGGTTTTGTGGTAGTTACAGGACTGTGTAAGTTTGTCAAAATATATAGAATGTAACATTCTCTTAGGATAGACTTTACTGTATTTAAATTATAACTCAGTAAACCAAAGCTAAAAGAGAAGCATGGGGTACAAAATCCTTTTTTGTCTGCACTAGGCAAGAAGAATGTAACACTTAATAAACTAAATGGTTTTCTCCATAAATTACTGATGGTAAGTTACCTTGTCTAAGAACTCAATGATTACAAATTGGTACTTCAGTGCAGCTGTTCATTTTATTCCAGATTTCTTTCATATCTTGCAAACTCCACAGGAGTTTGGTATCAATGATGTCAAATATAAAGGCATTGAGAACATAAATGAGTAAGAGATTTTTTAATTTTTAGAGAACAGTTTGATCATGAACCCCCAGGGCTGCTTACTCTGGGCTTCTGGGGATTGGTATAGGAAAGGGAGGATGCAGAACCCCAAAGTTGATTTAAAAAAACAACTTTAATTCTATTATCATTTAATTTTGAGCATCAAATACTGGTGAAGTATTTAAATACAAATTTAAATAAGAAAGAAAGTTGTATCTACTAAAATCAAGCTGAACATTAATGTCTTGGAATATGGTCACTTTGATGCATTATTGGCACACCACGGAAACCATCACAAGCTGCTTTACAGATTTTACCCAGTTTGTAAGTTTTTGTGCTTCAAGGCTAAAAAGAATTGATTTAATTAAACTAGCAGATTGACAGAAACAGATACTGTGTGACAAGATGGCATATATTAAAAAATTAAGATAGCTAATTATTTCACTTTTCAATTTTATTTTACTTTTGGTTTGAGCAATGAAAGAGTTCATAAAAATCCTGGCAACACTGGCTTTGTGAATACATCTTCTAAAGGGAATTATTCACTCTCCAGTCTTGCATCTGTCATTCTGGTAAAATACAAAAGGACTGTGCAGGTTTGGGGCAGCTTGTTAGATTGCTTTAAATGTTTATTTTCACCAATATCCAAATGTGTGAATATAAAAAAGTTAATGTTTTAGAAAACAGTTTGTCTTTGTTCTTTTATAGCATGCATGCATTTTTATGTCAATCTGTTTCAGAACAAAGCATATTTCATCCCAAAATGCTATGTTTCAAAGACTAAGAATTTGGTCAATGCACACATTTCATTATGTTCTGTTAAGACCATAACATTAAACTCAAGAATCATTAAAATTGTTGTGTATTATGTTACTTGCACCACTGGGTATTTTTTTCTTATTAAAGTAAGAAAGAAGAATGCACCACATACTTTCAAATAAGAATCATTATATCTTTGCTTTTGAATGCAAATATATAATGGTTGACAGTACATAAATCACTCCTATAAACAATTGAAATTCTCAGTTATACTGTTGGTTCCATACTCCTGTATATTAAAGCCTTTTTCATTCCCTTGGCTTTTATTTGCTTTAAAAAATCATGAGTACTTAAATAATATTCAGTTGTTTGGGTTATTAAGTCCTACTAACTAAAAATTGTTCATCAAAGCTATATTAAATATAAAGAACTTTCAAAAGTTAGCCCTGGAGATGTAGTAAATTTTCAGGCATTACCCATTCAACATTCAAATAGAAAATGTGTTCCCTTTAAATAAAAAATGAAAGAAAAAAATGGAATTCAGCCTCCAATGGAAGGCTTCTTTTTATGAGGAAAATATATTGATTTTATCATGGATTTATGAACAAGTTAAGTTGTAATTAGGTATTTGCTGGGCAACTTTCATAGGGTGATTTTGCAGGCATGGGGATCACAGAGACTATAACCTTCCTGTCAGTATCTAGACCTGCATTTAACACCTGTTTCTGAATTGGAAACTAACTAAACCCTGATGTACTTCAATATGTAGCTGAAATTTTATTTTCATCTATAGTCATTAATTCAATACTAGCATCAGATTTTCACATTTGATTTTCATCTTACTTGAATTGTATTCACTGGTACACTAGAATAATCCTCAGCAACTTGTCCTTTATCAAGTGATTTTACAGCTTGCTTACTTAGTCAAAACCTATCCATAATGCTACTCTCTCCTCATGGCAACCACATTCACATAGGTCAGTCCACAAAGTTAAATGACTCATGTAGCTTTTATAATATTATGGTACACACATCTCTGCTTAGTATACATTTCGTTTTTAAGCCATTGTCCTATAGTTCCCAGAAAGGGTCATTTTCTCTCTTATTGGTAAAACAAAAACTCTTTACTCTCAGAGTTATTATGAGAAATGAATGAGAAAATTTTAGTAACATTGTGCCACAAACTTTATCAAAGCCTAAAAAAAAATCAAGGCATTATAACTCTTAGTCGTTTTTCAAATGAAAAGATAATTGGCTATGGCCTCATACCTCTGAATAAATGTGGACATTCTCTCCTTCCCAGAGGAATTAGATTCAGAGTGGCCTCCTGCAGCATTGCTTTGTTTTGATATGTAATTCTAACATACTCATGCAGATTATTTCCTTGGCAACCTAATCTGAATAGTCCATGGGCTTCAAGAACTCAAATTGTCCTTAGCTTAAACCTATACTAGAAGCAGAACTAAATAGATTGTTCCTAGCTTTCTTTTTCCTAAATATCACTGTGTTCACATTTGCCCTACTAAAGGAAGTACAAGCACCCCCTGGGCCATATTACTTTACCCACTGCTACAGAGAAAGTATCTAGTGAGTGGAGAGAGAAAAGGGAGGGGGGCGGGTAGAGGGGAGGGGGAGGGGGTAGAGGGGAAGAGGGAGAGACATTTAAACACATTGTTCCTCTTGATAAAATATATTATTATCACTATAAAACTAGAGATTGGAGGTCGGGCATGGTGGCTCAGGCAGGTAATCCCAGCACTTTGGGAGGCCGAGGCAGGCGGATTGCCTGAGATCAGGAGTTCGAGACCAGCCTGACCAACATGGTGAAACCCTGTCTCTACTAAAAATACAAGATTAGTCGGTTGTGGTGGCAGACGCCTGTAATCCCAGCTACTCGGGAGACTGAGGCAGAAGAATTGCTTGAACCAGGGAGGCGCAGGTAGCAGTGAGCCCAGATAGCACCGCTGCACTCCAGCCTGGGTGACCAGAGCAAGACTTTGTCTCAAAAAAACAAACAAAACAACACAAAAAAACTAGAGATGGGAATAACAGATTCTCAGGGAGAGGATTGCCAAGTGTGTTACCTATAAGGTTTTAAAATGCTTCTCATGAGATTTTTGTATTTCTCCCTTTATCTTCCTTCCACTGCATTCTCATTGAGGAACACCATTCTCACTGAATATATATATATATATATATATATATATATATATATATATATATATATATATATTTCTAAAGTTATCCAGGAAAAGATTCATGCCAAACCTCATTGAAAACCCTATGTTCTTAGCATAGTATGGAACCAATGTTATAAAAATGAGATTGTTTTAACCTTTTTTTAAAAGAATATTGATGAAAATCTCAACATTCTATCTAATTTATAGTCACAAAACATGTAATACAACTGGTTAGTATGCAGACCCAAAAGGAGGAAGGCTTCAAAGAAATTAGACATCAAAGAAAATATAATTTATGATTTAAGACTGCAGAGAGCCAGTGTTGTGCAATGTTTAAGACCTCAGGCTCTGGAGTCCACATACTTAGTTTTAAATTCTAACTCCACCATTAGCTAGCTGTCTGACAAAAGACAAGTTTATTAACTGCCCCAAATCTGTTTTCTCAGTTGTCAAATGGAACATTAGTAGTTCTTCCCCACCTAGGGAAGTTAAATGACATGATGAAAGTAAATAACTTGAAACAAGGCTTAGGTCAAAATATACATATATATGTTCAATATACATATATATGTTTTATATATATATATAAACATATATATGTTTTATATATATGTATATAGAAATACATACATATATTATACACATATGTTTTCTTTCATCCATATGAAACTACAACTATATGTTAAGCAGTTATTAATGTATATTTTTTTCAAATGTATATGTCATCTATAAATTAATCTTAGTATTTCTAATATATGTGTTGAATATTCTGGTCAGTAACCCACCCAAGAAATGGTATGAAAAATATTATTATTGATAAGGAACCATAAACTATAAGAATAACAAAATATGAAAAAGATATGCAATTATTTTGTTGAGCCATTAACTATTTTGATAGAATAGTTCTATCTTAAGGAGCCAGTTGACTACATATACATTAGTTTTAAGTCAATCCATGCTTATTGAGTTCCTGAAAGGTGCAGAACACTTTTCTAGATGGAATGAGAGATAAAACATGTTAAAGGCACCAATCCTCGAAAAACAGTTTATCATCACTTGGGGAAGATAAGATAGTAATTTTTGATTTTCCAGGCTGACTACTCGACTCTGGTTCAAAATCCATTTGATGAGAATGAATGCATCACCTCCCAGACAGATGTAAACAGCTTGCAATGGAGCAGAGAAATTAAGAGCAGGCTTTTGAAATAAAATGCCTGGATCTGATTTTTGACTCTGCAATTACAGCTATGAGACTTGGGCTTTGCTTTCTTATCTGTCTAACGGGGATAATACTCATATCTTTATTAGAAGGATTAAAGAGACAATCTTTAAGTGATAGTAGAATGTTTAGCATATAATAAATGCCAGAATACTAACTTGACTGACTTGTTACTACAAGGTTTCTATTTTCACACCATGGCTGAGCTTCACGAGCAATTGAGAGAGTGTGTTTAACTTCTACTAGGCTAGATTAAATAAAGATCCAGATTTTGTCAATAGTGTGTTTAATTAAGCAGACCCAATAAGAGCATCAATAAGCTCTTGAAAGAAGCCTAGATACGGAGAAACTTACGGAGAGCTAATATGAAAGGTAGGTAAATGACTTAAGCCTATGGTGGGCTATTTCAGAAGACTGGCTCCAGATGCATGGCCACTGTCTCATTAAACTATGTTGTATTCAAGGCATGCCATCTTCCTACAGACTCTTAAAACTCCTTTGTACCATTCTGTACAATTCGGGTCCCAGTTTGTGAATGTACCAGATGCTCAACTGCAATTCAAATGTTTGAAATGCAAAAGACACTTTTCAATAGGAACAATGCTGTAAATATTCCTTCTCGTCCACCTAATCAGATATAAATCAAATGTCTCCTTATTTTCTCTCCCATCTTCTCAGCCTCTTAGGCACACTAGAGATGACAGAAAATATCCTATACAGGAATGTGGTGGCTTCTCCTGCAAAGAGTAAGAACCCCTAGGCCAATAGCCACTTTCCTGAGGATGCCTTCGCCTCTGCTCTCCTAACCTCCAAAGGCTGCTAAATTTTACCTACTATTTTCATAATTTTCAGTGACATTTGTCATGTCAGTCACTCTCCAGATAGAACACTACTCTCCTTCCCATTCAAATCTCGTCCTCCACCATTCAGAAAATATTACATTTTAAAAATTCCATGTGAATAATTACTTTTATCATTGTTATCTCTATGGGTCTAAGCATTTTCATGATATGTTATAACAAAGATTAAACATAATAATAATGACACAAATGTGGAAAGTCTATCTCCATGTCGAAGTTGAAAATTCTCTTATTACTTTTCAACTTTTCATTATTTTTCCTTTGAAAACACACACATTAAAATAAATAACACACACATTTTATAGAATAGTGCTTTCTGAAATGCTGCATTTTATGAAGCATTAAAATGAATTTGATGTCAACACACTAAGGACTCCTGCACTAAACAGTACCAAGATATCAGCTGTCATTACTGTGTCATGGAGATTCACCCCTAAAAATATCTCACACAAAAATGTAGGAGACATTTGCAGACAGCTTTGTCATTTAGACATCGTCTCATGATACATAGATGAATCCTAGCTGCTGTGCTCCTTATAGAATGATTTGCCAAATATAGGGAGACTAGAATTCTCCAATTAAATGCTAAATATTTATGGCTGCACTAGCTTTGGTGTTTCTTTAACTTCTTTGTGTAGAGCTTTGTGATCTAATTACTTTCTCTTATTTTTCTCTTTCAAATGTTTGTTTTTGCACTTTGGCTTCTTATTGTTCACTGGCAACAAAAGCAGCTTAGTGCCAAATGTGTAATACATTACTCAATACACCTTCACTTTTATAAAGTAAAGAATCAATGCAGTGGGATAATTTCACCTTTGACTTGCTGTGTTCAACAGAAATAATGTACATAAAAATAATATTACAGAATGGAACTGCTTCTACAATTTTGGCAATAGCTGAGAATGCTCTAAATAAAATGTGGTGATTGTTGACCTTGCAACCTCCTGAACTTCCCTATGTCCTTCCTCAAACTGACCAAGTTATGGGGTAGGTAGCATCAAGCACCCCCATTCAGCAGTTTTCTCTTTCATCACTAAACCCTAGATTCCCATTCTTTCCTATCTCTAACCCTATAGCTTATCTTTGTGTGCTCACAGTTTGCCTTCATATTTTTAAACAAGATGACAAAGAATAAGCCAATAACTGTGTCCTAAGCAGTGATCTCTCAAAAATTCTTTTTCTATTTCTCTCCAATTTCTATCTCCTCTCTTGTTCCAAATTATAGTTCATCCTTGTTCTCTACTGTTCAGATAAGACAAAACAATTCAATAAAAAACAATAGTCACATAACATTTGTCTTGACCCTGTTTCTTTCTACCTACAAGTTTCACATGAAGTAGAGTTAGTGGGAGAGTAGAGAATGAAGATGAGAGGACTTGGAAGCTGAAAGGAGAGAAAAGAAATGGATAGAGATTGACTAAAAAGGATTGTGGAGACATGAAATTCTGCTCGAACTAATCGCTGGTAGGGTGGGTTTTATTTGAGGCACTAAGACCAGTGCTGATTTTGCTTTCAGGGGAAAAAAAAAAAATCCCTGAAGCCAAGCCACACTGGTTTAAAATCAGAAACTTAATCCAATAGCAATACCCATAAAACACTTCTTCCAGCTGCCTTCCCTTCCTCTCAAGGGCACTAATCTCCAAGAACCCAAGCTTGAAACTTCGATTATCCCCACATAGAATGAGTGAGTGGGTTTTGCTGATTCATTTTCTCCCTCTCTTTTCATTCCTGCCACCATTCACAAGTGTTCTATGAACATAGCCTCCCTCCCAGTCCAATTTAATCACTATTGCTTCGTATTTTACAACAAAATTAATCTTCCTGAAACATTACTTAGATGACATTTTTCTGGTCAAACACCTTGTAGAAGGGGGAGACTTGGCTGCCCCCTGCTTAGAATTTTAAAGTGTAATCTCATTAGCCTGTCAATCAAAGACTCTACAGGATCATCTACTCTTTGCATCATTTATCCAGTTGTTTTCATTATTTATCATCTGCTACCATATTCCCTAATGGGATGTGTTGAAGAGGTTTCCAGACTACATCGATTTGCAAAGGGGAACTTCTTAAAAAGCAGAATCCAAGTCATTGGAGTAAATATCCTCTGCATATCAACTAGCCAGTCAAATGTTAGCACATACTGCATTAATGTGATTTCTTACCTATATGCAGAAATAAAAATGGTTTCTGTATTCAGATGGCTCCATTTTTCTCCAAATTGTTTTCTCAGGCAAAGGTTCTCAAAGTGTGGTCTCCAAAAGAACAGCATCAACCTCACTTGAGAATTTGTAAAACATGCAAATTCTCAGTCTTAGAATCTCTGGTGGCCGGGCCCAGCAATCTGTTTATAGCAAGTCATCCATGTAATTCTAATATATGATATATTTTGAGGACTACTACACTAATGCTTACCAATTCTGAGCTCATTTTTCAAAATAAAGTGAGATTGGTATAAAAGAAATGTAGTACTCTTTTCTAGGTCATTCCTGCTACAGAAAAAGTAAGAGTGAGTTAACAGTAAGCCTCTGTTAATAACATAAAATAACATCTGAAATTTTTGGAAAATGAACTCCATGAGAGTTAGGCTTCCAAATACATAAATGTATACATTCAGACATACCTCTAATAATTAAATATTCTTTGCCAGGCACAGTTTGAAAGCTTTTCCACAGTTTGAAGCCTCTTTCAATCCTCAAAATGAATTTATGAGGTTTTTTTTTTCTTTTCAACTTTTATTTTAGGTTCAGGGGGTACATGTGCAGGCTTGTTACATGGGAAAACTCTGTATGTCATGGGGTTTTGTCACCCAATTAATGAGCATATTACCCGGTGGGTAGTTTTTTAATCCTCACCCTCCTCCCACCCTCTGCCCACAAGTAGCCCTGGGTATCTATTGTTTCCTTCTTTATGTCCCTGTGTACTCATTGTTTAGCTCCCACTTTTAAGTGAGAACATGTGGTATTTGTTTTTCTGCTCCTGCATTAATTCACTTAGAATAATGGCCTCTAATTCCATCCATGTTGCCACTAAGGACATGATGTCATTCTTTTTCATGGCTAGGTAGTATTCCATGGTGTATATGTACCACTTTTTTTTTTTTTTCTCTTGAGATGGAATCTCACTCTGTCACCAGCCTGGAGTGCAGTAGTGCAATCTCGGCTCACTGCAACCTCCGCCTCCCGGGTTCAAGCCATTCTCCTGCCTCGGCCTCCCAAGTAGCTGGGACTACAGGCGCATACCACCACGCCCAGCTAATTTTTGTATTTTTAGTAGAAACAGGGTTTCACCATGTTGGCCAGGATGGTCTTGATCTCCTGACCTCGTGATCAGCCCGCCTCGGCCTCCCAAAGTGCTGGGATTACAGGCATGAGCCACCGCGCCTGGCCACCACATTTTCTTTATCCAGCCTACCATTGATGGGCATCTAAGTTGATTCCATGTTTTTGCTATTGTGAATAGAGATGCAGTGAACATGCATGTGCATGTGTCTTTATGGTAGAATGATTTATATTCCTTTAGGTATATAACCAGTAGTGGAATTGCTGGGTCAAAAAGTAATTCTGTTTTAAGTTTTTGACAAATCTACAAACCTTTTTTCACAGTGGCTTGACTAATTTATATTCCCATGAGCAGTGTATATGTGTTCCCTTTACTCTGCAACCTATGAGGTATTATTAACTTCCCATTTCACAGAGAGGAAAACCAAGGCCCAGAGTTTAGTAACTTTCCCAAAGTCATAAAGCTAGTTGAGAAACAGTAGATATTTTAACCCAAGCAATTTAGTACTTCATGTTTTCAAACACTACTTTATGTTGCTTATTAAAGAAAAATTCTTTTATCCTTCGTAAGGTTATTTTGTTTTTAAAAACACAAAGGTCTCATCATAATCAGAATTTTGAACATATATGTACAACTTGAAGTGTCCCCTGTTGTGTTATATTTAATCTTTATTTTCCTCCAATTTAAACTAGTTAAATTGAGGATTAAGGAGGATATGTGGCCTTTCTAATTCCATATCATTTTTATACTGTTTGAGTAGATCTGTTTTTTGATTAGAATGTATTTTCTCTTATATTTTTAAAAATACTCTTCACTGAAAAGTAAGTTGCTATTTATTTTAATGCATACCAGAAGAGAGAAGGTGGTAGATTTTTATTTCATGCAGACACAGTGGCAGTAAATAAATCATTCCCCCCTATCAAATATAAAAATCATATTATTTACAAACTGATTTGCTTACCATAATTTTATCTTTTAAGGCTGATATACAGAAACTTCCTTTACAATATGTTTAATATATTTGGTGTTTATAAAAATACTAATGTCTACTAAATTAGAAATAAATTGCTAATTGAATTATTACACAGATTTAAAGTGTATTCTTTGTTATTACATGTGTTAACACAAATTGCTTTGCAGTGTATCATATGTAAATCTGATGCAAATTGACATGAGCAAATATTCAGTGGATTGTCTGGACCAGTTATTCAGTTATTGTGAAGAATTTTTAAAATGCCAATAGAGAAAATGTTTCTCAGTTAGTAAATATTAAAATTAGAAAAACATTTTTAAAAAGGTCATCCTTCCATCCACCCATTTTAACTGCCTTACCTTAAAAACATTAGCAATTCCTTCTTCATAGTTCAGTGCAAAGACATTTGAAAATACAATTCAGTATCTCAAAAGTACTGTGAAGGTAAACTGCCTCTTGGGGATTCGATCACCATTTGATTTAATGTTGACTGTTTAATCATATTATAAACTTGTCCAACAGGACTGCATAATTGCCTTCTTAGCAGAAGAAAAAAAAAAAGTAAACAGCTTACCTTGCAACTCCAGTTTCTTAAGAAGCCCATTACATTCCTGAAAACATCAAAAGATTTGTCAGCACTTCCATTATCAATCTCCATTTTCTAGAGTTGCAAGTTGGCTATGAAATTTTACTCTGGGATTAAAATTGACATTTAATATGTTGACCATGGAATAGCCATGATCATGCCCTGGGAAGAAGGGTCGGGAAAGAGGGCGGGGTTCTTTTGCCATGCCATTCACATTAGCTAAATTGTTATTTCTCAAACTATAGTAATAATTTCTGCCATTATTTAGTACTTCATGCTAGGCACACAATATGCACTATATTTAATTCTTTTTACACACTTCAACCAAGAAGGTGATATTATCCTTGATTTGCAGGTGAGAAAACTAATGCCTACAAGAGTGAAGTCATTTTCCAAGCTCCCATGTTTAATCAGTAGAAAACTGAGCTCAAATACAAGTTCAGAGTGCCATGGAGCTTCCTACTACAGAATTGCTGATTAAACTCGCCCATGTGGATGGGGTACGAAGGAGGGACAAGAGCTAACAACGAAAAATGGGATCTTTACAATTCAGCAGCCAACCTACTTCACCTCAATTGCCAGAGGCGACTGTCTCATTCCATAGCCAATTATAGTTCCCGTGGATATTTTTGCTGCCTCTCTTGAAGGGAAAAATTATACTAATAAGTCAGGATTAGAAAAAGACATTCCACTCATTTGACAGCTTGCCATATTTCCGTAACAAACAGTGATTTGATTAGAGAAAATGAGGTTGGGAAATAATCACTTTGATACAAAATATGAACTAATTGGTGTAGGTGTTTTCATTAAAAAGAAGTTCACTATAGTTATAATTCACTAATTTAAATAACAATTGTCTCCCACTTATGTTCCTTATGAGTTCTTGAGCAAAAGCGAGTAAATAGTTTCTCACAGAGAAAGTCTAGGCACCTGACATCTAGACTAATATGACAGATCACATTGCTCAGCATGTTTGAAATTCATTTTAACTTACAAATACATCTAAAATCATTTTGAGAGTAAGTGCTGAATAGTGTTGATGGCTATGCTAATTCTGTGGCATCTTGACTTTGGGGGTGAAAGCAAATTTCAGAGGCAAGAGGAATTGTATTCCTGTTTTAAAAGGCAGACTGGTATGTGAGCCTAACTGAAAATTTGATTTCTGTTTATTATCTTCCTACTTTTGCAATTATGGCCATCAACATTATCAACATCAAATATTTATTGAGCATCTCCTAGGTAAGTAGTGCTGTAAGAGTTGTCCTCAGAACAAAGTTAGGCAGAGCCAAATCTTCTCAATACACCCAGTTTGGCCAAAGCTTGTTGATTTGATCTTTTAGCCCGTCATTATGATTAATTGCGAAGCGAACAATTGGAATGACTAAGCAGTAATCAGAAGAGAAACTTAACAGCAAGAATAACCAAATAGCCTCCAGCCCAGTCTTTTAAAATTGGATACATTTGACTTCACATCCAGGCTCCAGGATGTTTTAAATCTGTTAAAGAGGCAATACCATAAAATATTTCATTGGCATAGGTGTAAAGATAACCAATCGTCAATTACACTGAAACTGATGACATCTAAGGTAAAGTTAATTTTTCAATTTTTGATTGAGAGGATCAATTCAACTTATTAGAAATATTTACATGATATTTAGATAATAGGCATAAACTTGATTGTCTTTTATTCCCACATACTGTCTGTTATTCAGTAGTGGCTGAAAGGGAATGTGTATAAAACAAAAATTCTAACAGCTGTTTTCAACCCCACAAACTGGATGATCTTACTTACCTGAGGGAAGGTGAGACTCAAAAACATAGTCATTTTTAAAAAGGACAGTCATCACTGAAAGCAGTAATGCTTCAGCAGAGATACTTAATCAGGAAAGCAGATCGTCCCCTCCTGGCCAAACTGCCATCAGGAAGCTTGTTCTTAGTAAGCAGGATGGTTCTCAGAGCTGGAGCAGCAGACAAAACTGGGTTGAATTTATATTCCTTCTTTTTTCCTGAATAAAGACCTGCTGAAAAGTTTAAGTAACTAGCCACTTCTCTCTTGTCTGCTTTGTTGTTGTACTGTAATAGTTCTCTGATAATTTTCCGAACCCTGTAGATCAGAGGCCTCCCAGGAAGATTGAGTGGGTTGATTAGGAAGCCCCAGGTTGCTGGATTAAACTTAAAATGCCTCTAATCCTAAAATCCATGTCAGGACAACTTGTCTTGTGCCATTTGGCATGTCTGTGTCTGACCCTCCTTGCTACTTTGCATGCATTATCAATTCTCTTACTAAGTCAGAATTTTGCTTTGACTTACAGAAAGCTCACATCTGCTTTTAGTTGCTTTAATTCTGCTTTTGTCTCTGCCCGAACTAAGTCTTAGAGAACTTCCTACTGCAATTGGAAGAGCTAAACTTTAGGACAAGTTTGTGTGTGTCTGCCTTCTTGCTGTTATAGCTGAAAAGGTCTTGGTTGCCTTACTGAGGTGTCAGAAACTGAAGATCCAATTTCTACTTAATTTCCCCAGAATGGTCTGACCAGAAATGGTTATGGCCTCAAAGAACCACAGAGGGGCGGCAATTATCCATTTTGGTGACACAGAAGCTCCAATTCTCTTAATATAAAGGAGGTGGAGTGGAATGTGAGGTGGGTTACAATGGTATTTAGCACAGTGGAGGCTGGCTAATTGCTCACCAAACCCATTTTCTCTTCTTCATGGGAACATATCAATCCACATTTCCCAGCCATCTTTGTAGGTAAGTGTGGCCATATAACTGAGTTCTAGCCAACAAAATCTAAACTGACTTGATATGGACTATTACCATGTTGGGCAGATAAAATCTTCCTACCTTGAATTCTCCATACTCTTTCCCTATTCCCCAGGCTTCAGACAAATACCAATGGTGACCTTAAAAGCCACAAATTGAAAATGGCAAACTCAAAAGATTGAACAAACCTGAATTCGTGTTCACCATTTTGGGAGGAATATGGAGCCAATCGGGAAAGTCTGTTGCAAACTTCGTATGAATGAGAAATAAAGTCTATGGTACAATAACAATTAAAGTTGGGGTTCATATTTTTAAACAGCTGTTATTATTTAAAATAATAGACTGGGTGTGGTGGCTCATGACTCTAATCTCAGCACTTTGGGGAGCCAAGACAGGAAGAATGCTTGAGTCCAGGAGTTTGAGACCAGCCTGGGCAACATGGTTGTTACAGGTAGTTAGGCATGAGCAGAGCAGAAAAGGAATCCCTGCCCCTCCAGCCCCCACCAGGAATGACAGGCAACCATCAGGTGATGGTTCACCAGTTATCACACTGCCTCTCTAAAAATGATAATTGGCAGCCTGCACCAGGGAGAGGCAATTCCTGACGGTACACAGTTGTCACACTAAAGTGATAATTGATTGCAGGCGCCAGGAAGAGGCAGTTTGCCAAACACATAAAAACACTTGAAATTGGTAATCAGTTTCCAATAAAATCTCAGGAATTGGGCAAGTGAGCGCAGTCATATGCATTAAGAGATAAAATGACAGAGTATGACCTGCTGAGGGCCCAGAAAAAGGGAGGAAAGCCTCAGATGGGTATATGTACAACTTCCTAAACACACTGTGCATGCTCACCTACCAAATGTAAGGAGGGCACTGTGCATGTGGGGAGCTCACCCTTAGGGAAGAATAAAGGGAAAAGGCACAAGATATGGGAAGTGGGCCAGCATATAAAGTCCTAGGATCAAAGATAAATGGGGTACTTGTCCTTCAAGTCGCCCACTTGGGTCTCTTTCAAGTGTACTTTTTCTTTTTTTCCTGCTGTAAAACTTTTTGTTAATAAACTTGGACACCTGTTCTGAAACATGCCTCTGTCTCTTTTTTTGCCTTATTCCCCTCAATCAAATTATTTCTTTTGAGGAGGCAAGAATTGAGGTTGCTTCAGACCCATATGGATTCATCACCAATAACTCAGATACCTTCTACCACTAACATGGTGAGACTCTGCCTCTACAAAAAAATTAGAAAAATTAGCTGAACATTGTGGTATACACCTGTTGTCCTAGCTACCTGGGAGGCTAAGGTGAGATTATTGCTTCAGCCCAGTATGTTAAGGCTGCAGTGAGCCACATTTGTGAACCTGAACTCCAGCCTAGTCAATAGCATGAGACAAGGAAAGAAAGAAAAAGAAAGAAAGAAAGAAAGAGAGAAAAAGAGGAAGAGAGGAAGGGAAAGAGAAAGGAAAGGAAGAAGGAAGAAAGGAAGGAAGGAAGGAAAGAGAAAACAGAAGAGAAGAGAAGGGAAGAGAAGAAAAGAAAAGAAAAAAAGAAAAGAAAAGACAAGGAAAATAAAAGGAAAGGAAAGAAAAGAAGGAACTGCCAAAGAAAATTGTATGGCATTGGTTTATTGGTCACGGAGCAGATGAAAAGGAAACTATCAGAGACTTGAAAGATGGAGACCCATGGGATGCAAGACTTTTGGTGAAACAACTGTTAACTATGATACTTAGAAGGCAGATCAAGTAACTACTGAGCTTGATTCCTGGGGGAATGATTGGAAGTAGTCAGTGTGTTGGCATTCCTTTTGCTTTTTGCAAAATATTACAAGAAAGAAAGGAATTGAGAAAAAAAATGGCCACTTTGCAAGCAGAAGTGAAATAAATGTAGAGAACCCAAAATCTGGAGCTACAAATTATAGGAAACCTGCATGCCCAAAAGAAAGTGATAGGATTTTAAAAAGCGTCCGGAGACAAGGACCAGATAAAGTTTCTCATGAGAACAAAATGACTGAGACTGTGGCAAAAATCAGATTACACACGTGAATTCCTCCCCTTTTACTTTTGGTAGCCTGAAATTCATAACTGACCACTAATTTGAGGAAAGTAGGGCATAAAAAAGTAAATTTGGCTTAGCATTATGTCTAGAAAATAATTTCAGTTCATTTATTGGCACATGGAATTGACTAGAAACAAGTGAGTTAGAAATCTACTCAGAGTTTGAGTGAATTTCTTTGTGAAAGAAATCCATAAACTTACTTCCAAAATGTCTTAGACAATTTGACACTAAAACAAAGAAATAGTTGGGTTCCCCAAACTGCATTAAAACGAAACAGTGTAGTAAACATTGGCATAATCCAAGGCCCCTTCAGATGTGACCACAGAGGAAACTAGACAATGAAAACCAGGAAGATAGGATTTGTTCAATCACACATAGATGATCAAACAAAACCCATCATAAGATAAGAAGAAGGATAGGGATGTGGATAGACAGTTAGGTGGTCACATACATATGAAAAAGCTAGAAATAGAATATGTTAGTCCTATTGACACCTAAGGCCAAAAACATGGAGACTTTGGTCAAAATATGGCTCTGATACTTAATCTCTCCAGATTCATATCCCTAATTTCTGGCATTCTATGATTATCTTGTCGCAATGGAAATACCATTAAATATCACTTGAATTTTAAAATATTGCCAGATGGTCTACTGATCTACTATATGCAAAAAAATCAAAAGCCTCCTTTAAGAGTAAAGAATATGATGTTCTATGTGTCTCTTCTCCAAATCTCCTTAACAGTAGGGAAAAAAGAGAAGATAATATTGAAGAAGAAAACAAACACAACCTTTTTATAGTGAGATTTGATTTCCCCATGGTTAAGTTGATTTGCTGAAATAATACTGTAGTTGAAATTCATTGATATATTGATTGATGCTATATTTCATGTAATAATTTTATATTCATTCTTTTTCATGTAATCTGTTCCCCCATCCTTTTTTATAACACACGCACTAACTAAACCAAATTTTTTTATTTTAAATATTTCTGAAAGAAGTAACATTATCAGTGACCCTGTTGATCTAGCCAAAGACTATAATCATTGACCTCTCTCATTCACTTTCACACCATCGGATCAATTACCAGATCTAGTAAATTCTAGCTCCTAAATTTCTGACAAATCTAGTCACATCTCTTCATTCTCATTTCACCTCCCTTCACAGGAAACTTTATCACTCTTCTATGGTAATAGCTCTTTAATTGATCTCCCAGTCTCTATTCTTACTCATTTCCAAACAATTCTCCACTCTGAAGTCAGAAAGATCTTTATAAAATGCAGTTTATCACATCACTTCCCTGATTAAATTATCAATGTCTCAGTATTGCTCTGCAGATAATAACCCCCTTTAACATTGCCTACAATGTCCTTTGTGGTCAATTAATTGCTTATCTCTCCAATCTTACCTCACAGGCAAAAATATCTCACAATCAGTGTTCCAAATTTGTTAAAATACTTTTTTCCCACATAATGCTCACTCTCACTATTAATTTTACAACTTTGCACCTGCAAAACTTTTTGCTGAAGCTTTTCTCTCCTTCATACTTTACATTTTAGAAGTTTAACTCCATTCCTGCTTAATGTCTCAGCCATTCTTCGTCAGCCTCAGCTGGTGGCAGGTGCTCTTTCTACATATTTGCACAACCTCCTCCTGCATTTACTCATCATTACAGTCCTTATGGCATGGTAGCTGCCTGTTTACCCCTATGTATCATCCTTTTTGAATGAAAAGAAAGGATCTTGCATGGCAAACTTGCAAAGCATTTGCTCTGCATAGTAAATTGTAACTAATTTTGCGTTGAACGAATGAACAAAAGGTATTTATGCAAGTGTGTCTATGCACCATGTGGAGAGGATCTCACAACAATAATTCACTTTAGAAATTCTCTGCTTATGAGGCCCCGGGATTGTGTTGGGAGGTATAAATATCAATCAGTTCTATACGCTATAGATTTGAGAAGTTTTAAACTCCCCAACCAGAGACCAAAAATTGGGATGAAGGAAAATCACTTGTTCAGTTTTTTTCTCACAAATATTATGTCAGCATAAAACATGTTTTTCAAGACTGAGGATAGACGAGCAAGAGCAACACTATGAATGTATGACAGATTATAGAAAATTGGGTGATTGAAAAGAAAAACCAGAAGATATGAAAGAAGAACCCATAAAATTATGGCAGAAACAGAAGAAAGTAATGATAGAAGCAATAGTAATATTGCATCGGTAAGAATAAATACTCGCCATTTTCAAAAGAGCTGAGGAAGATGAGCCCTCCCTGAATTTAAGGAAGAAACTAAGACAAACTGAGGATTTTTTCCTTAAGCAATGGAAAAACATCAAAAAATGAATGAATAAAATTTTAGAAAAGGCTTTTGAGGAAAATGAAAACAAGTAGCAGAATTTAAGATTGCATTATTTGTAACAATGAGCACGGTTTTTGATGAAGAATATATAGCCAGTTATGGGAACCAAAAACTGAGACAGTCCCCCAAGGACAAGCAGATAGAAGATAATATAGCAAACTAATAGATATATAAGATCAAGAATGAGAGACAGCATACAGATCATTGATATTCACAAATGAAAGACCAAAATATTGCACCACAATAAATTTATACACGCACACAAAATTCAAATTTACCCAAAGAAAAACTGAACAGCAACTCTATCATGTTACAGGGGAATACACAACCAATATCTTCATGTTTCATTCAAGCAGTCAAGTATCTCCAGGCACTTGAAGAAGGGTTCTAAAATTATAGTTCAGAGGCTTAGACAAAGCCTAAACATCATCAAAATGTAATATACTCAGAGCAATATGAGATGAAGTAACATCAATAAAATACCAGATGTTTATTAAATAAAAATGTGCAAAGAATAAGAAGAGCTCTGCATTTTTTAAAAAAACAGAAAAGTGAAAATTTTACACATACAGATACATATGTAAGATATATATTTAACAGAAGGATTAAAGTAGCTCAAAAAGTGATTAGCAATATTAGAGAAAAGAAAAAAATGGATCCAGCTATGAGCAAGAATCTGAAATATTTTGCATTTCAGAAAGAGAAAAAAGCAAAAATTTGTGGGAGCAATCATAAAAGGAGCAATTCAATAGTTTCTTTGACTTGAAGAACTTGAGTGCCAGATTAAGAGAATCCACAGAGTATCCAGCAGGAGAAAGAAAAAGACCTACACCAAGATAAATCATTGTGAAACCTCAGAAGGAGGTTTTGAGGGATAGAAGATAACAGAAGATATCTGAGGGAAAAAATGACAATGAAAACAAAATGCAAAACAATGCAGGTTTATTTAATAGATGGTTGAGTAATTCAACATTAGGAAATCTATCAATGTAATTCATAAATCATTGTATCTGTCTATCTAGATGTTTTGTGTGCTTTAAAAAGCATACAAATATATCTATGTCTCTCTCTATATATATAATATACAAAACCATGTATATATTGAACAAAGACTTACCATGGAACCAAGCATTATCCCCCCTCAAAATATATGGACATCTATCTATTATCTGTCTATCTATCTATCTATCTATCTATCTATCTATCTATCTATCTGTTTTGTATGTTTTTTAAAGCATCTCTCTCTCTCTCTCTCTCTCTTTATATATATATATATATAGTATACAAAACCATGTATATATTTAACTAAGACTTACCATGGAAACAAGCATTATTCCCCCTCAAAATATATGAACATCTATTATCTATCTATCTATCTATCTATCTATCCATCCATCTACCTCTCTCTCTCTCTCTATCCCTCCACAGATAGACAGATATCTGTTGATCTCTTCACCCACAGAGCATAATTACATCTGTATTAGCAAACAGCAACAACAACAACAACAACAAAAACTGGAAGGATAAGTAGTTACCTGTTATTGATGGGAATAGAAAGGTTTTATTATTTTTTTTTACTTTATCTATAGTTTTACTTGCCTATAAAATGTATGCATTTAGGCTCTAAAATAGTACTGAAAATAATATAACAAAAAAGCATCCGGTTCTTATTTTAACAAAGGGCCAAGTTATTTGTCAGAATAGAACAGCTCTTTTGTGAAAGAACCCTCAACTAGAATTGAGGTTTCCTATGTCCAGAAGTCTTTCTATGAGTGGCTTCAATTTTTTCCTCATTGAGCTAGAAACTCAGAGATGAATCTCAAAGGTCCCCAAAAACGAAAGGGGAGGAAGAAGCTGGTTATCGTTTTGCTCTCCTAACCTGAGTTCCTGCCAGTCTATCAGCTTTACATAATAAATGTTCATCCGCATTTCTTCTCAAGAGAAGGGTTATTTGCTTTAAGCAGTTTAAACCACTTAGGTTATAACAGCAATCTTATATTTCTAAGTTATTATTTATCCTCTTGCTTCTAGTTAGCTAGAATGCTATGAGAATACCTTTTATTGATTTTGGGCCATCATTTCTTTATTCAGTTACTTAAGTCACATGGAATTTTAGAATTTGAACTCATCCCTGACATCTAAAGTCTCTTCATTTAATTGGGATTTTCTCCTGTCTCTTACAAGCGAAGCTCCACGGTATGTTCCAAGCGAAGCTCCACGGTATGTTCAGTGCCCTATGGCCTTGTTTCTGTCAAGAAAGACATCAAATTCCTAATGAAAGCTTCTACGTCACCAAGGTCATAAGATGGGAACTTTTCCTCTCTTTCTAATAAAGGGGTGACATTTTCTTTATTGGTTTTACTATGTTCTGCCATATGTACATGGCTCTGTTCAATATGTTTCTAGATCCACTGCAGTACATTTTACAGAAGTTCATTTTCTAGATTTGTCTGCAACAGCATATGTTGTTTAAGTGGTAACCTATAACATTCTATAACTGGGAGAGATGAGGAGTAAATTTCTTTAATTTGAATTACATTTTGCTATGTCAAATTACAAAAAGTGTCCAGAGTACTTGATTTGAAATGTTGTATCAAACCTAGGACCTTTTGTTCGCTGTAGCCTCAGGTAGTCTTTTTACCAGACTTCCCTTGCACTCTAAAGGGTTTGGTAAAATAAAATCCTATTTGACATGTATGGCCCTTGATGCAGGAGTTTGGCAGCAAAGACTTCAGTTCTTAACATGAAAACAAAAAAGCTAATAACACAAACACTTAATAATAATCAATTACCCAGTGTAATCCAAACTTTTTAACGTAGAAGTTAAAAAGTAGAGTTTTTCAATTAGATTCATATTTTGTGTGTTTATAAACAAAAATAATACAAAGAATATAATTTCTGTAATCTGTCAAATGACAACTGTTAGAATATTTGTCAACTCTACTGAATTGATTTAAAAAATTTTTTCTTTGTACGACAAAGAATAAGAGAAGCTTCTTGTACTTTGGGAGAAAAAATGACTGACTGTAGGAAAATATGTAGCTTCCTTCCTCAAACTTAGTAAAATAAAGTGAAGTAATTTTCATATTACAGGTGATAGACAATTATATTTTCCTGGACAAATTTTGCACATAATGTCCCTTCAATGTCATAAAAATAATGCTTATACTCAAAAAAATGGGTATAAAAATGCTTAAACCATGGTAAAACTATTTTGACCCCACTCGAAAAAAGAAGAAAATCTGTGATTTTATGTGAGATATAGTCTTAAGTTTTATTTTAAGCTAAGTGTCTATCATTAAGCCCATAATTGAAATGAAATATTTTATTTGCTCATTTTCAAGTATTTATACAGCCTTATAAGGCTCAAGTAAAGATAATGATATCACAGTTTGTAGAAAAATATAATTACTTCACGGGTTTCACTTTTCTCTTTTTGGTTTTCTTCCTTTCATTTTCACAGCTTTGTCCATTTTATCAGCTAGGAAATATAAGCTCGAGAGCTTGCATACAAAAAGAAAAGATAAAATGTCACCTCCAGAGCTTTCATCAAAGACAAACTCAAGCTAAATATTCTAACAAAAGGTAAATGAACAATGAACTAAAATATGGTAACAAATATGTAATGAGCTACAAAAAAAATCGATAATTACACTCCAGATCTGTGGAAATTATACTTTTCCCGATCCAACCCAGAGACAATTTTGCTGCAGTATTTTGTGAACAGAGCTCTCCGGTGGGAACGGGCTGCAGAGGACATTTTAGTGGGAGGAAGAGAGCAATAGGAAGAGGAGTATGATTCATGTTCAGCATCTCAAGTGGAGGACAGAGTGCAAGAATTGAATAATGAAACAAAGGAGATATTCAGCATGCCAGGAAGGTTACTGTTAGAGAGCTGTTAGAATTATTTAAAAAGGTTAGTCTATGAATAAACATGCTTCATCAAGGTCTCTTACACATGCAAAGGGAGATGCTAGTGAATAATAAAAGAGTAATGGGGACTGGTGAAGAAATTAATGTTAATCTTATCCAAAGCAGATACAAATTAATATTGGAGCAACATTTTTATAATCACTTCTCAAGGCAAAAATTCAATTAATGTGACTATATCAATATTTCAAATCGTAGTCCCTTGAAAGTATACTTGTCTCTCTTCATATGAGCTTGCTGTCTTCTGTGAATGGCTGTAGCTTATTCTTGTCAATACTTGGGGAAACTTCTAAATGGTATGGTTGGGAGAATTTGGGATCAGTTCTATAAACCACAGTGCTGTGATGCAGAAGTGCCTTAGGGCACGTTTCAGTTAGGAAGCTCAGTTTAGAGAAGAGTAATTACTCTATAGAAAATAGATATGTAAGCCCAGAACAGTCTGTCTTGCTTCATTATTTTATTTACTATTTTATGCACATAGTGGGAGAAAGCTGCCTGTGATTTCTGGAAAATCTACATTTTTTATATATCTAGTTTCAGTCACAGAATAGGTATAAATATTTACCCTTATAATATTTGTATTTATATAGCATCATATCGAACGAGCACAGGAAAACAAAAACAAAAACAAAAACAAAAACACTGCTACCAAAAGGAGACTAGTTCTACCAGTGAGAAAATAATTATATAAACCAGAGTTGAAAGAGATTTCAGGCTGAGCTAAATTTTACCTTTTGTCATGTCCTTCTTCGATGACAGGAAAAGTGAGTATCTTCCTAGGAATTTTTAATATGCCTGATTTTTTTCCATGAGAGATTTATTTTATCTTACAACATTTTCTTTTGTTGGTAGTCTCTGGATACATTTTATATAGTGAGTGTTTCCCCTTGTTTGGCATACAATATAAATGCCTGTCATAGTTTGTTTAAGGTGTCAGAGACTTAGAAAAAGTTTATGAAACTAAATGGACTCCAAATAAGTGTTTTGCAGCTGGGCAGAATGTGTTGTTTATGTTGTAATGCCCTGACAAGTTTATATAATAAGAGGTGCTAACTCCACCATACTATGATAGATTGGACTTGTTTGAGGCATAGTGCTGTAGAAAAATAGGCCTACATGCTGTTGTTTGCAAAACTAACTGACGATCCAAAGCAAGTCACCCTATTAAAATAACTGGGCAATCTCACTTCTGTACTTTTAATAGACAGTGTATCATCCCCATAATGAAAGAAACATGAAATGGTTTCCATATCGAATGAGTTCCCAGAGGTGCTGGGATTTATCTCATTATATAAAGCTTTTCCATCACCGTTGCAATACCTCTTCTCATCTTTGCTTCTCATGCGAGTGAAGAATTTTCTCTCAACGGCTTCAGCCTGGCTAAACCTGCAGTGCACAGAAGAGGAATATACTGGAGATAAGATTACTTTTTTCCATTTATGTAGAAAATTATACCCAGTATTTCTGCCTGAAAAGGATCACTCTATGATGTGGACAGCATTCTGCACTCTCATTAAAAAAAGGCAGCCTACAATTTTGTATTATTTTATTTTTAAAAGAAGTTGGATACGGCAGGAAAGACTATCTGGGATTTCATGCTGTTAAATTCACCAGGGGGAAAAATCACCACTTGTATATTCTCCTCAGATTTCTTTGGTCACTAACACTCCAGCGCTGTGCTGATAGCTTCCCATGGCCAGCAATCTTACCACCTGCCTCAATAATTTTGATTGGAGGAAGAAGGTTAATATGATGGAATAAAATGAACTTTGTCAAGTAATATTAAAGTTCAGTCACTAACTGACAAGCCCAAGAATTTTCTGAGAAAGGATGTTACTGTAGTCTGTGATTCTGCTTAAATTTCTGTTGCTTATTGTCTTTGGGACAGCCATAATCTCAGAACAGATTTTTTTCTTCTGGTTCCTATGATACTCCTTTATACCATCATCATCATCATCATCATTATAGCCAATTATTGGGTACTTAAAAATAAATCAATCAGTAAGTTTGATTACTCAATAACACGTCTGTGTATTTTTGTGATTATTTTATGTATGAAAATACTGTGTCTTAGAGAGGATAATTAATGTAAGATTACACAAATAATACATGGAAGAAGTAAGATCCAAACCCATTTTTGAATCCAAAGCCATGACTTAGAACCATTATTAGCCTCAACAATGCTGTTTGTATTCTGTTGCTCTTCAGGGGTGCTTGTACAAATTTATCCCATTTTTATGTGCTATACTTAAATTATCAGATTTGATAAAATTCCATTGACAGACAAACATACTCTTTAATAACCCCTCTCCAGGACATCAGGCTTAAGGAACTATGTGGTTTGATTTACCATGAAGTAAGAAAGAAAAAAATTAATGCTGACTGGTTTATTTTTTGATAAGTAATCAAGTGGTTTAATTTTATTTGAAACTGACTTCCAAATGATTCTCTCAGATATATCTTTAAAGGCAAGCAGAGCAGTGAAGTGATATGTATTTCTTTTTCTTTGTTCATTCTATTAATTTTTCACATGACTATATAATTTTCTTAGTATTTGTAAAAGGAATTTAAAATTTAACTGGTAATAGAAAAGCTCAAAAGGATGCACAGTCCCATTATTGCTTTTTACGTTGATCTAAGGAGACAGATAGATGTGAGATAAATGAAGCAAAACAAAATGACAAGAATTTAACTCCCTAATTAAGAAGGGAATTACTGAACTACCATCAACAGCCCACCGCATCTGTAGCAATCAGTGGTCATAGGTCAGAGCTAGAGGAAGGTATTCTCATGTCTTGCAGATAAATTTAATCAATGAAAAAAACATCCTCTTCAAGGTACTCTGAATCATTTTATGTTACCTACTATGGAATATGTTCTAAATTACATTCCGTGATTCTGTGGATGAAATATATATATATATATATATATATTCTATTGGTAGGCTACATATAGCCTACCAATAGAAGCCAGCATATAAACTATCCTATTATTTTACTGAATATTTTTATGTTTGTGATTTCCCAAGATCTGTCTTCTTTTGGGAAATTATTTCTTTCCTGTTTTACATGGTGATAGTTTGACTGCAATTTAAGGTGTATATTGGCTGTCACTATGCAATTGAAAAGGTCCTTGGCAGTTCCTTTAACAAATCCTTTCTCTTACAACTCCAATAGAAATATGTAATCATAACTCCTCTCCTGGAACACTGAATTCTGGACAAACAATGCATTGATGAAAAAAGTGATTGGGTTTTATTTCAACCATAGTACCGTGGTGAATGAGAATTCCTGCTCTAATAATTTCTGAAACTTCTAGGAGTCTTCCATGCTCAGTTTGTTATTTTTATCTCTGCATTTTTCAGCTCTCTGGTATCTTTCCAATTAATTCCATGTTTGCTTCAATTGGGTCACCTTCCATTGCTTGCATCTAAAAACAATTAATGGCTAAAATTCAAAAAGTAAAATAGCAAATAGACAAATTCTGTCGATAACCAGATAGAATTTGTGTTTTATTAAGACAATTCCATTCCTAAATCACAACGTATTAAGTTAAAGAAGAAGCCAATTTGATGATCATATTCATTATAGCTAATTTATTTTCCCTATCTAATGAAACAACAAGTCTAATGGCACATTCCTCTAAAATGTATTTTATATCTAGCTGTTGTTCTCTATCATTACTGCCAAAAACCTGGTCCAAGGCAACATTTTCTCCTAGGTTAGCAGGTGCAGTATCTTTTAATTTGCTCTCCATTTTATAAAGTCTCTATTTCAGTCTAAAACCCATTTGATACCTAAGAAAATAATTTTAAAATATAAGTTCCATAATTTCGCTCCCCTGCTTAAGTTTCTTTGATAGCTGCCAATTGTACTTCAGATAAAACCCAAACTTCCAAGCTCAGCAAAGGCCTGGATAATCTAGCCCATGACTCACTCTTAAATTTCAAATTGTATAATTCTCTTTCATAATACCTCAAGCTTTCTGTTCCCAAATTAAATGCAACTCTTCAGAAAATTCTTGCCTTGCTAATCTGTTTTTACTTATGTGCCCTTGTTTGTTTACTTCATTCCTTTTATCGTATTTTAATAATATAGTTTATTTTATAAATATTTATATGATATAGTTTATTTTTTGTGCATTTGCTAGAATGTAAGATCCATGAGGGCACATTATTATTAAATACATGCCCAGTGGTAAGTACAATGCTAACCACTAGCAGCATCTTAATAAATACTTGGTGTATAAATAAATGCATATTTCTATGCAGATCAGAAGTGAATTGCTTTCCTTATGATAACACAACTTATTTTCCTCTTTTCCTTAAAGTGAAAGTACTTTTTCTAAAATTCCACATTTGATGAAAGCACACGTTTAACTGCTTGAAAATTTTTTAGAAACCTTTATGTAAGCTTGTCTTTTACAGAATCTAAAATGAATAGTGTTTTGAAGTGTTAATTCCTATTTCCTTTGTTTTGTATAACAGTAATAAGATTAAAATGAATACAGTATAAGCAGAGAATAGGCTTATAAAATACTTATTGTGTCAAGGGAAACCTAACAAATGTTCCCTTTACCTGTAAAGCTTTTCTGTGTTGTGAACACAACATTCCAAGATCTCACACAGGCGGCGGAATGCTACATTTGTACTATTATGTGCTTTGTCAGTCAGACAAATCCCCATTTTGTTTCTCAGAACAATGCAACCTGAGAACTTTCACTGAAATGGTTATTGAGTTAGAAGGAGAGGGTACCCAACCTTTTGAGTGAAATACCTCAAGTTTTCCACTTTGAGGCAATTAAGATGTAATTAGAACTTTGCAAGACAGATAATTTCAGTGGAACTTTCAACAAATTTCCTATTAAAACAATATAAGAAACCCTGTGCTCCTCTCTTTGCATTCCGGGGATACTAATATGCTCAAAGGAAGAAAACACAGGCAGTACTGAACTAGTGAGAAAATAATACTCCCAGAATACAAATTAAAAAAAAATTAAAACCTTCTATAAGTAAAATGTGGACTTCGATTTCCACTTGAAATATAATTTTCACATTTAAGTTGTAATCAAATGTCAAATATAATACAATATGCTGTTAAGTAAATCTAGCCTGGGCAAGACAATTAATGTGGAAAAAATCTATTAGTCTTTTATTTCTCTTTGTTAGAAAAATATGGTGCAGATATTATTTCTAGGATATAAGTATGTAAAATCTTATTTGGGGGAATGGAAGGAGAGGACACTGACAGTCTCTGTTTTTGTTTTTCTCTTTAGTTTTCTGATCAGAGCACTTAATCTATAATGTTACTATTTATAAATAAAAATAATCTAGTTTATAAAGATGATACAGATGATTAGTTTTTCACATAGGTGACACAGATGTCCTAAATCCAACAAGCGTTATTAAATATCTTCTATAATAAGGCATTGAGCAGTGGAGTTTTTCAAAGACATAAAGCCTCTTCTCAAGTAACTCTCGATTTACCAGGCTGTATAACAACTGCACCTATGGGAGAGGCACTTGGGTTGCTAAAAGAGTAATGAGGGTAATCGCTTGGAGATCAAGGTAAAATGCAGATTCTATTTCAGTAGATTTGAGGTGGAGCCCAGAATCTGTATTTCTAATATGCTCCAAACTAATGCTGATGATGTTGCTGGTATACGGATGAAACTTTGAGTGGAACTGAAATGGGTCTCAAAGAGTGGGCCTTCTCTTGACCAGAAAATTGCTCTTATAATAAATATCTGTGAGATGTTGAGTGGAGATATTCTAAAAACATGCAAACCATGTTAGTAAGGGAAAACAGGTAAGAAATGTGCCATTTCAAACAGAAATTGATGAGTATCATGAATCTTTTTGGAGTGAAGAATATTGACCACTTGCTATGTGCCAGGTAATGTGCAAAGTTTTATTATGCATAGTGGGTACATTGCAGGATTTACCGCTAGTTAGTGCAAATGTATAATTTTAAATGTAATAACCAAAACCACCATCTTCTTAGAAAATGAAATCATTTTCCAGGATTTCTCTTCTCTGATAATCCTGAGAACCTCCAGAGATGTTTACATATATATATACGAGGTGATTTGTGAGGTCTTATTACAAATATAATTATTGCCATCCTGCTGTTTGCTATTAAGTCCCTGCCTCTTTCCTTTTAGCCATAAGAAAAGCCCTTTCTGCTTCTTGTAATCTGACCTTCAGAAGCTCTTCCTACAGCAGAGTGATTAGGTACCAGTACTAAGAGAAACTGAGAGGAGAAAAGGACCCAGGTGGATCCTGGGTTGGAGTGGCCAAGCATGCCCCGTACATTTTAGCTGTAATCTTTCTGTACCCTGTGGCTCAGTCTGGCCCTTTCTTCTAGAGATTTCTCCCAGATTATTGGCTCCTTATTCTGTCCTTTCATCTGGCTTCTTTCAACAACTTCTTGTTCTCAGGTAAGTCTGTTAATAAGGATAAGTTCATGTTCTTTCACACTGTGTTTCTGGACGTGTATAAATTAACACTTGGGGCTAGATAACATTGCAGTGAACTTGTCTATAACAATCTGTAACATTTTTTAATGCTAGAAATATCTATTATATACAAGAGATTGGTCTGTTTAGAGCACAAAGACTTCTAAGAAGTGGTCATTGTGTAATGCTGCCCCACTGGTCTATCTGAGTCTTATCTCTGGTTCAAGCACATTAACTTCTCACCTGTGCACTATCACTTAATACAACAATCATGTAAGTTTAGATATTATCTCAATTTCAAGCCACATTTTAGCATGTCAAGCAACTAAACCTCAAGAAAATTAAATAATTTTTACAAAGTCAGATAGCTAGTAAATTATAAAGCCAAAATGTTTACCTGCTTGGAAAATAATTCCGATACTAGTAAAACACCTAATTGATATGGTTTGGATCTGTGTTCCCATCCAAATCTCATGTCAAACTGTAATCTCTAATGTGGGAGGTGGGGCCTGGTGGGAGGTTTTTGGAACTTGGGGGTTTAGCACCATCCTCTTGCTGCTGTTCCTTTGATAGTGACTGAGTGAGTTATCCCAAGATCTGGTTGTGTGAAAATGTGTAGCACCTGCCTCTCCCTCTCTTTTGCTCCTGATTCAGGGATGTGACATACTTACTCCCCCTTTGTCTTTCGCCATGATTGTTAAGTTTCCAGAGGCCTCCCCAGAAGCTAGGCAAAAGCCAGCATCATGCTTCCTGTACATCCCGCAGAAGTGTGATCCAATTAAGCCTTTCTGTATATATTATCCAGTCTCAGGCATTTCTTCATAGCAATATGAGAATGGACTAATACATTAATATTTCTTATGTGTTTACTCAATGCTGGTTCGTGTTCTAAGCACTTCACATGTGTTAAGTCATTTATTTCTCACAACAAACCAATGAGGTAGAAATTTTATGCATGAGGACATTGAAGCACAGAGGTTTGTTTAAAGATCGCATACTAGGATATGACAGAACTAAGATTCAAGCTCAGGCATCATGGCACTAAAGCCACACTCTTAACCACTACCTTTCAGTTTTTCTATGAAAGATATATTAATCTTAAAGTAGAGATATAAGATTAGGGTAATAGGTTATGAATAAAATATAACCTAACCAAAACTGCTGGATAATGGCAACTATGTGTAGAAAAGTATGAATCAGCTGATTAGAGATACTTTACCACAGTGAAAATTTTGGCCATGAGATGATGAGGGGGTCAGTATCTGCAGTGCCAGTCAATTGAACTGAGTACACAAAAGCATGGGGACCAGACAGGAGAGTGGTACTGGAGGGACATCAGCTGAGAGAATTGCAAGGAAGGATGTGAATTGGCAAAGCTGAAGAAAGGATCTCTTTTTAAATTTTTTTTCTTTTTTTGTGTGTATTTTTATTCAGATAGGGTCTCACTCTGTTTCACAGGCTGGAGTACAGTGGTACAATCATAGCTCACTGTAACCTCAAACACCTAGGTTCAAGGGATCCTCCCACCTCAGCCCCCTGAGTAGCTAAGAATACAAGCACACACAACTACATCTGGCTAATTTTCTGCAGAGATGGAAACTTGCTATGTTGCCCAGGCTTGTCTTGAACTCCTATCCTGAAGTGGTCCTCCCACCTCAGTCTCCCAAAATGCTGGGATTATAGGTGAGTGCCACCATGCCTGGCCTTGAAGAAAGAATCTCAAATGAAGAATTTTTAGGAACTAAAGATT
Source organism: Homo sapiens (assembly GCF_000001405.40). Lineage (NCBI taxonomy): Eukaryota > Metazoa > Chordata > Mammalia > Primates > Hominidae > Homo > Homo sapiens. Next base: position 54,202,709 of record NC_000013.11, read on the forward strand.
GTGTTGAGAGTATGGACGGACCCCTGAGTGTTGGTCTGCATTCAAGTTTAATCTCTCCCAACCAGGGTAAAATCTGCTAAAAATTGCAGTTCCTGCCTCCAGGAATTTGCCTCTTGATTTTTAAAATAATCATAAGATGAGAGACTGAAGTATGATTTTTAAATCATCATGACACTGGGAATAGGCCAAATGAGAGAAGTCAAGGTGTGAACTGTTATAAATTATGAGGAAGAAGAGAGCCCACTGGTAGGGCAACGGAAAATTCTGTGAGCAGAATTGGTAGAGCAGTGCAAATTTCTCATTCACAAAAATGAGACAGAGAGATTAATTGAAGTTGGAGATACACCTTTCATCTGCCACTTCCAACATCTCCCATTAGAGTTATTCTATTTGGTCTGATGGTATATTTGACCCTTCGATTAACTATTTTAGCCAGTTAATAAAGTATCTCAGCTTCTATTCCACTCTTCAGCAGTATGTGATGATGGGGCTGGAACTGCCAATAACATTTGTTTTCCTCTTACCTCCCTAAGGCAGAATCCTTTTTTTAAAGCTTCTATGTTTCAATCATGTTGACCTCTTCTCTGCCCTGGGGTAAAAGCTACACCCTGTAGTTGCCACCTCTGTGATAGCTAGCTCTCTTTTTTTACTCTTCAGTACCTATTCAACAATGTTCATATACATAGACTTGGTTAGAAAAATGTGATTTCTGTCTTTTAACTAGACTCAGACTGAAACACTACATGCATGGCTTTGAAAAATACCAGAGACAATTTTCTTGTCACTAAAAAGATTTTTTTTTTTTCTGGACAAAACCAAGGTTCCTGTCAGCTATAAGTTCTATGATGTCTTGTATGGCCTTCAGAGTTTGTCTCTTGAAAAAATGCACTTGCTGATAAAATGGGTAAAGGAAAAGGCCTGGACATCTTACTTGGCTTTTACTTACTGGTGGGTTTACAATGGTTATCAGACTAGCTAATAGTCCCCATCAAAGACACTATGCATCTCAGATCATAAAGATAACATAAATTCTCAGTCAATTTCAATGAAATCCAGAGCAACAAACACGAGATACATGCATTGTTGGGGCAGAGCCTTGGATGCCCACTAGGGAAGGGAAGCTCAAGTCAGAACCTGAGACATAATAACTAAAGAATTTTTTTAAATGTTACTACTTTGCTATCATTTATTGAATACAGACTTGATACATGCCAATCCCTTTACTCACCTTTAATACACACAACAACTCTGTCTTGTTTTTGAATTTTTTCATTACCCACTTTTTACCAATGATGAAACCCAGGCTCATAGAAGATAGCTTGCCTATTATCCATAAAAGGTAAAAAGGGCTGTGATGCTCCAAAGCTCATTATCTTGATCATTATACTTAATTTCCAGTCATGAAAGTGCTGGGCCAAGGAGAGTTTGAGGACTATTAATGGGGCCAAAAGACAAATTATTAAGAGAAAGATATTAAGTACAAGTGTTATAAACATCCACTTCTGGTTCTCACTATATCTTCACTGTGACTTTTGCATGTGAATATGAGTTATATGACTTTTAACCTATCATGGTTTTATAATTTTTTATATCCTCAAGTGCAAATTTCTTATCAATGATGACATTCAGAAACAATACCAAAGAAGGTTCAACACCTAAAATACATACTGTAATGTGAATGTTTTTATTTCATTCTTAAAATCTAAATATTAATATTTTATATCTGCATGTGAATTTGTTGATACCCCTGTTAAATTTTGATTTAAAATAATCAGTTTAAAATCCCTTATAGCTACTTCAAACGACTCTCAGTTTGTTGGCAAACTCAAAGAAGAGATTGATCTAGACATAATTATACTCTTTAGTCTTAGATAAATGACGATTAATGGGCAGAAACCAATGCTTCTTCTTTTTTTTCGTTTTTCTTTTTTTTTTTTTTTTTGAGACAGAGTCTCACTCTTGTCGCCCAGGCTGGAGTGCAGTGGCTTGACCTCAGGCCACTGCAACCTCTGCCTCCCAGGTTCAAGAGATTCTCCTGCCTCAGCCTCCCAAGCAGCTGGGATTACAGGCACCCCCCAACATGCCCGGCTAATTTTTTGTATTTTCAATAGAGACAGAGTTTCGCCATGTTGGGCAGGCTGTTCTCAAACTGCCGACCTCAGGTGATCCACCTGCCTCGGCCTCCCAAAGTGCTGGTATTACAGGTGTGAGCCATCATGCCCGGTCAATGCTTCTAATTAATAGCAGGAAAGGTGTCATAAAATTCTGTCCAAATGACATACTTATAGAAAGGAAACTAATATAGCTAATAAGGTAGTATTGTTTAAATTTTGGATTTGTTTTATGATGTCATGCTTCAGCACAATAAACCAGCAATTGTCTTGATAAGAATGAATATGGACAAATTTCTACACTTCTCAGTTCCTGGTCTAGAAAGTCAGGGAAATTGGAAGATACTGTGTGCTCATCCATCAGATAAGTTATCAGATTTAAAAGGATGATATCTATGAAGTTCTCAGAGCTCCTAAGCATTAGCATGGGTTATTACTATTATTATAAAGTGGCAAATGGTCTTTCGCATGTGAATTGGCTACTAAGAAACTCAGTGTAAAAAAGCAGTAAAGGAAAAAAGAGAGAAAAAAGAAAAGAATACTAACAAAAAAAATGCTGTGTGAGAATTAATGAGAGTGAAAAGTCAGAAGGCAGAAGTTTTATAGGTTACTGATCAGATGCTGATCTTTCTCCCTTTGAGCTTTTTTGTGTGTGTGCCTGTGCAAATGGCCTGGAAGTTTAATGAAGGCCATCTTTCTCATGACATATCAGACATTTCACCCTGAGTCATGGCCAAAAATACCACAAGAAAAAAATGGCCCTTCTCATAGTATTCCAACCTTCCTTTTCCAGATGGATGGCATAATAAAAATATTCTTCCAATTATTTCAGAGCCTTTAAAGAGAAAGGGAGAAGACACAGCTTAAGTTCAGTTCTGAAAAGGCATGAAGCTGTCAGTGAAGCTATTTTTGAACAGGATGGCCATTCCTAGTAAGAGTTCTTTAAAGAAAACTTTTCTTTCCTGTTAAAAAAAAAAAATAGAGGGAAGGTAGAAGATTCACACCCTTATATCATAGTACCAGTGGAAGAATTATAATGTGGAGGTTTATAAAGTCATTTGAAATTTTGAAATACTCAGACAAAAGACACAAGGTAAATACAGGAATACTGAGCTCAATTTTGCAGTGGCATTGAAAGTACTTCCTTGTGAGGATTTCTTCAGAGGATTGTTTGAAGGACTAAGTACTAAAGTCCCTAAGTATTAAATAAATTCCTTCCCAGTTTCTCGCACCAGAACAGACAACCTCCACTCTTCTTTGTAATCTTCTCATAATAGGAGTCTATGCAAATGTCTACCTAAAGTTAATAAAATAGTAGCAATGACTAAGAACAAAGTTGATACCTTTAGAGTTTGTTACACAATGTAGATGGATATTCCTGCTCAGTTCTTTCTTTAGCATGTGAACGTGTGATGTCTATTTTGTCACTGACCATTGCTTGTAGCATATATTTTTTTCTGAATACAAATTCCCATAAGTAGGAGTAATGCTGGGGGTAAATAAATTATAAAGAATTTATATTTTTCCAAAATTGAATTCAAAAATGAAAAGGAAATTAAAGGGGCTAATTTAGTAGGATATTGTAACAGAGCCCATTCCTGACTTGTAAAAACGCTCATATGTTTACTCATAACTGACTTTTATGGTTATAATAGGCCTTTTATTTTTGTTCTCTGAATAAATCCAGAGGAAAATCTTGGGATCTTTTATGTGGCAAAAAGAGCAAACACATTAGACCATTTACTTTATTTGACAATTAGTGGTCAAAAAGAAATTCAGCAGTTCTGAGTTTTTATTTTGTCTTCTACTATGACATAATCACTAGTCAGTAAAATATAAAATCGTTTTTACTTACAGGGAATTATATTCTGAAAGTAGTCAGTATCAGCCTCTTACCCCAGAGAGAACTCCTTTGAAAAGTATTACAAGCTGCCTAAGCACTAAAGGTTCTCTTATATCTGTGTGTGGGATATGCCATTCATTTACTTGAATGTATTACTCTTTGTTATGAACACACCTCTCATTGTGTTTTTAGGACCCTTGGACTTATTTAGCATTTATATAGCACTTCCATTTTAACAAAGATATGCCACAGTAATTTATAGTAGTTATTCCTCACAGCACCCTGGAAAAATAGAAGGCCATCTCTGTACTTATTTCATAGATGAAGAACAAACTAAAGCAGGGCTTGGAAATATGGCAAAATTGTATGGATATATTTAAAATTAAGGGATGTAACTTCAAGGTTATTGTTTCATCAGGTAAGTCAATAAAAATATTTGAAATATAAATGAAGGATTTAAATGTAGTCTTTCTTTCAATTCACTTAAGATTTCCGTATGTTTGCTGCTTTCTAATATAATAAACATGCATGTGGGTAAAATGATTTATTAGAAAGCTCACAAAATCCTCAATACATGAACATTCATAAATTCAAATATTCAGCAAAGAATGCATTACTAAATTCATAAAAGCAGAACCGAAAGAAGTACACTTCTTTTTGAGACTCCAGGGCAGTGAGGACAAACTAGTATGCAGGCCATTATCAAAGAGAGAGAGAAGAGTCACCAGTATGAGAAGAAGTTGCCTTAAGGCAAAGTGCAGTGTTTTGTTTTTTTGGTTTCTTTGTTGTCGTTAAAATCCTGTCTTTGGAAGTTATTTGCTGTGAAATCTAAAAAATTTAATGTTTCTACTGTAAATAATTATATGTACCCAATAAGTATATTAAAATAATTTTTTAAAGTGTTCTAAGGTGTATTTTTCACACAATAATTGACATGTAATGAATGCTCAATAAAGAGTAGCTATTTTATGAACACCCAAATGAGGTATGAGCCGATATTTGCCCTGTTGGCTAGTATCATTCTCATCCCTTCATCTCAAATTCAGCAAATAGGTACCACATATTTAGTCCTTCTCTTAGAGGATATACCAATCACTTTGATGATATGAAATTAATTATTCATATTTATGATGACTATTAATAATACTTTAAATGCACATATGATTTACATTATGAAACATTATCAGAGGAGGAAGTGACCTGAAATATGCCAAGATATAAGAAAGTTTTTACCTTCTCTTTTGCAAACTCTGTTATTTCTTTAGCCGTAAAAATGTTTTATGTGAATTGTTATTTTCATCAAAGCTTTGTATATCCTTATAACCTCATTATTCTGATCTTTAGGGAAGCTGTGCATTATATAAGCACTGAAGACATTAGAAGGCAAAATCAGTAAAGAACAGAGGTAACCCGATTTCTCAAAAAAATCCTCAAAGTTCCTCAAGCCACCAATGAAATAAATTTTTATTCATAACAAATAAGTCCTGCTACTCTGTGAATGCTTTTTCCAAAGAGGAGAGAATTTTCTGGATTTCCAGCTTGCCTTAAATGCCAGGCTTCCTCTATGACTACTACTGACTGCCTCAGCAGGAAAGATGTTAAACGATTTCTTAGCCCAAAAAGTGGGGCTGCAGCTCTTGATCAATTAGTACAAACTCACTGTTGCCAAGAATTCCAGTACAAATATGATCTGGATATAGTGACCCAAATTATGCTTTGATTTAATTCATTCTGAAAGAGCTAGAAAATAAACATTTTATAAATGCCTACTATGTGTTCAGTATTTTTCATGGTTTTATGTGTTCTCTCCAGAATGAAAGATGGATAGTCTTACCACCATTTATAAAGTTAAGGAAAAACATGCCCCAGATTAATATGAGATGGGAGGGAACTTGCATCCAAACTTCTGAACATTCCCAACAAGTGTTAAGAAGGCCGTGTTAAGTGAAGGATATTAGCAGATGTTTTCCTCCCCTGTGAATTAGAAAGAAAATAAATCATCTATCTAAATTATTTTTCTTAGAAACATTCAGCCAAATGTCAATGAAAAATCAAAATAAAAATGATAAATTGATATATAGGATGTGAAGTAAATATTCCAAATTACTACTGCTACTACTAACTAATTAATAAAATGTGGCTTACTGCAACTTGAAAGAATAACAATAAAATCTTCCCAAATGCTACAGATAAAAATGCAAAGGATCAAAATAATTAATTTGAATTAATATCATGCTTTGGCCATATTAAAATTAGTTTTTCTGTCCAATAGAAGTAAATACTAAAACAAAAATACTGCTATTGATAAGCTCTCTAGGACTCAAATAGCTGAACCTAAGTAAAGGACAGAAGGCTTGATATACACACGTCATCAGAGTGGAAAAATCTCAAAGTATGAAAGCCTGTAAATGATTTCGTTTAGAATTTATAAAATATGCCACAGGTAGCCAGCTGGTCTAGAAGTTCCAACAAGGAAAATATGTTCATGAAACTTGTCATGACAAGAACTTTGCATCTGTGAGACTTGCAAAGAGAGAATTACAATAATATAGCCTGCTGGCAATTTAGCTTAAGCCAGAATCGCTGAAAATATATACATGATATTAAAATGCTGATGTCTTGTTCTTGTGTCAGAAATGACAATGACAAGAATAGAAAAGAATCCACTGCCATTACAAAAACCATAGGATCACACAAAATGACCGAGAATGTCATCAAACTATGAAGAGACTACGAGCTTATCTTCCTGAAATGTTTTCTTCATACTGTCTAAAATTAGTTGGAAATGTGATTATGCTATATATAAGATAGTTTTTTTGCACGCTTTATTTGGAGAAAAGTCTGATCTTTCTGGGCAAAGGCTCTCCTTACAGAAAACAAACAACTTCATGAAGTTGCAGTCTCGATAATCTCAACAGTTAGATTAATAGTCAAATCTACAGTTTGCAATAATTTATTTCATTACCTCTTGTTATCTGGCCTGAATGCAACTACCACTGTATTTTCTCACATCCAGGCAAGTGGGAGATCAAGATTTGGAAACTCAATTACAAAAAATCATCTACAATAATGCTCTCATTTTCTGATACAGGAAAATTTATACAATTCAACACGTAAAAAAGTCCAAGTGCTGTCCCTTAATTTTCCTCTACTAACATTAATATTATGCTTGTTACTATATTAAATTGTGTTGGTAAGATTTGTTTGTTAAGTTTGAAATGTGATGCTTCAAATTTATACTTTAGAATGTTGCTGGTATTTAGAAATGTATAATTAATATGCCTTTGTAACCTTTGACTTAATATCATCATAATCATAGCCTGGTTGAGTATAAATTAACAAAACTCTAATGGAAGTTCACTTGGAAATATCTATTGAAACTGACCCAGAAATTCTATTTGTAAATATTTCAAAATGTTGAAAGGCCAAGATATTAGAAACTACATTAATATATATAAATACAAGATGGGTTGAATCAATTATGGTATAATCACAAAATGGAAAATTATGTAGTCATAGAAAATAAGGAGGTTGCTTGTTTATGTATAAATATGAAAAGTTTTCTAAGATTTAGTGCTAATTAAAGTGAGGTACCAGTGTATGGAATAGTATATAGAAGAGGAAGAAGTATACATATACCTCTGAAAAAAAATGTAACAGAAACTAAGATTATTTTTTATCAAGCTCAGGGAAACTGGGTAGATGAGAAAACAGTGGGAGAAATAATTTTCAATGTTTCCCCTTATATATTTTAAATTTTCCATTCTGTGAAAATATTACTGGGCAGGAAAGAATTAACTCAGCAATCCTGAATTGTTCAAACCCTGCAGATTCTGAAGAAAAGCTCGTCTCTAGGACTGGCCCTTTGTGTCTCGCAGTGGGTAACCTCTCAGCTTTTGGAACCATCTGCCTGAGAAATGTGATTCTGTGTAACTAAAGACTTAGACCACACTGCATTTTATGGTAAATATCTATGTTTGTATGCCTAGGGCACTGTGCCATGCTCTACCAGTTTGACCAGATAAATTTATCCCAACAATGTGGGGTAGAGTGGAGGGGTGGGAAACTTGGGGGTGAGAGGATGGGAGTGGGTAGTAAGAAAGTGAGAAATGACTGGAGCCTGTGTGAGGTCAATGCAGGAAATACATGCCTGTGTGACTGACTTCTAATAAAACACTGAACACCCAGTCTTGGGTAACCTTTTGTGGTTGGCAACACTTTGCACATATTTTCACATATTGTTGGTAAGAGAATGGAATGTGCCCCAGGGTGACTTTGCTGGGGAACACCACTGAAAGCTTGCACCTGATTTCTTCTAACCTTTCCCTATGTGCCTTTTCCCTTTGCTGATTTGAAACAGTTCCCTTTCATTGTATACACCATAATCATAAGTACAACAATTTTTCTGAGTCTGTACATACCTCTAGCAAATCATCCAGCCTGAGGATGGTCTTGGGGAGACCTAACAAAATTGTATATTCCCAAAAATCAAAGTAAAACATTTCAAAGTTAAATTGCATTTATTAGGGTGAAATGAATTGGTAAATAAAAAGAGTTGATTAAACTCTCTTACTATAATCAAATTCTGTGCTACATGTGAGAAATTCTGAGATACGAATTTTGTGGGCTAATGAAATTCAAGAAGTTTGTGGGCTAATGAAAAAAATGAAACAAACTACCAGGCCTCTGAGCCCAAGCCTGCACGTATACATCCAGATGGCCTGAGACAACTGAAGAACCACAAAAGAAGTGAAAATGGCCGATTCCTGCCTTAGCTGATGATATTACCTTGTGAAATTCCTTCTCCTGGACAGTGAGTCTCAGAAGCCCCCCCACCGAGCACCTTGTGACCCCCCGCCCCTGCCTGACAGAAAACAACCCCCTTTGACTGTAATTTTCCACTACCTACCCAAATTCTATAATTTGGGTAATCTGCCAATCTATAATAGGGTAATCTGCCCCACCCCTATCTCCCCTCCCTGACTCTCTTTTCGGACTCAGCCCACCTGCACCCAGGTGATTAAAAAGCTTTCTTGCTCACACAAAGCCGTTTGGTGGTCTCTTCACACGGATGCGCTTGACACAAACAAAGTGAAATTATTAGTTTATAATCCAAAGGGTTATGATTACTTCCTATAAAGAATGGATAAGAGGCTCTGAGCTCCTGGACTTCAAAGTTTATTATTGTTAAGGAAAAGCATACAAGTACTATTTTATGAAAATGGTTTTCTCTATTGTTAAAAGAAAAACTTCACCCAAATTAAATTTAAAGGAGTTTAATTGAGCAATGAACAATTTACAAATTGGGCAGCTCCCAGAATCGCAGCAGATTCAGAGAATCCAGAGATGCCTCGTGGTCAGAACAAATCTGAAGTGATGTACAGAAATCAGAAGTGAAGTCCGGATCAGCTGGATTGGTTATAGGTTGGCATTTGTCTTATTTGAACACAGTTGAACATTCAGCAGTATAAGAGTGGTTGAAGTATGGCTGCTGGGATTGGCCAAGACTCAGCTATTGTTACAGGTAAATACTTCTAAATTAGGTTTTTAATCCTGTCTACCTATTAGGTTAGGTTACGGTTTGTCCCTAAGGACACAAATATAAAAGTATGGAGTCCTTCTCAGGCCATATTTAGTTCCCTTTAACACTACTATGCTCGATTATTAACCCTACTTGTTTTTCTCCCACTATCTCTAAAGCACTGCAAGATAGACATGTATATTTCTGTTTTACAGATAAGAAAATTAAAGCTCAGAGCCTGAGTCCAAGATCATACATTTAACTAGTCCAAGATCATGCATTTAACTACTATAAAAAGAAACAATATGACCATTCAGTACCGCAGGCATGTGAATTATCCAAATCTTCAAGCTTTATAAGTGAAGAATTTTCAGGCTTACAGAGATTAAGAGATAGTAGGAACAGCCAGAGCCAAAATTTGAACAATTAACTTGACTCTGAAGATTATACTTCCTTCCATTGTGTTGAAGTGTCCTACAAAACGAAGTAGTCTATATAAACAAGATTTATAATATGTGGTCTGTATTCATAATACAGACCAAAGTTATATGATTATGGAGAAATAGAATTATTTTTAAAGATTTGCAAAATAAAATGTTACTAAAAATACATATCTGGACTTAAGAATTTCCAGTAATGCTATATTTATCTTTAAATGTAAAATAATTGTAAACAGAGAAACTTTGTTACAGTAGTATGCTTTAAATTGTATGAAAATATATGCATGTAAAACTGTCTAATATTGCTCAAAAATTAAATGTGTGTATGTGTATAAAATAAAAAGAAGTGAGACAATTACAGCATTCTCTAATTCCAACTAAAAATAAATGAGTTTTTCTAGACACACTATTTTTAGATTTTGATTCCTTATTCCTGAAATAGCTATTTGTATTTTGAAAATATGGCTATATAAACCACAAGTAATCACAGAAACAGTGAAAAGTTGTCAAATTGTATTAATATATAATGTATATATGGTTGCATCATAGTTATTAACCTAAGTATTAATTTTCAAGCAATTTCTTCAAACCACTTAGATGGAGGCTAAGTAGAGCTGTGTTCGATGACCCCCATCATTGCATTGTTATTGAAAAAGTCAGAAGAAATTTAGATTACTAATGAAATTAACCACATTAAAAGCTTATCTGAAAGTCTAAATTACAGCCTTTGAAGATTCAAAAAGTCAGAAACACAAAGACAGCTATATTTAACTGATTTAAAAGAAAAAACAACACAGCTGGAAATTTATCATAAGACACAGTGTTCATAATACAGAGCTACACATAATTTTCATTAATGACTGTCCAAGCATTCTAAGACGTTTCAATTTAAAGACAACATACATTTCCCTTAGGAAAACATCACCATCCTAAACGTAAGGTGGCTGTAATTTTTAAATGGGAAGAATGAAGAACTCTTCGAATCTTACCATACCTTATAAGGAATAAGCTAAAATATTATCTGCAAAGGGGAGTGAGATGCAAAGACTCTCAAAGGGAGATTACTGAAGCACATGCTTCTTATAATAAGAACTGGTGATAGCAATAGGAGGCAAACAAGTTCTTAGGAAGACAGAGATGGGTCCTCAGTGAAACTCAACCTTCAAGCCAAAGACAGTCTAATACCTGAAAACCAAGCTACAAATTCCAGATAAAATCCATGGACCAGACTGAGAACTCCCATTCCCATTTGGTGTGCTCCCTTTTAATTGGTCCTTATCCTTTACCTATTTTACATATACTTACCCTCCCCCAGTTGGTCTTTTACACTATGATGCTTCTTTCTGAATGGTGCTTTTTCCAAGCCTATACTCAGGCCAGTCAACACACACTTCCCCATTCCGAGCTCATAGAAACCCCTGGACTCAGCCTTTGGGTCAGCAACCCACTTTTGGGTCCCCTCTCACTGCCGAGAGCTTTTCTGTTGCTCAACAAATTCTACTCTGCTTTACTCACTGTCCAGTGTCCACATACCCCATTACTCTCAGTCATGGGACAAGAACTCGGAACTTGCCAAGCTACAGGAGTGAAAGAGCTGTAACGCTCCTACTCACCAAACTACAGGAGCAAAAGAGCTGTAACACTGGTACTAAAGAAAATAATAACATAAACCTCTGAGCCATCAAAATCTTCCTGAACTCAGGATTACAAATCTAGTAGATTTGTAATTTACTGTAAGACTGTGGGATTGAGATGGTATTACATGTTGTGATTTTACATATGGTGAAGTGGAATCACTGAAAGTGTGCTACAGAAACTGAGTTAATGCGTATATATTGCCTGTCTTGAATCTTTTAAGAAGAAAAAAAATAGTTGATGGATAGTTTGATACACAGTTCTTATCACTTGATATACAGTTTTTTAAATTGTTGAGATATACTTTACGTACATAATTTATTTAGTATAAAATGGGAAACATTACACAACCTTCCACTTAATTTTATTCATGTTTAAACAACAAAGGAAGATCTAAATATCTTGGAAGAATGGAAGCAACTAGTGGATTCAGTGGAGTGTATTTAGCATGAGAAAATAGAAAATGATGGTATAGGAATAAAATACTTTTTAAGAGACTTCAACATTGGGATTTTTTTTAAAGAAGAGTTGGTTGATAACACAATAATTTTTGTCTTTTTTGTTGTAAAAATTTAAGTATAACACTGTTAATTAGAATAAGGAGAAACATACTTTCTTTAGTTTTTATGTAACTATCTTTTTAAATTAAGAAAACAAAATATTTCATTAGGTGCACACCAGTTGCCAGGTAAGCATTTAATTGTTTTTTTCCTGGGGAATCAAAAATAAATCAAACATGGTTCTTATTTTAAAATCTCTTTTAAATACATGATGGATTTTAGTTCTAAAAGTTTTATCAGTAGTCATAAAAATGTGTAACATATTGATATAGTTTGGCTGTGTTCCCACCTAAATCTCTCCTGGAATTTAGGCTCCCACCATTCCCACTGTTGTGGGAAGGACCCAGTGGGAGGTAATTGAATCATACGGGCAGGTCTTTCCCATGCTATTCTCATGATAGTAAATAAGTTTCATGAGATCTGATGGTTTTATAAAGGGGAGTTTCCCTGCACAAGTTCTCTTCTCTTGTCTGCCACCACATGAGACATGGCTTTCACCTTCTGCCATGATTGTGAGGCCTCCCCAGCCACATAGAACAGTGAGTCCACTAAATCTCTTTCTTTTGTAAATTGCCCAGCCTTGGGTATGTATTGATCAGCAACATGAAAATGAACTAACACACATATTTAGCCTGTGATGTTGGATTTGAATATCTACTAAGGAGAAATCAAATTTAGAAACCAAAAAAGTAAACATTCCAAGTAATGTGGCACTCGGAATAGTTGCTTCTTCCTATCCAATTTCCCATGTGATAAACATGTATATAAAGAGATGCTAGGGATCTTCTGGAATGATCTTCTGTTTTATTTAGCTTGTTGAAGAAGCCTTTAAATGAATAAATTTCTCTCAGTATTTTTGGTTCTTCTACCCCCAACAAAATTATAAACATTTTTGAAACAAATATTTTAACAGGATGTGTATCAATTATCATGGAAGACCAATATTCAAAGCACAAATTTTGTGTTAGCTGCCATTCCAAAGAAAAATTTGAGTAAGAGGTTCTTTTCACATCCCTATGACCATCTTTACCCTGTCCACTAAACAAAATTATTTCTCCTTTGAACTCCTCTCTTTCCTATTTAAGCACTGTGTATTTAGCATTTATTTTGTAAATACATTTATTTATCTTATTTAAGAGTTTCTTTTTATATATATACTCCATGAGAAAATTCTTGTTCACGTTTAGTGCCCTAATCTGAAGTCGTTAAAACTCAATAAATGTCTGTTGAATTGGTAAACTGGGCTGTAGAAAAGTCAGATAAGATATCATTTAAAGAAAATCATCTAAGTTAAAGTAGGTTTTAAACTCTCATTTGTATACAAGCGATAATTGGACAAAATAATTGAGACATACAGATGCAGCTACAGAAATACATAATTGTGTATATGTAGATTTGCACTTAAAAACAAAGGTGTATTGTGTGTTGTGTCTCTGACACTTCGAGTTTGAGACAAAAACATGTTTTAGAAGATGGCACATACCGTTTAGACACAGGCAAAATTAAACACATTACTGGAATATGTTAATGATGAAAGCTGCTGTTTTGGTTTCTACATTGATGGCTGCTGGCAGGAAATTCTGGGGAATTTTTCATACATTATCTTTCTGTCTTTTTTGTTGACAAACATGTTTTCAAACAAACTTGGCATGGCATTACATTGTGGTAATGACTATATTCATTGCTGCTATGCACAAAAGCACATGTACTAGAAAAGAAGGAGTTTGGGATTAATTTAATTAACTAATGAGACACATTAAATAGATATTCAGCAATCTGCTTAAAATGTAAGTTAAGCAGATTCATTATTCATTAACTTTGCAATACATGTAAAAAACAGAAAATCTTTACTCTTGAATATTAATTATCCTATGGAAGTTGAGCCAGATTACCTAATTTAGAATTTGGAATATTTCAATCTGTATTTATTTTTATTATTCATTTTTTTCATGAGAAAATTTGCTTCTCACAGAAATATTGTTTTTATTATGTTGTATATATTACCCTATTCTAGTATTCAAACATTTTAAGTTATTGATCTCAGTTTCTGAATCTATAGTAATATTCACTATTTCATAAGTAATATTCACTATTGCATAAGTTGTGTGTATCAAATTAAAATGAAAATATTTACATCAGTATCTGGCATATAACAATCACTCAATAACTGCTGATATTTGCTGTATTATAATCATCATCACCAATTTTTGTAATGATATCAATTTTTGTGATGATGATGTAATGTAAGCTAGTAACAAGTCATTCACATAATTTAAAAAAGTTCTGTAGCTTTTCTATAGAAACACTTGGTTTTCAGTTTCTAGAGATAAATCAGATATTTGAAGGGAATTAATTGTTTTTAATTTTCAATGATTAAACTAGACTTTTTTGGGGGGCTGTCAAATAGACAACAGCAAAATAGCAAACAAGTGTTTTAAAAGGAATGCACAGTGTTCTCTAATAGCACATAGTAGGTGCATCTAAACTGACTGGCAAGTTTAGGGAAGGCATCTCAGACAATGAAACATGCTGAATTCTGAAAAATAATTAAAACATATTGAATAAAAGTTATAGATGGAAGAAGTTCCAGATGAAAGAAGCAGCATGAGTAATAGTATGAATGTTTGAGAAGCATGCCACATTGGGGAGTTTTATGTGTAATAGAGGTTGTCTCATCTTGGTTTTGTAGGGTCCATGGAAATCACTGGAGGTTATAAAGCATAAGCAAGTGGAGAAACAGGTGAGAAGGAAGGCTAAATGAAAGATGTGAATTATATAGAACCTTGTATCGGTTGAAAAGTATTTTAAATTTATTCTAAAGGCAACCAAGAATCAACACAGATATTTTCATTTGATATATAGATCTTTTTAATTGTTGAGATATAATTTACATACATAATATATTTTGTTTTCAGTTTGATGAGTTTTTACAAATGTATATCTGCATGCAACAACCACCACAATCAAGATATAGAACATATCTATCACCACACAAAGTTCCTCATATGCCTTTTAAACAAATGCCCTTTCTCTGTGAAGTAACCACCTTCCGATTTCTTCATTATTTTACCACTTTTGCTTCCTGTTTTTTATACAATGGAATCATAGAGATTGTAGTTTTTGTGTGTGCTTGGTTTCTTTTGAAAAATACGTTTTAGAGATACACCATGTTGTTGAATATGGCATTACTTTATTCCAATTTGTTACTAATGAGCATTTCCTTGTATGAACACACAACCATGTGTTTATCAGTTCTTCTATTGATGGATATTTGGGTCATTCCAAATTGGGACAATAATACATAAGGCTGCTAAAAACATTATGTACAATTTTTTTGTGGACATATGTGATACGCTTTGGCTGGGGCCCTTCCCACATCTCATCTTGTACTGTTGCTCTCACAATTCCCATGTGTCGTGGGAGGGACCGGGTAGGAGGTAATTGATCATGGAGGTGGATCTTTCCTATGGTGTTCTTGTAATAGCGAATAAGTCTCAAGAAATCTGATGTTTTCATAAGGGGTGTTTCCCTGCACAAGCTCTCTTTGCCTGCCACCATGTAAGACATGGCTTTCCTCTTTTTTGGCCTTCCATCATGATTGTGAGGCCTCCCAGCCATGTGGAACTGTGCATCAGTTAAATTTATTTCCTTTATAAATTACCCAGTCTCAAGTGTGTTTTTATTAGCAGTGTGAGAACAGACTCATACAATATGTTAAATACTCTGAAGTGGAATTGTTTCATCATAGTGTGGAGGCATTTATAATTTCATTAAAAATGCTGAAGAGTTCTCTAAAGTTCTTGTTCATTAACACTCTCATCGGCAATGTATAAGAGCTCCAATTACTTTAATTTCTTGTGAGCATTGTGAATATTTTGATATTAGCCATTCTAACAGGTGAAACATGGTATCTTATCTTGGTTTTGTAGGGTCAATGCAAAATTTCCCCTTCACCCTCTGAAGGTTTGTGGAAAATGATCTGACAAGAGGAAGATTAATAGTAGATGAAGCATAGAAATGTATTTGATCATAGTTTTACATAACATGAGAGCCTTTAGAATGAGAATCCAAAAGTACAGGGGAGATTGTCCATTTTTATGATTAGGTTGAACAAAATGTGGACAGCCTTGTGAAAATATGACTGCACTAAAAAGATAGGACTGTGGGAGGGAGGTTCCAAGATGGCCAAAGAGAAATGACTCCAGTCTACAGCTCCCAGCATGAGCGACTCAGAAGACGGATGATTTCTGCATTTCCAACTGAGGTACCAGGTTCATCTCACTGGGGCTTGTTGGATAGTGGGTGCACCCTGCGTAGCATGAGCTGAAGCAGGATGCGGCATTGCCTCAGAGGGGAAGTGCAAGGGGTCGGGGAATTCCCTTTCCTAGCCAAGGGAAGCCATGACAGATGGTACCTGGAAAATACTGCGCTTTTCCAACGGTCTTAGCAAATGGCACACCAGGAGATTATATCTCGTGCCTGGCTCAGAGGATCCCATGCCCACGGAGCCTCACTCACTGCTAGCACAGCAGTCTGATATTGAACTGCAAGGCAGCAGCAAGGCTGGGGGAGGGGCATCCACCATTGCTGAGGCTTGAGCAGGTAAACAAAGCAGCCAGGAAGCTCGAACTGGGTGGAGGCCACCACAGCCCAAGGAGGCCTGCTTGCCTCTGCAGACTCCACCTCTGGGGGCAGGGCATAGCTGAACAAAAGGCAGCAGAAACTTCTGCAGACTTAAAAGTCCCTGTCTGACAGCTTTGAAGAGAGTAGTGGTTCTCCCAGCATGGAGTTTGAGATCTGAGAACAGACAGACTACCTCCTCAAGTGGGTCCCTGACCTCCAAAATAGCCTAACTGGGAGGCACCTCCCAGTAGGGGCTGACTAAAACCTCATACGGCCAGGTGCCGCTCTGAGACAAAGCTTCCAGAGAAAGGATCAGGCAGCAACATTTGCCGTTCTGGTGATACCCAGGCAAACAGGGTCTGGGGTGGACCTACAGCAAAGTCCAACAGACCTGCAGCTGAGGGTCCTGACAGTTAGAAGGAAAACTAACAAACAGAAAGGACATGCACACCAAAACCCCATCTGTATGTCACCATAATCAAAGACCAAAGGTAGATAAAACCACAAAGATGGGGAGGAACCAGAGCAGAAAAGCTGAAAATTCTAAAAATCAGACTGCCTCTTCTCCAAAGGAATGCAGCTCCTTGCCAGCAACACAACAAAGCTGGATGAAGAATGACTTTGACGAGTTGAGAGAAGAAGGCTTTGGATGATCAGTAATAACAAACTTCTCCAAGCTAAAGGAGGATGTTCAAACCCATCACAAAGAAGCTAAAAACCTTGAAAAAAGAATAGACGAATTGGCTAACTAGAATAAACAACATGGAGAAGAACTTAAATGATCTGATGGAGCTGAAAACTGTGGCATGCACAAGCTTCAGTAGCTGAGTCAATCAAATGGAAAAAAAGGTATCAGTGATTGAAGATCAAATGAATGCAATGAAGAGAGAAGAGAAGTTTAGAGAAAAAAGAGTAAAAAGAAACGAACAAAGCCTCCAAGAAATATGGGACAATGTGAAAAGACCAAATCTACATCTGATTGGTGTACCTGAAAGTGATGGAGAAAATGGAACCAAGTTGGAAAACACTCTTCAGGTTATTATCTAGGAGAACTTCCCCGACCTAGCAAGGCAGGCCAACATTCAAATTCAGGAAATACAGAGAATGCCACAAAGATACTCCTCAAGAAGAGCAACTCCAAGATACATAATTGTCAGATTCACCAAAGTTGAAATGAAGGAAAAAATGTTAAGGGCAGCCAGAGAGAAAGGTCAGGAAACCCACAAAGGGAAGCCCATCAGATTAACAGCCGATCTCTCGGCAGAAACTCTACAAGTCAGAAGAGAGTGGGGGCTAATATTCAACATTCTTAAAGAAAAGAATTTTCAACCCAGAATTTCATATCCAGCCAAACTAAGCTTCATAAGTGAAGGAGAAATAAAATACTTTACAGACAAGCAAATGCTGAGAGATTTTGTCACCACCAGACCTGCCTCACAAGAGCTCCTGAAGGAGGCACTAAACATGGAAAGGAACAACTGGTACCAGCCACTGCAAAAACATGCCAAATTGTAAAGACCATCAATGCTTGGAAGAAACTGCATCAACTAACGAGCAAAATAACCAGCTAATATCATAATGAAAGGATCAAATTCACACATAACAATATTAACCTTAAATGTAAATGGGCTAAATGCTCCAATTAAAAGACACAGACTGGCAAATTGGATAAAGAGTCAAGACCCATCAGTGTGCTGTATTCAGGAGAACCATCTCACGTGCAGGGACACACATAGGCTCAAAATAAAGGGATGGAGGAGGATCTACCAAGCAAATGGAAAACAGAAAAAAGCAGGAGTTGCAATCCTAGTCTCTGATAAAACAGACTTTAAACAACAAAATCAAAAAAGACAAAGAAGGCCATTACATAATGGTAAAGGGATCAATTCAACAAGAAGAGCTAACTATCCTAAATATATATGCACCCAATGCAGGACCACCCAGATTCATAAAGCAAGTCCTTAGAGACTTACAAAGAGACTTAGACTCCCACACAATAATAATGGGAGACTTAAACACCCCACTGTCAACATTAGACAGATCAACAAGACAGAAAGTTAATAAGGATATCCAGGAATTGAACTCAGCTCTGCACCAAGCAGAACTAATAGACATCTGAAGAACTCTCCACACCAAATCAACAGAATATACATTCTTCTCCACACCACACTGCACCTATTCCAAAATTGAACACATAGTTGGAAGTAAAGCACTCCTCAGCAAATGTAAAAGAACAGAAATTATAACAAACTGTCTCTCAGACCACAGTGCAATCAAACTAGAACTCATGATTAAGAAACTCACTCAAAACTGCTCAACTACATGGAAACTGAACAACCTGCTCCTGAATGACTACTGGGTACATAACGAAATGAAGGCAGAAATAAAGATGTTCTTTGAAACCAATGAGAACCAAGAATCTCTGGGACACATTTAAAGCAGTGTGTAGAAGGAAATTTATAGCACTAAATGCCCACAAGAGAAAGCAGGAAAGATCTAAAATTGACACCCTAACATCACAATTAAAAGAACTAGAGAAGCAAGAGCAAACACATTCAAAAGCTAGCAGAAAGCAAGAAATAACTAAGATGAGAGCAGAACTGAAGGAGATAGAGATACAAAAAACCTTTCAAAAAAATCAATGAATCCAGGAGCTGGTTTTTTGAAAGGATCAACAAAATTGATAGACCGCTAGCAAGACTAATAAAGAAGATGAGAGAAGAATCAAATAGACACAATAAAAAATGATAAAGGGGATATCACCACCGATCCCACAGAAATACAAACTACTATCAGAGAATACTATAAACACCTCTACACAAACAAACTAGAAAATCTGGAAGAAATGGATAAATTCCTGGACACATACACCCTCCCAAGACTAATCCAGGAAGAAGTTGAATCCCTGAATAGACCAATCACAGGCTCTGAAATTGAGGCAATAATTAATAGGCTACCAACCAAAAATGTCCAGGACCAGACGGATTCACAGCCGAATTCTACCAGAGGTACAAAGAGGAGCTGCTACCATTCCTTCTGAAACTATTCCAATCAATAGAAAAAGAGGAAATCCTCCCCAACTCATTTTATGAGGCCAGCATCATCCTGATACCAAAGCCTGGCAGAGACACAACAAAAAAAAGAAAATTTTAGACCAGTATCCCTGATGAACATTGATGCAAAAATCCTTGATAAAATACTGGCAAACCAAATCTAGCAGCACATCAAAAAGCTTATCCACCACGATCAAGTTGGCTTCATCCCTGGGATGCAAGGCTGGTTCAACATACGCAAATCAATAAACATAATCCATCACCTAAACAGAAGCAATGACAAAAACCACATGATTATCTCAATAGGTGAAAAGGCCTTTGACAAAATTCAACAGCCCTTAATGCTAAAAACTCTCAATAAACTAGGTATTGATGGGACATATCGTAAAATAATGAGAGCTACTTATGACAAACCCACAGCTAATATCATCCTGAATGGGTAAAAATTGAAAGCATTCCCTTTGAAAACTGGCACAAGACAGGGATGCCCTCTCTCACCACTCCTATTCAACATAGTGTTGGAAGTTCTGGCCAAGGCAATCAGGCAGGAGAAACAAATAAAGGATATTCAATTAGGAAAAGAGGAAGTCAAATTGTCCGTGTTTGCAGATGACATGATTGTATATTTAGAAAACCCCACATCATCTAAGCCCAAAATCTCCTTAAGCTGATAAGCAAATTCAGCAAAGTCTCAGGATACAAAATCTATGTGCAAAAATCACAAGCATTCCTATACACCAATAACAGAGAGCCAAATCATGAGTGAACTCCCATTCACAATTGCTTCAAAGAGAATAAAATACCTAGGAAGCCAACTTATAAGGGATGTGAAGGACCTCCTCAAGGAGAACTACAAACCGCTGCTCAACGAAATAAAAGAGGACACAAACAAATGGAAGAACATTCCATGCTCATGGATAGGAAGAATCAGCATCGTGAAAATGGCCATACTGCCCAAGGTAATTTATAGATTCAATGCCATCCTCATCAAGCTACCAATGACTTTCTTCACAGAATTGGAAAAAACTAAAGTTCATATGGCACCAAAAAAGAGCCCGCATCGCCAAGACAATCCTAAGCCAAAAGAACAAAGCTGGAGGCATCATGCTACCTGACTTCAAACTATACTACAAGGCTACAGTAACCAAAACAGCATGGTACTGGTACCAAAACAGAGATATGGACCAATGGAACAGAACAGAGCCCTCAGAAATAATACCACACATCTACAACCATCTGATCTTTGACAAACCTGACAAAAACAAGCAATGGGGAAAGGATTCCCTATTTAATAAATGATTCTGGGAAAACTGGCTAGCCATATGCGGAAAGCTGAAACTGGATCCCTTCCTTACACCTTATACAAAAATTAATTCAAGATGGATTAAAGACTTAAATGTTGGACCTACAACCATAAAAACCCTAGAAGAAAACCTAGGCAATACCATTCAGGCCATAGGCATGGGTGAGGACTTCATGACTAAAACACCAAAAGCAATGGCAACAAAAGCAAAAATTGACAAATGGGATCTAATTAAACTAAAGAGCTTCTGCACAGCAAAAGAAACTACCATCAGAGTGAACAGGCAACCTACAGAATGGGAGAACATTTTTACAATCTACCCATCTGACAAAGGGCTAATATCCAGAATTTACAAAGAACTTAATCAAATTTACAAGAAAAAAATCAAGGAACCCCATCAAAAAGTAGGTGAGGGATATGAACAGACATTTCTCAAAAGAAGACATTTATGCAGCCCACAGACACATGAAAAAATGCTCATCATTACTGGACATCAGAGAAATGCAAATCAAAACCACAATGAGATACCATCTCACACCAGTTAGAATGGTGATCATTAAAAAGTCAGGAAACAACAGGTGCTGGAGAGGATGGGGAGAAATAGGAACACTTCTACACTATTGTTGGGACTGTAAACTAGTTCAACCATTGTGGAAGACGGTGTGGCGATTCCTCAGGGATCTAGAACTAGAAATACCATTTGACCCAGCCATCCCATTACTGGGTATATACCCAAAGGATTATAAATCATGCTGCTATAAAGACACATGCACACATATGTTTATTGTGGCACTATTCACAATAGCAAAGACTTGGAACCAACCTAAATGTCCATCAATGATAGACTGGATTAAGAAAATGTGGCACATATACCATGGAATACTATGCAGCCATAAAAAATGAGGAGTTCATGTCCTTTGTAGGGACATGGATGAAGCTGGAAACCATCATTCTCAGCAAACTATCGCAAGGACAAAAAACCAAACACTGCATGTTCTCACTCATAGGTGGGAATTGAACAAGGAGAACACATGGACACAGGAAGGGGAACATCACACACTGGGGCCTGTCGTGGGGTGGGGGGAAGGGGGAGGGAAAGCATTAGGAGATATAGCTAATGTAAATGATGAGTTAATGGGTGCAGCACACCAACATGGCACATGTATACATATGTAGCAAACCTGCACATTGTGCACCTGTACCCTAGAACTTAAAGTATAGTAAAAAATACATAAATAAGAAAGAAAGAAAGAGAAAGAAAGAGAGAAAGAGAAAGAAAGAAAGAGAAAGAAAGAAAGAGAAAGAAAGAAAAGAAAGAAAGAAAGAAAGAAAGAAAGAAAGAAAGAAAGAAAGAAAGAAAGAAAGAAAGAAAGAAAAAGAAAAGAGAGAAAGAAAAAGACAGGACCTAATATTGAAAGACTGATTTAAATAAATGAGCAAATCCTGTCTGTCTAGATTCTTTTTGTTCTCTCCGGGCAGCATTCCTTCCTTCTGGGTATAGGGCAGGATCCTCTCTGTAATAGAGGTCTCATGACCCACAGTCATACAAGGTAGGTCAAAGCATAGCTTTATGGCCAGTTTTTACACAAAATGGTGGGGGGAAAGTTAGAGTAATATTTTTAGTTTTTATGACTGGCTTTAGGGAAAGGGGTTCTGATTTATATTAACCCACCTTGGGAAGACAGTTTCTAGTTTCCATGGCTAGCCCCAGGGGAGAATGAGGGGCCAGAGATAGGAGGGCTGGAGAAGGTCAAAGAAAAACGTATGCTTCTTAAACCTTCCTTTTGTGGTATTATTTCTGAACCTCAACAGCTTTAATTTAGATTTTTCTAAGGAGTAATAATGTTGTGCAGCTTTTTATGTGTATATTGGACATCTTCTCTCAGTTCTTTTCAACTTATTTGCCTTGAATTGGGTTATCTTTTCATTATTACACTGTTGAAATTCTTTCTTTATATATCCTGAATGCATATACTTTAAGTTTGTGGTTTGCAGATTCATTTTCTTAATGGTGTGTTTCAAGAGCAGAAATTATTTGACAAAGGCAATTCTTTTTTTAGGATTAATATGTTTGTCTTATGCATAAGAAATACTTTACCATGATTATGAAGACAGTCTCTTGTTTTCCCCTAGCTTTTATGCTTAGGAGTGAGCCATTTCAAATTAATTTTTATTATAGAATAAAGCAAGGGTTGAGATTCTTTTTGGTTTTTATTTTTGAACATAAATATCCAGTTGTTCCAACAATATTTTTTCATGCACATACAGTGACTACATATGTGTGGGTTGAGGGTTTCTGTTCTGTTACATTGATCCATGTGTTTATCCTTAGACCAATAGAGCACTATTTGTTTTAGTAGCTTCACAATAAGTCTGTGAATCAGAAGGCAGAAATCCTCTAATTCTGCCTTTGTGTTTTTAAATGTCAAGATTGATTCTTTTGGATCCTTTGTATTTCTGTATCAATATTAGAATGAACTTATCAATTTTGTCTTTAAAAGCCTCCTGGGACTTTGGCTATGAATGCATTGAATTTATGCATCAATGTAAGGAGAAAGAATATGTAAAAATATTGAGCCCTGCAATCCATGAACATGACATATCTCTCCTGTCTTTATATCTTATTTCATTTATGTTAGAAAACGTTTTGTACTTTTCAGAATAGAGATATTGAACACTCTTTAGATATATTCTTAGTGATTTTATGTTTTTGGTACTATAATAGTGTTATTTTAGTTTTATATACCAAATGTTTATTGATTAAATATTGAAATAAAATTAATTTTATGTTAATCTTGTATCTTAAAGATTTCCTAATTTTATTGTTATTTTGTATATCCCAAATGGTTTTCCAATACATAACTGCAGCTTTTTTCTCTCTCCATTTATGCTTTTTAAACATTATTTTTCTTGTCTAATTGCATTTGGTAGACTTTTTGGTACAATGTTGACTAGAAGAGGTAAGAACCTAGCAGACATCCTTGTCTTCTATTGAGACAGGCAATTTCATGGGTGCGGTATTTTGAACCTCACTAGGCCACATATGAATGGGTCTTGGGCCTGGAATACTTTCTTACCAAGAGATAAAGACCCTACACAGCCTATGCCTGGCTTATCACTCAAGTATGAATATCTTTCCCTGCTTCAGGCTCCATTTGTCCTCCTTTGTTCTGCTTAACTGTGTGCAACAATGGCCCTCAGTCATGCCTCCAGCTTTCAGTATTCCAGACTCCATGTGGGAGAAGAAGGAGTCCTTTCATGTGGCATGGGAGGTGTGACTAAGCTAATTGCTCTGCATCAGCTGTCATGGGACACGTGTCATGTGGGACCAATGCACACTATTGGAGCTGATTTTACTGTCTGTCCTCTATGTGAGTAAAAGCTTGTTCCATCCAGTGCTGTGTTGTGTTTTTCTCAGTGACTTGAATATTAAGATGCAGTGGGCAGAAGTGTTTGGACTTTAGTACTGGGTGGCTGGCATTTCGGTGATCTTTGCTGTACTCCACGTAGTTGGAGTTTTCCCCAGGTATTAGTATTGGTATACAAGGTTCTGCTTGATGTCTTCTTTTTTATTTAGGGAGGAAATATTCAATACTTGCTATTAACTCTGATGTTAGCTGTAGATTTTTAAAAATAGATATATTTTTTCAGATTGAGAAACTTCCCTTCGAAACCTAGAGATTAAAGTTGTTTCTTTTATTTTTATCATAAATGTTTATTTTTTTCATTTTTTTCTACATGTATTTTATCATAGTTATATGTCATAAATTATAATAATTAATTTTAAAATGTTAAATCAACCTTGCATTCCTTGATTAACCCCATTCTGCAATTTGGTCATGACTTGGTCATGATATATTACCTTTTTACATATGGTTAGATCAATTTGATAATATTTTGCATCTATGTTCATGAAGGTCACTTTTTTCTGATTTTTTTTTACATATACTGTAATGTTTTGTTAGATTTTTGTATCAGGGTTATACTGTCCTCATCAATTGAGTTGGAAAGTATTGCTTCTTGTCTATCTTTGGAAGAAACTTCCTTATGATTTGTATTACTTCTCCTAGAAATAAATGATGGAATTCACTTATTAAGCCATCTGATTCCTGGATATGTTTTTTTGTGTGTGTGGGTGGAGGTGTTTGATTATTTCTTCATTTTTATTAGATATAATATTTAGAGTATTTATTTCTGCTTATATGAATTTTGGCAAACTTTTTTCTCAAGATGTTTCTCCATTACATCAGAGCTGTCAAATTTATTGGCATAAATTTTTCCTTGATATTTCCTATTATGTTCTTCCCATCTGTGGAATTTATGCTCATGTCTTTTATTTCTTTCTTGATATTAGTAGTTTTCATTTTCTCACTCTAGTTTTTTGTTTTTAATACATTTGCTGGACATTTATGAGAACAATTCATTTTCTTAAAAAGACCAACTTTTGACAAATTGGTGTTTTAAAGTTACTATCTAGTTAGTATCCCATTGATTTCCACTCATATTTTTATGATTTTTAATTTCTACTCACTTTTAAATTTTTATTTTTAAATAAAATTTTTAATTTATTTTTAAATTAATTTGTTCTCTTTTTCAAGTTTCTTAAGAAGGAATATTAAGATCATTGATCTTACAGTTTTTTAAATGTAGGCATTTGTAGCTATAAATTTCCCTCTATGGACTGCATTGGCTACATCTCAAATTTTATGTTGTGTATTATTAACATTCAATTTAAATAATATACTTAATAATTTTTATTTGACTTATGTATTATTTACTGCTATGTTGTTAAATTTCCAAACTTTCGGAAATTTTCTAGATATTTTACTGCATTAATTTCTAATATAATTCTCTTATGGTCACAGAACACATTTTTCAGGACTTGAATTCTTTTCAGTTTGTTTAGATTTGTTTACTTATCAACATACAATCTATCTTGGAGAATGTTTTGCGTGCATGATTGGGAAAGGAATGCTTATTCTGCTCTGGTTGGGTTCAGTGTTCTATAAAAGTCAGTTTGGCCAAGGTGATAGATAATGTTATACAATCATCTCAATAAAACATCATTTTTATCTAGATACATAGATTCACTCCCCCCTACTACAAGGAGTGAGGCAATGAAGAATGGATCATGAATAATTAACTCACATTCAGACATATGAGGTTTGCATAAGAGATTTGGTAGACCAACTAATCTTAGAACTTTTAATTTCTCAATTCTGAGGAATCATACCAACCTCAAAATCAAATAAAATATGATACATGATTATTTCTATTAGGAAAATGAAATCACATTAACTAGATTTAAGATTTATTAACTAGATATAAGAAATAATGTGAAACTTACTATATCAAATGTAAAAGTTTGAAAAAGAAATGACTAAATTTTGGTTTGACTGAATTTAACAACAACAAAAAACTTTAAAATTGTAGAAAAAATGCTAAATTACTGTTTGCCTAACCAATATCTGTCCAAATCTCCCACATTTAAAAAAGTTGAGTGAACAATTTGGGCACTTAAAGTCTGTAAGATGTTAATATCTTAGCAAATAAAATTTATTTAAGCGTGTTCAAATTATTTCCCTCTTGAAATAGGCAAAGCAAATAAAACACAAACTCACATTCACATCAACATATGCACAAACAAGTCCTCCTAATCCAATCATCCCAGCAGTATTTCCACATTGTGTAGGTCTCACAGGTAATTTCTAATGAATTCTTTGTACTATAGATCTCTTTTAATTAATCTTTAAGTTATATTTGTAATTTAATAGGCCAAATACTTTTCAAAGGTGAAGCACAGAATATTTGACCATTGTCATATGAATAGACCAATCTATAAATTAAGAGTAACCTCTACATGTTTTACTCAAGGGCTATCTAAGCACGAATAAATAACAAATTTACAAATGCCATGTCTATTTTATATTCATATTTTCCAGGGGTTGCTTGTCAATGAGATTTGTTAAACATTTTCTATCACAGAATTGTAAGCCTCTGTTTTTGGAATGTTTTGTAAAAGAGAAAATGAGATAGTCAAATTTTCCAAATAGCTAGGAGTTAATATTTTAATCACTAGTGTTTGTCCTTGTGCTTTAAAAAGGACACGGTTTTAAAATATGCAACTTTTCCCCTGGCTCTACAACAGAACACCTGAGCATAATTTAAACCTTGCTTTATTGTCAAGGTGATCACTACAATCCTCAACGTTTGGCCATTGCTGTAAGTATTACGCTGAACTGATGTCAATTGTGTTGCATGCCATCCAAAAGAGATTCTGATTGCATCAGCTCTCCTTAGAAAACAACTCTGATAACAGTCTGTCCTTGGGTCACTTGCTACTAATTATATAATTGATTACTCAATGAACATAACGCTCATAAGGCAACTACAGAGTGTCAATTACTGGTCAGTGTCTTAGATCTTCATAGATCTTCACATTAATCTCTGACCTCAAGAAGCTTGCTTTATATTGGAGCAGAATGAAAAGCTTGTATTGGCCAACCCTGTCCAGCCAAACCCAGCAATTCCACAAGATGGAGTATTATACTTCTATTACCCATGAGAAAACTGGGGCTATGAAATGTTGAATAATTTGACTTATACCAAATCATAGTGAATAGAAAAGCCATGTTCAAACTCGGTCTTCTCTGATTTTCAAACTTTTGTTCTTCCTGACTTCAGTACTGCTTGCACTGTAAAGGTGGCTTATTCTTCCAAGGGATTTTGATATACAGGGAAGGGGGAGAAAGACAAATTCTGTCTTACTTGTGAGTATGGCAGTTTATTTCCACATTTAACCTTCTGAGGCAGCCAGTGCTGCCACCATTGCTGTGATAATTGCCGGTTTCATCAAATCCTAGATCTCCAGATTCGGAGAGATTTTTACAAGATGCCTCATCTAGCCTCTTTTCTATATGGTCAAGGCACTCAAGCCTAGAGAACCTGAGGCCGTACACGCAAAATCAGTGTTGGCTGAGCCAGAAACTAAACCTGTTCTCCAGACACACCCCTTTCATTATACTATGCCATCCTTCCTTGGACATATTTGCTATGCTCTTCCCTTCCTAGTTCTTTAATATGTCTCAATTTTCATTCAAGTAATACAGGCTTTGAAACAGAAGCCAACAGTCTGTTAGATTTCTGTACTTTGTCTTATAAGGGAAACAATCCCAAAGTAAGCATAAGTGCATGGTTTTAATCCATGTTTACATGTTATTGGATGTTTCCACATAATGATTCTGGTTAACAAAGTCAGTGTTTTCTCTGTGATTGAGTTAGTTTGCACACCTGAACCAGATATCATTAGATCCTACAAAGCTAAAATTATGTAGGTCTAGGCTTCTGGGACAATATGGACTGTTTTTAGATCGGTTGTAATTTTTAGCACTGCCCCTACTTGGCTTACCAGAACAACTGCCTGTGGCATGTGTTAAGATTTTGTAAAATTTGAAATAATTTTTGTTTTTTATTATGAAATTGGCTCTGCAAAAGTATGGTGAAGATTTTTAAAAAGTAACCATCTCTAAGTAATTTTATTGGTTTTCAATTTTACTAACATCTCAACCAGAACTGCAACTAAAAGAGACGACTGCTTGGGTATAAATTACCAGAAAAACAGATGATATTTTTAACACTGAAATTTTGTAAAAAGTAGAAGCCCCTTTCTTCAGGTTGACAAGCTCCAGGCTCAATCATGGGGCAGGTGATGACTTCTCCCTGGGCTCAGGTTAAATTTGAGCCCTTAATCCTTCCTTCAATCAAGGGTGTCTCTTTGCAACAACATAGTGGAGGTGTATTCTCAACCATGTGGATTAATCAGAGAACCCCTTGGTGATTACTGAAGACATGTCCAGTCTCTAAGTGATGATTTTATGTACAGGAAATACATGGAGGGAGCTATCAAGACAGAGAGTATGACAACCACACCCAAAGACTCTCTTGAGAGACCAGGTTTTGTGCAGTCTGTGCCCTACCTTGCTCATCAATCAGTAAGGGTGTTGGTGATTCGTACAGTGCATTTTCAGATATGTATGGCACTGGCTAACTCTGTTGTTACATTGAATATGTCATTTCAAAATCACGTTTTCCAAGATGATGCTTTCAGTGTCACTATTTTGGAAGAGTGTTGAGAAACCACCATATCTGATTC
Organism: Homo sapiens; assembly: GCF_000001405.40. Taxonomy (NCBI): domain Eukaryota; kingdom Metazoa; phylum Chordata; class Mammalia; order Primates; family Hominidae; genus Homo; species Homo sapiens. Next base: position 54,231,950 of record NC_000013.11, read on the forward strand.
TCAAATGGATTTGTGATGCTAGTCACATAGAAAATAAATCAGTCACAATTCCATTGTATCTTCTAGAGCATTTTCAGAAGACTGTATTTAATGACTAGTCAAGCATTTCTAAATACTTCAGTAGAAACGATGATTATATTTGTCAATTCAGTTTCAATACTATCTGCTAAAAACGAATAAGTAATTTAGTCTACTTGATAGTTTCTAAAAGATTATTTTAAATAAATATTACATTTTTCATTAAAATTCTTGAAGTCACGTTTTATATAAAAACAAAGAAACATTCAAAAGAATGGAAGCTAACATTATTCAGTCTTTCATTCCCAGAGAGAATGAACCAATGAAACTGTGGAAAAGTAATCTCTTTTATTGTTATGTTAGTGCAAAATATTTGCATCTTTGATGTTCTTAATAACATTACGTATGTAAACTTTTAAAGACTGCCTTTCTGCGTTTTAACATGGTCTAATGGCATCTACCACCGTTGTACTGTCAGTGAAACTTTATGGCCTAATGAATTGCCCCTGTGTTGGAGCGCTATGGGACTTTTCCTGTATTTTAAAGGATAAATGTGTTGCTGAAAACTGAACTAAGATTTTTTAAACCTGGGAACTAGTTTAAGATCTGCCGCTTACCAGCCAATTAACCTTTGAAAATTCACAACATTTATGAGGGTCGTATTTCCATCTATAAAATGGGGCGAGAAATACTTGCCCGGCTTCCCTCCTATAACCGAGTTGTTAGAAGAAAATGACAGTAATATATGAAAGTATTTTAAACCTGTGAAGCTTTACTCAGAAATAAAATGTAATTATTTAATGTCTGTTAGGTTGTACTTTGAAAAATGGTTTGATTTTTGCTTATTGACATAATGTATCATACATCAAATGTGGTCAGCTAAAATGTCTTTCTGAATATCATCTTTCAGCTAATCCACTTTTATCATCATGTTAGTCCAATAAATTATGCACTCACGATTTCTAGTGCATTGATTCCAAGTACTTCATATAGTCCTTCAAGAATATTGAGAGTTATGTTTCTGGCAGGCAATAAAAGTGACCACTTGTGGAGGGCTGATTGCAGATCCCCCAAGGTGCCAGGCAGTGATTTGGGCCTGTTTTATTCACTGATGTATCTCAAGTACCTAGAACAGTAACTAGCTCATACAATCTCACATAAATACTTGGTGAATGAATGAAAGAATTTCTCCTTCATAATACTTAAATGACCTGAGTACAGGTGGGAAAAAAGTAGTAATCCATGCATTGCATATTTTTTACACTATTTGGAGTCATTAGGTTGTTCTCTACTTTTCCTCTCGCCACAAGCAGTTTTATGCTGTATTTCCAGGGAAACATCAGTAGAGTTAGCTCTTTCAAAAAACTTGTCCTCACACAGACAGTGTTCATGCTTCAAGATTTAAAAAGCATACAGTGCAAACCAACAGAATACACCGACAGTAGTTTCCCTACAATGCCTTTTCCATCATTAAGGCCTTGTATTTGTTTTTCATTGGTAGGCATTATATGTTCACAGTGAAAAATTCAAATAATATAAACAAGAAAATTCAAATAATAAAGTTAATAGGGAATGTATCTCCCTTCAATGCCCTCTTTCAGTATTTTCAATCTTTTCTCAGAAATATCCAGCTACTAGTGGCCTATTAAAATTTCAGATATATCTCTGAATATCTAAGTGGTTTTGTAATATATACACTCTGTTGCAACTTGCTTTTTTTCTAATACAAATTGGGTGTCATTGATATCTGTTTATATAGATCTGTTTTATTTCTTCAATACCCATAATTATATAACAAAACATAGCCTGGGAATAAATAATGTATTTAGCAAATGATCTCTTGGTGATTTATGTTGTTTTTAATCTTTTATTACCACAAAGAATATTTATATAAATATCCTTATTCAAATATCTTTGTGCTAAAGTGTGAAAATATCTGTTGGATACAATCCTCAAAATGAAATAACTATCAAATGTTACACGCAACTAGTATTTGGCTATTTATAAACAAATTTCCTTGCAAGTCAGTTTTTATTATGTCAGTCCATGTACTCCACTCCATCATCAACACAGTTTATAATCAAACCTTCACACTTTGCAATTGTGTTAGTTGAAAAATAATGTCTCATATTTTAAATCATGAATAAATTTTAATAGTTGGGGTTTTATACAGTATATTTCATGTTTTCAAATCTTTTACACTTATTTTTACATGTTCTGTCTTTTCATATTCTTTGTCCATTTTTCTATAGGAATTTTCACAGCTTTTCATTGATTTGTAATTGGCCATTATAAAAGATTGAGAATTAAAATTTTCTCTATCCAACATCCCAATGTTTTTATTGCGTTTGTTATTGACTTTTTGTTTGGATAATAACTTTCAGGCACAATTTTAAAAATTGTGTAGTCCAATTAATCTGCACTTATTTTATGACATTTTAATTTTGCACTATACTTAGAAAATATTTGCTCACTCTAATATTGTAAAACACGTTCTTCAAATTTAATTGTAATGTTCTTATAAATTCTTTTTTTTCTGTATTTTTTTTAACCCTGAGTTTATTTTGTTTTCAGGGGTGATATAGAATTTGAAATTTATTTTTATGTTTTATTTTTTCCTGATAGCAAGTTTTCTCAATTCTATATTTTTGTTTATTTGTTGGTTTTGTTTTGTTTTTGAGACAGGGTCTCCCTCTGTCGCCCAGGCTGATCTCGGCTAACTGCAACCTCCGCTTCCTAAGCTCACAATAGCTGTGTGCCACCACACCTAGCTAATTTTTGTATTTTTTGTTAGACGGAGTTTCACCATGTTTCCCAGGCTGGTCTCCAACTCCTGGGCTCAAGTGGTTTGTCCACCTCCACCTCCCGAAGTGCTGGGATTATGATAGGCGTGAGTCACTGTGTCCGCCCTTCTCAATTCTATTTATTCTAAAAGGATTTCTTCAGGAAATGTCATATCATTTTTTATACACTAAACTGCTAGTTGAGCATCTGTTTCTGGGTTGTTATGCTATTTTATTCATTTCTCAGTATATTTAAATGCAAGTATCCAGTTGTCTTTGTTTCTACAGCTATAAACATTATATCTTATAGGGCTATTTCTTACTTATTATTCTCCTTTTGAAGAATTTCCGACAATTCTTGCCAGATTTTTATTCCAAGTGAATCCTATGATTAGCTTTTTTGGCTGCAAACAAAAATACTTTTGGTGTTTTTATTGCTGCTGCAAAACATTTAGTATTACTTTATGGAAAACTGATACCCTTATATTAGAGAGTGAAGAGAAATGTACAGTTTTCTGTTCAGGCATTCTTTTAAGTCTTTCGTTGCATTTTTGTTTAGATCCTGTACATTTTTTTTAAAGATTTTGCCTAGGCAGTTGATCTTACTTTGCTACTATTGAATATGACTTCTTTACTTCCATTATGTTTTCTATAGTTGTTTTTATATAGGAATTATATATATACTTTTGCCTATGTTTCATATATAAGCTCCCTCTCTGCCTTCTTTTTGCCATCTGAACCATTTTTAATTATATTTACATTGTTGTGAAACAGATATCTAAAACCTTTTCATCTTGCAAATGTGAAACTCTATAACTATTAAACTCTATAACCATTAAACAATCTTCTTTGCCCCTTCCCCCAACACCTAGTAACCACTATTCTACTTTGTTCTTCTATAAATTTGGCTACTTCAGACACTTTATATAACTGGAATCATCCATATTTGTGTTTGTGTGGCTGACTAATTTTATTTAGCCTAAGTTGTTAAGATTCATTCATGTTGTAGCATGTCACATTATTTCCATACTTTTTAAGGTGGAATAATATTTCGTTGTATGTATATACTAAATTTTGTTTAACCATTCATCTGTCTACAAACATTTGAGTTGCTTCTACATCTCGGCTATAGTGAATAATGCTTCTATGAACATAGCTGTTCAAATATCTCTTGAGATCCTGCTTTCACTTTTTGATATATACCCAGTAGTGGCATACTAGATCATATGGTAATTCTACTTTTAGTTTTTTGAAGAATGTTCATAATTTTTCCCACAATGATTGTGACACTTTACAATCTCACCAACAACGCACAAAAATTCCAATTTCTACCCATCTTCGACAAAACTTGTGAGAAAAGAGTTTCTATATTTACTTGCTTATTTGTTTACAGTAGCCATCCAAATGGCTAGGAGGTGATATCTCATTGTGGGTTTGATTTGCAATTCTTTGATGAATAGTGATGTTGAGCATTTTTTTCATATGCTTGTTGACCATTTTTATATCACTTTTGAAGAAATGTCTATTCAAGTCATTTGCTTATTTTTAAATTATTTGATTTTTTGTTTGTTTTTGTGTTATGAGGTCTTTATATGTTCTGAATACTAACCTCTTATCAGATAAATGATTTGAAAATATTTTCTTACATTCTGTAGGTTGCCCTTCCACTCTGTTGATTGTGTCCTATGATGCACAAATGATTTTAAGTTTGGTGTAGCTCAATCTATTTTTTTTTGTTGTTATTGGCTGTGCTTTTGGTCTCATATTCAAGAAATCATTGCCTAGTCTAATGGCCTAAAGATTTTTTCCTATGTTCTCTTCCAGGAAATTTATAGTTTTAGGATTTAAGTTTAGGTCTTCCACACACATTGAGTCAATTTTTGTGTATAGTTTAAGACAAGGACAAAATTCATTTTTTTCTATATTAATATCCAGCTTCCCTGACACAATTTGTTGAAGAGACTGTTCTTTCTTCATTGAGGTTCCTTGGCACTGTTTTTGAAGATATTTGACTGTATATGCAAGGGCTTATTTCTGTGCTATTTCATTCCATTGGTTAATATGTCCATTTTAATAACAGTACAACACTCTTTTAATTACTGTAGCTTTGTGATATATTTTAAAATCAGAAAGTAGGTTCTTCAACTTTTTTTCTCTCAAAATTGTTTTGGCCATTGAGGGCTCTTTCAAATTTTATGTGAATTTTAGGATGAGTTTCTTATATTTCTAAAAAAAAATAATGCTACCAAAAGTTTGAAAGGTATTATATTTAATCTGTAGATCACATTATGTAGTATGGATATTGTTAACAATATTATCTTCTAATCCATGAACATGAGGTGTCTCTTCATTTGTTTGTATGTTTTTAAATTTCTTTCAACAATGTTTTATAATTTTATAATATTTGGTTAGAAGTCTTTAATCTTGACAGTTTATTTTTAAGTAATTTATATTTTAGGCAATTATAAATAGAATTGTTTTCTAAATTTTCTTTTTGGATTGTTTATTGTTACTGTACAGAAATAGAACCTATTTTGATGTATTGATGATAGAGTGTGCAACTTTGTGAGGTTTTTCAGTTATAACTTTTTTGTGGAATCGTTAATGCATTCTAAGATCATGTCATCTGCATACAGAGAAAAGTTTCCTTCATTCTTTCATTTTAATACCTTTATTTCTTATTCTTGACTAATTACTCTGGCTAGGTCTTCTAGTACTATGTTGAATAGAAGTGGCAAAAACAGATATCCTTGTGTTTTTCCTGATTTTAGAGAAGTAATGAGTTTTTCACCACTGAGTAGGATGTTAGCTGTGAGCTTTACATAAATTCTTTTACTATGTTGAGGTAGTTGTACCTATTTTTTTCTTCAACCACCTAATTAAAATTAATTTATATTCCATAATAAGATGTTTGTTTACTTGTATTTTAAGTTACAGTTTCATTATTTCAAATATTCATACGTTTGCTTTTCTTCTCCAGCCTAAATGTGTAAAATTAACTCTCACAAAAAATATATTTATGATATTGGAACTCCTTTAGTTGTTCTTGCCTTACCAAGTGTAGCTTCTAAGTTTTCTCTATTATACATGATGCTGACTTTTGCCTTTGTGCATATCTATATCTCTATACGTACACCTATAGCTACATATACATATATACATATCTTATAACTGTTTACCTATGTATTTGCATGTGTGTGTATATTCCAATAGGATATAGTGTGAATTCATGAGTCAATTTATTGTGTGTGTGTAAACATGCATATGTATAAATATATATATATACTTTTTAACTTTATTTCTTCTGTGATACATCAGTATCTCTTTCCTTTCAGAATGAGAAGCTTGGTTCTCTAGAACACAGATAACAATAAAATTAAAATATTCCATAACTATAATTTGCTTTATTGCTTATTGCATAAAAATGTTTTCAGAGTAACAATATTAATACTATTTTTTATAATTATTGAAAATAAATAGAAATTATTATTTGACTATACAAATAATTGTAAATGTTTGCCCCAGGTTTGGGATTTTGTTGTTGAGCTTCTCTGATAGTTTTTATGTGGGGGTTTGGGAAGATCTAAAGAGTATACTGTCACCTTCATTGCCATTGACACAGAATGCTATAATTTTTTTTGATCTTCTATAGCTTCTTGAATTCAAAGATTAGTATATTTCCTTGTTTACAACATACATATTTAAGAATCTAAAATTTCCTCCATGTACTGCTTTAGCTGTATTATATTCCTTTTGATATTTAATACTTTTATAATTGCTGTCTTCTAGATATCACATTGTTTAGGCCTGTTTTCTTTGATCCTAGTATTATGTATTTATACATTTTACTTACAAATTATAGGATGCTTTAAAACTTATTTATTTTCCACACATGGTAGTGTCTTATAGTTTTATTGCATTGTAATCAGAGTATGTTATCTGTAATATTTCTATCTCTGAGAAGGTTGTATTTTTTCATTTGTGTGGTATATTATGGTTAGTTATTAAATATGTCACACGTTTTAAATGTCACCATTGTCAGGGTACAGTGTTTGATGTAATTTGTTGGAGCTACTTTACTGATTATTTTACTTAAGGGTATTTTGTTTTCTAGTAATATTGTACATAGGTGACTAAAACAAATCATTTTCTATTCAATAAAAGTAAGCAAATGTAAAATACAAAAATGAATGACCTAAAGCTGGTCCTCATTTTAACCTGAGTATATATTACTCCTGAGGTCTGCACAACTTCAAGTCAATATTTTCTAACTTAATGACTTCAACATAATCCCACAGATTTAGTTCTTTTGAAAATGAGCTCACAGGCAATATTACGAAATACACAATGCAGCATAGTAACTTCATACAGTCTATGAAGGTAGGGAAAAACAGAATAATCAGATTAACAAGTATTTCATATGACTTCAAATGCAATCTATCAGTGAATGACTCCCCAAGTTATATCTCCAGCCTCTATATTTCTTCTGAACTTCAGACTCCTTCATCTAATGCCTGCTCAACATCTCCTACTGGTTTCCTAACAGGCATGTCAAACTCAAGATGTCCAAATTGAACTCCTGGTCTTCAACTGATTTTACCACAAACACCTGATCTCAATTCTTCTGGTGCTCTATTCTTGTAGTTTCCCAGTCCAGAAATCTTGGCATTATGATTAAATTTCTTTCTATTTCTATCCAATCTGTTAGGAATCCCTCCTGATTCTACCTTCAAAAATATATACAGTTGATCCTTGAACAACATGGGTTTGAACTGCGAGGGTTCAGATATACATGGATTAAAAAAAAAAATGTAGTTGCCCCTCCATATGAGTGGGTTCCATATCCACAACCAAAGGCAGATGAAAAATATAGTATTTGCAGGTTACAAAACCAGCCTCTATGGGACATTTTGTATACACAGTGTCTGAAGTGCAGACTTCAGGACTTGAGTAATTGTGGATTTTGGTATCGGGGGCAGGGGACCTGGAGCCAATGCCCCATGTACACTGAGGGGGACTATGGCTAATATACTTCTCATCAATGCCTCTGCTTCCATCCTCTTTTGAGATATAATATCTCTCTTGAATGAATTCGTTCATCTCCTAACTGGCCCCCTGCTTCCAACACCTTCATTTTCCCTTCACTTCTGCTTGGTCTACTGTCTATAGAAAAGCCAAAGTGAAACATTTAAAAACTAATCAGACCATATCATGCTCCACATAAAACTCTATCACTAATTCCTTATTTTACTCAATGTAAAACCAAAAGCTTTACAGTTTTCTCAAGGGCCTGAGTGACCTGAGTCTCACACTATCTCTGACTTCATTTCCTGTACTCCCTCTTTCACTTCACTCATATCATACTGTCCCCCCTCATTCTTCCTAGTTTAGGGTAGGAATATTTCTGCCTTTGGGTTTTCACATCAAACATTTTGTATGGCTGAACATATTAATTTCCAGGTATCCATTTGGATATCCCCCTCTTGTTTCTTGCAAATGCCACCTTCTCATTGAAGCCTACCCTGACCGCTCTATCTTACCCACCACTCCTCCTCCAGCATGTTCCATCCTCCTTATTCTGCTTTAAATGTATCCATAGTATTTATTACATCCTAGAATACCATGTAATTTACACATTTATTATGATTGCTCTCTGATTTCTACACCAGAATAAAAGCTCCATGCAGATAGAGAGTTGTACTTGTTTTGTTCACTATAATAGCCCCTGAATCTGGAATAATCCTTAATACATAGTAGTTTCTTGATAAATATTTTTTTCCAAATGAATGAATCATTTCATTACATTTATAACTCTATGAGATAGGTGTCGTTTATGTTTTACACAGGATGCCAATGAGATTCAGATGTGTACAGATAATATGGTTAATAAAAGACCTGGCTCTTAGATCCAGGTTTTATTGACCCCTTGTCCTGTGCTTTTATTTTTATACTGTATGCTTTTCACTATGCTTGTCCTCTATGATTCTTGAAGGAAAGCAAGAAAGTATACTGAGTTACCTGGGCCACAGTCAGTGAATCTTATTGAGTTTTCATGGTGTGCTCTAGCCAAACACTAAGAAAAAGTAAAATTCATTGATTCCTCTCTCCATTTTACTTATAATAAAGCTTTCCATGGCAAAGTGAAAGTGATACTTTGGGAAAAAATTTTTTAAAAAACGGGGAGAAGGAGTGGATGGTGGTGAGCAAATCTGAGACTTTTTCTGTCTAAAATAAAAGAACATATCTCTTCAGTGGTAGAGTAAAATGAAAAGAATTGTAGGCCCAAATCTGCTGTTAACTGTGTGACATTTAATACGCTGCTTGACTTGTTTTCTCATTTGAAATATGAAAACATTAGAGTTAATAATGCTAAAGTATTTTTCATATTTAACATTATTCAAAATCTATTGGCTGATGCAATCTTCTAGGAGATGATTTGGCAAGCTGGATTATAAAACGAGATCATAATCTCCATTTATGAATCTTTATTTCCTGCTGGGCCAAAATCAAGGAAGGAAAGCACTTCAAAGCTTCTTTTTTCTGCTTTTTTGATACTCATTTTCATTTGTTTGAAAAATAAGACATGAATTCCACATATATTTCTGTTTAATTTCATATTCTTCAGAGTTTTTTTTCTAATTTTGCTGGTGAGTTGAAATTATTAAATAAAATAAAGGCATTGTCATACTAAAATGCACATATCTTGGTTGTTAAAAAGAGGGATTAGAAAATAGATGTTTGGTTGATATGGAGAAAGTAGGTACCAATATTCTATACCAATATGCTATTATAACATCCTCGATGTTCCTTTAGCTTCATTTTTAGATCCTTGATGTCATAATAGCATAACATAATGTTATTTGGGGTTGTGATGAGACATTTTTCTTCTGCTAAACAGGTGCAGTCACCATCACTCTTGCCAAATCATCTTAGTGCACAGAAATTGAAATACCACGTTATCTGCACATACATTTGCTTTGTTCAGGGGACATACTTGTCACCAGTCAAGCTTGGCATCTACAGAGTGGAGGCAGTGAAATGTGGGCTTGCCACAACTCTCCATCTAGTTCTTAAAAACCTGATTCAGTGTTACCCAAGAGGCTATGAAACATGAGCAGTAAGAAAGATCACTAATAATGAAGTCCTGGCAGGCAGCCAATCTTCCTGCAGTGAAGTCCTGCTCACTTTAATGTAGTTCCACTGGGCTGGATACATGTAGAGGATGAATGACAGCAGGATGCTGAAACAGCTGCTAGGTGATCAGCTGAAGTGGCCCAAATGAATGTGGGCAGGGAAGGAGGAGTGTAGATGTTAGAACATTTGCTAAAGGACTGTGAAACAACACCTAGAGCATCATGATACCAACTAGTTGTAGACTGGTACAGCACAAAAGCATCAGAGAATCCATCTTGGCCTATAATTTTCACATAAAATGATTTTTTTGCCAAATAATAGAAAGCCAAACAAAACACTCTGTTAAAATTATTTCCTAGAATGCCACATCGACTCTTATTTTGATGTGAAAGCTCTTAAACAGTCAACAGATATCTACAGGTTTTGAGTTTTCCTCTAGAAAATCAGCAGGTTCCACATTTCCAGACTTCAGAATATGTTCCTTTAGCTTCATTTTTAGATCCTGTAAATCAGCATGAGAAAAGGTATAACAAGAGCTAAGGCAAGGTAATAAAAAAAATAAAATAGCAACTAAGAAGTAAAAAACCTGCACTATTTTCCTAACAATTAAGTCCTCTCCTGGTAGGCTTTGCATATTTTTGGAGGCAAAATTAGTCTTAAGTTGGGACCAAGCACGGAAATTGTCTGAAAGAATCAACATTATGTTGGTAGAAAAATATGTGGAAGAATGTTTACTATTTAGAGGAAATATCCTCCATCTGATTGCTTATTTATATAAAGACAGTTATCTTCAAATATAATAGGTCACAACCTATTGAATGGTTGAATGACCCATGCTGGACTCCATGTTTGAAGCTGACTACTTGATTCTGCCTTATATATTAATGTACAGTTTGCATCTGCAATTGGATTTGACTCATATGTATATTTTGGTTTTGTCCTTAAAATCAAATATTTTAGTTATATCCCAAGCTCTGTAACAAACATTCTTTCATTTCTTTACATTTCTCTTGCACATCTATGCACTCAACATACTGCAAGATACTGAGGGTACAACAATAAATAAGATATATAATTTCTAAACTCCTAGAACTTGAGTACTTATTGTTTAAAGCTTACTTTACTTGGCTTTGTGATACCAGGTCACACAATTCATGACATCTACTCAAAGAGGCACACAATTTTACTGGAGAGGAATAAATCACATGAAAAGAAAATAAAGAAAGGCAATATTTATAATTATTTAATGAGTCTTTCAGAGCAGGCAAACTTTTCTACAAAGGGCCAGTCAATGCTTTACACCATGTGGGCCAATAGTCTCTGTTACATCTACTCACCTCTGCCCTTGTGGAACAACAGAAGTCAGAAACAATAAGTAAACTAATGGGTGTGACTCTATTTCAAATCAAACTTTATTGACAAAAACATGTGGTGGGCTTGATGTAGCCCATGGGCTGTAGTTGGTTGACCCCTGTTTCAGAAAATAATTTCCGTAGCAGCTGGTGAAGAGATGGAAATCATAGCATAAGATCACAGAGAAGGTCCACTGGATCTCAAAGACAGGAAGAAAAAAGTGGTTCACACCCATTTTACAGAATTTCAGCAAAATAACTAGAATATACTCTGCAACTTCTTTTATACAGTACATGAATTTATTCATCTCAACCCAAACTTTGCTACCCATATTAGGTTTAACTCATCTTTTCTAGCCCAACTTTTTCTACATGAGACCTTATTTTTTCCATTGGTTTTAAGCTTGATCCCTAGAGAAGACTTATTCTCTGAATACTAGGTACTTTTTTGACAATCATAAACTGATTGCTTTAAGGTTCAGGTCTCAGTTTGTATCGGCAGGTAAACACTGATTCCCATACTTGATGCTGGCTGAATATAAGCAGAAAAAGAATGATGTATGGGATGAGTGTACATAAGAGTAGTAGGAAATGAGCTGTAATGGGAAGACTAAAAACTGGGAAATATTCTCAAAGTTGAAAGAGGAATAATGGTAAAAAGTACAGTCATGCATTGCTTAATAATAGAATTGTGTTCTTTAGGCAATTTTGTCCTTGTGTGAACAACATACAATGTACTTACACAAACCTAGATGGTATAGCTTACTGCACACATAGGCTGTATGATATAGGCTATTGCTCCCAGGCTACAAATCTGTATAGCATGTTGCTATACTGAATACCATAGGCAATTGTAACACTATGGAAAGTATTTCTGTATCTAAACACATCTAAGTATAGAAAATGTATAGTAAAAATATGGTATAAAAGATAAAAAATGGTACACCTGCATAGGGCACTAACCATAAGTGGAGCTTGCAGGACAGGAAGTTGCTCTGGATGAGTCTCCGAGTGAATGGTGAGTGAATGTGAAGGCCTAGGATGCCACTGTACACTCTGTAGACTTTATAAACACTGTACACTTAGGCTGCACTAATTTATAATTTTTTTCTTTCTTCAATAATAAATTAACCCTAGCTTACAACTATTTCCTTTATAAAACTTGAATTTTTTAACTTTTTGACTCCTTTGTATAACACTTTGATTAAAATACCAACACCTCGTACAGCTGTACAAAAATGTTTTCTTTTATAGATCCTCATTCTTTAAGCTTTTTTCTATTTTTAAATTAAAATTTTTGAATTTTTTTAAACAATTGTGTTAAAAAACTAAGAAAAAAGGACAGACATTAGCCTAGGACTACAGGGTCAGGATCATTAATATCACTGCCTTCAACCTTCACATCTTGTATCACTGGAAGGTCTTCAGGGGCAATAACATGCATGGAGATGTCATCTCCTATGATAACAGTGCTATCTTCTGGATATCTGTTGAGGAACCTGCCTGAGGCTGTTTTACAGTTAAATTTATATATATATACGTATATATATATCATATACACACACAAATTATATATATATAAAGTTAACTATATATATATATACTTATATATATGTAGAAGCAGTACACTCTAAAATAATAACATTAAGTATAGTATAGTAAATATATAAACCAGTAACACAGTTATTATCATTTTCAAGTATTATATACTATATATAAGTTGTATATGTTATACTTTTATATGACTGGTATCACAGTAGGTTTGTTTACACCAGCATTACCACAAACACGTGAGTAATATGTTGCACTGACACATTATAATGGGTATGACATCACTAGGTAGTAGAAAATTTTCAGTTTAATTATTATCTTGGCTGTTGTGGTGGCTCACACCCGTAATCCCAGCACTTTCGGAGGCCCAGGTAGGAGGATCATTTAGGGCCAGGAGTTTAAAATGAGCATGGCAACATAGGGAGACCCTATCTCTACAAAAAATACAAAAAAAAAAAAAAAAATTAGCTGGTTTAGTGGCACATGCCTGTAGTCCCACCTACTTGAAAGGCTGACCCAGGAGGATGGCACCACTGCACTCCAGCTTGGGTGACACAGTGAGACCCTGTCTCAAGAAAAAAAGAAATTCTTATAGGACTATTATCCTATATACGGTTCATCACTGGCCAAAATGTGTCATTATGAGGCACATGTACATTAATGTGTTTCAGAAGGTCCAGCTGATCGCAAGCATGCCATTCCTGTGGAGAGAGACAAGTTCTTTTAAGAATTTGATGATGTTATACTTGGGCAATTCTACCCCTATAGAGAGTACATGGAAACATTATATATTAATGGTAGAGTTAATGAATATTTCACTAACCTGAATATACTTTTCTTTTCCATAATATTCTCCATAGTTTGCCTAATTAAGCATTAATAATTTAAGTTAGTTTTTTAGGTCTTTGAGGATTTCCAATTCATAGTTTAAGAATTGCAGAACTTTACCATTACCATCTCTCTTTTGTTAAGTTGTTAATTAAATAACAAGCTACAAATGATTCATTTTTAAGTACCAAATGCATTTTAAATAAATGTTCTTGCAAAGTGTCTACTTTGTGTGTGCTGCTTGAGACTGTCTAAACAAGATATTTCCACAAGATCTTAACACTTTATGGTTCTGCATATATCCATGTTTTCCGAATAGCATTCCTTCTGTCTGGCACTTTCCCTTGCATTCTACACAAAACTTAGACCCCTAACTTAACATCCTTCACCTGACCTCGACATCATTTTTCAAAGGATTCTGCCTTGGCCTTCCCAGGAGGGCTGAATACAAAACACATCTGCTTGCTCAGCACTGTCACACTTGTCACATTTATTTGCGATTGTTTTTGCTTTTCTCTCCACTAGATTCTGGGGCACTGGAACACAGGAATTCTTTTTCATCTCAGTGGCTACTGCCAATGCTGGTATACAGTAGGTACTCAATAAATATTTGGAGAAACAAATGAATAACAAGTTCCTACTGTACAATGTAACTGTATTATGAACATATCTCAGAAGCTACAAGAAGCATTTTGTTCTTAAAGTTATAGCTAATATCCTAGTTATATCATCTTCACAACTCATCTAATTTATTCATGTTTGTGTTTAACACATAACTGAAAATAATATGTGGAAGTTACAAGCACTATTTTATGTATAGTGGTAGTATTTCTGATCTTAGATAAAGACAACTTGAGTTCATTACCATCATCACAGCTATGGTACTTTGGGTAAGTCAGTCAGCCTCTCTGAGCTTTAGTTTTTACATCTATAAATAGGACAATAATAATATTCTTCATGGTTGTTCCGAGGATGAAAAAGATCATTCTTACAATGGCTTTTAAATCACATCATGAAATATAAATCATCATGATTATTTCATTTCTTTTCATGTTCAACCCCAAGCATCACCAAGTAAAACATCGTTAAAAGCCTCCAGGAGCCGGACCTGCCTTGGTATTTATATGGAATATTATTTTTAATAATTAACAATTTGTCCCTCATATCTTAACTATTCCCGCTGGGTATTATAAATGCTGCAACAATTACACATTTTCATAGCATTATTTATTTCTCCCTTTGGTTCTGAGCTGTTAATGACAAATGGAGAATTAAGACATAAAACAATTTAATTTTCTATCTAAACAGAATTGGAGGACTAAGCATTGTTCTTAGTTTTTAATGAGAATGATTGGTCTTTAGATAGAGATGTGTTAAATGATTAGTTAAGAAGAATATATTCATCAAAGATTGAATATGCACACCAGGTCTTCTTTTCTAGGTATTCACTTGGCCAGGAAAATAATGAATCTTTCTCTTGCTTGATAGAAATATGGCTATACCTCTAGCAGATTCATGCTGTTTAACTCTGCATAGCCACTGTCTGTGAAAGACTGGTCTCCAGAATGTTAACTCACATTTACAATGTTTGCAGAAGCTTGCAATGCAGGAGTGAGTCTTTAAAAAGACTTACTGCCACAATCACCACCCATCCTATTTAATAAAATGGAGCAGTGGAGTTGTTTCAAACGTCACAGTTGTTCTTCATATCAGAGAAAACCAGTGCATTTCTAAAAGTAGGTGGCTTGAATGGAGAAAGTAATTGCCTGGTTCATTCATGTAAGATCTAATAAAAAACTGTTATACCATACTTAAGTGTGCAAACGTTTTTCAATCACCTTTTTAAATTTCAACTTGTAACACTTAGAAAGGAGATCACAAAGTAGATATTTTCAGATATTTTGAACAAGGCATATTCAAAGCTCATAGTGGAACACTTTTTTTTTTTTTTTAATCACTGAGTATATTACAGTCACAATTTAACCCTGGTCAATGCAGCAAACTTTGCATCTCCTTTTTCTTGAAGTGCTTTTCTCGCTTTTCATATCTTGCAAATTGTGAAAAAAGAAATGAAACTGAAAAAAAAAAAAATAGAAAAGTAGAGAAGTGGATTACATGGGTTCCAGACACAGGGCTGCTAAATTCTGAGACTCTTATGGAGTGATGATAAGCCCCTTGAAAGAGACTTTGATATTGGGGCCAGCCCTTCAACAGTGCAGTTTTCATGTGGCAGACTTTCTAATACATGTTGTGGCTGGGAGAGGGAGGCTAATTCCAGCCTTTCTCCCTGAAATTTCTAAACCAACTTTCTCAACCACAGTCGCTTTGGTTGCCAAGATGAAGCTGCTAGCACGTATGACAACTTTTCTTTCATTCTGAATATTCTATAATTGGAAATGAGATGAATGCAAAAAACCAGGATAGGGCGATAAAAACAATACTATGCAGCCATAAAAAAGGATGAGTTCATATCCTTTGTAGGGACATGGATGAAGCTGGAAACCATCATTCTCAGCAAACTATCACAAGGACAAAAAACCAAACAGGAAGGGGAACATCACACACCGGGGCCTGTCATGGGGTTGGGGGAAGAGGGAGGGAAAGCATTAGGAGATATACCTAATGTAAATGACGAGTTAATGGGTGCAGCACACCAACATGGCACATGTATACATATGTAACAAATCTGCACATTGTGCACATGTGCCCTAGAACTTAAAGTATAATTTTAAAAAATGTTGCAACAATTAAAAAAAAAAAAAACAATATTGTCACTGAGTCAGGAAAGGGGTGCCTTTTAGAGAAGGCATCAGGAACGATCATTTGAAGATGTGACAGTAGAGTTGTGACCTAAGAGCAAACCGTGCAGACAGCTTGTGTAAAGGTGCTGAGGCTGCAAATATTTTATTTTGTGTCTGGAGTATAATGAAAGAAAGGGCAGGAGTGATGAGGTGCAAGCATGATCTCTCAGGGCCTTGAGACCATTATAATAAATTAATCAAGAAATTTAACAGCAAAAGGAAATAAATATAAAATCTGTTGGTTACATCTATTATTGTACTAAACTATGTTCTGGAAAAGTCAATTTCGTTTTATTCCTGAGAGATGCTTTTCTAGTCACAAATCTGTCCATTTAAAAAATGAGAGTCTTCCAGGTTTGAATCCAGGCTTTCAAAATTTTACATTTCTTCTCTTCCCTATGCGAGAATATAGTTTCTCCACAATATGTGCTTATTAGTCATTCATATATCTTCTTTAGTGAAATGCCTATTCTATTGGTTTGCCTATTTTTAAATTATGTTGTTTGTCTCCTTTTTAAATTATAAGAATTCTTTATATATTCTGGATATAAGTCTTTAAATGGATGTTATGTTTCACAAATATTTCCTCCCAGTCAATGTCTTATTTTTTTCTTTCCTTAAAGATGTCTTTTGAAGCCCAAAAGTTATCTATTGACTTATTTATTTATTTAAGATGGAGTTTTTGCTCCTGTTGCCCAAGCTGGAGTGCAGTGGTACAATCTTGGCTCACTGCAACCTTCACCTCCCAAGTTCAAGCAATTCTCCTGCCTCAGCCTCCCGAGTAACTGGGACTACAGGCTCCTGCCACCATGCCCGGCTAATTTTTTGTATTTAGTAGAGACAGTTTTCCCCATATTGACCAGGCTGGTCTCGAACTCCTGACCTCAGGTGTTCCACCTACCTTGGCCTCCCAAAGTGCTGGAATTATGGGCATGAGCCACTGCGCCTGGCCAAAAAGTTATTTTATTTTATATTTTATTTTATTCTTCTTTAAGTTCTTTAAGTCATGTATGTGCGGACGAAAAGTTATTTTTAATGAAATCCAATATATATATTTTTTATTTTATGTACCATTACTGGTGTTATGTCTAAAAATCTGTCTTCTAAATTACTTTCACAAAAATTTTCTCCTATATATTCTTCTAAAATTTTACATTTTAGCCTTTCCATTTCAGTGTATAATCTATTTTAAGTTAATTTTTGTCTTATGATATGAGTAAAGTACCTAAATTAGGAATTTTAATGGGATTATCTAATTTTCTCAGAACCTTTTGTTGAAAAGACTACCTTTTCCCCCCATTCAACTGCCTTAGTGGCTTTATTAAAAGTCAATGAAACATAAATTCTAAGTTTTTACTTCTGAATTTTCAATTTCATTCTGTTTATCTAGGGATCTTTTCTTGCACCAGTATCAGTGTCATGATTATTGTAAATGTATAGTAAGCTTTGTCATGGTTCTTTTCAAAATTGTTTTGGTTATTGTGAGCCCTTTTCATTCTCATTTAAATGTCAAGACAAACTAGTCAATATTTACAAAACCATCAGCTGAGATTTTAACAGGGATTGTGTTAAACCCATTGATGAAACTATAAAGAATTGCTTTTTTAGCAATGTTGAGCTTTGTAGCGCATAAACATAGAATGCCTATTTATTTCAGATCTCTTAAAACTTTTTTTCAGCAATGTTTTGTTGTTTTCAGAAAACAGGCCTTGAACTTCTCGTAAAAAATGTAATCTCAAATATTTTATTCTTTTTGATGAAATTATGAATGAAATTGTTTTTCTTAACCTCATTTTCGGATGTTCTTGGTGAGCATATGGAGGGTGTGCTGATCCCCTCATGTTGCCCTCCCAGAAGTCATGCATCCTTTAAACAGGAATGTTTTCTAAATCACGGGAACGGTGGGAAAAGTATAGGGCTTTGTGTGAAGTATCTCAGAGTATATTTGGAAAGATACACTAAAACTAGATTTTAAAATATTTGGCATTTATATTGTGAATTACACTTGACAAAAATACCTGAACAGTGGTAAAGAGAAAGTAAAGCTAAAATAAAGAAGACTGAGAAATGGAGATCTTTGCAAAACTGAAAAATTGTCCTGGGACAATCTGAGAAGGGCCTAAACAAAAACAGTAGTGGGGACAGATATGTTTTCCAGGCAAGCCTTGGTTGAATAGCTACCCTAAGTCTAGTGAACCAAAATCTGGCACCAGTGAGGTTGTGTGGAGTGCTCAACAAGTGATACATTTGCAATAAAAAAATTGGCAAGAGGAAACAAAGTTTATTTATTTTGAACAGTATTTTTGGCAAATAACGGTTTATATTTTTTCATATTTAGTTTTATAATAAATGTCTCTTGTACGTTATTTAATATGTATAAATTTGCAAATGCTTGGCTTATAGCTTTACAATGAAGCAATAATTAATACACAAAAATACACCTATTCATTGACTGTGGCTGAACATTTTTCAAATTACATAAAGTCATGGTAAACATTAAATGAGGTAATATCTAGTACAGTAAAAAAATGGCAAAAATGTTACTAAATAAATGAAATTTTTATATTTTCTTTCCCTTGTTGTCCATACTCAGTATTTATTGAAAGTAAAATTATGCTTGACATTCAGAAAATATGTCTCCTCTAAAGTTTTTTTTAATATTATGAAGTCTAAATTAAGATTAAAAATACCAATGGAAATTTCACAGAGCATATTCCACAAGAAGGACAAGAAAATGAGCCTGCAATTAGATAAAACTGCATCCTTTCAAAGAATTGTATTATTAAATATTCAAGATTATGTGCATTAGTGAGGACATAAACTCATAGGCATACCTTTTTGCAAGGCTACTGACAGTAACTAACCATTAGAGAAACATTAAATGAAATATTGAAAGAGGAAGACAATTCAAGAAATGGACCAATTTGAGCAACTCAAAGGCACTGCTTTCGATGGCACATTTAGGGAACAAAAGACAAAAGAGAATCAGAAAAAAAAATCATTTATAGACAAAGTGGCCACTGCCCGTTGATTGAGAGGTCACACTTTAAATCATTTTGACAGCTGAAAAGGGAGAAGAGTTTTCCCAGAAGGTAGTTTTTAAATTTTTTTTTAAACTTCATATAAAGAAAAGGACACTGAAACTGACCCAAAAATGACTAAAAGATTTAGTTGCAGAGTATATGACCAGTGTAGTACTAAAGCCAGATAAAGAACATTTAAAAATTGGATGCAGAATAGATGAAGGGAACAACTCACTAAATTGCCATTTTCTGGCTCCTTTGGAAACCATTTCTCCCTCTAGCTATATTCTACCCTTCCATTCAGTTTAATGATAATTTTATTTTTTTCTAGCATGATCTGGGTTTATGACAACTTCAATTTTTTCTTAGCAGAAGCAGTTATTAGATGTATTGCTTATGACTAATTCTCTCAAGACTTAGACTGTAGAAACAATAGCAACATTTAGTTCCTCATTTCATAAATCCTAAATATGTAAATATCATCTACTAAATTTCTATATATTCTATAAATATATTAAAGGTGAATCAACAATATGAAGCATGATTTTCTTTACATCTCACAGCATTTTGTTCAAACAGAGTTGACATTCATGTTACAGCTTGGGATAACACTTCCCTGCTTTCATTTTGAAATGTTCAGTGGTCCTGCCACTTGGATTCATGTTGCATTTGTACACACAGAGAAACAGAAAAATGAAAAAGTTGTCTGTATGATTTCAGCAAATAGCCAATTTTTATCTGAATTATATTAATGTCGGTAAGCATGACTCAATGATCCGGTACTCTGGTTTAGAGTGAAGCATATCTGAACATGAATTCAGGGTATGCCCCTTAACTTCACTAAGGTACTATTATTCTTCTTTATACACTGGGATAATGACAAAAATTAACAGAATAAAGTAAATTATGTGAAGATTAAATGAGATGATGTTAAAAAAATCCGTTAGCATAGGTCCCAGAAATTGTAGTCATCACATAGTCCAACGGAACAGAATAGAGAACTCAGACATAAGTCCGCACATGTACAACTATCTGATCTTTGACAAACCTGACAAAAACAAGCAATGGGAAAAGAATTCCCTATTCAATAAATGATGCTGGGATAACTGGTTAGCCATTTGCAGAAGACTGAAATTGGACCTCTTCCTTACACACAAAAATTAACTCAAGATGGATTAAAGACTTAAATGTAAAACCCAAAACTTTAAAACTCTGAAAGACAACCTAGGCAGTGCCATTCAGGACACAGGCACAAGCAAAGATTTTATGATGAAGATATCAAAAGCAATTGTGAAGACAAAAATTGACAAATGGGATCTAATTAAACTAATGAGCTTCTGCACAACAAAAGTAACAAGAGTAAACAGACAACCTACAGAATGGGAGAAAATATTTGTAAACTGTTGGATGTGCATCCAACAGAGGTCTAACATCCAGAATCTATAAGGAACTTAATCAAATTTACAAGAGAAAAAGAAGCAACCTCATTAAAAAGTGGGCAAAGGACATGAACAGACACATTTCCAAAGAAGACATACATGCGACCAACAAGCATACGAAAAAAAACTCAACATCACTGATCATTAGAGAAATGCAAATCAAAACCACAATTAGATAACATCTCATGCCAGTCAGAATGGCTACTATTAGAACACAAAAAAATAACAGATGCTGATGAGGTTGTGGAGAAAAAGGAACACTTATACACTGTTGGTGGGAGTGAAAATTAGTTCAACCATGGTGGAAGACAGTGTGGCAATTCCTCAAAAACAGAAATATCATTCAAAGGAATGGTATTTACAAAAAGAAATATACACAAACGAATATAAATTGTTGTGTCATAAAGACACATGCATGTGTATGTTCACTGCAGCACTATTCACATTAGCAAAGACAGGGAATCGACCTAAATGGTCATCAGTGATAGACTGGATAAAGAAAATGTGGTACATACCCACCATGGAATACTATGCAGCCATAAAAAAGAATGAGCTCATGTCTGTCGCAGGGACGTGGATGGAGCTGGAGGACATTATCCTTAGCAAGCTAACACAGGAACAGAAAACCAGATGTTCTCACTTACAAGTGTGAGCTAAATGATGAGAACATATCACCACATAGAAGGAACAACACACACTGAGGCCCATCAGAGGGTGGAAGGTGGGTGGAAGGAGAGAATCAGGAAAAATAACTAATGGGTACTAGGCTTAATACCTGGATAATGAAGTAACCTGTACAACAAATCTCCATGACACAAGTTTACCTATGTAGCAAACTTGCACATGTACCCGTGAACTTAAAAAATAAATGTTAAAAAGCAAAACAAAAAGAAGTATTAGTCATCCAGTAAATGTAGATAAAGTAGTAGTTGTAGTAGTAATAATAGATGTGCTAGCAATAGTAGTCTAAGTCACAGTGGGAGTACTAGTCATAACAATTGTGCTATCAAATTTTGGCCTAAATTATCAAAAGGAAAATTTCAGTTTTACTTTTATTTTTACCCCAGCCTGAGTCCAATAATAAATCAGAATCTTTATATATAAACTGAGTAAAAAAAATTATAATAAAAATATCCTCAGTTCACAATGTTCTTAATCTATGACTGATACTTTACATGCACTCTCTCTTATCTCCAAAAACACCCCCCAAGGAAGGAATATCAGTAGAAATCTAGTTATAAGTGGCTAATGCTTCTCTAACTAGCTTGATTTGAAAAGGAAGATTAGTTGACATACATTTGAAGCCATGGGGCTGTCAGGGATGGAAGTGACCCCAGAGTATCTTTATTTCACATCTCATATCTGTTTTTATTGTTGTTTTGCTATCATAGTTATGCTTCTCTTTATCAGAAGCATGTCTGTAGTTGATTCCAGATTTAATGCCGTGCAGATTCCTGACCAAAGGGAACAGGGGCCTGGTGTCCCTCAACTCTAGTTTGTACGAAAGAATTGGGAAAATCTGACTGACCCAGCTTCAGTGAGGTTCTCATCCTTAGGTATCAATCACTCTTGGAGGTTGGGAAAAGGGTAGAGGATTGACTAGCCTAGCCTATGTGACATGGCCATTCTGTGTCCATGAGGATGGTATCTGTAACATGAAGAATGCAGGAAGTACTGCTAGACACCAAGAAAGATGGCTACCACAGCATGTAACCAAAACTCCTTATTTATAGATGGGATGTTAGCATTCTGAGACAATAAGTAATTTTAAAACTTCAGAGTTCTAATGAGAATTTACATTTGTGTCTCTTTAACTGCAGCATGCATGGTCTGTCCACTGTGCCATCCTGCTATTTTAATTTTATGGATATTTATATGATGAATCCTGGCAGTTGGTATTGAATATCAGGACAGAGAATTCATACTGGTTCTCAAAATATAAGTGTTTGGCAATCTCACTTCTCTTCATAATTGGCAACATTTTACCTAGTGCTACTAAGAATTTCCTGAAGCTCCATCAAAGCAACACTGAATTGATAGATTTTCCTAAATACGTTAGATTTTATTAATTCAGCAAACAGCCCAAATGCTACTTTTTATTTATTTTATCAATTTTTAATTGCAGTGTGCTTAGCAATCCCTCTCATTAATAATGTCTCCCTAAAATCTGGGAGACATGTTTGCATTTTATTTTATATTTTTCATAAAAGCCCACTGAGTCCATGGAAGGGTGTACATATATACAACATGGCTCAGTCATGATTTTCTGCTTTGTCAGTATTCTTGGCCATGATTAAATAACAAGTAAATGTTATTTTAGGAGATATTTTGGAGATTCAGAAAGTATCCAAATGTGTACAAAGGAACTTAATTTTATTCAATGCGTTGTAAGACTCAAGGTTTATAATACTGAAGAGTCTGGAAATATTCATGTAGACTGGCTTTGCTTGTTCTGGACACCTAAAGTTATTGATCTAATCAGTTTTCTTTCTCAAATTTAACTTATTTGATTTTCATATGAACCACCCAAAATATGTTATTTTCCTGTGTGCCTCTTGGGATATTACAACAAATGAACACAGTAATACATAGGCTATTACGCTTTGTGGCATAATCAATAATATAAATAGAACATGCTTTAATTTTCTTTTTGAGATATTAGTGGTTACAATTTATTAAGCTACTTATAAGCTTAGATTAACTTTTGCTCTAATTACATGAATTTTCCTTCTGTGTCTACCATAATGTTGTTTATTGTGCTACTGTGTAAATGAGTGAACAAACATTCCTTTTGTTTTATGAATCTGTTTTATTATACAGACTAGTGTGATTATCACTCTTTGACCTAATTGCAAGCCTGCCTTCAAAATAAATTTACCCTATTTTCCAAGTAGATAAAAAGTTCAAATTTTTCATTATGCAAAAAGTCATATTTTTTCAAGGAATTCAAAAGTTAATGTTATCATAATCCTAAATAGATGAAGCAATGGTGAAGAAAACTGCAGAGCAAATATGAAATGTAATAATGGTCTTCCAACAGCTTGCCTTTCAAATTGTTAAGAATTCATTAAACAATGGTTGAGCAGCACTGACAATTAAATTACTCTCATATGAGGTATCTAGCCATATAATGAATATTGCATACTACATAGCTCACATTTCTAAAGGGATGCAGACAACAAACTGGATTTCAGACAATTAACATGAGGCTTAAATTCAGTCTCCAGACACATTACACTCTGTTTCCAAGCAAAAATAATTGGGATGTAACCGTATAAAGAGGGTTAACATTAAAAACGTTAAAGAAAAGAAAAGAGCATAGAATTTGTGGCTGCATTATTCTACAGTTTACCACGCTGTGGAATAACTGGGAGGCACGAAGTAGTATTAGTGACTAACCTTACAGAGTTGTAAACATTTTGCACAAATTACACCTTTTAAAGCCTGCATGATATAAGTAGCTTCCACTCATTTTCCTACAGATGTTTAAAGCAACGGATGAAAGTCAAGCTGCTAGTGTCACAGCTAGGATTGAAGCTTCTAGTGTTTGGATGTATAACTGCCGCACCATGGATTTTGTGAGACATATAGAGAAGTATCATCCACATTTTTACTACTCAGCCATTTTTTCATATTTATGTTTAGTGTCCATTTTTCTCCTCAAAAATATAGAAAACTTTCTATTAAGAATACTTGTAAAAAACAAAAAAGAATACTTAACGATGAATCCTTCGTTTAGAGCTAGTGTATTCACTCATTGGGTAGAGCCCACAGGAAGTTGGGAAAATTAAACAGATAAGCGTAGAGGGCAGTCTTGACCATGGGGCAGAAGTTATGGAGAACAAATTTGGTGTCTCTTGTAAGTATCATGTTCTAAAAAATTGTGCCACTGGAGCTACACATTTGGTGTCTCTGCACTTTTCGGTAGTGTGCTTCGGTTAACATTTTTAAAAGTAAACTTTTTAAAACTTTAGAATAGTTTTATATTCAGAGAAAAATTGTGAAGATAGTACAGAGTGTTTCTATATTACTCCACATCCTGTCTCCCCTGTTATTAGCATTTTGCATTAGTATGGTATATTTATCACAATTTTAATGGAGAAATATTGATACATTTTCAATATTTGGAGAGACACAAACATTTGATATTGATAACTCCTTCTGTTGGCTTTTATGCTCTTTTGACATATTTTCAGCATTGTGGTTTTGTTTTTAGTACATCAAAATGCTCCATACTCATTTTGTATATTTCCTGTTCAGTCAGTTAACTTTTAATATTGGTGAATGTTATATTGTAGACCTTAATTTTTAAGAAACGATTTATTTAATGTATAAACTGCATATTTTTAAAATGTATGATTATTAACTAAAGTCCATTCTTTATTCAGATTTCTTTAATAATGCCCTTTGTCTGCTTTATGCTATCAGCTAAGATACCACATTACATTTAGTTATCATGTGGCTCGAGGCTCTTCTTGGTTATGACAGTTTCTCCAGCTTTCCTTGTTTTTGATGTTCCTGATAATTTAGAGAGTAATGGTCAGGTCTTGTAAAATTTTCCTCAATTTGGATTTGTCTTATGCTTTACTTATGATTAACCTGGTGTTACAAGTTGTTAGGAGGAAGACCAGAGGTAAAGTGCCATTTTCTTTACATCATATCAGCAGTGCATACAATTAATATGACTTATCCATCACTTGTTAAAGCTGTTCTTGCTCACTTGGCTGAGAGAATGTTCATCAGGTTTCTATACTGTAAATTTCCCTTCTCCTCCACTTCCACACTGTACTCTTTGAAGGTCACTATGCACAGTTCACAAGTTAAGGATAAGGAATTATATTCCACCTCCTGAGGGTAGAGAATCTACACAAGTTATTTTGGATTTTTCTGCACAGGAGATTTGTGTTTTCTCCTGTTTGTTTATTTATTCAATCATTTAGTCATCTAAGTATGTGATATTCATTTTATATTTCAGGTTGTAATTCAATCACTATTTTATTTGTTTTATTGTTCCAATTGTTTCATCTTCGATATTGAGAACTCCCGTTGACTTCTATGCTCTTTTGACGTATTTTCATCATTGTGGATTTTTCTTTAATACATCAAAATGCTCCAGACTTGTTTTTATATTTCCTGTCCAATCAGTTAATTTTTAATGTTGGTGAGTGTTATACCAAAAATCTTAATCTTTAAGAAATGATTTATTTAATACATAAACTGCATATTTTTAAAGTTTATGATCTGGGAAGCTTTGAAATATGCATGCACATGTTAAAACATTACCGCAATCAAAATAGTGATCTTAGCCATCACTGACTAAAATTTCCTCAAGCTCCATTGTAATCCTTTCCTCCTTCCACTTCCTTCTTTCTCTCTCAATTTTTCCACGCAAATATTGTTTTGCTTTCTGTCACTACAATTAGTAATGAATTCTCTACAATTTTATTTAAACATAATTACATATTATATACTTTCTTGTAATTTTTTTCACTCAGCATAGTTTATTTGGATTTTCATCCATGTGTTTTCTGTATAAACAGTTACTTTTTTAAATTGGTGAATAGGATTCAATTTTATGTATATATCAAGAATTTTTTTCCATTCACCTCTTGATGGACTTTTGCATTGTTTCCAAAATTTTGTTTTTACAAATGAAGCTGTTCTAAATATTTGTGTACATATGCTTTCATTTCTGTTGAATAAATATCTAAGAATGAAATAACTACTTCACATGATAGATGTGTGTTTAACTTTTAAGAAACTGCTAACTGCTTTTCAAAGTCGCACTGTTTTCAACTTCTAGCCACAGAGTGTAAAAATGCTGATTGATCTGTGTTCTCAGCAATGCTTTTTATATTGTCATCTGATAGCTTCTTGGCCAATGTTTGCTTAAATTCTTAGCATTTTAAAATTAGATTATTGCTTTTTTATTATTGAGAGTTATTTATACATTCGGGATACAAATCATTTATCAGATACTAATTTGTAAATATTTTTTCTCAGTCTGTAACTTTTCTTTCATTTTCTTAGTGTCTTATGAAAATCAGAATTTCTTTTTCTGGTGAAGTCTGATTTGTCAATTTTTAAATGGAATATGGCTTTTGCTTTGTATCTAAGAGACATTTTTCAATCCGGTTTCACAAGGATAGCCTGCTACGTCATCTCCTAGAAGTTCATAATTTTAACTGTAGCATTTAGCTCTATGATCCATTTTGAATTAACTTCAGTGAAAAATATGGGTTGAGGTTAATTTTTTTTTTTTTTTTTGCATAGGGATATACAAGGGTTCATCACTGCTATGATTTAAATGTTTATGTCTCTGCAAAACTCATATGTTAAAGCCTAACCCCCAAAATTATTGTATTGAGTGGTAGGGACTTTGGAAAGTGATTAGGCAATGAAAGTGGAGCCCACATAAATCGGATTAGGTGCCAGTATAAAGGAGGCTTGAAGTAGCCTTTTTGCCCCTTCCACTATCTGCTCCCACAATCCATTTATCTCGATGAAAATGATGTATCTTGTAGAACACATTTTAATAGACACAGTTTTGTTGTATCTTACTAGTACAAAAATAGTTCAGTGTAGCTAAATATTATAATCAAAATATACAACATGTCACTATTTTTTCTTGATAATTTAAAATCTTAATAGAACCCAATATCTATCAAACACTTTAATTTTTATAGTAGAAACTAAATATCTACTTCAAATATTTACTACTTACTATACATAGCCATTTTATTAGGTTTTAAATTTTAATAGTGACAGGTATATAAAAAGCACATGTAAAAAATTATAATCTTATTTTTATTACATTTTCAAAACATTGACATTTAAAGCCATTCTTTTTTTATTTTTAGTTCAACTCAACTATCACTTAGAGATTAACTATTATGTTCCAGTAACTGAATTAAGGTTCTGGGGATACCTGTCGATATATAAATCACTGAGTCCTTCTTTGGGAAGTTCACAGTGGACAGAAGATGATGGATCATATATATGATAAATGTACTATTACAATAGCTCCCAAACTTATATCCACATTTTCACTGAAAACAATGTTAACTTTCTAAAATAGACATTTGATCATGGCATTCACACCATCAAAATAGTTTAGTATTCTTCTAAAGGATCACATTGCAACTCCTTTACTACAATTTTATGCCTTTCATTGTTGGCCATTAGTATATTTCAGCCTGATTTGTCTCTCTGTCATCCTTCCAATATTCTCTACATCTAGACATTTGTGATTTTTCTATATTTCTCTGTTCTATCTTATACTGAAAGTATTAGAACTCATTAAAATTGTGAGGCATGTGTCTAAGATCAACAGTTCTTAAATGAAAAATCGGACGGATATTCAGAGAACTATCACCTTAAAGTTGTAAGCTGTGAGGTTGTTTTATTGAGCTAGTCTAACCACCCCTGATTTGAGTCTGGTTGCTTTCACATAGATTATATACTTAGTACAGCTCAATTATACCAGAATGTCACCTCAGTTTTGGTGATTTCAAAGAAAAATTTTACAAATCTATAAGACATGACCGAAATTCATCTTAGTTTTAAAATGACTGTATACTATTATGCTAATTTAAATTTTATAAAACTGAAAGAGCCACATCACAAGATTTTCTCTATGTTTAACAAAATTAAATATAAAAGGACTCCAATATTAAAGCATAATTCTATACAAAATAAACACAAAATGTACAACACAACTTGTAGAAATAAAAAAGTGTAATTTTAAAAATTAAGTACTAAATGGTATAAAAGTAAAAATACATTAGAAATGACTGAAAATCAAATTACTTTTACAGAACTGCAAATGAAGCCAACTAAAAGAGAGATATATTAAAAATACAAAACAGAGGTTAAAAGAAAAAAATGAAAGATTGAGAAAGTTAATTATGTTTGAAAATATTTCTGGAATGAAATATAAAAGAAATGTGATAGAGACAGTATTAAAATAAAAATTTATAGATAATTTCCCAGGATGGAAAAAAAAACACATAATTTTTCAAAATCAGGACACAAAGTATGCACTCTAAAAGACAAACAACACTCAGTCAGATGAAATACAAAAATAAGTTTGTAACAGCAATAAAAAAAAAGGACAGCATTACCCCTGGTAATCAGTAATTACACTGACATGTGGCTATCCACAACAACAACAGAGCCAAATGATAATACAACACAAGAAAATAGCAATAATCTAAAACTTATAAAACAATAATGTAGGTTATATGTGTGTATATATGTTAATATATAGACACTACATATATAGTGAGAGACACAAGAGTGAATCTTTATCATTAATAGACCTTCACTGTAGGAAGTAAAATTGTGTGCAATTTAGAAAGAAGAAAACTTTACCTTGAAAATGGAGTAAGATGCAAGTAGTGATTTAAAAAAAAAAAAAACCTAAGCAAATGTAAAATAAGCATGATAATGCAGTAGTAATTATAATGGCAAATCTGTGTGGTATAAGACAAGGCAGAAGTACATTATTGAATTAAGATAACATTTAAAAAGATTGCATTTTAACATCATTTTATTGATTAAATTTAGATTATGTAAAATTAAGCAGTGAAAATAAAACTGTGTAACTGTCAAAAGAAAATAATTAGAATACATAGTTTTCAGCCAAATGAAGAAATAAAAATGTGTTTTAAAAACTTTATTATGCAGGTGGGCCCAATCTAATTGCATGATTCCTTAAAGGTAGAGACTTGAACAGGTTGTGGAGAAGCAAACATACAATAGCATGAGAAGTACTTGGTCCTCTGTTACTATCTTTTAGGATTGAAGAAGGGGCCATGAGCTGAAGAATGCAGCTGATTTCTCAAACCTGGGAAAGGCAATTAAATGCAAAGCCTCCAGAAAGGAATATGTCAGACTTTGATTTTAGTCCACTGAGACTTTTTTAGGACTTCTGACCACCATAACTGTAATATAAAATTGTATTGTTTTAAGCCACTAAATTTGTGGTAATTTGTCATGGCAGCAATAGAAAACTAAGAGTGATTGTAACAAATAAACACTTCATAATATGGTTTGGATGTTTTGTCCCCTCCAAATCTCATGTTGAAACATGATCCCCAATATTGGAGGTGGGGCCTGGTGAGAGACACTAGGGTCATGGGAACGAATCCCTCATGAAAGGCTTGGTGCCATCCTCATGACAATGAGTGAGTTAAGTGAGTTCTTAACTGCAACTTCTACTCTCTCTTGCTCCCTGTCTCTCCATGTCACATGCCTGTTCCCCTTTTGCCTTCTGCCATTATTGGAAGCTCCCTGAGGCCCTCACCAGAAACTAAGCACGTTTCATTGACATGCTTCCTATATAGCCTGCAGAACCATGAGCCAAAGTAAACTTCTCTTCTTTATAAATTACTCAGCCTCTGGTATTCCTTTATAGGAACGCAAAGTGGACTAACACAATTGGTGATTTAATAAATCCCCACCACCAACGACAAACCAAAAGCCATACACAATTATAAAATGTAATTTTAAAAGAAGGTATTGTTTATTAACATTGCCAAGACAGACGAAGTAGAAAGGAATAATCTCATAAGACATAAAGAAGTCCTTGTAGAAACATTGCTTTTGGGATTGCAAGGTCTCTTTGAAGAAACTTTGGAAATATCTAATAAATGTGCTCACACATATGCTCTAAATTCCAGCACTTTTTTTTCAAGTGCCTAAGTGGAGTTCTGAAATCTGAATTAGTTCTATGAAGGAAGAAGGTGGGAAGAAGAAGCTTCCTAAGGAGGGAAGAGGATTCCTTTTGGAAATGCCAGGTGGAGGGGAAAAGCATGATTTGTTCAAGAAATTGAAAAAAGCCTTTCTCCTTGGTGCTGGAGAGCAAAGCTTAAGTTTGTAGGGAACCTGAAGCCAGATTTTACAAACATTTTATCAATCCAAGTTTTGAATTGCAGCTCATATTTTTCATGTAGTGCAAAGACATAGGCAGGTTTAAATAAGTGAATGGCCTGAAAAAATTTGCATTTTTTAAATATCTAGAAGGTTGCTCTATGGCTTGAAGGGGCTGACAATATTGAAAGCATCAGACTCTTTGCCTTAATCTAATCATTCATTTAGTTATTCCAGTCTAGACAAAAGTCCCTCAAAGAGCTTTCGTTTTACTGTAAAAGGAGACAGATATGAACAGTTGAACATAACATACACCTCTTTAGGTGGCAGTAAATGCAAAGGGGGATACAAAGTCTAGGGGGCAGGGTGGTAAGGAAAGGCCTTGTTGATAAAGTGACATTTCAGTAGGAAATGGAAGAATGTGAGAGTGAAAAAATGATTGCATTGTGTGTGTTGGGGGTGCTTCTCAACAGGTTGGTTTTAAATTTTCTTTCTTTTTATTTTTAAGCTAAGAAATATTGGAATATACTGTACTTGAAAGGACTGAGTGTGTGGGGGTAGCAGTGAGTCATAGTTATAGGTAATCCCTTTACTTTTATTTTCTGGAATTCTCTGCTTTTTTAATTTCTGGCTTTTAAGGAAAGCTGTTCTCCAAGAGCACTCTTCACCTTCATCCCATGCCTTCTTCCCAGTCTAATTCATCAGACTTCAGTTCTCATTTTCAATATCATTTTCTCCAGGTCTTTCTAGACTTTTAGACAATGATGTTTGCTTGGTCTATGCACTTACTTCAGACCTTGTACTTCTCTTTCATGACCCTCATCACAGTTTATTGTAATGACTTTTTTTCCTTCTCTGCTGTGATAGCTGTGAAGAACTGAATAAATAAATGACAAAAGAGCTTCTTTATGAATTGAAAGAAAAGCCTTTCTGTAACTTACAGCATTTAAAATATGTTTACTGGGAGTAATATATTCTGTAGGTACCCTTCATGCTACTTTGAATTAATTTGTTCAATAGTCATTCAGCAATTACTTATTGATTGTCCGCAGTGTACCAGGCTCCATGACCAATGTTGTGTTTTTAATGGTGCATAAGATAAATATGGCTTCTTTGCTTATACAGCTTCTTAGAATTTAGTAAGAAAAGGTAAATATTCTTAACAGCTACTGATAGTATGCTTACATTTGACAGAAAAACCATGAAGTGTTTTGATTCAGCAAACCAATGTGAAGGTTTACTCTCTTGACAAGCACTGAGGCTGAAATAACATAGATGGATGAGACTCTGCTCTTGCCCTAGAGAACTCATAATCTATCAGAAGATATTGACTGCAGAGCTTGAATGAATGAACTGTAGCCTGATTGTGTGACCTGAGTCTGTGGGAGCACAAAGAAAGAAGCAATGTTGTCTATCTGAGGCTTTAGAATAATTCACAAGGAAAGCTATTTGTTACCTGAGCCCATAACTAATTTGCTAACTAAGATCTCCCCAGGACATTCTAGTGAAAGATAGCATGAGTCAAGGACGGCAGGTAGACAAGTTCAGTGACTTTTCAGAATTATAAACCAGCCTTAATAACCATTAAATATTAATTTAGGAAACAACATCATATTATCAAAAATGTGGAAATGTCTAAGATATAGTGAGAGTTGCTATGGGAATGACACCCTTAAAATTTGGATTGCAGGTGAAGCTATTTCTCTATTTCAGCCTTTTTATAAAATGATGTAAGAGTTACAATTTTCAATATACAACTCAAAGAAATAATTACCTCTTCTGCAAATTAGTAAGTACATGTAATTTTGCATTTTAAAAATCTCCTTAAAAGCAACTACTCTATTATATTCTTTCATTAATTGCCATAAATTAATTTAACCCAAAGCCAATTTACACACATCCTTCTTCTAGCATCAGTCATAATTGTATTTATTCCATTTCATTTAGAATATTTAACTCTTCAGAGCCTACTTACCTATTAAAACAGGCAAGTGGAGCACATTTACTTCTGTGGCACAAAGTACAAATTAATGCCAAATTGTGTTTATTTGTGCAATTTGCATTATTCTTTAGAATTCATAATCTTTTATTAGATTCTCAAAGGGCATCAAGACCCATTAAAGGCTCAAAAGCACTTGAAATTCTTTCTTTTTGCATTTTCCAATTCTTTACATTCATTAAATGTTAGTTCATTAGTAACATGTTCATTCATTAGCAAAATGTTGTCATGAACAAATTATAAATTATTTAAAAATATTTGTCTTATATAAAAAAAGAAAAATGTAGGATTTATCCCAGCTATACACAGCTGAATTGACATTCAAAAGCCAATTAATGTAATCCGTCATGTCAATAGGTTAAAAAAATCACATGATCATATCAATAAATGCAAAAAATGAATCTAACAAATTCCAACACTTAACTCTTGATTAAAAAACTCTCAGTAAACTAGGAATATAAGTGAACTTCAATGTGGTAAAGAATAAGTGCAAAATTCCTATTGCTAACTTCATACTTAATGGTGATAAATGTGAAGCATTCCTAGTAAGATTAGGAACAAGTATAGAATGTCACCCCCATCACTGCTTTTTAGCATCATTCTGGAAGTACTAATGCAATAAGACAAGAAAAGAAAACAACAAGTATACCAATTGAGAAGGAAAACATAAAACTTTTCTCACAGATGACATGACTGTCTATGTAGAAATCTAAAAGAATTTATGAAAACTTATAAAACCAATAACCAATTATAACAAATTGTAGGACACAAGGTTAATATGCAAAAGTCAATCACTTTCCTCACCAACAATGAAAAAGTATATTTTGATACTAAAAACATGATACCACTTACATTCTTAAGTATAACAAACTAAAAACACAATACCACTTACATTCTTAATTATATCAAAAAGTTTGTAAAAGAAACTATAAAACTTTGATAAATAAACAAAAAACTAAATAAATGTAGAGATTTTCCATGTTCATGGATAGAAAGTCTCAATATCATCAAGATGGCAGTTCTTTCCAACTTGATCTATAAATTCAATGCAATCTCAACCAAAACCCTAGTGAGGCATTTTTGGATATTCACAACCTAACTCTAAAGTTTATATGGAGAGGTAAGAGACTCAGAATATCAAACAAAATATTAAAGGAGAATAACAAAGTTGGAGAACTGACACTACCCAATTCCAGGCTTACTCTAAAGCTACAGAAATTAAGACAGCATGATACTGGCAAGAGAAGAGACAAATAAATCAATGGAACACAACGAAGAACCTAGAAATAGACTCATAAATCTAGTCAACTGATCTTTGACAAAGGAGCAAAGACAGTACAATGAAGCAAATATGATCTGTTCAACAAATGCTGCTGGAACAAGTAGACATCTGCATGTCAAATAAGGCAAAACAAGGAATCTAGACACCACAAACCTTACACTCTTCACAAAAATTAATTCAAAACATATCGTAGGCCTATGTGTAAAACATGAAAGTATACAACTCTTAGAAAACAACATAGGAGAAAACCTTGGGTATGATAAGACTTTTTAGATATAACAGCAAAAACATAATCATGAAAGAATCAATAAGCTAGACTTTATTAAAATCAAAAATTTCTTCTCTGTGAAAAACAGTGCTAAGAGAACGAAAAGACAATCTACACTGTGGAATAAAATATTTTCAAAAGACACATCTGATAAAGGATTGTTATCCAAAATATATGAAGAACTCCTAAAACTCAACAATAAGGAAATGATCTAATTTAAAAATAAGCAAAAACCTTAGCAGGCACCTCATCAAGGAAGATTACAGATTACAAATAAGTATATGAAAATCTGTTCCTCATTATATGTCTTCTGGGAAATACAAATTAAAACAGTGAGAGATACCACTGCACATTTATTAGAATAGCCAAAATCTGGAACACTGACAATACCAAATGCTGGCAATGATGTACAATAACAGGAATTCTCAATCATTTCTTGTGGGAATGCAAAATAATACAGATCCTTTGGAAGACAATTTTGTGGTTTATAAACAAAACTAAACATATGAAGGGGTGGGTTGCCCCTCCACCTGTGGGTTTTTCTCGTTAGGTGGAACGAGAGACTTGGAAAAGAGACACAGAGACAAAGTATAGAGAAAGAAAAAGGGGGCCCAGGAGACCGGCGTTCAATACACGGAGGATCCCACCGGCCTGAGTTCCCTCAATATTTATCCATCATTATTGGGTGTTTCTCGGAGAGGGGGATGTGGCAGGGTCATAGGATAATAGTGGAGAGGAGTTCAGCAGGTAGACACGTGAACAAAGGTCTCTGCATCATAAACAAGGTAAAGAATTAAGTGCTGTGCTTTAGATATGTATACACATAAACAGCTCAATGCCTTAAAGAGCAGTATTGCTGCCCGCATGTCCCACCTCCAGCCCTAAGGCGGTTTTCCCCTATCTCAGTAGATGGAATATACAATCGGGTTTTACACTGAGACATTCCATTGCCCAGGGACTAGCAGGAGACAGATGCCTTCCTCTTGTCTCAACTGCAAGGAGGCGTTCCTTCCTCTTTTACTAATCCTCCTCAGCACAGACCATTTATGGGTGTCGGGCTGGGGGACGGTCAGGTCTTTCCCTTTGCACGAGGCCATATCTCAGGCTATCACGTGGGGAGAAGCCTTGGACAATACCTGGCTTTCCTAGGCAGAGGTCCCTGCGGCCTTCCACAGTGTTTTGTGTCCCTGGGTACTTGAGATTAGGGAGTGATGATGACTCTTAACAATCATGCTGCCTTCAAGCATTTGTTTAACAAAGCACAACTTGCACAGCCCTTAATCCATTTAACCCTGAGTTGACACAGCACATGTTTCAGGGAGCACAGGGTTGGGGGTAGGGTTACAGGTTAACAGCATCTCAAGGCAGAAGAATTTTTCTTAGTACAGAACAAAATGGAGTCTACTATGTCTACTTCTTTCTACACAGACACAGTAACAATCTGATCTCTGTTTCTTTTCCCCACAAACATACTCTTACCATAAAATCCAGCAATCAACTTCTTGGTATTTACCCAAAGGAGATGATTATTTATGTCCACACAAAAACCTACACACAGATGTTTATAGCAGCTTTATTCATAATTGCCAAAAGTTGGAAGCAACGACAATATTCTTCAGTAGGTCAATGGATAATACTGTGGTGTATCTGGATAATGGAATTATTATTCAGCACAAAAGAAGTGGAACATCAAGCCACGAAAAGACTGGGAGGAACCTTAAATGCATATTACTAGGTGAAAGAAACCAGTCTGAAAAGGCTATATTATGTATGATTCCAACTATATGGCACTTTATAAAAGACAAAACTATGAAGACAGCAAAAAGATCAATGCTCACCAGTGTCAGGCCTCTGAGCCCAAGCCAAGCCATCGCATCCCTTGTGACTTGCACGTATACACCCAGATGGCCTGAAGTAACTGAAGAATCACAAAAGAAGTGAATATGCCCTGCCCCACCTTAACTGATGACATTCCACCACAAAAGAAGTGTAAATGGCCGGTCCTTGCCTTAAGTGATGACATTACCTTGTGAAAGTCCTTTTCCTGGCTCATCCTGGCTCAAAAAGCACCCCCACTGAGCACCTTGCGACCCCCACTCCTGCCCGCCAGAGAACAAACTCCCTTTGACTAATTTTCCTTTATCTACCCAAATCCTATAAAACGGCCCCACCCTTATCTCCCTTCGCTGACTCTCTTTTCCGACTCAGCCCACCTGCAGACCCATCTGACCTCTCCCCTCCTCGCCAGACTGAGCTAGGTCCCAATTCTTCCTCAGCCTCTGCTCCTCCACCCTATAATCTTTTTATCGCCTCCCCTCCTCACACCTGGTCGGGCTTACAGTTTCATTCCATGACTAGCCCTCCCCCACTTGCCCAGCAATTTACTCTTAAAAAGGTGGCTAGAGCCAAAGGCATAGTCAAGGTTAATGCTCCTTTTTCTTTATCCCAAATCTGATAGCGTTTAGGCTCTTTTTCAGCAAATATAAAAATCCAGCCCAGTTCATGACTTGTTTGGCAGCAACCCTGAGATGCTTTACAGCCCTAGACCCTAAAAGGTCAAAAGGCCATCTTATTCTCAAAATACATTTTATTACCCAATCTGCTCCCGACATTAAATAAAACTCCAAAAATTAAATTCTGGCCCTCAACCCCACAACAGGATTTAATTAACCTCGCCTTCAAGGTGTACAATAATAGAAAAAAGTTGCAATTCCTTGCCTCCACTGTGAGACAAACCCCAGCCACATCTCCAGCACACAAGAACTTCCAAACGCCTGAACCGCAGCGGCCACGCGTTCCTCCAGAACCTCCTCCCACAGGAGCTTGCTATACGTGCTGGAAATCTGGCCACTGGGCCAAGGAATGCCCGCAGCCCAGGATTCCTCCTAAGCCGCGTCCCATCTGTGTGGCACCCCACTGAAAATTGGACTGTTCAACTCACCTGGCAGCCACTCCCAGAGCCCCTGGAACTCTGGCCCAAGCCTCTCTGACTGACTCCTTCCCAGGTCTTCTCGGCTTAGCGGCTGAAGACTGACACTGCCCAATCGCCTCGGAAGCCCCCTAGGCCATCACGGATGCCGAGCTTCGGGTAACTCTCACAGTGGAAGGTAAGCCCGTCCCCTTCTTAATCAATACGGAGGCTACCCAC
Organism: Homo sapiens; assembly: GCF_000001405.40. Classification (NCBI taxonomy): domain Eukaryota; kingdom Metazoa; phylum Chordata; class Mammalia; order Primates; family Hominidae; genus Homo; species Homo sapiens. The sequence continues at coordinate 54,269,449 of NC_000013.11, forward strand.
TACACATTACCTTCTTTTCAAGGGCCTGTTTCCCTTGCCTCCATAACTGTTGTGGGTATTGACGGCTAGGCTTCTAAACCTCTTAAAACTCCCCAACTCTGGTGCCAACTTAGACAATACTCTTTTAAGCACTCCTTTTTAGTTATCCCCACCTGCCCAGTTCCCTTATTAGGCCGAGACACTTTAACTAAATTATCTGCTTCCCTGACTATTCCTGGGCTACAGCTATATCTCATTGCCACCCTTCTTCCCAATCCAAAGCCTCCTTTGCGTCCTCCTCTTGTATCCCCCAACCTTAACCCACAAATATAAGATACCTCTACTCCCTCCTTGGCGACCGATCATGCATCCCTTACCATCTCATTAAAATCTAATCACCCTTACCCCACTCAACGCCAATATCCCATCCCACAGCACGCTTTAAAAAGATTAAAGCCTGTTATCACTCGCCTGCTACAGCATGGCCTTTTAAAGCCTATAAACTCTCCTTACAATTCTCCCATTTTACCTGTCCTAAAACCAGACAAGCCTTACAAGTTAGTTCAGGATCTGCGCCTTATCAACCAAATTGTTTTGCCTATCCACCCCGTGGTGCCAAACCCATATACTCTCCTATCCTCAATACCTGCCTCTACAACCCATTATTCTGTTCTAGATCTCAGACATGCTTTCTTTACTATTCCTTTGCACCCTTAATCCCAGTCTCTCTTCACTTTCATTTGGACTGACCCTGACACCCATCAAGCTCAGCAAATTACCTAGGCTGTACTGCCGCAAAGCTTCACAGACAGCCCCCATTACTTCAATCAAGCCCAAATTTCATCCTCATCTGTTACCTATCTCAGCATAATTCCCATAAAAACACACTTGCTCTCCCTGCCAATCGTGTCCGACTGATCTCTCAAACCCCAGCACCTTCTACAAAACAACAACTCCTTTCCTTCCTAGGCATGGTTAGTGCGGTCAGAATTCTTACACAAGAGCCAGGACCACACCCTGTAGCCTTTCTGTCCAAACAACTTGACCTTACTGTTTTAGCCTAGCCCTCATGTCTGCGTGCAGCGGCTGCCGCTGCTTTAATACTTTTAGAGGCCCTCAAAATCACAAACTATGCTCAACTCACTCTGTACAGTTCTCATAACTTCCAAAATCTATTTTCTTCCTCATACCTGCCGCATATACTTTCTGCTTCCCGGCTCCTTCAGCTGTACTCACTCTTTGTTGAGTCTCCCACAATTACCGTTGTTCCTGGCCCAGACTTTAATCCGGCCTCCCACATTATTCCAGATACCATATAATCTCTAACTATGTTGTCTTGACATAGTCTGTTTTATGGCTACAAGCATTCTGTGACATAAGCTATTTAATTCACACCCTGTTGCTCAGTGAATATTTGAGAAATATAAATGCACAATAAACATCTATCAATTGAAACAAATAATGTTTACAACTGCTTTTGCTCACTTAAAAATAAACAAAATAATGAACATATTTCACCTCCAAGTATTCTATTATTTGTAACTATTTTTTCATCATTCATGACTCATTTTGTTGTCCTTTAATATCATTAAGTTGCCAGTGGGGAGTCTGAGCTGAAATGCCTGCCAAGGAAGATAGGACTACATTTTAATGAAATCAGCAAAAGTGAGCCTCAGTGCATTTTTATCATAATTTAAGGCCTAGTTGAGGTATGATAAATGATCCTCATCCCTGATCAGTATACTACCTGAGCAGTGATACATCATTTATGTCTTGCCATTGTACTTTTGGAACTGCCATGGGGGTAGCAAATGTGCAATAAATATTGCTCGATGAATTATATATTTCAGAAAAATTCAATGTGTTAGAAAAATAAGCAGCAAATTTATAAGTGGCTTAGAATACTACAGTAAAAACAACTTTATTGACCAGCCTTGGCTCCATACCTTATGTTATGGTTAAAAAAAATCAGATATGTTGAATGTTTACTGTTAAATATGAAATTAGAACACAGGTTGTTCACTTAATATATTCATTCCACAAGCATTTATTGAGTGATTACAATGTTCCAGGCAGTGTACTAAGTATTATAATTGAATTAAAAGACAAATTCTTCTCTGATGGCCTTTGGAATTACTAGGAGTGGCTGAAAATTTAGTGATAATTGCAATGTAGATTAAATGAAAAGAGCTCCCAAGAAAAGTTACATACAAGGTACAACAGGGACATAGGAGATGAAACTTAAGTCATTCTGTTGGGATCAAGGAAAGGATTCATGCAAACAACATAGGTTGAGAGGCAAGTAGGTGTAATCTAAAGGGATATATCCAAAAAAAAAGTTGAAATAACTAGGCTTTGATCATGGTGCAACTTGTGTATTCAAGTAAGGCATATGGATTTGAAAACAAAAGAGAATCATTAAAGTATTTTAAACAGAGAAGTAATACAATAATGCAGTAATACATATTCTGTTCAGAAAAATGGTTCTGGTGCAGTATGGAGGTTGGATTGGAGCAGGAAGAGAGGAATAGGCTGAAAGCAGAACAACAATTAACATGCTTTTGTGGATATCTAGGCAAGAAATGATAAGGAGCTGGAAATATAAGAGAGGTAATTGATAAGGTAAATATTTAGGAGTATGAATAAGACTAAAGGTGTAAAAAGTAGAGAAAAGGAAATAGGAAAAATTTGCTCCCAGACTGATGAAAAAGTAAGTAAACAGTGAAGCTATTCTAAGCCAAATTTCAGGCTTGTGCTAACTTCATTGTACCAGCAATTCACTAACTGGGTGTTGATGCCCTTCCAGTGTGCCAGGGTGAAAGAGAAGCTTTGGGATAAATATGACACTCTGGCCAGGCTCTCAGTTTTATTCAACTATAAATAATATAGAGCATTATTTTTATACAAACAACTTATATATGTATGAAATACAATGTATACTTTTTTTTAAAAAAAGAGACTTCAAAGAATTTTGTAATTTGAAATAAGTGCTTAAAGCAATGGACCCTTACACAGATTTAGAGCTATTTAATTTTCTCTGCTATTTGTGTTGTTAATCAGAACATGCAATTAACTACGCAAGGTAAATGTGCAAGGTAACTTATCTTAGTTGCTAAGAAATTTGGCTGGCTGGTATATTTGTCACTGTTTTTAACACAACTTGCAATTTTAGAGAAAGTCATATATCTGTTGTTTCTGTGTTCTAATGAGAAAGGCTTTAGTATAGGGTTGCCGGAAAAAAAAAATACAGGACGTCCATCTAAGCAATAATTTTTTTTGTACAAGTATGTCTAATATGAAATTCACATTTAATACACACTGTATTTTTATTTGTTATATCTGAGAACTCATTTGTTGTTAATGGCCATTCCTTCTTTAAAGACTATGAAATTTTATAATATTTTAAAACATCTTATCTGTTTGAATTTCAGCTACCATTATTATGTTTTTATTTTAATGAACCACTTTTTAAAATCCCTTTAAAATTTATTATCTATTTTATAGTAGTAACTGGTATGTTACAGTTTTATAAACTTGAGTGTTTACATTAGCTTTCCAAATTACAGCCACTTTGTGCCCTCTGATTTTGCATAAATTGAGAAAATCTAATTTTCATTTAATTAATTTTTGACCCATATTCTCACTTATAGGAATCCCTAAGGAAATTCACACGGTCCACACACTCAACCTTGATGGCCTGGCTCCTTGAAACTAATTTCTACTCCACTTCTCTGATAAGCCACTCATGTACTAAAGATAAAATTTAGTAATTCTAATAGTCATAGTAGCAGTGCTCCACAACTGTAGTAGAAAAATTAAAAAAAAAAAAACTATGTTCAGGATGCTAATGTTCTCCCTTAACCATTTCATCCTAATATTACACAAAATGCTCCCTATTTTTTTCAGCTAAAACAAATTATGAACAAAACCACTCTTATAATTTACAGCTGAGTATGTGTTACAGCTATAATTTTTAAATAAGAGTTACTGTAGTTTTAACCATAAGAAAATGGAACTCTGAGAATAATGTTTAATGGTTAGTACACATGAAGATTCCAACAGATTATATATCGATTCAGATTAAGCTTCTATTCCTTCATTGTCTTGAGAAGTGTACCACATATAACATCAATAAATATGATATTACATTTCCTTAATACTAAGATTGTGACTGTTTTTGGTACATCACAGGTTTGAAAGTCACATACTTAAAAATATATATAATAACTGTGCCCACATGAAAAACACACACAAATTGCAAGACATGCCTTGGCCTAGAAATGTAAAAACCTGAAATAAAATGTAAGTTTTAGAATTGAGAACACAAAATATCATTTACACAATCTATTCCATGATAAATGATTTTCACTGAACTTATGAATAAACAAAACAGGATGGTGTGGATGAGATATGCGTTAGGAAGGAGAGAATCCATTGTTCTCTGCTTAACTCTAGTGATCTAAAAAGTATCCTTTCTTCTCCTCTTTCCCCTTTCCCCCAGTTCCCCTAACCCCACACAGGGATTGGTTGCTAATCTAAATAGTCCAACTCAGGAACGTTTACTGTGCTATGATTGCTGATGGATGTATCCCTATTTGGTATTATTTTATCTGGAATTTTTTTCTATCATAACATAATAAGATAAATATATTGAGTTTGGAACCCTTGGAGTCCTGTTGTCTCTCTCTCTCTCTCTCTCTCTCTCTCTCTCTCTCTCTATATATATATATATATATATATATATGTATATATATATATATATATGTATATATATATATTTGACTCAATATAGATAGAAGGGAAAATGGGCACAGAGCTTTTTCTGAAGCACGTTCCACTCTGTCTTTTTCTTGTCATTTCTTTAGGCAGAAATGCCTAAACATGCCAATGCAAGTAATAAAATTTGGGACAGGGAAAGGGAGGATAATACTTCCTTTATACCAAAGACTAATAGAAATGCTCCAATTTAGCCTTTTATAATAATACTCCATATGACCCACTTTTGTAGCTATTAATACTTGGTATTTTTTTTCTAACATTAAGTACCCTATAGAAAGGCAGCTGTGATTTGTGGACCAGGATTCAGGCATCCCTGTGTCTCTGACGTTATATCATCTAATAGTATGTAAATACTTAAGTTAATGGTAATAGTAATTAGAGCTTCTCATAATATCAAGTTCCTTTATCGGAATAAAAATATTAATTACAATAGCCTCAGAAGCAGAAACAGAAAGTCAAAATAATAATAATAGAATGTCTACAATATCTAAAATATGCTACTAAATGCTATAAGGAATGCAGTAAAAACTAAAATATTCTTTCTACCTTAAGCTGGTAATTGTGATGGAGACATAACATGCAAATGTGAACTCAAATATTTTCAACCTTAGTTAGCAAATTGAGGTACAAAAATAATTGGGCATTACAGTTAAAAATGATATTTCAGAAAATTAAAGTGGCCAGTATGATCTGTGATGGACATGGAAAGATTCATGGAGAGTTTAAATAATATGGAAGATTTGATGGGCAAAGAAAAAGGACAAATTTACAGGTGTGGATATAAGATAGCATAAAATTATTTGGAAGAAATTGAGTAGAATTATTAGCTTCTGTTGGAAGCATAAGAAGTAAGAAATGTGTATAGAATCCTGAATCCATTTAAATTGCTTAATATTGAATCCTGTAAGTTGAAGGACTAGGCAACTAAGACATTGTGGCTGAAGCAGTAATTTAGTGACACTAGTGTGCTATAATTATTTATCTGCTAGTATTATAAAAAGTGAATTAGAGGGACTCTGCTAGGCATCAGAAAACTAGAAGCAAAGGGCCCATTGGAAAACTACTATAATTGCTCAATAATGCAGTAATAACTACGTTGTTCACAATAAAAAATGTAGAGAGAGGAACAAAAGTGATAGAAAACTGTGGAAGAATTAAATTGTGGCAATGGATTATTTATAGGGTATATAAAAGAAAGAAAAATGACTCTGAGTTTTTGTGCATAAGTGACTGAGAGAATGGTAATTCATTAGCAGAGATAGGGAGGTCAAAATATAAAGTTTGATGGTGGTAAGCAGTTGAGGATGAAAATAGTTTTAGACTGTATATTGGTTAACAGGGGACATGGTAATGGAAAAGTAGGTGGTTTGAAATGTGAGATAATTGGAAACACAATGAGAATTAAGGATAAGTTGAATATGAGTTTAGAAAGTATTTGTATAAAGATGGGTGAAATTAAATATATGAAAGTAAATCATGCTGATATTCTCTACTCACTGACAGGCAAATTTTAACAAGATCCTCCTGGTGGAAAAGTATCCTCTTTTAAAAATTTTGCATCTATAGACTACTTCATCCAACTACTGTGGAATACACATTCTTTCAAAATCATATAGAATATTCACCAAGGTATAGAGCACATTCTGGGTCAAAAAACACACCTTAACAAATTTAAAAGAATAGAAATCATACAATGTCTGTTCTCAGAGCACAATGGAATTAAATTAGAAATCAATAACAAAAAGATACCTGGAAAATCCCCAGATGCTGGGAGATTAAAGACCCCACTATTAAATAACAATGTAGGTCAAAAAAGAACATTCCTTAGATCCCTTTTTGGTATATTATTACATAGTGGTACTCATATAATCATTATCATTTTTGTATCTCTGTGATTCTTTATTCCAAGAACTTTTGATACTCATAATTAGCAAATGACTTAAGAAATGTCTTTTTTGGTGACAAATTGGCTTTAATTGAAAATGCATGACAGAAAATCTATCAATTCAGTAATGCTCTTACACTGCGTCTATTAAAGATAGCCTTTGCTCCCAATACAGTTATGTAAGACCAGTTGTTCTTCAGTCATTATAACATGATTTCCTTAATGAGATGGTTTTACTTTCACTTCAAAATGAAATAAAAAGTATTTCATTGTGCTCTTCTTAGGTCCATTTAAATTATAAACAGCATAATGCTTATTAATGACAAATGAAGAAAGCAATGGGTAATATTCTCTCATCCTTCCTGCCTGATTCTGAAAATAATTAATTTGGAGACCAGGCATATTTTTAAAATGTTCACCATATTATATTTCTAGGTTGAACTGTACACTTATTTTCCATTGTGAATAAAATAACTACAGTTTGAATTAGACTTTTCAATCTTAAAAACATTTATATTACTATTATTGATTTAAACATTATGAGTTTCAAGATGCCATCTTTCCCAGTTAGTGAGATTTATGGTGTACCCTTTCCCAAGTTTAATGACTACCATTGCAAAGGAGATGACTGCTATTACGAAGTTTTAAAACGGCCTATTTTCTCATAATTAAATGCTGTGTCAACAAAGCTTAGCAGGGTAATGAGTATTCATGGAAATATTTTTAAATCAAAAATTTGATCTTATTGAATCGCAAAAATATACTTCATATAAATAAAAACAATATAAAACTTTATTCAAAACAAATTTAAAAACAGTTTTATTTGGGTAAAGTACCATTTAGCTTAAAATGCATTTCAAGGCCGGGCGCGGTGGCTCACGCCTGTAATCCCAGCACTTTGGGAGGCCGAGGCGGCTGGATCATGAGGTCAGGAGATCGAGACCATCCTGGCTAACAAGGTGAAACCCCGTCTCTACTAAAAATACAAAAAATTAGCCGGGCGCGGTGGCGGGCACCTGTAGTCCCAGCTACTCGGGAGGCTGAGGCAGGAGAATGGCGTGAACCCGGGAAGCGGAGCTTGCAGTGAGCCGAGATTGCGCCACTGCAGTCCGCAGTCCGGCCTGGGCGACAGAGCGAGACTCCGTCTCAAAAAAAAAAAAAAAAAAAAAAAATGCATTTCAATTCATATAGGGTTTTCTATTTTTTTCTATGAATATATAGTTGTCAAATTATTTTCATTATTATTTTATTTTTTAAATAATTATATCTAAGATCTATACATATTCATTGAAAAAGAGGGCTCCATATGACAAATTTGCAGTAAAACCAAGCATAAATGCCTTAATTTAGACATAAAATTGTGGCCTCTACCTTTACACTAATGTGAAACTGTTTTTATTTCAATAGATTTAGGGGTACAAGTGATTTTTTATTACATGGATTAATTGTATAGTGGTAAATTCTGGGCTTTTATTGTACCTGTCATCTGAATAGTGTACATCGTATCCAATAAGTAGTTTTTCATCCCTCTCCACTGCACCCGGAGTTTCCCTTATCCATTATACCACTCTGTATGCTCCTGCATACCCACAGTGTAGCTCCCTCTAATAAGTGAGAAAATGCAGTACTTGGTTTTCCATTCCTGAGATACTTTGCTTAGGATAATGGCCTTGAGAGTCCCATGCAAGTTGCTGCAAGAAACACTTTTGTTCTTTTTAATAGCTGAGTAGTATTTCATGATATATACATATACCACATGGCTCATTCCATAGCTTTGTAATTGTGAATTGTGTTGTGATAAAAGTACAAATGCAGGTGTCTTTTGATATGACAACTTCTTTTGGGCATACATCCAGTAGTGGGACTGCTGGATCGAATGGTAGATCTACTTTTAGTTCTTTGAGAAATCTCCATGCCATGTTCCATAGAGGTTGTACTAATTTACATTTCTACAACAGTGTGTAAGCATTCCCTTTTCATGGTGTCCGTGCCAACATCTATTTTTTGACATTTCACTCATAGCTGTTCTGTATGGGGTCACGTGGTAACTCACTGTGGTTTCAACTTGCATTTCCCTGATGATTAGTAATGAGCATTTTTTCATGTTTGTTGGCCATTTGTGTATCTTCTTTTGAAAAATGTCTATTCATGTTGTTGGACCATTTTTTAATAGGATTATTTGGTTTTTGTTGCTGATTTGTTTTAGTTCTTTGTAGATTTTGGATATTAGTTCTTTTTTTTTTTGAGACGGAGTCTTGCTCTGTCGCCCAGGCTGGAGTGCAGTGGCGCAATCTCGGCTCACTGCAAGCTCCGACTCCCGGGTTCATGCCATTCTCCTGCCTCAGCCTCCTGAGTAGCTGGGACTACGGGTGCCCGCCACCACGCCTGGCCAATTTTTTGTATTTTTAGTAGAGACGGGGTTTCACTGTGTTAGCCAGGATGGTCTCGATCTCCTGACCTTGTGATCTGCCCACCTCGGCCTCCCAAAGTGCTGGGATTACAGGCTTGAGCCACCGCGCCTGGCCGGGATATTAGTTCTTTGTCGAATACACAGTTTGCAAATATTTTCTCCCATTCCATTGGTTGTCTGTTTACTCTGTGATTTTTCTTTTGCTGTACAGAAGCTTTTCAGTTTAATTACGTCTCACTTGTCTATTTTTGTTTTGGTTTAATTTGCTTTTGGGGTCTTAGTTGTAAATTGTTTGCCTAGGCCAAGGTCTAGAAGAGTTTTTTCTATTTTTTTTTTCCTAGAAATTTTATGGTTTCAGCTTCTACATTTAAGTCTTTCATTTATCTTGAGTTAAATTTTTTATACATTGAGAGATAGATAGGGATCCAGTTTTATTCCTCTGCATTTAGCTATCTAATTTTCCTAGGATTTATTGAGTTGGGTGCCCTTTCCCCAGTGTATGCTTTTATCTGTTTTGTGGAAGATCAGGCAGTTGTAGGTATTTGGCTTTATTTCTGGATTCTCTATTCTGTTCCATTGGTCTATGTGTCTACTACAGCATTGTACAGCATTGAAGTTAAGCAACATGATGCCTCCAGCTTTCTTCTTTTTCCTTGGGATTGCTTTGACTATTCAGGCTCTTGTCTAGTTTCATATGAATTTTAGGAACTTTTTCTAATTCTGTGAAAAATGACATTGGTATTTTGATTGGAATTGCATTGAATCTGTAGATTGCTTTGAGCAGTATGGTCATTTTCACAAAGTAAATTATTCCCTTCCATGAGTGTGGGATGTTTTTTCATTTGTTTGTGTTACTTATGATTTACTTCACCAGCATTTTGTAGTTCCCGTTATAGAAATATTTCACCTCCTTGCTTAAGTATATTCATAGGTATTTTATTTTTATTGTAGCTATTGTAAATTGGATTGATTTCTTCATTTGAGTCTTACTTGATAGTTGTTGATGTATAGCAGTACTACTGATTTATATACATTGATTTTGTAACCTGCAACTTTATTGAATTCATTTATTCAAACTAGGAGTCTTTTGGAGAAGTCGTTAGGGTTTTCTAGGTATAAGGTTATATTATCAGCAAATAGAGTTTGACTTCCTCTTTTTCAATCTGGATGCCCTTTCTTTCTTACTCTTGCCTTAGTGCTCTGGCTAGAGTTTCCATTCCTTGTTAATAGAAGTGGTAAAAGTGGGCATCCTTGGCTTTTTCCAGTTCCGAGGGGGGATGTTTTCAACTTTTCCCCATTCAGTACAATGTTGACTGTGTATTTGTGATATATGTCTTTTATTATTTTGAAGTATGTTCCTGCTATGCCTAGTTTGTTGTTTTTTTTTATCATCAGGACATGTTGGATTTTATTGAATACTTTTCCTGCATCCATTGAAATTATATATAGTTTTTGTTTTTAATTCTGTTTATGTAGTGAATCACTTTTATTGACTTGGATATGTTGAATCATCCTTGCATCCTTGCACCCCTGGTATTCACCTTGTGGTGAATTATCTCTTTGGTGTGCTGTTGGATTTGGTTTGCCCGTATTTTATTAAGGATATTTACATCTATGTTCATCAGAGATATTGGTCCGTAGATTTATTTTCTGTTGTTGCATCCTTTTCTGGCTTTGGTATCAGGGTATCAGGGTAATCCTGGTTTTATAGAATGAGTCAGAAGGGAATTTCATTCTTCTTGATTTTTTGAATAGTTTTAGTAGTATTGGTATCAAGTCTTCTTTAATCATCTGGTAGAATTAGCTCTGAATCCATCTGGTCCTGGGCTTTGCTGTTGTTGGAAGATTTTTTATTCTAAGTTCAATCTCACTTCTCATTATTGATCTGCTCAGGATTTCCATTTCTTCAGGATTCAAACTTGGAGGGTTGTATGCCTCCAGGATTTTATCCACATGCTGATTTTCTAGTTTGTGTTCACTGAAGTGGTCATAGTAGTCTTCAGTGAGCTTTTGTATTTCTGTGTTATCAGTAGTAATGTCCCCATTTTCATTTTTGATTGAGCTTATTTGAATCCTCTTTCTTCCTCATGGTTAATCTAGCTACTGGTCTATCAATTGTGTTTACCTTGTTAAATAAGCAACGTTTTATTTCATTTATCATTTTATTTATTTATTTATTTTTGGTTTCAATTTAGTTCTGCTCTGATCTTTCTTTCTTTTCTTCTGCTAGCTTTGAATTTGGTTTGTTCTTGCTTCTCTAATTCCTTGAAGTGTGATGTTAGGTCATCAATTTGTGATCTTTCTGTCTTTTTGTTGTAGATATTTTAGTGCTATTAACTTCCCTCTTAGTAATGCTTTTGCCATATCCCAGAAATTTTGATAGCTTGTGTTAGTCTTATTCATTTGAAAAAAGTATTAATTTTTATCTTGATTTCATTATTTACCCAAAGATCATTCAGGAACATGTTGTTTAATTTTCATGTATTTGCATTGAGTGTTAAGAGCTCCTCTTGGAATGGATTTGTAGTTTTATTCCACTGTGGTCTGAGAAGATACTTAATATGATTTTCATTTTTTTGTGATTTATTGAGACTTCTTTACAGAGACCTTATTTCTGAGCTCTCTGTTCTGTTCCATTGGTCTATCACATGGTTTATCTTGAAAAATGTTCCATTTGCTGATAAAAAGCATGTATATCCTGCAGTTTTAGGGGAGAATGTTCAGTAAATGTCTGTTAGTTCTAGAGTCTATTTGTTCTAGAGTCCAGTTTACATCCAGTGTTTCTATGTGTCTTTTTGCCTTGATGATCTGTCTAGGGCTGTCAATGGAGTGTTGAAGTCCCCCACTATTTTTTATTATTATTATTATTATTATTTTACTTTAAGTTCTGGGATACACGTGCAGAACGTGCAGGTTTGTTATGTAGGTATACGTGTGCCATGCTGGCTTGCTGCATCTATTGACCCATTCTCTATGTTCCCTCCTCTTGCCCTCACCTACCAACAGGCCAAGGTGTGTGTTGTTCCCCTCCCTGTGACGATGCGTTCTCATTGGTCAACTCCTACTTATGAGTGAGAACATGTAGTGTTTGGTTTTCTGTTCCTGTGTTAGTTTGCTGAGGATGATGGCTTTCACCTTCATCCATGTCCCTGCAAAGGACATGATCTCATTCCTTTCTGTGGCTGCATAGTATTCCATGGTGTATATGTACCACATTTTCTTTATCCAATTTATCATTGATGGGCATTTGGGTTGGTTCCATGTCTTTGCTATTGTAAATAGTGATGCAATAAACATTCGTCTTTACAGTAGAATGATTTATATTTCTTTAGGTATATATCTTGTAATGGGATTGCTGGGTCAAATGGAATTTCTGGCTCTAGATCCTTAAGGAATCACCACACTGTCTTCCACAATGGTTGAACTAATTTACATTACCACCAACAGTGTAAAAGTGTTCCTATTTCTCCACAGCCTTGCCAGCATCTATTGTTTCTTGACTTTTTAATAATTGCCATTCTGACTGGCATGAGATGGTATCTCACTGTAGTTTTTATTTGCATTACTTGAGTGATCAGTGGTGTTGAGCTTTTTTTCATGTTTGTTGGTTGCATAAATGTCTCCTTTTGAGAAATGTCTGTTTGTATCCTTTGCCCACTTTTTGATGGGTATTTTGTTTTTTTCTTGTAAATTTGTTTAAGTTCTTTGTAGATTCTGGATATTAGACCTTTGTCAGATGGGTAGATTGCAAAAATTTTCTCCCATTCTGTAGGTTGCCTGTTCACTCTGATGATAGTTTCTTTTGCTGTGCAGAAGCTCTTTAGTTTAATTCGAACCCCTTTGTCAATTTTGGCTTTTGTTGCAATTGCTTTTGGTGTTTTAGTCATGATGTCTTTGCTCATGCCTATGTCCTGAATGGTATTGCCTAAGTTTTCTTCTAGGGTTTTTATGATTTGGGGTTTTACATTTAGGTCTTTAATTCATCTTGAGTTAATTTTTATGTGAGGTGTAAGGAAGGGGTCCAGTTTCAGTTTTCTGTATATGGATAGCCATTTTCCCAGCACCATTTATTGAATAGAAAAACTTTTCCCCATTGCTTGTTTTTATCAGGTTTGTCGAAGATCAGATGGTTGTAGATGTGTGGTGTTACTTCTGAGGTCTCTCTTCTGTTCCATTGGTTTATATGTCTGTTTTGGTACCAGTACCATGCTTTTTTCATTACTGTAGCCGTGTAGTATAGTTTGAAGTCAAATAGCGTGATGCCTCCAACTTTGTTCTTTTTGCTTAGGATTGTCTTGGCTATATGGGCTCTTTTTTGGTTCCATATGAAATTTAAAGTAGATTTTTCTAACTCTGTGAAGAATGTCAATGGTAGTTTGATGGGAATAGCATTGAATCTATAAATTACTTTGGGCAGTATGGCCATTTTCACGATATTGATTTCTCCTATCCATGAGCATGGCATGTTTTTCCATTTGTTTGCATCCTCTCTTATTTCCTTGAACAGAGGTATGTAATTCTCCTTGAAGAGGTCCTTCACATCCCTTCTTAGCTGTATTCCTAGGTATCTTATTCTCCCTGAAGCAATTGTGAATGGGAGTTCATTCATGATTTGGCTCTCTGCTTGTCTTTTGTTGGTGTTTAGGAATGCTTGTGATTTTTGCGCATTGATTTTGTATCCTGATGCTTTGCTGAAGCTGTTTATGAACTTGAGGAGTTTTTGGGCAGAGACAATGGAGTTTTCTAAATATAGAATCACGTCGTCTGCAAACAGAAACCATTTGACTTCCTCTCTTCCTATTTGAATGCACTTTATTTCTTTCTCTTGCCTGATGGCCCTGGCAAGAAATTCCAATGCTATGTTGAATAGGAGTGGTGAGGGAGGACATCCTTGTCTTGTACAGTTTTCAAAGGGAATGCTTACAGCTTTTGCTCATTCAATATGATACTGGCTGTGGGTTTGTCATAAATAGCTCTTATTATTTTGAGATACATTCCATCAATACCTAGTTTACTGACAGTTTTTAACATGAAGGGATGTTGAATTTTATTAAAGGGCTTTTCTGCATCTATTGAGAGAATCATTTGATATTTGTTGTTTGTTCTGTTTATGTGATAGATTACATTAATTGATTTGCATATGTTGAATAAGCCTTGCATCCCATGGATGAAGCCAACTTGATCATGGTGGATAAGTTTTTTGATGTGCTACTGGATCCAGTTTGCCAGTATTTTATTGAGGATTTTCATATTGATGTTCAGCAGGGATATTGGCCTAAAGTTTTCTTTTTTGTTGTGTCTCTGCCAGGTTTTGGTATCAGAATGATGCTGGCTTCATGAAATGAGTTAGGGAGGAGTCCCTCCCTTTCAATTGTTTGGAATAGTTTCAGAAGGATGGTACAATCTCCTCTTTGTACCTCTGGTAGAATTTTGCTGTGTATCTATCTGATCCTGGGCTTTTTGCAGTTGGTAGGCTATTAATTACTGCCTCAATTTCAGAACATTTTATTGGTATATTCAGGGATTTGATTTCTTCCTGGTTTAGTCTTGGCAGGGAATTTGTGTCCAGGAATTTAAACGTTTCTTCTAGATTTTCTAGTTTATTTGCATAGAGGTGTTTATAGTATTCTCTGATGGTAGTTTTTATTTCTGTGGGGTCATGGTGATATACCCTTTATCATTTTTTATTGTGTCTATTTGATTCTTCTCTCTTTTCTTCTTTAATAGTCTAGCTAGTGGTCTGTAATTTTGTTGATTGTTTCAAAAAACCACCTCCTGGATTCATTGATTTTTTGAATATTTTTTGTGTCTTATTCTCCTTCAATTCTGCTCTGCTCTTAGTTATTTCTTTTCCTCTGCTAGCTTTTGGATTAGTTTGCTCTTGCTTCTCTGGCTCTTTTAATTGTGATGTTAGGATGTCAATTTGAGATCTTTCTAGCTTTCAGATGTGAGCATTTAGTGCTATAAATTTCCCTCTTAACACTGCCTTAGCTGTGTCCCAGAGATTCTGATACGTTGTCTCTTTGTTCTTACTGGTTTCAAAAAACTTCTTGATTTCTGCCTTAATTTCATTATTTACCCAGTTGTCATTCAGGAACAGGTTTTTCAATTTCCATGTACTCATGTGGTTTTGAGTGAGTTTCTGAATCTTGAGTTCTAATTTGATTTCACTGTGGTCTGAGAGGCTGTTTGTTATGATTTCAGTTCTTTTGCATTTGCTGAGGAGTGTTTTACTTCCAATTACATGGTCAATTTTAGAATATGTGCCTTCTGGCACTGAGAAGCATGAATATTCTTTTGATTTGTGGTGCAGAGTTTTGTGGATGCCTATTAAGTCCACTTGATCCAGAGCTGAGTTCAAGCCCTGGATATCCTTATTGATAATTTTCTGTCTCATTGATCTGTCTAATATTGACAGTGGGATGTTAAAGTTTCCTGCTATTATTGTGTCAGAGTTGAAGTCTTTTTGTAGGTCTCTAAGATA
Organism: Homo sapiens; assembly: GCF_000001405.40. Lineage (NCBI taxonomy): Eukaryota > Metazoa > Chordata > Mammalia > Primates > Hominidae > Homo > Homo sapiens. The sequence goes on from NC_000013.11 coordinate 54,284,986, forward strand.
TTGTTTTATGAATCCAAGTGCTCCGGTATTGGGTGCATACATGTTTAGAATAGTTAGCACTTCTTGTTGAGTTGATCCTTTTACCATTATTTAACGCTGTTCTTTGTCTTTTTTTGATCTATGTTGGTTTAAAATGTTTTGTCAGAGACTAGAATTGCAACCCTGCTTTTTTTTGCTTTCCATTTGCTTCATAAATTTTCCTCCATCCATTTATTTTGAGCCTATGGGTGTCTGCACTTGAGATGGATCTCCTGAATACAGCGCACTGATGGGTCTTGCCTCTTTATCCAATTTGCCAGTTTGTGACTTTTAATTGGGGCATTTAGCCCATCTACATTTAAGGTTAGTATTGTTATGTGTGAATTTGATCCTGTCATTATGATGCTATCTGGTTATTTTGCACATTCGTTGATGCAGATTCTTCATAGTGTCATTGGTCTTTATATTTTGGTGTGTTTTTGCAGTGGCTGGTACTGGTTTTTCCTATCCACATTTAGTGCTTCATTCAGGAGCTCTTGCAAGGCAGGCCCGGTGTTGATGAAATCCCTCAGCATTTGCTTGTCTGGAAAGGATTTTATTTCTCTGTCACTTACGAAGTTTAGTTTGGCTGGGTATGTAATTCTGGGTTGAAAATTCTTTTCTTTAAGAATGTTGAATATTGGCCCCTCTCTCATCTGGTTTGTAGGGTTTCTGCTGAGAGATACGCTGTTAGTCTGATTAGCTTCCCTTTGTAGGTGAACTGACCTTTCTCTCTGGCTGTGCTTAACATTTTCTTTTCCATCATTTTGACCTTGGAGAATCTGATGATTATATGTCTTGGGGTTAATCTTCTTGTGGAGTATCCTGGGGTGTTCTTTGTATTTCCTGAATTTGAATGTTTGCCTGTCTTGCTAGGTTGGGGAAGTTCTCCTGGATAATATCCTGAAGTGTGTTTTCCAGCTCGTTTCCATTCTCCTTGTCTCCTTCAGGCACTCGAATCAATCGTAGGTTCAGTCTTTTTACATAGTCCCATATTTCTTGGAGGCTTTGTTTTTTCCTTTTCATTCCTTTTTCCTCTAATCTTGTTGGCATGTTTTATTTCAGCAAGGTGGTTTTCAAATTCTTATATCCTTTCTCTCGCTTGGTTGATTCAGCTATTGATACTTGTGTATGCTTCACGAAGTTCTCGTGCTTTGTTTTTAATCTCCATCGGGTCATTTATTTCCTCTCTAAACTGGTTATTCTATCTAGTTAGCAGAGCCTCTAACCTTTTATCAAGGTTCTTAGCTTCTTTGCATTGGGTTAGAACATGCTCCTTTAGCTCAGAGGAGTTTGTTATTACCCATCTTCTGAAGCCGGCTTCTGTCAGTTTGTCCAACTGATCCTACGTCCAGTTCTGTGCCCTTGCTGGAGAGGCATTGCAATCATTTGGAGAAGAGGCACCCTGGCCTTTTGGATTTTCAGTGTTTTCTAATTGATTTTTTCATATCTTTATGAGTTTGTCTCATTTCGATCTTTGAGGCTGCTGACCCTTGGATGGGTTTTTTGATGCTGTTGTTGTTGCTTTCTGTTTGTTTTTCTTTCAATGGTCAAGTCCCTGTTTTGTAGGGCTGATGCAGTTTGCTGGGGGTTTACTTCAGGTCCTATTCATCTGGTTTGCTCTCACACCTGGAGATGTCACTCAAAGAGGCTGGAGAACAGCAAAGATGAGTGTCTGCTCCTTCCTCTGGGATCTCTGACCTCAAGGGGCAACAACCTGATGCCAGTAGGATTGCTCCTGTATAGGGTTCCTGACAACTCCTGTTGGAGGGCCTCACCCAGCTGGGTGGTGTGGGGAACAGGACCCGTTTAGTGAAGCACTTTGAGTGTCCCTTGGTGAAGAGGGTGTGCTTCGCTGAAGGTAAAACCCACTGGTCTGGGCAGCCTGGATTCCTCAGAACTACCAGGAGGAAAGGCTAAGTCTGCTGGTCCATAGAGACTGTGGCCACCCGTCCCCCAAGGGGCTCAGGCCCAGGTAGATCAGAGTTCTGTCCCTGAGCACCTGGCTGGAGTTGCTGGAGTTCCTCCAGGGCAGCCTTGCCCAGTGAGGAGTGATGGGTCAGGGTCAGGCCTGAAGAGACGCTCTGGCTGCAGTCTTCCCCAGCTGGTGTGTTGGGCTGTGGGGAACACCTCTTGGGACCAAGCCGTCCAGCCTCCCTGGCTCCAGCAAGGGAAAAATGTGGCCTAGAACTATAGACATGGCTGCCACCCTTCCCCCTGCTCAGGGAGCTTAGCATGTTAGGCAGTTGTGAGTCTCAGGTCTTGCTGCTGCCCCTCCTTCCCCCAAGGAGCTCAAAGGGCTTAGACAGCAGGCAGCCACAGCTGTGGTGCTGGTTGCCCCTTCCCCCAGGAACTTGGCAGGCTTAAGCAGATTCTAGCTGAGAGACTGTTGAGAATCTGCAGGGCTCCAGGGTTGAGACTGTATGCTCTGGTGGCACGGGTTCACAAGTGGCATCTTCCGATCCGTGGGTTGCACAGTTCCTTGGAAAAAGCTCAGTTCCCCTGGCTGGGTAGCATGCTCATTCACTGCCTCCCTTGGCGAGGGGTGGGCCTCCACCGCCCCGTGTGGCTCTCAAGTGGGCCACAGTACCACATTGCTTTTTCTTCCTCTCCATGGGTCACGCTAGCGGCCTAGTCAGTTCTGAGCAGAGAACCTAGATACCTCTGTTGCCAGTGCAGGATTCACATGCTATTATGATTCTTTTTGATGGGAGCCTCCAATTGCTGCTGCTTCTAGTTGGCAATCCCCCACCACTATTATTGTATTGCTGTCAATGTGTTTTCTTAGGTCCAGTAATATTAGTTTTGTGAATCTAGGAGCTTCAGTTTTAGATTAATATATATTTATAATTATTACAACTTTTGTTGACTTGATTCCTTTATCATTATATAATGACATTCTTTTTCTTTTTCTTCTGTTGTTAATTCAAAGTCTTTTTTTTCTGATATAAGAATAGCTACTGGTGCTTGATTTTGATTTTAATACGTGTGGAATGTTTTTCTACCTCTTTACCTTGAGTCTATTAAGAATCTTTGTGAATTAGGTAGCACGTATTTGAATTGTATTTTGGTGGCAGCAAATATTCGATGGCAGCAGATATTTGAATTGTATTTTTTAAATTCACTCTGCCAATCTATGTGATTTAAGTGGGGCATTTAGTTCATCTATATTTAAAGTTGATTTTGATATGTCTACTACTGTTCTAGTCATCATGCTGATTGTTATCAGGTTGCTTTGTATTCTCTGCTGTGTTACTGTTTTATAAACACCATGAGTTTTACACTTTTGAGTATTTCTATATGGGTAGGATCAACATTTCATTTCAATATTTAGAACTCCTTTGAGTATTTCTTGTAGGGCAAGTCTAGTGGTGACAAATTCCTTCAGCATCTGCTTCTCTGAGAAAGAATTTATTTCTCATTCATTTATGAAACTTATCTTTTCAGGATACAAAATTCATGGCTGGCAGTTATTCTCTTTGAGAAGACTAAAGATAGAATTCCATTTTCTTTGGACTGGTAATATTTCTGCTGAGAAGTCTGCTATTAGTCTGATAGTTTTTCTTTCACAAGTTATTTGATGATGTTGTCTCACTACTCTTAGAATCCTTTTCTTTCTATTGACTTTACATAGCCTGTTGACTGCTGACTTTATTCCATAGTGACATCCTTTTTGCAATGAATCTGCCAGGAGTTCTTTGGGCTTCTTGTATCTAGATATCTAAATCTTTAGCATGACACAGGAAGTTTTCCTTAATTATTCCCTCAAATAGGTTTTCCAAACATTTTGCTTTTTCTACTTCCTCCCCCAAAATAACTATGATTCTTAGGCATAGATGTCTTACATAATACTATGTTTCTTAGAGATTCAGGTTATTTCTTTTAATTTTTCTTTACTTTTATCTGATTAGGTTAATTCAAATTTTTTTTTTTTTTTTTTTTTTTTTTTTGAGATGGAATCTTGCTCTGTCACCAGGCTGGAGTGCAGTGGTGCGATCTCTGCTCACTGAAACCTCCAGGTCCTGGGTTCAAGTGATTCTTCTGCTTCAGCCTCCTGAGTAGTTGGAACTACAGGAACACACTACCACATCCAGCTAATTTTGTTAGTTTTAGTAGATACAGTGTTTCACCACATTGGCCAGGATGGTCTCAATCCCTTGATCTCATGATTTGTCTGCCTCAGCCTCCCAAAGTGCTGCGATTACAGGCATGAGCCACTGTGCCAGGTCCAAAAGCATTTTCTTTTTTTTTTTTTTTTTTGAGACGGAGTCTCGCTCTGTCGCCCAGGCCGGACTGCGGACTGCAGTGGCGCAATCTCGGCTCACTGCAAGCTCCGCTTCCCGGGTTCACGCCATTCTCCTGCCTCAGCCTCCCGAGTAGCTGGGACTACAGGCGCCCGCCACCGCGCCCGGCTAATTTTTTGTATTTTTAGTAGAGACGGGGTTTCACCTTGTTAGCCAGGATGGTCTCAATCTCCTGACCTCATGATCCACCCGCCTCGGCCTCCCAAAGTGCTGGGATTACAGGCGTGAGCCACCGCGCCCGGCCCAAAAGCATTTTCTTAAAGCTGTGAAAGTATTTCTTATGCTTGGTCTACTCTGTTACTAAATTTTCCACTGCATTTTGTAATTTCCCAAATGAGTCTTTCATTTCCAGAAGTTCTGTTTCTTTTAGTTTCTTTTAACTATCTATTTCTTTAGAAATTTTTAAATTCATATCCTGAATTTTTAAAATTTCTTTATGTTAGTTTTAATATGCTTCATGCATCTCACGGAGCACTTTTATAATCAATATTTTGTATTCTTTATCTAGTGTTTCAAAGATTTCATTTTGGTTTGGATCTATTGCTAGAGTTAGTGTGATTCTCTGGTGATGTAAAACTCTGTTATTTCATATTGCCTAGAATTATTTTTCTGTTTTTTTTCTTGTCTAAGTAGGCTATTACTTGTTATTATTTTTTAATTTATTTTTGATTGGATTGGGCTTTTCTTCCCACCAAGGATATAACTATAATGTTAATATTGCCTAACTTTGGTTATGGATGCTTTAGTAGCAAAGTTTCTCTACGAATTTCTTGGTTATAGAGAAACTATGTGCAATGGCTTTCTCAGATGCTGCTCATAGTTATGATATGCTGAGTGTGTGTATTTGTCAGGGTTCTCCAGAGGGACAGAACTTACAGGATATATGTGTATATGAAAGGTAGTTTATTAGAGATAATTGGCTCACACAATCACAAGGTGAAGTCCCATCATGATAGGCCTTCTGCACACTGGGGAAGAAAGAAGCCAGTAGTGGTTCATCCAAGTTCAAAAGCCTCAAAAGCAGGGAAGCCAACAGGGCAGTCTTCGGTATGTGTCAATGTATTTTTTATATATATATACACACATATATTTATACATATATAAAACAAATATATGTATATTTATATTTTGGGGGGTATATATTCAATAATGAGATTACTCAGTCAAATGGTAATTCTGTTTTAAGTTCTTTGAGAAATCACCACACTACTTTTCACAGTGGCCGAACTAATTTACACTCTTCTGTTTTAAGTTCTTTGAGAAATCACCACACCGCTTTTCGCCGAACTAATTTACACTCTTACCAGCAGTGTATAAGCATTTCCTTTTCTCTGTAACCTTGCCAGAATTTGTTATTTTTTGACTTTTTAATAGTAGCCATTCTGATTGGCATGTGATGGTATCTCATTGTGGTTTTGATTTGCATTTCTCTAATGATCAATAATTTTGAGCTTTTTTTCATATGCTTGTTGGCCACAAATATGTCTTCTTTTGAAAAGCGTCTCTTCATGGTCTTTGCCCACTTTTTAAGGGGGCCGTTTATTTTTGCTTGTAAATTTGTTTAAGTTCCTTATAGATTCTGGATATTAAACCTTTGTCAGATGCATAGTTTGCAAATATTTTCCCTCACTCTGTAGGTTTTCTGTTCACTCTGTATATAGTTTCTTTTGCTGTACAGAAGCTCTTTTGTTTGTTTAATTAGATCCCATTTGTCAATTTCTGTTTTAGTTGCAATTGCTTTTGGCATCTTTGTCATGAAATTATTGCCAAGTCCTATGTCCAGAATTGTATTTTGAAGGTTTTTATAGTTTTAGGTTTCACGTTTAAGTCTTTAATCTATCTCAAGTTGATTTTTATTTTTATTATTTATTTATTTTTATTTTATTTTTTATGGGTTTTTTTTTTGTTTTTTTTTTTTGTTTTGTTTTGTTTTTGAGACAGAGTCTTGCTCTGTTGCCCAGGCTGGAGTACAGTGGCGCGATCTTGGCTCACTGCAACCTCTGCCTCCCGGGTTCAAGCAATTCTCCTGCCTCAGCCTCCGAAGTAGCTGGGACTACAGGTGCACACCTCCATGCCCGGCTAATTTTTTGTATTTTAGTAGAGACAGGGTTTCACCATGTTGTCCAGGCTGGTCCAGAACTCTTGAGCTCAGGCAATCCACCCACCTCAGCTTCCCAAAGTTCTGGGATTACAGGCATGAGCCACAGCGCCTGGCCTTAAGTTGATTTTTATATGATGGGTAAGGTAGAGGCCCAGGCTTGATCTTCTGCATATGGCTAGCCATGTATCCCAGCACCATTTATTGAATAGTGAGTCCTTTCCTCATTGCTTGTTTTTGTCAGGTTTGTCAAAGATCAGATGGTTGTAGATGTGCAGACTTATTTCTGGGTTCTCTATTCTGTTCCATTGGTCTATGTGTCTGTTTTTATACCAATACCATGTTGTTTGGGTTACTGTAGCCCTGTAGTATAATTTGAAGTCAGACAATGTGATGCTTCTAGCTTTGTTCTTTTGCTTAAGATTGCCTTGTCTATTTGGGCTCCTTTTAGGTTCCATAAAAATTTTAAAATAGTTTTTTTTATAATTTTGTGAAGAATGTCATTAGTAGTTTGATAGGAATAACACTGAATCTGTATATTGCTTTTGGCAGTATGGCCATTTTAATAATGTTAATTTTTCCTATCCATAAGCATGGAATGTTTTTCTATTTATTTGTGTCATCTCTGATTTATTTGACTAGTGTTTTCCAATTCTCATAAAAATCTTTCTCCTCCCTGGTTAGCTGTATTCCTAGGGATTTTATTCTTTTTGTGGGAATCATGAATGGGATTGTGTTCCTGATTTGGCTCTCAGCTTGTATGTTTTTGGTATATTGAAGTGTTACTAATTTTTGCATATTGATTTTCTATCTTAAAACTGCTGAAGTTTTTTATCAGCTTTAGGAGCATTTGGGCTGAGACTATGGGGTTTTCTAGATATATAATTATGTCACCTGTGAACTGGGATAATATGACTTCCTCTCTACTTATTTGGATGTCTTTTATTTCTTTGTCTTGCCTGATTGTTCTGGCCAGGACTTCCAATACTGTGTTGAATAGGAGTGGTAAGAGAGGGCTTTCTTGCTTGTTACAGGCAACTAATCAATCAGCACATTTAACCTTTCAGCTACAGTTGACAATAAATAATATATTCTAAATTTTTAAAATTATTTATCTATATGTTTTTCTTTAAATAATCCAAAGTTTCTATAAAGTAGTATGAGTATTTAAATATATAACACATTAATTAGTTTTATGTTATTTAAAGGATAAAACCATTTCAAGAAGGACTATTCTTAGATAGTCCATCTATAACTACTACAAAATACTTCATAAGACCTTATTTTAAAAGGGTGTGAATGTGAATATCCTGATAAGCTTATCTATTTTTATGCTTTTCAGAACAGACTTATGGTTTGTCAAAATTCTAATGCTAATGCATGACAGGGAGAATTATTAGTCCTCAAAAGCTCAAGACCCCTCGAATAAAATATAAAAAGGTTGAGAAAATAATAAGGAAGGATTTTTGTCTAATGTCTTTTAACACACTCCTCTCCAACCATTACAAGGGCTATTCAAAATATTTACTCAAAGCCTATTTGTAGCTTTTCACTGTATATTCCCACCCATAAATACATCAAATATATTAATTTTGAACTAAAATAATAGCATTATTAATAATGTAACTTTAAATCATTTAAATGAAGCAAATTTTGATCTATAAAGACATTTGATATTTATTGCTCATATTATATTTTTTCCACCTTTCTTCTCTCCCATCCCAATTTCCCTACCCCAAAAATGGCAAATGGCACTGAGGTGTGATTAGGCACTAAAAAAAATCAATAATAGCAAAAACCCCACACATACTTTTACACTTTTCATATTGATTTCAAATAATCACAGAGATCAAGTTATCAAACAGCAAGAAAATATAATCAAAACCTTCAACCAACCATGGCCAAAATAACCAATTACTAAAAAATGATGGAAAAATGTATGTATTATGAGATACAAAAGTTTGTTTATATCAAAATGAATAAATAAAATCCAGTGGGCAAGCCGAAACACAAGTAGGTAGAAAATATGTGCTTAAAGCAAAATGACAAGCTGTAATAGTGCCCATAATTTTCTTTTTTTATGTAACTTAATGAAAAAGTTATGATTTCGCATATTCACAGAAATAATGCTGTATCTTAGTTTGACAGTGTAACTGGTTTCACAGCCACCTCCCCACCCCTTTGGGAGTTAATGGGAAATTTATTCTTCTACATCCTCTCCCTACCTCTTACCCAAGTATTCTGAAAGCATACTTTTTTGACCCTTTTTTTTTCATTGATTCTTAGTTTGAATTTAATAATCAAAGACTTAATTTGAATTTGAGTTGAATTTTATTTTTAAAAAGTTTTTCTTTGCCTCGATTATTAGTTTGAGTTTATACAAATAAGTAGAAAACCTACTGACGTAAAGAAATTTTGATTCTTGTATCTCTTGAATATGCAAACTAGCTTTTTAATGCACTAGTCAAAACACTAGATACATTTAGAAGAATATTTGGATGTAAGATGTTAAACCAGGAACAATATAGTTCAACATTTTGATCTTAGTCCTCTTTTGATGTCATTATTTCATAATTTAACATTTTAGCTATATTCACACTGCATTTTGATATACTGTCAGATGTATCAAAATCCAATGAAATATACTTGTATGTATTGTATTTCAAAATACATACATTTACAACTATTTGGTTGCATTACATACATTTTTAAAACCTACTCAATTGAACTTACAATATTTGTTTTTGACTCTTTCAGAGCAGTTCAAAATTTGCCATGATTTTCTCTTGGTCAGAGGGAGCAAGTTATAATTGGTCTTATATTAATTAAACCAGATCAGGACATTATTAGCCTCAACAAAAACAATCAAATTGGGTTCTTTCAGTAGAATCTTTTCCAACTAATATTTCAAATTCTTAACTAATTCTTCCTGCTCAGTCAATTTATACCTAAAGAGTCTATTTGAGACTTTTTGTTCTTCCTTTTATTTTTGTCACTACTTAAAAAAAAATCAGAGGCTTAATTTAGATAATTTTATATATATGTATATACATATGTATTTACTTGGAATATTTAAAATATATTAACTGAGGTCTTGGCAAAAGAAATAAATTTTTAGACATCTTAAAGTTAATTATGTCAATGAAGGTTATAAGAAACAAATTATAGGCACAACATACCAATAATTATTTTAAAATATCATCAGGCAAAACAAATGTTGACTCCTTTATAAGTAAGTCCCAGAAAATGGGGTTCAATTCATTGTCTTCATCTTTGATGTTTAAATTCATGAGGTGCTTGAGAAACTAAAGTTCAAATGATCTAAAAATAGTCACATTTGAAGGAAATTCAAGGTTATTAGATTGCTATCTTGTAGTCTATGTACATTGATGACAAACCTCAGGCGAACATTACAAGTGAAAAGCAACACACCTTCAGGATTTTCTGTTACCTTTTATGTCATCAAAAGACTGTGAAACATAATTTTCTTCTAGAGAACTTCCAAAATTTTACTGATCTCTTTTAACATTTGCAAGTTATTTTATTTTAATTTTTTATTACTCTTAGTAGCTTCAAAAATAAACAACTATACTCTCTTATTAGGAAGTGTTTTTATACCTGACTTGGAAAAAGTCATTTGTCCTTGGTACCTTGACATTCTGATTCCTGTGGCAAACTTTAATAGACATTTCAAGAGGGTTGATTATAAAACAATCTGCAAGCCATTACTCGTAGCTATACTAAACCAGTAGCAATCAATCTCAATGCCTGGGTTCAATCGAGGTAGAAGAAGAGAGCTGCCTGAAACTATGGGTTATTGGAAATCTCACTGATAGGAAACACCAGGAAAATGAATGTTCATCTTCTTGACATTTACTAGGAGGAGAATACCTCATCCTAATTTATTTTGCTCTGGCTCTGTAAAAGTGAATCCGTTGATTTTCTCTGAAATATATTAAACTGCTTCAGGGAAAAATCACTGAAAAACATCAGTGTGTAATTTTTTTAAGTCAGACTACTTAAATTATTTAACTTATATGGTCTGCAGCATTCTAAATTACAAATATATTTTGGTTTAATTCTATTTCTTATCTTTTGCCAAAATGTTTTATTCAACACTCAATATCTTCGACTTTTGTCATGCAATTGAATGGACTTTTCTTACTGCTCCTATTGGGTTTGAGTGGAGCCAGTCCCCGTGGTGAATCGGTCACTGGAGGAAAAGCAATGATGAGGTCAGGATGGACATGCTGGCTCACAGGTGCCTCTCACACTGGGGCTTGTCTCTCAGCAAGCCACATACTAGCCACTCCCAGGAAGACATAATAACATTTTTATGGATTCTAAAAAAATGCAAAAGATAAAATTCTTTTTGCCTTAGTTTTACATTTGCAGTTATTTACAGAAGTCAATAGATATGTCATTTTTGAAATTTTCAACAATAGCCTCTTAAATATAAATAATAATAAATTAGTATATTTCTCAACAGATATGACCACTTTTGAGTCCCTTTTTGACATCTGATGCTTTAGATAATTATCCACCAGCCTCACAAGATGGATTGTTTTGTATATTCATGTGACACCTGATAGCTCTCACAATGTCAAGCCAGTTACTATGAATCTCCTTCATAACAACACTTGGCAGGGCGTTCGGTGAGACCACCCTTAAATAATTATGATCATCATCATGATAATAACAATTCTATTAATGTCCCAGTCAGGGAGAATATGACCCACGGAAAAGAGTTGCTTGAAGGGAGTTTAATAAAGGGACTATTTACAAAGGTGTGAGGTGGTTTAAGGAAAACCAACAAGCAATGGTGAGTAACCACAGCAGGAAAGTCACTATCACCTTTGACCAAAAGAGGTTAAGGGATGGGAGGGTTCAATGGAACCCAGAAAAATTTGAAACTGTAGGGTAAGAGAGGGCACCTGATGTGACATCAAGATTCTCCTTTTGTGCAGAAAGGTAGTCCTTGCCAACCCCGTAGGAAGAAATATAATTATCCAGACTGAATTATTCTCCACTCTCTTCCTGCTGATGCCTTCCTTCATATGAACCCAAGAGAGGAGACTGGTTGATAGTGTTCATAAAATGCAAGGTAGAGAGCACAAGATTGGATCTACAGGAAGCAAAATGAGAGTACTCAGCATACATATTTAGTAAGCACCTGCATGACTTATTTAAATTTTATTACAACTCTTCATCATTTATTGAAAATTTGAACCTCAGCTTTCCAAGACCACATAGATAGTGACTAGTAGAACTAAGATTAAGATTTATATTTGTCTCATCCTAATACCTATGCTGCTTTTACTATGCTATACTCCACACGTGTATTCATGTGCCTTACATAGTCCCAAATACTTCCTTTGCAAATAAGTACGAATTTATTCTCAGACCTCACCCATAATGGCTTTACCTTAAGAAACTATTGAAACTTACTGGAAGCCACTAACTATACCAGGACTCTCCTTAGAATCGAACCATTCCAGAGCCCTGCTTTTGGTTTGCTTTCAGCTCCTACTTACAAAAATCTCAGTAACTCTCATCCTAAAAGCTACATTGTATGTTTCAATATTTGAATATTGAATGAATATTCGATATCGAATATTGAATGAATATTGAAACATTCCACTCTCTTTAACTTTTTGAAATAGTTTCGGTAGAATTGATATTAGCTCTTCTTTAAATGTTTTGATAGAATTCAGCAATAAAGACATCAAGTGCAGTGTTTTACTTTGATGGGAGATTGTTTGTTATTGTTTTAATCTTGTTGCCTGTTGGTGGTCTATTAAAGTTTTCTATTTCTTTATTATTCAATCTTGGTAAGTTGTATGTGTCCAGAAGTTTATCCCTTTCTTCTAGGTTTTCTAATTTGTTGACATATAGTTGTATTTGTAGTGGTTTGTTATAATCTTTTGTATTTCTGTTATATCAGTTGTAATGTTTCCTTTTCATCTCTGATTTTATTTGAGTTTTCTTTGTTTCTTAGTTAATCTTGCTAAAGGTTTGCTGATTTTGTTTATCTTCAAAAAACCAGCTCTTTGATATATTAATTTTTTGTGTGTTTTTTAAAAGTCTCTACTAGGTTTATTTCTGCTCTGATTTTGATTACATATTTATTTCACTTATTTAAGGTTTAGATTGTTCTTGTTTTGCTAGTTTCTTGAGGTATGTCACTAGGTAGTTTATTTGAGATCTTTCTACTTTTCTGATGTAGGCATTTATTGTTATAAATTTCCCTCTCAGATCTGCTTTTGCTGAATCCCATAGATTTTGGTATGTTCTATTTCCACTTTCATATGTCATAAGAAAATTTTCAATTTCTTTTTGATTTTTTCATTGATCCATTGGTCGTTTATGAGCACATTCTTTACTTTCCATGTATTTTTAGTTTTTAAATTTCCTCTTGTTATGGATTTCTAGTTTTATTCCATTTTTGCCAGAAAAGATGCTTGATATAATTTCAGTTTTTAAAAATTTATGCTGCCAGATGTGGTGGCTTATGCCTGTAATCCCAGCACTTTGAGAGGCTGAGGTGGGTGGATCACAAGGTCAAGGGATCGAGACCATCCTGGCCAAAATGGTGAAACCTCTTCTCTACTAAAAATAGAAAAAATTAGCCGAGCATGGTGGCAGGTGACTGTAGTCCCAGCTGCTCAGGAGGCTGAGGCAGGAGAATCACTTGAACCCGGGAGGCGGAGGTTGCAGTGAGCCAAGATGGTGCCACTGCACTCCAGCCTGGCGACAGAGCAAGACTCCTTCTCAAAAAAAAAAAAAAAAAATTACTAAGACTTGTTTTGTATCCCCATTAAATAAGGGCAAAGGACATGAAAAGGAACTTCTCAAAAGAAGATATACATGCAGCCAACAAACATAAGAAAAAAACTCAACATCACTTATCATTAGAGAAATGGAAATCAAAACCACAATGAGATACAATCTCAAACCCGTCAGAATGACTATTATTAAGAAATCATAAAATAACAAATGCTAGCAAGGTTGTGAGGAAAATGGAACATGTATACATTGATGGTGGGTATATAAATTAGTTTAGCCACTGTGGAAAGCAGTTTGGCAATTTCTCAAATAATTTAAAAGGAAACTAACATTTGACCCAGCAATGCCATCATTGGGTATCTATCCAAAGGAATATAAATTATTCTACCATAAAAACACATGCACATGTATGTTCATTGCAGTACTATTCACAATAATAATGACATGGAATCAACCTATATGCCCATCAACGAGGGACTGGATACAGAAAAGCTGGTACATATACATGATGGAATACTATGCAGCCATAAAAAATAAGGAAATTATACCCTTTGCAGAAACATGGATGGAGCTGGAGGCCATTATTCTGAGCAGAATTAGTGTAGAAAAAGAAAACCAAATACTGCATGTTCTCACTTGTAAGTGGGAGCTACACATTAAGTACATCTGAATACAAATAGGTAAACAACAAACACTGGGACCTACTTAAGGGTAGAGGTTGGGAGGAGGGTGAGGATCAAGAAACTACCTATTGGGTACTATGCTCAGTACCTCAGTGACAAAATAATCAGTACACCAAACCCCTACAAAGTGCAATTTACCCATGTAACAAACCTGCACATACACACCCTGAACCTAAAATAAAAGTTGAAAAGAAAAAAAAATACTTGTTTTGTAACCTAATATATAGTATATCATGGAGAATGTATCAGCAGCTGTTGGGTGAAATGTTCTGTAAATGACTGTTAGGTTCATTTGGACTACAGCAGAGTTTAACTGATGTTTATTTGTTAATTTTCTGTCTGGATGCTCTGTCCATTGCTGAAAGTAAGTTACTCAAGTTCCCTATTATTATTGTACTGCAGTAGATCTCTTTGTTTAGGTCTGTTAATATTTGCTGTATGTATTTACATGTTTCAGTACTGGGTATACATATATATATATAATTGTTATATTCTCCTGCTCGTATTGACCCCTTTGTCATTATGTAATGGCCTTCTTTGTCTTTTTAATTACTTTTTACTTAAAGTCTATTTGGTCTGATATAAATATAGCTACTTTTGTTATCTTTCCTTTTTTAATTGCATGCAATATATCTTTCCTTCTGTTCACTTTCAGTCTGTCTTTATAGATGTAGTGATTTCTTGTAGGCAGCACATAGTTGGGTCTTTAAAAAATACATTGAGTCATTCTATGTCTCTTAATTAGATATTTTAGTCCTTTTCCACTCAAGGTTATGACTAATAGGTGACAACTTACTACTGCCATTTTGTTGCTTGTTTCCTAGTTGTTTTGTAACTCTTGTCTTTTTTTTTTTTTTAATCTTTCTTACTGTCTTCCTTTGTGGTCAACTATTTTTCTTCTGTGGTATGTATTAATTTAATGCATTTTCATTTTAGGGCATCTGTTGTAGATTTTTGCTTTGTGATTACCGTGAGGCTTACCAAAACATCTTGTAGTTATAACAAGTTATTTTAAATTGATGACAATTTAACTTTGATTGTAAAAAGAATAAACAAACAAACAAAAGCTAAGAAACTCCAAACCTTAACTCTATTTAGACTCTTTAATGTCTAAATTTACATGTTTTTATATTACCTATGTCTTAACAAATTGTTGTAGTTATTGTTTTCAATAGTTTTATCTTTTAGTCTTTATACTAAAGATATGAGTGGTTTATAAACCACAATTGCAATGTTAGAATACTATAAATTTTTCTGTATATTTCCTTTATCAGGGTGTTTTAGACCTTCAGATGTTTTCTTATTGTGCATTATCATCCTTTTTTTCAGATTGAAGAATTCTCTTTAGCATTTCTTGTAAGACAAGTCTGGTGTGATGAATTTCTTCAACTTTTATCTGTGAATGTGTTTATCTCTGTATTATGTTTGAAGTATATCTCTGCTGGGTACAGTATTATCAGATGGCAGTTTTATTTCCTTCATTACTTTAAATATGTCATCCTACTCCCTCCTAGCCTCTAAAGTTTTCACTAAAAAGCCTACTGCCAGATGTATCAGAGTGCCTTTAAATGTTATTTGCTTCTTTTCTCTTGCTGTATTTAGGATTATCTCTTTGTCTTTAACCTTTGAGAATTTGATTATTGTATGCTTGGAGTAATCTTACTGGGTTCAATCTACTTGATGACTTTCTGATCTTTAAGCTTGCTGTACCAGATATTTATATCTTTCTCAAGGTTTGGAATGTTTTTCATTATTATTGACCTGAAAACATTCCTACTGCTTTATCTTTCTCTGTTCCCTCTTGGAGACCAGTGACTTTCACATTTGCTCTTTTGATTCTATCCCATAGAGAATTCTTTGCTACTTTTCATTCTTCTTTTTTATTAAATTTTCTCTTCTGACCATGTATTTTCAAATAGCCTGTCTTTGGGCCCACTTATCCTTTCTTTTGCTTAATTCTGCTGTTGTGACTTTTTAATGCATTTTCACTTTTTTCCACTGTACTTTATAGTTTCAAAATTTGTTTGATTGTCCATTATTTTAATCTCTGTTAAATTTCTCTAGTAAATATTTGAGTTGCTTCTCTGTTCTCTTAAAATTTGTTGAGTTTTCTCAAAACAGCTGTTTTGAATTCCTTTTCTGTAAGGTCATACATTTTCATATTTTCAGGTAAGTCACTGGTATCATATTGAGTTCACTTGGTGAGATTATATTTTCCTGAACGTTCTAGATGCTTGTGGATGTATGTCGATGTCTAGATATTGAAAAATTAGGCATTTCTTCTAATTTTTGCAGTCTGGCCTTGTTTGTATCTGCCCCTCTTCTGAGGGCCTTGTAGAAATTTAAAGGAGAGTGACTACTAAATTCCCCAAGCCTGTGGTCACTGCATACATTTTAACACTAGAGAGCACCCTAAATCCTGGTTCACTGCAAATACCTTTCAGATTCCTAGGTCTTCACTCCTAGTGGATTTGGAGAAGATCAGGGAGAGTTTTCTGAGTTTCCAAGCAAAGTTCCACATTCACTTCCCTCTCCTTCCTACAAACATAAAAAGTCTTTGTGCTGCATTGCCTGGAGTTGGGGGGAAGAGTAATGCAAGCATCCTTATGTTTACTGCAGCTGGCACCATGCTGTGTTGCACTTGAAGTCTTCCCACACCAGCATCACACCAGGGCTCACCCAAGGCCCGTATCTGCTACTACCTGACTGCCGTTGACATTTATTCAGGACCCAAGGCCACTTTAGTCAGCTTGTGGCAAAGCCAGTCAGGACTGGGTTCATCCTACCAAGGTAGCAGATTCCCTTCTGGCCCAGGGTGATTCTAGAAGTTCTGTCCATGGGCACCAGCCTGGAATCAGAAGACACATGATGCCATGTTTTACCTTGGCTGGGCCTATACTGGGTTCCAAGGCAAAGTCCCATGCAAACTTTTCTCTCCGTCTCCCAAACGGGTGGATTTTCTCTCCATACTGCACTGCTTGGAGTTTGTGGATGGATCATATAAGCAATGTGCGATAGTACATTCTCTTCGATGTTCCTTTTATTGTTATTATGTCAAAATCAAATACTGTGATCTCTCTCCTGATTTCTTTACTCTTGTGAATATTTTTTGCATAGATAGTTGTGCAATTTGTTGTTCCTGTGTGGTGATGATTACCGAAAGGCTCTATTCCACCATCTTGTTCCACCTCCTTCAAGGAGTGTTGATTATATAGATTATTGCCCTGTTTATGGACTGTTTATTTTTCTCTTGGTATAATACTTGTTTTACATATTTTTTCAAAAGATGTTGATTTCAGTGGAGTACTAAGCATTGGAAAAGAGAGCAAGAAAAGGGGAGAGAAAGAGGAAAAGACAGAGAAAAGTGGTCGAGAGATAGAAGATAGAGAGAAAAAAAGTATTTCTAGGTTTCAGTACATAACACAAATTTATTGCCTAATTTATTTATTATTGAAAATGTATTATTAAATTGAATGAGCAGAGCACATGAGTTGCTATTGCTGGAGGCAACCATAAGTCACATTTTGACAGGTTACATGTATTTAATGCAACCATTTATTTTTTATACATGAGAAATGAATACTTTCTTTAGTAATTGCCAAATCGTAGACTTCCAGAAATTCACAGCATCTTTTTAAGGAAAATACATTTACCAAAATGTCATGGGAATTTATTCATATTTCAAAGCAAATTCAGAGGAAATATGTAGAATAGCTTCCTTTTTTCCAAAGGGTGACATTGACGGATAACTTGCATTTTGCTGTATTTTTTTAGCATATTTTACAATTTTTAAATGTTTTGTATATTTCAATAAAATATACTAGATGTAAAAGAGGCTATGTATGGACAGTATAAGGCTATTATGCAGCAATAAGATAAATACTTTTGTTTTTTTTTTTTTCCCCCTTTTATGTTGGGGTGAGAGGAGACGGGATAAATCTATTCATTTGGCTTCACAATTTTTGGAAGATATTTGATAAAGCCAAGAGACTTGTCTTTGTAGCATTTAACTGTGTTTTATGAGACTCATCAGTTAACAATTCACCAGAAATATATAGCACAAACAGTTTACCAAAAGTGAGTAATCTAAAACCAAAAGTGAAAAATAAATTTACTTTCTGGAATGCCAGTGTTTCTAGGGACAAGAAGGTAATCCACAGGTAAATGTAATAATCCAGGTATGTTTTAGTGTTATAATCTGAATTAGGGGGATAGGGTAATGTACAATATAACAAATTCTGAGAAAAACAAATCCAGTGAAATAATTATATTTTATCTTTGGTAGTCTTTAATCCCATAATACAAACTCTCAACATTCAGTACCTCAGGGAATAAATTACTCTTTTGTCTTTGTCATTTAGGTAAGAGAGTGGAATTTTGATTGGAGTAACATATAACAAATCAAGACGTTAGATTGAAATAGTCTAATAAATGTATTTTCCCCTAAATTTATAGTTTCAAAAGCTATTTGAAAGTTGTAAACTTTTTTTCAGAGTTATTAGGAATACTTGGCTGAGCTTTACTGAACACGAGTCTTTCCACTCATTTTTATGCCTATCAATAGGCCAAGTATATCTCATACAATGGCTTTGACAGTGGATTCAAATACATTTTAAAACATAATATGTCCTCCCTATGTAACTTTTCACTCTTATCATAAAATTTTATACTGCATTGTTAATTTTTTTTCTGTTAAAGACTTGTAGGCATTATAACTCATTTTCTTAACTATCTCTAAATCTTCTAGATAGAATAATTAAAGCAAATGCACAGTGGTTACTTAGGTAGAATAGAAATGAGTCACAAAGATATAATTGAATTTCTTTTATATCCATTGTGTTTTCTTTCCATGCTAGGCATGGTTCTATACACAAAGATCTCAAAAATATCCATCAGAGTTTTCCAAATGTAACTCAGTTACTCATCAGGACTGATAGAGTGGCTCCATTTACAGTTCAGGGCATTTTTTTTTTTTTTGAAAAGTAAAAATAAGCAAAACAAAACAAAAATCCTTTCACAATCCTCAAAGCTAGCTTCATTGGTCATTTATTCATTCACTAATTTTAGCAAGTATAATTGAACATATACAATATACTCCTACATGCTGAGGAAGCAAACAGAATCTCCTCTTGTAGGCATTTATATATAAACAAGAAACCATAACCCCATAAATATAACTGTGGGATTTTTTTGTTTGGTTGGTTGGTTGGTTTGGTGGTTTTTTGTTTCTTTCTGCTTTTGTTTCTTCAGAGACAGAGTCTAGCTGTCGCCCAGGCTGGAGTGCAGTAGTGCAATCTTGGCTCACTGCAACCTCTGCCTCCCGGGTTCAAGTGCTTCTCATGTCTCAGCCTCCCAAGTAGCTAGGATTATAGGAACACACCACCATGCCCTGATCATTTTTTTGTATATTTTATGGAGATGGGGCTTTGCCATTTTGCCCAGGCTGGTTGGGAACTACTGAGATCAAGCAATCTTGGCCTCTCAAAGTGGTGTGATTACAGGCATGAGCCGCCTCACCTGGCCAATAATATACATTTTTATGTTATAAAAGAGGTATAGTAAACATAGAGATATATGGATCATTTTAAAATGAAACATTTATTTTTACAAGAAAGGTCAGAGAAGTCTGAAATCTGGACAGGCAGAGGTGAGGAAGAGCTAGAATGTAAGGGGAAGGATCTTCATGGCAGACGGGAGGCAGGACTAGATTGCAGCTCCAGACAGAGCCGTATGCGGGGGCTCACATTGTGAATTTTAGCTCCAGGTCGACTGCAACAACAAACCAGCAATCCTGAGAGGACCCACAGACCCTCTGAATGAAGCAGACTGCTCCTACAAGACCCGGGAGACCTCCCCAAACTTGTGAGTACCCCAACCGTGGAAGCAGGAAAGGAAGATCCTTCTCTCCTGAACACACACTCCCACTGGAAAAGCTGAAGGTTTGTTTACAGGAGAAGTTTCCGACGTTACCTGGAGCTGAGTCAATTTGGAGAGCCAAATGAAATACAGGGATAGAGGAAGCAGCAGAAAGGCCGTAGGATCTTGATGGATCCCCTAGCAGGCCATTCCTGCCTGGCACCACAGGGATGCAATGGGAGAGAAGCACAGGGTAAAAGTACACAGGGAGAAGGAAAGCTCTAGCTGAACTTTGTAACAATTTGTACCGCCTGAGAAGCTTCCTGGCCAGAACTTGGGGGAGGGTGCAAATCCCTTGTGCAGACTCCACAGGCAGAGGAAGAACCAAACCCTTTTCTTTCACAGCTGGGAGGTGGGTAACCTGGGGCAGTTTTCAGATCCTTATTCCTATCCGCCTGGAGACAGACTAGGGCTGTTGCAGGTGGCACAATGGGAGTGAGACTAGCACTTCAGTTTACATGGGAGCTGGGTGAGGCCTGTGACTGCTGGCTTTCCCCCACTTCCCTGACAACCTGCATGACTTAGCAGAGGCAGCCATAATCCTCCTAGGTACACAACTCCAGAGTCCTGGGAATCTCACCCCCATCCCCCACAGCAGCCCCAGTAGGACCTGCACAAGGAAAGTCTGAGCTCAAACAGGCCTAGCTCTGCCACCACCTGATGGTCCTTCCCTACCCACTCTAGTAGCTGAAGACAAAGGGCATATAATTTGGGGAGTTCTAGGGCCCTGCCCAATACTGGTTCCTCCCCATACTACCACAGCTGATGCTCTCTGGAAAGCGCCACCTCCTGGCAGGAGGCCAACCAGCACAAAAACAGAGCATTGAACCACCAAAGCTAAAAACCCTCACTGAGTCCATTTTATGCCCCCACCACCTCCACTGGAACAGGCACTGGTATCCACAGCTGAGAGACACATAGACAGTTCACATCACAGAACTCTGTGCAGACAAGCCCCAGTACCAGCCAGAACCAGGTAGACTTGCCAGGTGGTTAGACCCAGAAGAGAGACAGCAATCACTGCAGTTTGGATCACAGGCAGCCACATCCATAGGAAAAGGGGGCGAGTACTACATCAGAGGAACACCATGTGAAACAAAAGAATCTGAACAACAGCCTTCAGCCCTAGACTGTCATTCTGACAAAGCCTACTCAAATGAGAAGGAACCAGAAAATCAACCTTGGTAATATGACAAAACAAGCTCTTCAGTGCTGCCCAAAAATCATATTACTTCACCAGCAATGGATCCAAACCAAGAAGAAATCCCTGATTTACCTGAAAATGAATTCAGGAGGTTAGTTATTAAGCTAATCAAGGAGGGACCAGATAAAGATGAAGCCCAGTGCAAGGAAATCCAAAAAAAATGATACAAGAAGTAAAGGGAGAAATACTCAAGGAAATAGACAACTTAAATAAAAACACTAAAAAATTCAGGAAACTTCGGACACACTTTTAGAAATGCAAAATGCTCTGGAAAGTCTCAGCAAAGGAACAAGTAGAAGAAAGAAATTCAGAGCTCAAAGACAAAGTCTTTTAGTTAACCCAATCCAATAAAGGCAAAGAAAAAAGAATAAGAAAATATGAACAAATCCTCCAAGAAGTCTGGGATTATGTTAAACTACCAAACCTAAGAATAATCAGTGCTCCTAAGAAAGAAGAGAATTTGAAAAGCTTGGAAAACGTATTTGGGGAAATAATCAAGGAAAACTTCCTCGGACTTGCTAGAGACGTAGACATCCAAATAGGAGAAGCAAAAAGAACATCCGGGAAATTCATTGCAAAAAGATCTTCACCTAGGCACATTGTCATCAGGTTATGCAAAGACGAAGGAAAGAATCTTAAGAGTTGTGAGAGAGAAGCACCAGGTTACTTATAAAGGAAAACCTGTCAGATTAACAGTAGATTTCTCAGCAGAAACCCTACGGTCTAGAAGGGATTGAAGCCCTATCTTCAGCCTCCTCAAACAAGACAATTATCAGCCAAGTATTTTGTATCTAGCAAAACTAAGAATCATCTGTGAAGGAAAAATACAATATTTTTCAGACAAACAAATGTTAAGATAATTTGCCATTACCAAGCCACCACTACAAGAATTGCTAAAAGAAGCTCTAAATCTTGAAATAAATCCTGGAAACACATCAAAATAGAACCTCTTTAAAACACAAACGCAAGTTAAAGAGAAAAAAAAAAAAACACACAAAGTACACAGGCAACAAAGAACACAATGAATGCAATGGCACCTCACATTTCAATGCTAACACCGAATGTAAATGGCCTAAATGCTCCACTTAAATGATACAGAATTGCAGAATGGATAAGGACTCACCAACCAGCCATCTGCTACCTTCAGGAGACTCACCGAACACATAAGCACTCACATAAGCTTAAAGTAAAGGGCTGGAAAAAGGCATTTTATGCAAATGGACACCAAAAGCGAGAGAGCGGGGTTGTTATTCTTCTATCAGATAAAACAAAAAAGACAAGGAGGGAAGCTATATAATGCTAAAAGGCCTTGTCTAACAGGAAAATATCACAATTCTAAACATATATGCACCTAAAACTGGAGCTTCAAAATTTATAAAACAATTACTAATAGACCTAAGAAATGAGATAGACAGCAACACAATAATAGTGGGGGACTTCAATACTCCACTGACAGCACTAGACAGGTTATCAACACAGCAAGTCAACAAAGAAACAATGGATTTAAACTATACCTTGGAACAAATGGACTTAACAGATATATACACAACATATCATCCAACAACCACAGAATACACATACTATTCAACAGCACAAGAAACTTTCTCCAAGATAGACCATATGATAGGCCATAAAATGAGCCTCAGTAAACTTAAAAATTATATGAAGCACTCTCTCAGACCACAGTGGAATAAAACTGGAAATCAACTCCAGCAGGAACCTTCAAAACCATGCAAACACAAGGAAATTAAATAACCTGTTTCTGAATGAGCATTGGGTTAAAAACATAATCAAGATGGAAATTAAAAAATTAAATGACACAACCTATCAAAACCTCTGGGATACAGCAACTGCAGTGACCTGGATGAGATTGGAGACTATTATTCTAAGTGAAGTAATTCAGCAATGGAAAACCAAACATCAATGTTCTCACTGATATGTGGGAGCTAAACTATGAGGACACAAAGGCATAAGAATGATACAATGGCCTTTGGGGACTTGGAGGGAAGAGCGGAACAGGGGCAAGGGATAAAAGACTGCAAATATGGCCGGGCGTGGTAGCTCATACCTGTAATCCCAGCACTTTGGGAGGCCGAGGCAGATGGATCATGAGGTCAGGAGATCAAGACCATCCTGGCCAACATGGTGAAACCCCATCTCTACTAAAAATACAAAAATTAGCTGGGCATGGTGGTGGGTACCCATAATCCCAGCTACTTGGAAGGCTGAGGTGGGAGAATCGCTTGAACCTGGGAGGCTGAGATTGCAGTGAACTGAGATCACGCCACTGCACTCCAGCCTGAGGACAGAGCGAGACTCTGTCTCAAAAAAAAAAAAAAAAAAAAGACTGCAAATATGGTGCAGTGTTTACTGCTTGGGCGATGGGTGCACCAAAACCTCACAAATCACCCCTAAAGAACTTACTCGTGTAACCAAATACCATCTGTAACACAATAACTTCTAGAGTTTTTTTTTAAATTTAAATTAAAAAAAGAACGTAAGGAGAAGAAAGATGTTTCAGGCAGATGTAATAAGGCGAGGAAAGGCACAAAAGCTAAAATATATATGTGGGGGGGAAATGAAGAAAAATATAGAGGGATGTACCTTTACATTTTATGATATAGCTTGGTTATTGGTAGCTTTGAATTTGATGTTAAACAAGAAATGGCTTGAATCTAATCTGGCTACCTATGAAAAGCTATAAAAATAATAATAACAAAAAGCATTCCTTTCTTCACAGCCCTGGATGGTGTGTTATTTTGTTTTGTTTAGCCAAAGGGGAAAATCAAGCACAATTGAATTTAACAAGTCTTTATTAAGAACTTACAAGGGGCAGCACTCTATTAAGCTTATAGAACACATAAGCAGAAGGAATAAGACTAACACAGTGACACAGCAGCACCAGGCCAAAAGAGAAAGGGGGTCCAGGGAGGAGGCCCTGCATGATTATGCCTGGTCAAGTGTTCACTGTCATCTAGTCTGCAGCTTTGGTAGTAAACAGCAAAAACAATACAGTTATGTCAATATATTATTTTCTTATTGTATAAGTACATATATACTTGTGCATGTATTTGTGTTACATTTTATCTCATCCATTATATTTGGTGCCTCTAGAGCTGTGAATTAAACTCCGTAAGTATTACAGTGTTAAGGAACAGTAAGTTACCCAGGTTGACTCTATCAGGATTTGCTATTTCAGTGTTGATACTCAGAAAGGTACCCAGATGAGTGTTACTCATACTTTCCAAACATTTCTGTGTAACAGATTCATTCAAGGTTCTCACCTGAATACCCTGGGTTTTCATTTAGCATACCTTTAGCAGAGGACTCTGGAGAAACTGCTGAAGGTAGTGTGTAGACCATAATATAAGAACACAATTATATAAACTCTGTGTAGTAGGCAAACCCCCATTATTTTGTAATGAATAATCTATCCATTCAGGAAAATAAAATAAATAAAATAAAATGGTTTATTTATATTATTGCAAGTTAAAAAGGTTAACGTTAGTGATTTCTATCTATAATTCTTCTTTTATCTTACACATTATTTCTAAGATGATAAATAAGTTTCATCTTATGTGCCACTAATAATGAGTTCTGGGAGTACTGGCTTGTGAATATTTCTAGGGCTAATCAAGTCGACACTCTAGAGGGAAAAACCTTATGGTCAATAAGCAATGACTGCAATAAATGGCAGAAGTGGAAGTATGCAGTAGGACCAAAGTCTGTGCATACTCACTTTCCTGAGATGTGCTTTACATTGCTTTACTTTTAGCATATTTCTTTTTTTGTTTTCTGAAATTTGGTGACTTATTTTTTTCTTTTTTTCAGGGTTGATGTTTTCTTATTTTTAAAAACATATTTATTTAAATTGACATATTAAATTTTATATATTTATCATGTACAACATAACACTTTGAAGTATGTATACATTGTGGAATGGTTAAATTGAGCTAATAAACATATGCATTACCTTACACAGCTATTTTGTGTGTGTAGTGAGAATACTTAAAATCTACTCTCAGCAATCTTCAAGAATACAATTCATTGTCACCATATTGTGCAACAGGTCTCTTGAACTTATTCCTCTCATTTAACTAAATTTATTTTTTCTTTGCTTAGAAACTTGTTTACCCACCACTTGGACTAATTGTTCAAATCTTCCCTGATGGGGACACAGCCATCTGCATGCAGACTGCCTCCCACCAAGTCCAAGAGCCCCTTCTCTCGCAAAAGGGCTCTCTCTCCACTCACTCTAACACATCAGAGCTGTTCTGTCCCTTCTCTGTTTTTTAAAATTCTTAGCTATCTTGAAGTCACCTTTTTTCCCTTCTCCTCTCCCTGTAATAATTCTAGTTCCATCTAAGGACTATATCAAGTAGTAGTTTCTGGCTTGTTTCCCCAGTGGAATGGTGAATTATTCAGAATTATTATTATTCAGAATTATTTACATGTAAAACAGCATAATGATGTATTTCTAATCTCTACTGTGCCAACACAGTAGAGAGTAAACAGCAAGCTATAAAAAATTGGAAGACAAAGATAACTAAATATATTTTATTTTGGTAATAATGCACTAAAATGTGTAACTTTTTGTTGTTTCCCATTTGAAAACAGTTTACATCAGTACTGGAATGTAATTTGGTAAGCATTAAAAACTCAGTTTATAAGTAATTCTTTAATATTAAACAGTGTTTTTTAGTATCAATTCTACCATAGTATAAAATTATATATTATATGTTTCATATTAGTGTGTATCTGTAGGTATACACATTATACCACACACACATAAATACACTGCAATAAGGAATACTGGATGGAAATTGTGATTATAATAATGCCAGAAATGTTAACCCAACTCTTGCTAAATGCTGTTACATATTAAAGAAGAGAAATGAGAGAAAGAAGGAGAGAAAGAGGAAAGGAAGGAGAGAGGGAGGGAGGCAGGGAGAAAGGAAAGAGGATATCCAAAAAGTTAACTAAGTTTATCCCTAGGTCTCCAAAATCAACATTAAGTGCCTAGTCACATAGTGCCTCATGCGTGTCCGTGTGAAAAGACCACCAAACAGGCTTTGTGTGAGCAACAAGGCTGTTTATTTCACCTGGGTGCAGGCAGGCTGAGTCTGAAAAGAGAGTCAGCAAAGGGTGGTGGGATTATCGTTGGTTCTTATAAGTTTTGGGATAGGCGGTGGAGTTAAGAGCAATGTTTTGGGGGCGGGGGTGGATCTCACAAAGTGCATCCTCAAGGATAAGGAGAATTACAAAGAAACTTTGTAAGGGTGGGGGAGATTAGGGTGGGGCAGAAACCAACCACAATGGTGGAATGTCATCAGTTAAGGCTATTTTCACTTCTGTGGATCTTCAGTTGCTTCAGGCCATCTGGATATATACGTGCGGGTCACTGGGGATATGATGGCTTAGCTTGGGCTCAGAGGCCTGACACATAGAAGTTTAGTTTGATACCTATAAAATCTGTGTTCTCTTTAACCTTTTGAAACACTTGCTAATGAATCACAAAGATAAAAGTCTTTCAAATGTATACACTGAAAACCTATGTAACACTGACAAAATGAAAGTTCTTTAGTCTCTCCCCACCTTTAAATCGAAGAAGTCACTGAGTGAGGATTTAGACTTAAAAGCAATTGTGACTTGCCTATGACTTGCTTGTTATGATGTCACCTTTACCCAAGATTTACTTTGGAACCTATGATTCATTCTGGCATTTTTACATGTCTTTTAATTGTCAAAGTTCAGACTTGGGTTTTTGGTATCTCTAAACTTATCATCGCTAAGAGTCCTTTGTAATAGTCTTTCAAAATTAATGAATCAAATGCTGGTGAGCACATGAATTTCTGAAGCATATATTTTTTTAAAGCCAGGCTTTAAAAGTCAAGGGTGATAAGAAAGAGGATCAAGTAAGTGCTACAGCCAATAATCCAACTCACTCTTCAGTGCTTCTGAATTTAAAATTAGAAGTGTTTCACTACACCTGAATTACTTGAATTACTTTGGCTCAGATAAGTAATTCTAATAGATCAACCCTAGAGATAAACACCTAACTTTAAAATTAGACTCACTGAAATGTCTGCTCTCCTCAAAATATCATTTTACAGGTTGAAGATGTTGTCCTATGAAAATCTAAGATGAGAAACACATTATGTATGATACATTACATGCAACATATAAACTTGACTCACTTCTCAACATTTCACATTTTTGTGTATTTATACAGTTAAAATACAATTCAATGGACTCCTCATTATACTTGTATAACTCTAAAGGGAAATAGTAGAAATAACAGTTATTGTAGTGTTATGCTACTGAAAAAAACTAGTTAGCTTAGGTCAAAGGATAGAAAAATGGAATGGTAAGCAATTACTGAATCATTAAAAGAAAGGAAGAGCTAGATTCCATGAAGCAAGAGATCAAAGGAATAAAACTCAAGCAGAGGTAAATTCATTGCTAGCTCTATTCCCCTTAATGCAATAAAACAAATGAAGAATCAGTTAAGTAGAGAGTACTTTCCATTATATCCAACATACTAATCATTTCTACCCTTCAATGGCTTGTCAAATTTCCATAAGTAAAAAGCATTATTAATATAGAAGTACAGTACATGACCATATTTTTCCTTAGGGATCATGCAATTTCAGAAATTATTAGAGATGGGAGTTAACATTCCTACCTACTCCAGCAAATACCCTTGGGTAGAATGCAAAAGTAAAAAGTGATGTAAATAAACATGGAAGAGCAAATCAGATAAACATGGGGTAAAATGGATATGTAGAGATACTCTACTATAATTTATCAAATCTGTTGTTAATCTATTGAAAAATCTGGGTATGTCATCTTCAAATTGACTACAAAACATGATTGTATTTTCCAAATGGTTAGAAGTAGACACTATTGAAAGGTGACAACGTGTTAGCAGCCCTGGCTCGCTCTTGGCGCTTCCTACGCCTTAACATCCACTCTGGCTGCGCTCCAGGAGCCCTTCAGCCCGCCGCTGCACCATGTGGGCCCCTCTCTGGGGCTGGCCAAGGCCAGAGCCGGCTCCCTCTGTTCCTGGGGAGGTGTGGAGGGAAAGGTGCAGGCGGGAGCCAGGGCTGCATGTGGTGCTCGCGGGCCAACACAGGTTCCCGGTGGGTGCAGGCTCCACGAGCCCCACTCTCAGTGCGTCCTGCCGGTGCCTGCTGGGCTAGATCAGGGAATGAGCTTGCTCTGGGCTGCCAGAGTGCCCGGGCTAGGTGCAGAAAAGTCCTGCAGTGAGTGACAGTGAGAGGTGAAGCCAGCTGGGCTTCTGGAACAGGTAGGGACTTGGAGAACTTTTGTGTCTAGCTAAAAAATTGTAAATGCACCTATCAGCGCTCTGTGTCTAGCTAATGGAGTGGGGACTTGGAGAACTTTTGTGTCTAGGTAAAGGATTGTAAATGCACCAATCAGCACACTCTATCTAGCTAAAGGTTTGTAAACGCACCAATCAGCACTCTGTGTCTAGCTAATCAGGTGGGGGCATGGAGAACTTTTGTGACTAGCTAAAGGACTGAAAACGCACCAATGAGCACTCTGTGTTTAGCTAAAGGTTTGTAAATGCACCAATCAGCTCTCTGTAAAATGGAACAATCAGCAGGATGCGGGTGGGGCCAGATAAGGGTGAATACGGGGAGTAAGAGCCAGCCCCTCCCCCCCCCTCCCCGGCTATTAAGACCCACATCGCAAAGGGGTGAGGCACCCCCCACCATACGGGGAGTAAAAGCCAGCCCCTCTCCCATCCTGGTTATTACGACCCACGGTGGACTCACAGCCTGTTTACGATATTGGGAGTAATATCATCTCCCCCTCTGGAAATTATGAACTATTTCACAGACGAGTGTACACCCTCCGTGTACAGAGGGTGTACACCCGTCTGTATTGGGAGTAATATCATCCTCTTCCTCCCTGAATATTCAGAACAGTATCACAGGAGTGTTTCTACTCCCTGCGATATTGGGTGTCATATCCTCCTCTCCCACGTGGAAATTAGAAACAATATCAGTGGGGGCGTGTACACCGTCTGTGATATTTAAAGTAATATCATCCTCTTCCCTCCAGGATCATGGGAACAATATCCCTGGGGTGTGTACACTTTCTGCGATATATGTAGTAATATCACCCCCTCCGCCTTGGAATATTATTAAGGACCATCTCACACGGGGATGTACACTTCCTGCGATATTGGGAGTAATATCAACCTCTCCGCCTCTGAATATTAGGAACAATATCGCAGGGTGGGTGTACACCTCCTGCTCTATTATGGGGAGTAATACCTATCATGGGGAGTAATATCATCCTCTCCCTTTCAGGATATTAATAACAATATCACAGGGTGGGTGGACACAGCCTGCGATACTGGAATTATTATCATCCTCTCCCCCTCAGGATACTAGGAACAATATCACAGAAGAGGTGTACACTCCCTGCGGTATTGGGAGTAATATCATACACTTCTTCCGTGAATATTAGGAGCAATATCACCGGGTGGCTGTACATTCATTGCTATGTTGGGAGTCATGTCATACTCTACCCCCTGGATATTAGGATCAGTGTCACAGGGTGAGTGTACACCTACTGTGATATTAAAACTAATATCATGCTCACCATCCCTGGATAATAGAAACTATCACAGGTAGGTGTACATCCCCTGCGGTATTAGGAATAATAATATTATTAATTATTAAACAGTCTTAATATTATTAATTATTAAACATCAGTCTTAATAATATCAATGGTAATATTAATTCATAATATACGTTATTAATCATTAATGATTATTTTAAATATATGATTATGCATGATTAAATTATTGCTATTGATGTCATTTTTAATATTAGTTATTAATCGTAATATTATAGTTTTATTACCAAATACTTATGACTGATTTAATCAACATTAATTATATCATTATTTCATTATTAATAGTGATATTGCTATTATTAATAGTAATCATTAATATTTTTAATCCGTATTAACTTTTACTATCTCTATTGTAATTATTAATATCGATGATTACTATTAATTGTTATATTTATTAATATTAATAATATAACTGTTCCCGATATCCGTGGGGGAGAGGATATTACTCCCAATATCGCAGAAAGTATACAGCCCTCTATGATGTTACTCCTAATAGCCAGGGCGTAGAGGATGACATTATTGAAAATATCGCAGTGGATGTACATCCGTTCAGTCATCTTGTTCCTAGTATCCTGGGTGGGAGTGGATGATATGAATCCCAATATCGAAGAGGGCATAGACCTCCCCCGTGATACTGTCCCTAACATCCAAAGGTGGAGAGGATGATATTTCTTCCAGTTTCGCAGGGGTTGTACACCACTCCTGTGATATTGATCCTAATATCCAGGGGGCGAGAGGATGATCTTAGTCTCACTATTGCAGGAGGTGTACACTCCCTAGGGATATTGTTCCTAATATCCAGGGACAGAGAGGATGATATCACTCCCAATATAGCAGGGAATGGACACCCCTTCTGTGACATTGTTCCTAATAGCCAGCAGGGGAGAGGAAGATATTACCCCCAATATCACAGGGGGTATGCACCCCCTTGTGATATTGTTCCTTATATCCTGGGAGGGAGAGGATGATATTAGTGGAAATATCCCAGGGGCTGTACACACCTACTGTGATATTGTTCCAAATATCCTGACGGGGGAAAATGATATTACTCACAATATCGCGGGGGGTATATATCCTCCTGTGATATTGTTTCTTATATTCAGGGGGAGAGGATGATATTACTCGAAATATGACAGTGGCTTTACACCCCATCTGTGATATTGCTCCTAATTTCCCGCAGCTAAAGTAGGATGTTCCTCCCAATAGAGCAGTGGGTGGACACTTGCCCTGTGATATTTCCCCGACTATTCAGGGAAACCCAGGATGACATGACCGCAAATCCCACAAAAAGTGTACACCCATTGTGTGATATGGTTCCTAATATGCGGAGGTGCAGAGGATGATATTAGTTTTCATATCACAGGCTGCGTACACACACCCTGTGAAATTGTTCCTAAGAGCAGGAAAAAAGAGAATGCTAATAAAGGACAGAGATCACAGGGGGGTGAGGCACCCCCCACCCCGCGATACAGGGAGTAAGAGCCAGCCCCTCTCCCCCGCCCCGGCTATTACGACCCACATCGCAGGGGTGTGAGGCACCCTCCGCGATACGGGGAGTAAGAGCCAGCCCCTCTCCCCCGCTGGCCATTACGACCCATATTGCAGGCATGTGAGGCATCCTCCGTGATACGGGGAGTGAGAGCCAGCCCCTCTCCACCCCCGCCCGGCTTATACTGCCAAAGCCATCAAAAAGGGGAAGGAGAGGGGAGAACAGCAGCATAAGTGGCTGGCACAGGCAGAGAAATGCCTGCAGAGAGAAAAAGACAGAAAGTCAAAGAGAGTGAGACAGAGAGGAAGAGACAGACAGAAAGTCAAAGAGAGAAGGAGAAATGGAGGTAGTGGGGAGAAAAAAGTGTACCTTATTCCTTTAAAAGCCAGGGTAAATTTAAAATGAATAATTGATAATTGAAGATCTCTGTAACCCTGTGACACTCCAATGCCACCTTGCTGTCAGTGTATTCAGGGGCGTGGCCCGAGAGCGCTGAGGCCACTGAAGGCCAGTAGCCTAATAATTAGGCCAGTAGGCCTAATAATTGGTCTGCTCAAATGTGTGAGCTGTTTGCACTCAGCCAAACCTTGAAGTACTTACAGAATCAGGAAGGAGCCATCTATACTAATTCTAAGTTAATATGGACTGAACGAGGTCTTATTAATAGCAAAGAATAATAATTGAAATCCCAAACTTACTAACCTAAAGTAAGTTTGCTAAAATTTCACAGTGTAACATATATTATCCTAACTTTTAATCTTATGGAAATCAAACACTATAAGTACCCCTCAAAGCTTAAGTCCATCAGCGCAGAGCCATACAACTAATACCCCTACTTATAGGGTTAGGAATGGCTACTGCTACAGGAACCGGAATAGCCAGTTTATCTACTTCATTATCCTGCTACCACACACTCTCAAAGGATTTCTCAGACAGTCTGCAAGAAATGAAGAAATCTATCCTTACTGAAGAAATCTATCCTTACTCTGCAGTCTCAAATAGACTCTTTAGAAGCAGTGACTCTCCAAAACCGCCGAGGCCTAGACCTCCTCACTGTTGAGAAAGGAGGATTCTGCACCTTCTTAGGGGAAGAGTGTTGTTTTTACACTAACCAGTCAGGGATAGTACGAGATGCTACACGGCATTTACAGGAAAAGGCTTCTGAAATCAGACAATGCCTTTCAAACTCTTATACCAACCTCTGGAGTCGGGCAACATGGCTTCTCCCCTTTCTACGTCCCATAGCAGCCATCTTGCTGTTACTCACCTTTGGACCCTGTATTTTCAACCTTCTTGTCAAATTTGTTTCCTCTAGAGTCCAGGCCATCAAGCTACAGATGGTCTTACAAATGGAACCCCAAATTAGCTCAACTAATAACTTCTACTGAGGACCTCTGGACTGATCCGCTGGCCCTTCCACTGGTCTAAAGAGTTCCCCTCTGGAGAACACTACAACTACAAGGCCCCCTTTTCACCCCTATCCAGCAGGAAGTAGCTAGAGCGGTCATCGGCCAAATTCCCAACAGCAGTTGGGGTGTCCTGTTTAGAGGGGCGATTGACAGGTGACAACGTGCTGGCAGCCCCCGCTTGCTCTTGGTGCCTCCTCAGCCTTGGCATCCGCTCTGGCCATGCTCAAGGAGCCCTTCAGCCTGCCACTACGCCATGGGGGCCACTCTCTGGGGCTGGCTGAGGCTGGAGCTGGCTCCCTCTGCTCATGGGGAGGTGTGGAGAGAGAGGTGTGGGCAGGAGCCTGGGCTGTGCATGGCCTTCACGGGCCAGTGCTGGTTCCTGGTGGGTGTGGTCTCTGCGAGCCCCACACTCAGTGCAGCCAGCCAGCGCCTGCTGGGCTGGATTGGGGGATGAGCTCCCTCTGGGCTGCCTGAGTGCCTGGGCTAGGTGCCACAAAGTCCTGCAGCAAGTGCCAGCGAGAGGTGAAGCTAGCTGGGCTTCTGGGATGGGTGGGGACTTGGAGAACTTTTGTGTCTTGCTAAAGGATTGTAAATGCACCAATCAGCACTCTGTGTTTAGCTAAAGGTTTATAAATGCACCAATCAGCACTCTGTCAAAACGGACCAATCAGCTCTCTGTAAAATGCACCAATCAGGTGTGTGTAAAATGCACAACAGCAGGATGTGGGTGGGGCCAGATAAGGGAATAAAAGCAGGCCACCTGAGCTAGCAGTGGCAACCCGCTTGGGTCCGCTTCCACGCTGTGAAGCTTTGTTCTTTCACTCTTTGCAATAAATCTTGGTGCTGCTCACTCTTTGGGTCCGTGCCACCTTTATGAGCTGTAACACTCACCACGAAGGTCTGCAGCTTCACTTCTGAGGCCAGCGAGACCAAGAACCCAGTGGAAGGAATGAACAACTAAGATGCGTAACACTCACCGCAAAGGTCTGTAGCTTCACTCCTGAAGTCAGCGAGACCACGAACCCACCAGAAGGAAGAATCTCTGGACACATCTGAACATCTGAAGGAAAAAACTCCGGACACACCATCTTTAAGAACTGTAATACTCACTGGGAGGGTCTGTGGCTTCATTCTTAAAGTCAGGGAGACCAAGAACCCACCAATTCCGGAAACACTATTTCATGGTCTGTTATAATATGGAATGATATGCAAAGTTAATTATTTCAGTTTATACATGAACAAAGTAAAACCTTAAAGTTTTCTTTGATGTTCCACAGGCTTTTACTCTTTCCTAGACCCTTGGTCACCCATATTCCTCAGAAAGTTGTGCAGCCATTTTGTGTTCTCTTATGCACCGCTCACCACTGAAGTGTCCAATGTAGCGTCAGTTTACCCTTTTAGGTAACATCCATGTTCTACTTGTTATATCAGTACTCTGCCTTCAAAATGGAATTCCTCCGTTTGACCCATTTCTCAACAGAAGGTTCTTTTCTGGGCTAGGTCAAATCCATTAAGCTGAAAAACGTATCCATGCTAATGATCAGTCATAGGTTAATTGCTCACCCCATTTGAAAGTATATGTTCATTATAACAGGCATTTCTAGGCATTATCTTAATCTGTGGTTTATTGAAGAAATTTCAGATACCATAATAGATGACATATAGTGAAGTGCATAGATGATTAAGATTTTCTAAGGACATTCCAAGTGAGAGGTAAAATAAAGAACAGCAAAATAGAATGGATTCCAACACCCTGCTTCAAAACTCAGAGATATAAAAAGGGTTCATAGGCATACCACTTGGGAAATTGTTGATAAAATCCCCAAAACATTAAGCTGATGAGAGATATGGTTAGATGGTTTTAGAAGTCTTCTATCTACATAAATGTGAAGTCAGTTTCCTTGGAAGCCACTTCAGTAACTGATATGGTTTGGTTGTAT
Source organism: Homo sapiens (assembly GCF_000001405.40). NCBI lineage: Eukaryota > Metazoa > Chordata > Mammalia > Primates > Hominidae > Homo > Homo sapiens. The sequence continues at coordinate 54,319,506 of NC_000013.11, forward strand.
CTCCACCCAAATCTCATCTTGAATTGGAAGCCACTTCAGTAACTGATATGGTTTGGTTGTATCTCCACCCAAATCTCATCTTGAATTGTAGCTCTCATAATTCCCATGTGTTGTGGGAGGGACTCGGTGGGAGGTAATCGAATCATGGGGACGGGTATTTCTTTTTCTTGTAATAGTGAATAAGTCTCATGAGATCTGATGGTTTTATAAAGGGGAGTTCCCCTGCACATGCTCTCTTACCTGCCACCTTATAAGTAAGACGTGGCTTTGCTCCTCTTTCACCTTCTGCCATGACAGTGAGGCCTCCCCAGCCATGTGGAATTCTAAGTCAATTAAACCTCCTTTCCTTTATAAATTACTCAGCCTTGAGTATGTCTTTATTAGCAGTGTGAGAACAGACTAATACATTCCATCTCTTTAATTTACTAATCATTCCATCTCTGTAATTTACCAACAGTTAATACAAACAATTTCATCTTTTAAAACTTTATGTTTACATCTGTGGGATTCTTGGGGTCAAGGCATATGAATACATGTGTTCAGAAACCAGATAACTGAATATAAAGGTTTTTTTAAATAAAAACTACTATTATCACCAGACTTAATATTATTTCCACAGGTAATCTTTACTTTGATTCAAGAGATGAAGCAAAACTAAGCCTATCCTAGAGATTTAAAATCTAGAACACACTGCCACAGACATGAATAAAATGCATAAGGGCAATTTCAAAGTAATAAAAAGAAAAGTAAACAAAAAAGTTAATGAAATAATTTATTTCCATTATTAGATAAAGGGTTAAAATTAATTGAAAATCTTATCAATTGGTAAATATTTTATTCAATTTATATAATAGCATAAATGTTATATCTTTATAGACTACCTTTGCAAGAAGATTTCTGATATAGTTTGGATGTTTGTCCTCTCCAAATCTCATGTTGAAATGTAATCCCCAGTGTTGGAGGTGTGGCCTGGTAGGAAGTGTTTGGGTCATGGGGGCAGATGCCTCATCCCTCATGAATTGCTTGGTGCTATCCTCATTATAGTGAGTGAGTTCTCCTGCGATCTGGTTGTTTAAAAGTGTGTGGCACCACCTCCTCTTTCTCTTGATCCTGCTCTTGCCATGTGATGTGTGGGCTCTCATTTCAACTTCTGTCATGTTTGTAAGCTTCCCAAGGCCTCATCAGAAGCAGATGCCAGCACCTTCCTGCAAAGCCTGCAGAACCATGAGCCAATTACACTCCTTTCCTTTATAAATTACCCAGCCTCAGGTAGTTATAAAAACATGGCCTAATATACTTTCTAAAATCATATCAAAAAGAGACTCTTACTAATAAATTCTAAACAAATATATATAAAGTAAGAATTCTTGGGAGGAATTATAAAGGGATTGAAAAATAACATAAAACTACAGAAAAGTTTCAGAACATCTTCTCAGTGACCTTGAACTCTTGTGTCTTCACATCACTGAATCCTTTGCAGACCTTCCCTAGCACCAGCCTGGCTTGTGGCAGCCCCCCAGGGTGGCTAGACCCAGAATAGCAGCAGGAGTCAACAGTAGTCTGGCCCTCAGGAATTGCCACTCTTCAGGGAAGAGGGAGTGCACCACAGCAAGGGAGCACCCCGTGGGACAAAAGAAACCAGCGCGTGAGTTTTGTGTGTCCCGGAACTTCCCACTTGTGGGCAGGGAGCAGTTGCAGTTCTTTCAGCAAAAGTACAAACTCAGTTCTGGGTTCATTGTGGAGAAGACTGTGGTTCTGCCCCATCAGTCATGCAGCCCCAGTGCTAATGAAGGGATCAGTAGAAGGGGACTTCTCTCCCTCCCCATCACTGCAGACACATCCAAGGCTTCTTCAACTGGAACTCAGCCTGGGTGCACCTGTAGATGGCATTTATGGAGCATTTTGAGGTGCAGTCCCACAGGAGGTATGCTCTTTAGTCTCAGGCTTGCAAGAGGGGCAGGGTCCCGATCCCTCTCTCCCTGGAACATCAGCATTGCTAGTGATGGACAGAGGTGTTCGCCTGATCTGAATATCTGGAACACGGGGACAGAGGCATCATAAGGAGGCAGATTGCTTTCCTATTGGCCTGATAGTAGAGCAGCTCCTTTCCTTCCTGCTGAGAAGACCTAACAACATTTTACCAGGAGCTCCCCGAGCCTCCTCTGTCTGGGCTGAGGGTTTACTCACCATTGGGGTATTGCGTATACCCACCTGTTTCAGGTGCAGCCAGTTCTTATCCATGAGCATCTCCTAATAGCCTGAAGACTGAACTATTCAACCCATTGAAAAAAAATTCTGGGAAAAGTGTACACCACTGGGGACTGAGAAAAGCTTCATGAGACCTCTTTCATCCTGGCCTTACAGGAGACAGTGAGACTGTTCACACACTGTGATGGTTAATATTAGGTGTCAACCTGATTGGATTGAAAGATGCCTAGAGAGCTGATAGAGCATTGTTTTGGGGCGTGAGGGTGTTGCCAGAGGAGATTGACATTTGAGTCAGTAGACTAGGAGAGGAAATCTGCCCTAAATGTGGGTGAAGCACCATCCAATTGGCTGCCACTGCGGCTGAGACAAAGGAGGCAGAAGAAGGTGGGATAAGCTGGCCTGCCGAGTCTTCTGGCTTTCATCTATCCCCCATGCTGGATGCTTCCTTATGTTCCTCATGCTCTTGAACATCAGAATCCAGTTTCTTCTGCCTTTGAATTCTTCAACTTAAACCATAGAATACTATGCAGCTGTTAAAAAACCATGTCCTTTTCAGCAACATGGATGGAGCTGGAGGCCATTATCCTAAGCAAATTAACGCAGCAACAGAAAACCAAATACTGCATATTCTCACTTATAAGTGGGTGCTAAACAACTGGAACACATGGACACTAGGAGGGGAACAACAGACGCTGGGGGGTACTCGAGGGTGGAGGGTGGAATGAGGGACAGGATCAAAAAAACTACCTATTAGGTACTATGCTTATTACATAGGTGATGAAATTATCTGTACACAAAACCTCCATGACATGCAATTTACCTATGTGACAAATCTGCTCATGTATCCTTGACCTATAATAAAAGTTACAAAAAAATTAGTGGCCCATAATTAGAGTTTACGGTGATAAAAAAAGGCTAAATATAATGAACTCACCATAGTACATATTATACAGTAGATGCAAAATCGTGGCTACTTTGCTTCTCAGGATCGAATACTAAACAAAAGAAAAATAAGTATATATCAACATTTACATTGGCAAATACATTTATCTTCAGTTGATTAGAGCAAATACGATGCTGTCAGACAATGCGAGCTCTACTGAGTTGAATTTACTTCCTAATTTTAAATTCTGTACAATAAAAGCAAGACAATCTCAATTTAAAGCCAAATTGTTTTATACAGCAAGTTTTATATGTATGTGAATTCTAGTTTGTTTGTGTGCCTAATTAATGAGTTACAATATGCAGTCAGTGATTAATAATGAGTGGATGAGTCTAGATAACATTGGGCTGTCTGATTTTTGCAAGTCTCTCAGAATCATGATGTATTTCTTTTCAAGCATGAATCTTGAAAACTCACAGGCTGTGAAGGGAGGGCTTAGGTTTCAGAAAAATACCTCAGTGATAAAGAAGAGATTGTCTGTTGTGTCATGACCTCTCAAGCAGCAATTCTATAAATAAGATGACACAAAGCAGCATGGCAGGCGTGTACCTATGATAACTCAAGTGTGTATTATAGAAATCAAGAAATTATTACATTGTGGCCTATTTGGCCAATTTTTAATTAGAAGCATTAGTATGAGTTCTGTATTTTTGAAATTGAATGAGTAAACTCATGTTGAGCAAGGAGGATGATAAATAAGAATCCATGGGTGATTTATCACTTCTTCCTGGAGAGCACCTTTAGCAATAGCAAATGTAAATTAAGATGATACTACAAAACAGATTAGTGGAAAATAGTGTGCAGAATTCCAGAGAGATTAACAATTAGGACGGAAGGTATTTAAAAATCACAAAGGAAACTCAAGTGCCTACTAGTCTTGGAAAGAATTTGTGTTTATCTAGTTTCTTTAGTCCAAGAATCTCAGTACATTTAAATGGATTTTAAATTTACTTTCACATACTAAAGTATCCACACTGTAATTTAAATCCTACAGATCAAAATAAAAATCAAAGTGTCCTAACTTTATTGAGAACTACAAAACAGAAAGAAAGCTACTAATGAATCTCTCTTGGTAAATTATTCACAGACACATACATGGGGAAGATGAGCAGAAAACACTGCACTTCACTAATACTGTGTGGCAGGATAATTTACTGGAAAATTCATTTGTGTTTTATTTTCTCTGCTGAGGAACAATCAGAAAGAATGAGAGAGTTCATTGTGTTTTGTGCTCTGCATTTTTTCTTATGTTCTGTGAGGGTCTTTGTAGATTTTTTTTTTTTTTGCCTCAGGGGATTTTCAGGGCCTAAAGCAGAAAGTACTTGAAAATAACCTCTTTTTCGGGTTTTTGTTAAAGTACAAACTGGGGGTCGCAAATTCAAACTGACAAAGCCAGGCAGGTATCTAAACGAACAAAGCAGACTGAGTTTAATTTGTTACTCATAGGCTCAATTAAGTGGCTTAATTGACTATATAGGAATAGTCTTTATTTTCTTTAGGAATATACTTTATTCCATTTTTCTTAAAATACTTAACATTTTGGTTCATCTTTTTTTTTTCCTTGATAGTGTCAAAGAAAGATTGCACTAGCATTAAACAGGAAGGAAGGTTTTACTCAAGGCTAGTAAAATAGGGGTCAAGACTTGCAGTAGAGAAGAGAAATTGAACTCCACTTCACTGAAACAAAAGACTGTAAGAGTTTTTAAGCACTGGACTGAACTAATGGAAAAATACTGGAGGGCTTTTGATGGGAGGTTGGTCAACGTAATTAGGTCATCTGTGTTTGCTAAGAGGTGCCCACTGAAGGTAGGCTTCCACTCACTCAAAGAGATTTAGACATAAGGGCACTATGTTTTACATTCTGAAAAGATGCATTCCAGGTTTGTCAGAAAGAAATTTCTGGGTTGTAAAATTGGCAAGAGGCTGGGAGAAGGTTTACATCTAAAGAGAAAGAATTTATAATTGCAAGTTTTCTAAAGTAATTGCTCTTAGAAACGTGGACTAAACAGAGTCTCACTTTCATATTTTTCTTATGGTCTTATTTATTTAGTTTTTGAGAGGTTGGAGGAAGTTGAAATCTTTCTTTATAGTGATTTACAGAAAGTTGCTGAAAGAAAAGGATGCCTGAAGAAGTAACTTGGTGGCTTAAATATTAAATTCTCTAAGCTAGGTCATATTCTTCATGTCTCCAATTTGACTAAAACAATATGTCACAATATAAATGAATTGTGAATTTATTTTGAGTGAATTCAACTGAATTATATAATTGTAAAAACAGGATGAAAACACATTGAACATATATATGTATATATATCAAAGAATATATATACTCTGTTATCAGGTAAAGAAATAGAGGCAAAAATAAGTCCCAGAACCTATTGTCAGAAAACAAGTAAAACCCCAAAGCACTAGGCTTATGAGTGCAACTGGGTGGAAGCTTCAATAGTGTGATTTAGAGGAAGCTAAACTCATCTATCAAAACTATCTTTTTGGCAGAAGGTCATGGTACTCATCATTTTATTTAAGTTTTTTTTAGAGATAAGATATTGATTTTTAAAAATGTTTATATGTTATTATAAAGGAGTTTATGCAAGTATAAATTCAACTCTGTAGGAAAAGCTCTTGGAAATTCTCTTCCTTTATTTCATATTTTAGTGCATAAGGTTGGGTTCATTATACTCCTTGGATCTAATCTGGGCTCACTGTATTTTTTTCTTTGAGGCTTACTGCTCTTTCTTTACTTGCTCCCACTGAGAAGTTTTCTATGTGTTTTCGTGAATTGTGTATTGTTGTTTTGTGTGCATATATTTTAATGTATATAAATTGTGCCACAGATCTCATTTTTTTTGCAAAAAGCACTGTACTTTTGAATTATGTTTATGTTTTTATGTATAGATCTATTGCTTCTATTTTCTACTTGAATTTCATGTTGTGCATTGATTACACTTTACTTGTCTATTGTGACAATGATGGACAATTTGATTGACTCTAATTGTCTGCACCCACAGTAATGCTGTGGCAAGCACTCTTGTTTGTTTCCATTAGAAATCTTTATAAGAATTATCTAAGAAGGGTATTTTGGGGTTATAAGTTATCTTATTTATACAATCATCAACAATTGATTCCCCAGAATGAATACACCAGCCTTCTCTTTCACTAGCAGTGCACGGACATTCCTATACCACATCTTCACCCACACTTGCAATATAATGGATGTAAAATAATACTTCATTGTGCTTTAATTTTCAATTATTTACCTACTAAGTAATTTAATCATGATTGTGATAAGTTTGTTAACATTTTGTGTTTTACCTTCTGTTAGTTGCATGTTTGTGTCTTGTACCCATTTCTTTCTAATACGATTTCTGTCTTTTCCTTGTTGCCATATAGAAGTTCATTATTTGCTCCACATATAAAATGCTTAATTTTGTAATAATCAAATTTTCAATATTTTAACTTTTGTTTTTTGCCTTTGTTGTTTCTGCTGTTAGAAGTCCTTAGCTACTCCAGGGAAGCAAAGATCATTATATTAATTCCAATTAATTTTAAAGTTTAATCATTCATATTATAGGTATTTCTAAGTTTTAGTTTGAAGACCTTTACCCATACTATCTCATGGATCTAGTTATTTTACATGTCCTTTAAAACAGAGGAAAGTGACAATCAGTAGAATAAAGGATAAAAATGCATCATAAAAAATAAATATACATACCCTTAGACAGAGAAGAATACAAAAAAAGGTATATTTCACAGGATTAAATCACATAAAAATTGTTAAATAGTAATGTTATGGCCTGAATTATATCCTGGCAAAATTCATATGTCAACACCTTAACCCCCAGTACCTTAGAATGTGACTGCATTTGGAGATAAGGTATTTTATTTTATTTTATTTTACTTTATTTTATTTTTTGAAAAGGAGTCTTGCTCTGTTGCCCAGGCTGGAGTGCAGTGGCACAATCTCGGCTCACTGCAACCTCCACTTCCCAGGTTCAAGTGAATCTCCAGCCTCAGCCTCCTGAGTAGCTGGGACTACAGGCGTATGCCACCCTGTCTGGCTAATTTTTTTTTATTTTTAATAGAGACCAGGTTTCATCATGTTGGCCAGGCTGGTCTCGAACTCCTGACCTCAGGTGATCCGCTCACCACGGCCTCCCAAAGTGCTGGAATTACAGGCATAAGCCACAGTGCCTGGCCAGCAATAAGGTATTTTAGAGAGAAAATTATGCTAAAATGAGGTCCTTAGGATAGGCCCTAATCCAATCTGACTGACATCCTGATAAAAAAAAACTAATACAAGTGGGTAAACATGCAATAGAATTTTATGTTGAATCATCAGAAAACCTTTCTGCCACTAAATACTATCAAGATTGCAAGATAATTACTCCAGATAAATAATGACAATCACTTCCCATGAAAATATTTACAGCTACTAATGATAAATGCTAAAATATTTGTTGTATCAACTTGTGCTTAACAGGTAGGAGTGTAGATTGTTAGGTCATTTTTAAACTTTCATGCTCTATTAACTATTGTTCATTGTTTGCCTAGCTATGCTATTGTAAAAAGAAATGTTGTAAAGTCTTGGTATACATAATGAAGCAGAAAAACAATGCATTTGTACATAAATTAAGCTATTAGCTTAATTTCTTTCAAGTAACAATTTTAAACAGATGCTGATTCACTCTGCTAAAATAGGTTGTTTATTCGTTAACCAAACATAAATTATAATAATAGTTACTCCTATTTCCTAGTTCCCTTAATATTCTATTTCTCATCCAAATAAATGGCTCTTTATTAGAATAACAGTGACTACTGTCCTTATGCAAATAAAAGTGAGGTATATTCCCATTTGTTATCAATGCTTTGACAGCAGAAGCTCAAGTTCAAAAATGATGTTTTTTTCTTAAATAGACCTCTTTCAACCTTTAGAAACCCTGTTGGTCTGAGATAGGATTTTTAATGTACTCAGTGCTTTGATGATAACCAGAGCAATGGCTGTATGCAACTGTCAATAAATACACATGGGAAGAAAAAGCATTATGAAATAACTCAAGATAAAATTTATTGGTGAGAATTGGAGCCACTATCATCAGTCAACTGTCTCCTTTCATTTCACCTAGGTATATTGCTTTTAATTTTTTTCAGCTTACCAAGGATCACATTGCAGAAGCTAAAGGAATAGTAAGGACTCACTCATTGATTTATAGAATGTTCAAGCCTCCTGGTTTTAACTGGACTGAAGTTTATCTGAGTAATTCTTATATACCTAGATGATGACACCTTCTTAGAGTGGTGATAAAACACCAACTCTGTTCAACATTAAACCAGCCAGGCATAGAGGACAGCCACCTTCTCTCATCCTCATTCCTGTTGATAAGATTATATATCACTGAGACAACAGCACGTCTAATTCAAGATATGAACTGCCTCTTTGTTCTCTCACATGTAGCGAGGAAAAGCATTTCAAAGTTTTCCATCTCTCTAGAACTAATCATGACAAGTTGATTCTCACTAGGTGACAACATTTTACTCAGCTCTATCAGAAGATGTGCACTGTAAACCAATTTGAAATACATTCAGAGAACTTGGCCTTTAGAATCTTATAATCTTATCTTTATTTTCACAAAATAGGATAAACAGCTGAGAGAAAAAAACATATGGAGCATATGCAGAGAGTCACTATTTCCCTCTCCTTCTTTCTCTGTCTTTGCTCTCACTCTTGCTCTGTCTCAATCCCTCTCTCCCTTTCATTCTTGCTCTGACACTTTCTTGCTCATAGTGCAAGGGATGCACTAGTGTTGTTTTGACCAGGAGTTCAAATCCTGATTTTGGTTCTTAATATATGAAAAACTTAATAATATCTTTATTAGTAAAATAAAGCTAGTAACACTTACCTCATAGTCTTATGGTAAGAGTTAAAATTATCTATTAAAATACTCACATGCTTAGCATAGTGTCTGGCAAACATTTATCTCTTAATAAATGTTAGTATGTTCAAACTCCATCCCTATGTTGGATTTTGAAAAAGATATTTTACACTTTTGGTTTTCAGTCTGGCATGTAAGATGCTTGAAAGTCACCACTCTATCTAACAAGTAAAATCATGTACGAACTAAACTATCAACGACCCTTTTTACATCCTTAAGAGAAGTGAGGTCATAGAGGAAGCACTGCCCCCAAACTGAAGATACCAATAGACAAATACAAAGCAAAAATGTGTGAGCTGAAACCTCCATGGGAACCAGAGCTGGTGTAGAGAAACCAGAACTGGAACTGACAAATCACTGGAGGCTCAGTGTGAACAAGTGTGGGTTAAAGGATCCAGGGGAACCCTGTCACTGGGGTCACCCCCACACTTTGGTGACTTTTACCTTCTGAAGCTCTACCAGGTTCTCATAGTGAATATCTGAGAAACATCTCCTGCTTCTAACGGGGAGGGGTAAAGAATCTATTTGAAACATGCCAGATCACTGTGTCCTTCTGAACAAGGTCTGCCCTTAAGAGAAACTGCTTAACCAGAACCTAACTGCTGGAATTTTATCAGAGCTTAGGTGACCTGGGGGAAGAGAAACATTCAGCTTCAGCCAGAGCTAGCCTTCCACGTGGGAGAAGGGAAACATCAAACTCCAGTCCACTGCAGTTATCCTGTTTCATGTAAGTCAGAGAAGCACTGAGAAAAAAGAGTGAAGCCCACAGTTCAGAGGCAAAGACTTACTAAAAGAGTCATGTTTAATCTAATGATAGGTCTATAGAATACCTCCCTACCCCCATATTTTACCCCCATAGTACTGAAAGCCTATTTACAGCAGTACCCAGGACATCATGTTCAGCTACAGAGAAAAATTTGCATTACATACTGAAGGCAATAATAATAATAACAAATACATAGTCTGAAGAGACAGAGCAAGCATCATAACAAGACTCAAATATGGCAGAGATGTTGAAATAATTAGAGCAGAAATTGTAAACAACTATAATTAGTATTCTAAGGGTTCTAATGTATAAAGTAGCTTGCATGAAAGACGGGATTGGCAATGTAAACAGAAAGATGGAAATTCTAATAACAAAAAGAAGTAGTAGAGATAAAAAAACACTTCCACAGAAATGAAGGATGTCTTTGACAGGACTATGAGTAGGCTGGACATGGCTGAGGAAAGTATCTCTGAATTTGAAGATATCTCAACAGAAAACTCCCAAACTAAAAAGCAAACAGGAAAAATCCAGAAACACAAGACAGGTATACAAGAACTTAAAGACAACTACAACAGATATAACATAGGCATAATGGAAATAATAGAAGAAGAAGAAAATGAGAAAGAAGAAGAAATAATTGAAACACTATAATACCTGAGAATTTCTCCAGATTAGTCAAATAGCAAACCACACATAATAGTAAGCTCAGAAAACATTGAGTGGATAAACTTCAAAAACCTTATACTTAAATATGTTATTTTCAAACTCCAGAAAATCAAAGATAAAGAAAAAATTGAAAAATGCCAGTGTAATGGGGGACAGCTTACCTACATATGGGCAAAGATAAGAATTATATCTGAATTTTCCTCAGAAATAATGCAAGCAAGATGTGAAAGGAGTAACAAATTTAAACTTGGAAAGAAAAAAAACCCACCAACTAGAATTTTGTACTCTGTGAAGTTATCCTTCAAACTGAAGGAGAAATAATGACTCAGAAACAAGGTAAGGATATCCCCTTTTACCACTGCTTTTCAACATAACAGACAGCCATAGCCAATGCAATAAGATAAGAAAAGGAAATAAAAGGCTTACTGGTTTGGAAAAAAGAAATGAAACTGTCTTTGTTTGCAGATGAATAAACATCTGAGTAAAATGTCTCTAATCATTGACAATAAAATTCCTAGAGCACATGTGATTATAGCAAAGTTGCAGGATACAGGGTTAGTATATTAATACAAAATTGCTTTTCTCTATGCCACAATGAACAAGTGGGATTTAAAATTAAAAACACTAGACCATTTACATGAGCACTTAAAGCATGAAACATTTATGTATAACTCTAACAAAAAATGTACTATATCAGGAAAATGAAAAATCTCTGATGAAAGAAATACATGGAAAAAATATTTCATGTTTATGAGTAAGACTCAATATCGTCAAGATGTAAATTATGCACAATTTGATCTATAGATTCAATGCAATCCCAATCAAAGTCTCAGAAAGTTATTTGGTGGATATTGACAACCTGATTCTAAAATTTATGTTGAGAGGCAAAAGATCCAGAATAGCCAACACAATATTGAAGGAGAAAAATAAAGATGGAGAACTGATACTACTAAACCTCAAGACTTACTATAAAGCTACAGAAATTAAGGCTGTGTGGTACTGGTGAAAGAAGAGACGGAAAAATAAATGAAACAGTATAAAGAGTGCAGAAATAAAACACTTACATATAGTCGACTGCTTTTTACAAAGGAGTGAAGACAATACAATGAACAAATACAGTCTTTTCAACAAAGTGCTGGAACAACTGGACACCCACATGTAAAAAATTGAATCTAGACACATATCTAATGCTCTTCACAAAAATTAAGTCAAAATGAATTATGGACCTAAATGTAAAACACAAAACTATAAAACTCCCAGGAAATAACCTAGGAGACAATTTAGATGACCTTGGTTATGGCAATGCCTTTTTTAGACACAACATCAAAAGTACAATCATGAATTATGTAATTCGTGTTAAATTTTATTAAAATTAAAAATATCTTCTCTGTGAAAGACACTGTCAAGTGAATAAAAAGACATGCCACAGACTGAGAGAAAAACATTTGAAAATATACACATCTGATAAAAGACTGTTATCCAAAATATGCAAAAACCTCTTAAAACTCAGCAATAACAACACAAAATCTGTATTAAAAATGGGTCAAAGACCTTAGCAGATACTTCACCAAAGAAAAAATACAGATGGCAAATAAGCAAATAAAAAAGTCATATGTTATATACTAGGGAATTGCAAATTAAAACAACCATGAGATACCACTGTGTCCCTATTAGAATGGCCAAACACCTATTAGAATGGCATAAGTCCGAAACGTTGACTGTTGAAGATGTGATGAGAATTCTCATTTATTACTGGTAAGAAAGAAAATAGTACAGCAATTTTGGAAAGCAGTTTGGCTGTTTCTTACAAAACTAAACACACTCTTACCATGTGATCCAGCAACTGTACTCCCTGGTATTTACCCAAAGGAGTTGAAAATCTATGTCCACAAAGAAACTTACACACAGTTGTTTATAGCATCTTTAATAATAATTGACAAAATTTGGAAGCAACAAAAATATCATTCAGTAGGTGATTGGAGAAATAAACTGTAGTACATCTAGGAGATGGAATGTTACTCAACACCAAAAAGAGATAAGCTATAAAGCCATGAGAAGGCAGGAGAGAGCCTGAATGTACATTATATTTAGTATGTAATGTTAGTAATATGTAATATGAAAGAAGCCAATCTGAAAAGGCCACATAATATATGATTCTAATTGTATGGTGTCTTGGACAAGGTAAACGAAGGAAACAATAAATAGATCAGTTGTTGCCAGGGGTTCCACATGGAGGAATAAATAAATAGGTGAAATGCAGAAGAACTTAATCTTGGCAAAGTTTTTTCTCATATGACTTCAAAAGCGTAAGCAATATTAAAGTTTTTCCACTGTGTTTTCTTCTAGAAGTTTTACAGTTTTAGGTCTTATATTTAAGTCCTTAACCTATTTTAAGTTGATTGTTGTGTGTGGGCTGATAGGAGTCTAACTTCATTTTTCTGCATATGGATATCCAGTTTTCTCAGCCCCACTTATTGATGAGACTGCCCTTTCTCCATTGTGTGTTCTTGTCATCTCTTTCAAAGATCAGTTGACTTTAGATGTGTGTATTTATTTCTGCTCTCTCTTCTGTTCCATTGGTCTATTGTCTATTATTATACCAGTACCAAGCTGTTTTGATTACTATGCCTTTGTAGTAGATTTTGAAATCAGGTAATGTGATTACACAACTTTGTTCTTTTTTGTGCAAAATTGCTTTGGCTATTTGAGGTCTTTTGTGGTTCCATATAAATTTTAGGATTACTTTTGTCTATTTCTATAAAAAATATCATTGGAATTTTGATACAGATTGTACTGCATCTGTAGATTTCCTTGTGTAGTATGGACTTTTTGATGATCTTAATTCTTCCAATCCATTAACATGAGTTTTTTTATTTACTTGTGTTTTCTTTAATTTCTTTCATCAGTGTTTTATAGTTTTTGGTGGACAGACCTTTAACCTCCTTGGTTAAATTAATTCCTAAGCATTTTCTGTTTTGAATTTGTTGTAAAGGGAATTGATTTTTTGCTTTTTTTCAGATAGTTCATTGTTCATATATAGATATGCTACTGATTTTTTATGTTGATTTTATGTTCTGCAACTTTGCTGAACTTATTTGTCAGTTTAACAATTTTTTTTTGGTCTTTTTTTTTCAGGGTTTTCAATTTATAATATTATGTCATCTTAAAACAAAAAGTTTCATTCTTTCTTTCAATGTGGTTGCCTTTTGTTTTTATTTTTATTTATTTTTTAGTGTTACAGTATTAAGCAGATGGGAAAATAATTTGTCATACTGCTATAAAAATTTGTGAACATTTTTTCTCTGTTTTTGCTCTTCCTTTATGGTGGACCATTATAAAACAGTTCATGGACACACGGAGGTCCACTGTCTAATATTTGAACTTCACTGTTCTAATGTATTTTTATAGGTCACTAGTGACTGTACACACACACACACTTTTCTTTTTAAGTGAGTGAGGAAAGGTAAAGATAAGAAGTTATTCAATAGGCATAGATGATTTAAAGTATTAAACATGTTTTGAATATATCCATATATTCAGTATTGAACTTTCAATATTATGTTAAGGCCCATTCACTGAAGCAAAATCAATAAAACAAACAAAAAAATTCCTTAATGAAAAACAAGTAGCCCTTCTTTCAAGATGGAATGGCTGATTAAAAAAAAAAAGTTTAAACAAAAATGCAAAACACTATACATGTAGGTGCCAAGATGAGTGACTTTCCATTTAGAAAAATTAGAAATCAGTATAGTTAGAAAAGTTGTCCTCTTCCTTTAGACTCTGCAATCTTTATGGAGGACTTAACTTTCGGCAAAAGTAACTAAACTTGAGGTGAACTTCCCAGTGTTTTCAATGCATTGTAAGATCGGAAATTATTCCTCCTCCTTAGGAGCCTACAGAAGGCCAGCCAGAAAGTGGCAAATGGCTGTAACACCTGGGAAACCTGATGTATATGGTGGCAAAGAGAAAACTTCCTCTTCACCCTCTGAAGGTTCATTGAAATATCAACTCACAAAAGGCAGGTTAATTGGAGAAAAGGCACATAAATTTATTTAACCTGTATAGACAGTGAGACTCACAGATTACCCACTCACTACCCCATTCCCAGTGTGATTCAGAAGCTTATATACCATCCTGGCTAAACAGATTATGGAGGGGGAAGAAGAGGAATTCCACTGAAGGGAAATAAAGGATTACTAGGCAGAATGAATGCATGCAGGAACAGAGATTAACTTGTAAATAGTAATTTTTTTTTTTTTTTTTGACAGCAAAATGGTCTGTTCAGGTGTGGTTATACATTTTATCTTACAGGGAGAGGAAGAATAAACTGTTCTTGTTGGGTCTGGATTCTAGGCAGATAAAGGAACTTCAACTTATTTAAGAAAGATAGTGGGGTGGGGGGAGGGCTAAACAGACTATAAGCTTTCCTCAGTTGTCATGTCAATACGCCATATTTTGGGGTACTAGCTTCTGAGTCCCAACATGTGTTCATACAACATGAAAAGAAAGATAGGACTGGGTCTCCATTATCATGTGAACTGCCGTGGAGAAGGTACAAAAGGAGGGCTTAAAGGCAAGACTACAAGGAGTCCAGTCAAAAACTAGAAAGATGGACGAAACTACAAGAAATCTAAAATAAGGATTAGGAAAATAGAGAGTTAGGGCTTCAAGGGAGGATCTATGTGAGAAACTCTCTGAAGCCAGAAGAGTAGTCTGATTTTCCTTTTTTTTTTTTTTTTTCACTCTCAAACTATTATCTCTGGTTTTGTGTGTTACAGGTAATGAATTAGTTTAATTTTCAACTTCTAGACCTCCAGTATTACATTGCTTTATCATACGTTACCGGGATCCTAAAAAACAAATACATATACAAAAACAGAAAATAAACATCACCTCCACAAGTGGTTACTGTGCATTAATCCAGAATGGGTGGTGATCGGGATGAGTTGGGGGGTGGGGTTCAGCACCTATTAGAAAGACTGCAACTACTCTTGTGGTCTAATGGAACATAGGTTTTTCTTTAGGAGAGATTAATCGGGAGTGAGGTCTGCCTAAACCTGAGATGAGAAGAATTTGTCTCCTGAGAATAATGATGGATATCCCTCAAGAATTGAAGATGGGCCAGGTAACAAGCTTATCAGAAAGACTACTCTTGTGTAAAATAAACAATCTGAAAGGATCAGAATTCTAAAAGAATATGTTGATTATTCCTATTGAATAATAATTATTTATTATTTCACACTGATTAATGTGATATATCAATTTCATGAGCAAGTATTTGCTGAACATCTACTATATTCATAGCATTGTGTTAGTCACTGCCACGGAGATGCTGGATAATCTATCTGGAGAGACAGAAATGACAAAGGCAAGGTATAGCATAGTGTGCTATATAATTAGATGCTGTCTTAGCTCATTTTTTGCTGCTATAACAGAATACTACTGACTGAGTAATTTATAAAGAACAGAAATTTATTCTCTCACAATTCTGGAGGGTGGGAAGTCCAACATCAGGGTACCAGCATGTTGTGAAGGCCTTCTTGCTGCATCCTTACATGGCAGAAAACAGAAAGGCAAGTAAGGGATCAACTCTGTGACCTCATATGGCAGAAGAGCAGAAGAAAAAGAACCCAGGCCGCAAAGCCGTTTTTTTTTTTTTTAAGACAGAGTCTTGCTCTGTCGCCAGAGCAGAAGAGCAGAAGAAAAGGAACCCAATCCCCCAAGCCCCCCACTTTTTTTTTTTTTATTCTGGTTCTGTTGCCCATGCTGGAGTGCAGTGGCGCCATCTCGGCTCACTGCAAGCTCTGCCTCCCGGGTTCACGCCATTCTCCTGCCTCAGCCTCCCAAGTAGCTGGGACTACAGGCGCCCACCACCACGCCCCCCTAATTTTTTTGTATTTTTAGTAGAGACGGGGTTTCACTGTGTTAGCCAGGATGGTCTCGATCTCCTGACATCGTGATCTGCCTACCTCGGCCTCTGAAAATGCTGGGATTGCAGGCGTGAGCCACCACGCCCGGCCCCAAGCCCTTTTTAACAGCAGCATTAATCCATTCATGAGGGCAGAGATTTAATCACCTAAACACCTTCAGTTAGGTCCCACTTTCCAAAACTGTTGCATTGCAGACTAAATGTTCAACACGTGAATTTTGAGAAACACATTCAGACCATAGCAGATGCTAAATTCGGTTGTGCAAACATTAGGTCATAAAACATGGGAAAGGTTATCAGTGTGGGGTGTATAAGGAAGCAAGGAATTCTCCCAGGAGATGAAGGAGAAGTTAGCCATAAATGACAAGGAATATGCGGATAGGAGCAAATTATGGAAGACACAGAGGACCCAGTGGGAAGTGCTTACATTGCGAACCCCAGTCAATTAGAATATGATCCCTTCCTTGGAAATAGGATCCAATGAAGTGAGAAAATTAATCCCCCTCACAAAGAGCCATCTCAAGGCCTCAAAGTACTCATTTTATCATTACATTTGTAACAGTGTATTTATAACATCACATCACTTTCAAAAATTTATTCACATGGCTTATATTTCAGATTTTTAAAAATTTTTTGGTATCTGAAATTCCAACTTTCCTGTTCATACCCCGTTACTTGTTCCCAGTCCCAGGGACATCTGCTTTATTGCCCTGTTTTATTGTTTTTTCACTGATTGATAAATACAGGCAAACTGGAACAGAATAACTTATGTACAGATATGATGCTTGCTTATTGATCACTACAGTGATCAATAGTGTTATATCCCATGAATTCGGTAGTTCTGCTAGAACAATAACAGCCTGAGTTTTTTGCAAGTAAATCAGTATGATTGTCCTCTACCATGCATGTCTTTCAGAATCTGCATAGTGTAGGGATTATCATTATATAATAAAGTCCCTTCTCTTCTGACCATCTACATGCTTTTGGATATTATAAACCTGGAAATTGATTTTCCCCAAAAGAATCTATAATATATTTTCACTGAGTAAGATGCCTGCCACTTAGTGGTAGTCACAGGTGCTGGTCCCGTGCTAAGAGATCTTAGGAATGAGTCATGCTGGGGAAGAAATTGCTTTAACATTTCAAGGGCAATATCTCAAAGCTAAAAAGTAGTATCTTTTCCATGTCATGAGTACAAATAAGAAGCATTCCATTCACACACAGATGCTCTTTTCCCATTTATCTTTGTCCTGGAGTATTTTTTCTTAGGAATATGGGGTTCTGCTTTTAATTCCAATTTTCCTGTGTGGTGAAACTTTCTGGCACATCTCAGGAACTAGAACATATTAGGGAAACAGAGAAACAGTATTTGCCTTGAAAGAGTTGCTGGACAATCTTTGCTTTGATTGTGATGGATCATACAGAAGGCTCTGTGAGATTTAAGCAGCTACATTTTTCAGGGTCCCTTGTTAGAGCTATAGTCACTTACCCTGACTGGTCCAAAGAATGAATATAATGAAACACTTTCTTTTGCCTGGGTAATAAAAGATCAGTGAAAACTGATAGCATACTTGATGGTTTTGCAGCTTAGAGATCTCATCAGTATCTAAATCTGTCATAATGTATGTTTAACAAAAAAGAAGAGCATTTGGAGAACTGACTTGTTTCATTAAGTTACTGCTACATTCTCATAGCCAGATAGGAGAGTCTATCATTGTTATCTTAGCAACAAGACACTGGCTTGCTACTGACACCACCTTGGTGGGAATGATTTTAAGCAATTCATGTTCTCAGCCTGCCTGCCTCCCACACCAACATACTCTCTGTGACTTGTATAACCATGGAAAATGAGTTTGCATTTTCCTTGATGGCTATGGATATGTGACTCAAAGGGGTTATTTTTAGAGAAAATGGAAACAAGATGAGTTGATAGACTTAATACAAATCATTTAGAAATTATTTATAGGTCTTTGGTGTCATCAACAGTGAGAGATACATAAAGATGCAAGCTAGGGAGTAATAACAGCTTCTTTTAGAGTTGAAAAGGTTATCTGATGTGATGGCAAGTGAACTACTGTCATATACTTGGACATATGCATAGGCATCTACATGGGAATTTTACCACATGGGATGACATTATTATTGAATATTACAGAACACTTGAGCTGCACTATTCATCAGAAAATCTAAAGTTACTCAGATGAACGCTAATAGCAAACATAAGGCAACATTGACACAAAGTCTCCTAATTAAAATAAGTTGAAGGGAAATAAACTAAATTGTCCAGCCACACTTTATATTGTAAAGATGAGATTTTCTACTGTTGCATTTGTAAACTTTAATTCTTTCTAAAATATTTGAGTTTCTTCTTAGATCACAATATATTCTAATAACCTTAATTTTGTAGGTAAATTACTCTTCTAATTATCTGTAATTAGCTAATTTTAAAGTTAGTTATCATGTTAGAGACCTTTCCTTTTAGAGTAGATGTACACAAGTTTCCATTCCCAATCTGTAGCTCTCTTTCTCAATTATGCTTAAAAAACTAGAGTACTAGCATTATTTCTGTAGTATATTATAGTATATAAGATTATGTGGTTTTGTTTAAGTCAAGTCAAGTTTTAAATGCCATGTGTGCTAGCTACTCCATTGCTGAAAATTTGGGTAAGTAATTGAAATTCACTAAATTTGAATTTCTTCATTTACAAAATGTGGAAACATAGTGCTTGTACTATACCATATATTAAATCAACAGGGTTTTTGTGAGGATGGATTAATTTTAGAAATAGTTCTTTGACCAGTATCTGGTTTAAGTAAACACTCAATATTTTTAATGGATAAAAATTATTGTATTCTTAAGTACCTAATCTATGTTTACTAAGTATAACTTACTTGATTTCACTAAATCTTCTTTCTCAGAATTCTACTTAGCTCTATGGAAAAAAAGTCAAGTGCATTTTAGATATTTAACTTCTCTCCCTAAAACAGTGGCATTCTTGGCTCAGTTAAATATTGTTAGGGATAATATTGCCTTTATCATGAAAGAACTATACATAGAACTTTGAGAGTCATGAATATCACAATTATACTTCACTCCTAAAATCTTAAATCATCCTCTGTTGTAGTATTTGCTTATCGTCTCCCATTTTATAAATGCATTAATGTTCTTGATTAATTAAAAAGGGTGAAATTTCATTCACGTTTAAATTAGATCCAACTCAAGGGAGAGCTGTGAATAGAACTTGCATCCACTGGATTGTCAAAAAGTAGTCATTTCTGTTTTACATGATTAGCTAAAACAGCCGACTCATGGCTTTTTGGAAACAACACTCTTCCTCCAGGGCCACCCATGGGTCCCTTAGCAGCCTGGTTGGAAAGCAAATGCTCTATGTAATTGACAAATAATTCTTACCCATGAATAAATAACTGTGCTGACCTTCAGGCTGTTGCCTATAGAACATGATGCAAATTCCTTCAATTTTTATTTTTTTACTTTTTAATATTTCTTGAAGTATTTTACTATTTCTCCCTTCTGTCAAAACATATCAATGTCACTTTGCAAAACTTTGATCCATAATGCCACTGTTCCACCTTTTCTTCCTTCTCTGTATAAATATCCATCACGGTTGACATTTAACATTCACAAATCATTGTAGCAGATTTCACTTATGCATGATTGGGTATGATTTTCTAAATTTAGACATGTGTTTGGTTCATCCAGAAAGTTTTCCAAATTCTTTATATTCATAGATTAATAAGTTAAATAAATTACATTTTTTTCACAGAACAAATTTGTATAAATAGACTACTTGAAGTCTTTCGTTTCTCAGGTTAAAATGTAGATATCTCATTTCCAGCCAATTAAAATTAATTATTTTTATTTGATGTTACATATTGTGTTATATATTAATAAACTAGTTTATATTATAATAGGCATTTCACTCAATCATATAGGAACTACATTCAGAGAACCACAATTAGAAGACTCCAGCAGTGACTTTTGATAAAGTTGAATCATACTTCTGCTTGATATCTTATGTACGTTGGATTCCCTGTTCTTTTAATACTTTATCTACTACAGGATTGGCCCCTGTAGATTAAATAAGACTCCACTTTTGGGCTTTGCAAAGAAGTGGCCACAAATCTTAAGTGTTGGTTCAAACACTAGCTTTTTTTTTTGTCTACTGTAATAGTAATTACCCATACTTAAGTCTCACAGAAGATTAAGGTAGAATCTTCCTTAGGATACTTCTTTTATTTTTTCTTAGACACAAGATTTTCTATGACAGAGGGAATTGTCAGTCCATTAATATCTTCTAATAGAAACAGTTTGATCATATATACATATATATCCACATATTAAAATTTTGTTCTTCAGGTTTTCACCTTAAACCAATATTTGATTAATTTTAAATTCAAGAACAATTCTTAACAACATACTGAAAGGACATTATTATAACATGATTTTCTCTAACATCAGTCCTGCTGTTTGGACCAAAAAAAGAAACCTAAGTTTAGGATTTATATATATGTTTATATCCTAAACACACACACACACACACACACACACACACACACATATATCTTAAACAGATGAATACTTATATGCATGCACACTTATGAATATATAAATATATACATATAAATGCACAGGTATACATGTGTACATATCTGATGAGTTTGTGTGATATACATTCATAAACATATATAGACAAATATATCTGCATTGTGCATAATTGAATAAATTATAAATTTTATTTTAACTATCAAATGGCCCAGTAATTGCAAATCATGGGCATTTAGTTTAAGGCAGATATAGAGGACAAGAATAGAGAAATAGCTACAGACCAAGGCATGAAAAGTGGCCAATCCAGAGCACAGTGAAACCAGTATAGAGCTGGAGATGGAGAGGGCCACATTTCCACTCTCACAGAGCTTGCTTAACTTTGTAGTTAACTATTCCTGTGTGGCATAACTGCGTGAAAACTCCCACCATAGCCACTCTTTCCCGAGACTCTCAGTTCCAACCACGGTCACCACAAATTTTTAATGAGAGTTAACATTCTCCCAAAGTAAGCTGGAGCCAAACTATATATATCTTTGCAGCCTGATCGTCTAGTCCTCTTCTATTGCTGATTCTTATTTATTGTCCTATTCCTCCCAATGTAAAACAGGACCCACTGCCAACATATACTAAGTCTTTAAGCGCTTTGCCGAAAGCCATCTTATCCGGGTAGTTCAAATAGAAGTCATCTCTCCTCCCAGAAGAGGCAGCTCACTCTAGAGTGTAAAGCTGATTGAGGTTAGTGAGGGAGAAACTTCTGCCCCCACCTGTAGGCTCTCAGCCAGGCATCTTTGTGCAGGGCACAATTGGCACAGCCGTACCTGTCAGCCTTAATGGGAAGCCTACGCTTGGCCACATTGCTTATGTAGAATAACTTGTAATCGCTTAAACTAACTTAATTTTCTTAGACCCCTGCTGTAATTCTTAACACACTAGTCTATGTCATTTTGGGAACTAGCCAAAATCATGGAGGGCTCCCTCCTTTTCACAAATCTCCCCATTAATTAATTGCTTAGTTCTTCAAAGCAGTGAGATGAAATTTCAGAACACTATTAGATAGAAATAATTTGAAAAAATTTTTTTCAAGTGACTTTTTTCGGAATTCTTCCAAAACAAAAGAGATTGGCAAAGAGTTTTGCCAAAGTCAAGCTTAATGGTTACTATGTAGTAACTGCTTCAAAAGGGACTGTTTTTTTGTCCTCCTCTGAAACACAGATGTTCGACAGTGATGGCATTCAATTATTACATTTCCTTTTTTTGAAACATTGAAAGAAGGATTTTTTTTAGTCTCTAGAATAAACACACAAAAGTAGCAAGCAAACAAAATTTTAGTTGGAGGACAGGTAGAAAAAAATATTTCCATCTCTTTTTTTTCCCTTAAACAAAATAGATAAAATATATTTTGGGCTGGAATGTTCACAGTAGAGACAGTTTATCAATTATATTTCTTTCAGAAAGAAGAAAGCATTGTGGCTTGGTTGATGTACAGAAAGAGCTCTTACTGAATCCAGTAGCATTCCCAGTGCTGTTGAAGGTGTAAATCACTCTAAAGGCTTTGGTGTATGCAGTCCTGGATTCAAATCCTATCTCTGAAAGCTTGAAGAAGAGAGTTGACATTTCTGGAGCACACAAATCAACTCATTAAATAATGGTATCTATAAATATAACATAATCCATAATTTAATGGGCCACAAAATCCTTTATAGAATCAAATGGTTTTCTAATTGTCTGAGAATGTTTACATAAAATAGAGCTATGAAAGATGAGCCTTCTGGGTGACTGTTATTTCTTTGTTTGTTTTTCTTTAGACAAATGAATATCTTTTCTGACTTCGATAGCACACATACTAGAATTAGAAAATACCAAGGAGATCATTGTGGCCCCTGGGCATGGGTGATCTATATCATCGTTCCCCAACCCCTGGGCCATGGACCTGTACTGGCTTATGGCCTGTTGGGAACCGGGTCACACAGCTGGAGGTGAGTGGCAGGTGTGCAAGCATTGCTGCCTGAGCTCCGCCTCCTGTCAGATCAACTGGGGCATTAGATTCTCACAGGAGTGCAAACCATATTGTGAATTGCACATGAGAGGGATCTAAGTTTCGTGCTCCTTATGAGAATCCAGTGCCTGATGATCTGAGGTGGAAGTTTCATCCCCAAAATATCCCCCACTCCCACCACTCCCCCGCCTCCCTGCCCCCATCCATGGACAAATTGTCTTCCACCAAGCCAGTCCCTAGTGCCAAAAAGGTTGGGGACCACTGATCTATATTGTCTAAAGTGAAAATTCACTGTAGAAATATACAGAATAACTTATTTAAGACTCACTTTACTAAAACCCCTTCTAGATTTATTGAGATATTCACAATTACAAACAATCTGTGAACCAGGAAGGTAGATTTGGATTATATATCAATGTTCAAGGGCAGTGCTTGATATAAATGCTACCACTGGCTTAATCAAGAAGTAATTATCATCTAAAAATAGTGGCCTAGGGGTTTTTCTAAAGAAGCCTGGATCTTGAGTTGCAGGAGCCTCCAAAATGCATACAGAGCAATCCAAAGATAGAATGTAGATTGTTGATAGTTCTTTAACTTCTCTCCACTTAGGCGTTATTTCTCATAGTATAACTTGACAAATAATTGTAGCCAGCAATTCTTATTTAGAAATGCACCTGTAGATATTGTTTCCAGTGAAATACAGGCTTGAAACACCACCTTTATTTACCTATGCAAAATTAGCAAGTTGTACATAAAGGAAAATTATGAGATACAGCAGCGTGATACCTAAATTAAAGTGTGAATAAAATCTTCATAATGCTGCGTGTAAAGATATAAAATAATAAGAAGTCCAGTTAAGGATCCATATCTGTCACACCAATAAAACATGATAAAATACATTAAACAGAGATGTGAACTATTTATTATAAAAAGAAGGAATGGCAACAGACACCATCTGTATGAGTGTACTTTCTAAAGCAGTAATTGGTTAATTGTATAATTTAGATATCTTACTTAAATCAAGTTTATATTTCACCATGAATTTCAGTATTACATTAATGACTATTGTAATGAAGTCATTAAATCTGAAAGTCAATATTAATTTACTATAAGAGGACTCTTAGTGACTTACATTGGCAGGTGAGAAGGAATAGTTTAGTATTATCTATTTGATTATTTCATAACCTATGTGCAGACCATAAAGCAGTTTCTGGTTGCTAAATTTTTAGTTCAGTTATAATTACTTGATATTGAAATACACCATATTATAGCAGCTTTTCACTGGTAATCATATCATGATTATTCATGATTATCTTTACCACATTTTTTTCACACAGTATTTTTTATATGTAAAGTTTGTTTTATGGAGTAATCAAATTCAAATATTTTAACTGACTCAGGGGAAAAAAGAAGTATCTTGATCACTTTTTTTTTTTCCCTGTGTCCAATGCCTCATGGAATATTGACAACTCCTTTAAACTTTTTTGGCTAATTTCGTCGTAAAACTTATTCTCAGATTCCTAAGTTGTATGCTTATTCTGCCCTGTTTTAATTTTTTTAAACTATTTTATCTACTAATTTGCTTCTATAGAGGTGGGAATTTAGTTCTGAAACCTACCCTCTACCTCCATCCAGTGAGCACACACATACTTGTGTATGGATGTGCAACCTTACGTACCTGCACAGACTTCCTCTCCTCTCAAGCTCCTTATATAACTATATCCATTTTGGTTAAAGCAATATTTAGTGTTTGCGTTATTAACGCAATGTTAATATTATTCAGTGCTAAGTCATGCAATGCACTATGATTATATTTGCTTTCTCAAACCATTTTCTATTGACCTGGAGGCAATTATTGCCATCTTTATTTGCTTCATTTTCTTTGTCATAATCAGTATTCAGCCTGAAACTCCACAAGGGAAATATAAATCTCTGTTCAAAACATTTAAAACATATCACATACTCTATAACATTTCTTATTTTCTTGGCTATTTCCCTTCTAGACACTTTCTTATTTTTCTCCTATCTTGCCCAATTGCTTTCTAGGCCTGCTGCGTAGCTGTCATCCTAGGAGGACTGTCACCTTCCCCTTTTATTCTTATATTACTATGCCTTTTTATATGGAGTGCATCACATGGCTTCTCCACAAGAAAGGATGAATATGAAAAAAATGTGTAAATATGTATACCTGAATTTTGTTTTCTTTTAAATTTTAGCCCTACACATGTTTGAACATATAACTTGGTATAGCATGCTATTTGCGGATTAATATTACCTCCAAATTTTGAAGGTAGTGTTCCATTATGTTGTAGCTTTTTGATATTTAGAAGTTTAATCCCATATGTCTAAGTTAGTGTGTGAATTTTTTTTTCATGATTGTCCTCAAAAATTATCTTTTTTTTCCCCAATTACTGGAAAATATCCTGACAGTATGCTTTGATATAGGTGGTCTTTTTTCATTCCCTATGCTGCTGAGCTCTCAATAAACCCTTTCAAAATAGAAAGTAATGTTCTCTTTATTTAATATTTCTTTGATAATTTTTTCTCTTGTTTAATCTTTCTGGAGCTTCTGTTACAGAGTAGGAAAAATGGATCAGAGACAAATGGAGCTCCTGGGTCAATCCTCTAATTTTCCTTTCTATTTTCCATTTCTTGGACTTTTTTCCTGTCTTCTGGGAGATTTCTTAAACTTCATTCTATAAATAATTTATTTTGTGTGGAGATCTGACTGCCTGCCCCAAACTCTAAACATATTTGCAAGTTTTTTCTCTGCAAAGGTTGAATCAGAGGGTCTCTGAACTCAAGTGATGCAGGGATAGCTGAAGAAATTCTTCATCCTAATCATTTTTACCCCTGTTACTTTCTGTCTATCTATTATATAAGTTTATTTATATGCCAATTCTATATTTACTTACATATGTTCATTTATGTATAAATGCCAGTTCTCAATTATTAACTTTTTTTTTTTTTTTTTTTTTTTTTTTGAGACGGAGTCTCGCTCTGTCGCCCAGGCCGGACTGTGGACTGCAGTGGCGCAATCTCGGCTCACTGCAAGCTCCACTTCCCGGGTTCACGCCATTCTCCTGCCTCAGCCTCCCGAGTAGCTGGGACTACAGGCACCCGCCACCGCGCCCGGCTAATTTTTTGTATTTTTTTTTTTTTAGTAGAGACGGGGTTTCACCTTGTTAGCCAGGATGGTCTCGATCTCCTGACCTCATGATCTACCCGCCTCGGCCTCCCAAAGTGCTGGGATTACAGGTGTGAGCCACCGCGCCCGGCCAATTATTAAACTTTTAAGAAGTCTTAAAAACATTTTGTTTTCTGAATATAATTTTTATTATGTGTAAGCATTGTTTTACAATGGATGTATAATTTTCTCCTAACTATCTGCGTAGAGTAATTACAGTTTTTTTTTCTTTAGGTTTTGCTCTGCTTTCTGCTTTATTTTTGTCATCACATGTAGCTTTCCTCTGTTCATTTTGCTCTCTCTTTTATGATAGAGATTGTCCTTAAATACCTAGTCATCCAGAGCTCTTTGAAGTTTTTGAGTGAAAAACAAAATACCTGCTGGAGGGTGGGCGTGATGGCTAAGCCTGTAATCCCAGCACTTTGGGAGGCCGAGGCTGGTGAATCACTTGAGGTCAGGAGTTCGAAACCAGCCTGGTCAACATGGTGAAACCCTGTCTCTACTAAAAATACAAAAAAATTAGCTGGGTGTTGTGGCGGGTGCCTTGTAATCCCAGCTGCTCAGGAGGCTGAGGCAGGAGAATCACTTGAACCTGGGAGGCCGAGATTGCAGTGAGCCAAGATCCTGCCACTGCACTCCAGCCTGGATGACAGAGTAAGACTCTGTCAAAAAAGAAACAAACAAAAAAACAGACAAACACGCCTACTGGAAACTCTGGGCATGCGTAGGCTTGCTGAGTGATGGATTGTGAAGGGAGATGTATTGATATGGACATATCTCCTAATGCTGATGTAACAAATTACCTCAAACTTAGTGGTTTAAACAACACAAATTTTATAGGTTAGACATTCAGTACAGGTCTCACTGGACTAAAATCAATGCGTCAGTGGGGCTATGATGCCTTCTAGGAGAATCTATTTATTTCTGTTTTCTACCTTCTAGAAAGAAGCCACCCACATTCCTTGGCTTCCAGCACTTATTCTCCATCTGCAAATACAGCAAGAGAGGGTAGATTAAGTTCATTCTGGCCATGTGTCATAGTCACATCTCCCAGTCATTACAGCCAGGAAAGGTTATCTGCTTTCAAAGGCCCATATGATTAGATTGGGCCCACCTGGGTAATGCAGGCTATAATTTCCTTATCACCTCTTAGTCACATCTGCAAAGTCCCTTTTGTCAGAGAAGGCATCATATTGATAGTATCTGAGGATAAGAAACTGTGCATCTGGCTGGGCGCGGTGGCTCACGCCTGTAATCCCAGCACTTTGGGAGGCCGAAGCGGGTGGATCATGAGGTCAGGAGGTCGAGACCATCCTGGCTAACACGGTGAAACCCTGTCTCTACTAAAAAATACAAAAAATTAGCTGGGCGTGGTGGCGGGCACCTGTACTCCCAGCTAGTGGGGAGGCTGAGGCAGGAGAATGACGTCAACTGGGGAGGCGGAGCTTGCAGTGAGCCGAGATGGCGCCACTGCACTCCAACCTGGGTGACAGAGCGAGACTGCATCTCAAAAAAAAAAAAAAAAGAAAAAAAAAGAAACTGGGCATCTTTGGGGACCCTTATCCTGCAGATCAAGCAGAGAGGACCAAGTAGGGAATCAAGCAGAAAGACAAAACCATTTCGTTGATGAACAATTTTCAGTAGATGCAGTTCTCTGCTCTTTGAGAGAAACCTTCCTTATTCTTCTTCCTTTTGTATGTAAGCCAGCCTACCAGCTTTCTAGGAGTCAAATGTAGAAAGTGTTAGGGGTAAAAATAATTAGGATGAAGATTTTCTTCACCTGTTCCTGGTGCACTTGAGTTCAGAGGCCCTCTGATTCAACCTTTGAAGAGGAAAAAAAAACTGCAGGTATGTTTAGTGTTTGGGGGCAGGCAGTCAGATCTCCACACAGAGTAAATACGGGCATTCAACCAGTTGTGCTATTCTTCAACCCTACATTCTCATGCATTGCACTCCAGCTTCTTGACACTCACCAGCCTACAGGCACTTAGCGTTCAGCTTTTCCCATCTGCTGAGTTAGTTACTCTGTAAATCTGTTTTTCATTTTCCAACATTTGGCTGGAATTTCTCATCTGCTGTCATCTTCTTTCCTATTCTCTTTTGCTTGGTGGATTTGTCTAGTTTCTAATCCTTTATTGTCATTTAAGTAAGTTTACAGGAGACAGTAGAAGTCAAGGGTTATGTTTAACACATCACATTAAAGTAGAATTTCCTTTGCATAAAGATTAATAAAAACATACACCTTTTCTATTTATCCCTCTTCATAGTTGATTAAGTTTTGAGTTGTTGTTTGCCTTATACTGACTCATTTTGACACTGTAGTATTATGCATTGTATGAAGGTTTTATAGTTTAGACATAGATAAAAAAAGTTATACAATAATAATGTATCATTTAAATACATATGTATAAGGCATTTGTTTTGAAAGAAGAGTGGAATATTAAACTCCAGGGAAAAAGAGAGCATGGTCATCATTAGATAAAACTATTATATATCAAATTAATTTTGCAGAGTTTATAAGCCAATGATAATATAATACAATGTTGAGTAGCATGTTATCATTATTGAAATCCTTTAACATATCTTGATAATTCTGGGAGGCTTTTTTTATACATTTTTATTCATATAATTTTTTATATTTTCTATTTTAACATTGTTGCAAGAATAAGTTAACTCAAATTCATTTTGTAATGATCAAAAAATGTATTTATCAAAATTGAGAAGTAGAACCACATACTGGAATTCAGGGATTTGCTCTTCTTGAATTCCTATTTAGAGACCAATGATATAAATATTACATACTTGGATTCAGCATGTAATTTGGAAGCAAAATATTTTGCAAGTTCAATTAAGTTTAAACAGGAAAAAAAAACAAACAAAACTAATTGCTGGAAGGCAATTGGAATGCCCCAGGCTTAGATTTAATGACTAAACCATGTCTGATCTCCAGGGTGTTGCTTTGCCTAGACTTTTTCTTTTGTTTGGAAACTTTCATTTTTCTTAAGATTCTAAAATTACAGGTTGTCAGCACATATGGCATATTTTGAAATCTAGAGCAACTGCATAGTAGGCAAATAAATGAATACATAGGTTTATAAATATAACTAAAAATAAGAAAAAATTAAAGTAAAACTATTAGTCCCAAAAATCAATATTACGGAACTTTAGATGTATGATAAAGTATAAAGTAAAATAGTATCTCAGCAAAACAAAGCAATATGGGAAGCAAGAAAGCCAGAACAGTAAATCATAGGCTGGGGGAAGCAATTACTCAGCTAAGGTATATCTGCAAAGTTCAAATTAAATGTTCCAGAGGCATGGTTGTCTCAGATGTCCTTTAGGCAGGTGGCAACCAGGTAGGGACCATGATAGCAAGAGTTAGTGCATCAGGCAATACCTAAGGCATGTGGACTCTATGAAATCAGTTCCAGGTGACCTGTTCATTAACAAGGCACTAACTAGAAGCCATGGTGATGAGATGAAGCATCTTTTATATGGGGCTAGTAGAAGATAAATGGGGTGACAAAAACTCACCCATCAGACGTAGACTTAGAAAAGAGCATTAGAGTGGTATGTGAGGAAAGTGTAACATTATAATGGAGGTAAAGGAATATCAGTTTGGAGGCAATGTATTAGGTCACTGTCAATCAGAACAATTCCATGCCTCCACATGAGACATGATGGCTGATATATTTCCTACGCAAATCAGCATTTTCTGTAATGTTAAGTCTACAAGTAGAGGGATGTAGTCACTTCAGATAAGAGGGTTGGAGAAGGCAGGGACTGGCAGAAAGAAGGATCCACCATTTTCTACAAAACCAAAGTTTATTTTCTCAGGCTTTCTGAATTAAGATGCACTTGATACATATTAATTTATGCTATTAATAAGTCCTAATATGACAACAAGTACAGTAGGTTGAATTTTATTATCAGGCAATGAGTAAAAGTCTCCCAAGATATTTACTAGCTCAATGGTTCTTAATACTGGCTGTGCTTTAGGATCACCTGGGAGATCTTTAAAAAATACTGATGCCTGGGCCTTCTTATCAAATTCTCTGCAGGTGGGGCCTAAGCAGCACTATTTTTTAAAAGTCTCCAGGTGACTTTAATTTGCAGGCAGGTTGAGAACCACTAGACTAAACAAATCATTAGCAGCTTATTATTTTTGCTTAGATTGTGGTTGAAATATCCTTGGAAACAAAGGTAGGCTTGAGAAATTCTAAGAAAATTATTTAGTTCTTTAAGTTCAAGTACAGCAAAGATGAAGTTTGCAAAATTCAGCAGTGAATAAAACTCTGAAATCACTCTGCAAGTTTCAATTATTTTTTATAGTTTCTATGCATTTCTATAACATACCCAGAAGCTACTCTGATGTGTCTTTTGAAAGTCCACTGAGGGAAAACAATACCTTTTTTTCTTCAAATTGTTTGTTTTTCTACACACTGTACACACACAAAAAAAGAGTATGGAAGTTATTATGTTGATATTTTAAGCAAAAAAATGCCTTCAATTATGTATTTTGAATATCTTGCTAATTGAAGCAAAAGAAGTATATATTTTTCACTTTCTTATATTATCTAGAAAACTACCCTGATTATGGACTCTGCAGGTGTAGGAACAGCCTTCATCGGGAGAAGTAGAATTCATGATTTATTCAAATCTATAATGGTAATGAGTAGTCAGTCTATGAAGAAAATTCAGGTCTATTCCAAGGGTACTGAAAGCTTTCTTTACATGTAGCTGTTCATCTCTGTGACATTCCTGGAGGGCGTCTTTTCATAGTTTATTATTATTTGAAGTGGCAGGAGGCAGGTAACTTCAAACGAAGCAGCCTGAAGTAATAGTCTTGGGAAGACATTTCCTGTTCAAAATACACCTAAATTTGTTGATTGTGACCATAGGAAGCTGAGGAATATTATGGGAGAATGTACATTAGGAAAAGAGAGAGAATATAGTAACAACATCTTAGAAACAGCATGAAGAATAAGTGCTATTTGTAATCAAGCAGAGGTTTGTCAAAATCAAAGTTGTTGGGAAAGAGATGACTCATACTTTCCTTAAACAAAATCAATGTATTCACCTTTCAAAACATGGAACAGTCATATTAAAAAAAGAGATGTCTCCAAAGAAGAAGGGGAGAAATTGAATAAGAAGGTAAATAAACAACTCCTGCTTCAATTCAAACAGTCCAACTTTTATTACTTCCATATAGATACCTACATAATCATTAATTTGGCAGAATGATTTTGCTACTAAAACAAACAAAAATAATAATAAAGTTATGAAACTTACTTTTGGAAAGGGCCCAGTTACATTTGCCATGTCAAACCCAAAAATATGTATTGGCATCATGTAAAAAGACGTTATCAATTATTAACACCATCCAGCACATTATTAGTGTAGAGTGCTCACCTCAAGCCATGCCTAACACATCCTTCTGCCCCTTTCTGGACTGTATACCCTTCCACCACCCTATTCATTTTCCCTTTCCTCGCATTCCCTCTGCAGTTGGCTTTGAAGTATGGTATTAACATCTCTGCCATAAGTTTGACCCCTCTGGGCACTCTTCTGTTTTTTTATACCCACTTTGTGAGGCAAGTTTGAATAATTTGCCTTTCCCTTCATTCTAGCTCCTTGGAATCCTTGCACCTTGGTTTAATTTGGTTCCTGCCGATTCAAAAGTATTGACTAGGTCAAGAGCACAAATAAATGAGTCTCAGAGCTGAAGGCAAAACTACTAATGATCCCATTTGCTGTATTTCAGTCGCTTATAAAAGTAGCTGGAGAAAAACTACTTTTTGCTTGCCTTGGGTAACTATGAAACAAGCAAATTCAAAATATTTGTAGAAAGTCTGAAGTTGCTAATCATATTATAAATCTTACATCTAGAATGAAATTATTATGTGAGACATCACACATCTGTGAACCATTTTCATAATTGCATCTGGGTGTACATCTGTGTGTCTTAGTTCACTCACAAAACGTGATTTTCTAATGAATTAGAAACTCTAAAATTAAAACCCCTATAAACCCACTAAAAGGCTACAAAAGGAATCACATAGCTGGAATCCACTTCACACAATCATGTGTTCAAACCCCATCTCACAGAGATCCACAATGAATTCTCAAAATAATAGAAAATAACATTTTAAGAGATGAAAATGGAAATTTCAGCTACAATGATTTATTCTTCCATATCCCTTTATTCCATAATTTCACTTTGCTAATTTTCCCTAGAGGATGTATCAACAAATTATTTCTCATTTGTCTTTTCTTACTCTGCTTTTCTTCTACAGTATCCTTATGTCCATAATTATGGGCTTGCAAATATCTACTGTGCAATCATTTAACCTCCTCTTTCACAAATGAAATTGCCCATTATGTGAAAAGAAACTAATCCTTTTTATTGCATTATATATTGATTTGTTGGGTGGTTGGTAGACAGATTGAGTTGCTCCTACCTAGCTTCTAAGAGTCTTTGGCATGACCAACTTTTCTATCTTATTCGTCAACTCTCCAGCTTTTCAACTCTTTTACAAAACATAAGTCAGAATTGAATAAATTTTCATGGCTAGTGGAAAAATACATAAAATAATTAATTCTTTCCTCTGCATTTCAATTTTCCTAAGTTATATAGGCATTTTTAGTGAAAGCACAAGTCACAGTCAGCCTGTGGACTCTGTGACCCTGCTGTACTTTTGTTTCATTGATTTTTACACCACTTTTGTCAATGTAGTTTGATATGCATTTTTAAATAGACCAACTTAGCCATATTTTTGATAAAATTAATCTTGGTGTGGGTGAGTCAGTACATTATTTATAATTGCTAGTATTTTGAATCCAAAATTGTATTTTCGTTCAATAAAGCAAGGTGTATTTATATGATCTTAAGGTGATAATAGATAAGACAACATACTTATTCTGTGAAATTGTATTAACTATTGCTGGAGATTAAAGGCAAGTTAAAAATGATAGCACTAAACACATACGGTAACTACTGTAGACATTTAAAAATCCATAAATTTTCAGGTATTAAAATTCTGTAAAAAATTAACTTGCTCTACAAAATTTAATAAAAATATTAAAACGAACTGGTCCAGATTCCTCTAGGGACCTTATTGGGCACATTATTCTAGTTTAGTTATGAACCACTAATATCCATGGGGAGAACTCTGAATTATAGCACAAAAATAATAGCTACCAATTCTTTGAGTGCTATATACCAGACACCGTGCAAGGTGCTTTGCTTACTGTTATCCTACTTTACAGTTATTTTCTTCACTTTACAGAAGAGAAAGCATAAGCTCAGAAACAAAGTAATTTTCCTACAGTCATAAAAATGTTTGAGGCTTTGATAGATACAGAGACTTTTAATGCTAATTTGTATACACTTTGTCTTTGCTTCAGGGTACACAGAATGATTACATTTGTTCCTTGCTGTTAGGAGGAACAAGCAGAAGTTCCATATGCCACCTTCTTCTGCTACTGCAGCAACAAGTGATATTCGAGACAGTGAAGCCCCCATCAATTCTAGACTGATATGGAGCAGAGACGACCTCCTATACACACTCCCACTACTGACCCATGGTGGACAAGAAACCAGAAATTTCATTATGTTAAGCTTCTGAGATATTTCTGTTTTTTCCACTGAACATTATTCTAATTTATGTGATATATTTGATTTTAGAGCTAACTTGTTCTAAAGCTTACAGTCTTTTGCTGGGCAGGGTAGCAGTTCCAGCCACTTAGTAGGCTGAAACAGGAGGATGGCTTAAGCTCAGGAGTTTGAGACCAGCCTGGGCTAAATAATGAGACCCCATCTCTTAAAAATATATACAAAATATATAAACAAAAATAAAGCTTACAATTTTTTTCAACAACAACCTTGTGTATAGTTCAAACGGATTTTGTACCCCATACCTTAGTAACCTACTCAATGTCATATAAGCCTTTCTACCTTTCAGAGTATCTTCTTGTCATTCCTTCTTAAAATGCTCCTCCCAAATCCTATTCTGTCTTTTTTTACTACTTTTGATCTGAACTGTCCAATATGTGACTTTGTCCATATGTGTCCACATGCAACTATTGAGCCCTTGAAATATGGCTAGTTCAAAACTGAGATACACTGTAAGTATAATACTGCATACTGGATTTTGAACAATTAGGACAAAAAGAATATTAAATATATTCTTAAAATTAATTACATGTTAAAATGGTATGTTGGATATATTTGGTTAAATGAAACTTTATTAAAATGAATTAGCCCTGTTTCTTATTTTTTTTTTTGTTTTTTGTTTTTAATTGTGTCTGCTCAAAAAACTAAAATTACACAAGTGGTTCACATTTGTATCTTGAGTAATATTTCCATGGAGAGCACAAAAATAGATCCTGATGAAAGAATATATCCATCTTAAAACTTTTCTTGAAGATCTAAATCAGCTACAGTGACTTTCTTTCTTTTGTAGGGAAGGGAAAAATATCTTTTCCTAACCCATCTGCCTATCCGAGGTTCTTAGCTGAGACACCTATAACCAAAGGTAGATAAACATACAAATTTCTTTAAATAAGTTTTATGAACACAGAACCCCTCACAAGAAAATGGAGACCAGAAAAAACAGTTAAACTTGTGTATGCTTATGCCTGGATTGATGAAGAGTAGACAGTCATGGAGAAATATGATTGGACAAAAGTTATGGAAATAAACTGGGGAAACAGCAAGGCCTGTTTGTTCAGATTTTTCTGTGTGGCTCTTTGTCTTGAGATGAGAATGTGCCTTTCTTCTGGGTATAAGGAGGGTACCTCTTACATAAGGTCTTATAACCAGCTTGAGGGGAGAAGGGCAAGGGGAAGGTGAGAGTGACCTCCTAGCTTCTGCTATTTTTCCAAATGCCAAGCTGCCATATTTCAGTGTAGCATGACCTGAACCCCATCACTCCACATCACCTTACTCTATAAATTCATTTTGCTATTTTTTCTATTTATATTAGTCCATTTTCATACGCTATGAAGAAATACCTGAGACTGGGCAATTTATAAAGAAAAAGAGGCTTAATAGACTCACAGTTCCACATGGCTAGGGAGGTCTCACAATCATGGTGGAAGGTGAAAGAGGAGAAAAGCCACGTTTTACGTGGCAGCGGGCAAAAGAGTGTGTACAGGGGAACTCTCCTTTATAAAACCATCAGATCTCATTAGACGTATTCACTATTCACTAGCACCAGGGGAAAAACCCATCCCCATGCTTCAATTACCTCCCACTGGGTCCCTCCCATGACATGTGGAGATTGTGGGAGCTACAATTCAAGATAAGATTTGGGGGGTAACACAGCCAAACCAGGTTACTATTGTATATCATTATATTAATGATGCTTATCTGAAACAATTGTCCTGTCTTAATAGGTACAAAGCTTTTAAAATTACAGAATATTTGTTATTTCTCTGAGACCTCCCTACAGTACTTTGCAGTCTACTTTGTACAGATTACACATTCTATGAACTGTTTTAACTGATTTTGGACAGTGAGGTTTCTGAGGAAGACATTGATGGCAGGCTGCTTTGATTTGTGATTGTTGTATCTATTCTGGGCTCTCACCAAATGCTCACTGGAGTAGACATTTCAGAGTATAAAAAAAAGTTAAAAATTCAAAAACACAAAAGGCACTCAAATAAACCAGGATTTGAAAATCACCAATTTCAATTTTTCTAAACTCTTAATGAGAACCTCACCTGGTCTATAATTGAAGATCAACCAAAGGTCATGCAGAAAAACAAAATAGAATGTAACAAGTAAGCTCTTCTACTATTTCATGCTTAGGTACATTGACAGCGGGCCTCATAGAAATGGGGCTAATCTAAAAATAAATATCCATATTTTGGTTTGAAGAAATAATTATCCTATGCAAGTTCTTAGACCCATCTCTAGGAATACTGAAAGACAGATATTTTTCTCACACAAGTAAATATTCTACCATGTTTCAAAAAAAAGTGAAAGACAATAAAAATGGTATTGGAAAGAGTGTGCTAAAGATGACCATCTGTTCTCCAGGAGGTGAAAGAAAAGGAGCTTAAAATTACACTAAGGGACATAGTATGTTTACAAAGTATACTAATACTACAGAGACTGCTGGAGAAGGCATTAAAGAAGTGTGCAGGGAAGCAGCAATCAACTGTGCCCTAAAGCAGACAGGAGAAGCCAAGTGTATGGCAAGGATTGGGTCAAAGACCCTTCTGGGAAGTCAGCACACCCCTGCCTGATTCAGGATTTGCTGGGAGAGGCAGTTCAAAAATCTAAGACTTTACTGGATTGTCATTGTCCACACACAATCTGCTTAGTGAAACTTTCTAAAGCCTTTTTTAAAAAAACAAAAATAAACTATGTCTGTAACTTTGTGATGTGTTCTAAATGTGTGTAATTCTTCTCCCAAAAAAGTCTTTAATTAATAAATAAAATATTCCAGGATATTAATAATATGTGTATCTCTAATAAAAGAGTAATGCGCCCCACATAGAAAAAAATGTATAACAGCAGCCAAAAAAGGAAAAAAAAAAATCAGCACCTCTTAAAGAAACATGGCACAGGAAGCATGCTGTTTAAACACTACTTTGCATATCTACCAGTTGTCACTTCTTTTGGGGAATAGATATAGGAACAAAAGCTTACCCCTTCTTCTGACCTTAGCAAAGTTAATCATTCCCTCAGTTCTCCTTTGATTTGGAATCTCCAATCTTAGCCCTTTGCAAGGGTAGAGTGATAGTCAGATTTCTTATCACAAGTGCCTTTTATTCATTGCTGATAATCTCCTTGTATTACAGGAAGCACTTTTTCATTTTCTTGGTGAGGTGCTCTGGGAGCAAAATAAGAATTAAGACCATGTGTTGTACATTTTCTATCTCTAGAATCTAGTGCTGTAAGTAGCAAGCATTTGCACTTTGACACTGGAATTATTTTAAACAGACTTACGTTTATGTAATCTGCCTATTTATGTCAAATAGCCAGAAATCAGCATTGACTAGTGTTTTCCCAATGTGTCCCTAAGCAAGTGAGCAATATATTGATAACTAAAATGAACTCAAGAGATTAAGCAGTGCCTAAAAACACTGAGTTTTCTTTCTAGGAAAATAATATAGTGGAGTCCTATGAAAACCTGTTAACTAAAATAGCAACAGTAAGGAATAAGGCAATGACTTCAATGTGCTAACAATTCCGACATTTTAGACAGAAACTTAGAACCAGTGAGACTCATTTTACAAACTTGCTTTCTTCCTTTCCTTCCTATAATACATAGGTCCTCTTTTAGAAAAAAGCTGGCAAGGGTTGAGTGACCTCAACTCCTTGGGAGTCTATTCCTATGTAAATGAGAGCATTCAGACTTGGAAGAACCAATTCTCTCCAGGGAATGTCAGAAATGGCAAAGCTTCAGACTCAAATTACTGGGTGCCATACCACACACTAAAAAAAAAGAAGAAAAAAAATCTGTAGAAGCTGAATCATTTAAAACTAGACAGCACCAAAGTGTATGAGACTATGCTATAAGGAACAATTTTGCTTTGCATTAGGTGGCAGGATAGATATTCGTGTATCCTAGTTTTATGATTTTCTGCCATGGTAATGACAATCTAAAAATGGGATACTGCTTTCCTGGGAGTAGGAGCACTGCTGTGTCTGCTGACCTGCAGAGAAACTCCAAAACATGAAAAGCCTAGGGGGAATTCAGTGCCAGGTGGTAGTGAGGATTTGTAGTTAGGGCTCCTCTCCATTGACTGTCACGGCAGGTGAACAGCCACAGCCACTGACAGGGATCTGGAGAGCAGCAGCAGTGCAGACCGTAGAAGGTGCCAGCATTCGTTTGAGAATCCCTCCTGACTTCTGAATGTACAACTGTAGTTCACAGACGTAGGCAACTTGAAAGAATTGTAAACCAAAAATAAAATTCTAAGCCCCTCAACCAATTGAATAGACCCCTCCTCTTGGGCAAGGGCATTCCTAAGTTAACCTGAAAAACTCCTTCAGTCCACAATGGAAAGAGAAGGTCAAACAGGTCCCACTATACCCTCCTCGCTGGAATTCAAGCACAACTGACTAGCATTAACATTAAAACAGAGACCTTGAGACTGACAAAACAGGCTATTTGTAGCAATAAGATACCAACATGAGATTAGTAGGTCCTGAAAGAAATTGAAGTATTTTACTTCAAAATATGTTTCTTTGACATATTTTGAAATGGCCCTGCAAAACTGTTTCTTTCGGGGAAAATCTACTTTCTGTAGAGAATCTCCTTCCCTTTTCAGGTCTTCCTAACTCAAGACAGAATTAACTAAGAACCTGGCACCTTTTTTAAGTCTGGTAAGAAACATTTACAATCTGTTCTCTATGAAGCCTGCTACCTGTAGGCTTTATCTGCATGATAAAAATCTTGGTCTCCACAACTCTTTATCTTAACCCAGATGCTCCTTTCTATGGATTCCACGTCTTTAGATAATAACTTAACTCTTTCAAGCAGTTACCAATCAGCATGTTCTCCCTTATTTGTGGGATCTAAAATTCAAAATGGTTGAACTCATGGACATAGAGAGTAGAAGGATGGTTACCAGAGGCTGGGAAGTGTCATAGGAGGGTGGGGCAGAGAGGAGGTGAGGATTATTAATGGGTACACAAAAATATAGAAAAAATAAGACCTGCTATTTGATAGTACAACAGGGTAATTATAGTCAATAATAACTAATTGTATAATTTAAAATAACTTAAAAGATTAATTGGATTGTTTGTAACTCAATGGATAAATGCTTGAGAAAATGAATACCCCATTCTTCATGATGTGCTTATTTCACATTGCATGCCTGTATCAGAACATATCACATACCCCATAAATATATATACCTACTATATATATATATATATATATATATAATGTATACACACACACCCCTACTATGTACCCACAAAAATTGAAAATAAAAAAATAAAACAAAAAAAAGAAAATTTTTGAATCCACCTATGACCTGGAAGCCACCTCCCTCAGCTTTGAGTTGTCCCTCCTTTCTAGGCTGAACCAACATACATTTTACTTGTATTGATCGATGTCTGATGTCTCTCTAAAATATATGAAATTAAGCTACAGGCCGACCACCTTGGACACATGTTCTCAGGGCTCCCTGGAGCTGTGTCATGGGTCATAGTCCTCGTATGTGGCTCAGAATAAATCTCTCTAAATATTTTGCAGAATTTGACTCTTTTCATCACAGAATGGTTACCATATGTTTTTGTTGTTGCTTAACAAGTTGTAGTTTAAATTGTCCTTATTGCAATGACATTGTTTATTATGCTTATTTATGGTCAACAAGAATTTATGCTCAGCTGTCCAGTTTCTGAATTTACTGGGGTCTTAGGCAGGAGATACAAATGTAGTTTCCCTCAAGGAGCTTGCAATCAAGTCATTGTTTCTTAATTACCTTTAAAATATATTTTAATGGAATGAAATACAGATTTAGAATAAGACTTACCATTTTAAAGTGTACATTTTAGTAATATGTAGTGTATTCACAACATTTTACAGCCATATGCTCTA
This sequence comes from Homo sapiens, assembly GCF_000001405.40. Lineage (NCBI taxonomy): Eukaryota > Metazoa > Chordata > Mammalia > Primates > Hominidae > Homo > Homo sapiens. The sequence continues at coordinate 54,359,263 of NC_000013.11, forward strand.
TTCGTTCATTTCAAAACATTTTATTACTCCATAAAAATGCCCAATATTCATTAAGTAATTTCCTTCCACCTCCTACCTCCCATTGTATTGTAAACCTTAATCTACTTTCTGTCTCTATAGATTGGCCCATTCTGGATATATCATATTTACAAGAAAGATTCAATATAAAATTTTCTGTTCTGGATTCTTCCACTTAGCATAATGGTTTTATAGCATTATAATATTATATATACATATATGTTATATTTATACTATATGTGTGTGTGTGTGTGTGTGTGTGTGTGTGTGTATACTACGGTTGTTTTACCCATTCATTGATGGACATTTGCGGTATTTCAACCTTTTGGCTTGAATACAAATATTGGTGTACAGGTTTCCTTGTAGACACATTTTGTTTTCTTTTGGGTATATACCTAGAAATGGAATTGCAGGGTCATATGGTAACTTTATGTTTATCTCCTAGAGAAACCATAAATTCCTGTCTATTCCATGGTTAATGTAAAATAGAAGCTCTGTAATTGCAAGTAAACTGTTTTGTTTTTTATAAGATAAATATATGGATATATGAAGATAGATTTAAGTGAAACAACTCTGGTTTCTAGTTGGGTTGTCAAGGGTAATAATAATCACTAGCATCTACCTACTTTTAAAATTTTTATTAGTAGTAGTAGTACATATAATCTCATTTTACCTATATATCAACTTATGTGTATTTTTTATAAGACTGATTACCACTTTAAAAACTATGAAAAAGACACACTTAAATATACTATAAATAAATCAAGATGAGATATTAAGCTATGTTTTAAAAAAGATAATACAAAATGTATTTAGGGACAAGAATCAGAAAAGAAACCAGAAAACAAATATAACATGTCAGAGTTAAGTTCTAACTTATCAATAATTATCTTAAATGTAAATGATCTAAATATACCAATCAAAAGACACAGACTAGCAGAGTGGATGTAAAACATGACTTAACTATATCCCCCTTCAATAAAATATCTTCAAATTAAAGGACAAAAGTAAGTTGAAGGTAAAAGAATGAAACAAGATTTACCATGCAAATGTTATTCAAGCAAGCATGAGTGACTGGTTATATTGAAAATTAAATATGTAAATTACAGAGAAAAGAAAATAGACACAAAAATAGGAATTGCATAGATAAAAGCGTAAAAGGATAAAAGGTTAAAATCATTGCATAATGATACACAATCCTAAAAATGTACCAAGCAAACATGGCGCCTTGAAATAAAATACATGAAGCAAAAACAGAGGTGAAAAAAGACATGAACAAATTCACAATTATTATTAGGAACTTGAAAATCCCACTTTCAGGAACTGATACAAGTGGTAGCTAGGTAACAAGGACATAGAAAATCTACTGTTAGATTGGCATATATAGAACATCTACCCAATACCAGTAAAATTGACATTTTCCAAATGCCTATGGAATATTCACCAAGACAGACCTCAGAAAATGTAAAACAATTGGAACCAGAGTGAATTTTTTTTATAATGGAATTGAGCTAGGAATCAATAACAGAAAAACGACAGAAAAAGTATACATATATGAATATTGACAAACATACATCTAAATATAGGTCAGAGTTGAAGTCTCAAAGGGTATGTTAAAAAGTGCATAGAACCAAATGAAAATAAAACTATTCTACATCCAATATTTAAGTAATTAAGCAAGCAGAAAAAGAACTAATAAAAAGAAGAAATGAATAAATTTAAAAATAGAAACACAAATTTAAAAATCAGTGAAACAAAAGTTGATTCCTTAAAAAAAAAAGAAAAAAGAAAAATAGATAAACCTACAATAAGATAGACAAAAATACAAAGAGAGAAGAAAGAAGTTGCCAAAAATAAAATAGGAAATCAAATAGGAGACATTACTGTAGAACTGGCAGCTATTGTAAAGGTAATAGTGAAATACTATGAACAACTTTATGCACATAAAATTAGAAAAAGATAATCAATTTTTTAAAAATCACAAAATACCAAGTCAACCATGATACAATAATTTGTATAGTCCTATAATCACTGAAGAAAGTGAATTTATAATTTAAAAGCTCTCAAAAAATGAGTCCCCAATCACAGCTTTACTGAAGAAATCTACAAAACTTTTAGAGATAAATTAATACCAATTTTCCACAATATTTTCCTGAAAATAGAAGAAGAGAGAATGCTTCTCAGTTTATCAGTATTACTCTGATATGAAAACCAACCAGAGATAGTACTCTCACAAACACACATAAAAAGAGAGAGGTTGAGAGAAAGAAACAAAGATAATATAAGAAGGTAAACCTTTACTTCTGACTAGTTCATTGATTTCTCCATACCCATGATATAATTGCTCAGCAAATGTCAGCAACTGGTTGCACAAGAGTTATACGGAAAAGCCAAGACTGGTTGCTGCATTGCAGCACTGGATAGAATCTCAAGTGTGTTTAGGATGTAGCTCAGTAATTACTACATATCCAAAGAATAGGACTATTCAGGGGAATACTGTTTCTCTGCTGCTTGAAATCTGTCATTATCTTTTTAGCCTATGAAAACAGAAAAGTTTTTTTTTTTAGTTTTAAAAAGTGTACTTACTGGGACAAAAGAGAGGTGGTATCACAACCTTCTGAGTCAAAATGTCAAAGTTTAATTTATTGAATATTGTCTTAGTCCATTCTTATGCTGCTATAGAGACATACCTGAGACTGCATACTTTATATAGAAAAATATTTAATTGATTCACAGTTTCACATGGCTGGGGAGGCCTTAAGAAACTTACAATCATGGTGGAAAGGGAAGCAAATACATCTTTTTACACTTGGAGGCAGGAGAGAGAATGAGAGCTGAGCGAAGTGGGAAGCCCCTTACAAAACCATCAGATCTCATGAGAACTCACTCACTATCATGAGAACAGTATGGGTGAAACCAACCCCATGATTCAATTGTCTCCACCTGGTCCCACCTTTGACATATGTGGATTATTACAATTCAAGATGAGATTTTGGGCCTGTAACCCCAGCACTTTGGGAGGCCTAGTTGGATGGATCACTTGAGGTCAAGAGTTTGAGACTAGCCTGGCCAACATGGTGAAATCCCGTCTCTACTAAAAATACAAAAATTAGCCAGTTGTGGTGGTTCATGCCTGTAATCCCAGCTACCTGGGAGGCTGAGGCAGGAGAATCACTTGAACCCAGGGGGCAGAGGCTGCAGTGAGTTGAGACTGCACCACTGCACTCCAGTGTGGCTGACAGAGCAACACTCTTGTCTCAAAAAAAAAAAAAAAAAAAAAAAAGATGAGATTTTGGGTGGAGACATAGCCAAACCATATCAAATATGTATGTGTTATATATAATACGCACCTTAAAATTATCTTGCAAGCTGTGACAGATGCTAATATGTCTAATGATAAACAATCCTTATAAATGGCTATAGGATAATAGGTCTTATTAATATTTACTTCAATGTTAACTGGCCATAAACAAACAAACTAAAATCTTCAAAATACATTGGCTTCTTTATATGATGGGAGTATATTTTTCTTTCCCACAGATTGTGGCCAAATTAAGCAGTAGGGCAGCTGGGATGAACAAAATTATTCTAGGACTTGGATTCTTTCTAACTTGTCACTTTGACATTCTCTGGAACATCACCCTCATCTACCCAGACAAATTTGGGTTACTGATTGATTCATATTTTAGAACCTGAGAAGGCAAAATGAGACTAAGCACGAAAAAAGTGACTGTATATATATAAAATGTGTGTGTATGTGTGTGTATATATTGTAAGTTGATGAGAGCCTACACATTTCACCCATTATTTTGTCCAACTTTCCACGAGCTTGACATGATTTCATAGCCACACCTGGCCAAATGGGAAATACGATCTGTCATTGGATGCCCTACACCCAGAAGCAAGCAGAGAATATTACTGGCTAATATATGAAAAGTCATGATATAGGAAATAAATGTGGCTACATGAGAGTCGTAAGTATAAGTAAGAATTTCACATCTGGGAAACACAGAAAAAACATATATGGAAAGGTGATAGATATAAACCCAACTAAAGCATAAATTCATACCAACTAAAAGCCAAGATTATCAGAGTGGTTAAAAAATATCTAATAAATAAAATTGACAAGAAACTCACTTAAAATATAAGGATGTGAATAGTAAAAGAATGAATAAAAGATATCAACCAATATAAAGCTGGTCTGAGCAAGTTAATATGAGAGAAAATAGTCTGAAATGAAGTATTATTACTAGCAAAAAGAGGGAGGCAGGTGATGATGCATGAAGATGAAATGGTCAGTTCCACAGGAAGACATAATAATCTTAAATTTATATGTGTCTAAGTATGTATTTCAAAATATTTAAATCAAAGTTCATAGAACTATAAGTAAATATATAAACTTTTACACTAATCCTTGAGATATTTTAACATAAATCTTTAGCAGTGCTTAAAATAGCAAAAAAAAAAATCAGTAAATATGTAGACAATTTGAATAAAATTTTAACAAAGTTGTACTGACATTTATAGAATACTATATTCAACAATTACAGAATATGAATTATTTTTAAATGTACATAGAATATTAACCAAAAGAGAATATATGGAGAGAGGTGAATAAATTCTCGATAATTTTAAAGAATTGAAATTATACAGAAAATTATTCTAGGACCACAGTATAATTGAACTAGACATAAATTATAGAAATATAGGTAGAAAGGGCCGGGCGCTGTGCTTCTTGCCTGTAATCCCAGCACTTCGGGAGGCCGAGGTAGGCGGATCACAAGGTCAGGAGATCGAGAGCATCCTGGCTAACATGGTGAAACCCCGTCTCTACTAAAAATACAAAAAATTGGCTGGGCATGGTGGCAGGCGCCTGTAGTCCCAGCTACTCGGGAGGCTCAGGAAGGAGAATGGCGTGAACCCGGGAGGCAGAGCCTGCAGTGAGTGGAGATCATGCCACTGCACTCCAACCTGGGTGACAGAGCGAGACTCCATCTAATATATATATATATATATATATATATATATATATATATATATATATGTAGAAAGGGGCAAATATTTGCAAATTAAGCAACACAATTCTAATTAACCCATAAATCAGTCAAGGAGTAACAACGAACATTTTAAAAAAATTTTGAATTGAATTGAATAAAATGATGTCTCAAAAGGTCAAGTGCTATGCAACTACAGGATCATTTATGGGTTTGATGCCTACATTAAAAAAGATGAAAAGTTGAAAGTCAGTGAGATTTCCTTCTAAGACATTAGGAAAAACTAAGAGGCAATTAAACTCAGCTAAGGTTAAAAAAATAATAAACATAAGAGCAAAAATCAATACCAAATAAAATAAGTATATCCAAGAAAATTAGAAATCAAAAAGTTATTTGAAAAGATTAATAACATTATTAACTCTAGCAAGAAAATTTAAATAAATAAATTAAAGATAAAACATGATCACTAATATTAGGAATTTAAGCAGAGAACATTTTTAAAAATTTATGAAAATAAATTTAAAAGGTAATAGATTTAGACCCAACTAAATTTACATGTATGGATAAATACCTTAAAAATCTTTAACTAAAACTAACCCAAGAAGAAGTAGAAAACGGAAATAGGCTTATTGTTAAAAAAATTCTTTCTATAATTTTTAAATTATTAATTTAAATTATTAATTTAAAACCTTTCCACAAAGAAAATTTCAGAATCCCCAACGAATTTTTACAAACATTTAAATTAGGAAATGCAACCGCTATTACATAAATTATTTAAGAGAACACATCAGGCCAAACTTCCTAGTTTGTTTTTTGAGAACAGAATAGTCCATTTGCCAACACCTGATAATGACATTACTAGAAAAAACAAATAACAAAATACAAAATCCTTAAGTAAAATATTAGCAAACAGAATCAAACAATAAAGACATATTACATTATAACAAAGTGGTGTATATTCCAGTAATACCAGGTGACTTTACATTTAAAATTTTAAAAGTATATGCATTAAAAAATATATGTATTCCACTTTAAGAGAAAAGAGAAAATATCATATAACTATTTTAATGCATGCAGATAACTCATTTTATAAAACTCAAAATTCATTCTTATAAAAATTAACACACTCTAGAAGAAGACATTCTCAATGTTATAAAGGGTATCATAAAAAATGGTGCTAAATATACACCATGAGTTGAATATTGAACATTTTCTTTCTGAGATTTTCCCAATGAGCAAGACAAGGATGTTCCCTATATAATCATTCTTATTCAAATTATACAAGCGGGGTTAGCATTAAAATAAGAAAAGAAACACCAATAAAATTATAAATACTAGAAATGAGGAACTAAAAATGTCTTTATTTAACAAAAGCAAAAGGGTGAACATGGAAAATATGGAAAAATCCATAAATAAACTATAAGAATTAATAACTGTGAATTTAGAAAGTTTGTTGAGTAACTAAACAATGATGTTATATATATTAAGAACAAACATGTATAAAAGCGTATTTAAAATATTTTTCTAATTACATAAAAAAGTAACATATGTAGGAAGAAACCTAACAAAAGATGAGAAAGACCTTTATAATGAAAACTGTAAAACACAGCTGAAATTTTCAAAAAGCGAGACCTAAGTCAATGAAGAGCTATACCAGATTCATGAAAGTGAGGATTCAGTATTATCAAGATTTCATTTCTTCCCAAATTAAAACATGTATTTAATGCAATGACAATCAAAAATTACCCAACAAGTTATTTTTTTTTGGTGGAAGTTGAAAATCTGTTCTAAAATTTATATGGAAATGTCTAGAAAACCCAAAATTAACTTGAAAGGTAGAGAACAAAGTTAGAGGATTTGATCAACCAAATTTTATGACTTACTATAAAACTACAGCAAATCAAGTCAGTATGATACTGGAGGTATAACAGATAAATCTGCCAACAAAATAGATCAATATAAAATCCCAATTTAAAGCCAGATATAAATAGATCTTTCTATAAAAACTATTACCTAAATTAACTATATGTATGAAATTGTAAAATAATGTACTTTCCCTTCAACATTGTACCATATTAAAACATTAATTAGAAATTGACCTTTGACCTAAATATGAAAAACAGAATATATATGTGTTTGTGTACATATTCTCTCTATACATTTACCACATAGACACATAAAGATATACACATATATACAATCTATATATTCAATATATATGAATCTATAGAATGCACATGTGTTTGTGTGCACAATTCTCCATATATTTTGTATTTTTAGGTCAAAGATTCTACTTTTTTATTATTGATTTGTGAGAGTTGTTTATATATTCTGGATAGATATATAAATTTGAACAGTCTATAGATCTTGAATAATTATATCTAAAACATACAAAGAAGTCTTTGGTAATAATTTAAACAGACATTTCACAAAAGAGTATCGTATCTTATCCAGTAGATGAATAAGCATATTAAATCCTGTTCAAATTTATTACACATCAGATAAATGAAAATTCAAGGCACAATATGATACAACTACACAAGCACCAGAATAGCTAAAAATAAAGACTGTCAATAGATGTATAGCAACTGCAATAGTCAGAAACTGATAGTATAAATACAAATTGTTAAAACCAAGTATTCCTTATGACTCAGCAATTTTACTCTTAATAATACATCCAAGAGAAATAATTGCATATGTGTATGTTTTGCTGTGCGTGCAATTGCAAGAATGTACAAGAAAGTTAATTTATTCATAAAAGTTTCATACTCAAAGAATTCCAAACTTTTATGAAAAAGATCAAGGTGAAATAGATCACATTATATTCATAACAAACAATAAAACAAATTTTCTGTATACTGTTGTTTTTGAATTTTATGAAATGCTTTTTCTGCATTTATTCAAATCATCACATGATTTTTTTCCTTTATTATTTGAATGTGGTGAATTTTAAAAAAATTTGAATGTTAATACAACTTTGTATGCATGGTATAAATGTCACTGTATTATGATGCATTCTTTCTGTTGGGTTCAATTTGCTTAAATTTCATATGCAATTACATTGACGAATATTACAGATGTTATGCTGAGCAGAATTTAGATACAACATATTTAATGCTGCATAACCCTGTTTATGCAAAGTTTAAGAACAAATCAAAATAATCAATTGCAATACAGGTCAGAACAACATTTACCTCTGAAAGAGGGGTTAAAGGAACATTTTGAGGATACTTGAATAAACTATGTCTTTATATGGGTCACGATTGCATAGCTGTACAATTTGTAAAAAGTTATTGAGCTATCACCATAAAATTAGTGCACTTTGTGTATTTCACCTAGTAACTGTGGGACAGAAAGAATTAATCAGCATGCCTGTGTTTCTCAGAAACTGCACATTCCAAAGAAAGGCCTATCTTCAGGAACCGGCCCTCGATGTACTTTTGGGAAATGACTTCTGAGCCCTAGGAATATTATGCTTGGTAAGATACTTTTTATATGCCTGAGGCTTTAGGCAATGCTGTACCAGCTTGATCAAATACATTTACCTAACACTGTAATTTCTGGTAAATGTCTATAGGGATGGAGGCTGGGTGGCTGGCACCTGAGAACAGAGGTCAGTTTGGAGGGTGTGGCATGTCTATGAGACTGACCCTCAGTAAAAACCCTGGGCAGCAAGGCTTCGTTGAGCCTCCCTGTTTGGTAACACTTTGCAGGTATTGTCAGATATCATTTTGGGGAGAAGTAATTGCATTCTCACACGACTCCACTGACTGGGAACACCTGGAAGCTTATGCCCATTTTCTCCTGGACTTTGCCCATGTGCTTTTTTTCCTTTGCTGATTTTGGTCTGTGTCCTTCTGCTGTAATAAATTGTAACTAAGTATAACAGCTTTCTCTGAGTTCTGTGTATCTTTCTAGTATATCACTGAAGTTGAACGTGATCTTGGAGACCCTAATACAACTGTCATATTTCAATGAAAGAAGAAAGAAAGAAAGAAAGAAAGAAAGAAAGAAAGAAAGAAAGAAAGAAGGAAAAAGGAAGGAAGGAAGGAAGGACGGAAGGAAGGAAGGAAGGAAGGAAGGAAGGAAGGAAGGAAGGAAGGAAGGAAGGAAGGAAGAAAAAAGAAAGAAAGAAAGAGAGAAAGAAAGAAAGAAAGAGAAAGAAAGAAAGAAATGGAGAAAATAGTTTAGAAGAATAAGTTAGAAAATGAAGAAGGAATCTGAGTGCTATAGTACATGCCTGTAATCCCAGCTACTGGGGAGGCTGAGGCCAGAGGATCACTTGAGCTAGGAGTTCCAGGCCAGCCTGGGCAGCATAGTTAGACCCTGCCTCTAAAAAAAGAAAAAAAAGAAAGAACAAAGAAATGAGAGAAGGAGGGAAGGAGGGAAGAAGGGAAGGAGGGAAGGAGGGAAGAAGGGAAAGAGGGAAGGAAGGAAAGAAGGAAGGAAAGAAGGGAGGGAGGGGAGAAGGAAGGAAGGAAGAGAAGGAGGGAGGGAGGAGAAAGAGCTATATATTTAACTAGTATATGTATTTAGTTAATGTTCATAAAGCACTGTTAATGCAGAACAGAATAAGATCTCTAGATCCCATAATTATTATCTGTCTAGCCAAAAAGCTGATGACAAGGAAGGATATGAGCCATTTGCCTAATTGATTTAGAAAGAAAGAAATGACTCCTAAAGGACAAAAGATAACAGCAGTTATGATTAAAGAGATTGAGTTAGAGTTTATTTTAGTTAGCTATTTATTTCTAGAAGGCCTGCTTTGTTCTTACCAGGAATAGACAGGGATCGATTATAGGACTCACACACGCAAACACACACACACGCACACACACACACACACACACAGAGGTCATGGATACAAAAATCTACTCATAATCAAGTTCTACAGTTTGCCGTGTGGAACCCACTTACGGGAAAAAATGGCCCTTCTTATCCATGAAGTTCACATTCTGAAAATACTATGTTTACCTTTTTTTTCTTTCTTCTTCTTTTTTTTTTTTTTTTTAGATATAGGATCCCTCTCTGTCTCTCAGGCTGGAGTGCAGCGGTGTGATCACAGCTCACTACAGCCAGCAACTCCTGGGTTCAAATGATCCTCCCACCTTAGCCTTCCAAGTAGCTAGGACTACAGCACACACCATGATGTCCAGACAATTTTTAATTTTTTCCTAATATTTATTTCAATAGTTTCTGCAGTACAAGTGGTTTTTGGTTACATGGATTAATCGCATAGTGGTGAAGTCTGAGATATTAGTGTTCCTATCACCCAATTAGTGTACATTGTATCCAATATGTAGTTTTTTTATCCTTCATCTTCCTCACTCCCTCTCCCTTCTGAGCCTCCAAAGGCCACTAAATCATCCTGTATGCCTTTGCATACCCATGGCTTAGCTCCTACTTGTAAATGAGAACATACAGTATTTGGTTTTCGGTTACTTCACTTAAAATTCCTGAGTTACTTCACTTAAAATAATGGCCTGCAGCTTCATCCAAGTTGATGCAAAACACATTATTTCAATCTTTTTAATAGCTGAGTAGTATTCCATAAAGTGTGTGTATGTATATTATATATATATATCTCTCACATTTTCTTTATCCACTAGTTGTTTGATGAGCATTTAGGTTGGTTGTATATCTTTGCAATTGTAAATTGTGCTGCTATACACATATGTGTGCCGGTGTCTCTTTGATATAATGACTTCTTTTCCTTTGGATAGATAGCCAGTACTGAAATTGCTGCATTGAATCGTAGGTCAACTTTTAGTGCTTTAGGAAATCTCCATACTGTTTTCCATACAGGTTGTACAAATTTATATTCCCACCAGCAGTGTATAAGTGTTCCCTTTTCACCACATCCATGCTGACATATATTGTTTTTATAACATTATCTTTTTAATAATGGCCATTCTTGCACAGGTAAGGTGGTATCTCATTATGGTTTTAATTTGCATGTCCCTGATGATTAGTAATGTTGAGTATTATTTTTCATATGTTTGTTGGTCATTTGTATATCTTCTTTAGAAAAATGTATATTCATGTCATTTGCCCTCATTTTGATGGTTTTTTTTTTGTTTTTTTTTTCCTGATTTGAGCTCCTTGTAGATTCTGGATATATGTCCTTTGTTGAACGCATAGTTTGCAAATATTTTCTTCCACTCTGGGGGTTGTGTGTTTACTCTGCTAATTATTTCTTTTGTTGCACAGAAGCTTTTTAGTTTAATTAGGTCCCATTTATTTATATTTATTTTTGTTTCATTTGCTTTTGGGGTCCTAGTCATGAATACTTTTCCTAGGCAGTGTCCAGATGAGTTTTTCCAGGTTTTCTTCTAGAATTTTTAAAGTTCCAGCTTTTAGATTTGAGCCTTTGATCTACCTTGCGGTGATTTTTGTACAAAGTTTATTCCAGTTTTATTCTTCTTCATGTGGCTTGCCAGTTTTCCCAGCACCATTTATTAAGTAGGATGTCCTTTCCCCAATTTATGTTTTTGTATGTTTTGTCAAAAATCAGTTGGCTGTAAATATTTGGGATTTATTTATTGGCTCTCTATTCTGTTCCATTGGTTTATGTGTCTGTTTTGTACCAGTACCATGCTGTTTTGGTTTCTGTAGCCTTGTAGTATAGTTTGAAGTCAGGTAATGTGATCCCTCCAGATTTGTTCTTTTTGCTTAGTCTTGCTTTGGCTATGTGGGCTTTTTTTTGTTTGTTTCACATGAATTTTAGAATTGTATTTTCTAATTCTGTGAAAAATGATGTTGGTATTTGGATGGGAATTGCATTGAATCTGTAGATTGATTTGGGCAGTATGGTCATTTTCATTATATTAATTTTTCCAATCCATGAGTATGAGATGTGTTTCCATTTGTTTGTGCTATCTATGATTTTTAAAAACCATATGATAATCTCAATAGATGTAGAAAAAGCATTCAATAAAATCCAGCATCTTTTATTATAAAAAACCCTCAACAAACTAGGCATAGAAAGGACATACCTCAAAATAATAAAAGCTGTATATGATGAACCCACAGCAAACATACTGAATGAGCAAATGCTGGAAGCATTCCCCCTGAGAACTGAAACAAGACAAGGATGCTCACTTTCACCACATCTATTGACATAGCACTGGAAGTCCTATCCAGAGGAATCAGGCAAGAGAAAGAAATAAAGGGCATCCAAATTGGAAAAGTGAAATTTATCCTACCACTGTGTGCCAATAATATAATCCTACACCTAGAAAACCCTGAGTACTCATCCAAAATACTACTAGATTAGATAAATGAATTCACTAAGGTCTTAGTCTACAAAGTCAATCTGCACAAATTAATAGCACTGGTATACATGAAAACAACCAAGTTATAAATCAAATCAACAACTCATTTCCTTTTACAGTAGCTGCAAAAAAAAAAAAAAAAAAAACCTAGCAATTTATCTAACCAAGGAAGTGAAAGATCTCTACAAGAAGAATGTTTAAATGTGTTTTATAGAGACTGGTCATACTATGTTGTTGCCCAGCTGGTCTAGAACACCTGGCCACAAATTATCCAGATCCTCTGGTCTTGGCCTCCCAAAGTCCTGGGGTTACAGACGTGAGCCACCACACCTGCCCAGAAAATACTATATTTTAGATCCAATATTTGGTTGCAGATGTAGAACTCCATATGGTCGACCAACTGTATCTATGGAAAAAAAATCTATGAATAATTGAGCCCGTGCAGTTCCAACCCATTGTTGAAGGGTCAGCTAAATATATTTGGATAAATAGGCATACAAATACATAGGACTATAATTTAAATATTAAAAACTGTGAAGACACAGAGAAGATGCATCTACTTCTACCAAAAAAAGCACAAAGGTTACCCAAATAATAGGTGACGATCCATGTGCATTGCTTCTGTTTGTCTCTTGAAAACATATCAGTGAGCTGGAAGAGTCCTAGGAATGAGATTTCATTCATTATCAGTGATTGAACTGTCAACAAGGAAAGTAAACACGCAGTGGCTTCATACAGCATCTTTCTGGCGTAAACATCTGATGTTTATGGTGGCAGCAATTTAGATATTTTAAAAAGAGGATAGAATTAACAGAGATAAGTGATATTGAAAATTTCATATCAGTGCTGTAGAGAAGGCATTTCAATAGCTTTCAGATATACCTCATTATACCTCATTCAGATATGAGAGTGTTGTGGGGCAAAAATATTGTTATACAACAAAATTTGAGATACGAATATGCTTGTTTACAAAGAAAAATGCAGATATATGAAGTCAGAGCAAACCACATTTTTTTTAAAATGAAACATCTTTTCTTTTTATATATATATATACACATACATATTTATTTATTTATTTATTTTTATTTTATTTTTTGAGACGTAGTCTTGCTCTGGAGTCACCCAGGCTGGGGTGCAGTGGCGCAATCTTGGCTCACTGCAACCTCTGCTGCCCGGGTTCAAGCAATTCTCCTGCCTTAGCCTCTGGAGTAGCTGGGATTACAGGCACGTGCCATGATGCCGGGTTAATTTTTGTGTTTTTAGTAGAGACAGGGTTTCAGCATCTTGGCTAGGCTGGTCTTGAACTCCTGACCTCGTGATCCACCTGTCTTGGCCTCCCAAAGTGCTGGGATTACAGGTGTGAGCCACCGCGCCCGGCCAAAAAAAATGAAACATCCTTTCTAACATCACCTTATTTCACTATTTTCTAGAACTCTACTAGGTAGCGGCAACATAAAATTAAACAAGGTAGACATGGCTCCTCCCTTCACAAAGCTTACACACAATGGACGAGACAGAAGACTTAAAAAGCAATTGTAATTCATTGTGTGTTATTGCATTAGAAGTACCTTGACACGCATAGACTGGGAATAATTACAACTATTACTAAAATATGTAGCAGTAAAAGAAGGCAATTATCAAAACTAACATACATAGGACACAAGTCCCTAGGAAATTCTTCAGAAGACTAAACACTAAAAAAAGGGGCTTATTCTATGATTATATTCAATTTTTTTATTTCATCCATATGCTTTATATATATTTTAAAGCAGGAAGGTCAGCAAGCCTTCCCTGGAGAGTTCTGGCTAAGCTCTATTTGCACTATCATCAGAGACGCAATGCTGTCATGCAGATGGCCCCCTGGTCTGGGCAGCTTGATGAAAGTGCCTTTGTGTTCCTAATTAACAAGTGAACAACTATGCCAATTGCTTTGATACATTTGAAACCTTCTGTTCTCAGACTTTTGATGAGCTGTTTATTCAGAAGCAATACCTGCCTGCTTATTGGCCCCAGCATACCACTCCTAAAGGGCAGAGTTACAGTGAGATTGACAAAGATTCCTCTGTACAAAGGAAGATCATCAAGAAGCGTAAGCCACATTCAGGTAGTCCATTTTAGATCTCATTGATGGAAGAATAAAGTCTATGACTATAAAGTGCAAATATTTCTTGGCAGTAACTCTATATATCCAGAGCTCACAGTTCAGTAATGAGCTGCCACACTAAGTTGTTCTTTGATTCTGGGAGTTCCCAAATCTGTAGCAGTGTTTAAAAAAAGCAACGTTTCCAGGATCTTTACTCAACTCTTAAAAAAAATTAGTGGTAAAGTAGATGCTGGCACAGAGAGTAAATTAGAACATCAAATGATACTAGAATAATAAATGTTAAAGTGTATGCCAAATTATATTTAGCATGCAAAAGAAAAGATATGTTAATGAAGCCCAAAGCCCCAAACCATTTTGTGCATATAATTGTGTGAAATGTGATGGGAGGAGCAAATGTTAGTAGCTTTTAAAAAATTTTCTTGACTGAGTGTAATGTAGATAGTATCAAGGCCATGAGATAAAATAACTACCCTTTTGATTTATAAATGCATCAAATTAAAGAAAATGACATTTTTAAAAATTAAAAATGGCAAATCCTCAGGCATATATTTAGAAAGGCTCTTTGCATTTAGAAAGCTAGAGTTCTTCATCAGAACTAGTGGTTATGATGAGAAAGGAAAAAAGTGATGACAATGTCCCTTACAGCAGATTTGAAAAGTAGCCATTTTTTTTTTAATCCTAAGGAGAATGTTTAAATTATCTCAACCTTGGCACTATTGACATTTGGACTGAATAATTCTGTCTTGCTTGAGACTCTCCTGTGCATTGTGCAATGCTTAGCAGCACTTCTGGCCTCTATTTTCTAGATACTGGTAGTACGCCCCTAAGTTGTACAATCAGGAATGTCTACAGACATTGCCAACTGTGTATGAGAGCAAAATTGCTTACAGTAGGGAACCACTGGTTTTAATTAGAGACAAAGTACTTCCAGTAGAGACAAGGTGGTGCAGAATTTTTTTCTGCTTGCCCCTTCCCTCCAAGTACAACTATAAATTCCTTAAATTCCTTAAATGACTTAACAGAAAACCAAGGATAAGTATAGTTAGTAAGAGGAAGAAAAAGGGTAGGGAGTCCAGGACTGGAGGAATGATGTAGAAGCACAACTCTTACAAAACCCTATCCAACAGAAGACAACCCAAGCCCCATGCTTTCCACCTCCTGATCAAGCAACCAATGGTGGATCAGGTAAGCTCATTCCTTGGCAGGACTCAAAAATACAAGGTTACTCTACAAAACTAACAGGGAGAATCATTGATCCAAATGCCATGCTGACCCTAAGAGGCCAGGGAAAGGGTTCTCATTCCACAGTGGGACTTCATCTAGAGACACTGCATAACTAGGGGGCACCAGACAACAGCAATGATATCCTGCCACAACAAGGCACCTGGGCAGTATTAGAGTGAAGATAATAGAAGATAGAATATGTAAACTTGAGGACAGATGAATAGAATTTACCCAACCTGAACAAATGGGAGAAAATAGACTAAAACCAAACAAACAGAAACCACAGGCCTCAGGGACCCGTGGACAATAGCAAAATATCCGTCATTATTATCATCAGAATTCTAGAAGGAGAGGAGAGAGTGGAGCTAAATGTATGCAAAGGAATAAAAACTGAAACTTCCCAAATTTGTGGAAAGGCATAAGCCCACATATTCAAGAAGCTAAGCAAAATCTATACAAAGACACATCATAAACATACTATGGAAAACAAAAAATTATGGAATAATCTTGAAAGAAGCCAGGGAAAAATTACTTATAAAGGGATAGCTATTCAAATAATAGGAGATTTCTCATCTGAAACCAAGGGGTCCATAAGGGTGTGCCATAACATCTCTCAAGTCCTGAAAGAACTGTCAACAGCGAATTTGATACCTGGGAAACAATTCTTTAGAAATGAATGGAAAATAGTGGCATTCTCAGAAGATGGAAAACTAATAAAATAATTTCTCACTAGCAGATCTAACTTTTAGAAAAGGCTAAAAGAAGTTCTCACAGCAACAAAATGAAAATGATGAAAAATTTTGAAGCATCAAAAAAGAAGAAGAGAAAGTGTAGAAATATTTGTAAATACAATAAACTAGTGATAAATTATTGCTTAAAACATAGAAGGGTGGACACATTATTTTAAAGCATACTGTAGTCCAAATTTAGAGAATGAGATTGTGTCAGAACTAAAAAATACCTCTTTGTAAATCCTACAAGATATAGCCTGATCTTTTTGGAAGATAAATTAGTTACTTTTATATAATTGAATCACCAGAAAAGAGATAATTGGGTTTCTTATTTCCAGGAAGAGCTAAATAAGTAAGAGTTTGACCAACAGAAGTCTTCACTGAAATTTCAAATCATTAACCATGATTGAGAGATTGGAAATAAAGACATCTGTGACCAACACAATCTGGCACAGACTGGATAGGGAAATGAGGTAAACAAGTCAACAATACTTGGCTCAAGGATAACATAATAATGATGACAATGACATCTGTGATTTTCATTTTATGCTCCAGAGACTTTGTAATTGTTGTCTTTATCTCTCAAAAAAGTATTTTATTTCTGAGCCAATCCTGGCTCCTCAGACTCTCTCCCACTTTCTGGTATCACAGCAGGGCTCTTGTATTATGTTACCTTGGGCTCAGGTCAGCCAATGGGAAATACTGATGGTGCTTTATGGGGAAGGGGGAAAGAAACTAGGTTAACCCTTTCTCTCTCTTTGTCTTGGGTGGTTTCTCCAGCAAGCTCTGCCCTTGTAACTCCTCTTGATTGTGGCTACCTCTGTGCAGCTTTTCAGGCTACCAGGTTACTTTGAATGACTTTGGACAGTGGGCTCCCCCTGTTTTATAATCTTTGAGCTTAAGGTAGTAGTGGTTTTCTGCTGTTGCTGTTCTCTGGGTTACCGTCCTGTCCCTTGATTGACTCTCAGATGCTGAGTTACCACCTTTTGATCTCCAACAGTCAGATGCTCTTTCTTTCACCTATGAAACTAATTCTCCAAATTAAATTCCCTATATTGTAGACACTTGCATTGTTTTTTGGTTTCTTAATTAGACCCTGACAGTTACACTTTGAAATAAAAAATCAGGCTGGGCATGGTGGCTCACGCCTATAATCCCAGCACTTTGGGAGGCCGAGATGGGGGGATCACAAGGTCAGGAGATCGAGACCATCCTGGCTAACACGGTGAAACCCTGTCTCTACTAAAATTACAAAAAAAAATTAGCCAGGCGTGGTGGCGGGCGCCTGCAGTCCCAGGTACTCAGGAGGCTGAGGCAGGAGAATGGCGTGAACCCGGGAGGTGGAGCTTGCAGTGAGCCGAGATCACGCCACTGCACTCCAGCCTGGGCGACAGAGTGAGACTCCGTCTCAATAAATAAATAAATAAATAAATAAATAAATAAATAAATAAAATAATAAAATAAAAAATCAGAAGCTGAATGAATCTCTAGAGGTCATCAGGTTCAATTCACCTGTATTTTCCACAACACAAATGATTATTTTTCTTTTGACATACATTCAAATAAGAGCTGAAATGGGTAAGCATATTTGTTAAAGTAAGAAAATGTAAAAGAGCATGACCTACTATTCCAAGACCTACTATTCCCATACTAGGATAAAGATGGCTCTCAAAACCCAAATTCAAATGCCTTGACTGAATGAACTCATTCTGTGCCAGGGCCGATGGATTCTGATGCCTGGAATGTCCACATCAAATAATCTCTATGGATTTTAGTAACTGTTATCACTTGAAGACCACCTCATACCCACATTTCACATCATGTGACTTCCACAAGAACAATAGACATCCTTTGTTATTATGACTCAACTGATAAATAACTAAAATGTATACTGGCTTTTTTTAATAGTGTTAATTTACTGAGTAGATGTACTAAAACATTGGAGTTTTAAAATATTCATTCCTAAATGAGCTACTTTGAAAGCTTTGAAAAAAGTAAACACACGAAAAAAGAATTGAAGAGCATACTGACCTACACCAAACCACATAATGTGGACATCCTACATTGCACTGGGACAGAGAGCTGATAAAACTCATACTAAGGTGCTAACATAAGATCAGTCTGACTGGGTTATTTACATGTGTAGGTTTGTGAAAAGGTCTTAGTGAATAAAATACACTTAGAAAAATAAGAAAAATAACAAAAATAAGCAATAATTTTCTTAAAGATAGCATCTTCATATTAAGGTGATCAAGATGACTAGTACATCACGCATAGCAGGATAGCTTTTGATATCTTTATCAAGCTATTCACCTCTGTGTTCCAGACTTCTGCGATCAGGAAAAAAAAAAAAAAAGAAGAAGCAAAAGAAAAGAAATGCCAACTATAACACAGGAATAGGTGGATTCTGTTGGTAAATTCTTCAGTGAGCTTTACTTTCCCTCCCCTCACATCTTCTTAGAGACTTCTAATTATTCTTTATTGCTGTCTCTCATCCCCTCTCTTCTGTGTTGCAAATGCTAGTTCCATTTTGTCAGCATTTAAGTGTTTGACTCCTCATCTTGAAAACCTCCCAATGCCTTCCTTGAACACATATTCCCATATGGCTACTAGCTACTGCCCTAGTTTTGTTCTTCCTGTCACAGGCAAATTTTATTAAAAACATTTGTTTCAAACGCCATCCTCATTTCCTCAACTTCTATTCACTCTACAATCGGCTACAGTCTAGGTTCTTTCACTGTCACTTTAATTAAACTGGATGTGGGAAATTATAATTATCTCTTTATTGCTACATTCATTAAATATTGAAGTGTCTTTACCTTATTTAAACTTTGGAAGCATTTGGTGTTATTGACCCATCTCTAAGTCCTGAAATCCTTTGCCTTTGGTTTTCATTACATAATAATCTTCTTCTCCCTCTATCCTCTTCCTCTCTTGTTCCTCACTCTCTTTCTCCCCACCCCCTCCTCTCTCTCTCTCTTCTTCTCTTTCTCTCTCTCTGTCTGTCTTTGGACATTTCTACTTAGATTTCTTTGACATATTCTTTACCTCTATCTATTATGTAATTCCTGATGTTACTCCAGGGTCAACACAAGATTTTTTTCCCACTTCTCTGGGTAATTTACCCAGTTATTATCTGCTAGTTCAGAATTATTATATACAAACTAACTCATTTTCTACACTACCCTTCACCCAAACAAAACCTTTCAACTCCTGTGTTTCTTATCTTCTACCACCTTACGTTGCTTACAAAAATCACATGGATTCAGGCCGGGCGCGGTGGCTCACGCCTGTAATCCCAGCACTTTGGGAGGCCGAGGCGGGGGGATCACGAGGTCTGGAGATCAAGACTATCCTGGCTAACACGGTGAAACCCTGTCTCTGCTAAAAATACAAAAAATTAGCCAGGCACGGTGGCGGGCGCCTGTAGTCCCAGCTACTCGGGAGGCTGAGGCAGGAGAATGGCGTGAATCCGGGAGGCAGAGCTTGCAGTGAGCCAAGATAGCACCACTGCACTCCGGCCTGGGTGAAAGAACGAGACTCTGTCTCAAAAAACAAAACAAACAAACAAACAAACAAAAAAAAACAAAAAATCACATGGATTCAACTACCCAAACCAGAAACCTGCACATAATATTTGACTCCTATTTCTGTTTCTCTCTTCAGTTACTAAGTCTCCTTGTATCAACTTTGATTTTCTGGAAATGGGATTCTCTGTGCTCTCCAATCCATCACCCTAGTTCAAGAACTGAATAAAACATAATTTTATGTATGAAAATCATTATCAATGCCGTCTGTTCAGTGAAGCAAATCATGGGGGCCAATACTTCTTAAAACAATTTGTACCTAAGATGGTGTTTCAAAGTTCTGTCATTCTTCATTTATCCAGGGTATTTGATCTCTACTTCTCCCTCAAAAATATCTTACACAAATTTTCCCCCAAATCTTATCTTGTTTACTGAAATTTAGTCTAATCAAGCCTAACCCAGCTGAGCGTCTCTTGGCACACAAGCTGAAGGGAGAGCAGGTGTTACCAAGTGCACCTCAAGCCAATGGGAACCAAAGCCAATGGCTCATCCTGAAATGGAAATCACAGCCTGTCTACAGAATGAACACTAGTGAAGAGAGCATTAGAGCTACCTCTATCCATCGTTTGGTAATGTGTTTTTCTTTTTTTCCCTTCAGCCCCTCATTGCAGTTCTGTATTCCATCTCTAAGTCATTTTCATCAATGACCTTAAGATCCTTCTATTCCATGTCCCGAAACTCTCATTTCTCTTTGTGATTCACAAATATAACATTCCGTGGATCTACTGCATAGACTTTGGATAACCTTTATTTGTATCACAAATGTACTTGCCCTCCCAAATTCTGATTATTGCCTTAAAATATTTCCCAGCATATGAGTCAAATTTTTTTTTTTGCTAAAGCTTTTTTTTTTTTAGCAAAATACTGTTTTCATATATGCACTACCATTTGTTTTTTCCTTGAACAGTCTCATCTTCTAGGCTACACCCCAGTGCATTATTCTTTTACTCTTCCCTATCTGCAGACAAGTTAAAAAGAAATTATCCTCACTCTATCACTGAAGCCTTTCTTGCTGACTTCCTAGTATCAAGGTCTATATGGCAGAACTGGCCCTTCAGGATTAATGTGACTGATTTGCTAGGTTGTATACTGGATACCGACCTTAATGGGGAACATTACATTCCATAATTGCATTTTCTAAGCACCACTTCCATCGTGGTAAGTAATATAAATCCCAACTAATAGGAAAATGACGGATAAATGTACTGATTTCCCAATACAGTACTTTACCAAGTGAAGTTTGAACACTGGATGATACTATACTCACTTTATTTCTGTTCCAAAGAAATAATGCTCATAGGATACTTTTCCCCTAAAATAATAGCTTTTGATCTACTAACAGAGAGAATTAAAGTCTGATTAAAGTTGGTTATTTAAACTCTGCTAAAATTCTTATTGGTATTGATTTCTCCATCTTTAGGGTTTGAGGTCACCAATATCTTTTATATTGTCTTTTTACAGAAAAATATTAGATACTAATATTTTAATAAGAATAAGTATTGTAAAAATAAACACGTATTAGAAAAATATTTTTAAAAGAATTTAAAATATAATTCAGAAACAAAACTACAGAAAATTTAGTTTTCATATCTAACTTCTTAATAACACATAGAATAAAAGGGTTAAAATCAAACTTATTTGTTGAGTTTATTTACTCTCAGAATGCTTGGTGCTATAGTCTAAATGTCTGTGTCATCCCCACAATTCATATCTTAATCCTTAATGCCCAATATGATGGAACATGCAAATGGGAATTTGGGGGGTGATTAGTTAATGAGAATGGCACTTTCATGAATGAAATTAATGTCTTTATCAAAAAGACCACAGAGAGTGCCCTTGCTCCTTCCACCCTAGTGAGGAAGGAGCCATCTGTGAGGAAGTGGGCCCTCACTAAGTACCATATTTGTTGGCACCTTGATCTTGAACTTCACAGCTTCCAAAATTGTGAGAAATATATTTTTGTTGTTTGTAGGCAACCCAGTCTAAAATATTTTGTTAGAGCACCCCAAATGAACAAAGACATTTAGTGTACTATGTTAAAAAAAAAAAAAAAGAAACACCAAAACCAAAATGTTTTGTCATTTTGCTTTGTGAACTCCATTTATTTATGTCTAATAGGCCATAACTTTGGATCTATTGGGCTTAATTCAGTTTTCTCTGTACTAAGGGACCAAGAGGTGTTAAGAACATCACTGCAAAATAAAGGCCTAAACTAAATTTGAAAACTTAGTTTTAAAATTCTTGTAAGTGCAGTCACATTTGCATGGAAATAATCTATGTTTGGAACTTGTGTTATATTCAATGTCCTGTCTACAGGAAGATTATACATCTGCAAACTCTTGAATTAAAGCATCCCCTGTGTATTAATTACCTAGGGCTGCCATAATGATTTATCATAAACTGGGTGTCTGAAATCATCATAAATTTATTCTGTCACCGTTTGGGAGGCCAGAAGTCTGAAATCATGGAGTCATTGGGTTTTGTTCTTTCTAGAGACTCTGAAGGAGAAACTATCCCATGCCTTTCTCCTATCTTCTGTTCGCTGCTGGCAATCCTTGGTGTTCCTTGGCTTGTAGTTGCGTCACTACACTGTCTGCCCCTGTTTTCTCCTTCTCTTCATGTCTGTATCTGTGTGTCTTCATGTAGCCTATTTATAAGAATGTCAGTCATTGGATTTAGGGGCTACCCTAATCCAATATGACCTCACCTTAGCTAATTACATCTGGAAAAGTCCTATTTTCAAATAAGGTCACACATTCTGATATGCCAGGTGGGCATACATTTTGGGCAGATACTATTTAACCGAGGACATTATGTTACTTGCTTTGCTCAAAAAAATGAGAGCAAAAAATGTCCTGTGTGATTTGCAGCTTAAGTTTTAAGAGTTAATGCTTTGTTTACCATGCTCTCCCATTTTTCTTGACTCTGCTAATGGGTTAAAAATGGAATCTCTATTAGCCTGAAAAAGAGCCCCTGTGGTGACACATGCTGTAACACATCTCATAAACAAGAAGACACAGACATCACTGTGTTAAGACTCTAAGATTTCCAAGTTGCTCTTTTACACAGAATAATCAGGCCAATCATGACTATTAGAAAAATGAGTACTGGATCAGGGTGCTTCCTTAACAGACAACCTAAATAAAATATGTGACTCTGGGTTTGAGGTTAAGTATATGGTGGCAAGAAAATTCTTATTAGAGGCTGGAAGAATAGTAACACATGTCATGCAGTGGTGAAAATATTTAGAAAAAATATTATCTATGATACCTTAAGAGGGAGATAGTGTACCTAATAAGCTTTATCTTTAAAAGGTTTTAAAATAATTTTAGTTTTTTTTTGTTGTTGGTTGAACTTGCCAGGATAATGTAAGAGAGATGAGCTCAGAAAAGAACAGGCTGTTTTGTAAGCAGACTTTAAAGAAAGTAGAGAGAACACAGAGTTGGATGGCTTTCTGGGCTGGAAGTTTAGCTGGTCCTCATCTCCTTATAATATACAAAACTAACAAAGTTGTTAAATAGTAATTTTTTAAAAGGCCTCACATAAAATGCTGATTTAAGGGTCAATATCAGGATATAGTTATAGCACCCATTTTAAAACCTTTTAATGGCTGCAATGTACCCAGAAAATTCTTTCAGTTGGAAAAGTATGGTTTAGGGATAAGAGAAAAAACAAAGGCATTTCTTTTTTGTGGAAGCATGGTAGGCTTAAGTTACGCCAATTAAATCCAGCAATAATCTTAGTACTTCTTGTTCTCTAATTTCTCAGTTCAGAAATAGTTTTTAGTGTGTCTATTGTCAAGAGTCTCACTGAAATCAAATAGACAGAAAAGTAATTAACAGTGTGTCCATATAATCTCTCAAAAAGAGAGATTTTAGTTTTACAGATTTTTAATCTGTTTGAGAAATTATACAGACAAACTAACCATAGACCTAGACTAAAATAATAGTTTGTTAGAGACTTAAAAATTGGGCCCTCAAAATTCTATGGATTTTAAGCAGGCAGAGACGTCAGCTGCAAAGAAGCTCATGTAGTATCAATAAAATACCTCACCCTTCTTATTGACAAAATCAAATTATCCTAGGAAATGATCAATCAATTGTAACTATAAATAAATTTAGTTATAAATAAAAATTTATTATTTTTAAATAAAACAATACATCATATTGTCTGGTAGTTATTGGTAATTATTGATTATCTCCGATCTATGAAACATAAGAATATTTATATATACTTTCTTCTACTTAGGTTTTCCCTTCACTGGAGAAGCAGTAAGCCGATCTTGCCAGAATTCAAGTATTTTATATTTCGCAATTGCTCTCTACACGATATAGTACAGTATGGTAAAAGTTTAAAATATCTTTCAAAATGCAAACTTAGGGGAAATTTAAAAAGAATCTTTCAATGTTTAATAACTGAAGATTAAAACAATGATTTCCGGTTTTGTTTTTTTTTTCCACTAAGGCATTGCTTCTCTTCAAAGAATGCTCTGATTTTAGCAGCAGGTATATCACATAATTTCGGGTAGGAAAATTACATAAATATGCCCACAATGCAAACCTGAATATGTTGCTTCACATTGCTAAGACTCACTGAATCAGGCTGTGAGCTGACTCTTCCTCACAGCAGTAGGTATAGTAAGAAAATGGAAGACAATAGAGAGGGATAAAAAACAAGGCTTTGTGTGTGACATTGTATATAAAACCAGGTAAATTTGGTCTCAGAGCAATATATACTTTTGATGCAGTGTTAGCTACTTGTAGAGGAAAACAATTCTGTAATAAAAGTAGAAATCAATAAAATGAGTATGCTTTAAAGAAAAAACAAAGTATGGTTTTTGATTTAAATTTAAAAACCCATTCATACTGCATTTTGAATGTCCAGAAAACAAGCTAAATGTAAGTATATGATTTCTCATCAAAACAATGTTATAAAATCCATCAGCATTAAATGGGTACATTTGTGCAAAGGTTCACACTGCTGCAAAACTCATAACTTTGAAGAGCCCCTTTAGATATTATTTTAAGCTAGAATTTGTGATAAGATTAAGTCAATTATGAGTAGCTTATCTAACAATGAATTGCTTAGCTGTAGACATGGAATTGCACTTCAAAAGCATGTTCAAGAGTTTAAAATAAGCTGAAAAATGGATGAGGAAAAAGCACAGTACAAATGACAAGTGTCTGCAGAACTGAAGAGAAATGTAGAATATGCTTAAAATTTCCTAAGTTTTAAAAGATATGCATATTGTGTTTTGCCTACAAAAATTAATATTTTAACTTAGTTAAAGTTAAAATTACATATTATTAACGTCCACACCCTCCTTAATGTAGTTAGATTCTCTAACTCAAACCTGAGGAATGTTGAAGACAATAATTTGCAAAGAGAGAGTGTATTTCAAGCAAAATGAAAGGTGCGCAAAGGTCCAGAAGAGAAGAAGAATACTTCGCACTTGCATGACAAAAATAATTGTTTTAAGAAGGAATATTGAAGTGGGAAATCAAGAGACTAAGCTAATGAGGAACATAGGAGCTGGATATTAAGGTGTTTATAAGCCAAGTTAAGGATGTTAGAACTTTACTCTTAGGGCAACAGGGAGTCATTGATGGTCTTGAACCAGGAGAGCATAGAATCATATATACAGTTTATAAAAATCCCTACAAATATATTGTATTCTTCTGAGAAGATTGGGCAGATGAGGATTAAATCTGATTGCAGAAATATCAGCTGTGAGATTGTTTTGGAAATCCAGATGGAAATAACCATTATCTAAATAAGGAGAGTGGCAGTGGGAATTGAGAAATGTGACTAGACTTGCGAGACATTTTCAAAATAGAATTTTTAAAATTTGGTGACTGTTAAAGAGAATGTGACTGTCTAGGGAGTATAAGAGGAAATAAAATAAAAAATAAGCAGAAATCTGTTTAGACAACAATGTGTCATAGCAATCAGAAATCTTTTGGGACAAGTACATGCAGTGATTTTGGGCAAAAAGAAAGAACAGTCATAAGAGGGAGAACTGATTTCAGGATTGGACACAGTGAGTTTCAGTGAATATGTCCTAATTAATAGTTGGATATGTGAGTTTGAAGCTCAAAGGAGAGATATTTGTGAAATAGAGCTGGAGGAAAATAATTGATCAAGGAAACAACCAGGGATTAATGCAGTAACTACAATGATTAGTAGGAAGGGGTAGTAGTGATAAGGATATGGGTGGGAGGAGAGAATGAAGATATATTAATAAAGTAAAATATGCAGGATTTATTGATGAAAGGAAAATTTCTAGTAGAAAGTATGGAAATGCCGTGTTTTATCTTGGGAGAAACTTGAGCATATATGCATGTTAAGAGAAAAGAAACAGTGAAAATGGACAGATTAAAAATAAATCTGAGTTTGATCCATAGAATTAAAGGGATCAGATCCAGAAAATGGATTTCTTACAAGGAATGATTATGAACAATAAAGTATCCCTGATACCAAAATAATTATTGGACTAAGACACCTCCAAGATTTGCTGACTATATATATAAAATATGGCAGATACCCTCAAGAATATAGTATCTTCATGTGCAAAATCAAAAGCTGTCCCATTTTTCTCTTTGGCAGCATCACTTCATAGCAGAGGTGAAGGTTGATATTGGATTGCATGAATTGGAAAACATTTACAACATGGGAAGTTGCTTAAATAATAGAAACACCTGTAGAAATCTTTCTAATAGCTTTTCCAACAGCTGGGCTAGAAGTGTTTCATTACATGTTGCTGGACACTAGCAGGTTTCACACAATCAACAGTGTTGAACTGGCCTTGGCACTCACTACTTTAGCTAGAAACTTTACAGAGACCACCAGGAAGTGAAGCAAAAATTCCAGTTTCCAAACATTCCTGCAAAAAGAGAAGAGGAGAATGCATAGGTGAAAATTCGGATATATTTGAAGATATAGACTTTAAGAGTGAGAAAGAGAGATGAGATCTGATCTTGTCTAATTTCTCTGTTAAGGTAAAAGGTAAGGTTAATTGCTGAGAATGAAGATGGCATGGCAAGTTTTTCATTCTTTTCCTTTTCTTCCTTTTGCTCCCTCCTCTTATCTTTTATCATTTTTTTCTTCATGTCCATTTTCAGCAAGCATATGTGTTTCTTTCTCTTATAGACTCTGCTTTTATTATATTTCAATTTTACATACTTTACTTTTAAAAAGTTGAATAAAATTTTCAGGCTACAAGGAAAAGTAATTATTTTCTAGCCTTACCCACTTTACTCCAAATCTCTGAACTGATAATCAACTTCTTCAACTGTTTGAACCATTGTTTGTAGTATTTTTCCATTTACGCTTTAGACACAAATTCATACACTTAACAGAGCAGTTGAAGATTTCGCTTTCTTGTGCTTAATCACTCTTAAGTACATTCTCTGCTCCCCTTCCTTCCAACATAATTGTATGGTAATATTGGTCCCATCAACCTTTATTTAAGATTTATAATATGATGACTATGGAAGTATTATTCAGAAGGAAGACAAGTAGGGTGTCATGTTTTTCTTCCCTTTCTTATTATTTTCAATAGAGTTAATAATTGTCCAGATACTTCTTGGGTTAAATTATGTTTATATTCTAACACAAATTCAGGACAAAATTCTATGATAGAATTGTATGTCTTCTTTCTATATGATGAAAGTTATCTACAAATTTACTAGTTCCATTTCTGTGCTTTTTCTTCTTGAATTTTAGATGTGTTATGAATTTAGTGGTTGTTTTCCCACATTCATACGTTGAAGTTCTAACCCCCAATGTGATGGTATTTGAAGCGGGGCCTTTGGGAAGTAATTAGGTTAGATTAGAGGGTGGGATGCCCATGACAGGATTATTAATCTTATTAGAAGAGCAAGTCAGGGAGATATCTCTCTCTCCATGTGCATGCACCAAGGGAAGCTCATGTGAACACACTGCAGGAAGGTGGCTGCCTACAGGTCAGGATGCAGGCTCTCTCCACGAACCAACTGCACCCTGATCTTGAATTTCCCAGCCTCTAGAACTGTAAAAAACAAATATCTATTAATTATCTAAGCAGCACAGTCTATGATATTTTCTTATAGCAGCCTGAGCTGACTAAGATACCATCTTTTCTTCCAATGTATTCTGATGTTCTCAACCTCTGACAGCTCTTCAGGATTTCTTGTATGATCAGCTTGGAGATTCTATTCATCACTTTCCTGTTACATAATGCTACTTTGGATCCTACCTTTTAAAGCACAACCTATAGTTGTGTCAAAGCAAAAATTTAACTGGACAAATTTAAACAGGCAAGAAATACTTAATTAAAGGCTCTTGTAATATGGGAACAAGGGCACAAAACAATCTGAACTTCTATCTACTGAAGCAAAGGGCTTGCGTGTTTTTAAAAACTGGAGTGGGTGGATCACAGGCCATCTGTGCTTGTTAATTGGCTTTATTCAAATGAAAATAAACTCCTCATATTTTATGACAGGAGATGGTTTTACAACTTGGAGGAAGACACCTGCTAAAGTCAGTCTCTTATCCTTCCAGGAAAACTAGGATATAGGGGCTCTCCCTTCCTTGGTAATTACACTTCAAAGGAATAGCTCCCAGGTCCTTAAGAAAGAGATTCCTGGGCTGTAAAGCTGCCAAGTCTTTTTAGAAAATTTACACCTCAAAGGGGCAGAGAAATAATTTACAATGACAATTTTTCTAAAGTAAATGCTCTAACAGAAGAGAGATCAGGAATCTAGAGTAAGGAAGATTGTCTTAAGGTTAGTGTAGCCAAGGGGATTGTTAAGGTTTTCTTAGTAAGGTACTTTTCTGGTCTTTTGAAACCTTTTTTGAAACATTACATATCTCACCCTTGAATAACAGTTTGTGCTGATGTATAATTCTAGCTTGAAAGTCATTTTTCCTCATTAATTAACAAGGCATTGTTCCATTGTCTTCAAGTGCAATACTATTAAAAAAGTCATATGTTATTCTCATTTTGAATCCTTTTTTTCCCCACAAGATTAGAGTGTTATTTTACCTTCTGTAATTCTGAAGTTTTATTAGAAATATGTTTTTTTGTGGATCTCCTTTAATTTATTGTGCTAGGTACGCAGTGTGGCTTTAAAAATGTATATATATCTTATTCTTCAGTTCAAGGAAATACCCTTATATTATATCTTGATGATTCCTCCCATCCTTATTTTTGTTCTTGTCCACTTCTGTATTAGTTGAATGTTAAAACTTATGAATTGATTTTAGTTAGTCTTTTTTCTTTCTACGTATCCATCTCACTTTCACTGTTATTTTTCTAACATTCTGAAGCATATCCCCAAGTCTATCTTCCATTTTTCTCTAGCTCCGTTGTAGTGGTGGTGGTGGTGGTGATGGTGGTGGTGGTTGTTTCTGAATTTTTGCCCTCCTCTTATAATTTCCAGGAGTTCTTTCTTGTCGTCTAAATTTCTTTTCCTGTAGTGCTTTTGACATTTTTATTTTTTTGGTAACGTTTGTATATAGTCATTTCTTGGTTCTCTGAAGATTAATAGGCATTTTGAAGTTCTGGTATTCTCTAAACATTCCCTGGTTCCTTGAAATTGCTCTCTGTTTATCTGTTTGCTCCCATGCTTTTTCTTTTGTTGGACTCTTTTTTCATATAACTGGCTTTCCTCAAATCTATGCTGATTATTATCTGACATTTGTGTCTAAGTGGAAGGTACTGAAAAGATGATTTGAACAGTTGGTGCATAAACAAAGTTTATCCGCTAACAGTCCTCAATGTAGTGTGGTAACAGAGACTTAGTCTTATTAGGCCTTTTCCTAAATGTAGGAATCTATAAATGCTTTCTCTTAGACTCTGCAATACCCTTGGTTGGGGCAATGGGTTAAAAGTAAATATAGAGACTTCTGCCTTAATTTGCTATATTGAGAACTAATGGTTTGGCTGTCTCCCCACCTAAATCTCATCTTGAATTGTAGCTCCCATAATTTCTTCATGTTGTGGGAGGGACCAAGTGGAAGATAATGGAAGTATGGGGGCGGTTCCCCCATACTGTTCTTGTGGTAGTGAATAAGTCTCATGAGATCTGATGGTTTTATAAGGGGAAACCCCTTTTGCTTGACTCTCATTCTCTTCTCTTGTCTGCTGCCATGTGAGTTGTGCCTTTTGCCTTCTGCCATGATTGTGAGGCCTTCCCAGCCACGTGGAACTGTAAGTCCATTAAGCCTCTTTCTTTTGTAAATTGCCCAGTCTCAGGTATATCTTTATCACTGATGTGAAAACAGACTAATACAAAAACTTAGCCTCACTTTTACTATTAACTTTTTCCTGATATCCAAGTGCAGAGTCTTTCCAATTAAATATCTCCAGATGAATAACCTCCTGTTTTCCTCATTATTAGATTGAGGAAGTTGCCTAGATACAAAGGCTCCAGGCTGTTAGAGATCAAACTGCTTCTTCTAAAGACTTTCATTTAGAGCCAGCTATTAGTCAAATTCCTGAGCCTTTCCCAGGTCAGATTCTTGTTGGTTCTCAATGTTCTTGAAGGTATCATCTTTTTCATATGTGCTAAATCATGTCAGGTAGCCCTTGTTTGTCAGCTCACCATTTTCCAAAGTAAGTTGACATATATATATATATATATACTATTTTTCTCCTTTTTTAAAATATTGATGGATGTATGTTTTAAAATTCTTAACCGTTTCTTGTAAATTTGAAGAACATTGTATATAAGCACACATATTCAATTGATGTTTGAATTCAAAGTAACATAAATTTTATAACTCATTCAAAAAATATTTCCCATTTGAATTTTCATGTTAAAATAGGTTGTGAACTTAAATATCTACCACAAGTCTTTATTTCAAACATATTGATTTGTTTGGGAATTATTCAGCTTGGATGAGTAGGATGCAATTGTAAGAAATTTATACACACAAACACACACACACAAACCAAACTCTGTAAAATATTTGAGTGACCGTGGCTTGAGGAACAGTCTCAGGAGGGCCTGAGTGTATGTCCAAGTCAATCAGTGATACAGTTTTGCTGTGTCCCCAACCAAATCTCATCTTGAATTTTAATAAACTCCATGTGTTGTGGGAAGGACCTGGTGTGAGGTAATAGAATCATGGAAGCAGGTTTTTCCCATGCTGTTCTCGTGGTAGTGAATAAGTCTCACAAGATCTGATGATTTAATAAAAGGGCAGTCCCCTTGCACACACTCTCTTGCCTGCTGCCATGTAAGATGTGTCTTGCTTCCCCTTTACCTTCCACCATGATTATGAGGCCTCCCCAGCCATGTGGAACTGTGAGCCAATTAAACCTCTTTCCTTTATAAATTACCCAGTCTCCAGTATATATTTATTAGCAGCATAAGAACAGACTAATACAGTCAGGTTATTGTTTTTGGTTTTACACATTTTAGGAGAACGGAAGTTACAGACACAGACATAAATCAATTGATGTAAGGTATACATTGCTTCAGCCCAGAAAGGTGGCGAGGTAGGTTAGATAAGGTGGTCATAGCCTCTCTTAAAGGGGAACAAACTTGCCAAACAGATGGACAGGGCAAACCATCCAACAGTGCACAGAACACGTCCTGGGTTTGTGGTTAGAATATCCTGCAGCAAAGAGGTAAAAGAACAGAAAGAAAAAAATCCCCAAATTCACACAAGTGCAGAGACACATTATTTGTGTCCTTGGGGTGAATTATGCTCATTATAATAGTAACAAACACTCTTGGGTGGAGATTTAAGATGCTAGTGAACATGCAATATATGCACTAGCATGTACAACCACTAGGCATGCAGACTTGGGAAACCACCCACAACATGCCTAACAGCAACACCCCTTCCCACCCCTTTATGAATAAATAATCATGTAAATCTCCCATAAAGGGAAGTGCCTCAGTGCCAG
This sequence comes from Homo sapiens, assembly GCF_000001405.40. NCBI lineage: Eukaryota > Metazoa > Chordata > Mammalia > Primates > Hominidae > Homo > Homo sapiens. The sequence goes on from NC_000013.11 coordinate 54,391,094, forward strand.
ATGGCACTGTCGCATTCTTGAGCAGTCCCTTCTGACCCATCTATCAGAGTATATTTTCGCTTTGCAATAATAAATTTCTTTACCTACTTTCACTTTGGACTTGCCCTCAAATTGTTTTGTGCAGCAAAGTCAAGAACCTGAACCAGTCCACCAACATCAGTGGGACATCTCAAAGTTGGGGGTGGTATTTACAGGTCATAGGTCATTCAAAGATTTTCTTACTGACAATAGTTGAAAGAATTAAAGACTTGAAGTTAGTACAAGAAAAAGCTTGAGTTAAGGGGGGTTGTGAAAGCCACAGTTCTTGTTATGTGGATGAGTCCTCCAGGTAGCAGGCTTTAGAGTGAATAGATGGTAAACGTCTATTTTTAGATCTGAAAAGGTGTCAGACTATTATTTAATGTCTTCTAGATCTGGGAAGGGCCTAGCAGCCTCAATGGAGATTCTTTACAGATATGAAAATTCCCTCACAAAATGGTTTTTCAGGGCCATTTTGAAATATGTCAAAAAATATATTTTGTGGTAAAATATTTAGATTTCCATCAGGGAGCTCTATTTGTCATGTGAGGCCATACCAGAGTCAGGTAGGACTTTGATATCTGATTGCCAAAGAGTCTGTTTTGTCGGTCTTATGGTCTCTGTGTTAATGTTAATGCTGGTCAGTTGTGCCTAAACTCCAAAAAGCAGGGGATATAGCAAGGCATGTCTGACCTCCCTTCCTGGCATAGTAGGGAATTCAGATGTTCAGGTTTCCCTTGGCCCAGAGTCAGTTGAGGGAGCCTAGGATGTTTTGTTGTTGTTGTTGTTGTTGTTTTTTGGTTTACAATTCACACAGACAGGCGCACACACACACACACACACGTGTTTAAAGTAGAGGAGAAATTGGAACATTCCCACTCCCACTGTGTGTGTGTGTTTGTGCAGAGAGGTTTAGAAATATAAGAGAAAAAAGGGAACAACCCCCCCCAAAAAAAATTTGTGAGGCTGGGACTAGAACAAAAATGTAGGTAACATTTCTAAGTGCCTGGGAGACAGGATGCTTGAAAACAATTTCTCCTTTACAGCATAAATATATATATAGTAATTAATCCAAAAAGAATACTTTGCAGATTTCCTGAAAATTTCTGTGGTACAAATAACTTTATATCAATACATAAATAGATAGATAGATTTAAGTACAAATATAGATTTTTTTTATATACGTATAGTTATATAAGTTTTTTAAAAGAATGGCATGTACAATCAAAAATTTCAAAATTAAAGTTCACAAGTATTTCAAATAGTAACATAAAGACCCAATATTATTGCACTTGAACTAGAGTATTAAAATACATGAAGGAAACAGTCACCAAAAAGAAAATCAGCATTCAGAAAGAAATAATAGGCAGGGCGCAGTGGCTTATGCCTGTAATCCCAGCACTTTGGGAGGCCGAGGCGGGCGTGTGATGAAGTCAAGAGATCAAGACCATCCTGGCCAATATGGAGAAACCCCGTCTCTACTAAAAATACAAAAATTAGCCGGGCGTTGTGGTGGGCGCCTGTAGTCCCAGCTACTCAGGAGGCTGAGGCAGGAGAATGGCATGAACCTGGGAGGCGGAGCTTGCAGTGAGCCTAGATCAAGCCACTGCACTCCAGCCTGGGCGACAGAGCGAGACTCAATCTAAAAAAAAAAAAAAGGAAATAATAAATGTTATATTCTTAAAAAATATAGTGATTAAAAATGATTCCTCGACAGTAAGAATTGTCTGTAATTTGGAAATTGTTTACTTTTGAAACTGATTTTATACTTTAAAATTTGTTTCTGTTATATAGAATACAATAGTGTAACAATTTGCCATTTTTAATAAAATGTTTACTAAATTTTTATTGTAAGAACATAAAATATTTTATGTGAGATTATGCATTCCTATATACTTGTATATTTTTATGTTATTGAGAATATATTTAAGATTCAATTATTGAGTTAAGTTTCATAATCAATATTTCCTAGTCTATGCAATTTTTGAAAATCAGAATACTTAGGAAATCAAAGTGTCATATTCCCACATTAACACAATTGTGTTAAGGTAAAACCTAAATTCATCCTCAAGTAATCGATATTATATTTGAATTCTTGGTTTCTATCTCCCCATCAGCATAGTGTTTGACATGTTTTCTCCAAAATGGAAATGTTGAGTATTTATACTTTTCCTTATCCTTAATTTTATTATCTAATTGCTAATCTCAAATTATACTAAAAAAGCGAATCTGGACTACATGTGAGGGGAAAATCTGAAACTAACTGTTTAAATTAACTAAAAAATAGATCGGTTTTTAAGAATTAGTATTTCTCAATAAGTATAATAGCTATAGTGTATTGATAAGAGAAACTTTATCTGTTGTGGTTTCATTTTATAAATAGTTGGAATTCTAGTGAGTGAAAAAGATCTAAACCTATCATGAGAAAAAAAGTTGCTATTTGAAAATCAATAGCAATTCTGGTTGCAGATATATGGACAATTATGTGTAATTGTTTTAAAACATAAGACCTTTAGGATACTCAGAATATAAAAGATTCATTATTTGATGTCCCCAAATCAGAATCCTCAGTCATTTCTGTCAGTGTGTTGGATTGGGTGCTGTGGGACTTTCAGTAAGAAAAGTTTTGCAATTACCTAGAATTATAATACCATTTTCTACAGCACACCATCCATTCTAAATGTCAAGTGAATCGTAGTAAGTTATTTTTATAGTGATCTAGAAGTTAAACTAACATAAGTCTTAGACTTTTTGTTAGTTTGCTTTGTCTGTTTGTTAGTGGCACTTTAGGCAGCATATATTAGCTGTAAAGGGGACTAAAGGTCATATTAAGACAAGAAGGCTTCTTTAGTAGATATTGCAATGTAAACACTGCAACCACGTTGCATCATTTACTTCCACATTATTATTATGAGTCCACCATTTTAAATCTAGAGATTCAGCATGAAGACACAATTTGGCTTCTAGACATAAAAAATCTGTAAATAAATTTTAAAATCTCCTCCTATCTATTCTGGCAACCATTATGCTCTTGGGTACAAGATCATGTACCTCCTTCTGAGTTTTACTTTTCACTCTGGAAAAGAAGTTCTCTAGGATGACGTCGTGCAGTAGCTCACAGCATGCCTGGTGAAAGCTGCGTGCACAATATCATTTTCTCCACATATGGAGGGGAGATGCGTCACTTGTCACAGGCTATTGAAAGTAGTCAGCTTTCATCAGTGGATCCTGACAACACAGAAAGAATGATTCACCTGAAAGAAGCAGAGGGCATAGCATTTCAAAAGTGATCTCTAAAGACTGATTATTTCTTGTCCTTGACACCCTGCCAAGGGCTAGATACATCGAACATTTGGGCTGTAATGGCGCCTACAAATCACTAGTTGCCTAGAGTCTCCCTGGGCCTGCACGTGGATAGCATGCTTGACTTTAGTTCAGTTTTTATTACATGTTGTAAACTTTTGACTGCTCTGATATGCCTTGTCATTGATGTGTCAAGATTGGACTCTGACAGGGTGTCTGACCTGATTGAAATCAAGAATGCTCTTTTGGATCTTGTGGAAAATAATGGGAAATTGTCTGTTGTAGGACCTTGGGCAATGGAATACGTTTCATAATCATCTTCCTGAAAAAACAGGGACTTCTTTTAAGAACATTTTGGTAGGAGTAAACGGGGCTTTCCAAGTTTTCCTGGCCTGCAAAAGTTATAATTTAATCATACATGATAAAAATTCAATAACTATAAAGTGCAAGTTATACATTTTCTTTTGAAAACGGCTAAATTTGCTGGTGAAAATGCATCTATCCAATATCTGCTGCTAAGTGGCATTTTGTTGTTGTTGTTTTACTGCAGTTAATGTAAATGGTTTCTTTCGTATACAGGAGAAATCACAAAAGACTTGTTATCAAATGAAAGATAAACTCTGCCTTTGTTATTCTAGTGTTAAAAGTGCTCACTTGATGATATTCGAAAATCTTTTATGACCGCTTCATGAAATGCAGTTTTGAACAATAGAATCTCACCCGATAAGAACACTATCAATGATAACAGTGGTTTATCCCGTGGAGAAGGGATTGGGAATCAAACTGTTTTTTTCTTCTCCAAGGATATTTCCTGCTCATAAATGCTGGCAAACAGGAAGATAAGGGTATTATTTTAGCCACAGTAAATCCTAATCGAGGCAGCAAAGTACTGGTGCGAGGGAGTAGTTCCAAAGCATGCTTCAGGTTGATTCTATAATTTTTCCGTAGGATAGTGCCCACTTGTAGATTAAAAGATGCAGTCCATCACGGTCTGACAAAGTTGACATTTTGAAGAAGTAAATAATCATGCTCGCCTCTTGAGTTTAGAAATATTGCCAGAGCAAATAAAGACGACTTTCCCACTAGTATTTGAACTAAATGATAAATTCTAAAAACTTCTATGCAGAGTCCTCTAAATACAGGCAGAAAAAAAATAATGGGTGTAAAATATCACTATATTCAAAACACATTCCTTTCCTCATGTTTCTTTTTCTTGCATGTGTACAGTGTTAAAAACAAAAAATCAGAATCTGACCGGAAGGTAGCATAACCAGATTTTATTCAGAAAATAGTCCAATAGGTACCTCAGTACAGATCTAGGCTCAACTCTGAATATAACAAGAACAAGTATGGATTTATAGCCAAGGAGTGGGGAAGGGCATTGGTATACGAAACATTACTAATGAAAGACATGAAAAATAGGGAGATTCTTATTAAGCTGACCTAATTCAATTCTTGCTAAAGGCAGGCCAGGGTGATCTGATATCACATGAGGGATTGAGGAGGTGAGTAATTTGATGAGATATGAAGGTTATCAGATATCAAGGGTGAAGAATTCTCTACAAACTTACTTAAGAAGGATGTTTACTAATCTTGGGCAATGCAGGCACCACGAGGACAGGAAACAAGGTTAAGGCCTAGTTAAAAAAGAAGGCTCACTAAAGTTTGGCCTTTGTCACTGGCTAAAGGTAAAAGAATATTCTTTATTAACATTAAGTTTAATATGCACATCAATTGTAACTTTTTCCTAAATTTTCTAATTTTCTTGTCATAAAGTATTACCCTGAAAATAATGGAAACTCACCATAATCTTCTGCCACATTTGGGCATCTTTCATGAAAATCTTGTACTATTTTTGGGAAGGCTAATATGATTTATCCAAATTATTATATATTTAATCTTTGCAGCATTTAAGAATTTGGAGTAGTGATTTAGAGTTGGGCTTTAGAGTCTATTGTCAATGTTAGCCTTACTATTTCTTAGCTCTGTAAACTTGGCTATGTCCCTTACTTGTTCTCTTAATTTCAGTTTCTTAATATTTAACGTGAAGCTCATAATAATATCTATATTATAAAAATATTGTGGGATCACAGAAGATATATAAACTTCTTGGTACAGTATTTTCTCACTTTAAAGAGACTTAATTAGAGTTAACAATATTCAAAAGTGAGGAAATTTGTTTAAATAGTTTTATTTATTTGGAAAAGTAAGGTAAACAAGGTTTCTAGAAGTGAATAAAACTCCTTAAAATTCTGGACTCTGGATCCTGACATTGCAAAGTGCCCTCTCTGTCAATTGTGGTTTGAAATCTGTTACTTACACTTGTGCAGCTTCTCAGAGTGATAAATTATTCAAAAACATACAATGTCTACGCTTACTTTAGGATTGAAGGAGGTAAAAAAAATAGGATATCTGAATTTAAAAGAAAATAAACCAACTTTGGTTCAGAATAATAACTGGAACAATGTTTACAATTATTTATGGGAAAAAAGCAAAACATATAGTTGAAAAGAATGTATTAGCTTAACTAGTAATCTACTTGTTCCTGTAAAAGACAAATATTAGGGGGTATATATGTGCGGTGTATGTGTTTTAGGGGCTTTTTATTGTGATTTTAATTTACCCATGAAATTGAATTTCCTCATTTCCCTTGGGAGGCAGTTTGCTGCATAGTCTTGAATATTTCATTCAGAGATGTTCATCTGTCTCATTCAAAAAAGTTCACCTATACCCAGCTTCACTGTTTCTATTTTCAAATTTGAGTTGGTCTTTTTCTATTATAATCTATTGCCATAGCCTAAAATATATTTTTTCTGAATTGGCAACCAGGTCTTATACTACAGCATGATGTAATTAGAAGATGAGAATCATATTAATTTAATACACATTTATAGTCAGTGACCCATGCTACCTTATTTTTAAAATTAGATCAAAAGATGCTAAATACCTACTGTCATTTTCCTGATTAATGTTTATCCAAAGTTCGTCTTCAATCTTAGAATGTTTACTGTTCAAATAAAAAAATGATATGAGCAACACCCAGAGGATCTCTGGCACTCTTATTTTTAAAAATTTTACTAGCACCTACTCTGTGTAAGACAGAGTTATATGTTATCAGTACTAAATCCTTTTCTTTGTGCCAGAAACTAACTGCTGCTCTTATGGCGAAAACCAAACTTGATGGCTCTTGACATGGGAATGCAGAGCAGCTTCCAGTACAACTACCATGGGGCTTCCATGGGGCTGTCCCTTGGGTTTCCAATAACACAGATGTTGCCCAGTTGTAGGGGGAACAAGAAACAAGATGGCTTTTACAGCTAAAGAAGGAGCTTTCTTTTTTTTTTTGCCACGTGTGGTGGCTCATGCCTGTAATCTCAACACTTTTGGAAGCTGAGGTGGGAGGATCACTTGAGCCCAGGAGTTCAAGACCAGCCTGGGCAACATAGTGAGTTCTTGTCTGTATAAAAAAATAAAATAAAATTAACCAGGTGTGGTGGTGTGCACCTGCGGTCCCAGCTACTCAGGAGGCTCAGGTGGGAAGATTGCTTGAGACTCATAGGTGAAGACTGCAGTAAGTAGTGATCACACCAATACACTCCAGCCTGGGCATCAGAGCAAGACCCCATCTCTAAAAAAACAAAACTCTTGCAAAAAGGAAGAAACACTTTTTTTTAGGTTATTTGTTGATGACTTTTTCCAGCAGCATGATCCATTTGTGAAGGATTCCATAGAAAACGGACAAAAAATTACCCCCAGTATATTGCTGATTTTATTGTTATGTATATAAGAATATTCTCAAGATTTGGTAGAGGCAGAGGCATGGGTACAGAGGAGGAAAAAATGAAATTTATTCAGAATAGATGTTAGTGTTTGAAAAATGCTTAGACTTATTTCTTAATTTTACTGAAGAGCAAATTGGGAATCAAAAAAGTAAAGCTTCTTATTCAATTTCATTGTGGATCTTAAACAAGTTGCTTATTACTTTGCAAGCCCATTTGTGTTTTAAAATTATTTCTGTTCTGCCTTGAGGTATAATGTATTACCAGCAGATTAAGATGACATGGAAGTCTTTATCTTCAGCTTTGATCGCTTCTATAGCTATAAACCAATTGATCTAGTAATCTTCTAGATACATTAATGTCTTCACAAAATTATCTTAAATGTTTCACACAATATGTATTTTGTCTTTCACATTTTTAACTTGTCATTTTCCTTTCCATCCACATGTGCTCCTCTACCATTTTCTGCCATCTTTGGTGAAAGTCAATATTACTCTTAGTTTTGGGGAGTCATTCCTTAATTTCTCTTCTTCACCCTGACTTCTAATAAGTAAATAAATAGCAGCACAATCATCTGTTTACTTGTCTCCCACATTAGGCTGTATGTTCTTTGGGAAACAGGCTCAGTCTTATTCACTGTGAGGGTTAGTTTTATGTGTCAGTTTGACTGGGCTAGGGTGTGCTCAGATTAAACATTATTTCTGGGTCTGTCTGGATGAGTGTATCCAGATGAGATTACCATTTGAATCAATGGACTCAGTAAAGTCCAGTATTCTTCTTACTATGGGTGGGTATCATCCAATCTATTGAGGGCCAGAATAGAACAAAAGGCAAAGGAAAGAGGAATTTTCTCCCTTTTCTCCTGCCTCACTGCATGTGCTGGAATATCTCATCTCATCTTCTCCTGGCCTCAGTTTGTGATTTGTACCATCAGCTCCCCTGGTTCTTAGCTCTTTGGACTCAGACTGAATTACACTGTAGCCTTTTCTGGTTCTGCAGCTTGCAGAGGCAAATCATGAAACCTCCCAGTCTCCAAAATCACAGGAGCCAACTCCTTATAATAAGTGTCCTTTTACCTACTGGTTCTGTGTCTCTGGAGAACCCCAACTAATACTCTCACCTTTGATACTCAGCATTTGCTAAGCTTTCTTGCACACAGTAAGAAAAAACACTAATGCATGTGAAGCAGAGGACAAAACCAGGATTTTGTTTGTTTGTTTTTTTGTTTCTGCTGCAGTAGCACTTCTATCCTACTTTCCAAACAAAAAATTGGAGCATGTGGTATGAGAGAATAAGTTCTTGCTCTACTTCAGGCCCTCCTCCAGTCTCCTCTGGCTATGCATTAGTTTTGTAACTGATTCTTTTGATGCTCATGGTGCCCACATTCATGTCCTGAACACTACTGCTTGAAATCAAATAAGAAAAATAAATCCCAATGAAACTTTTGAGGTTTTCATATTGCTATAGATGTATGCTGGAAGCACAAAGCATACCTATTCATCAACATAACTAAAAGATGGCAAATTGCCCTACCCTACTCAATAAATGTTTGGCGAGTGATATAGTTTGATCATGTGTCCCTGCCCAAATCTCATATTGAAATGTAATTCCCAATGTTAGAGGTGGGGCCTGGTAGAGGTGAATGGGCCATGGGGGTAGATTTCTCCTGAATAGTTTAGTACCATCCTCTTGATACCATCCTCACAATAGTGAGAGATGTCTAGGGAAATCTGATCCTTTAAAAGTTTGTGGCACCTCACTCCTCACTCTCTTGCTCCCACTTTTGCCATGTCATGTGCCTGTTCCCCCTTTTCCTTCCACCATGATTGGAAGCTTCCTGAGGCCTTCCCAGAAGCAGACTTCTATGCTTCCTGTACAGCCTGCAGAATCATAAGCCAATTAAACCTCTCTTCTCATATATTACCCTTTCTCATGAACTTCTTTATAGCAATGTGAGAGCAGACTAATACAGTGAGTAAATTTAACATCTATGAAGTGTGATCTTTCTAAGAAAGCAGAATTATTTTGTTGAGCTAGAAAAGCAGGTAGTTTTCAGTGAGGTTTCCTCCCTTTAAATGCTGGCCTTAAACTGTGAGACTGCATGCTTTTTTTCCTAACTTCTCTGCATCTGTTTTCTTGTCGCTTAAATGGGAATGATAATAATACCTTCATTTGAGAGCTCTTTTGACCTCAAAAAATAAATGAGACAGTGCCTACATAGAGCTAGTATTTTGTTTTACACATCATAAGAGCAAAAATACATATGTTATTACTGTTTATTAAAACATAAATCTAGGCTATATTAACCTCCAATAAAATATTTTAATATTTCTAATATTTTTAGGGTCAAGTCCAATGCCCTTAATTTAGCATGCAAGGCCCTTGATGAGTCTCGTCTATTGCTTTAAGTTAACTTTAATTAAATATTCAATTTAATTAAATACTTCTAAACACAGAAGAGCAAATAAATAAACAAAATCTATGCCCAAGTCAGTATGCCATCTCCTTCCCAGATTCCTCCACACATATTATTCCTCTGCACTTAAGGTGAGGAAACCTTTTTCAGACTCTTCTCCTGGAGTTAATTTCTATTTGCTGTTTAGTAATACCATTGTTGAAGGTGTTGCTCTCACACTTCCAATCTCATCTGGGGTCCCTTATGTTCACTGCTATGTCTTCAGCACCTAGAAAAGTACCGAGTACTTGATGGGGCTCAATGAAATATTTGAATAAATGAACTACATTGAGTGAATGAATGAATGAATGAACTGCAGCATGCTCACATGTTTATTTCCCACATTTAACTGTATGTTCTTCGGTTGAACAGGCTCAATCTTACTTACTTTGAATACCTAGGGTTTGCTAAACCTTACTATACACTATAAAGCATTAATGCATATGAGGCTGTGAACAGAATTAGGACTTTTGTTTTTGATGTAGTAACACATATGATTATTTCCAAACCAAAAAAAAATGAACATATAGTATGAGGAAATGTTTCAATGTGTTCATCTTCTATATTTCAGGGGAATAACATGTTACCCAAACTTAAATTACTCAAAGTTGAAAATTGTATCTTTCACTGATTTTTCAAACCTACTCCCTAAGCACAGATGTTTTGTATACTGTAGACAGTGCTTAGTAAGCTCTCTGATATACACAGGAGTATAATTCTAACGAGCCTTCCAATTACCACCTCCATTAGAACTAGGACGATATACTGAAGAATGTTGTTACTATTATTTTGTATTCCCCTGTGTTAGTTTTTCTTAGCTCCCATCTATTTTATGTTCAAAGAGATTAGCAGCCAGATTTTTAAAACTAAACAAGACTCAAGAGTATGTCTTAGAGAATAAAAGGCAAGAAGTTTCAACTTTTCCATGCCTCTTTTGACCTCATTTTGACGTAAACCAAGGAATATTTGAAATTAAAAAGACAGGACAAGTTATGAGAGACAGCAAGAAGATGAAGAAGAAGAAAGCGAAGAAGAAAGCAAAGAAGAAGAAAAAGATAAAAATTAGAAAAAAAATAAGAGTGCTCCATTGGTAACTGGCTGTCAACATTTACTTATTATTTACTTATTTATATTTTACAATTTGGACTCTCCCTTTTATACAGTTTGATTTCTGTCTGTCTTCTAAAAGGAGGCTGGTATTTAGCTTGGGGGCAAATAACTCCTTTGATATTCAAAACTGCATTAATATATCTTTTTCTATGGCAAACTTAGGCATATTGTCTAAGCATGTGGTACACTGACTGGAAGATAAAAGACACCAGATAAACAATTTTTTTGAATTAAACTAAAGAGTATGCTTTGGCTTATCTTGCCCACTTTAGGTTATATATGTGTTGGCTGTATACAGCTGTAGTTGGAAAATTTATTAAATAATTTTTTCTACTTCATTCAGCTGTTGAGAAGATAAAGAAGCTAAAGGTAATATTTGGAGTGATTTAATTCATCCTTGATGTATAGTAATATCTTAAAGTTCTCATTACACTATTCAGCTATGATTAGTAATCAATGCACATGTACTTGTTTTTATGTGTCCATTTAGATTCCTTTATGTGTACATTCATATGTGTGTATGTATTTTTATATACTCCAATAGCATGATTAATATGTATTTCTAAAATCACTGACAATTATTTCTTACTTTATTTTTTAGATTTAAATTTATATATTTTAAAACAATGTACATTATTATTGCACAATGCATAATGTACATTATTATTGAATAATGTGCTTTTAGATAATTTTTAAAGTTATTTTAATCTTTTGATCTTCATGACTTTCAATATTTAAAAATCTATATTTAAAATGTGGGATTATCCCCTTGAGTCTATGAGAAAAAGCTCTTTCCAAAATTGAAGAATGTATATCATTTCTATCTAGAGCACTGGCACATGTGAATTTTACAGGAAAGAGGAAGATTAACTAGGAACACAGTACAATGTAAAGGAATCTGAGAAGCAGTAGGAGATGATACTTGACCTTTTAAGGCTTCTCAGGGGATTGAAGTTAAAGCAACTCCAGGTGGTCTTTGGAATCACTTGACATTTCCTGTAAGTGACGGGCCAAACAAGAAAAAGCCAGAAAAAGCCAGGGTTACAATAAAGTTCAATTTCACCAATTTATTAAATATATTTATTTAAAGTATCTCTTTGGCTCCACAATTATTACTGCTGAAAATGCTTCCCTGTATTCATCACAAAAACCAATATGGTGCTCCTGTTTATCAAGGCTCAACCTCATATCTTTTCCTTTCTATATCTTTCGTCTCAAGGCTCTCTCAGTCAATTCCAGAGATTCAGCAATTATCTCACTGTTAATTACCTAATTCCATGTTTCCAGTCCTGATATTTGTCCTAGATCGAGACTCATATTTTTTATCACCTGCTTTATATTTGGTCTATTTGGATAGCCTATTACTACCCAAGGCTCATGTTACCATTTGTAAGGATGCATCTGCAGCTACTATTTGATGTGTTCTGTACATCACAGTGGATACAAAGAGAAAAAAAATGATTGAGCCCCCTTTTTTTGAGAAGCTTGTGGCTTAAACAACAGGTCAACAAACTTTTCTTTAAAGGCCAATTAGACTCAATTCACAATAGAAGCCGAGAAAATGTTTCCCAGTGTGATGGTTAATACTGTCAACTTAATTGGATTGAAGGGTGCAAAGTATTGATCCTGGGTGTATTTGTGAGGATGCTGCCAAAGGAGATTAACATTTGAGTCAGTGGGCTGGGGAAGACAGGCTCACCCTTAATCTGCTAGGCATAATCTAATCAGCTACCAACAGATATAAAGCAGGCAGAAAAACGTGAAAAGGTGAGACTGGCCTAGCCTCCCAGCCTGCATCTTTCTCCCCTGCTGCATTCTTCCTGCCCTCAAACATCAGACTCCAAGTGCTTCAGTTTTGAGACTTAGGCTGGCTCTCCTTGCTCCTCAAGCTTGCAGAGAGTCTATTATGGGACCTTGTGATTATGTAAATTAATACTTAGTAAACTCCCCCTTATATATAGTTCTGTCCCTCTAGGGAACCCTGACTAATACCCCCGTATGCAGTGGTAGTAAACGGCTTTCCCACTTTGTGTCCATTTTGCGTCATCCACACACCCCTATTATACTACTCATCACATTTCCTTATACAGTTATGTGTTACTGAACTACATTGACACCTTCTGAGAAATGCATTGTTAGGCAATTTTGTCAAACGATCATCATAGAGTGTGCTTACACAAACCTAGATGGTGTAGCTTACTCCACACCTAGGCTGTATGTGTAGCCTTATACTCCTAGTCTAGTAACCCACACAGCACGTTACTGTACCGAATACTGTAGTCAGCTGTAACACAATGATAAAAATTGGTGTATCTAAACATATCTAAACATAGAAAAAGCAAAATAAAATATGCTCTGAAAGATTAAAAAACTAGTACACCTGTATAGGGCACTTACCATGAATGAAGCTAAGAGGACTAGGAGCTGCTCTGGGCGAGCCAGTGAGTAAATGAGTGGTGAGTGAATGTGAAGGCCTGGCACATTACTGGAAACTACTGCAGACTTTATAGACACTACACATTTGGGCTACATTAAGTTTATTTTTAAAATTGTCTATCTTCACTAATAAATTAACTTTAGCTTACTCTATAAACTTGATATTAGTTTAAAAATTTTTACTTTTTTTAAACTTTTTTACTCTTTTGTAATAACACTTATCTTAAACCACAAACACATGGTATGGTTGTACAAACATATTTTCTTTCTTTTTATTCTATAAGCTTTAGCTTTTCTTTTTTTTTTTTTTTTGTCTTTTAAAAATATTTTGTTAAAAACTAAGACACAAACACACATTTACTGTTTTCCACCTCCACATCTTGTCCCACTGAAAGGTCTTCAGGGGTATTAACACACATGGAGCTGCCGTGTCCTATGATAACAATGTCTTCTTCTGGATACCTCCTGAAGGACTTGCCAGAGGCTATTTTAGAGTTAACTTTTTTCATAAATAGAAGGAATATACTTTAATGACAAAAGAGTAGTATAGTAAATGCATAAACCAGTAATATATTCTTTTATTATCATTATCAAGTATTGTGTACTATACATAATTGTATATGCTGTACTTTCATATGACTGGCAATACAGTAGATCTGTTTGCATCAGCATTACCACAAACACATGAGTAATTCATTGAGCCATGAAGTCACAACAGCTACGACATCACTAGGCGATAAGAATATTTCAGCTTCATTATAATCTTATAGGAACACCATCATATATGCATTTGTCATTGATCACAATGCTTTTATGAAGCCCATGACTGTAATTGTTTCTTTATACCTGGAGTCAGTAAACGACATACTGCAGGCCCACTAATGAGCTGAGTGCTGAAGGATAAGTAGATCACAAATACTTTGAAAACATGAATTATTTTTACTTAAAAAAAAATCTGAAAATTTCTGATAAGGAAACTTCATTTCTAATCAAGGATATCACCACCCTCTGTGATTGTCAGGCTGGAAATGTTTGATTTTCTCTTATTCGAAAATTTACCTGAGTAGGTTGTCAAGGCATGTGATAGGGGCTGGTGTAAGCTCTGTACAATCAGAAATTTATATAATGGGGGGCTTTATTTGAATTAAAGAATTCCAAATTACTCACACATAATTCAATACATGAGTTCAAGGAGAGTTGTGCAAGTGAGAGTCTGTAGCACATGAGTTTTATGGTAAATTTCACATTCACATATATTCCTTTTTGCTTCTACCTCTTCCCTCTATAGTTCAGACCTCCATTATGCTTCACTTGGACATTTGCTCTAGCCTCTTATATTCATCTGCCAAGGTTCCTGTAACAAATTACCACAAACTGGGTTGCTTAAAATAACAGAATTTATTATCTCATAGTTTGGGAGACCAGAGGTGTAATAAAGAAACATAGTATTCCTTTGATGCAGCAAATGACTTTGATATATTTCAGATATTTTAGGAGACAACAAATTGCAACCCAGAATGTAGATATGCTCCTGCCATTTATCTACACTGTTATTCTTACCAAAGGCCATGATTTCTTTTCTTTTCTTCCAGATCTATAAGACTTTGAGATACCTGCCTGAACACGTCTGTGAAAAACTATGTTGAATCAAAAGGAACTGGTTGAATAGAAGCAGTTTCAATGGATCCTGCCTAACATTTAAACTTCCTCAGAGTGAAGTGTGATTTTCAGTGCAGAATAGCAGGTGAGAAGATATCCCAGATAAGGAAGGAGCAAAGACACCTAATACCTCCTGTGTCCCCATGGCCAATTGACAAGCATTTGTTATTCCTTCACTATGAGCCAAAAAGGCTGATTAGGCTGAAGGAACTGTGTAGTCCCTCTGGTAAATTTTCTATATGTGTATTAGTCCATTTTGGTTACTATAAGAGAGTATCATAAATTGGGTGGTTTGTAAACCACAGAAATTTATTTCTCACAGTTCTAGATGTTGGGAAGCCCAAGCAAGAGTAAGGCACTGACAGATTTCATGTTTGGTGACTGGCTTACAGATTGCCACATTTTTGCCCTTCCCTCACATGGTAGAAGCAGCAAGGGAGCTCTCTGAGGTCTCTTTTATAAGGGCACTAATTAGGTTTATGAGGGCTCCTCCTTCATGACCTAGTCACCTTCTCAAGCCCTCATCTTCTAGTAGCATCATATCAATGATTAAGATTTCAACATATAAAATCTGGTATGTTGTATAACAAAATTGATACAACACAAACATTCAGTCCACGGTAATATCCTAGAAGTACTAGAAATGCACCTTGAGGGGCAGAAAAGCAAGGGGCCTATCATATGGGTCATATTCTCAGACATCATCTAGGATCTTTGAACTTCAGTGCAGAATCCAATGACCCATAATCAAGTATGAGCAAGGCCCCAGAACCTACATATAAGCCAGGATGCAAAATTGCCTTCTTCCCAACATCAGTCTATGATTCATGGGTCACTAAATTTAGAGAAAAATTGATCCAAGAAACAAAACTGGTACTCAGAATGTCCTCACTGGATGAAAAGGATCTGATGCAGGGAGATATGACACCAATCCTGAAGTTGCTGAGAAAGTGGAAAAATCTGGGAGTTTCACTTGGAAACTGTACTGAGTGGTATTCAAATGTATACAAGCACTCTTCAGATGCCCACAAGGGATACCAGGAAGGCTAGGCCATAGAAATGTTTACACTAGACTAAATACTGATTGAAGGATGAGGCAGCTCCATATCTGGTATGAATAGTTAAGACTGCGGACACAGATGTCCAATCTAGAATCGTAGACCCAGGATAGGTAGCGAGGCAGACAACACAGTCCGTTATAGATAGCACCTTATTCTGGAAACTCCCAGTTTACTTTAAGTGTGTGTCTAATTGTTAGTGCTAAGCAGCTCTTCCTTTTGTCTTCTTGGATTCTGCTGAACTTTTTGGTCAGTTCAATATGGACTACAATAGAATTAAACAGCCCTCATTTTGGGGAATTTACTATTCCCTACATTAATAATTACGATTTTAAGTCTGTGGTTCCTCTAAGATTCTCTATGATGACCGAAAGCCTGGGTATTGTTTAAGCTCTACTCCCTCAACATCTGTAAATGGCAGGTTTGGACCAGAAGACTACCCATAGGCAGTTCCCATTTCACGGAATCTTTTAGTAAATCAAGAAGATATGATAAATACATGGTGGAGGGGAGGGAGGACTAGATTGCAGCTCTGACTTGGACAGACAGAGCAGTGTGCAGAGGCTCGCATTGTGAATTTTAGGTGCTGAACGACTGCAGGAATAAATCAGGAATCTCAAGAGGACCCATAGACCCTCTGAAGGAAACAGACTGCTCCTGCAGGACCCAGGAGACATCCCAAAAACTGTGAGTTCCCAAACTGCGGAAGGGGGAAAGGGAGATCCTCCACTGACAAACACTTCCCCTCCACCCTCCCCATTGGAGAAGCTGAAGATCCAGTTTGTGGAAGAAGATTCTGATCTTACCTGGAGCTGAGTCAATTTAGAGAGCTGAGTGAAACACAGGGGTAGAGGAAGCAGCGGGAAAGGCCCTGGAAGCTTGCTGGGTCCCCAAGCAGGCTATTCCTGCCTGCCTGGCACCATAGGGATCCTTCGGGAGGGCAGTCAGAAGTGCAAGGTAAATGCCACAGGGAGAAGGAAGTCTCCACCTGAACTTTGTAACAATTTTAACTGGTCCAGCATATATCCGATATTCAGACTCCACAGACAGGGGAAGAACTAAGGCCCTTTTCTTTTGCAGCTGGGAGGTGGGTAGCCTGGGGCAAGTTCTCAGCCCTGCTTGCCCACTGCCTGGAAACAGGCTTGGTGCTATTAGAGGGTGCACAGTGGGAGTGAGACCGGCCCTTCAGATTGTGTGGGAGCTAGGTATGGCCTGTGACTGCTGGCTTTACCCCACTTCCCTGACAACCTGCATGATTCAGAAGAGGCAGCTATAAACCTCCTAGGTACCCAATTCCATTGACCTGGGACCCTCACCCCCATCCCCCATCCCCCATAGCAGCCACATCAAGACCCACCCAAGGAGAGTCTGAGCTCAAACACGACTAGCCCTGACCCCATCTGATGGTCCTTCCCTACCCTAGCTGAAGACAAAAGGTATATACTCCTGGGAGTTCTAGGGCCCTGCCCACTGACAGTTCCTCTCCATGCTACCACAGCTGATGCTCTCTGAAAAGTGCCACCTCCCAGAAGGAGGCCAACCAGCAAAAAAATAGATCATTAAACCACCAAAGCTAAGAAATGGACTTAAGTAGTCCATTTCACCCCCCTGCCACCTCTACTGGAACAAATGCTAGTATCCATGGCTCAGAGACCCATAGACAGTTCCTATGGTTCTCTATGAGACAGGACTCTACGCAGACAACCCCCAGTACCACCCCAGAGCCTGATAGACTTGCTGGGTGGCTAGACCCAGAAGAGAGATAACAATCAGTGCAGCTCGGCTCACAGGAAATCATATCCACAGGAAAATGGGGGAGAATACAACACCTAGGGAACACCTCGTGAGACAAAAGAATCTGAACAAAAGCCTTCAGCCCTAGACCTTCCCTCTGACACAGCCTATCCAAATGAGAGGAAACCAGAAAACCAACTCTGGTAATATGACAAAACAAGGCTCTTGAACAACGCCCCCCTCCCCCCCCCCCCCCCCCCCCGCCAAAATCACACTGGCTCACCAGCAATGGATCCAACCCAAAAAGAAATCCCTGATTTACCTGAAAAATAATTCAGGAGGTTAGTTATTAAGCTAATCAGGGAGGCACCAGAGAAAGTGAAACCCAGTGCAAGAAAATCCAAAAAACAATACAAGAAGTGAAGGGAGAAATATTCAAGGAACTAGCATAAAGAAAAAACAAATCAAAACTTCAGGAAAAATTGTATACATTTATAGAAATGCAAAATGCTCTGGAAAGTCTCAATAAAAGAATTGAACAAGTGGAAGAAATAAATTCAGAGCGCAAAGATAAGGTCTTCAAATTAATGCAATCCAACAGAGACAAAGAAAAAAGAATAAGAAAATATGAACAAGCACCCAAGAAGTCTAGGATTATGTTAAATGACTAAACCTAAGAATAATTGTTGTTCCTGTGGAAGAAGAGAAATCTAGAAGTTTGGAGAACATATTTGGGGGAATAATTGAGGAAAACTTCCCCAGCCTTGTTAGAGATCTAGACATCCAAATAAAAGAAGCACAAAGAACACCTGGGGAACTCATTGCAAAAAGATCATCACCTATGCACATTGTCATCAGGTTATCTAAAGTTAAGATGAAGGAAATAATCTTAGGAACTGTGAGACAAAAGCACCAGGTAACCTACAAAGAAAAACCTATCAGATTAACACAGATTTCTCAGCATAAACCCTACAAGCTAGAAGGGATTGGGGCCCTATCTTCAGCTTCCTCAAACAAGACAATTATCAGCCAAGCATTTTGTATCTAGCGAAACTAAGCATCATATATGAAGGAAAGCTACAGTCTTTTTCAGACAAACAAATGCTGAGATACTTTACCACTACCAAGTTACCACTACAAGAACTGCCTAAAGGAGCTCTAAATTTTGAAACAAATCCTGGAAACACATCAAAACAGGACCTTTTTAAAGCATAAATCTCACAGGATCTATAAAACAAAAATACAATTTAAAAAGCAAAAGCAAAAAATCAAGGTACACAGGCAACAAATGGCATGATGAATGGAATGGTACCTCACATCTCAATACTGACATTGAACGTAAATTGCATAAATGCTCCACTTAAAAGATACAGAACTGCAGAATGGATAAGAATTCACCAGCTAACTATCTATTGCCTTCAAGAGACGTACCTAACACATAAGTACTCACATAAACTTAAAGTAAAGGGTGGAAAAAGGCATTTCATGCAAATGGACATCCAAAGCGAGCAGGGGTAGCTATCCTTTTATTAGACACAATTAACTTTAAAGCAACAGCAGTTAAAAAAGACAAAGAGCAACATTATATAATGCTAAAAGTCCTTGTCCAACGGGAAAATATCACAATCTTAAACGTATATGCACCTAACACTGGAGCTCCAAAACTTATAAAATGATTACTAATAGACCTAAGGAATGGGATAGACAGCAACGAAATAGTAGTAGGGGACTTCAATACTCCACTGACAGGTCATCAAGACAGAAAGTCCACAAAGAAACAATGGATTTAAACTATACTTTGGAACAAATGGACTTAACAGATATATGCAGAACATTCCATCCAATAACCACAGAATACACATTCTGTTCAACAGTGCATGGAACTTGCTCCAAGACAGACCATATGATAGGCCACAAAATGAGCCTCAATAAATGTAAGAAAATTGAAATTATATCAAACACTCTCTCAGACCACAGGGGAATAAAACAGAAATCAACTCTAAAAGGAGCCTTCAAAACCATGCAAACACATGGAAATTAAATAACATGCTCCAGAATGATCATTGGGTCAAAAACGAAATCAAGATGGAAATTAAAAAATTGTTTGAACTGAACGACAATAGTGATACAACCTATCAAAACCTTTGGGATACAACAAAGGCAGTGCTAAGAGGAAAGTTCATAGCCCAAAATGCCTACATCAAAAGACCGAAAGAGCACAAACTGATACTTTAAGGTCATACCTCAAGGAACAAGAGAAACAAGAACCAGACAAACCCAAACCCAGCAGAAGAAAGGAAATAACAAAGGTCAGACGAGAAGTTCCTGAAATTGAAACAAACAAAAAATACGAAAGATAAATGAAACAAAAACCCGGTTCTTTGTAAAGCTAAATAAAATTGATAGACCATTAGCGAGATTAACTAAGAAAAAAAGAGAGAAAATCCAAATAACCTCAATAAAAAATGAAATGGGAGATATTATAACTGACACCACAGAAATACAAAAGATCATTTAAGGCTACTATGAACACCTTTACACACACAAACTAGAAAATATAGAAAAGATGGATAAATTCCTAGAAAAATACAACAATCAGAAAGAATTAGATATCTTTAACAGACCAATAACAAGCAGTGAGATTGAAATGATAATTAAAAAATTACCAACAAAAAAAAGTCCAGGACCAGATGGATTCACAGCAGAATTCAACCAGACATCCAAAGAAGAATTTGTAGCAATTCTTTTGACACTATTCCACAAGATGGAGAAAGAGAGAACCCTCCCTAATTCATTCTGTGAAGCCAGCATCACTCTAATACCAGAACCAGGAAAGGGCATAACCAAAAAAGAAAAGTACAGACTGAGATCCCTGATGAACATATATGCTAAAATCTTTAACCAAATACTAGCTAACTGATCCAACAACATATCAGGAAGATAATCCACCATGATCAAGTGGGTTTCATACCAGGGATGCAGGGATGGTTTAATATACATAAGTCAATAAATGTGATACACCACATAAACAGAATTAAAAACAAAAGCCACATGATCATCTCAATAGATGCAGAAAAACCATTTGATGGAATCCAGCATCGCTTTATGATTAAAACTCTCAGCAAAATCGGCATACAAGGGACATACCTCAATGTAATAAAAACCATCTATGACAAACCCAGAGCCAGCATAATACTGAATGTGGAAAAGTTGAAAGAACTCCTGCTGAGAACTGGAACAAGACAAGGATGGCCACTCTCACCACTTCTCTTCAACATAGTACTGGAAGTCCTAGCCAGAGCAATCAGAAAAGAGAAAGAAATGAAGGGCATCCAAATCAGTAAAGAGGAAGTCAAATTGTCACTGTTTGCTGATGAAATGATAGTTTACTTTGAAAACCTTAAAGACTCCTCCAGAAAGCTCCTAGAACTGATAAAAGGATTCAGCAAAGTTTCAGAATACAAGATTAATGAACCACAAATCAGCGCTCCTCTATATACTAACAGTGACCAAGCTGAGAATCAAATCAAGAACTAAACTTATTTTACAATAGCTGCAAAAAAATAAAAATAAAATAAAATACTTAGGAATATACCTAACCAAAGACGGGAAAGACTATGACAAGGAAAACCACAAAACACTGTTGAAAGAAATCACAGACAACACAAACAGATGGAAACACATCCCATGCTCATGGATGGGTAGAATCAATATTGTGAAAATGACCATATTGCCAAAAACAATCTACAATTCAATGCAACCCCCATTAAAATACCACCATCATTCTTCACAGAATTAGAGAAAACAATTATAAAATTCATATGGAAAAATAAAAAGCCCACATAGTTAAAGCAAGACTAAGTAAAAAGAACAAATCCAGAGGCATCACACTACCTGATTTCAAACTACACGGTAAGGCCATAGTCACCAAAGCAGCATTGTACTGGTATAATAATAGGCACATAGACCAATGAAACAGAATAGAAAACCAATAAATAAACCCAAATACTTACAGCCAACTGATCTTTGAGAAAGCAAACAAAAACATAAAGGGGGAAAGAACACCCTTTTCAACACATGGTGCTGAGATAATTGGCTAGCCACATGTAGGAGAACAAAATTGGATCTTTATCTTTCACTTTATACAAAAATCAACTGAAGATGGATTAAGGACTTAAATCTAAGACCTGAAACTATAAAAATTCTAGAAGAAAACATTGGAAAAACCCTTCAGACATTGGCTTAGGCAAGGGTTTCATGATGAAGAACCCAAAGGCAAATTCAATAAAAACAAAGACAAATAGCTGGGACTTAGTTAAACTAAAGAGCTTTTGCACAGCAAAAGGAACAGTCAGCAGAATAAACAGATAACCCATAGAGTAGGAGAAAATCTTCACAATGTATACATCTGATAAAAGAATAATATCCAGAATCTACAATGAACTCAAACAAATCAGCAAAAAAAAACAAACAATCCCATCAAAAGTGAGCTAAATACATTAGTAGACAATTTTCAAAAGAAGATATACAAATGGCCGATGAACATATAAAAACATGCTCAACATCACTAATGATCAGGGAAATGCCATTCTTGCAGGCAATACCACCTTACTCCTGCAAGAATGGTCATAATCAAAAAAATAAAAAAATAGATGTTGCCATGAATGTGGTGTTCAGGGAACACTTCTACACTGCTGTTGGGATGGTGAACTAGTACAGCCATTAGGGAAAACAGTCTGGACATTCCTTAAGGAACTAAAAGTAGAACTACCATTTGATCCAACAATCCCACTACAGGGTATCAACCCAGAGGAAAAGAAGTCATTATACAAAAAAGATACTTGCACATGCATGTTTATGGCAGTACAATTCACAATTGCAAAATCGTGGAACCAACTCAAATGCCCATCAATCAACTAGTGGATAAAAAAACTGTGAGATATGTATATGTGTATATATATATATATATATATATGAAGGATGGAATACTAGTCAGCCATAAAAAGGAATGATTTAACGTCATTTGCAGTCAACTGGATGAGATTGGGGACTATTATTCTAAGTGAAATAACTCAGGAATGGAAAACCAAATATTGTATGTTCTCACTGATATGTGGGAGCTAAGCTATGAGGACGCAAAGGCATAAGAATGATACAATGGAAGTTGGGGACTTGCCGAGAAGGATGGGAGGGAGGTGAGGGATAAAAGACTGAAAATAGGGTGCAGTGTATACTGTTCATGTGATGGGTGCACCAAAATATCACAAATTACCACTAAAGAACTTACTCATGTAACCAAACACCACTTGTATCCCCAATAATTTATGGAAAAATTCTTAAAAAGAAGATATTATAAATGACCTTTTGATCCATAGAGAAATATGTTAGGTACTTTACCCTGATTATAAAAAGAAACATATTTATATTTGTGGTCCCGTAATTTTTCCTATTCCAAATCAATGGGGGCATTATACGCAACTATTATTTTACTATTGGTTTTGGTAAGAAAGATAAACTTTGTTCAGGAGAGTCCAACATGCAAAGTTTCTAATGTAAGTGCATCATTTTAGACACACATCCCTTTTGTAATCCTTGTGCGTCCCATTTCTCACTTCCCTGGCTATGTTGAACTATTTGGCATTTTGTAATTACCAGTTCATAAGTTTCTGTTTGATTGAATTAAGTAGTTTCTGTTTACATCAAAAATAAAATGTAGTAAAATAAACATCTAACCGAATTATTGCTGAAACCCACCACTGATTTGCTAACTAGTGAGGGAGTATGAACATCATTTCATGAGTATAGTGATAAAAATATTGATTTGTAAATGTTCTGATATAATACATTTTAATAAACTTTTTGTTAGATTTTTACTTATTGACACAATTCTCATTTCTCAGAACCTTTTTGCAGTCGGGAATATATATTAGGAAATATTTAATGACTCTCTTGAAATATAATATTGAATTACACCCTGAAAATAGAATAGAATTTCTGGTTAATGGTCAAAATGCTTTTTCTGTTATCACCAACTGCATTTATTTTTTATTCATAATGAATCCAACTATGATGACTGGTTCAGGAAATCATGAGGAAGACAAATAGTTTCTGTCTGTCTCAGCAACTTTCTTGATGCTATAGATTAGATTTCCCACTTGTATACAAACTCTTTCTTGCCTATAGACATGGCTTTTAAATGTTATATAAATGAACAAATAGTAAAATTATTTTAGATAGGCAACATATGGGCCTATAATATTTTTTCCTCGTAGACACATACCCATTTCAAGAGGTATCTATTTATTTTAAACTGTATTGTGTTGGAGAAGTATAATTAAAACCAAAATTTTCTCCTAACCCCCAAATCCTCTCTACAAAGGTAGAAAAGAAAGAAAACACTTTTATTATTGAGTATTGAATCAGAATGTGATGTGCCTCACAGGCAGTCTACTAAGACAGGGGTCCCCAAACACCAGGCCTGAGACTGGTACTGGCCTGTTAAGAACTGGGGTGCACAGCAGGAGGTTAGCGCCAGGCAAGGAAGAGAAGCTTCATCTGTATTTACAGCTTCTCCCCATTGTTCACATTACCGCCTGAGCTCTGCCTCCTGCCAGATCAGCAGAAGCATTAGATTCTCACTGGACTCTATTGTGAACTGTGCATGTGAGGGGTTTAGGTTGTTTGTGACTTTTGAGAATCTAACCTGATTCTCTGAGGTGGATAATCTGATAATCTGAGGTGGAATAGTTTTATCCCGAAACCCCCCTCTGACCCCCATCCATGGAAATATTGTCTTCCATGAAACTGGTCCCTGGTACCAAAAAGGTTAGGTACTGCTGCACTAAGAGATTTCAAGAGCAGAAGGAATGCTCACTCATTTATATAGTGAAGCATACACAACTAACTGCATACACGTCTTCAACATAAACTTCTGCACTCACCCTCAGGTAAGAAAATAACTAGTCCTCAAGTAAGAAACTTGATAGCACTATTTGTCACACATAGTACATTGTAACTTTACCCAGTAATTGGAGTGACCATCTGTATTAACTAGTTTTATCCAGAGGAAAAATGAACTTCTCATATCTTTATGATAGGAAATAATTTTGCAAATTTTAGTGACACAGGATTTTTCTTGGTCACTTTGCCAGCCGAGACCTCTGGCTGGTGACACCCCTGCCTGTGCCTTGCTTGGGCTTGAGTTCACCGCAGGAGATGACCTGTCTACTCAGCTGCTGGGCTGCACCTGGCTTGTACTCCAGCATGGATCTCTTGGCTGCTGTGACTACACACTCTGCCCCTGGCTGGAGGGGGTGTGTAAGTGAGCAAGTGTGGGGTCTGGCCAGCTGTTCCAAGCACCAGCACAAGAGCAAGCTCCACACAGCACTTGCGGGTGGACCAGGCATGTCACAAACAACTGCCACAGTGGACTCTGGCGTCCAGATGAGGGGAATGTAGTGGCTCCCAGGCAGGAGTGCCCGTGACCCTGAAGCCCCAGAGTGGGTATTACAGAGTGCTAATTAGCTGTTTTATTCCCTCCCTCTGCAGCCTGACAGAGGGCAGCACATTAACATCTCTGTCATCCCCTTGCTCTGCTATGGCCTGTGGCTCCAGGGCTGGCTTGGCCCTGCTGCTTCCCATTGTGTGGGGCAGATTCCCTCTGACAGTGGTGGTCAGAGGAGGCACAGTGTTACAGCCTTCTTTGTACCCATGTTCGGTAGGTCCCGAGTTCTTATCCTGCATCCAAGAAGAATGAGGTTACACTGACAATCGAAGGGTGAGGAGGGTGGAGAAGAATTTTATTGAGCGACAAAACAGCTCTCAGTGGAGAGAGAATGCGAGGGTGGTCCCTCACCCAAAGTCCAGTGGTCTCTCTTCCAGTGTGGCTGGGTCAGGGGCTTTTATGAGCTCAGAATGGGGAGTGTGTGCTAATTGCTTTGTGAGTGTGCAAAAAAGGCTAAAACAAAGGCACCACTCAAAGGTCAGCATGACAGTGTAAAAAGCCAATTGTGGAGGGTAGGTATATGTAAAATAGGTGGAGGATGAGGATCAATCATAGGATAGCATGCCAAATGGAAAGAGAGGTTCTCAATCCAGTCCGTGGATTTATCTGAGACTTGTAGCTTGGTCTTCAGTCTTTAAACTGCCTTTGGTTTGAAGGTGGGGTTTTACTAGTGACCTGCCCCTATCTGCCTAGGCATTTGTCTGCCTCCTACTACTATCAGGATCAAGGTATCCACTAAAGTTATGCTCCTACCCTCCCCCAGTAACTGGGATATATGGGTGTATCTACTTTGATGCTTACATTTCAAATGGGTGACTCTCAAATCCTTAAGAACAGCATTCCTAGGTTTTAAAGCTGACAAAGTCCTATCTAGTTTTTGAAAGGATTTATATACATTTGAGGAAGGAGAACGTATATACAGTTACCAGTTTTCTAACTTAAATGCTCTAAGAAACTGGGAAGGAAATTCTCTTCCTTTATTTTCAACTGGGAAAATTAAGCCCCTGTGCTAACTTTTATTTGTCCATACAATCATTCCCATAGCATCTCATAATATTCACATAGGAAAAGACAGTCTTCATGAATTGATTGTAATTTAGTGTTTCCTTCAAA
The DNA here is from genome assembly GCF_000001405.40 of Homo sapiens. Lineage (NCBI taxonomy): Eukaryota > Metazoa > Chordata > Mammalia > Primates > Hominidae > Homo > Homo sapiens. The sequence goes on from NC_000013.11 coordinate 54,417,263, forward strand.
ATTCACTCATTTTCCCTTAACTACAATACTACCATAGAGGGCACCACTATAATAGTAAAGACAAAACTAACAACAACAACAAAGTCTAAAAGGCAAACAGTGTAGTTGTTTTCTTAAATGAGGCAACCATGGCATGCTCAGGGAAAGATTACTCCATGGTGTCAGAGGCTAGGCATTTTTCCAGCTCTACCGCCAAGTGTGCTGTTGTACATATCACTCAACACCTATAAAAGACAGATTTAGTCAAATAATTTCTGATATTTGGCTATTTGGTCTTGTTCATAACCAGATTTTGCCCCCAAAATATACACATATGCTAACCTTTTGCTGGTATCCTCAAAGAAATTAATGAGACCATTCTTAATATTCCAATACATATTTCTGAAATGTTTTCCTTTTTAATTTTTCTTGGAAGGTGTGATATCTTTTTTTTTTTTTTTTGGTTCCAAGAACACCAGGGGTTAGCATTTCATGGTAGCACAGGCCAGAATCACAGCACCTGCTTTTTATGCTTTTGTTTCTTTATTGTCATACATGTATTTTCTTATAGGTTATTCGGGAAAGGGGGTGCATATTGCACCCATAAAACAGCAGAGGTAAAGAGGAAAAATCCGAAAGGTCGATGGAACATTGGTGGAGTTATTTTCATCAGAGAAAAACAGACAATGTATCCTTTTAACAAGTCCAAAACTGTCGGTTTGTTGTGTGAAACACAACTGAAAAGAATACCGTAGAGGAAGGAATCCAAATGGGAGAAAGGGAATGCTCATTAACATGCCATTTAAATGCTCCTTGAAGAAAAAATACAAATACAAAAGTAAAAGAATTGTTGTTTAAAAGGATTTTTCTAACTTTTATCAAAAACATGTAAAAGAGAAGAATACAGCCACTTCAAATTTGAATCTGACAACACTTCCATAATGCAATGCTTATTGAGGAACTACTGAACACCATGACACCTTCCCATGGTTTTCTACCTCACCTTTAAAATGAGGTCAAGCTATCCTTGACAACCAGGCCCAGTGTTCTTTTAAAAATGCTACAAGAAGGAGGACTGCTGTTTCTTGTACCTGAAAGGTTATTTAATTGAATATTGGAAGGCATCTTAAAAGATAAGTAATTTTGCTCTCACCCAAGGAGAAAAGTTAAAACAAATGCCACATGGTTAATCCTGTTTTCCATGTTTCCAAGAAAAACATAAGAATATATTAATAAGATGCCTAAAATTGAAATTCTTCAAATTAGAATCTAAATTGACTGAAATACTTACACATCTAGTTTCTAAAATATATACATCCTAGTATCCTAATATTTAAAAATAAAGCCACTTATTCATATTTTAAGAGGTGCCTTCCTCACCTCTCTAATACTTCATCATTTCTAAATATATAAATAATAGCATATCCTTGATGATTTATGTTTAGAGTTGCAATTATGCAAAAACTATAGATTAGAAAAATAATAAAAATAAACTGCATTTTTTTCTGCTGTTGGAAATACTTTACAGAGGGTTTAGTACGGCAAGACTGTGCCAAAGATTTGATAAACGTTGTTATTCAATATTTATGACATTTCTGAAACAGAGGCATTATTTTCTTCATTTACAGAAGAGAGAATTGAGGTTCATAGGTTTATTTCACGAAATAACTTCCCAAATAATCTGAAATGATGCATGATGAAGCCCCTGGCTCCTCAGCAGCTTCTTCTCACAGCATGTTCTCCTGAGAACATTGTTTTTCTTTTAAGTTCTCTAGCACTCCAGGTTATTCCAGGCCTCAAGGGCTTCTCCCTCCAAACTCACCTAACTGCAGTATGCCTACCTTGATTAATTTCTAGTCATTATTTAGACCTGAAGTCACCTGTAATTTTCCCAGGCAAGACTTGCCTAACATGCAACAGAGATTAGACCATCTCTTGTCTCTCAGACTACTCTATATGCTTTTTCAAAGTGCCTACCAGAAATTCCAATAACTCAGTTGCTATTTATTTATCCAATGTGTGTCTTTTCTGGGCTAGAATGTAAGTACTATGAGGTCAGGGGCTGAATCTGCCTTGCTCATTGCTATATCTTCATTATGTAGCACAATGTCTTATATTCAGTAAATATTGTTTAAAAGAGTAAGTGGATGAATAAATAGATGAATCTAAAATTCAATTGCACAATTCAAATTTTTTTCTCCACACCTCACACCTAAAACCAGCAAACTAGGCTAACAATGTGACTAACCTTCTAGAACAAAAACAGTTATTTTATATGAAAATGAGGAACACAAATCTTATTCTAGGATGAGTTTCATTTGCTCTTGGGAGAAGAAATCTTTTAGAAACACAGCTTTGATTTTAAAATGTAATTATGTTAATGATCCCTATTATAAATAACTCCTTAATTTTTGGCGAGCCAAAAACTACGTTAAATTAGCTTTTGTATTGATGTTAATATAAGAAGGTCAAAGGAGTTTTCATTCATTGTAGTGGTAAACACTCTTCTGACCTGTGCCACTGTGAAATTTTAACCCCTGAAGTCCTTAGAACAAAAAATGTGTCATGCCTTCCAAGAAAAATGAAAAAGAAAACATTTAGGAGATACGTATTGGAATATTATAAATGGTCTCATCAATTTCTTTTACCAACAAAAGGTTAGCATGTATGTGTGTATTTTGGGGGCAAAATATAATGGTAAAGACCAAAGAAGCATCAGCTATCAGAAATCTTCTGGGTTAAGCCCATTATTTATAGCCATTGAGTCATGCCATCATGGGGACATCTGGTATTGAACTGGCTCATTTCTGCAGCCAGAGCACATGTTGGTGATAATGCAGCCCCAGCCCAGAGGACTTTTTTTCCCTTGCTTGCTTGAAAACTGTAGGCAAGCTTTGTCCCACACAACCTAATGAATTTCTTCACTGGCCAACTAGGTCTTAACCTTATCCTGGCAAGGTGCTGGGGGCTGTGGGAGGCCGTGCTAAGTATACACTTCCTTAGGTACTTTTTCTTAGCCCTAGGAAAAGGTAGAACAACATTTTAGGCTATACTTGAGTCATCTTTTCCTCTTTATGGTAAAATTCTACCATAGCTTAGTAATTTTTTATATAAAAAAACTTTATTTAAATGACTATGTGGCTCTGTCTGCTGATTTGATCCAGACACATATATTGTCCATATACAATATAATAAAGAACATCTTTTTGCAACAATTTTTAATGCCATAAATGGCTATAATAGCTGGCATGAATTTTTTTAAGTGATGTTAAGTCCTAGGTCAGGAATCCAGCTCAGAATGATAAGCATTTTTTCTCCAGGGGGAAAACAATCATACACATAGTGACAATATATTTTATTTCATTGTATCACTGAGAAAAGCTTTGACTTTAAATATAAATGGGATGTCATACTTTCATACTATAAGAAGAATGTTATTTAGAAGCAAGTATAAAAACTACTTCTTTCACCTAAGTAGTAATGAATCAAAAGTGAGAGCCTTTGTAAATATGTGCATATGAAAAATGTTGAGATTGTATATCTAAATTTATAGCCTTCAGATAGTATTCTAATTAGAGACTAGGTAGAAAGCACAGCACAATTTTTGTTCAACATATGAATACAGGTAATTTTTTCTTAAAATTGTATCAGTACAACTGATTTACAATGCATTTTTTCTTTATTGGAGTGACATAATTGCCTCTCTATTAGCTATCATACAGCAGTTGCTCTCTAGCCAATCTAAGACTTGTAAGTGGAGAAAGAGTTTAAGTTGGATAGATGTGGGAGACTAAAAATCAACACTGAGATAAAATCAGCTCTTGGAAATTGAACAAGAATCAAATGATGAAAATCCGGTTACACAGTCAAAGCATTTTATCTAGAGAATACAAGCATGAATACTGGACAGTAATGGATCAAGCCAGGCAGACAGATAGGCAGGCATCATAGTGGTGTCAGGGAAATCCAGCAAGAGTGTCAGTGTTAGGTGCCAAGTAACTTAAAAGTAAGTACCAAAGCAGAGATTCTAGAGAGGATTACAAGAGTGCCAAGGAAATTGGAGAAAAGTATCATAATTCTGACTTCAAGACAGATTGGAATAGAGACTCCCTAAGATGATGGTACTAAAATGCTGAAAGGATGGGAGAAATGTGCAGGAAATCCAAACCAAGACCTAGGCATGAGATTCAATGAGAGAGAGAGAGAGAGAGAGTTGTTTTATATAGAATATAGCATGGCTTTATCTCAATAAACGAAATCAGGAAGGAGAATATGACTACGAGAAAAGAATGGGATCAGCAAAAAATTACCTATTATCCAGCATAGCTCAGATAGATAATTTTACTGTTCCATGTAGTATAATGGATCACTTGATAAAATTCAGCTGTTACATAGTCTGGACTGAAGGGTGGAAATGGCATACTCACACATCTGGCAACTCATTAGGTATATACAAAAGATTGAGTCCAGCTGGGGCTGACAACAAAATACCTGGATTTGGCCCCTTTAGTATGGCAGCCACAAAGTAGTCACATAAACTTACATGTTGGGTCAAGGTGCCAAGAGTAATTGTTTCAGTGAACAAGGTGAATGTCTTTATCTCAATAAACAAAATCAGGAAGGAGGATATGACTACGAGGGAAAAACTGAATTGGCAAAAATTTACCTCAGTGTAGAAATGCTGATTTGCTGAACTGGAGCTTTAAAATTCTATATGGCTGGAATCTGTCTTGATCCTGGAACTGGATTTACCCTAGTGGGGAAGATAGTGTGAAATTTTTTCTCGTTATAACTATATGGAATGAGACTAAATGAGGGCAGATAAAATGTAGGGCTTTAAATCTCCATCACAGAAATAACACATTTTTATTTCAAAGTCCACTAAGAATTATAATTATGTTTATTATCTTCATATGTGAGCAGAATCTAAAACTGTTAGCTACCTAGTAGAAGAAAAGGAAATAAATGGAAATAAACAGAAGAAAGAACTAACAAAAACATTGTTAACTTTCATAAGTTGATATGGTTTGGATCTGTGTTCCACTCAAATTTCATGTTCAGTTTTAATACTCAGTGTCGGAGGTGGGGCCTGATGGGAGGTGATTGGATCATGAGGGCAATTTCTAATGGTTTAACACCATCCCCTTGGGTGCTGTTCTCGTTGTGTGACCTTTTACAACCTAGCATCACTTACTCCATACTCTATTTTGTTTAAGCAGTCGCAGCCATGCACATATTCAAGTGCAGAGGGTATAGACATGAATGTCCACAAAAGAAGTTTCAAATAATTCACTACCGTGCTGAAAAACCACTAGAGTTTATTGACCTGGCCACAAAATTATTGATATTCCTTTATTGTGGAAGAAACGTAAAAAGTCTCTCTATTATGATATGAGGCTTAGATTCAAAGTCCAGCATCTCATCAGCAAAATCAGGTCTAGCTTCATAAGAAGTACCTTGGATTCTTTTCCTCGAGTATAAAGTTACTTTTAGTCTGAAGACCGGTGAACTGAAGAGACAAATCTTTCCACCAACATGCCCAAAGACGAGAAAAGCAGAGGATAACTACAGTAAACACTCTTGTTCCATAAGGAGAAAAATGGAAAGCACGCAGCCATCACTTTCCCAGGGCAAGTTTTTTTTTTTTTTTTTTGAGATGGAGTCTTGCTCTGTTGATCAGGCTGGAGTGCAATGGCACTATCTCAGCTCCCGCAACCTCCACCTCCCGGGTTCAAGAGATTCTCCTGCCTCAGCGTCCCAAATAGCTGGGATTACAGGCTCCTGGCTATCTCAGCTCCCTGCAACCTCCACCTCCCGGGTTCAAGCGATTCTCCTGCCTCAGCGTCCCAAATAGCTGGGATTACGGGCTCCTGGCACCACGCCCAGCTAGTTTTTGTATTTTTAGTAGAGACGTGGTTTCACCATGTTGGTCAAGCTGGTCTCGAACTCCTGACCTGAGGTGATCCACCCACCTCAGACTGGCAAAGTGCCAGGATTACAGGCGTAAGCCACCGTGCCCGGCCCCCATGGCAATTCTTAAATACATCCTGGCACATGCTTACATCGCCTTGATTGGGACTCATTCCCGATTCCTATGTATAACTCTTGGCTTTTTTCTTGCCCTCTGAAAACTTCCTTTTCCACATAATATAGCCTTTTTCACTAAAACATTTCCCTTAATGACTAGTTTTCTTAGATTACTTACTGCCTATAGATATTGGGATATCTAATGGCCTCCTTAAATATTGTTTACTCTGTCTCTTTCAGTTTATGTTACTATAATTAAAAAAAAAATCCTCATGAGGTTTTTGCATGTTAATTCCCAATCTAGTCAATTGACCAAAAAAAAAAAACAAAACACACACACACTCAGGAACCTTTTTGAGATACACCCTTCTTTGTCTTGGTTTCCCTATGAGATTGTTGTTTATGCACTGAAGAATCTAAAGATCTATTGTCCACCCTAAAGCATCCAAGTGACATGCTCTTAGAGGCCTCTTTTTCTTTTGGTAACTGCCAGTGTATATGAGATACAGCATTAGATCCTTCAGAAGTCATAACAAAGGATCTCACAGCCACAGCCTTGATTCATTAAGGCTGTGCTCCACTGGCAGTGCCCTATAGTTATTTGATCTTTACCCTGGGGCCATCTCTTATTTGAGAGCGACTCCTTGGTTGGAAAGATTCTCTTAAGCCCCTTACATTAACTCCATATTGTACTAGAATCAAACAGTTGATTACTTAGTTCATTTCTATTTTTTCTTATTTTGTCATAGACAGCTGGAAGAAACCAGGTGGTATCTTCAACACTATGCCCAGAAATCATCTTAACTAGATTATCAAGTTCATTAAGTACATTTTATATTTTTCAGGTTACTTCAGGTGGCAGTATTATGAACTTTATGCCAGCTCCCAGTATTTTCTTTTCTTTTCAATCTCCTTTAATCTTTTCATACTAGTCACTTCAGTCCTTATCAGATTTTTACACACTGCCCTGTTCCCAAACAAAGCCACACAGTTTAGATTTTTTAATGGTAGCACCTCACTACAAGGTACTAAATTATGTTTATCTATTCGTGCATTTTTTAAAAACCTACCCAAAACTGAACTGCCTAAAACAACAATGAATTTATTTTATCTTATAATATTGTGAATCAATAATTCAGCAGCATCCAAACGGTTAATTGCTCTCTTTCATGTAGTGTTGACTGATCATTCAAGGGTATTCGGCTGACAGATGGGTTGGAATGAAAAGCCCAAAACTATTTCAGTCACATGATGCTTCATTGGGAATGGCTGGAAGGCCAGCCTCACCTTGAATCATCAAGAAGAATCTCTGCAGGTAACCTCTCCAGCATGGCAAAGTAACAGGTCCCTGAGAGCAGGGGGACTCTCACTGGGTGCCTCAGAGCTTTAAGAGCAGTGACTTCAGCTATCACCTCTTGGATGGGAGGGATGAAAAATATTTTTGGTCCTGGTTTAAAAATGCCAAAATTGGGCTGGATGATAAGTAACATAAATTTTGTTTTGAAAAATCTGTTTCAAAAACACAATAAAGATTTAGCATGACTATGAAATAAAAACATTTTAACTTCCCATAAGTTATAAACACCTACGACTGTGGAAGCATTAAATAGTCTACAACATTTATTTTTCAAAAGATTTAATTCCAAGCCGCTGAAAAAAACATTTATAGCTGAGATCGGGTGGAAAATATCTAAAAATATATATATTCGTGTTTCTGTAAAAACGGCAGTATTACTTATAATCTCTTGCCATGAAACATGCTTTTATCCACTAAGGCTTATAAATAAAACAGAAAAACATGATTCTTAAAGTTGTATTTTTATTTAATTTATTTTGATAATATGAAAAAAATTACTGCCAGAGAAGATGCTTTTAATATAAGTCATTATTTATGGTAATGTTACCAAACTCAATAAATAATATTCTCCTCTTGATATGGTTCCATGCGGTAGCTGAAATAATAAAAACATAGAAATGGGAATAATTCTAGAGATCATCTGGATTAAATCCTTTCAGCCACAGATGAAAGGACTGAGCCCTACAGAGACTATGAAGCTTGTTCAAGACCTCTTAACTGGTTAATGGGCAGAGTCGAGGACTTTTTCTATGACCATGGTACTAACAGCTACAATGGCACCCTTGAGAGAAATAAGCTCCTCAAATGCTACCGCAATTCCCTTGCAGTTTGTGAGTTCATTAATTTTCTGTAAAAACCCTTTCTTCATCTGTTGTACATAATTTTTAGACCATCCTCACTGAGTTGAAACAAATTCTGATCAAGCAGAACTAGCAAAATTTTACTCTTTCATTATAGTTAAATAGAATAACAGATAACTGTGAATATATTCATAAAAATAGTGAGGAGCTGCTAAATTTAAAAAATAAATTCATTGCTTTATTTCTTGTATCCAGTTTCAAGAATTATAGATTTTCTATGTGAGAATATATTTTAAAGCCAGTGTTTAAAATTATTTTAAGCACTGAAATATAAGCATACCACTTGAGAATGCATACATCCAGTGAAAAAGGTGTTCATTGGTTCTGAGAAAAAAAGAGAGAAATCTTTTTCATTTGCAATAATTATTATATAACATAAGCAATCATTATTAAAATTATATATATAATTACAATAATACATTATATTATGATAAATACAATAATACATTATAATAAATGTTATTTATATTGCAATATATAATATTTGCAATCATTATTATGTCCTACCTTATAAAAAACTGATATCTATTACTAAATTCTCTCTATAGATATGTAGATTGATCTATCTATCATTTTATCTCTCTAACTATTTATTTATATTCATCCCAGTTTGGTCTATACGCTATCATAAAATATACCTGCATCCCCTTTTAGAAGGACATCTTCAAATATTTGAGGACAAATATCAAGTTGTGACTGTTTCATAATTTAAATATTCACAATTTTTTCCATCGGCAAAAATTCTAAAATAAGGAGGTATGCAAACGGAGTAAGGATGGACTACGCTGGACACCCAGCTAAGCAGACAGAATTTCTGTAGTTTGTCTGATTAGCCTCTAGTCTATTTCTCTCTACTCTTCTCATACAGTGCACGTATCACTTATCTTTTTGCATTTCTTTTTTATTTTAAATACCTTTATACTATGTGTACAGTTATATTAAATCAAGATTTTTTTATGAAATACATTTGGGGTGATTTTTTCATGACAGGATTTGGACAATAAGGATTTAAAAAATTTTTATGGTTGGGTGGTATGCTTCAAGATAGAAAGATCCCACAAAATTATAAATCACTTAACTGAGTGAAGTTATTGTGAATAAACTGTTCCAAACTGAGGCCAAAGCTTGCATTTGTAGGACTACACTTCTAATCACTTTTGATTTTTTTAAACAAGTGGGTTTTAATTTTGATGGAAAAAAGTGGTTTGAATTGAGAAAGATAATGCAGTCTGCTGTAAACATCAATGTAATTATCTGTGAAGGTTTTTTTTTTTTTTTTTGAGATGGAGTCTTGCTCTGTCGCCAGGCTGGAGTGCAGTGGTGCAATTTCGGCTCACTGCAACTTCCACCTTCCGGGTTCAAGCGATTCTCCTGCCTCAGTCTCTTGAGTAGCTGGGACTACAGGTGCCCGCCACCACACCCGGCTAATTTTTGTATTTTTAGTAGAGATGGGGTTTCACCATGTTGGCGAGGCTGGTCTCGAAATTCTGACCTCAGATAATCCATCTGTCTTGGCCTCCCAAGGTGCTGGGATTACAGGTGTGAGCCACCGCTCCCGGCCAAAACTTATTTCTTTAAGTGGGGTATGATGTGTTCCCATTACCTGCTCCCATAATGCTACCAGCATATGAGTCCAGTTACAGTAAGGCTTTCGGTTACAACGTGTGCAGTGTGCTTTTCCATGTCAACTACATTCAGTTCCAGTGTATATATTCTCTATATCATTTCTCACATGCTTAGGAGTTATTTGTCTATGGACTTGTATTATCACACACTGAAAGTTACAGATGAAGATTCTGTTTTATATATCTTTGTAGCTAGTCAAATGAACCTAATCAAATGAAAAGCAGATCACTCAAATAAATTATTGAATTCAATTATTAATACTTTTATATTACTTACAGTCATTTTAAAAATCTGTTGCCTAGAAGTAGACTCCATTTGAGATCTGACAACTGTATGGTATAATTCTCTACCTTCAAAATCTCAAGTACATAATTCCTTTTGCTGCCATAATATTAATCTGACTGTATGGCATTTTTAGTGATTTTTGAATTCACGGTTATGCTATTCATAGTTAACTAAAATTTAAGGCTTTTTAAAATTATATGTTTAACATTTAAAAAAATTTAAATATAACACTTTCCATTCACCCTAATGTAATTTTTGTTCTTGCTTTTATAATGATATAACTTCCTGTTTAATTTTCTTTCATTCCCATCAAATATTTCTAAGTTTTAAGGCTTTCATCTATCTTTCAAAAATTGAAAACTATTAATTGCGGGAACCATGTCTATCAGAGATGAGTGTTCTCTTGCATTGGTCACATGCAAATTTTTTTGAGATAGAGTTTGGCTTTCATGAAATTTCTTTATAAAGTGCTATATACATCAGGTATTCTAAAATAAATGTTTGGTCCTAGAATATTGAATTTTTGATAACTGTCAGATATGAGTGGAAAATAATGTAGTAATTTGTGACTGAATTAGAACATGAGTTGTATAATTTTTCATTTCTGTGCTGAGATGCTCAGAGACATGTATTTCTGGTTTATCTTTTATCTTCCTTATACAATGCACATTGCATGGACAGAAAAGTTAGATATACTTATTGAATTTATGTAAAGTATACCATATTCAAAGTCTTAGTTATAAGTAATTCTGGTATCAAATTCAGTATATGAAGAAAAACTTGAATATATCCACAAGACTTCAAGCTTTATAATACATATTTTGGGCAAGCTACATATTTTTATAAGTACCCTTCTTCAATGGTATTTGCTGAATAGATTCCCAAGTAGTACTTACATTTGCGTTATTTTCTTTTAGAGATGTATTTGTTCATTTTTCTGTACACATTAACAACTTAAAATTTAATATGAATTTTATTGACTATCTCCTCACAAAATAAATGCAAGATCATTTTACTGTTAAATCCCCACAATTCTATAATAATGATACCATTACCAAGATAGCTCTCTTTCTCATAACTGTGAGTCATTCTCAAATTTTCTTTTTTAGCCAGTTACTATAAACCGATGGGAACAAAATTTACCAGAAATTCTAGTAGATGAATAAAAATACTATAATTTTCAGGGAAACTATTCCTAAAATGTGTAACTGCTACTTTAGTGTGCATTTCTTTTCTGCCATTGTGACTATTATCTTTGTTTGACTTTATATGTTTCCATATTAAGAAGCTGAAAAGAGCATGTCTTCCTTTTCACTTATTTTTACAGGTTGGGAAAGACATGGATACTTCTTTAATATAATTTCCTTTCTATATAAAGGAAATATTAATTTGGATCTGTTAAAAGAATTAACTCCTGCTCAGAAAGTTTAGTAATAAAGCTGCATTTCTATTTTAAGTTAAATATATTAGACTAGACTGAATTAGTGAGGAGCAAAGACAGGAAACCAGGAAGTTCCTGGCATTATGGTTGATTATACAAATTAGAACCTTATAGAACTACTTGATCAACTTCACTAAATCTACCTTCTCATTTCTGTTTCTGTGTGTGTAACTCTTCTAACTGAAATAAATGCACTAGTAACAATCCTCATTGCTCATTCATAACTGTGCCTGTTCTGTGTAATCTACCTCTCTAGTTCTTAAGACCCGGCACAGGGATTACTTCCTCCAAAAAGCCATATGTGGCCGATGTATGTGGATGACATATGGGATTCCATAGCACTCTTGTTTTTTCTGTTGTAGCATTATTTCAGTCTATTGTGATTATTTATTTATTTTTCTGTTTTCTTTCTCCCCCCTCTGTTGTACTATGGATACCTTCAAAGGAGGATTAAGACTTCTTTCTATAATCTTGTTTTTATCTCCCACATTTTACTCAAACCTACATTACTTAGGATGCAAGAGGACCATATATCCAATGCAATTTGTTCAAGTTCACAAAGTTTGATATCAGTAGCATTTTATCCTGCTAGATCACTCTTGGTAATCTTTTCTTCCTTTGGATTCTTTGGCACTGGGTTCTTCTGGTGTTCTTTTACCATCTCGCTCTTCTTACTGACCTTCATTTGCTGCTTCTTCCTCCTCCAACAAATTATACTTATTTTATCCATTGGTTTATCACTCATGTAGGTTCTATGGATTCAGAGGCAAAAGATAATAATAAAGAGGGTTTTTTTAGGGCTCTGTTGTAATCTCTCTCCTTTCACTATCTCTGTCTCCAGGCCCCCTTATTAGCATCCGTGGTTTCCAGTATTATGTATGTGTAAAAGACTTTTGTGTCAGACCTCATTTCTGAAATTAAAATGATAAATCTAAATTCCTGTAATACTTCTGCATACAAACAGCACAATGAGGATATCTAAAACTAAATTTATTATTTCATTAGAAATTACTCTATTACAGATAGAAGGAAATATAGATTTTATTTTTTTATTAAAATAAGCTTGAGTTATTTGAAAAGAGTCTGTCATAATGAAAAAGACCCTAAATTTGTATTCTTGGCCTAACTCTGCAAGCTGTCAGTAACTGACTTAGTAATCCTGGAGACCTCTCAGAATTGTATTTTAATTGCTAGAAAATATTTTACTTCTCATCTAAGATATAAAAATTATTTGTTTCTATGATCCTAAGATCTATGGTATTAATATTGTATTAGCATTTGAAAAAAAAAACTGAAAATAAAACCCTAGAATCTTTGAATCTAGATGACTTTATCCAGGCATGTCCATTAAACCATTTTGAGGTTGCATTTTTGCTCCCTCTTTTCTGTGGTTTGATCTTTTAATATATTCTTCCTTAACTTTCCATCTTTTCTCCATTCTAAACCCACAGAATAAAACAGGGAAATCTGACTTGTTACTAATTTCCATGTATCTTCCTATAGTTGCCATTATTATTAGCAATCTAAGAAGACAGGCCCAACACTTATTTCTTCCTAGTACAAAGTTAACTTGGCATTTAATGGGAACTATTTCCTGGAGCCTACTGTTTTCATATAATTTCCAAGCACAAATTTCATTACTTCAAGCACTTTTAGAAGAGAATATGTCATTTTTCTTTACCATCATTTAATGTTGAAACTTATCAACACATACATAACCACTTTTTTCCAATAGTTAAAATTAAACAATTTGTATTTTGAGTGTTTCCCCAGAAATAATAATACTGGAAACATACAACTCAATATTGGTTTAGGAAGTAAACTATTGTGACAGAAACAATCAGATTTAGATATACTGGGAATAAATACTAACCCCCCCTAAAAAATGATATACTGAATGGCCTAGTAGTAGTAGCCTTATACAATGGTTTAGAAAGAAAGACAGATCTGACCAAGTGGTTAGACTTTTATATTACATTTGAGAGATTTGCCGTCCTCTTGAGGAAACGCAATGTATGCCTTCATTGCTACTTATATTTAGTTCTACTGCTATTCCTTCACTTTGAACCTAAGAAATTAGGAACTACTTTTCAGATTTTGCAAAAGGAAGAGCAAAAGAAGTCTGTGAATGATGATCAATTCCATCGTAAAGATCAAGTTTCTACTTTTTTTTGTATTTTAAGATTTACTATTCCAATTTTACATCTTGAAGTTAATGTAATTTTTTACTTACTGAAAAGAACTTCATAGCTAATTGCATAAAGTTAAACCTTAACTGTGATAAATGAAAGTTTTCCGACAGTGTACATGTAAGATTAATTTTAAAGTCCTGTCTAGTAGGCTTATAGTTAATAGTAGTATATTGTTTACTTACAAATTTCTTAAGAAGATAGATCTCATGTTAAGTGTTTTTACTATGATAAAAATCTTTTCAAACTTACCTCCATAAAAGTCATCTACATGTATAAAGCATTTACTTGTGTGTGTGTGTGTGTGTGTGTGTGTATGTGTTGTGTAGATAGATAGATAGATAGATAGATAGATAGATAGATAGAGATGTATTTTCTCCTAATCACATAAATAAAAATTTTAAGTGACTGGAATAGTATGTATATACACTTTGTAATATGCATGCATATATACATACACAAACATATATATGACTTGGTATATGCAAATATATTATATAACATGCACATAATGTATACATTTGCAAGTAAAACACCTGTTAAGTTAAACTACCCAAAGTAAAAGCTAATGAAAGCAGAGATCCCGAGAAACAAGCCTAGCTTATTTGCTCTTGCAATCAGCCCTTATAAGCTTAAAGTCTTTAGAACAGATTGTGCTTACCTAAAGATTAATTACCTTTTTAAGTCATACTTATATTATCATGTAAATATTAAGTCTTTATTACTGATCATTATTTTTGTGCTCTCTGTAAAACTCCAATAATATATGTTTTTCTGATTTATTCTAGTTATGAAACTGAACTTAAGAGGGTAATTAAGAATATTTGTACTTGAGAGGTTCAAGTTTTGCCAAGTTAACCAAATCATTTGTGTAATATTTTCCAAAGAAAAGGAACTCTACATAATAAACTAGTCAAAATGAAACTAAAATTCTCTTGTGATGCTTTCCTTCTTGTTAAATGTCTTCCATGAGGTATAAAATCTGCCTGGAAGTTATTATCTGAAACACTAACAGTGTTCTCATAGTTGTATTATTGATGATCAAAAATTCAAGAGAGATTAGAAGATTGCAATGAATTCTTACAATTCTATATTTCCTTGGCATCTGTTTTCCATACAAGTCTAACTTTCTCATACCAGAAGTGGGGTTCAGTCACCCCTGCCACATTTTCTGTTCTACATCACATATAAAAGGCTCAAGTCAGTGACCAGAGATACGAAATTAGAAGCATCTCTCCTGATTAGCAGACTGTGATCCAGGCTTTCCTTCTGCTTTCTTCAAAGGGACCCTTCAGGCATTTGTCTGTGAACTTAAAGTGACTCACATCCCGTTCACTTATACGTGTTGCTAGTTCTCACGTTCTCTCTCTCATTCTCTCTTGCTGCTCCTGTGACTGGGAATAGAGGACTATCCTCCTGACTTATTGCACCCTCCTTGCCCAGGGTCTGTAAGTAAAAATCTTTTAACTTGTTTTCTATTGTGGTAGTATGTTGAATCTGCACCTTTCATGGGAAGAACTAAGGGCTGCCCCAGGCCAGGTTTTTCCGCAGGATGTGGATAAGGGGAGGGGAAACCCGAGGTCGGCCTTCCCGCACCAGAGTGATGGTCAGACAAAGGTCAGACAAGACCCACAAGAACACTGGCCAGTGTAACTAAGTTTTCTGTGTGGGGGTCCCTATTTAAGAGTTGGGCAACTAGGTATTTGCTTATACAATAAGCAAATTTTATTTATTTATACATAATAATTATTTTTTATTATTTATACAAACAAGCGAATATGCAACAAAAATTATTTATTGTTTACTTATACAAATAAGCAAATTACCTGGCCTTCCACCAGGTAAAAGAAGTATCCCATGAAAGGCAATTTGTAAACACCCATGTCCAGCTCCCCTTCATTTCCCATTAGGGCAGGGTGGCTAGCTGCTCCATTACTGGAACTTCACTTTAGCTGGGACTCTCAAAACAAAAATGAGAGTGTAGAAGAAGAGCAAGGTATAAAACAAAACCCCTGAGGCCCATATCTCTTGCAACTTGGAAGACAATTACAGTAAATGGAATGATTACATATACAAGAAAAATAATCAGAGATGCTATTGAGGATATTGGCAAAACAAAACAAAAAAACAAACAAAAAACAGAAAAAAGTAAAAGCAAAGAGAAGAGAAGAAAGCTAGGAGAAAACTAGGCTCTCTTTTTGCTTGTTGAAATAGAAACATTTGTACTTAAAAAAAAAATTCAAATGAGAAGATATCTCTGCAGAAGTTGTTCCCAAAACAAATAGAAGAATCCTCTCTCAGAAAAAGCAGGGAGTTTACCCATGCACTGTGTCTAGATGATGACTTTGTTAAGCTGGGAAATTTCCTGGGTAAGTAAAATAACATCACCCTTAAGAAAGTCTTAGGGGAAAAAACCTAGAAGGAGAGCACAGAAAAATGCCTAAATTTTTTAAAATTCTAATGTATGTATTTATGTGTGTGAGAAATAGGAATAGCTGACATCTATATAGGCTGATACTTATATAATATATATAATATTTGATATGTGCATATCAGATAAACATGACATGTGGAAAGCAGATGTCTGTTTAAAGTACAAAAGTGCCACTTGAGATTTTACGTATGGTTCAGCATTACATTGTTTTCTCTGTCAATGGTGTGTTGGGTCTGGCTGTGAGCCCAATTCTCTCACATAATGATTAACCTGAGACTAGCACAGTACCATCTGGTAGTGTCTCAGGTATGAAATACATGAAAAAAAATCTACCAATTTATGCATTTTATCCTGAAAGTGTAATAAGTCATGATACGACACTTTTTCTGTGATGAAGCCATGACATCTCTTGCAAATAAATGAAACAGATAAGATTTTACTTGATTGTTATAGAAGAATGAAAAAACTATAAAATCTAGAGAACAGGTGCGGAATAATAACTTTTTATATGGAGTCAGAAATTTGAAAGTAATCACACTTGTAATATGATGAGGAGCTGAATAGTTATACAATTAAGGGCAATGTAGTAAAAGACAAACAGGCACTACTAGGCAGGATTGTGTGAATCTATGAACTTTTCATCAGAAAAGAATTAATGATCTTTAACACTACTTTGTAACAAAGGAATGGAAAAAGAACATTTTCTTTTCTTTTTTTTGTGTGTGTGTTTGTTTTCTTAAGACGGCGTCTTGCTGTGTCGCCCAGGCTGGAGTGCGGTGGCATGATCTCGGCTCACTGCAACCTCCACCTCCTGGGTTCAAGCGATTCTCCTGCCTCAACCTCCTGAGTAGCTGGGATAAAGATGTGTGCCACCACACCCAGCTAATTTTTGTATTTTTAGTAGAGATGGGGTTTCACCATGTTGGTCAGGCTGGTCTCGAACTTCTGACCTCAGGTGATCTGCCCACCTCAGCCTCCCAAAGTGCTGGGATTACAGGCATGAGCCACTGCACCCAGCCTGAAAAATAACATTTTTATCTTATTAAATGATTTATATGTGGGTTTAGGTAGACCACTTTGTACAATCTACATGTGTATTTGTCTTTTTGTTGTCTATCTGTTATCTGTTGTCTTACTTTTTTTTTTTTTTTTGCTATACATATGATGTTTTAATGTTTCTTGTGTTCTATTCCTATAACTACCCCAGGGACTAATATGTGCTGTATTCACTATTAGGATTTTCAATAAATACTTTTTGCTAATTCTCAATATTGCTGGGATAACAGTTCACATGACACAGGATGAATTCATTTCATTCATTGAAGATTTGAGCATAATAGAGAAAATTAGATCTGTGCTTATAAAACATGGATTTTTTTTTTTTTTTTTTTTTTTTTGAGACGGAATCTTGCTCTGTCGCCCAGGCTGGAGTGCAGTGGCGCGATGTCGGCTCACTGCAAGCTCCGCCTCCCGGGTTCACGCCATTCTCCTCACTCAGCCTCCTGAGCAGCTGGGACTACAGGCACCCGCCACCACGCCGGGCTACTTTTGTGTATTTTTAGTAGAGACGGGGTTTCACAGTGTTAGCCAGGATAGTCTCGATCTCCTGACCTCGTGATCTGCCTGCCTCGGCCTCCCAAAGTGCTGGGATTACAGGCGTGAGCCACCACGCCTGGCCAAAGATGGATCTTTTTTATTTTATATTTTATTTTGTTAATAAATATGCCTTCATTAAGAATCCTTATTAGAATTTTTTATGTTTTTCAAAGTATGTGTAGTAACTAAAAATGTATCACGTGACTAATTGGATAAGGAATAAATAAATGAACGCATACATCTTATATGATACTCTTATAAATAGTTATTTTGACTGTAACCTTAAAATGTTCCCTGATCTGATATTTTCTTTTTCAAAAAGGACACTGGAGTATATAACATGCTCAACAACACGTTAGTCTGTTATAGGTTAAAACATGTTACAACTACATTCTTTTGCTACTTACTTTAATGAATCCTCCTGGAGGAAGTCTAAGACAGTAATGTCTCAGACAGAAATTCATCTTATAATAGGTCATGTAATAGCAAGGCTTCAGGACATTTAGACATAAATTTTTTTAGTTTATTGTTTCCTTTATTTGCCAATCTGAGGTTTTTCCAAAAGACGAAACTGTCTTCCAAAATTCACTGTAATATTGGTATTTTAAGTAAGAGTTGAAGGTTGAATGAATCTTTGACCTTGGTAGAAATGATGGTGTATGTACGTTTTTCTTCACTGAAACTTTTCTTTAACTCATCATTTTCCTAAATGATTTATAGTGCTTGCTGTTGCTCCCATTCATTTGAACTGATATTTTAGATATGGAGACCGCCCAGGGAAATGTAATTCCCCTATTCTTACTGCAATGTTTTCATCATCTTTCAAATGGACCTCAGACATGGTATACAGTATATTTGGACACTAACTGAACACTGGATCATGGAACCTTAACTACAAATTTTCATCATAAATTGGTAAAAAAAAAAAAAAAACCCATTAAGGAATGATGAAATCATAAGATATAGTGAAAAAAAGGTATGCAGTGTTAGCATATTTTTGAAGATGTCTATATAGAGACGTAAAGCACAAATAAATGTTTACCTTTCTTTGAAAATATGCAAAGACATTTTGATCCTTAGTAAACACAAAAATGTCAAAATTAAGGATTTACTTTATTGTAATTCCTACGGAGAGATTATATTCTTTAGTTGCTGTTGATTGATTTGATTGTGGGCGTGTATATTGGGACAGCGCTTTTTTACGCTATTATCTCATGAAATCTAAATATCATACATGTCTACATTTTTCTGCGTACGTGAGATATTTCAGCTGAGATACGTGTTAAATTTGATAAGATTTTAGAAAATTCCAATTCATCTCTCTTTCTGAGAAAATCTTCTTGCTGCCATCCTCAATTACTTCACAAACTGATAGAACTTGGCATGTTTAACTGATAAGGGTCCCAGAATTGTGATTAACATTGCAGATGGAAATGGTAAAAGGCAAAGTTGTGCTAACAACGATATGGTTGTTCAAGTGTTTAAATTAGAAATTTTAGCAAACCAGCTTCTTTGCACTAAATTTAATCCCTTAAGGAAATGGCAGCTACAAAACACTGACAGCTCTTTTTTTCTCCTTATAACTAGCTATAAATGAGTTACTAGTTTAGCATAAAAATAGTTTGGGGTGAGAAATACACACTTTGGTTTTGTAATTTGAATTGTTTTAAAATTCATTCTTTATAATTCAGTCTATTGTCATATTTAGTTGACATTTTTAATACATTTAATATGTCTATTTGGTATATTGCACAAGTGAATGTAATGTAAGAACATAAGACGATTTCAATTATGAAGCATGTCCTCCCACCCCTCACTTAGTACTATCAAGACTTCTTAGGGCAAGGACTCTTTTCCAGTATCTGTACATTTAGAAAGTAAATAACAAGAATTGTTCACTATAGACCTATAATTTACTGCTGTTTAAGTGTGCTCACTATTATCCAAATAAAGTATTGAATATCTTACACATTTTACACTGAATATTCTTATGGATATATATCACTATAAAATAGTACTTTCAGTTTGCATTCATCCTTATGGTTGAATAGTTTGTAGTGAAACATATTTAAAGAAAAGAATAAATTTAAAGGAATTCTGGCATACAGTTACATTTGATGTAGCTTCTGTTTAAAGCAGCTTATAGCTAAAATCAGTTTTCATTATGGGCTCTCAATAAAGGTTAGGATTTATCAGGCACATTCCATGTTGGTATCTCTTTGATTTGTTTACTTCGCTTTTGAGGTTGGACAATTTTCTAATTTTCACATTTATTTGTGGGCTAACATAGCTTTCAATGAATATTAGACCACTGATGGAAAGAGTTGAAAAGGTGTTTTAATTCTCTTTTAGAATTCACAGAAAAGGATTAAGCAGCTAAAAGTAACATAGATGGTCTGTTGCTATTTAAAAAAGATAAATATTTGTTTCCAAGTAGGTGAAGAAAAAAATACTTGGAAACTATGGTTCCTTTTCAGTTTGTCATTAGGTAGTTTCAGTGTGACACTTTGGTGTAATATCTTGCAATCCTACTCAAGGTAATATGATGCCAGGCTATGGTCTGCAGCATGCAGCTCAGCACTTGATCTTGTGAACTATATTTACCAGGGAGCAGAATGGGATAATTGGGTAACCAAAATACTAGGAAGAATGTGTTTTAATGGGTTAATTCATTATAACAGGTATATCTTAAGCCTTTTTATTTCTTCTATTGAAAGATAATACATAGATACAGTAAACCAAACCAAACAACTGTAAAGATTATTGAGTAAATATCTTTGTAACCAGATAAGGAGATAACAATTTGCTAAGGACCCCAGAACCCTCTCCATGTGTCCCATCCCAATTATAGTCCTGTCTCTTTGCAAAATAGTAGCCACCTCTCTGGACTTTTGTAGTAAACACTTCTCTGTGTGTTTTCATTTTATCTGTCAAGTGTGCAATTCTAGACACTGTAACTCAGTTGTCCCCATAAAGCATGATAGAGCTTTTGAGTCTCTTTACTTACACATTCTTCCTTTATCCTACTCTTCTCACCATAGTTTATCTGTTGAAGAACCTAGGCTCTTTGACCTGCAGAGTGTCTCACAGTCTGGGTCTTACTGATTTCACTCTCTTTACATGGTTCAATATGTTCTACTGACATCCATATTTCCTAGGTATTGGCAACGGAATCCTGAATTGGGGTTTAATCTTTTTGGAAGTCATATAGGTGATGTGTTTTTTCAATGGGAGGCACTTAAGATGGAGTGTATACTTCATGTAAGAAAGGAAGGATAAATGTTTAATGCTTACCCACTTACCCTTTATTTACCAGTTAATGAATTATTCCCCAATACTATCTAAAATTTTTAAAAATATAATTATAAATGTATTGATTGTAATTAGTATGCTTTCTGAAGCTCAGGTGATCCCATTTTTGACTAATTCTGGATTCTTCACATTGGCTCTCAAGTCCTTTTGACATAACCTGGTAGTCCTGATAGCCTCCTGACTATTTGTTATGAAGACATGATGGTCCAGGTTCAAATTGTACATTTCCAGCTTCAGTTGTGAAGTCAGTATTTTTTCTAGGAATTCTGGAGTGTTTTTGATTGAAATTAATGTTTTGAGATTACAGTCTAATTGCTTCTGTTGGCATTGTTCCTGTACTTTTTGTTTAAGGAAGTATATATATATATATTATACATGATAAAATAGTATGTGTAGATAAACATGTAGAGATATTAATATACATGTATAATATTGCTATGTATATCTACATGTATTCTATATATGTTAAAATACTTCTTGAGTTTATTTGGTAACTTTTCATCCATAGTTAGGACTATTAGGTTTTGTTTAATTGGGGATATGGACTGCATGATTGTGTCCCCTCAAAATTTGTAATTTGAAGCCTAATTCCCAATGTTATGGCATTTGGAGGTTGGGCCTTTGAGAGGTAATTAGGTCATGAAGGTCAAGTCCTCATGGATAGGATTAGTGTCCTTAAAGAAGACCAAAAGACTAGGGTGTTCTCACTCTACTCTTTGCCCTATAAAGATACAACAAATAGACGACCATCTGCAAACCAGGAAAAATACCCTCGACAGACACTGAATCTATTTATACCTTAATCTTAGACTTCCCAGACTCTAGAACTGTGAGAAGTAACCTTAACTTGTTTCATCTACCCAATCTACAGTATACTGTTAGAACTGCCCAAACTCACTACAACAACCACTTTAGTATTCCATCTATTTAGTATTCCATCTATTTCCCCATTATTACATACTATAAATTCTGTCTCTCACGGGCAGAAAGGATGGCATAGATAGAATGTCCTATAATTACTATTTTTTTCTGTCATGTCACACACACAATAGTATTAGATAGACAAAACTAAACATGATTCCCTCAACAGAATTACTGAGAAGAGTTAAAATACTTTTTGCATATGTTTTTGTGTTGTCCACTCGGTTTTTTATAGTTGTACTATATCTACGTTATTAGAACATATAGCCATTACATACTATACTCTGCCCTTTTTATTCCTTATATAGTCTTAGTTTCACAAATAACTATAATTGTAATGCTCATTATCTGATGATGTTCTCTAAAGATCGCACACTAATAAAAGTCTCAGGAGGAGCTCATGGGCGCAATATTCCCTGAGTCCTCACACATTAATAGCAGTTTGTCTTTACCCTTATACCTGTAAGTCATTACTTTTTCATGCATTAAATTATTGGCTCACATTTTTCTCCCTTGGGTAACTTACATATGTACCTTCAATTCATTCTGGTCTTAAACCGTTTTCATAAAGTCTGAGGATAAAATACTTTCTTTGAATTATAAGTTGAATGCTATCTTTTCCTAGATGCACAAATGATTTTATAAAATATCTCTTTA
This sequence comes from Homo sapiens, assembly GCF_000001405.40. NCBI lineage: Eukaryota > Metazoa > Chordata > Mammalia > Primates > Hominidae > Homo > Homo sapiens. The sequence goes on from NC_000013.11 coordinate 54,439,947, forward strand.
ATATCCAGTAATTTCACTAGCATATTTCTTGGTAACAGCTTTTCTGGTTCAATATTTTCAGGTACACGTGGCAATCCTTCAGTATGTAGTTTCTATTCTAGTCCGAAAGCTCTCTTGAATTATTTTTTTAGTACTAATTCTGTTGCTTTTGTTTCCTTTTTCAAAAAAACCATTATTCATATGTTGGTTCTTACTTTCCACAATTGAATATTTATCGCATTTTCTTTTGTTCTTCGTTTCCTTTTTCTCTTCCTCCTCCCTCTTTCTCCTCCTCTTCTCTCTTCTTTCATTCTAATTATTTTAGACAGGATATTGAGGTAAAAATTAACATTCCACAAATTTAGTATTTTAAAGTACAATTTAATAGGGGTATAATTTATATTCAGTAAAATTCATCTTTCTTAAATGCATTATATATATATACGTGTGTATATATATATAATACTATATAAAGTGTATATATAAAATATTATATATAAAGTATATATAAAATGTTATATATAAAGTATATATAATATATATAGTATATATAATATATAAAGTATATATAATATATACATAAAGTATATATATAAAATATATATAAAGTATACATATAAAATATTATATATATAAAGTATATATATATAAAATATAAATCTACATGATGAAGTAACCAGCAGCACAATCAAACTAGAGAACATTTTTAACATCTCACATAGTCTTTTCAGGTTCCTTTTTTTTTTTTTTTTTGAGGAATTAACAGTCTTTATTGGGCTCAGACCAGGAGTCCGTGGGTCTTGAGGACCTCTGTGTATTTGTCAATTTTCTTCTCCACGTTCTTCTCGGCCTGTTTCCGTAGCCTCATGAGCTGTTTCTTCTTCCGGTAGTGGATCTTGGCTTTCTCTTTCCTCTTCTCCTCCAGGGTGGCTGTCACTGCCTGGTACTTCCAGCCAACCTCATGAGCCAGGCGCCCCAGATAGGCAAACTTTCTTGTAGGCTTCAGACGCACGACCTTGAGGGCAGCAGGAACCACCATCCGCTTTTTCTTGTCGTAGGGCGGTGGGATGCCGTCAGACACCTTGAGACGGTCCAAAGCGGCCTGGCCTCGCTTGGTCTTGTGGGGCAGCATACCTCGCACCGTCCGCCAGAAGACGCGGCTGGGAGCCCGGAAGTGGTAGGGACCTCTGGAAGGGCTGGTGTTCATCCGCTTGCGGAGGAAAGCCAGGTAGTTCAACTTGTTTCTGTAGAAATTGCCAGAAATGTTGATGCCTTCGCAGCATACGACCACCACCTTCCGGCCCAGCAGTACCTGTTTAGCCACGATGGCCGCCAGGCGGCCCAGGAGATGGCCTCTACCATCAAGCACCAGGACCTGCACCTCCGCCATCTTCGGCAGCCGCTTGGGAAAGCTTCAGGTTCCTATTTAGTCAACCATCTTCTGCTACCCTTGCTCCTGCTGACAACCACTGATATGATTTTTTTACTCGATATTTTTTTACTCTTGTAGAGGTTATATAATTGGAATGATACATTATGTAGCCTTTTATGCCTGGCATTCTTCGCTTAGCATAATGCACTTTACAAACCTATGTTTTCTTTAATTTTCAATCAATTCATTTATTCAGTGAATATTTACTGAGCATCTACTATGTACTAGGTATGTAGCACACTTACCAGGTTCTAGGCTTTAGGAATACAAGAGTAAACAAAGCAGACAAAAAATACCTATCTTCATGGAGAGAGAAGATGTAGGAATGGGCAACAAATAATTATTATAAGTTTGTTAGAAGGTAATAAATGAAAAAATAGAGAAAAAACTAGTTAGCATTTGTGGGGTGGGATGTGCAATTTTAAATGAGATGGTCAAATTAGGTCAAATTGAGAAACTGAACTTAGAGGAAAGATTGAAGAGAAGAAGAAATAAACCATAACTGTATGGGTAGCTTATTCTCTGCTACCATTTATATTTTGCGGCTATTGTGAATGGTTGATTTTCTTATATTTTCTAATTCTTTGTTAATAGTATAGAAAGGTGCAATGGATTTTTGCATTTATCTTTGTCTTATATTTGCTTTGTTTTGATTTTTTTAATGTACACAACCAGCTTATGCAAACCAAAATTGTTTTTTAATCATTCCAATCCTCACATATTTATTTCTTTTTTAAAAAAAACTTTTATTTTAGGTTCAGTGGTAGCTAAAATAAATTAATACATGTGTTAATTTATTAACAAATTAATTAATTTATATAGATAAACTCATGTCACAGGGTTTTGTTGTACAGATTATTTTGTCACGCAGGCACTAAATCAAGTACCCAATAGTTATTTTTTCTGATCCTCTCCTCCTATCACCCTCCACCCTCAAATAGGCCCACTGTTTGTTGTTTCTCATTCTGCATCCATGAGTTCTCATCATTTAGTTTTCACTTATAAGTGAGAGCACGCAGTATTTGGTTTTCTGTTCTTGCATTAGTTTGCTAAGGATAATAGTCCTCCAGCTCCATTTATGTTCCAGCAAAAGACATGCCTTCATTCATTTTTATGGCTGCATAGTATTCCAAGATACTTATGTACCACATTTTCTTTATCCATTCTGTCACTGATGGGCATTTAGGTTGATTCCATGTCTTTGCTACTGTGAATAGTGCTGCAATGGATATTCATATGCATGTGTCTTTATGGTAGAAAGAGTTATATTCTTTTGGGCACATACACAGTAATGGAATTGCAGTTCTATGGGTAGTTCCGTTTTTAGCTCTTTGAAGAATCACCACACTGCTTTCCATGATGGTTGAACTAATTTAAAATCGCACCAACAGTGTATAAGCATTCCCTTTTCTCTGAAACCTAGGTTGCCTTCCAGTGTTTTTGTAGTTGGGGGAAAAGCCCACACTCTTAATGTATCAATAGTTTGTTCCATTTCATTGCTGAGTAGTATTCCACTGTATGAATGTACCACAATTTGCTTATTCATTCACCAGTTATAGGAACTCTGGATATTTACCAATTTTTGTATATTATGAACAAAGCTGCTAAAAACATTTATATAGAGTTCTTTGTGTGAACATTTGTTTTTATTTATCTTGTATAAATAGAAGTAGGCTCACTATGTTATATTGCAAGCATATATCCAACTTTATCAGAAGCTGCAAATCATTTTATAAAGTTACCATACCATTTCACATTCTCACCAGCTATGTATAAGTATTTCCTATTACTTTACATACTTGCCTGAACTTGAAGTTGTCAGTTTTACTTTAAAATGTGTTCATTCTAATAGGATGGATAATTTTTATATTCAGGTATTGAATAGCGGTTCTAATTTATATTTCCCTAATGACAATATTGTTAATTATATTTTCTATATGTTTATTTGCCATCTGTACTGTTCTTTTTGAAGTAATTGTTCAGATAGTTTTGTCTTTTCAGTTGGAATGCTTGTTGTCTTATTAATATGCTGTAAGCATTTGTTTTAATTCTAAATACGAGTCCTGTGTCAGATATGTGTTTTAAAAATATTTTCCCTCAGCTGACAGATTCATTTCATTTTTATACAGTGTCTTACAAAGACCAGATGTTTTAATTTTGATTATGTCCAATTTATCAATTAAAATATTGTCTCTCATATAAAAGTCTTTGCTTAAACCCGTAAACATGGTCGATACTTTCGTTTTATTAAGTATTCATTAAGCTTTCATCAGAGTTTTTGTAGTTTGCATTGTGTAAATTCTGCCAATATTTATCCTTAAGTATTTTATTTTATAAATGGTTGTTTTAGTTTTAATTTCTGATTGTTATTAGCTATTGTATAGAAATGCAATTGTTTGGTCTAGTATCCTGTGCTCAACTCAGATAATTAACTTCAGTGAAATTTTTGTAGATTTTTAAGGATATTTGCACACAGAGGATCAGGTTGTCTGTAAATAAAATATTTTTACTTCTTTCTTTCTTTCTCATATCCATGTCTTTCCTTCCTTTTTCTTCACACTTTCTTTATTGTACTGTATAGAATCTCAGTACAACAACAATGCTGAATAGGATTGGTCAGACATCCTTCTCTTCTTCAATATCTTTGGGGAAAATATTCAGTGTTTCATCATTAAATGTGTTACCTGTTGCTGTTGTGTAGATGTGCCTCATCACCTTGAGGAAGCTCTCCTCTATTGTTTGTTTGTTGAAAATGATGATCACAAAGGATGGTCAATTTTTCTCAAATCTTTTCTCTGTATCTGTTGAGATAATCACATGAGTGTTTTTTTCATGTATTGATATAATGAAGTGCATCTTTTATATATGGATATAAGGAAATGCATCTATGTTCAAATATTGAAATCAACTTTTTTATTATATTATTTTTTATTATATGAAGCTCAATTGTTCATGATGTATTTATCTATATATTACATTTAAATGTTTGCTAATAGTTTAAGTATTTTATATATTCTTTCATAAAGTACCTTCATCTGCAGTTTTCTTGTAATGAGGTGAATGCAAGTGATGACAACAGAGTGTCTTCTTAATGGTGCTTGCATGAGGCCAAGGCCGTGAAATGTGCAACATTCTCCAGCTACAAGTGTTTTCAGGAGAATTTCAGGCTTAGTTTAACTTGAAAGACAGGAGAAAAGTGGTGACATAACAGTCATACCAATGTAAACACACAAAGATGGGAACAACAGCTTTTAATACCATAATCAGAAATAGAATGAAATACTCTTATGTACATAGAGAGCTAAGTTTTCTCTACCACACTCAGATAGCACAGATTCACAGAATATTTCCAGATGCATTGCAAAGCAAGTACCTTTTAAGAAGATCAAGTACTTAAAGATGATAGGACTTTTACTTTGGATTATTTATATCATATTTAATTACTTGTATTTTGAAATTGTGCTATTCATTTAAAACTTCTGTTTTTGCTGTGTGTGTGTGTGTGTGTGTGTGTCTGTGTGTGTGTTTAATTTGTAATGCACTGTCAACAGATTTTTGTTTCAATAAACTCTTTGTGGTATACCAGTCTCTCTCTCTCTCTCTTTTTTAAGTGATTTCAACTTTTAGATTCAAGGGGTACATGTGTAGGTTTATTGCATGAGTAAACTGAGTGATGCTGAGGCTTGGGGTACAAATGATCCTGCCACTCAGGTAATGAGCATAATATCCAATAGGAAGTTTCTAACCCTTCCTTCACTACCTCTCTCTCCTCTGTAGTAGTTCCCAGTGTCTATCTTTATGTCCACATGTACCCAGTGCTTAGCTCCCACTTATACATGAGAATATGTGGTATTTGGTTTTTTGTTCCTGCCCTAATTCTCTCTTAATTCACTGAGGATAATGGTCCCCAGCTGCATCCATGTTGCTGCAAAGACATGATTCTGTTCTTTTTTATGACTGCATAATATTCCATGATGTATGTGTATTACATTGTCTTTATCCAATCCACCATTGATTAATATGTAGGTTAATTCCATGCAAATTAATTCAGCCACTGTGAAAAAAAGTTTGGAGATTTCTCAAATAACTTAAAACAAAACTACCCTTCAACCCAGCAATCCCATTACTGGGTATATACCCAATGGAAAATAAATCATTCTACCATAAATACATGTGCAATTGTATATTCATCACAGCACTATTCACAATGACAAGTTATACCAGTCTTAACATAAGTTACACTTCCTTAAAAATGCCTTTACCATCTAGTTTAAATTACCTCTTTCCCAATCACTGTCTATTACGTCATTCTGTTTTAGTGTATTCACTGAACTTATCAATTCTGATATTATATCGTTCAATTTTCTTTTGTTTATGTACTATCTTTTCTCCTGAGATAAATTGTGAGTGTGTGTATGTACACGTGAATATTTATGTGTGTCAAGTGGATGAGATATAGAATGGCAGAGTGAATTATTTATTTTTATTTCATATACAGAAAAATGTAAGATAATAACTGAAATGTTGTTACCAGTGAAATGTTGTATCATACAAATATGTCAATTAACAACTCAGGAATCTGTTTTTAGCTGAAATATTAGGATATGACTTTTTCCACACAGAGATCAAATAATAAAACTGCATTTTGTGATTTCAAGACTAAAAATAATTGACAAATGTTTTTCATCTTAAAGAAATGCTGATCATAGCACAAAAATAACACATTGACAAAGAACTCATAAATTATTATGAAGAAAGAGAAGCAATTGCTGCTTTAGTGGTTAATGAAGGCAGTAAAAATTTTGCATCCTTATTAGATGAAATCAAGTTTCATAAAAATCAATTATTAAAAACCATGTTTAAAGTTAACCTATAACATTCACAGCAAACACAGTAATGACAAATGACATGACTAAGTGATTCTTGCAACTGATGACACTAAATATAAGATAGATCTCATCCTTGGACTTGTTCTGTAGTAAGATACAATAAAGAGCTCTGTCAAACATGAGAGAAAGGCATTTGGCGATTGGGGAATTTTTCCATAGCTGCATTTATTAAGGTTTGCATCACATCCGAGAAACAGATCTATGTAAGTAGGAATTAAAATGTGTTATCAGAACACCAAAGAATGGCGTTTATAATTATATACCTTTATGCTTGAAAATATGTTGTATGTTGTATGGCATACAACATATGTCATTCCAGCAGTTTTAAATGGGTACTTAAAAAGTTTTAAGAATTTAATTAACTTAGATTTTATCATAAGCATATTAATTTGTTTTTCAAGTATGACACTTAAAAGTATGATGTTTGCACTCTTAAGAGAGCAAAGTGATCAAATACATTCTTAGGAATATATATGCAGAGACTGTAAAGTGATTTGTTGATAGCCTGTAGAATAGGATATCCATTTTTTTGTCAGATGAGAATGAAAAGTAGATGTTCTATAAGAACAGGATGTAAGTTTATTGCAATAGTCACAGTTATAAGACCATTTTTCTATGTTGTGCCCTTCTACATTGATTAAATCTTCTTGGTTATTCGAACCAAGTATATGATTTGATTAGCCTTATAACACTTTGCTCTTTATCTCACTTCTAATCTCTTTTCTTATTTTCCAAGGCTCTGTGTTCAACTTCATTCTATTTAGGCTTTTATTTCAATAGTAGTCTATTTGATCTTTCCTCTAATGCCCTATTAGCGTTATTTGTATGAGTTCTCAGAACTCTTTTACTCATTTCAACCATTTTTACTCTCCTTAGAATATTTAAGGTATGGATAAGTGAATAAAGAAATTTAGTAATTTCTTGCATTGTTTACTGAAAAGCATACTACTCATACACATTCTATAAATTATTTTGTTCAAAATAAGTAATTTTAAAATGCTATGAAATGTCAACAGTTCTTATAAAAATTATGCCTACTGGCAAGGCACGGTGGCTCATGCCTGTAATCCCAACACTTTGTGGGGGCCAAGGTGGGCAGATCACCTGAGGTCAGGAGTTCGAGATCAGCCTGGCCAACATGGCAAAACCATGTATCTCTTAAAAATACAAAAAAATTAGTCAGGTGTGGTGGCGCATGCCTGTAGTCCTGGCTACTTGGGAGGCTGAGGCAGGACAATTGCTTGAACCCAGGAGGTGGAGGTTGCAGACAGCCGAGATCACACCACTGCACTCTAGCCTGGGCAACAGAAAGAGACTCTATCTAAAAAAAACAAAAATTATGCCTGCCAATATTTGTCAGTAATTGGTAGCAGTATCAGTTATTAGTAATGTTTTATATTATTTCTGGATATCTGTTTATTTACGGTTAAGGTGATTGCTTGAAAGTCATACCAAGATAAATATATGGAAACTTATCCATAACTTAGAAGGACAAATTCCATCTTATTATTGGTAGCTGTCATCATGATCATCACTATCACAAGAGTGTAGACTTATTTTGAAGAGATCATTTTACCAAGTCAATAAAGCCCCTGATTAATAGCTCCTGCCTTGTAGGTCCAGATACTTAAGTTTACATACTCTACCTTACCATAAAAACCAGATGGAGGAAAACCAGATGTACTTTTTAAAATAGATTATTCTTTGTAAGGATTATTTATGACTGATTATAGTACCATTATCAGTAAACACACCTTGCTATCTACCTTTAACAAGACTAAACCATATCCTAATGTAACCATGGACGTCAATTCTCTCTGTGATCAAGGAGCAGTTTTAACTTTGTAGACATGAATAAATAAAATCATGAATGATTTCCCAATGGATTTATATAATATAGTAATCTCCTCTGTACAAAGATTTACAAGCAACTGATTCAGCTTTAGAATATGAGAAAAAAAGACTTTGAAGTAAAAGTATATCTGTCGTGAATTTTGATGATGTAAACCAGGTACTACCAAATGCTTAAAATATGCTCAGAATGAGGGTTACTTCATGAGAGATGTTTTGTACCTAAAAGTAATCTTCGTGTGAGTTATGAATTTTGAGGTAAAATTCTGAATCTGCCACCATATGGGCTTGAACATGTTAGTTACCTCATTCTGAATGAAAATATTGAATGAAAATCTCTCCCAACTCTGGAAATAGATATACTTCTCTAGCAATTACTCTCATCATAATATTTAGGAATTTTTGAACGACAATTTTATTTTCTCAAAGTGATTAAAAAAAAAACCCTAAATATTCTCCCACTGGTTACTTAAGGCTCTCCCTACTACCGATAGTAAATCGGAGAGGCTAGCCTAGTCAGTGTAATATCATGCAACTATTTCCGAGAGACTCATGGTTTATTCTATTGGGTTTAGTGAGGTGCAGAAAGACAATTTATGACCCATATGGCACATTTATGAACTTTAAAACATGGCATCACTCTTATGTGATTTTTATGGACCTAAGGAACTTGGGTTCAATAACAAACTGAGTTATGTACTTGGAAATCTCTACTTCTGCAGAAAGTCTTTGAAAAAGAGATGTGACCAGACAGTGTCAGAGGAAGATTAGAAAGAAAAAAAACCCTTCTCTTTCCCTATAGATTATTTTATTAGACTTTCTACATTATGTTTAATATTAAATATTTTTTTCTATAATTCATTTACTTAAAGGTCAGTAGATAAAATGTGTGTCTATTATTTTAGATATTAGAGGAAATTATCATCTCCAAATAAATACAGATAGAGACCTCCTCATCAATGGCAACAGTTTTATTTTAATGGTAAAAATTAAGTAATGGAGTGTCTTTCGAAATGACACTGCTCAAATGCTAGTCTTGAGCAAAAGGAAATAGAATAGAAGCAATGAAAGTCTGGTGATAACCAGTAGCCGTAGAGTGATAAACTTGCCTCATCTCCGCAATTTCTACCAGAATCTTAAGTTCACCATAGTGCCTGAGATTCGCTCTCTCATTTCTACACTTCCAGAGGATCCTAAAAACATGTAAGGATTCTTCATTTGGCTTCATATTGTATGGCTATAAACTCTCTCAGTATCCAAACAACTTCCTCTGGCATAGTTTTAATTTGTTAGTAAATTTTAAATCACAGAAGTCTATAAAATATCAATCTAGCTTATTATAATCAGAGATTTGACTGACTGCTGGTCCCTAAAAGCTTTTTGGTAAGTGTTGGAAAACTAAAAGCTTTTGGTAAATGTGTGAAAACAATTTATACACAATTCAATAGACTTTGTAAGATGCAAATTATTCATGAAGCTATGGTAAAAATTTCTCCAAAACAGATTTAAAATGGAGTCCAAATGATTACATTGTGCTTAAAAATCAAATGTAAAATTGGAATTTCATCAGAATATCATGAGCAGATTGAATTTCCCTTTCAAGTCTATTAACTATTTGCTTGGGGTTGATTTGCCTTAAGAAAAGGGGAAACTCAACAACTCATTTTGTGCCAAAATTAATTCTAACAGTAATACATTTTGTGGTCCACTGACTTTCAATTTATTAGCAGTGGAGCTTGGTTGATTGTTTTGATCTTCAGTTTATTGGCAATGAAGTAGGATTTACTGTGCCATTGCCTTTCAATAACATAAATGTTACTTCACTGTGCTTGTGCTGCATTGTACGGCACTATAAGAAAATGATTTAATTGTCTGTCTTTGCTTAAACTTATAATACTTTTGAGTGTAGTAGAACATTTAATGTCAAGCTTGTCTCTTTGCATATTTATTTTTGCAGTCTCAACTCATAAGAGGTAAAAAATGTGTTAGTCTAAGGACCTGCCATTGCAATTTGATTACATTGACACCAGATGGCAGTGAATAGGTCCCTAGGTATTAGATATTAGAATACATGTAACTTTATATCCAAAGAACTGGATAACCTTTAAAAAACATTTGAAATTAAACTTCATGCAATGTGCTTAAAGATAATTTTTTGAAACAGCTTTAAAGAATAAAGATAAAGAGTGTGATAATTATATCTTTTCTTAATAAGGCATGCCTTTTTACATTTAATTTATATCTTGGTTTGGAAGCCTAGTTTCAGTGTCAAAGTAAGTCTGAATTTTAAGTTTTTGGTAAGTTTGTTTGGACTTTTGCTTAATTTCTTATAAACTCAGGTTTCTTCATTGCCAATATTCTAGCACCTCCTCAATAAGTTCAAAAATATTTTGATTTTGTTTTCCTCTCAAAAAACCGTAACAACTTCTGTTCCATATAGATATACCCTAAAGTAGACTATTTCACATTTAGTTTAATATAACTCTCTGTCAAAATTACTGACTCCAGAAGGTGTTTTCTAGATATTGATTGTCTGAAAAGCATCAACTTGTCTCTTTACATATTCAAGTACACAACTCTTACCTCTCTTAGAATTTCTAGAAGGACATTAGGGTTATGATGGCAGTGTTAACAATGCCTTATATGAAATGTGGGGGGCTGAACATTAACAAGACACAGAGGAGATATTTGGTAAGGGAAAAGCAATAACCCTCCAAAAATATCTCTTGAGCAAATGCATGAATGATGTTTTCATTCATTAGGCTAAGTGTATGGACTAGAAGGAGGGCAAGTAAGTTTCAAAGGATAATGCTATTTGTGACATTTTGTATTTGTGATGATTCTGTGAATTTCAAGTAGTGATATAACATAGTAGTTATGTTAATTGATTTAAAGATCATACAAAAGATCTGACCTAGATATGTAGATCTGAGAATCATCATTAACGTATAGGTAATAGTTCCCAGGTTAAGCCTGACAAAGTATTACAGGGTTCTTCCAATATTTTAGGAGTGTGAAAAAAAGTGAACTCCTTAAACAAGATTGACAAGTATCATCTTAGTATATGGAAAGGGGCAAAAAATGCTACTGTCATGAAAATCCAAAGAGAATAAATTTTCAACTAGAAAAATTAATAAGAGCACATTCTGTGGAATACTCCGAATGAAAGAAAAATAGTTACTTATTGGTTTAGGAAATGAACAATTTTACTGGTACCCTTAGTGAGAACCATTTCTGTGGAGTGGTGTGGGAAAAATTCAAATTACAGAAGTGGTAGATATTGATGTGGAATTATTGATAAGAGATCATTCTTTACTATTTATAGTTGTGTGTCTTTGGGTAGACTGCAGAGGGGAATACAAAATCTATACCAGGGTATATAAATGTATAAGTTGCTTCAGTCTCTTACATAAGGTATTTAGCTTATGGTAAGGGCTCACTACATGTTAACTGTGATTCTTTGTAGGGTGAGAAACTATTTCTTCCCTTCTGATACCTTTATGTGTAGAGAAAGAGTTTGGGTCTTGTATTAGTCCTTTCTCATGCTGCTATGAATAAATATCTGAGACTGGGTAATTTCTAAAAAGAAATAAGTTTAATTGACTCAGAGTTTTGTAGGGCTGGAGAGGCCTCAGGAAACATACAATTATGGTTGAAGGGGAAGCAAACATGTCCTTCTTCACATGGTGACAAGAGAAAGAAGTGCCAAGCAAAAGGAGGAAAAGCCCCTTATAAAACAATCAGATCTCATGAGAAGTTACTATCACAAGAATAGCATAAGGGTAACCACTCACATGATTCTATTACCTCCCACTAGGTCCCTCCCATGACACATGGGGATTATGGGAGCTACAATTCAAGATGAGATTTGGGGGAGGACACAGCCAAACCATATCATTCTGCCCTGGACCTGCCCAAATCTTATGTCCTCACAATTCAAAACACAATCTTGCCCTTCCAACAGTCCCATAAAGCCTTAACTCATTCCAGCATTAGCTCAACAGTCCAAGTCCAAATTTCCACCTGAGACAAGTCAAGTCCCTTTCATCTATGAGCCAGTAAAATAAAAAACAAGTGAGTTATTTTCAAGATACAATGGGGGTATAGACATTGGGCAAATATTCACATTTCAAATGGGAGAAATTGGCCAAAATAAAGGGGCCACAGGCCCCAGGCAAGTCCGAAATCCAATAGGGCAGTCATTAAACCTTAAAGTTCCAAAATGGTCTCCTTTGACTCTGTGTCTCACATCCAGGTCATGCTGAAGCAAGAGGTGGGCTCCCATGGCCTTGGGCAGATCCAACCCTGTGGTTTTGCAGGGTACAGCCCCACTCTCAGATGCTTTCATCAGCTGGAGTTGAGTGTCTGCAGCTTTTCCAGGCCCTCAGTGCAAGGTGTCAGTGGATCTACCATTCTGGGGTCTGAAGGATGGTGGTCCTCTTTTCACAGCTCCACCAGGCAGTGACCCAGTGTGGACTCTTGTGTGAGGTTTCCAACCCCACATTTCTCATCTGCAGTGCCCTAGCATAGGTGCCCTAGCATAAGGGCTAGTGCCCTAGCATAAGGGATCCACCCCTGTAGCAAACTTCTGCCTGGACATCCAGGCATTTCCATACATTTTCTGAAATCTAGGCAGAGATTTCCAAACCTCAGTTCTTGTCTTCTGTGCACCCACAGGCTAAAAACCACATGTAAGCTGCCAAGGCATGGGGCTTATACCCTCTGAAGCAATGGCCTGAACTGTACGTTGGCCTCTTAAGCCACAGTTGGAGCTGAAGCAGCTACCACTCAGGGCACCATGTCCTGAGGCTGCATAGGGCAGGGGGCCCTAGGCCTGGAACACAAAACCATGTTTCCCTCCTAGGCCTCTGGGCCTGTGAAAGGAGAGGCTGCTGTGAGGGTCTCCGACTTGTCCTGGATAAATTTTCCCCATTGGCTTGGTGATTAACATTTGGCTCCTCAATACTTACACAAATTTCTGCAGCCAGCTTGAAATTTCTTCTCAGAAAATGAGGTTTTCTTTCTAGTGCATTGTCAGGCTGCAAAGTTTCCAAACTCTGCTTCCTCTTGGACACTTTGCTGCACAGAAACTTCTTCTGCCAGATACTCTAAATTATCTCTCTCAAGTTCAAAGTTCCACAGATCTCTAGGGCAGAGGCAAAATGCTGTCACTCTCTTTGAGTAGCAAGAATGACCTTTACTTCAGTTTTCACTAAGTTCCTCACCTCCATCTGAGACAACCTAATTGTCCATATTACTATCAGCATTTTGGTCAAAGCCATTCAAGAAATCTCTAGGAAGTTTCAAACTTTTCTTTTCTTTTTTTTTTTTTTTTTTGAGACAGAGTCTCACTATGTTGCCCAGGCTGGAGTACAATGGTGTGATGTTGGCTCACTGCAACCTCCACCTCCCAGGTTCAAGCAATTCTCCACCCTCAACCTCCCAAGTAGCTGCGATTACAGACACCCACTATCATGCCTGGCTCATTTTTGTATTTTTGTAGAGACAGGGTTTTACCATGTTGGCCAGGCTGGTCTTCAACTCCAGAACTTAGGTGATCTGTCTGCCTCAGCCTCCCAAATTGCTGGGATTACAGCCATAAGCCACCATGCCTGGCTGGAAGTTCCAAGCTTTCCCACATCTTCTTGTCTTCTGAGCCCTCCAACTCTCTAGGAATTTCCAAACTTTCTCACATTTTTCTGTCTTCTTCTGAGCCCTCCAAACTGTTCCATCTCTGCCTGTTACAGAGTTCCGAAGTCATTTCTGCATGTTTGGGTATCCGTATAGCAGTACCCCACTCTCTGTGGTACCAATTTACTGTATTAGTCCGTTCTCACGCTGCTAATAAAGACATACCTGAGACTGGGAAATTTATAAAGGAAAGAGGTTTAATTGACTCACAGTTCTGCATGGCTGAGGAGGCCTCAGGAAACTTAAATCATGGCAGAAGGAGAAGCAGACACATCTTTCTTCACATGGTGGCAAGAGAAAGAAGTGCCAAGCAGAAGTGCCAAGCATCAGACCGCATGAGAACTCACTATTATGAAAACAGCATGAGGGTAACCACCCATGATTGAATTACCTCCTACCGGGTCCCTCCCATGACACATGGGGATTATGGGAACTATAATTCAAGATGAGATTTGGGTGGGAGCACTGCCAAACAATCAGGTCTCATTTGATATCCATTCCATGAGAGGAGGAATGACTTGCTCATATTTTTGGTTATGCTGATTCTAGTTCTTAAAGTTATGCATATAGTAGTCATAGAAAAAGCTTTTATCATTCACTATTGTCTTTCTGAAGGGTAGAAAGGAAAAAGGCAGCATCAGTGGTATATTCCTAAGTACCACGATCTGCCATGCAACAGACGCTCTTTGCATTGAGGTAGTGTTTCCATATTAACACTGAAGACTTCTGGCCCAGAGTCCATCATGTAGCCTTATTAGAAATAAACAAAGAAGTCTATGTTGTCAGTATACTATTGACTGTAAACAGTATTTATCAATTTTAATGTATTTTGTTCCAATTTGAAAAAATATTACAATCCTTTTTAGGTGATGGTGGAGGTTGATATTCAGTGTTACTTCAGATAATAATAATAGTTTTCTTGAAGGTAACACATTTGTTGGAAATGGTGATATGATCAAATACACAGAGGAAAATAGGAGATGAAATTCTGTCCCAATTGGAAGTTGGAAGACTGTGGCATATAAAATGATATATATACAAGGAGTTTCCTCCACAAAGTGGAGCTCTGTGAACCTGAGACAGTCCAACGAAAAGTGCAAGATTTAGTAAATGAGTCCTGCATTCTTATAATAATTCACGGATATTTTCCTCTGTGGTTGCTTTACGAAAAGCCTGAAAATTGTTACATTTTGTTACTATTATTATTAATATTTTATTATTACCAACAAATGAAAAGAAATGCCTTTGTGTGATAAATATTCAAGTTGTTTGTAGGTCAGACTCCTTTCACATAGTTTTTAGTGTTACCTTTAGTTATTAATGTGGTAGGCTTATTTGTCTTCAGTTGGCCTGGTAGCAACAGATTATGTTTATATTTAGCAATGTTTATTCTTTTTTTTCAGTTTTATTTCTCCTTTACATCATCATTTCACTCATAATGAATCAGATTCTGTACAGCAAACAAATGAATTTGGCTTAATTTCTACTTAATCGATCACTTGGTAAGACTCAATCACTTTAAGTTTGTCTTGGGTGATAGACAAAATTTAGTAATTTATTGAAACCTAAATGCAGGAGTTAGACAAGCTGTGTAATTTTTTCTTTTATCCCCAAACCCCTGTGGCAGGGATCCTCTTGAATGGTCCCGTCTCAATAGATAGAGGGGAATTCTTGAGCATTCCTCATGAGAAAATAATTTGTTCCTTCGTGAACATATAGTTTGTAAACCACCATTAGGTAGAATAGATTTTAAAAATGTAGTGCATATATACCATGGAATACTATGTAGCCATAAAAAAGAATGACAACATGTCCTTTATAGGAACATGGATGGAGCTGGAGGCTATTATCCTTAGCAAACTAACACAGGAACAGAAAACAAATACCATGTCTTCTGATGTGAACATGGACACGTGGAAGACAACAACAGACACCAGGCCTATCAGAGGGTGGAGAGTAGGAGAAGAAAGAGGATTAGGAAAAACAACTAGTGCATACTATCCTGAATACTTTGGTGATTAAATAATCTGTAAACAAAACCCTATAACACAAGTTTGCCTATATAACAAACTTGAACTTAAAATAAAAGTTAAAAAAATAAAAAAGTTAAAGCAAGATACATCACACTTGAGGTAATGCATATGTTATAACAAGAAAAAGTGAATCTACACATAATACATCTTTTGTTTGTAAAACTTGGACCAACATGGGAGAAAATATACATGCTTGTTGCTTTGTAATATATTTGTTAAAGAATAAAGAAAACTTTGCAATTCCTGAAATTAACAAGGCAACATTATAATTGTGTGTTACCAATGCCAAACAATCATGAGTACAGAATAGTCAACAGAAGGAGGCAAAATGGTGACCCTGTCTCATTTTTGGAGCTCGAAAGAACAGAAGGCCTTGCTGAGACAAAACACAGGGAGTGTTTTCCCATTCTGTTTAGAGCTTCAAAGCTGTTTGAGTAGAGCAATACCTGAGCAATTATTGCAAATTAATATGTGATTTTATTTAATTAAACTTGAGTAAGAGAATAAAGAGGTTTTACTGAAAATCTGTTTGTATTCATACCTGTCCCTTGGAGTTCTAAAGCTCTCATATGCTACTTTTGATTAAGCTGGGTCCTGGCAAGGAAAAAGTAGTCTCTCTTGATCTTTGGCCAAAATATACCTACATATGTCTTTGTTCCTGAACACTCATGAATTTTCTGAAAGTAGGAAATGTTAAGATGTGGTGATGCGGGGAGGAAATATGTTTTAAATTTCTGGAAGAAAGAAAATGTGGTGCTTGACTACAGAACACTTTGGTCCCATGATATCGCAGGAGAGGTTTCCTTTGCTGTGTTCTTCTCATGTTTCTCCTTCACTCTTTTATATTCCCTTCTTTCATCTTCAGTAGATACTAAATTTCTTCACGCAGGTTGCAGTTCCCTCAACTTCCATGACATAAGATATAAATATAAACTTTAGTATGTTCACAAAACCCCTGCCAAATTGTATGTGGGTAAGTAAGTGTATATTAATACATGCATTCTCTCTCTGTATGTGTGTGTGTCTCTCTGAACCTGCCTCTTTCTTTCTCTCTCTTTCTCTCTTTCTTTCTCTCTTTTCCCTTCCTTCCTCCCTCCCTCCTTCCCTCCCTCCCTCTTTCTTTCTTTCTTTCTTTCTTTCTTTCTTTCTTTCTTTCTTTCCTTCCTTCCTTCTTTCTTTCTTTCTCTCTCTCGTAAGAAATAAATAAGTCATTCACCCCCAACAAAATAAGAGAAATGATATCTATAATCAAAAGTGAAGCTAGAAGAGCAACAATAAATATACATACTTGGAAATACATAAAGTAATCTTAAGAAATAGAGAATTTTTCAGGCCAGGATATAATTTAATGAAGTTTTACAGGTGTATAAAAATAAGGCATATTTTAAAAGGGACTTGTTCAAGTAGGCAATGAATCCACTGTCCAAAAGACTGCCCAAGACCTGGATGCAAGAACTTCATCCTCAAGACACTAGTATAGAAATGGATGCAAGCAGAAGTCATAGAATAGACTTTGCAATGAAACACTTGACTAATGAAACTAACACTTTCAGCAAATAATAATAATAATGATAATTATCACTAAATAATTTCCCCAATAGTAAACTTTATGTAGTAATAAGTGAACTGAAAAAAACATTCTTACCAAAAACTCACAAAGGTTAACCACACCTTTAAGTAAACCAGTATAGCCAGCCACCCTGGGCAAAAGCCTGGTATTTTGTGGACCTCATTTTAAGCTCCTTAAAATAGTTTCCTAGAATTGAATCAGAATTCCTTGCTTATGTCATTTATTCACTTCAACTTTCAATAAATATTTATTGAGCAACTGCTGTGGTGGGTATAGGGGCTATTTAATCTAAATAAAACGTATCTAAATAAAATATCCATGATCAGTGAACGTGGCACTTACTTTCTTTACTTATTAATTTTTCACCCTTTTTAAAGAAAAGAGCAAAGGTATGATTGGGCATAAGTAGTCCACTTTGATTATTTTTAATCTAAATGTGGTAAAAGGAAGACGTCAATTTCGTTACTATTAGTATTTTTCTAAGCCAAATATATTTTGATTAAAATAACTAAAATAATAGTTTCAAATGTTAAACTTTTATGGACTTTCTAAAATGAAGGAAAGCTTTCCTTCTGTTTAAATTTAGACAATTGGCAAAGCACAGGAACCCTGAAATATAATTTGAAAGGTAATTTGTAAAATCCTTCACTCAATAAAATAAAAAAATAAAACTCTGAATTTATACAAATTATTTCCTAAATACACTGAATTGATAAGTGAAAAAATGTAAGCAATAATTGGTCTAAGTTTGTTTATGTTAACCAAAATAAATGCTAATTATATCTTTCATTTGCTTAACCTACCGTAAGCATTTTTTAACTAGATAATTTTTATAAAATTATTTTTATAAGCTTTGTATTTAAAATTTAATGAGAAAGATGGCTACTTAAAGAATGAATAATAAAATTAATGTCTTTCCCTCGATTATTCTAGTTCTTGGTTATTAAGATTATGATTTTAAATTGCTTGTGTAATTTACTCATTGATCTACTAAACATATAAAATATAAGAGTATTTCAGGACAGATTCCACTGAAAAATTATTCTACATAAACCTAAATACAGAAGCATTTTGTGTTTAGTTTGTTCTCTGTATAAAATATTATCCTCGTTACCAAAGTAAAGATTACCACCATTACTTTATATCAAATTTTATTCTTTTTTTATATTGGACTTTTTGAGCAAATAATTTAAAATTTTTATCTCCTATAATATTTAAAAATCCATTATATTTGCCACCACTAATTTTATTTTACCATGAATTAACACCACTTGTGTGATAGGTTATTTCAAAAATCACATCTGGATATTCCCAAGCATTTCTATTAAGTTTGTCCTGGGAAAGATGTGTCTATATTGTTGCACACATATCCTGTTAGCGAAGTCCAAGTCACTAAAAAAAATCATCACTTTGGGAATATAATTCTATGAGCTCTCTCTTCTCCTTTTGTTATCACTAAGCTCTCTTAAATTCTCTATTTCTTCATGCAGAATTACTGACCAAAATAAATAATCTGGTGAGAGTTTGTCTGTATTGTGCATTTTTTTTTGTCCATAGCTTCTTGATTACCAGATAAATATTGGTTCCTGTCTTCTTTGAACACCTTTCATCCTCTACAGTATAATTTCATGTTAAGGTTTAGAGACACCACAATTGAATTGCATAAATCTACTCATTATATCATTTAAGCTTTGACTTTCTATTGTAGCCTGTGGGAAAGAAGGCCTTTCCCTACTCTGCAGTCTAAATTTTAAATCTAGAAATATGACCAGATGTTCTCATTAAGCATTAAATGAGTACTGTGCATGTATATCATTCCTTTCTTACACATAATATGCCCTGCAATTTTAGTTTTAATTAAATATGGATTTTCTTTTATACTTAGCTCATTCTCCAGATAGCTACCCTGACTGTAATAATATTCTTAGTATTCTCCAATGCCACTGAATTTTTATAGAGTCAATGTCTCACTGTGAAACCTCAGCTAGAAACGTACAACATTTATGATCTCTTCACACAAAATGGGAGCTCCTAAAATAAAACTTTCCCTTCAAAACTGAACACTTTAAGCATTACTCGCACGAAGGAAAATTCATAAGATTTATAAAATGTATATATTATGATTCAGACCAAAGGAGAATATTTGTCCATCTCCATCTCCTCATAGGTATTCTTTTTTTTTTTTTTTTTTTTTTTTTGAGACGGAGTCTCGCTCTGTCGCCCAGGCTGGAGTGCAGTGGCGGGATCTCGGCTCACTGCAAGCTCCGCCTCCCGGGTTCACGCCATTCTCCTGCCTCAGCCTCCCAAGTAGCTGGGACTACAGGCGCCCGCCACTACGCCCGGCTAATTTTTTGTATTTTTAGTAGAGACGGGGTTTCACCGTTTTAGCCGGGATGGTCTCGATCTCCTGACCTCGTGATCCGCCCACCTCGGCCTCCCAAAGTGCTGGGATTACAGGCGTGAGCCACCGCGCCCGGCCTCCTCATAGGTATTCTTAAAATATGTTCTAGTATGAATAGAATGGCAGAAAACTTGTTCCGGCTTCAGTGTCAGCTTTCGAGGTACAGAATGAAAGGGCCATTCACTGAGAAATGTCTAGTCATTCATTTTTTTACATAAGTAATTACGGAGCATAAATCACTTGCCTGGCACTATGCTGAAATTTGGAGTATGGAAATTAGAGGACAAATTTGCTGCCTGCTACTGTGCAAACAGGCAAAATGTATAGCAGAAAACACAATCATTGCTAAACTAAATGTACATGCAAAGCACCAAAGACATCTCGGAGAGGAGGTGTTAACTAAGCTGGTATTGAAAAAAATACATTGCTTTTGCCACATGGATAAGCCAAGAGAGAGGAAAACATATCACTCAGAGGAAAACATAAACACTCAGAGGAAAGAGACTTTTTTAGCAGCCAATAGTAATGGTTACAAGCCAGGACTTTGAGACCACAGTTTTTCGGTTCAGATGTAACTCCACAACTTACTAAGTGAAAACTTAGGAAAAGTTACGTAAACTCTCTAAGCCTCTGTTTCCTCATTTATAAAATAGGAACTGCATCATAGAGTTATCATGAGGATAGCATGAGTTAATGCATGTTAACTGTTTATAACAGTGCATGTCTAAGTGTTTGTTAAACAAAAATAAGTAAACAAAATTTGGAAACTTCAAGTTTCTGAAACACAAAAATTTAAAAGGTCATGAGACAAGTTGGCCAGATCATAAACGTTTTCAATTTCTTTAAAAAGATAAATAGAAAAGAAAAGTTATTTTGAGCAGAGTGGTGATGTGGTAGATTAAAGATAACTAAAATCTTTTGTCACTCTTCCCATTTCCGGAGTGGAGTATATTAATTCCACTCCTCTTGAATCTAGGCTGGCTTTAGTGACAACCTTGATGAGAAGAATGTGGCAGAATGTATGTGCCAGTCTTGGGGCCCAGGCATTAATGGATTGTTAGTATCCACTTCCAATCCCTTGGGACACTTTCTGGGAGCCCCAAGCCTCGCTGAAAGAAGTCTGACTATGCAGAAAAGGCCTCTCCCAGATGCTCTGGCTGATGATCCCAGCTGAGCCCAGTCTTTCTGTTTTCTCCGCCCTGGTACCAGACATGTGAATGACAATGGCTGGGATTCTCTAGATTAGAACATCTCCTAAAATTAAGCCCACAGTGAAGGCCACCAACATTAGATGTAAACGAGAATCATTTATCTCAGCCTTGCCTGAATTTGGAACCACTAATGTTAGAATATTTTATTAAAAAAGAACAGTTGTTTTAACACGCTAAGGTTTGGGATAGTGTGTTCTTTAACAATAAATAACTTAATTAAAAGAAGTGACAAGATCTGATTTTCATACTATACATATCTATCCCTGATATGGTTTGGCTGACCCCACCCAAATATCATCTTGAATTATAGCTCCCATAATCCCCATGTGTTGTAAGAGAAAACAGGTGGAGATAATTGAATCACAGAGGCAGTTTTCCCCATCCTGTTCTTGTGGTAATGAGTTAGTTCTCACAAGATTTAATGGTTTTATAAAGGGCTGCTCCCTTCGCTGGGCACTCATTCTCTCTCCTGCCAGTCCATGAAGAGGTGCCTTCCACCCTATTTGTAAGTTTCCTGAGGTCTACCCAGCCATGAGGAACTGTGAGTCAATTAAACCTCTTTCCTTTATAAATTACCCAGTCTTGGTCATAGCGGTATGAGAATGGACTAATACAATGCCCTTGGCCTTTGTGACACTGGGAAGAATATAATCACTGGGTTTGAGTATGAATACTGTAATGATATAAGGAGGCCCTCAGAGAAATTCAAATGAGAGATTATGAGGGTCTGAACAAAATCAGTGTTATTAGATATGAAGAGGAAAATAATGAATTAAAAAATATTTTTCTCTTCTGCATTTTTTTTCTTTTGCCCTTAAGTTTCTTTTCTACTGCATGGTTACAGTTTAGGGAAAGTGAACTCACTAGAAAGCCAAAGTCCATTTGTTGTGCTCTTAGAAAATTCTTGAAAATAATATTTTCTTGGCATTTTTTTGTTTGAGATACACACACACACATATATGTGTGTATATATATACACGTGTGTATACACGTGTGTGTATATATACACGTGTGTATACACGTGTGTGTATGTATACACGTGTGTGTATATATACACGTGTGTGTATATATACACGTGTGTGTGTATATATACACACACACATATATATGTGTAGCAAAGATTTTGGAGAATTCAGAATCTACTGTTTGCATCATAAACACTAAATGGGGAAAGATGCAAAATGATTTCAGACCTTGCTGCAGCAACAATCCCCTAGGTGAGAAGAAAGAGAATAAGCAAAGGAGAGTAATATAGGGGGATAATGGTGGTTTTGAGTATTTCTGTGTGAGCTCAGCAGTATGCCCATTACTGGAGTTAAATTCTAAAGTATAAGGTAGTTTATATCACCTTTAAAAAAATTTTTGGCCAGGACCAAGAGTTAGAATTCACCTAACAATTCAACCCAATACAAAAACAAAACAAAACAAAACAAAAAAACTCCCAAAACAGTCATTTTACAAAACATCCTGTTGGTCCTACAATGACAAATGTGGTGTTTCCTGGGCTATTTTCTAAATTTTGGTTAAACTGTATGACCCAATAGGTTGACGTCATGAGCTACAACTTTCAGTTTGAAAAGCACTCTTCTCCAGAAAACAATATGTGTAATGGATAGAAAAGAATCGATTTTCATGAATGTAGCCTAGGAAGACTGAAAACCTCTTGAAGAATGTCTACATAGAGCATAGATTCAGAGTAATTGAATATTTGCTTCTAAAAGATGTCCTGAGATCAACAAGAGAACATCCTAACTTGAAGTGGCAGATGCAGCCACAGGTTCCTATAGCCCCGTTTAAAAGAGCTGGGGACATATCATAGAATGGGGCAAGGGATGTAACTGTCTGGGATCTGGATAAGCAGCATGCAGACTGCCTGTATGGACAGTGACTGAATGCTGTCAGGACCCAGTGACTGATGTTAATGCTGGGAAACCACACACACAAGGAACAGCTACATCTCAGCAGTGGCTAGCAGGAGATGCCACGAGGACAAGGAGGACCAGTGACACAGTCTTCTTCTATGATGCTAGGCTGATAAAAAACCAAAAATGTTCTGACCCCCTGCCTGCCCCAGAGTTCTCTATTAGTCTGGGGATATGAGAGATCTTATATATAAAATCTCTCTTTCCCAGCCAGATTTTGAATCATTTATGAGATGACAAAGGAGTCAGATTGATGGAGATCAAAATATATTTTTATTATGGATAAAGCAGAAGGAAAATATGAACTTAGGTTTATTGTATACATGTATTTCTTTTGTCAATTAGTCAGTCTTATTTAGTCGCAGCCAGTATTATAAAACCATAGATGGCCCAAGAGGGCACTACTTATAGGAAGAGAGAATTTGTGCCTCCTGAAGGCAGGCTATTTGTGTGTGCGTGCGTGTGTGTGTGTGTGTGTGTGTGTGTGTGTGTGTGTCAGAGAATGGGGTCAGTAACAGAGAGAGATAGAAAGAGAGAGCTAGAGAAAGGTGGAAAAGAGGGAGAGAGAAAGGATATGAGCAAATAATATAAATTATCTTATATATCACATCATTGTTGTTACTGAATATTTCTTCTGAATATATTTTTAGGCTTTGCCAATTTAGATGTCTTTTAATTTAAATTAAAATCATGTTGAAATGAAAATGTAAAATAACACTATATATTTACAACATGAAGAAACTTCTAGCAATCCAGTTTTTAAAAATGAAAACACATGCACAAAATTATCTTAACAATTAGTGAACTACAGGCAGTCAATATGAAGAATATATA
Source organism: Homo sapiens (assembly GCF_000001405.40). Taxonomy (NCBI): domain Eukaryota; kingdom Metazoa; phylum Chordata; class Mammalia; order Primates; family Hominidae; genus Homo; species Homo sapiens. The sequence continues at coordinate 54,463,760 of NC_000013.11, forward strand.
CAAATAATACTTGGAAAAATTAAAAAATGTTATTAGCAGTAATAACAGTAATAGTTAATCCTTTTTAATTTCTTATTGTTTTATCAGTTTGCCATTTGAAAATAAAAAATATTTTTTCACTAGCTCTTCTTTACCCTTATTGTTTGCTGCATACAATGAATTAAGGGCCAATTTGCAAAACCAAGTTTGAGACCTACCAGAAGATGAGAGACAAAGGTCTCAGGAAAATGAGAGATATCGAGTTGGAAAGGAAAGTACTAATCTTCATCTTTACTTCTGAAGCTTGGGCAGTAAATTCTTCCATTAGCACCTATTGAAGTCTAATCCAGAGACTGGGAAATGGACCACTGCATATACCACACGGATGCTTTTGTTAGGACCACTGTCCCCAATGCTTCTTAAAAGCAAGATGTTGCCACAAGCTCTGAGGCCACTACCACTCCCACTATTGTGGATGGGTCTGACCGGAGGGCCCTGATTCATGGGCCCTAGCTACAGAAAGGCTAGAAAGAGAACTATCTGGTACTTTCAGTATCTATATTGAAAACCAGGGGGCTGGGCATGGTGGCTCCCACCTGTAATCCTAGCACTTTGGGAGGCTGAGGTAGGCGGACTACTTGATGTCAGGAGTTTGAGACCAGCCTGGTCAACATGATGTAACCCCATTTCTATTAAAAATCCACTGCCATGGTGGCACACACCTGTAATCCCAGATACTTGGGTGGCTGAAGCAGGAGAATCACTTGAACCCATGATGCGAAGCCTGCAGTAAACCAAGATCACACCATTGCACTCCAGCCTGACCAACAGAGTGAGACTCTGTCTCAAAAAACAAATAAATAAACAAAACCCAGGCTCTGTCTAATAAGGAAAGGGATTTTACAAACTTAAGATGGAGGTTCGGATGCTGGACAGACAAGAATAATTACAAATATTTTTATGCCTCGCCATCCTCAGCAGTCTTGACTGTGTCACTTAATAGAGATTTCTCTAATTACCAATCCAAAGAGAGGACTTCCCCTTCGTAAAAGTTAGCAAAGATCCTCACTATGCCAACATCCAGGAATAAAAGTACAAACACTTCTGCCCACTGCAATTTGGGCTACAGCTTCACCAGTTGCCTGAGTCCAGAGACACAGAATGCACTCATACATATCAAGTTGTAGAAAGTGGGTCACTACTTACAAATACACAGCAAGGGACAAAAGAAGACTCAGAGCCATCGTGAGCTTGTCTCCCAAGGCTCAAGAAAGCTGTGCAGGGTGGATGGAGTCTTCACTGCATGTGTACCACTTGCACCACAGCTGAAGGACTCCAAAAGGCAGACCACCCTCAGGGGCTACACGACGAACTGGGCAAAACTTTAAAGGGCATCCTGCTTTAGGGGAGAGATCAAAGCCTGGGCTGTGGTTATTTTGAGAGCCACATGCAGAAAAGTAAGGGTATTGGGGAGAACTGGGTCAGTCCAGGGCCACTCAGAGAACTGTCCACCATCACTTTGCCCTTTTGTCTGTAGAGCAACCTGGTGGGAGTTTGTTGGGTTTATAAGGCAGTATCATCAAATTTTAGTTGATTTTCCTTAACATAGGTAGATAAAAACTTTGTGAGTCTGAGAGGCTGTTGAAAATCTATCAGATCAACTAACAGTCAGGATCAAATTGAAAGAAGTGGTAGAAAAATAAGTGAAATGTGGAGCAGGGAAAGAATAAACAAGGAGGATATTGCCAGGGCTGGAATTTTAGGGAAAGATATTAATAACATAATCCTGCTAAACATCTGATAACAGCTATTTGCAGTGTGATTGGACTTGCCCGGTCTTACTGATTACCTTGGGAACTTGTTATAAATAAAGATTTCTAGGATCAACACAGACTAAGTGAATCAGAGATTCTAAAAGCCTTGACATATTTATTTTCATGTCCAAGATGATTCTTGTGCTCAGATTAGTTTGGGAAATTCCGGGGCCTTAGATCATATTTGTTGACATTAGGTCCTAGATTGCAGTCAGTTAATCTAAGTTGCCTGGGTCAATATGCAGTTAAATGATATGACATTGATAATTTAGGAAACTAGCGAATAAGTGTTGCCCTTTCAGCTGGCACCTAGGAATTCTTAGCCTGAACGACTTCTTTTAGTGCCTAAACAACTCTCTAGGACTTCCATTGACTCTCCTGGCCTTTAAGACACAGTAAAAAGGTAACTTTTGATGTCAGGGATAAAGCTTGTAAATTCTCTGTGACCTAACAACTTTTAAAATTCCTCAGCCATGAAAGGATGCCATATGATATTTATCTCTTTAATAAGTCTTCTTTTTCTGATTGACTGAGTACCTGCTTCTATCATTTATTTTTAAGTGTACTTCTTCTATTGATCTAGATACTTATGTTACAGATGCATTGTAAAAATCACAAGAATAAAGCACTTTAGCTCACTTTAATATGCAGATGTAGAAAATAAAATACATTTTCTATGAATGAGAATTCATGCACTTTTAGTTAAAATTATCTACTTGACTTTCCAAAACTATAGCATTTCATCTATAATTAAGGAAGAAAACACGTATTTTAGTCTTAGTCATTTGATCTCTGGAGAATTTGGGAGTATGTATATATGTGATGGATGGTGTGTTGTGTGTGGTTTTGATGCATATGCGTGCATGTGCTGTGCGGTGGTTATCCATGCATGAGTCTGTGCGTATATGTATGTTTGGTGTGTACATAGCGATACAGCTGTGTGTGTGTGATGTGGGTGAGTGTTTGTGTGTGTTTTCTTCATATTTTTATTGAAGATTTTGGCCAGTCTTTACCTGCAGCACTCACAGGTGGAATAACATGTTGTCTCCGGTGTCCTTTTTGATATTAATAGGATTCCCCAGGGTCTGAAAAAATGTTCACCTGTCTCCTTGGAAGAGATAAAAATTTCTGATTTTTTTTTGTCTTTTTTATTGTTTAGTAGCTGGATTCTTTTTGAGAATAAATGGAATTAGGGGAAATGATGTAAAGATAGATAGTGGGATAAATCAAATAGCCTTTATAAAACTAAAGGTCCGAAAAACTCCTTGAAAGTTTAATTTTAGCCTATTCTCATGCTTCAAACTACGGTATGTTTCTAAATTTTTAGTCTGAAGACTTTCCTTCCCCATTGTTTTAGGGGCATTAAAATGTTTACTTACTTGATTTGGTTATGACATTTACATTTTGTGACATGTTATTTTCTCTCTTATAAGTGTTTTCATGACCTGTAATCTGCATGGTAATATAAGTTAAACACTCACATTAATCTAGACTGTTTTGGTAAAAAATTATCTTTATTTCTCTCAAATAAAACAATACATTTCTTGAAAGAAGTGAAACTTTCTCATGCTTTTTTTTCCCTCAAGTTTCCCAGGCTTAAAAACCCACTGTAAGGCACAGAGCATGCCTTCAATGAATAATTACTGATTTCACTTGTAAGATTTGGATGGTGAAATTTTTTAGTATATGTGTTGAAATTGTTTAATGTATGTATGAGGTCTACCTTTGATCTGGACTGATAGAAATGTGGTTAATTCTCATAAAACAGTAGGGAAAAAACCTGCCTTCTTCTCCAACTATGTTCTTGCTCTTAGAAGACACAGAGAAGCTAAGGTACACATTTTGTCTAATAAATATCCATAGGAAAGAAGATGTTTTCATTAACTGCATAGGATATTGGTAACAGAAAGCAACAAGTTAAAGGAAAAGCTATAATAAGAAAAATGAATCAAAAAGGAAGCAAGAAGAATAAGAATAAAAGTGAGAGAACTATTAAAGTCATAAAGAACAAACCAATATATAAAAAGGAGAAGAGGCTATGAAAAGGGGAAAAAATCGAAGATTCAGTATTTAAAATCATGAGTTAGTTAAATTCACTAGAACAAGCCTAAAATAGTGACACAATCACATAGATTTTTCAGTCTGAATAATGTCTAAATGGTAAATAGAAAATAAAAATCAATTTCAGCTGAAAACTTTAACTGAGTTCAAGCATACGTAATAAGTTGTACCTTCCGTGTAACATTTGGTTAGCTGGGCCAATAGAAAACTAGCCTTGCTGGGAGACAGGGTGGCCCTTTGAAAGTTTCAGTTATATCCATCCTGTGCAGAAGACCCTAAAATTCTGAGCACTCCACTTCTAGTCTCTCCTATCTTATTCTCCAAACACATATTACAAAGGAGCTTGGGAACCTGGAGGGACTGAGAGTCAATGCCATTTTCATTAAATTTGTAATATGAGACAGCATTCCTAAATGGAGACTGTTCAGAAATAGAAGGGGGCTACTCTAGAAATGAAAAGTAGGAAAATGGGAAAGGTTGAAATTGATCAAACTTTGTCTCTCCCCATCCTTAATAAGTCTGGTATAAGAATTATTTTGAAAAATGTTGTACTTGCTGGTCCACACACCATTCTACAATAACATATAAGACCAAATTGAAGCCTAGGCAATACAGTGAGGCACATTTATACAAAAAATAGAAATAAAAAATTAGGTGGGTGTAGTGACACACAGCTGTTTTCCTAGCTACATGGGAGGCTGAGGCAGAAGGATCACTTGAGCCTGGGAGGTTGAGGCTGCAGTGAGCCATGATTGTGCCACTGTACCGTAGCCTGGGCAACAGTGAGAGACCTTGTCTCAAAACAAAAACAAAAATAAAAACAAGTTAAAATAAAATTTGGTCTAGGCTAGTAAATATTATTATAAATTTTAGGAGCTTTTAAACTTTTTAGTCGATTTGGTGTTTCATTTACCATCTTTGCATTAATTGTCCCTAATACGCTTACTAAACGTTAGGCACTTTCTTGTTTTAAGTCTAATGTTAGTGTCTAGTGCAATTTCATTCTCCAGCCTTGTCCAAAAGAAATATAAGATTTAGTTAATATAATGGAGGCATATATGGAGAAAGGGGGGGAACAGTAAAGCTATTCAGGACCAGAAAATAAGCATATTGGCTGTAGTAGGCAGAACTCTAAGATGGCTACCAAAATTCTTGACCTCTGGTGTGCAAACCCTAGATAATCCTCTCTACTTGACTGTGATTGTAATGTACTATAATTTTCATGATTATGTTATGTTATATTATATGATGAAGATGAAGGGATTTTTCAGATATAATTCAGGTCCCTAATCAGTTCACTTTAAGCTAATTAAAGGAACTCTCCTGGATGTGTGTGACTTAATCAGATGAGAATACTTTAAAAGAGAATTAGGAGGTTAGAGATAAGTCAGAAAGATTAAAAGGAAGAAAGAAAAATAGACATGAGAAAGAGGAGAGAGGGTGAGGAAGAAGGAGAAAGAGAGAGAGAAAGAGAGACGAAGTGAGAAAGAGAGAGAGGAAGTGAGAGAAAGAGAGAGAGAAAGAGAGACAGACAGAGACAGAGAAAGACAGATATTCCCTTCCCTTTTTGGCCTCAAAGAAGCAATCAGCCATGCTCTAAATGAACTGCTTGTGGAGAGGACATGTGGAAAGGACCCCAGGGCAGCCTCTAAGAGGTAGAGCAGTCCAGGACCAGAAGCCAACATAAAAATTGAGACTCTAGTTTTACAACTATAAGAAACCAAATTCTGCCAAAAATCAGTGAGCGTGGATGAGGACCCTCAGCATCCAATTTCTGATTACCATTGAACCATTCTTTTTCCATCCTTTTACTTTTAACCTGACTTTGCCCATATATATATACCACATTAGTTGAGTCTTGCTATTTTATTTAGTCTGCCAATCCTTGCCTTTAAATTAGAATGTTTAAGCCATTTATATTAAATGTGTGTAACCAATATGGTTGGGTTCAAAATTGCCATCTTGCTAATATTTTTCCATCTGTTCCATCTGTTATTTGTTTATTTTTTCATCTTGTCCTATTTCTTTTTAAAATTGTGGTTAAACATACATACTACAAAATTTACCATCTTAATAATTTTAAATGTATAGTTCAATACTGTAAAGAAGTATATTCACATTGTAACATATCTCTAGGAGATTTTCATATTGTAATTTTAAAACTCCATACCCATTAAATAACTTGCCATTTCCCTCTCCCATCAGCATATTTTCCACAAATTTTATCTTTCTCATTCTCCCTAAACTCTGTTCTGTTTCCTCAAATCAAAGTTTCCTTTTCCTCCACCATGAACCCAAAAGTGCTTCCAAGAAGATATCCAAGACAACTATAGCATTTACTTTTTTGTGTTTCTCTTTGTTTTAGGAATCACAGTCCAGTGTTTGTGTCCAATATCTCAAAATATATGTTTCATATATTTTATCAAGTTTCTTAGTTTTCTGCCAAGACGGTGAAGTCCTTTCCCACTTATTCTGTCATGATCAGAAGCAGGAGTTTTCCTTAAGTTTCTTTTCAGTTTCTGACCTGTACCTGCCCTGGAACTAGTAGCTTCTATAAACACATAAATTGGTAATTTATCTAAAGTCCTGCAGGTGCTAAGATTGTTGTCTCTTACTAAAATGAAATATGGCTCTTACCTTAACTTGTGAGTTTACAAAAGCCTTTATAAAGAAACCAGGGTTTGAATGAGCATGAACATATGAGTACTAAGCAGGAAGAATAAGAAATATCAGACACGCTTTCTGCTTTCCAAGCAGGATTAGCACATTCATTAAGATATGTAATCGATTGGGCACTCTGTATTAATATTAGGCTAGAATATGGGGTTACAATAAATCAACCATAAATTTTCAGTGATTGACTATAAAAGGTTGTTTATTGGTTACATGTAGTTTTATCTTAAACCTGTGACCCTTACCTTTCTTGTAGAGACATCATCTGAAATATGTGGCTTCAAAGCTCACCAGACAATGAGAAGAATTGATAGAACTGCCCACAATGTTTAAGGATAGTCTTAAAAGATGTTTGAATATACATGTTCAAATACATATGTGTGTGTATGTGTGTGTGTGTGAGAGAGAGAGAGAGAGAGGAAGAAAGAGAGGAGAGAGGGAGAGACAGAGGTATTATTATGAAGCTAGGCACATAGAAACAGAGGTAAGAATGAAGATACCAAAGTGAACAAACAAGATTAGGGTTTTGACTTCATGGAACAGAAATTATAGTGAAAACCATCACAGATAAAAGACAAGCAACACGTTCAGAAACAAAAAGAAAAACCAGACTGTGCCCATTTTAACAGAGAAAATAAAGTGTGATAGAGAAAATAAAATTGGGCTTCTTTGTTCTGGTAATAACTAGGCAGAGCTTCAAAGAGTATTTCAGAAGGAGGAAAGATCAAGAACTAATTTGTAGAAAGGCGGCCTGAATAGGTGGAGTTCAACAAAAAATGAGAAGAATAGTATGAAATGAGACAAGGTGGTAGGTGAAAGCCAAATCAAGCAGGTCCTGAGGAGCCTGTGAAAGATTAAAAGATTTTATTTTAAGAACAGGCCGGGCACAGTGGCTCATGCCTGTAATCCTAGCACCTTGGGAGGCTGAGGTGTGCAGATCACGAGGTCAGGAGATCCAGACCATCCTGGCTAACACTGTGAAACCCCATCTCTACTAAAAATATAAAAACAAAATTAGCCAGGCATGGTGATGGGCGCCTGTAGTCCCAGCTACTTGGGAGGCTGAGGAAGAATGGCATGAACCTGGGAGGCGGAGCTTGCAGTGAGCCGGGATTGCGCCACTGCACTCCAGCCTGGGCGACAGAGCAAGACTCCATCTCAAAAAAAAAAAAAAAAAGAATAATGAGAAGCCATTGAAGAATTTTAAGCATTAAGGTAATATGATTTGATTGACATCAAATTGCCAAAAATGAAAATGCTTAGATTAATATATAGGAAATGAAGAGCAAGAAAATTACATGTTTTACTAATAGATTTTGTGTAGTACCTGAAGAAAAGTAGGAATCAAAAAGGAGTCATAAATTTTTGGCCTGAAAATCTATTGGTTGGTGATGCTATTTACTGAGATGAAGAAGACTTAAGAATAAAGGGCTTTGTAGGGAAACCCCAGAGTTTTGTTTTTGACATGCTACATTTAAGAATTCCAGTAGACATTTCTATTTGATAGTACTTTTTTTTAGTTGCAAGTGACATAAGCCCATCATACTACCTGCATTTGTTTTTATATATTGCATAGCAGGTTACAATGAACTTGGTGGCTTAAAGCAACACACACTATTATTGCATGTTTTTGGTGAATCTGCAGTCTAAGAAACGTTTAGCTAGTTCATCTGCAAGGCTGTAATCAGGATGGGAGCAAGGTATGTAGTCTCATCTGGAGGCTCAGCTGGGGAAGATCTGCACACGAGCTCATTTAGGTTCTTGGCAGAATTAATTTCCCTGTAGATGTTGTATGCATGGCAGTTTGTTTCTTCAAAGCTAGCAAGGGGAGCAAAACTTGTCAGTGGGTCTGCTATCAAAATGAATGTTATATAATGTAACACAATTACAGAATGTTTAGAAGCAAGTCACAGGTCCCACCTACACTCAAAGAAGAGGATTATATAAGGGTGAATACACTATGACAAAGATCATGTGGAGACCTTAAAGTCTGTCTGCAACACCAGCTAAGCAAAATTTATAATTTCCTTACTTATGTAAATGAAAAGTTGTATAAGAATAGGCTTATTTCACAGCTGAATTGAGTCAACTCTCATCTTTTCAGTGATAATCTGGAAGTCAAGGAGAGTTGGGCACAAAGAAAATGAAATGTGCTACTTAGTAATCTTTATTGTATAGTTTAAAGCTTAAAACTCCCCTGGGGCAACCAACATTAGTGTAACTACATCCTCTTAAGGATGTGTAGATTAATGGTTTATACCTGGTTTAAGCAATTCACAGCCTGGTATTTGCTATGTGATTTTGGTGTATAAGAGACCTTTCACTAAACATGTCCCAGACACCTCTGAATCTAAAATAACTTTCACATATGTTGGTGGTTCAAAATCTGAAGACAAATTGTGCTCTCTGCCACTAAAATGAGCATAGGCAGCATTGACTGGAAGTTTTGGAATACTCTGATAATTGCCTGCATTTTCTTTCAACTGTAGTGCCAAACCCCTTATTAAAGGCTTATAGAGGTATACCTAGGGAGTCTTCTGAGTTTTGAAAATTATCCAACTCTGTGTAGTTTTTGCAGTTGATGCTGTGAGCAGAATATTTTAAATAATACTTTAATCTATAATTCAAATGATGGCTAAGGCTTTGTTCAGAAGAAAGGAAAGGAAACAGGATTCTGGTGATCCTTTACTGAGGATGTGTCGCTGCCTACTCTTGGGGTGAAGTTGCCCAAGTGGTGCAATTATGAATGGGAAGAAAAGCTTATCAACTGGGGGTGGAGATAGTAAATCCAGGGTCGGTAAAAACAGTTAAGGAGATTACAAAGGAGATTCAAACACAGAGGAAATCAGCCAAGAATAAGAATTGTAGCTGCTTCTTGCTCCTTTGGCAAAAATGAAAATACTTGAGAAGCAGCCTGAGGTTGGTAAAATTTCCAAGTAATTGCTAGTGATTCAATATGTAAAGGAGATTTTGATTGCCAAATGAAGTTGGACCAATACTCCAATGAATGGAATATGGTCCTCGTCTGACCAATAATCACCAAAATGTTTTCACAATTCTCACAGAAAGAAAATCAAGAGATTACTAAAACTGGAGAATATTCAGTCGAAAACTATGCCATTTTATGGATTATCAGCAACTTCCTGATAAGCTTCTATTAAAGTGAACTTTACGCATGAGAGATCCAGGGACTGTTTCCTTTACTTTAGATTCTACCCAATGGAAAATCCAATGACTGTTTCCTTTACTTTAGATTCTGCACACTTTGTGTCTTACTTAGGACTCCCAGAAAGCTGCAGCTTTTTCAGAAATATAGATGTTCTGAAAAACATTCAATCTCTTTTTTTCAATAAGTGCAGCATTAAGCAACACATACATTGAAGAGGAAGTTTACTACTCTACCATTAGATATTAAATGTAATAGTTCTGAGGCTGTTGAAATATTGAGAATGCAAGCAATTTTTTTCCTGTGCCTGATTCTGTAATGCCAAAACCTGGGTTACATTTGCACTTTAGGAAGAATCAATTACTACACATGATACCATCACAATACCTCTAAGTGATATGCCAGATTTTCTAAAGGAATGACGAGTTCAAAATTGCTATTGCTTCTTTTTAACAGTTTAAAATAAAATTAACATTTTCTGTCTCTTTCTTAGCTAGCAGACCAGAGTACCATAAGTTTATACTTGTCTAACATTACTCCACACAACTAAGAATGGTCAAACGGAAAATGATTAGCCATATTCATACTGCCAGTTCCATGGATCAGTCCTCCTGCTGAACCTGACAGTCCTACCCTAGAAGGGAGGATCTGGTGAAAATTAATTACAAATAGAAAGAAGAGAATGTGATTGCAAATTAAAAGGAAGCCATTTGGATATTGCAAAAATGTGACATTAACAATATCTAGTATGTCATGAGATTATATGGCATATTTGCAGATACCAATAAGGGCGAAGCTCTTGGAATGCAGAAAACATCTTTTTTGTTTGAAGCTGTAGATTTAAAGAGAATGTTTTAAAAATACGTGTATTTCATTTACACAGATTAAATAATTATGATTGATTTATTTACAGTCCTTATCATTTTTCATTTCCACTGGTCAAATATATTTTATATAATAATCAACATTTACTTGAATCAATCACCATTATAAACCTGCCATGAAATAAGGCTTTTGTTCTCCTTCCCCACTTTAAGGACAATGATTTCACTGTCATTTTAATGAGTATAAATTAAATTCTAATTTTACTTTTTATATATATCATCTGTGTAACATTTTGTAGTAAATTATTCACCAGTCTTTTCCCATCTTATAAATAAATCTGCCCAAATTAATCCAATATTGTCAAATTTTTAACAAATTATATTATTCCTTTTAAAACTCATTCTTTGCAGTTATAATAAACAAAAGTAAATAACATTCATAATCTCTCAATCTGGAGTTATCCAGTGATATATCTCAATGACATTAACATAACCTTGTTTGAAAAAAACTGAAACCATTTCTTCCTCTGCTCTCATACCACAACAATCATCAACACAGAAGACTTCTGTGAACAAATGTGTGTGTGGGAGGGAGTCTTTCCCCAGCACCAAGCAAGCAATCAGTTCTACAGAGGACACGAAAAGCTACCTGAAGGTAGTGTCAGATCCCACAGTTTGAGGGCTCAGTCTCTAAAACTGCTCCCCTCCTTCAGACCAGTTGCAAGTCCAGGCCTGTGAAACTTCTGACCTACTGGTTTCAAGGTGGGGTTCCCATGACCCCCACTTTGTGTTTGATAAATTAGAGTGGCTCACAAAACTCAGGGAAACACTTATATTTACTAGTTTATTAAAAAGGATGTTACAAAGGATGCAGATGAAGAGATGCATAGAACAAAGTATGGGGGAAGGGGTGCAAAGCTTCCATGCCCTCCCTGGGTGCACCACACTCCAGGAGCCTCAATGTGTTCAGCTATCTGGAGGCTTTCTGGATCCTGTCCACTTGGGCTTTTCATGGAGACTTCATTGGATAGGCACAATTGACAGCCATGTAGAAATGTGACTGGACAAAAAAGGTACGATCTAAACACAGCAAGGACTATCTGTTCAGGGTCTTCTTGGCCTCTCTCTGCATCATTTCTTCCTCCAGGTTATGGGATAGGACCTCCTCTTAAAGGAGTGTCTTATGACTGATCCATAGTCATATAATAAGATTAGAGTTCTGTCTTGGACCGGTAAAAGGAGGGCAAGAAATCACAGAGAGACTCTATTTACTATAACAAGGGTTATGGGAGTTACGAGCCAGGAATCATGAACAAAAACCTATATATACCTATATGTGTGCATATATATGTATTCACATATATGTATACATACATACACACACATATATATATGAATCAATAATAATATCACACTTGTACATGAACAATTGAAATACTAATGCTGCTTTGTCTTTTGGTCTCTGTTTTGCAGGTATATCTATTGTGGAGAATCCATCTTGTAAAGTAACACACAGGAACTGTTGCCTCTAAAATACGTTCAAAAGACTTTGTACTTCAATGGGATTATAATCCATTGTGTGTCTATTAATCTAGGTAATGATCTCTTAATAAAACAAGTTCAGATATCTGTTATGGGCCATATTTGTCATAGTATCATATGCCTTAATACTTACAGGTAATCTTATTGTGGATGCAAAGTAACAAGGAAAAAGGAATACTAAGCAAATGGAGATCAATGTCAGTTTAGATGTGACACAGTGGATTTATATATCCACCACTGATAGCCCTAGACCCTTCTTTCCCATTCTCTCCCTAATCTATTTCTTTAAATGTGGTAGTAAATATCACTTTTTAAATTTTCCTTTTTCTTTCTGCTTGCCCAGCATCTATTCCCCCCTGATTTCTAGTAAAAAATTATTCTTTTACTCTGGAACTTCCCCTCAAACCAAGTGTGACAGTAAATATAATAACCCATATTTGCCAACACAATGGAGGAAAGGTGGCCCAAACATGGTCACAGTGATCACCAAGAGTGCCTATGGAAGCCCTTTGGCATGTTCGAACTATATTTATGGATGTCTACTACCCATGTGATACTGTCTGTGAACTCAACGTCATCCTAGTTCAATTGAGGGCAAGATAAGGATATGAATATAGACTTTTTTTCTGTTAGATTAGCTCAAAACACAAAAGATCAGAGGGATATTCAAGCCCTTGGTTTGAGTTATACCTAAAACCAGCCACCTCTCTGAATTTTACATCACTTATTCAGTGTCCAATAATTGAGAGTACACAGGTTTTACGTGTACAATGCTTTAATAAATATCCATAAAAGATATGGCACAACAGAGAAAAGACAGAGCAGGCAATTAGGGAGAGATTAATACACTGCCATGCACTGCTCATTCGGGTCCTTTCTCAGCTACAGTGGATGTTCTTTGTCTTTGAATAATGAGCCCCTGTGATCAGTAAGACATACCTCGGTTTTAGGTAAGCTAGCTTCCTGGAATAAGCCTATTGAGGAGTCTCTTAATATCCACATGTTCATGTAACTAAAGCTAGGCTGATAAGCAGTTGAACCAGAAAGAACCATTAATCTATACTTCCCTAAACAAGATAAGCAAGCAAGTACACAGAGCCTCCAAGGGAACTTCAAATTTTACATCACAATTCTATTGTCCAAATATATACTCAAAATATTCTCAATAAGCATTCAATGACAGCAAGCAGCAAGTGTGGATAAACCAATACTGGCCAAAATGCTCTAAGAGAGAGTGGGACAAAATTGGCACATCTATTGTCTTATGAAAACCAAACATGTCTTTACTGAAAAGAAGTATTCTGAAGAAAAAGACTTATTGGCTCATAATGGACACTTAGAAGGGTCTTCTAAAAGCGAGGGACAGGATGGCAAAGACCTCTGTAGATACTATGGTTTAAAATAATAGATAAACAGACTCAACAAGTAGTTCATGATGCTAAGAAAAAGGAGTGAAACAGAGAATGCACACTGACCCAAGAGACTCTAACAAGTATGATCCTCCAGAAAGGAGCTAAGGAAGCCCAAGGTCGATGGTGTAGGATGTTGGCAGTGAGAGCACCAGGAATAAATTCATGAGAGAAGTAAGGTCCCCCAGGTGAAGTCAATGGGAATTTCTAAGTGGAAAAATGTAATTAGCACAGGTGCTCTCTAACTGCCAGGCCTCACAGATAAATACAAAAGAGATTTACCAAATAGTGCAGAAAATTGGGATTAGAAAGCTATTTAACTTACTAGGATTTTACTGAAGGGAGAAAGATGGGTATTACTTAAAGATAAAATACAACGCAAACACTAGCAGTACAACCTTGCAGTATAAAATAAGCATGTGGCAGCGCCTGCAAGAGACTTGGGATCTGGAATAACATGAAACTTAGCCCTTGATTTATACTTTAGCCCATGACAGTATTTGGTAAATGAACGGGGCTGATTTTGTTGGGAATTCTAAGAAAATACTAGCGACTTATTTTGTAATAATTTCAGTCTAACGTAACCACGGTTTATAGCCATCATTTTCAGTAACATGGGTGTAATTTTTACGATACAGTTGATTGGTTTTAAAATAATCTATGGCAATAGTTATGTCTGTAATTAACAACAACAAAAAAAGGCTCTATGTTGCTTAGATCACCTTTTCCCTTTTTTGGTGGCAAATGTGGGTTTTTAGGTTTTCTGTCCCAATTTATTTGAGGAAGTATTTTAAAGTAAAAGAAGAATTACATTACTTGAAATCAGAGGAAGGGATTTGAGGCAGGCAGAAAACAATAAATAAAAACAGGTATCTACACAACATTCAAATAAACAGCCTGGCAGAGAATAGAATATAGAAGTCTAGGACATAAGGCTGAAAAAAATATGTGTGTGTGTGTGTGTGTGTGTGCATGTGTAATGAGCCAAAAGTTAACAATTAATATGAGACCAAATGAGATCACGCAGGAGAGTAGAACAGCTAGAGAAGGCAAAAGGGGCCAGGACCTAGGATTCCTTACAGCAGAATGATTTGTACTTGAAATCCAGAAGTTTTACACACTTTTGAGAGCTCTAGACATCTGGATTCTTGTTAGATTATGTACTCCAACCAATCTCATAAAAATGTCAGTGATGGCCGGGCGCGGTGGCTCACGCCTGTAATCCCAGCACTTTGGGAGGCCGAGGCGGGCGGATCACGAGGTCAGGAGATCGAGACCATCCTGGCTAACACGGTGAAACCCTGTCTCTACTAAAAATACAAAAAATTAGCCGGGCGAGGTGGCGGGCGCCTGTAGTCCCAGCTACTCGGGAGGCTGAGGCAGGAGAATGGCGTGAACCCCAGGGGGCGGAGCCTGCAGTGAGCCGAGATTGCGCCACTGCACTCCAGCCTGGGCGACAGCGAGACTCCGTCTCAAAAAAAAAAAAAAAAAAAAAAAAAATTGTCAGTGATAACAAAACCAAAGAAAACTAGTAAAACTGTACTTAGAGCTTTTAATTAATTAAGAATCAACTGAATTCATTAAATTTATAGAACCCAGTTCTATAGACAAGATTTAATAGCCAAAATGTGTCACGCAGAGATATTCTATTGCATTTTCTTCCAAGAATAAAATTGTCAAAACATATAGTATATGTTCCACTATGTTCTCTAATAAAGTAATTACAAAAATGTAACTCTAATAAAGCATACCAATTTCACAGAAATAACAGTTTATTTCCTATGTGGCCAAAATCAAAATAGGTCATCAGTGAGAACATAAAGATTATAAAATACTACCTATATAATCCAGGTTTTAAAATTTTTACTATTAATAATAATAATTATTATTTTGCACTTTCAAAAGAGAATTATGGGCTAAACAGACACACAGATAACGGAATTGCAGCGAAATATAGTTTTGTGCATCATCTTTAATAGTTACATAATTAGAGTAAGTATGACTATGTATGTATTTAATCTTATATTAGAATATTGGTAGTGGCCAAGCAACTATATTTTAAAATTAATATATGGGTTTCCATTTCTGATTTTATAAGATATTTTCATAAAGATTATTATCTTTTAAGACAAAATTCAAGTAAGTCGAACAGTGGAAATGAATGGAAGAAAGTAAAATCCATAGGGAAAGTTTTACAATATATGGAAAGATGGGAATAGTCACTTTAGCAAAGCAATATATCCATTTTATTTTGATTTCAATGATAGAAAAATCTCAGGACAACATTTCACCACTTTATGGTAACATATAAGAAAGTTGTCTATAGTAATAATTACATCATTTATCAGGACTTCAGTTTTCAAAAAAATAGCTATTACATAAAATAGTAGGTAATAATAGGAAATAATTTCACTGCTAATCCATTTTTTAATGTTAAAATTATAAAGCATTGAATGCATTGTCTACATTCACCTAGAAATTAAATAGGAATGAAATATTTGGCTTAATAAAATTGCCAAATCATCTTTTACCTTCAAATTCATAATTTTAAAATTATTAGATTCTGTTCAGTAGCTTTTGATAACTGCATTAATCTTCAAGTTTTCATATTGGGAGACTGATCTTTCTAAAATAATAAATTCCCCTTGGCTAATATAGTCTCTACAGCATACCTAGCTCTGTGCCAAGGCAATGGGTAAGTTGGGAGAGGCTCTCAATTGCCTCTTAGAGAACAATTTAATAAAGATGCCATTCTTAGAAAAGTACAGGGCAATAAACTATAATGGGCTGTGTAGTTTGACCCGTTCTCAGCGCCTTTGTTGTAGGCATGAGAGCGGGACATGAGGGGCCACCTGAGCTCATCCTGAACGACAGATAAGACTTGGTTAGGCACAGAGGAGTGATATAATCAAGGTCTCACCACAAATCCATGTTAGACAAATATTATTTATTTTATTACTGTTGAAGCTAGAAAAAGCCAAAGTATTTTGGACTTCAGTTTGTGGAAACTGAGCCTAGTATGATAGAGAGTGCTGGAGATTTGGAACCCAGAAACGTTCACTCAAAAGGCAAGGTCCTGCAGAATAAAGCATCTGTTGATTTGCAGTAGTCTCCATTTAAAATCCAAGATACGAGTGCAAGAGAGTAGTGCCTGTGTATATGTGTGCATCCATATGTGTGTTTACGCATGTTGGGCATGCATATGTGTGTGGGTGTGTATATTTCTGTGTCTCTGTGTGCATGGCAGTGCGTGTGCATGCTTTTGAGGGTAAAAAGTCATCATTTTAAAATAAGACATTTAATATTAATAATGCCAAAAGCCAAATTAAAAAATAAAAAATTTGGTAATACCTATATTATATATGTATCCATGTTATATATTTAGAGCCTTATTTTTAATTTTTTTATGATGTTAGAGACATTTAGTGGAAAATGGTTGTATACTTTGGGAAAATACAACCTGCCACTCATTTAACCCATCTTGAAATCACAATTCTTCATTTCTGAACATGAAAACTTAGATAGACATTTTCATGTCATACCCTTTTAGCACGCCTCATTTCTGAAAATGGATCTATGATTTAGCAAAAGGAGACTTAACAGATTCCAAATACTTTCTTTGTCACTTGGCAAAATAGGAAAAAAAATAACAATATTCCTAATAGCCTTCTGAAACTGCATGATACCTCATATGAGCTTTATATTTATTCTAGATAAAAGAAAGGATACAGACCTCACACATGTGGAATACCACCTTCAAAAATACGTAAAGCCATGCGCCTGTGGTCTCAGTTACTCGGGAGGATTCGGCAGGAGGGTCACTTGAGACCAGGAGTTTCAGCTTACAGTGAGCTGTGACTGTGCCACTGCACTCTAGCCTGGGCAACGTAATGAGACATCATCTGTGAAAGGAAAAAAAGGCATGTAATAGTAAAGAGAGTATCCACCTCCCCTCCCTCTATTTAATTGATTGTTCTAGTATACTCTTGAAGGAAGTATATTCAAAGTGTGATATTAAGAAAGAGTTGCAAGCTTCATCTTACTCCTCTGGCCTTCAATCTAATTCCGTTGCTATTTCAAAACCCTTCAAGGCTTTGTGGTAGGTAAACAGAGATAGATGTATTTTTGTTGTTCATTCTTTTCTCTGTCAAGATCACTACATACTGCACAAAGAAAGCCACTTAAAACACAGATGAAGAAACAGACTGAATAAAAAATATATGACCCAAGATTAAAATACTCTCCTCATTGAAAAAAGTAAAAACAGAAAAACAATTGTAATACTTAAGTGATACTTTGTTGAAGATAAGATGCCTGAGATTGTGTGTATTTTATATATATTTGATTAAATTTCTAAATATTTGCAAATGCCATTCTGAGCACACACTGTATAAATTTTAACTTTCTTGTAGAGTACATAGCTAACATGCACAATTAGATCAGCATGCATGCATACACATCCCCAGAGGTCCACATATTTAAAAACTTGTTAAGAAGTACAAGCCAGTCTTCTGCTGGAGTCTGAGATTTACACGGGTTAACTCTGCACTTCAAAGAAAATATAGCCTAAACAGCTATCAAATCCAAACTCTGAAAAATGGTGACAGACCCTTTAGCAGTATACATATTTCCGGTTTTTTAATCCCTTTTAAAAATCACAAATATATTTTTATTTTTATTGTACTTATTTTAGTTAAGATATAAAGGTTAGATCATTTAACTGATAGAGAACACATTGCAAGACATTTATAATCACAGCAATACTTGTTGATGGAGTCGGTGGCCACGTTAGCAGATTGTAGGAGTTCACCTTGCCTTTGATGTCTGTAATGTTTATTTAAATTTTTATGCACCAATATTCAGATATAATTCACATACCATAAAATTCTTTCTTTAAAGTATATAATTCAGTGTTATTTTTAGTGGACTCATAGAGTTGTGTCACCATCACTATTGCCTGCTTTTAGAATATTTTCATCACCCTCCAAAGAAACCCATATTCCCAGGCAGTCAATCCACATTTGCTCCTCCCCACCAGCCCCCGAGCACCACTTAGTTACCTTCTGACTCTATGGATTTGCCTAGTCTAGATATTTCATATAAAAGGAATCATTTAATGTATCCAGAAAGCAGAATATTTCTAATTTAAA
Organism: Homo sapiens; assembly: GCF_000001405.40. NCBI lineage: Eukaryota > Metazoa > Chordata > Mammalia > Primates > Hominidae > Homo > Homo sapiens. The sequence continues at coordinate 54,482,378 of NC_000013.11, forward strand.
TATGACCATTAAATAACAAAGTCTATTTTTTAAAAAATCTTAGACAAATAGGTCATTATATAAAAGGTGTTTACAAAAATTTCTGACACCAGAAGAACTGATTACACTAAGACACATGTTATAGATATATGTTGATATAGATCTAAAAAGGTCTATTTACTTTTTCTCCTTTGGGAATAATTCTCCTTTGGGAATGTTAGTTATTACTTTTGAATCTTTAAATTGAATGAAATATTTTTCTGAGTGATGCTACTCACCCTGTTTGCTGGTAGAGCTTAAAGAAGGCCATATTTTTATAATTATTGCCTAATTCTTGCAGACAAATTTTTATGAGAGATAGATTAATATTTTCATAAGGAGAGTAAACTTTTAAATTATTTTAGAAAAATCCAATGCTCAAATTTAATAATTTCAGAATATGGAATAGTTATGCTAGATTAATTAATGTCACATATACATTTTATCTATATGTAACTCAAGTATTAGTAGCAACACTCTAATCTTGTTCTTTTGATGAATTCCATGTATTTTTCAGGGTTTACTTGCTCATGGGCATTTTGGTCTACGAATTCCAGCTTCCACAAGGTGTCCTCAATATTATCACATTCCCCATAACTGTTCCCGATTCTGTACATCCTGTTAATTCAGATAGATTACTTTATCTTTTGGCTTTGATTTTATAACGTTCCACTTATATCAAGCATAGGAAAGGTGAAGGGAGTTCACATTTAAAGTAACGAAGCCAACTTAAAATTGAATACTTAACTTACCTCTTACTTTACAGCCTGTAAACCATTTCTATTTACTCGTGCTTTACATTACTAAATTCATCCTTCTTTTATTGCCTCTCTTTTCCTGGTCTGTGCCCTTCACAAAAACAAAAGAAGGTAATGAAAAGAAAAAAAAAATTCCCATCTTATAGAAAAAAAATTAGCTCTTTCGATCACCAACTTTCAAGATATGAACTGCATATGAAAACATAACAAATCAAAACAAAAATGCACTTCATTTCATCCTTCCTAAACAATGAAGATGTGCTCCAGTTCTCAACCTGTTCCTATCATTTCTGCAAAGAAAAGAGAAGACTATGAAGATAGCTGATGGCCCCTGCCTTTAAAGGGCAAATATGGTTACAGCTAATTGCGTTTTTAAGTGAAAATTTATATGTTATTAATTTCTACTAAATTTTATTACAATTTTACTCCACTGTAATTATTTTATATTTGTTCTTTACAAAGCAAAGTTTTTTTTGTTTGTTTGTTTGTTCGTTTTTGAGACAGAGTCTGGCTGTGTCTCCCAGGCTGGAGTGCAATGGTGCGATCTCTGCTCACTGCAACCTCTGTCTCCCAAGTTCAAGCAATTCTCTGCCTCAGCCTCCCAAGAAGCTGGGACTATAGGCACCCACCACCACACCCAGCTAATTTTTGTATTCTTAATAGAGACAGGGTTTCACCATCTTGGCCAGGCTGGTCTTGAACTCCTGACCTTGTGATCCACCCGCCTCAGCCTCCCAAAGTGCTGGGATTACAGGCGTGAGCCACAGCGCCTGGCCCAAAGCAAAAAGTTTATATTCAGATCTATGGCCAATTTTGTAATTATTTAGCAGCAATTAAGATAGGCTTCTGTGTTCACATTTAAATAATAGTTTAGTTTTACCTTACCTCTGTTCCATGTTGAATTTGTAAATCTTGTTAGGAACAAGAGAAAAACTCTATTACATAAATGTTTATGGCAAAATTATATAGAATGACTAATACTATTATATTCTTACAAACATTCACACTGATAAAGCCCATCACTATCTTGAAAAGGTAAATTCAGAGGAACCACACAGTGACCCAAAGACAGAAACTGGAAATGCTCCAGCACACAGGGAGAGCAATCTTTATCTCTAACCTGATCCAGTTAGGAGATTTCAATTCCCCATACATCCAAAGCATTCTTAACTGGAAGTTCACAGTGGATTCAGTCAATTTGACATTGTACTGACAGTATATGCAAATCTTAATCTTATGGTCATTTGTTCTCAGATAAAGGCTCATAGCTTTCAACATTTTTCAGATTATGGAATTAGCTTTTCAATGATTCAGAAACATTAGAATGACTGGGAACCACTGTTTTGAGAGACTGTCTTGCTATCAGAATGCAGGGTGGATAGGTTTCCTCTGGGAGTAAAATACATTCCGAATGGCAAGTAAAAAAAATTAAATTGCAAGTTTCAATTATTAGTAACGCATATTGATTTTATTTTTCACACTTGGGATACATTTTAGTGAATTGGCAAATGGTTTAACAAAAAAATGCAAGTTGGTTTTCTGTTTTGTTTTGTTTTGTTTTGTTTTAAGACAGAGTCTCACTCTATTGCCCAGGCTGGAGTGCAGAGGCTTAATGCAACCTCTGCCTCCCAGGTTCAAGTGATTGTCCTGACTCAGCCTCTCAAGAGCTGGGACTACAGGCACCCACAACCACACCCGGCTAATTTTTGTGTGTGTGTGTTTTTAGTAGAGATACGGTTTCACCATGTTGGCCAGGCTGGTCTCAAACTCGTGACTTCAAGTGATCCACCCACCTCGGCCTCCCAAAGTGCTGGGATTACAAGCGTGAGCCACTGTGTCCAGGTGCAAGTTGGTTTTAAATGATAATTACTTACAAAATTAAGGAATAAATTGCATCAATATCATTATGTAACAGTGGACACTAATGTCAATGAAGTCACTGATACTTTTCAGGCAGACAGTAGATAAACACCTATGAAGGGTTTAGGTAGTATTCTGAATTTGTAAGACAGATACATTTGATCCCCAAGGCCCATTCTAACTCCAAGATGTTCAGTAACTTCCAGGAATGTAATGATCATTGAGACTATTATTTTAAAAAATGTGTCCCATATTATGTTCCTCAAAAATTTTCAGCAGTCGCTGTTCAAGATAAATTAACAGATAAATAAGTAACCAGTGAAATTGATTCTATGCCACCTAAAATTTATGATCTTTTCATTAAGTAGTCATGTATTGTCACTGGCAAATGTTCTAAAATGGCAAACATCATGAACGCTCACCCTCAGGACAGTTTTAAACACTGAATTCACATCTGAAGTGTATATGTTCACAATGAATATTTGAAAAATAAAATAAGTAGATACTTTTGAGAGGCTTTTGATGTTCTGAACTGTTGCAACCTTCATATAAGATTCTATCCCTCCAGCTCTGCCCGAGTCTTGTCATTATTCAAAGTGAGTATCTGCTGCTTCTCTATAGAAGGCCTTGTTTCTTCCAGTCCAAGACTTTCATTCTCTTCACTACCTTCTCTAAGAAATGTTTGCCTTTACTTCAAAAACCTCTCTACTCTCTCATCTTCTAATTAACTTACAATCCCTTTTTTGTTAAGTTGATGCACTATTTTTTACACCCTTTATTCCTGCTAATGTTTTTCTTGTTTTACCTTTCCTACAGTTTGGTATTCCTCTTAGACCTGTAATTAAAATAACTTCTGAAGTCACATCACCCAAAGAAGGTTTCTCCATCAAATTGAATAAATGTTGGTGATTCCCCACTAATATGATTCTGTTTTGATTTAACACCCCATTACACTTATTGCTTATCATTCCACATAATTAAACTTTGTGCTAAGCAAGCTATATCTTATTACCCTGTTGCAACACAAAAAAAGTTTCAACTACCTTCCATACAAAAATCATCTCTACATGTTTTCCCAGTGAGTTTTTCCTGCTACAAACAAAACTTATCTAGTTTTGTTTATGACATTATTTACATCATCTAGTTTAAAACTGTTTCACTAATTACACATGCAACCAAACTCCTTCAGTGTGACACAGAAATTTTCAAAGCATTATGAGCCTAAATTGAATGTAATCTGTCAAGTTGGTCTACCTTCAAACAGAATGAAACTAGACTATCTTATCTTTCATCTCTGATATATATTTCTAATGATGCATTGTGTGACCCAATTAGGTATTTAAATGGTCATATTCCACTATTCTATTGACCTATATTCAAATTTCTTTTACTTAGAGATCAAACAATAGGATTTTTGCAATCCGAATCTTGTATCCAAATTATTCATTATTTCTCTCATAGGTTTTAATAATTTACAAATTTGATGACCATTCATTTTAAATCTTACTTGAGTTGCTAAAAAGGTTAAGAAGGATTAAGATGTTGGATAGGAGATAGGATTAGCTTATAGCTCCCACTCGGATGGGCAGAGCATCACGTGGAGACTCACAGACTGAACTTTTGCTCCAAGAACTACCACAGGAATGTACCAAGAAAGTTAAGAGAATCCACAGACCCTTTGAAGAAACTGGATCACTGCTACAGGCTCCCTGAGACACCGAAAACCTGTAAGTCTGCTTTCTTTCTCAGTGGGGAGGCTCATGATTTGGGGTAAGTTCTCAGCCCTGGTGATGGGCTACCTGGAAATAGACTTGCTGCTGTTGTGGGGATGTACAGTGTTAGTGAGACCAGCCTTTAAGACTGCAAGCTATGTGGGAGTGGGGTGAGTCCTGTGACTGCCAGCTTTCCCCCACCTTCCTGGTGACCTGCATGACTCAGCAGAGGCAGCCATAATCCCCTTGGGAATATAACTCCACTGGACTGGGAACCACACCCTCATGCCCCACAGCAGCCACAGTAAGCCCTAAGGAGAGGCTGAACTCAGACACTCCTACCTCTGCTGTCACCTGGCGGTCTTTCTCTACCCGACCTGGTAGCCAAAGACAAAGGTCATAATCTCTTGGCAGCGCTAAGGCCCTGCCCACTGCCTGAGAAACACAAATACTTAACCAGGTATCCCCATGGCAAACCTGTAGCCTTCTTATAGGGCCACAGTGATGCACTCTTGAAAGTGCCACCTCCTGGCTGGAGGCCAACCAGCACAAAACCAGTACACTAAACGAAAACACAACCAAAGACCTTCATAGAGTTCACTTCACTTCCCTGCTGCCTCCACCAGAGCAGCTGCTGGTATCCATGGCTGCAAGACCTGAGACAGGTCGCATCGCAGGATACGATCTTTGTAGTGTTTTTGTAGACACTCCCCAGTACCAGCCTGGGGCCTGGTAGCTCTGCTGGATGGCTAGACCCAGAAGAGCAAAAACAATCACTACAGTTCAGCTCTCAGGAAGCCTCATTCCTAGGGGAATGGGGAGAACACCACATCAAGGGAGCACCCTGTGGGACAAATAACCTAAACAGCAGCCCTTGAATCCCAGATTTTCCCTCTGACATAGTCTACTCAAATGAGAAGGAACCAGAAAAAGAATTATGGTAATATGACAAAATAAGCTTCTTTAACACGCGAAAGATCATACCAGCTCACCAGCAATGGATCTAAACCAAGAAGAAAACTCTGAATTGCCAGAAAAAGAATTCAGAAGATTGATTATTGAGCAAATCAAGGAGGCACCAGAGAAAGGTGAAATCTACCTTAAATAAATAAAGGATATGAAATCAAAATTCTTCAGTGAAATAGCACAGATTAAAAACAATCACGACTTCTGGAAGTCAAAGACACATTTAGAAAAATGCAAAATGCACTGGAAAGCCTCAGCAATTGAATAAAACCAGCAGAAAAAATAAATTCAGAGCTTGAAGACAGGGCTTTCAAGTTAACCCAATCTTTCAAAGACAAAGAAAAAAGAATTTTTAAAATGAACAATGCCTTCAAGAAGTTTGGGACTATGTTAAGTCCAAACCTAGGAATAATTGGTGTTCCCAAGGAAGAATAGAAATATAAATTTGGAAGATATATCTGAGGGAATAATTGAGGAAAACTTCTCTGGTCTTGCTAGATATCTAGACATTCAAATACAAGAAGCTCAAAGAACACCTGGGAAATTCATTGCAAAAAGATCATTGCCTAGGCACATAGTCATCAAGTAATCTAAAGTCAAGACAAAAGAAATAATTTTAAGAGCTATGAAGCAAAGCATCAGGTAACCTATAAAGGAAAATCTGTCAGATTAGCAGCAGATTTCTCAGCAGAAACCCTACATGCCAGAAAGGACTGGGGCCCTAATTTTAGCCTCCTTAAATGAAAGAATTATCAGCCAAGAATTTTGTATACAGCAAAACTAAGCTGCACAAATGAAGGAAAAATTCAGTCTTTTCCAGACAAACAAATGCTGAGAATTTGCCACCACCAAGCCAGTACTGCAAGAGCTGCTAAAAAGAGCTCTAAATCTTGAAACAAATCCTCAAAATACACCAAAATAGAATCTCCTTAAAGCATAAATCTCACAGGACCTATAAAACAATGACACAATAATAATAATAATAATAAGGCATTCAGGCAACAAATAGAACGATGAATAGAATAGTATCTCACATCTCAATAATAATATTGAATGTAAATGACCTTAATGCTCCACTTAAGATGCAAAATGGCAGAATGGATAAGAAATCACCAACGAAGTTTCCGCTATCTTTAGTAGACTCACCTAACACATAAGGACTCACATAAACTTAAGGTAAAGGGATGGAAAAAGATATTCCATTCAAATGGACACCAAAATTAAGCAGGGGTAGCTATTCTCATATCAGATATAACAGAGTTTAAAGCAACAGCAGTTACAAAAGACAAAGAGGGATATTATATAATGATAAAAGGACTAGTCCAACAGGCAAATATCACAATTCTAAATATATATGCATGTAACACTGGAGCTCCCAAGTTTATAAAACTGTTACTACTAGACCTAAGAAATAAGATAAATAGCATCACAATAATAGTAGGGGCCTTTAATACTCTACTGACAGCACTAGACAGGTCATCAAGACAGAAAGTCAACAAAGAAACAATGAACCTAAATGATACACTACAACAAATAGACTTAACAAGTATTTACATAACATTCTACCCAACAACCACAAAATGTACATTCTATTTATAAGCACATGGAACCTTCTCCAAGATGGACCGTATGATAGGCCACAAAACAAGTCTCAGTAAATTTAAGGCAATCAAAATTATATCAAATACTTTCTCAGACTACAGTGGAATAAAATTGGAAATCAACTCCAAAAGGAACCCTCCAAACCATGAAAATACATGAAAATTAAATAACCTGTTCCTGCATGATCATTTGGTCAACAATTAAATCAAGATGGAAATTAAAAAATTATTTGAACTGAACAATAATAGTGACGTAACCTATCAAAACCTCTGGGATACAGCACAAGTGGTGTTAAGAAAAAAGTTCATAGCATTAAATGCCCACATCAAAATGTCAGAAAGAGCACAAACAGACAATCTAAGGTCACACCTCATGGAACTGGAGAAACAAAAACAATACAAACCCCCAAATCCAGCAGAAGAAAAGAAATATTGAAGGTCAGAGCAGAACTAAATGAAATGGAAACAACAGCAACAAAATAATACCAAAGACAAATGAAACAAAAAGCTGGTTCTTTGAAAAGACAATAAAATTGATAGACCATAAGCAAGACTAACCAAGAAAAGAGGAGAGAGGATCCAAATAAGCTCAATTAGAAATGAAATGGGATTACTGACACCACAATTACTGATACCAAAGAAATACAAAAGCTTATTCAAAGCTACTATGAACACCTTTATGCTCATAAACTAGAAAACCTAGAGGATCCAGATAAATTCCTGGAAATATACAACTCTCCTAGATTAAACTAGGAAGATATAGAATCTCTGAACAGATCAATAATAAGCAGCAAGATTAAAGTGGTAGTAAAAAAATTCCCAACAAAAAAAAAGTCCAGGTCCAGACAGATTCACAGCTAAATTCTATTAGACATTCAAAGAAGAATTGGTACCAGCCCTCTTGACATTATTTCAAAAGATAGAGAAAGAGAAAATCCTCCCTAAATCATTCTATGAAGCCAGTATCACCCTAACACCAAATCGGGGAAGAACAAACAATAAAAGAAAACTATACACAAATGTCCCTGATGAACATATGTGCAAAAATCCTCGACAAAATGCTAGCAAACTGAATCCAACAGCGTATCAAAAATATAATCCACCATGATCAAGTGGATTTCATACTAGGGATGCAGGGATGGTTTAACATATATAAGTCAATAAATGTGATACACCAAATAAACATAATTAAAAACAAAAATTACATGGTCCCCTTAATAGATGCAGAAAAAGCATTTGACAAAATCCAACATGACTGTATGACTAAAAGCCTCAGCAAAATCGACGTAGAAGGGACATACGTTAATGTAATAAAAGCCATCTACAACAAACCCACAGCCAACATACTGAATGGGGAAAAAGTTGAAAGCATTCCCCCTGAGAACTGGAACAAGAAAAGGATGTACACCTTCACCACTTCTATGCAACATAGTTCTGGAAGTCCTAGCCAGAGCAATCAGACAAGAGAAAGAAATAAAGGGCATCCAAATTGGTAAATAGGAGGTCAAACACTTGCTGTTTGCTGGTGATATGATTGTATACCTAGAAAACCCTAAAGACTCATCCAAAAAGTTCCTAGAACTGGCAAGTGAATCCAGCAAAGTTTCAGGACGCAAAATTAATGTACACAAATCAGTAACTCTACTATACACCAACAGTGACCAAGCTTGGAATCAAATCAAGAATTCAATTCCTTTCATAATAGCTGCCAAAACAAACAAACAAACAAATAAACAAAAAACAAACCTTAGGAATATACCTAATCAAGGACGTGAAAAAACCCTATAAAGAAAACTGCAAAATGCTGCTGAAAGAAATCTCAGATGACACAAACAAATGGAACCACATCCTATGCTCATGGATGGGTAGAATCTATGTTGTGAAAATGGCTATACTGCCAAAAGAAATCAACAAATTCAATGTAATTCCCATCATAATACCACCATCATTCTTCACAGAACTAGAAAAAACAATTCTAAAATTCATATGAAACCAAAAAAGAGCCCACATAGACAAAGCAAGACTAAGCAAAAAGAACAAATCTGGAGGCATCACATTACCAAACTTTAAATATACTATAACACCATAGTCACCAAAACAGCATGGTACTGGTATAAAAATAGGCACATAGACCAATGGAGCAGAATAGAGAACCCAGAAATAAAGCGAAATAGTTACAGCAAACTGATCCTCAACAAAGCAAACAAAAACATAATGTGGGGAAAGGACACCCTATTTAACAAATGGTGCTGGGATAATTGGCAAGCCACATGTAGAAGAATGAAACTGGGTCCTCATTGCTCACCTTATACAAAAATCAACTCAAGATGGATCAAAGACTTAAATCTAAGACCTGAAATCTTAAAGATTATAGGAGATAACATTGGAAAAACCCTTCTAAACATTGGCTTGGGCAAAGACTTCATGACCAAGAACCCAAAAGCAAATGCAACAAAAACAAAGACAAATAGATAGGACTTAATGAAACTGAAAAGCATCTGCATAGCAAAAGAAATAATCAGCAGCATTAACAGACAACTCACAGAGTGGGAGAAAATCTTCACAATCTGTACATTCAACAAAAGTCTAATATCCAGAATCTACAAAGATCTCAAAGAAATTAGCAAGAAAAAAAAAACAAGCAATTCCATCAAAAAGTAGGCTAAGGACAGGAATAGACAATTTTCAAAAGGATATACAAATGGCCACCAAGTATATGGAAAAATACTCAGCGTCACTAACGATCAGGTAAAAGCAAATAAAAACCACCATGTGACACCAACTTATCCCTGCAAGAATGTTCATTATCAAAAAATAATAGATGCTGGTGTGGATGTATACTAGTACAACCACTATGGAAAACAGTGTCGAGATTCCTTAAATAACTAAAAGTAGATCTATCATTTCATCCAGCAAATCCCATTACTAGGTATCTACCCGGAGGAAAATAAGTCATTATACAAAAAAGATACTTACATATGCATGTTTATAGCAGCACAATTTGCAATTGAGCCCAAATGTCCATCAATCAATTAGTGGATAAAGAAAATGTGAGATATATATCTATATCTATATCTATATCTATATCTATATCTATATAGATATAGATATACACACACACACATACATATACATACATATATATAGGAATACTACTCAGCCATAAAAAGGAATGAAAGAATGGCATTCACAGCAACCTGGATGGAAATGGAGACTATTATTCTAAGTGAAATAACTCAGGAATGGAAAACTAAACATTGTAACTCGCTCATATGTGGAAGCTAAGCTATGAGGACACAAAGGCCTAAGAATGATACATTGGACTTTGGGGACTTGGGAGCAAGGGTGGGTGTAGAAAGTAATAAAAGTCTACACATTGCATACAGTGTACACCGCTCAGGTGATGGGTGAACCAAAATCTCAGAAATCACCACTATAAAACTTATTCATGTAACCAAACACCATCTGTTCCCCAAAAACCCATTGAACTAAAAAAAAAAATACAAAATTAAATAAATAAATAAATAAATAAATAAATAGATTAAATATGCAGGGTTAATGCCAGAGTACTGTGCCATACTCCAGGAACTTCATTCAGGTCAGCAATTTTCAAATAAAAAAAATAATGAAAGAGTGAAAACTACATTTTATATTGTACTCCAGAACACACATGTGTATGCTTAAATATTTAAGTATATCTAAATTCAATTAAATTTAATAATTAAATTATTGTCCCTACTATGAATTAACCATTCTTACATTTTCTGTTCTATTTTTTTCCATTCTATTTCATTATCTGTAAGTTACCGGTTATGTTTCACACTATTAGCTATTGCTATGTGACAAAACAGTCTAATGAAATCTCATTTCTTTCTTCCATGGATCAGCTGAGATTTTGCTGACTTGGTTTAAACTTGGCTGGGCTTGACTCCAAACTGCATGTTAGGTCGAATCTGTCAAATTACGTGTTCCTGACTCTCTTTTAACTGGAACAGGTGAGTTAAACTGGGCATGTACTACTTATAGCAAAAGAAAAAAAACAAAAAATATATGCTAGGTTGGACAAGTGGAATAACCTAGACATGCTCTTTTTCATAGCAATGACAGAAACATAACAGGTTAACCTAATTGCACAAAGCATGTTTTATGCTTCTGCTTGTTTTTCTGTTTGCTAGAATCTCATTTACCCAGTCACATGGTTGAGACTAAAATCTAAGGTACAGAAGTATATTTTACTCACTATGAGGTGAAAGCAAGCAATGTGACTAAGCCCGATATCGTGGAGAGAAGTATATCCCCAGCAAAGTGGTGTCATAGAAGGAGCAAATATTTGTTGACAATAATCTAATATACAACCCTCATCAAAATACTTTCACAATTGATTTATGAGCTACCACAAAAGTTCCAAATTGATATTGATCTATTGGTCAGAGCCCTATGAACATAATTATTCATCAAATGACTAATCCATTATGTTTTTATATTTAGTTTATAATATTCCATAAACATAAAATTATATGTTACATGACTATTTGATGTCCAGACTCTCCAAATTTATCATATTTCATTGGGATACCAACACTACTAGAAAGTTAAAATTAGGTCAGCTCAACACATAATCAACCAAATATTTTATAATATTTAATAATCAATGTAGCCCCATCTACATATTTATAAGCTCTCATTTGAATAATTCATTTTACCATTGTGTTCAGAAATAATGTTTGATGTTCAAAACTATAGGTTGACCATTAGGTAAAATGTAATATTTAGATATAATATTGCTTTTTTCAAAAAGATAATTGCTGAGTGTCCCCTTGTTGAACTTTATTTTTTTCTCAATATTTCCCCTTCCATATAAACTTTCTTAATAAATATGTTTTTAATAAAACATTTTATAGTTTGTGTGCATGTGCATATATATATATACACATACACATATATATACACACACACACATATATGTATAGATACACACACACATACATTTAATGGTTAGGATGAATTTCCTTGAAATCAGGGGATATATTTGTTTATCTTAACTCTATCTTCTAAATTCCTAGTTCAGGGACTACAGCTTAAAAAGTTTCTGATAAATGAGTAATGCCACAGACTCTCATTTAAAAATTTGCTACATTGATATGTTTCTAATAATCTATCATTATTACCTTCCTCCCAATATCTCAAATATCTCTGAAAGTGGTTCAGGAATCTCCTTTAAAAAATGGAATATTACCTATAGAAGATAGATGGACTAGGTAAATTAAATTCATTTAGGGTTGTTTAATTAAAAATGTTACTTACCCTTAGTTATTTTTTCTACTATCAACCTGATTTTGTTTATATTTTTCAGTTGGAAAGTTAGTTGTGAGAAAATCTAATAAAGGTATAACTGGAATTTCATTTTTTTACCACTGAGAAAGTATTCCCAAACAAGTTTTCCAGATTGTGCATTGGTCCTGAATGTCAGGCCTCCGAGCCCAAACTAAGCCATCGTATCCCCTGTGACCTGCACGTATATGTCCAGATGGCCCGAAGCAAGTGAAGAATCACAAGAGAAGTGAAAATGGCCCGTTCCTGCCTTAACTGATAACATTCCACAAGAAAATAAGTGAAAATGTCCGGTCCCTGCCTTAACTGATGACATTACCTTGTGAAATTCCTTCTCCTGGTTCATCCTGGCTCAAAAGCTCCCCCACTGAGCACCTTGTGACCCCCACCCCTGCCTGCCAGAGAGCAACCCCCTTTGACTGTAATTTTCCTTTACCTACCCAAATATCATAAAACAGCCCCACCCCATCTCCCTTCGCTGACTCTCTTTTCGGACTCAGCCCACCAGCACCCAGGTGATTAAAAAGCTTTATTGCTCACACAAAGCCTGTTTAGTGGTCTCTTCACACAGACTCGAGTGAAACTGAAGTCAGCTGAAAAACTTTGACATGGGTATTGTAAAATTTTGATCAATAAGTCATCATGAGATATGTGTGTGTATAGATATATGATATATATTATGTATATTTAATGGCAACTGTAAGTACTTTTGCACCAACCTAATATTATAATTAAGAGATACATGATGACTATATGTACAAATTTATTTATAGATATATACCCCATATATTATATATACACACATATATAAACACACATACACACATGCACATATACACATAAATAAATCACAATTATATAAACAGTTAAAATTTAGTGTAATAATTGCTGTTGAAGAGATTTGGATGAAGTGATTTGAGAGCATTATGTATAAACAATTTAATGCAGTCTGGAGAATTTAGGAGAGGTGTACTACTGTCATTTATTCGAGCTGGCACATGAAGAATGGGCAGGGATTTTCAAAAGAAAAAAATGGGAAATTTTGGGAAAAAACCTTTTCTTATGCATTAATACAAGGACAGAGAGCAATCAGAAACGAAGTATAACTGAGGATATTGAGGTGTTCTTTAAGATAGGAGTTTATATAAGTACATTGATATTAGAAAGTGGAGATAAACAACATAAGAGGACAGAATATGAAGTAGCTTTATACTGAAGAGTTCCATATGTGGCCTGAGAAAAATGTAAGTCAAAAGTATTTTGAAATCTGAAAAGTGACATAATCAATTATGCTTCTTTGGAAAAGTACCATGGCTATAGTGTGTGAAAGTTGTTTGGAAACACAGACAAGACATATGGTTTCTGAAATAAATCAGAAACAGTATTATTTGAATCCGAAGTAAACAATATAAGTAAATGTTAAAAGATGAAAGTCAATTTTAGAGATACTTCTGCTATATAACTGATATGATTTAGTGATCAATAGGATGTTGAAAAGAGGAAGAAGTGGAATATGATTAATTAAACTTAATTGAAGTTGATGCCAATGAGCAGAAAAGTTGAGAAAGGAGAGGAGAGAAGGGAGAGAATATGTTGTTTTTTATATTTGATGTACATGCAATACATTCAGATTAATAGATTCCTAGAAAAAAATGGTTTACAGCTAGAAAGAGAGATGACAATGAAAATCTGAATATAGATGTGGAGTATCTCAAGAAAAAATAAGATAAATGATATAAACTAGGGAAACAAATATTTAAGGGTTACACAATAGAAAAGGAAGGAGCTATAAAAAAAGAGATAATGTAAAAAAAAAAACACATTAAGAGAGGAGAGAGGTTTAAGCTGTAAGGAACTGTTTATAGTCCCAAATTGTATAGAGATATCACACCGAATGAGGACTAAAATATTTTTTATTTGAACATGAAATGCTTGATAATTTCAGCATGAATATTTTTAGTAGATTGGTAGAGTAAGAAATCGTAGTTTAGAAGTACATGAGAATTGTAGAAGTGGATACAGTAAGCTAAATACTTTTGCAAAATGTTCAGAATGTAGGCAAATGTTATGGAGTGGTAGGAGATATTTTGGAGCTAAGGAAAATTTTTATATGTTGGAGATAAATTTGTCCTGATTCATGTGGAGGAAATGGAGCCAATGGAGATGAAAATAAATGACACAGGAATACGCCGAACAGCAACGTGCAAGAAAAGTCGGAAAGAAATGGAATTGGTCCATATTTGGAAAGCCTAAATATACAAATAATGAAATAAATTATTTTTGTTTTTCTGCATGAAAGGCAGAATTGGAACACTCTAGGTGATATGGTTTGGTTCTGTGTCCTCACCCAGATCTCATGTGGAATTGTAATTCTCACGTGTCAGGGGAAAGGCCTGGTGGGACGTAACTGGATCATGCGGATGGATGTTCCCCTTTCTGTTCTCTTAATAATGAGTAAGTTATCATGAGAGCTGACAGTTTAAAAGTGTATGGCATTTCCCCTTCTCTCTCTCCTGCCATCATGTAAAGAAGGTCCCTGATTCGCCTTCACCTTTCGTCATGATTGCAAGTTTCCTGAAGCCTCCCAGTCTTGCTTCCTGTTAAGCCTGAAAAACTGTGAGTCAATTAAACTTCTTTTCTTCATAAATCACTCAGTCTCAGGTAGTTCTTTATAGCAGTGTGAAAATGAACTAATACAGAAAATTGGTACTGAGAGAAGTTGGCATTGCTATAAAGATACCTGAAAATTTGGAAGCAACTTTGGAACTGGTTAGCAGGCAGAGGTTGGAACAGTTTGTAGGGCTCAGAAGATGAGTGAATGTTTGGAACTTTCTAGAGACTTGTTGAATGGTTGTGACCAAAATTCTGATAGTGATATCGACAGTGAAGTCCAGGATGAAGTGGTCTCAGATGGAGATGAAAAACTTACTGGGAACTGGAGTAAAGGTAACTCTTGCAATGCTTTAGCAAAAAGTCTGGCAGCATTTTGCCTCTACCCTAGAGAACTGTGGAACTTTGAACTAGAGAGAGATGTTTTAGGGTATCTGGCAGAAGAAATTTCTAGGCAGCAAAGCATTCAAGATGTCACTTGGCTTTTTCTAAAACTGTACACTCATATGCATGAAAAAAAAGATGGTGTGAAATTGGAACTTACATTTCAAAGGGAATCAGACCATAAAAGTTTGAAAAATTTGCAGCCTGACCCATGTAGTAGGAAAGAAATCCATTTTTTGGGGAGAAATTCAGGCCAGCTGCAGAAATTTGCATAAGTATTGAGGAGCAGATGTTAATAGCTAAGACAATGGGGAAAATGTCTTCAGGGAATTTCAGAGATTTTCATGGCATCCCCTTCCATCACAGGCCTGAAGACCTAGGAGGGAAACATGGTTTCATGGTCGGGGTCCAGGGCCCCACTGCTCTGTGCAGCCTTGGGACATGGCACCTTGTGTTTCAGGCACTCCATCTAAGGTGGTATAACTAAAATGGGCCAGGGTGCAGCTTGGGCCATTGCCTCAGAGAGAGCAATCATGAAGCCTTGGCAGTTTCCAAGTGGCATTGTGTCTCCGGGTGCATAGAAGCCAATAATTGAGGTTCAGGAACCTCCGCCTAGATTTCAGAGGCTGTATAGAAACACCTGGATATCCAGCAGGAATTCTGCTTCAGGGGCAGAACTCTTATAGAGAACCTCTACTAGGGCAGTGTGGAGGGGATGAGAAATGTGGGGTTGGAGCCTTCACACTGAGTACCCACTGGGGCACTGCCTAGTGGAGCTGTGGGAAGAGGACTGCTGTCTTCCAGGGACCAGAATGCCAGAATGTTAGATCTACTGAGAGTTTGCACCGTGTACCCAGAAAAGTCACAGGCATCAATACCAGCTCATGAAAGCAGCCGTGGGTGCCATACCCTTCAGAGTCACTAGGGTGGAGCTGCCAAGGTCTTGGGAACCTGCCTCCTGCACTAGTGTACCCTGGATGACAGACATGGAATCAAAGAAGATTATTTCGGAGCTTTAAGATTTAATGACTGCTGTCCTGGGCTTTGGACTTCTATGGGGCCCGTAGCCCCTGTTTTTGTCCAATTCTCTGATTTGGAATGGGACCGTTTGCCCAATGTCTGTACCCCATTGTATCTCAGAAGTAACTAAATTGTTTTTGATTTTACAGGCTCATAGGTGGAAGGAACTTACCTTGTCTCAGATGAGACTTTCGACTATTTAATGCTGGAATGAGTGAAGACTTAGGGGGACTGTTGAGAAGGCATAGTTGGTTTTGAAATATGAGAAGGACATGAAATTGGGAGGGACCAGGGGTGGAATAATATATTTTGGCTCTGTGTCCCCACCCAAATCTTATGTCAAATCGTTATTCCTACATGTCAGGGGAAGGGCCAGTGAGAGGTAATTGGGTCAGGAGAGAGGATTTCCCCCTGCCTGTTCTTGTGATAGTGATTTCTTATGAGATCTGATGGTTTAAAAGCATGTAGCACTCCCCCAACCTCTCTCTCTCTACTGCCACCTTGTAAAGAAGGTCCTTGATTTCCTTTCACCTTGTGCCATGACTGTAAGTTTCCTGAGGCCTCCCAGTCATGCTTCCTGTTAAGCCTGTGGAACTGTGAGTCAAACTTTTCTTCATAAATTACCCAGTCTCATGTATTTCTTAATAGTAGTGTGAGAATGGACTAATACACTAGGTAAGTTTAGATTTGAGTAAGATTGATACCTTATGATCAGTACTTTCTTAGTTACATGAGCAAGATATATTTTATTCTCAGAATATGGTAGTAGAGAAAACTGATTAAGAACATTAGGGGTTTTCATATAAAAGAATACAAAAATGGGATGACTAAGAATAAACCGAAGATTGCTTAAAATTTTAGCTCCTGCAGGGCCTCAGGTGTGAAGACTAACCTTATTAGATATTTCCCCTGTAGTACTGTCAGTTTTGACTTACTGCCACTTTAGAATTTTATCTCAGCAACACTACAAATATTTATGCACTTTCTCTAACTAGGGAAGCTGGTTAAGTTTGGTGCTCCTGATATTCTCTGATTATTGTAAAACACAATGGAAAATTTGTACCATTGCCCATGTTGCCTCATCTAGTTGAAATCCACTCATTTGCTTGCCTGAAAGGTTATCAGCATTCCCTCTCAACTCAAAATATTGCCCCTCCCTAACTCTTTAAACCCACTGCACATTCTGAAATACATGGTCAGTTACTATTAAACAAATTTTCCTTGTAAACTCTTCTCTGAGCAATTGCATCACTTTTTTGCTCTAATAAAATTATATCCCATTTTAAAGATACCCTTTGAGTCACCCCTGGCTGGCACCATGGAAACAGGCTCCAGGACTGCCCTGTGCAAGGCCAGTCCCCATGGCTGTACCCCTTAAGTCAACCCTGTAGCTCCAAGCTACAGCATACAGAGGGTGCAGGGCTGCTCCAGCAGACCCAGGGTCTATGCTCATCTCAGTAATCTCCAGTGCTAGATTGGCCCCAAGAGACATAGGTTCTAGAACTGCCCCTGTGGAACCAGGTTACAGGTCAGCCCCTGTGGATGGAGGACCCGGATGAGACTTACTAGACCTAGACTCCAGGACAGAACCTACTCACCCCACGTTGAGCTGACCTCTGTGGCACCAGGAACCAGAACAGCATCTGTGATCCCAGAATCCCACATACCCATACCCATACCCATACCTATACCAAGGCCCCATGCCTGTCCCAGCACCAGGCCAGCCCTAGCTTCCTATAGCCTCAGGCTTCTGGGGACATGGGTTCCAGGCTGGCTTTAATAAACCCAGGGTCCAGGACCACCCCAGAAGACCCTGGTGCCAGGCTAGCCCTCAAAAATCAAGGCTTTAGAACTAGCCATGCAGACCCAGGCTCCACACCAACCCCTGTGGACTTAGGATTCATGCCTTCCCCCATGGACTCAAGCCTGTCCTGTGGACTCAGTGTTGTCCTGGCGCTGGTGTGTGCCTAAAACCTGAAGCCATGTTGGCTGATTGATCTCTGAGCTGGTGTGGCACCTAAGCTGGGCCTGGAGCCTGAGACAATGGAATGGCCTTGAATGCAACTCCAGGCCTGCCTCAGCGAAATCCAGTATTGGGGAGGCACCCATGGCCCCAGACTCTAGACCTATTCATATGCTACCTACAAGAGGCTCACTTCAGCTTCAAGGGCACAAATGGATTGAAAGTGAAAGGATGGAAAAACCTATTCCTTGCCAAAGGAAACAAAGAGAAAGCAGAGCTAACTATTCTTATATCAAATAAAACACTCTTTAAGCAAAAACTGCAAAAAGAGACACTATAAGTGTCAGAGTAATGCTGGCCAGAGTCGAATGATTTTGGATGATCTCACGCATATGTGAAATTAAAATAGTCCAACTCATAGAAGCAGAGAGTACAGTGGTGGTTACCAGGGGATAGGGGTGGGTGAGGAAGAGGAAAAAGGGGATGTGTTCATCAAAGCATACAAAATTTTAGTTAGATTGAAGAAATAATTTCAAAGATTTATTGTACATCATGGTGACCATGATTAATAACAATGTATTGTATTCTTAAAAATGGCTAACAGATAAATTTGTGTTCTCCACACAAAAAATAATAAGTATATAAGATAATTCATGTTAATTAGCACAATCTTCACTTCTCACATGTATAAATATTTCAAAACACCATGTTGTACATAATAAACATATAATTTGTATATGTTATACAATTTTTTTCAAAAGAGAAACAATTATAAATAAAGTCTATAAGCTCCTGCTATGTCATCTGTCAAATTAACAGCATTAATGCTCGTGTTCTTTGCTCTGTGTTCTACTACTTTTGGGCTTTCCCATTTCAGACTATTCTCCTGTCTGCATCAACTATCCATTTTCCCTGGTCTACACAAGAACATCACTCCTATATTTACACCCTTTCAGTCTTACTTCACGAATGTTTTTGTTCTCTATACTGCCTTCTTCTCATTGGCATAAAGCAACTCTATAATTTCTCACATTTAAATGTGCCTTCTCTTCCAAAATCCTTTCAGCTGCTACCTCATTTCTTTGTTCTTATGAGTAGCAAAAAAGTCCTCAAAAGTGTTTGAGTCCTCAGAGAAGCACGTGCCAAGACAAGAGTAGAACTGAAAGATAGTTCATTGGGAGAAATGTTTGTGAATTATAAATGGAAAGGGAGCAGGAGTCTGCAAGAAAAGTCTTCAGATGCTGATGCTGCTACAACTGTGAAGGGAGAGAAGAAAGTAAGAATTCTGTGGAAAGAATCTTAGACCTCAATGCAGTTCTGAGAAAGTTTTGGGCCTGGGTCATGGAGAGTCCCAGAGTTAAAATTGCTTTGCAGAAAAATCTGGAGTCACCAGCAAGTGTTCCACTTCTAGTACAATTTCTGTGTTGTATTGATTTTAGATCTTTCTTTGTTTTTAATGTAAGCTCTTACAACTATAAATTTCTCTCTTAGCTCAGTGGTGACTGCATCTGCTAAGTTTTAATACATTGTGTTTTTATTTTCACTTGTGTCAAGGTATTAGTTTCTAATTTTCCTTGTAACTTTTCTTGTGACCCATTGGCTGTTTAAGTGTATGTTGTTTTACTTTCACATGTCAGTGGACATTTGGTTTGTTTGTGTTATTATTGATTCATAATTTCATTTTATTGTGATAAGAAACGATTCTTTGTATTTGTTAAGACTTATTTTGTACCATAACATGTGTATTTTGGATAATGCTCCATATGAACTGGAGAATAATGTATATATTGTTGAGTGGAGTGTTTTGTCTACATCTATTGGGTAATATTGGTCTGTAGTGTTGTTCAAGTCCTTTATTTCCTTATTGTTCTTTTGTCCAGATATTCTATCTGTTGCTGAATGTGAAATGCCAAAGTCTCCTACTATTATTATGTTTTCTTCTTCCTCTCCTTTTAATTCTGTCAAAGGTTTCTTTACATATTTAGGAACTCTGGGGCTTCATGCATAATTATAATTGCTATACCTTCTTGGTGAATTGACACATCACTATGTAACCTTCTTCTTTGTTTCTTATAACAGTTTTTGATTTACAGTATATTTTGTCTGATGTCAATATAGCCACTCTGCTCCCTTTCGGTTACAATTTGCATGGGTTATCTTTTTCCATCCTTTCATTTTCAGCCTATGTATGTCCTTAGAGCTAAAGTGAGTCTTTTGTAGACAGCATATATCAGATCCTGTTTCATAAAACCCATTTAGTTAATCTAGTTTTTTGATTGGGGAGTTTAATCCACTTACATTTAAAAATAAAAATATAAAAAATACTGTAAATATTTCTAGGAATTGATTTACCACTGACATTTTGCTAATTATTTTCTATATGTTTTGTAGGCTTTTGTGCCTCTTTTTGTTTTACTGCTTTTCTTCATATTTTGTTATGTTTTTTAGTAATATGCATTTTTATTTCCTTTTGTATATATTCTATAAGTATTTTCTTTCTTGTTACCATTAGAAATGCTTAAAATATATTAAAGTTTTAGCATTCTAATTTAAACAAAGAACAACTTAACTTCAGTCACATACAAGACCTCTACTCATTTATAGCTACACTCCCCTGTTATGACATTAATATTATAAATCACATCTTTATATATTATACACCAATTAACATAGATTTATAGGAACTTTTAATGTTTTTGTCATTTAAATTCTATTCACCAAAATTGTAGTAATACAGCCTACAAAATGTGTCCACATATTTACCTTTACTAGTGAGCCTTACATTTCTGTATAGCTTCATATTTCTGTCCACCATACTTTTGTTTCAACTTGAATGACTACCTTTAGCATTTCTTGTAGGGCAGGCCTAGTGGTAATGAACAATGTCAGCTTTTGTTTATCTGGAAAAGTCTTAATGTCTCCTTCATTTCAAAAGATAAATTTGATGTATGAAGTATTCCTGGTTGATAGTTGAGAAATTCGCTGATAACTTTATGGAAGCCCCCTTGGATGTGACAAATTGCTTTTCTTTTGTTGTTTTCAGGATTTTCTCTTTGTCTTTGACATTGGACTATTTGAGTATAATCTCTGTAGTTCTCTTTGAATTTATTCTACTTGGAAGTCTTTGAGCTGTTTGAATCCGTATATCTATTTCTTTCTTCAGATTTGGGAAGTTTCTGGCCATTATTTCTTCAAATAAGCTCTCTATCCTTTTCTCTTTCCTGCTTCTTAGATTTCCATGACATTATACATATATTGGTCACATAAATTACTTAGGCTATTTTTGCTTTTTTCATTTATTTTTGTTCCTGTGATTCAATGATTTCAAATTATTTGTCCTCAAATTCACTGATGCTTTCTTCTGCCTGATAAGGTCTTACTGTTGAACCCTTGGAATAAAGTTTTCAGTTGAGTTGTATTTTCTGTTCCTGAATTTCTGTTTTTATCTCTTTTTTTGATATTCTCATTTTGTTCATTCATTACCCTGATTTTATTTAGTCGTGAGTGATCTCTTGTAGCTCACTGAAATATCTTTGTGACAGTTATTTTAATTTTTTGTCCAGCAGCTCATAGATCTGCATTTCTATAGCGTCAGTTTCTAAAGTTTTATTTTGTTTCTTTGATTTGGCGTGTTTCTTTGTATGCCTTGTAATCTTTGCTGGGACTTGGGCATTTGTAAAAGCAACTGCCACTCCCAGAACTGTCTACAGAAATGCAGCTTTAATGTGCTTCTTGCTCCTCTTTTCAGTGGCTTCCAAACTCTTTCACTGGTTTCATCAGTGCTCCAAGTTAAGTGAGACGGAAACCAATCTCTTAGGTAGCCCCACAACAAGGCCGCATGTTAGGTAAATGGTCCATTCCTTGTTTCTGTCCTGAGGGAAGATCCACATATGAGGGCTTTCTTCAAGTTGCTCTGCACTAGGTTATGCAGGGAAAGAAACATGAACAGGAGCATTAAATGCCTAGAATCCTCCTACATTTTTTTTTCTGGGATCCCTTCCTGGTTTTACAATAAGCAGAGTGCTGTAGCTTTTCAACTGGCCTCTTGTGTTTTCACAGAGTCATTCTGGTCAATATATTGTTGTTAACTTGGTATCTTTGTGAAGGAAGGATGGACTGTGACTTTCTAGTCTGCCTTCTTGCTGACCATTCTCATTTTTAAAAATCCAATCTACTTAAGCTTTCACTCTATTCTATCAAAAGAGCTCTTGTTCGGTCACAAATAACATGATATTGCTAAATCCTTTGGTTCATCTACATATAGTTCCTAGCTTGATTGACTTATTGAGAGCATTTTATATCAATGATCATACATTTCTCTATGAAATGTGATTTTGTACCTGGATTCTTAGATATCATAATATTTTGGGTTTTTTTTAATATCTTACTCACATTTCCTTACTCCTGTATTCTTTTTCACTCCACATCTTTCTTTTTTCTAATCTGTCAATTATCCTAGGGCCTATGCCTTTAACTTACAATTATGAAAACCCCAGAATAATATCAGTAATTTGAGAAGTATCTCCTCTAAATGCTCCTGAGAATAGATCAAGCAATTATGTGATATAATTGTCCAATTATTTTCATTAAACAATTGTGTGTCTCTGTTATCATTATTAGGAATTAAACCTTTCTTCCAGATGCCAATCTGAAAGCAATCTTACAGCCTTCTTCCTATAAGCCCTAGTTTTCTTGAATTGGACTCATCATAAAAGGATAATATATTTTCAAAATGGAATAAAGAGAGGAGAAAAAGTGGTTAAGTCAGAGGGTGGATTGTTTGTGAAGCCCTAAAGTTTTGAGAAACTTTAGGAGAGCTAGTGAAACTGGAATTCAGAAATAGTCTAATAGAGAGAGAGAGAGAAATTAAAGTGGTGCAGTGAGAAGGACCACATCATATAAGGCCCTACAAATTTGGTGGCCAAATTCCATCCTGGTTTGTCCAGATGAGTCCTGGTTTACACTTGTTATCCTAGCATAATTACCTAAAAGCATTTTTTTCACACTCAAAAGTGTCCCAGTTTGTACAAAAAATTACATGGTCACTCAGAAGAGCAAATGTAACAATCATAGCATGCATACTAGGAATGCCCACAGAGAAAAAAGGAAACGAATGATATATTCTGTGGCTAAGGAAGTTAAAGTCAGCTTTTCACCCATTGGGAGTAATCAAATATGTCTAATGCTGCTGTGGGAAAGGACTGAGATGCAACCATTTTATTTAGTGGACATGGTTTCTTATTTCATCTATAGAAATTTCAGAGCGGTCAAGGAAAGAGTTAATTCTGACTTCTGGGGATTAAGGAATAGATGGGTGTTGAGTATATGCAGACCACAGTGTGAAATAAGTCTTCGAAAAATGATTGGCTGTGGGGAAAGTAAAGGAGTGTGATAACTATTGTAGTAGAGTAAGATAATAAAAGAGGGAAGATTAAAAAAAAAAAAGATAGTGCCAATCACAGGGTTAGGGATTTGGTGTGGAGATGCCGATGTAAGTTCTGTCTGATAGCCTTTATTTTTGGTGTGAAATGGGCACCACCACTTCTGAAGGTGAAATAAACATGGGTCAAGAGGTGAAAGCTTTGGAGATGTTTTGAAATAGTGATTGCAAAAGGTAGAAAATCCAATTACACACATTTATTCGAATTATCAATTGATGTTGGTTATCATGAATTAACCATGGTAGGCATCTATTCAGCTTTGCCTCAGACTCCAGCAGTTTTAAATATAGGTAACCAGATGAAATATTGTTAAAAGATAATCTAGGGTTAGTATTTTGCCAGTCAGGTACTCCGGAAGAAACAAACAAACAAAAAAGGCAAGAAAGTTTAGCATCCTGGCCTAACAACCCTATATCATGTTATCATGAGCATTTCCTTATACAAGTTTATGCAACAATATATCCTAAAATTGATACTGTTAGCTACCTGGGTAGAAGTGACTCCATTCTGATGGGGACTCTGTTACTATAAAAGACAATCATCTTAATGCCACCCTTTGAGGCTTCCTCACTTATTCCTCCCTATCATACTCTCTTGAGTTTAATGGCAGATTAACTCTTCATCATCCTAGAGAGGAGACAGAGAGTGTCTGAACGAATTAGGTATGAACACAAATGAATTTTGATGATTAGATAGAAATGATGAGAACATTTATAATTACTGAACACAGCCCAGGGAAAGCAGGACAGCTGAGGGCCTTAGAGGAGAAATATATGTGGCTAGAAACAAACAAAATTTTGTCATACCTGCAACAGAATATTCATTTAAGGAAAGCAAACAACATTTAAAATGAGTAAAAAGTACGTTGAGAAATTAATTTATCTATGGTGAATGTTTTCAAGTTTTATTCTAATGGCATTTATTCCCAGTAAACCTATAATTGATCTTAGCTGCAAATAGTACAGAATAGAATTATTTAAATAAAGCTTTTAGCTTTTAAAGTGACATTTTATACTCTAACAGGTGCTGTAAATGTTATTGAGACGCTGTTTCTTTTCTTAGTGAAGTATATATTTTAATTGCATGATTAATATTTCAAATGCTTTAAAGCTTTGAAAGAGTATTTCAAATAGTATCATATATTTTTGTCTTTAATGCTTTTTTTTTTTTTTTTTTTTTTTTGAGATGGAGTCTCGCTCTGTCGCCTAGACTGGAGTGCAGTGGCGCAATCTTGGCTCACTGCAAGCTCCGCCTCCCGGGTTCGTGCCATTCTCCTGTCTCAGCCTCCCCAGTAACTGGGACTACAGGCGCCCGCCACCATGCCCGGCTAATTTTTTGTATTTTTAGTAGAGATGGAGTTTTACCATGTTAGCCAGGATGGTCTCAATCTCCTGACCTCGTGATTCCCCCGCCTTGGCCTCCCAAAGTGCTGGGATTACAGGTGTGAGCCACCGTGCCCGGCCTTTATTGCATTTTTAACAATAATGAGTAATTTTAAAGCAGAAAGTCCTCTGACCATGTTGCTTGCTTTGTATACATTGTATTTATACCAGACTGCCAACTAATTCCTTATTAGTGTACTTTAGTAAGAAGAACCATAGATGGAAAAATATGCATTATTAGAAGAAAAGATAATTGAGATGAAACTTGAGTGTAAGCATGAAAGAATATGCCTTGTTTTTGAGTTGACTGAATAACACAAAATAACCTATTTTGAGCTTATACTCTGTATTCTAAACTATGTAAAATTTGGCCTTTCATTTTTTTAAAAAATTGTTATTAATTTTTAAAAACACTGTAACTATTTTTTAAAAACTTTTGGGAAAAATACAAATCAACCTTTCCTATCTGTATCATAAAACTTGATTAAAAATAAAAGGGATTTTAGAGAGCATTACTATAATCCTTTTCTTCTGTGCCTGATTTAATATCCCTGATCACTAGGACCTATATTACCTATATTGTACGTGTGTGTGTGTGTGCATGCGTGTGTGTGTGTTAATATCTGCAACCTATTCCTCAATCTTTTTAATGAGAGGTTTTGGGAAAGATAATGTTATTTTTGTGTGTTTGTATATAGGTTACAATAGTAATTTTGCAAGCAATTGATATCAAGCTTTTATCTTTAAATTTTCTAAAATACACCAGGTTTTTTTGTTCTTTTACATGATTGGAACATGTGTCTAAGTATTCAATCATATTTTATGTTTTATTTAGCATATGACTATGGAAGCGGTAGAAGAAGAGGAGAGGAGGAAAAATTTGTTAGATAAACCAAGAGGCTATGATTTTAGTTAACTAATTCACTAATTGGAAAACAAGAATGCTGGAAGGAGTAGGGATGAAGAATCCAAAATTTTTGGTTAAAATATGTAAGAAATGGAGCATAAAACAAAGATTAACCAACTAATGTAAGCAAGAGGTAGATAGGATGGTGAAGCCAGATAGATGGGATTAAACATAATTTTTTAAATTAGAAGAAATGATTTGGAAGTTGTAAAAGGGAGCTAGGAGAAAAATGCCAAACCTCCTTTTCCTAAGACAAATGGAACATGAGAAAAATATAAACCCTCACTTGTGAGGCTGCCTACAAGGGCA
Source organism: Homo sapiens (assembly GCF_000001405.40). Classification (NCBI taxonomy): domain Eukaryota; kingdom Metazoa; phylum Chordata; class Mammalia; order Primates; family Hominidae; genus Homo; species Homo sapiens. The sequence goes on from NC_000013.11 coordinate 54,508,640, forward strand.
GCAATTTTTCTTTTTTTTTTTTTTTTTCTTTTTTTTTTTTGAGACAGAGTCTCGCTCTGTTGCCCAGGCTGGAGTTCAGTGACATGATCTGGGCTCACTGCAAGCTCTGCCTCCTGGGTTCACGCCATTCTCCTGCATCAGTCTCCCTAGCAGCTGGGACTACAGGCGCTCACCACCACGCCCGGCTAATTTTTTGTGTTTTTAGTAGAGACGGGGTTTCACCGTGTTAGCCAGGATGGTCTCAATCTCCTGACCTCGTGATCCGCCTGCCTGGGCCTCCCAAAGTGCTGGGATTACAGACGTGAGCCACCGCGCCCGGCCAGGGTCAGCAATTTCATCTGTAATAGTCAGGTTTCATTTCAGGCAGGAAAGTGATGGAAATGTTTAAACATGTTAAAAATGTGGAAGACTTTTCAGATTACAGAGCAGGAATTTCAAGGAAATTGCAAAGGAAGAAGATAGAAAATTTTCAGATTAGGTTACATGCTTAGTGTTATATAGGTAGGAGAATACAATGATAATGAACTCGAGGCCAGGAAACATGGCTCTTGAATGCTCAGTGCCTGGTGCAGCATCTACCATAAAATTGGTGCTTATAAATATTTGTTGATAAAAATAAAACACATAAACAATGCAATTTGCCTCTATAATATTGTGACTGTTAACCATTAAAAATCTAGTGGCAAAATCCTTTGAAATGCTTAAGTAAATGGTTCCTTTTTACTGTTTATGAGGAATTTATTCTTATTTATTTATTATTAGCAAACTGAATCTCATTGTAAATTTTTCCAAAACGAATTGTCATGAACTTGTCCTTAGCTTGTAGGTACAGTATTAAATTGTTGGCATAAACACAATTTAGGACAAATCTGATTCTGAGACTGAGGATGCCACTTCATTCACACAGATACCTATGACAAAAATCACTATTTGATAAAATCTTAATCATCACTACAGGAAGGTGTTCTTACCCTTTATTGATCAATCAAAATGTGTTATGGCCACTACAGAGTATGGGAATTCATTTAAAATTGTGTGTACTCATGATACAGATATAAACAACCACTAATGTAATTGCTGTAACATTATGTATAGCAAAACAGTAGTTATTTAAACTGCTACATATGCAGATAGAAGCCAGCAAAAAACACAGACAGTATCTTTATGCTATTATTCTAGATTAGGTATAAGGCAAATGATGACTCATTATACTAATAGCAAGTATAGATGACATGCAGAATAAATATTTAAAGCACTGCCAGACTTATTTGCATGTCTTAAACTTTGTTGACCCCATCATTTAAAATTTTGCTTTTTAACTATCCACCATGTTAATTTTATCTATATTTTCAAATTTATAAATAATATAGTAGTAGTCATTAATATAATACTATATAACAAAAATAATTTAGAAATACGGTAACTACCATATTTCTTTATTGAGAAGAACTTCAAATAAACTTTACTCTATCTCCTAACTTTACGAAAATAGAAACAGGCACAGAGAGAAGGTCATAGAGCCAAAAAAATGATAAGATTTGAACTCACATCTGTTAATTCTCTGTTCAGTGTTTTTACACTCCTGCCTCATCTCAGTTCATGTTGAACTGTGCAAGCTGTTGCATGTGACACAGATGAGAAAGGCATGAAATCTGTTCTGGAGACGTTTAAAACTGGAGAAGGATAAAGAACGAGACATATACATGTAGTAGTATATTTTGGAATAAGATTTTTAAAAATAAGAACTTATGGTGTAAAAAGACTTTTTTTAAAAAGAAAAAAACACAACAAATACATGAGAGATGGAGAACAATATAATCATATCAAATTAGGACTGTCAAGAGAGACTTCAGTGGCTGTGATTGAAAGCTGCCTTATATGATAGACAGGGTTTAACCATGAGGTGTTTCAGATAATGGAAGTAATAGAATCAATGGCAGGAGCAGGGGCAGGTTAAGAATGCATATTTGTGAGGAATCTTAAGACTAAATTAAATTGAAGATTGAATAAACAGCTTGACATGAGGCTGGAAAAATATACTGGGACAATATGAAGAATTTAGAAATATTTGGATTGTTTTTAAGAATTAAAATATGACAAGTATGTAGGATAAGTTTTAGTTGGGATATAAGAGTTTGCGAAATTATTGAATTTTTTAAATTGCTCCATGATAAATGTAATAAAGCCTGAACGAGAGTGAAGGCAGCAAGAATAACAAGGGACCAACTGATACACTTAAGGAAAAACCCCTTGAATGAAATGTAGTTACCACAGTTATTATTTCATATGTATTTATTTAAATTACACATATGGTTATATAGTTATTTACTTTTTATAGTTGGTTCACAAATCAAAATGAAAGAACATAGATATTCAGGAATTTTGCTTCTATGTATGCCCCTATCGTCTCACTTACCTTTACACAGATATTAATTTTTATTAGTCTTATATAGTTAATTTAGTGTTTCTTCCAATACAAGCAAATGTGACTATATACCCTTATTTCCTTATGTTCTTACACAAATGAATTCAGATTATATAAACTCTTCTGCTTGACCACTTAATAATTTCTAAATATCTCTCCCTATAAATATACAGAAATCTTTCTTTTTTGTGTGTAATAGCTGTATTGTCATTGTGAGGCTTATGTAACCAGTCTCTTGTAGATGAATATCTTTTTTCAATTTTTTCTATTACAAATTATGCTACATTAAGTAAAACTGGATATGCCACATTTTGCACAAGAGTGTAGGTGGATCTCTAGAAAATAACTTTAATATAACTTTTTCCAGAAGTAAGTCTGCTGGGTTAAGAACAGACGCATTTGTAATCTTGGTACATATTGCCAAATTACTCTTACTGTAGTTGCATCACTCTACCCTCCCATTAACAATATATGAGACTGCTGCTATCCCTAGCCAGTAAACAGAGCTGACGAACTTGGGGATGCTGCAATCTGAGGAGCGAAAAATGCTGTTTCAGCTTGCGTTTGTAAACATTTTGGCCGAAGATATCTTCTCATTTGTCTTGGAGGCAATTTGTGTTACTTTTTATGTGATCTGTTGCTTCATGTCATTTGTCTATTTTCTTGTTAGATTTTTGCCTTTTTCCTTTAATTTTTTTTTACAAGGTTTCTAATGTGAGGTAGATTTGTCTGTGATTTGAGATGCAGATATTTTCACAAATGGATTATTTTATCTTGCCTCCTGAAATATTTTTATGTAAGCAGATTTATTAATTTTTAGCGACTTCTGAATTTTTAATCAGAATTAAGAAGGTTTCCTAATTTATAATGGTATTGGCTAATGTTTTATTCCTGTTTGTGTGTTTAATATTTGAAACATTGATACATTTGGAATTTAATCTGGTATACTGTGTGAAGTATTAATCCAATTTTAATCCAGACGGTTAGTGAGTTTTCTAACAAACATCATAGTAAAAAACACATTATCTTATTAATATTTCTTTAAGTTGTCACTTCATATCATAATAAGCTACTATGTATATTGTGTCTTGTTTCTAGTTTTTCTGTTCAGCATTCATTTATTCATTTATTCATGTGACAATACCACACTGCTTTAATTACTAAGGTTTTACAGTTAGTTTTCATAGATCTCATAGCCATTTTTTCTCACTTTTCCTGGATATTCTGGGTGGTTTATGTTGTCTATTTGAATTTTCCAATCACCTTGTCTAGATATTTGCTACAGTTTGTTTTGTTTTTTAATTATAATTATAAATTTTCCTCTAAGCAACATTTTATTTTGATTCCATAAGCCTGTATATGTTCAGTTCACATTATAATTGATAGAAATGTTGCTAGCATTTTGTTTTAATAACAAACATGTTTTAGTAATATATTTGTGTGGAATGAATTTTGAAAAGGTTTGGTTTTTGCTTGATGATTTATCTAAATCTCTTTAGGAAAAGCAGGCCTTAGACATTTTTTAAATGTTTAGATTAGTTCTTCCTATCAAAATAATTTGTTTTTTATGAGATTTCTATGTCTTATTTCAGCTACAAGTTCAACAAAAATATGTTTTCTAACATTGCCTCATTATGTAGCTAAGACAAGTTACTAACTCTCTGCATCTCAGTTTCCTCATCTGCTAAATGGAAATATTAATGATAACTATCATATAAGGTTAAATAAAAATTCACACACACATACGTAAGTATGTATGTGTATTATTTATCTATCTATATTGTATAACCTATCATTATCTAATTGTCTATCATCTATATACATATCTATCTATTAGAAACTTAAAATGCCTAGTATTTAGTAATACTTAATGGATGACAGTAATTTCCCTTTATGTATTTATCACAATCAACGGGCACAATGTAATGTAATCTGGTTATTGATTAAAATATTTCTGGCTAATCTTTAACTTCTTAAAATTTTGAGCAATTCAATACTAAGAAAATGATAAAAAATACTTTAATTTTTGCTACGATCTACTTTTAAAAATCTGAGATTTTAAATTTTTCAAAAAATTATCCAGTCATTGAAAATTTGAATTGCACATTTTGAATTTTTGAGGACTTCTTGATTTCATATTTTTATTTTTACAAAACTGTGCTGTTAAGCAGTACAACAAGTCACACTTTCTTCTAAAAGAAAATGTTTTTAGATACAAGAACTCAGTTGTTTTAATCTCCTGCCAAACTGTCATGGTGCATGGAATTTATGTTGTAGAATTAACATTTTTTTCCCCCAAATGTAACCTATTTTGTTTCAAAAGACTTATTTGCCTTGGATGATTGTTTCATAGGTTTAAAACGTAATTTCAGATGTCATGTCACTGAAATAGATGGCAAGATATCAAGTGTTTCTGTAGAAATTTAGCCTGCCTGTTATTTACAGATGGCTCCCAAGGGATGAATTCTATGAAGCACTGAATAATCTTCAAGACAGTGGCAAAAATCACATAGTTACAAGAGTTAAGAGACAGAAAACTTTGCCAAAAAAACCCTAAAAAAAATTAGAAGATGAATTCAGAGAAAGAACACAAACACAAAATACAATTGTGTGACGGAATTCAGAGTTCTGTTTTAGACTGCCTGACTCAGTGTTTTACCAAAGATTAATGGAAGAATGCTTCATGTTTTGAAATTACCTGGATATATTTACACTTCAGGAAATAATTTGGATGTTAAAATAAAATGTGCAAGTATTGTAAGTGCGATGTAAATGAAATTGAATAAGGCTTTTTATTATGGATTTGTTGTATATTTTGAAATTTCTCTATTTGAATCTAAAGTCTATCTTTTATGACTATGGTTTGTTCATATCACAAATACAGGTGGTTAAATGAAAATGTGGATATATAATAAGAGTAAATAAAGCCCACAGAAAGTAAAAATAAGAAAATTATATTTGTCATAATGGAAAAGACGTTAATATTGGACTAAACTGTATAAACTTTTAGGAAAATTCAACTTTATAATAGGATAATTGAATAGATTTAGCTATTTTGTATGCGCTTGAATCATAATGATAAAAAAGCAAAAAAAAGAAAACATCTTTTGTTGTGTTTTTAAGGTCAACTTGAAAATAAGTTCTAAGAATCACACATACACAAACAAAATTCTAGATTACAAAAATATCATCTTAAACAGAATGATACTGGACTAAAAATAGATGCTTAGACAAATGGCACAAAATAGAGAACCCAGAACTAAAGCCATGTGTTTAGTCAGTTGATTTTTTTTTTTAGAGAAAAAATATTTATTTATAAAAGGTTACTATTTTCTGAGATTCATTAAGTTCTTGGTCTTATAAACAGAGCCCGTATGTTTATTTTTTACATTATCTTTCTTATGTCCAATAAAATACTTTCCCTTTAATAATCCTGTAACATTGCATTCAAATAATTTTGAAATGAAATAGGTATCATAAAACTTTAGAATGAGAAGTGAAGTGATAAAGGAATAATTTCTTATATCTTGGGACAGCTGTGATGTAAGCATTTTTATAATCCCATCTTACAGATGAGGAAACAAAGCTAAAGATAAAGTAAATCATCTAGGGTCACATGTAAACCACATGGAAGACCCAAAACTGGAACCCAGTTTTATGAAAGGAGCAATGGTTTATATGGGGCATAATAACTATCCAATGAAATACAAAGCAATTCCCTGGGTCATCACTGCACCCCCTGCACTGCTATGACAATTCGGCAGTTAGAACCTTGGAGAAATAAATGCCACCACTTAAAGGAAGTCACTCATGTAACCATGAGCATTCATTAAGGCCTGAGGCTCTTTCTCTAGTAACATCAGCCTTCTATAGTCAATCCTAAATTTGTATATTGTTTTCATTGATGCTGGAATAACTTTGGGTTGATTGAATTCCTCTGGATAAACAAAATATTACTCATGTAGAATTTTTATTTATTTTTTCAAATTGAACTTTTAAGTTCAGGGGTACATGTGCAGATTTGTGATATAGGTAAACTTGTGTCATGGGGGTTTGTTGTATAGATTATTTCACCACCCAGGTATTAAGACTAGTACCTGTTAGATATGTTTTCTAATTCTCTTCCACCTCCCAACCTCCACCTTATGAAAGGCTCCAATATCTGTTGATTGATTTTCGACAAAGATGCCAAGAACATACAATGGGGAAAGGACATTCTCTTCAATAAATGGCATTGGGAAAACTGGATATCCACCTGTAGAAAAATGACATTAGATTCTTACCTTACACCATAAAACAAAACTAACTCAAAATAAGACTTAAATAGAAGATCTGAAAGTTTGAACTACTAAAATAAGACATGAAAAATCTCCATGTCATTGATCTGGGCAATGAGTTTTTGGATATGACCCCAGAAACACAGGCAACAAAAGCAAACATGGACAAATGGGGTTATATCAAACTAAAGAGCTTCTGCCCTGCAAAGGAAACAACAGAGTGAAGAAACATCTTAATGAATGGGAAAAAATATATGCAAGCCATACATGGGATAAGGGATTCATAGCCAAAATCTATAAGGTACTCAAACATTTCAATAACAAGAAAACAAATAACCTGATTAAAAAATGGGCCAAGGACTTGGATGTCAAAAGAACACATACAAAGGGCTAGCAGTTACATAAAAACATACTCAACATCACTAATCATCAGGTAAATGTAAATCAAAACCACAATGAAATATGACCTCACACCTGTTAAAATGGCTATTGTTAAAAAAGACAAGGAATAACAAGTGTTGGAGAGGTTGTATAGAAAAGAGAATTCTTGCACACTGTTTGTAGGAATGTAAATTAGCACAGCCCATTATGAAAAACACTCTGGTGCTTCCTCAAAAAATTAAAGATAGAACAATCACATGACATAGCAATCCAACTAGTGAATATATATGCAAAGGAAATGAAATTTGTATGTTGAAGAGATCTCTGGACTCCCATGTTCTTTGCAGCAGCATTCACAATAGCCAAGACAGAAAGTCGATATAAGTGTCCACCAAAGGATGAGTAAATAAAGCAAATGTGGTATATATACATAATGAAATACTATTCAGTCTTAACAAAGAAGAAAATCCTGTCATTTGTGACAACATGGATGAGCCTGGTGGACATTAAGCATAATAAGCCAGTCACTGAAAGACAAATACTGGATTATTTCACTCATAGTCTAAAATCATCAAATTTACAGAAGCAGAGAGTGGAATGGTGGCTACCAGGGAATAGGGACAGGGCTGGGGGAAGGATATTGAGGAGATGTTTATCACAGGATGCAAAATTTCAGATATACAGGAGGAATAAATTCAAGAGCTATATCATATAACATGGCAATTATGGTCAATAACAATGTATTTTTGAAAATGACTCAAAGAGTAGGTTTTAAGTGCTCTAACCACAAAAGGTAATAAGTATATGAGGTAATGCATACGTTAATTTTCTCAATCTAGTCATTTCACAATCTATACATATTTCAAAATATTATGTTCTACATAGTAAATATATACAATATTTATTTGTCAATAAGACTAATACTAAAAACACAAAAGTATCACTTTATTCAGACATATTTGCATATTTATTTTAATTCTATAACAAGAATGCTGTAGTTGACAAAGCTGAAATTTTCAATCAAATAATTATTTCAATGATATATTGATTATGGGGCAAAATTTTGGAGTAATGGGGAGCTCTGAGAGGGAAAGATCCACCCCACTATGCAATCAGTGATTTCAGGACATCTCTTTAGGTTCTAGGAAAACATAGCATCCTAACTCACCTATACTATTTTTCTACATTGTTTCTTTCCATATTTATTTAGAGACAGGGTCTTGCTCTGTTCAGCCCAGGATGAAGTACAACACTGCGTCTTGGAACTCCTGGGTTCATCTGATTCTCCTGCCTTGGCCTCCTAATGCACTGGGATTACAGGCATGAGCTACCTCGCCTGGCCCCTACATTGACATTATATTTTTAAAGAAATTGTCTACATGGGGTTTTTCCAGACAGAGTGACCTAGATAGTGTTTTGTAATATGAGAGAAAGAAAAGCAAAAAGCAAACAAGAAATCTATAAATGTTTTAAATGAGAACATTTAAATGTGATCTTAAATCTTATTAAATCTTTTTAAATCTGTGGAAAGAAAGTAGACTTTATGTAAGAGAAAGAAAATATCACATAAATTGATGGGAATTAGAAAGAAGAAAGTTTTAGTTTGGTATATGAATCACCAATAAATGTGGATAAACAAAATATTTAGTTCTCTGTCAACAAAGTTTCATCCAGAAGCAAGAGGAATTCCTGGGTTATGATGGATATTGGAATAGATTATTTCATACATGTATGCACTTATTAATTTGGATTTTTTTCTTTCAAATAGCATCTGAGTTTAATATGTTATTTCTCTTCTGCTCTGCAGATTCTGTAATTCTTCTAAATATTTTGCATATAGAAAATAAAGAAATAGCCTCAAAATTGACATCATACTAAAAGCAAACGAAGTAATGAAGTGATTATCTCTAGCATTTGTTCTAAGTTACAGTTTATATTTTAAAGGAAGTTCCTTGAATAAGAGCTCTTATTTTCCTATTTCTTGAGTAGTTTTTAAAATTCTAAGAAAAATTTTAAGGAAACAGTAGGATTAACAGTATAAGAATAATGTTAATCAGTTATTAAATATAGCCTGGGATGTCAAAATACTACACAAATTCAATATCTCAAAGATTATAACCTAAAAGATGATCAAGTAAAGCAACGAGAAACGTAATTCCCAAGTTGGTAGATGGAAATCTTTATTACTATCATTATTATTTGTTAGAATACTTGGTGTCTATAAAGCAGTTTTCAATCTTTCACTGATTTTTCACTCATAACTTCATTTAAGTAGGTTATTATCATTATTTTGCTAATGATATAACCAACACAGAGAGTTAATAATTTATTATATCCCACAGCCAATGAGCCATAGAAGACAGATTTAGATACTTATTTTATTTCCCTCTGATTTTTAAAACTTCACCTGGCCAGGCGCGGTGGCTCACACTTGTAATTCCAGTACTTTGAGAAGCAGAGGTGGGTGGATCATGAGGTCAGGAGTTCAAGACCAGCCTGGCCAAGATGGTGAAACCCCGTCTGTACTAAAAATACAAAAAGTCACCAGGCACGGTGGCAGGCACCTGTAATCCCAGCTACTCGGGAGGCTGAGGCAGGAGAATCACTTGAACTCAGTAGGCGGAGGCTGTAGTGAGCAGTGATCGCACCAGTGTACTCCAGCCTGGGACAGAGTGAGACTCCATCTCAAAAAACACAAAAACAAAACAAAACAAAACAAAATTCACCTTATTCTAGTTGGTTAGATTGCTGAGCATAACCACATAGGAAGAAGAATTACTATGTAACATGAAGAAATTTATTTTAACTAAGAATGAGTCCACAAAGGAAAATATATAATTAGTCATGTATAATTCCTGGAGTACATAGAAATATTGGCATCAGCATTGCACATGAAATTATTTGGGAAGTCACAATTTATTTTTTGAAAAGTTCAAGGAAACAGTATTCAACTTCCCATTCTTACAGTCAGATTTTTTTTATCAATTTGAAAAGATAATGTTTGTATATATCATGATCAAGTATATCCTCAATTTTGGATTAAACCTAGATGTAAAATGCAAAACCTGGAGAGATATTCAGTTATTAGTAAGTTACAATGAGCTATAGGGAGTTTTAGTCAATCTGTTGATTCTGGATGAGGGATGAGTTGTTTTTTTTTTTTTTTTTTTTTTTTTTTTTGATGGAAGCCTAGCTATGTGACTTTAGGCAAGTTCTTAAGCCCTCTTTACCTTGGATTTATCTATAAAATAGAGAGTGATAGCTGCTCACAACAGCATGTTTTTGTTGTGAGAATTAGAAGAAAAAATTCATTTAAAGTACTATGCAGAGTAGCAAACCTATAGTTATTCCTTAGTAATTATAAGGCATTAGTCATTATTTTTGTGTCAGTTCTCAAAATAGAACTTCTTAAAAGATATATTTTAATTGAAACTACCTAGCCTTTCAGTATAAATAAAGTGCATTATAACTGTGTATGGGAGGCAAAATTTCTGAAATGGTTCTCCAAAGTTGAACAGCCATTACCCACAAAATCTGTAAATATGATGAATTGTCACTCCTGTGTTTGTTATGTCATGTAGTTCAGTTGACTTTAAGATAAGAAGATTATCCTGGGTTTTCTAGGTGGGCCAGTTTTCATCACAAGAACCCTCAAAAGCAGAAAGGTTTTTCTGGCTGATATCAGAGGTCAGAAATATTTGAAGTATGAGAAGAATATAATGCATTCTTCCCACTCTGAATGTAGAATAGCCATGTATGAAGGAGGATGGGTGGTCTCTACGGGGAGATTGCAAACTCCTGCTGACAGCCAGCAAGGAAACAGTCCTACAACTACAAGGAAACTAATTCTGACAACAACTTAAATGAACTCAGAAGTGGCACCTTCCCAGAGCTTCCAGATAAGAGTCTTTCCCAGTCAACACATCGATTTTAACCTTGTAAGACCTGGAACAGATTACCCAGTTGACCCTACCCAGACTTCTGCCTCAAAGAAACGGAGTGATGATAAATGTGATGCTTTAAATTGCCAAATCTGTGGAATAGGTTACACAACAGTAGGAAACTAATAAACATACTATGTTTATTTTCTTAATAGATAGTTATTTGGAACCCAAATACCTTAAAAATCAAATAGATTTAATATAAACATTTGATTTACTAGTTGGATGTGAATAATGTTCATCTCAGTTTGATAATATTGAATTTTTAAGTGTGAAGGGACTTTAAAGAACAGAGTCTGGAATGAAGAAAATGTGGCCACAAAGCATAAAGAATTTGCCTTGGTTTTGTGATTTCCATTCTGTGGGATTTCTAACCATAGGCTACTGAAGGGTCATTATATGTCCATCCCATATAACTAGGTGCTATAATAATTATATTTCTGGCACATTCTGAAACTATCTATCTATCTATCTATCTATATTCTTTCTACTATTAATATACAGTCTACCTAGTGAGTTAATTGTATATGTTTATTATTCCTATTCTTCCTCGAATTCTGCTGAATGTGCACAGGGAAGAATAATCTCAGAGGTACACACTGAAGCCCTGCCTTATGCTATGTATGAACTTGTCATTCAGGGGCATAATTAGAATTCCATATCTCCCAACTCCAAACCCTTGTATCTTCTGCACTATACTATCATGCCTCTTTTGTCTACACTCTATATTATAGAACAAGATTGGTATTTGCTTTATTATCTTTGCACTTTATTTAATAAAGCACCATTATTGATTAAGAATATCTTATCAATACTTTTGGAGCTGCTGCTGATTAATATCAAAGCAAAACTTGCACCCAACAACTCTAAACAGGCAAGAAAGACTTTATTTAATACTTCTGTTGCAAGAAGAGAAAGACTGAACTCAACTCTGTTGAAACAAACATGACTACAGAGTTTTAAATACTGGGATAAGGCAGGAGTTATAGGCCATCTGTGTTTGCTTATTGGCTATATCTAAGAGAAAAACAAACTTTTCTCATCTTTATAGCAGCAAGTAGTTTTTTTTTTTTTATACTTTAAATTCTAGGGTACATGTGCACAACGTGCAGGATTGTTACATATGTATACATGCGCCATGTTGGTGTGCTGCACCCATTAACTCGTCATTTACATTAGGTATATCTCCTAATGCTATATCCCTCCCCTCTCCCACCGCTGAATGACAGGCCCCGGTGTGTGACTTTCCCGTTCAGCAGGAAGTAGTTTTTTAACTGGCATCAGGGCATGCCAGAAGTTAGGCTCCTACCTTCCTACAGAGAGTGGGCAATAGGGGCACTATCTTTCCTGATGATTACACTTTAAATAGATGACTCCCTGGTTCTTGAGAAAGACATTCCTGGGTTGAAAAATTGGCAAGAGGCTTTCAAAAATATTTACATTTTAAAATGACAGGAAAATAATTTACAAGTTTTCTAAAGTAAATTCTCTAAAAAAAAAAAAAAAATTAAGTGGCTTCGAGTCAGGAAGAATCCTGCCTAAAGTTAATTCAAGCTGAGGGCAGAGTTAGGGTCATAGTGGTCATCACTAACACTTTCCACTGACTCTGACTTCTTAAAATACTTAATATATCAAAAAGTATGTATGAAAATACACAAGTAAGGCAGTTTTTCATGGACCAAATCAGACAGACAAAATAGGTGAACAATAAGACAAAATAATGCGATACCATATTAATTTTAAAAACTTCTCATTTGGAGTCAGTCAACATTTCTGCAAATGCTTTTTTTGCATGAGAATTAAGATAAAACAAAAACAAAAGTTTTTTCTTATAAATAATTTCTTTCTGGGATAGTCAATTTTTTTTTGTCTGTTAAATATTTAAAATTAGACCTGGTATAGTTTTCTTTTGATTCCCCAAGACTGCAGAAAGGAAATGCCAGACTCACCGAGCTTCACGCCTACAATTATCAATTACGTGTTTTGAATGTTAGTTTCACATGCTTTAAAGACTGACATTTTAACTGACTTATGTTATCCGGGGTTTAATTAAACATAGGCACCTTAAAACCTAGAAAGCCATAATGAACCGAAAGAGGGGAGAGGATATAATCAAACACAACAGCAAGAGACTTACTTCAGAGGTACTTATCTCCAGAGAGACTGAGGAGAGATTTGAAAAATTGTCTTGCCTCAATCCAAATTACTCCATCTACTTTACAAGAACGTGACCACACTCTTTTATTTTGAGTCACGAGATGAAAGGGCAAACAGATTTGGTTTGGAGGTCCAGTATTTTCTTTTATAAGCTAATGTTATGTCACTAGACTTATTTAGGTTCTTTGGAATCTAAAATAGTCGCTAGATTCTTTTTAGGTTCTTTGTAAAGTAGGAGTAATAATAATTACATCATATGTTTGTCTTAAGGATTGAATGAGATAATGTTTTCAATTACTTAGAATTGATGTTACTTAGAATACTTAGAATAATGCCAGCATACGTTGTATTTATTAATAACAGTTATCATTATTTGAAAATTTTAAGAGTGTGGTTCTTAATGAGCAATCATAGGCTTTTACTGTTAATAACTTCCCCTCTTAACAGCTTCCCCTGCTGGTATCTTCCTCCCCCTATATCCTCCCAGCCTCCAGAGCACCTCAAGGACAATGATGCCCACTATTGCACAAGACTGTGTATAATATACCAACACTTGTTTCTGCAATTTTAAAAAAATCTACCTACCAGTTATAGTTACTGGTTCTATTTCTTGCTCTAGCTCTACAGAAAGCAGATAGAACATAGGTTAACTTAAAATAAATTTGCATTGTTTGGCAAATATGCTTATAAACATAAATTTTACTTCTCAGGATTTTGACTTATTACCCAAATTAACAAAATTTAAAAGAAAACAAAACCCTATAGTGAACGTTGCTTGTCACCTCACTGTTTCAGGACAGTGCTGTTCAGCCACACAGTGTCACCCTGGATTCACTAAGGTGGTTGATGAGTCCTGCAACCGTGATCGGATGCGGATGTGTCAGGTTCTCAGGCACCAGGGATTTTATTTTAGAGCTATGACACAAAGTGATGAATGTCAGAATGTTATAAAGGCAGCATCATTTTTCCATCCAGCTTAAGGGGAGAGATGCTTTCAGAATCCCAGCAGCACCAATTCTGTCAGTATTTAGCCACCATCGATTGACTTTTGACTTGGGCAGTGGAAATAACAGTCACCTAAAACTTGTGTTTCTAGGATTTGCTGAAAGACCACAGTAGAATAAGGTAATGCTCAGACTGCATCATCATTTGCTTTGTATGTGGAGAAAACCGCAAGATTTGTTTATTCCACTCTATTTACACTCATTAAAACAAAGATACTTGAGAAACTTCAAAAATGAAGTGACTCCTACAGAATCAGAGGTCTAACCCCTAGTGACTTTGTCTTTTTCACTTAATTTCATCACAGTCTTTTCTTATTAAAATAACTTTGCTAATATTTTCTTAAAAGCATAGAACATAGTTTACTCAAGGTGATCTTATGAAGTTATTCTTTATACACACAGTCATCCCCCAATTCTTTGTGATTGCATTTCTTCAAGTTCTTCACCCACTTAACTGCATCCTCTGGCCCTGCCTTCCTCTCCCTTTTCTCTCAAACCAGCCATCTCTTGGCCATCTCTAGTTATGTCACACTGGCTTCCTTTACTTTTATCAGTGTGCCTTTCACCCTATTAGGTATGTTTATGCACTCAATAGATTTCCTTAACAGCACTTATAACAAATGTGATGATTTCATTAATTTTTGTCTTTTCTAGTAAAGCTTAATTTCTGAGAGCTAGGACTTCATCTGATATTTTAATCCATTGTATCTTCAATGCCTATTGCAGAGTGATATGTGTGAATAAATGTATCTGCCTATTTCCATCTTCTATAGTTTCAACAGGAAGAATAATCACTATGTTATCTTACTTTATAAACTGAATAGTGTATTGATAGCTCACAGTTACTGAGAACTTACTGCTCGCCAATCCTGTGTTGTTACGTGCTTAACCTGCTCTTTGTAGCATGGTAGTTAAGAAATTAAGCTCTGTAGTCTGAATTTCAGACCTATTTTTTTTACCACTGCTTCGCATACATCCTTGGGCAAATAACTGCCCCACCAAGTGCTTGAGTTTTCTTATATGAAATATGAACTAATATTAACTAAATAAGATAATTGTAAAATTGAAATAAGTTAATATACAAATAATTTATAATAATAGTGACATATAACAGGCACTCAACAAATGTTAGTTTTAAAAATTTTTATTATTATCGTTAATCAACCTAACATGTAATAGACACCTCACTAGATCCTGGATATGTAAGAACAGTAATGCATAGTCTGTGACTTAGTATTTTTATAATATAGTAAAATATACATATATTTAATATATTATGGCTGGAATAAAAATATATGTGAAGTACTATGAAGAACAAAGAAAGTAGAAATGAAAGATCTGTTTTTTCATGAGGATGTCTCATATTTTGTTATACTTCATATTGCCCCTTTTAAGGTAACTTTTTAATTGAAATCTGAAACACATATAAATTGTGGTCAAATAATAAGGCAGCTGAGGAAAGTTTCACATAGGGAAATCTTTGATGTCACTACCATTCATATACTGAAACAGGACACAATCAATGCTCCAGAAGCTTCCTCATAGGTAACCATTAATGTGATTTCTATTCCTTATGTTAGATTTTACTCTTTTTTAACTCATGATAATGAAATTGAACAATACAGATTTGTTTTTCCCAGTTTCTGTCATTAAAAATTGTGTTTCTGAGAGAAATTAATATTATTTCTTATGGCATCTGTTTGTTCTTTCTCATTGCTGAAAAATGTTGCATCTTATGTCTATTCTGTTATCCATTCTATTATTGATGGACATTTGAGTAGTTTCTGGTTTGTCTATTATGAATTATGATGCTATGAACATTCTTGTATGTGTCTTTAGGGCTAAAAATGTATGTATATTTGTGCAGAATCATGGATACATTCAGATTTAATAGGCACTACCGAATACTTTCAAAGTAGTTGTACCAATTTACACGCTTAGCAGCATTGCATGAAAGTTCTACAAGTTCCTGTTCTTACTAGCACTTACTATATTTCATATCACTTTCAAATTTCTCCATTTATACAATATTTAACAAGCTTTGTTTCACGAAATATTTTATCTTACCTTAAAAAAGACTTATTGATTGTGTTCTGCTTTTCGTTGTTTATATCATAGTTGTTGGTTTCTCAAGACATGATTCAAGTTTTAAATAAGGCCTATCATGACCTGTGATGTTGGTGATAGTTTTAGAATACCTTCTGAAATCAACCCCTTCGTATCTAAGCATATTTATCAGTTACATTATTCAGATTTTTAAAAATTATAATCTCAAATAATTTGAAGCATGGAAAGAAGTATTATTTCTAAGCCTCCAGAGGTGAGTCAGAGGAACCTGAAGTTGAAATGACAAGCACATTGGTGAATGATAAAAAACAGCTGCTGGGCCTCTTTATATGCAAGTCATTCACTGAGATATCAAAATGTGGAAAATAGAAGGCGCCTACCAACATTTCTTGTTGAATCAATGCCCAGGTGAGTTCTCCTGAAATATTGCAGTTGTATCTTAGCAAAAACAAGAAGCAGTAAAGCATCATACTTATTAGGATCCAATTTGCCACAGCAGCAGTCAAGTGCTTCAATTTTTCCCAGAGGTGATGGGAAGGGAAAAATAGGGATAGGAAAATTTAAATTAAATTCATGGTGCAGTGCACAGTTGAAATTCAGTATTGACAGTTCTAATTACACCTACCTTATATCACAAGTTCATTAAGTGAAAGTAAAGGATTAAAAACTACTTTACATATTTATTTTTAAAATGCCATTGTTTTCCTCCTAAGGTCTCATCTCTCTTCCTTTCGTTTAATGCAGTCATGATGGAGATGTTTAGGGTTTTGGAAAGAGAGGATTGATTATTTCTTTAACACATGCACAAACACACAGATATGCAAGCACACAATTAGGAAGTCATGTTACATTAGATATACTATTTGAAATGTAATCAGCATCAAATGTCAAATTCAAATATTTACCAATGTCTATTTGAATTGCCATGAATTATCTAGTAAAGCAACAACCCGTTAGCCTTGTAGGACCTAAGAATGTCTAAATAATAATTGTCGACAAATGATTAATTATACAAAATTATATTTTGTCATCTTACTTTGCAAACTCAAGAACAATATCTTAAAAGATGAGTTATTTCCTCACCCATGAACATAAGTCTATGACTACTTCTACCTACAACTCTCTAGGCTAGAAATTAGCATGTATCTTATGTTAATATTTACTTGTTATACCAAAAGTTTATAAGATTTCTGCCCAGTATCCTGTTGTGCTAATCTTAAAGCAGAAAGATTATTACTTCTGAGTGTGACTACAGTTGTGATTTCTGAGATATGAAAACAATGAATTAGCAGATATAGGCACTTTTAGAGCAACAGAAAGAACAAATGATTTGTTTTCTCCTTACTATTTACCGCATATCTTCTGTCAGGCATGAAATAACAAATGGATGTGTGAAATTGCACAGTGATTCGACAAAAGTTAAGAAAAATATTCAAAATTTAATTAACATAGAAATTGTCAAGTTCTGTGGTTTCATTCTTACAGAAGAAAGAATTTTATATGACAAATATATTTTTTTAATGTGATGGACCCAGTGAAACAATTCAGCATGTAAGTCACTTAGGGAAATTTTAACTCCTTTGGATAACTTTACTAAATGACTATGTGAAGTACTTTATAGCTCCTTCAGTTCTCTCAAAGGATGAATTCACTGCCCACAATATTTAACTGAAAGCCTAGGGAATAACTTAGCATTACAGGAAATTGACCATTACTATATGTACTAGAATGGTTGCCCAAATTTAAATGTCTGCAATGTTTTTCTCTAAACTGAGACATGGTTGAATAGTAGAAGGATGTTTGTAAATGTGTATGTGTGTGCGTGTGTGCACACGTGTTTATGTGGAGTAAATGGAAAAAAAAACAATTAGACTTTTGAAAGTTTTTTTCGCTTATGTCAAGGACATCAGGACACAGAAAATTTTCACAAGTTTCTGAAATCTAACAATCTTCTACAAGAGCTTCTACAATGACTTGGTATTCAATAGGGATCATTATTTCTGATGGCTGAGGGAAGAATTTGTAAGGTGACATTTGTTCGTAATAGCCGTGGTAGCGTTTTGGTGGATAAATAATCTAGTTTAACTCTGAAACTGAATCCACCCATATGGCAGCATAGTGTCGTGGAGAAATCCTTTTCCAGATGTTGGAAAACCTGGGTTTCAGTGTGCTCCATTAAACCAACCAGGTTTGTGGCCTTTGATCCTATGCTTCTGCAACGTGGTATAAGTTGAAGATTTTATATTAGACTGTTTATAAAACATCTCCTAACTCTAGGATCCTTGGAATGTACTTGATAAGTATTGAGGACTTCTAATAGACTTTGGACCCTCATGGAATGCTGTATGGAGCACATGGAGGAAGTAGAATCAACAGTCTTTGCTCTCAAGGATCTTAAAAGTCAATTTACTACTTCAAAAAGTATTTATTACCATTTATCCCTCGACAGACACAGTGCTGCCTTGTAGGCTTGCAGCAGTGAATACTCAATCCAGATTCTGCCCCCACAGATCTTCTCAGGAAGACAGATGATTAAATTCAACTTATGACCAATTTTGATTAGTATTATAATAGGAGAAATACACAGAGCTTAGGGTATACATATTGCAAAAGACCTAAGAAATGTAAAAGGTCAGAGAATACCTTCTGGAAGATCTAATCTTTCAAATGAGACCTAAAGATTGAATAGTAGTTAACCAGAAAAATAGGAGGAAAAGACTGTTTCAGACAGAAGGAAATCATGTAAACAAATATTATTAAATGGTGGGAGAGTATTGTTCATTTGAGGAAATAAGATTAGTAGAATGGTGCACAGAGTCTGAGATGAAAAGAGGCAATTAATGCTTCTGAAACAACAGTGAGAAATCTAAGCTGGCACATGGTAGGTACTAGTTTGGTCAGTACAACTCCAAATATCAAGGATGAGTTGAGTGTACTTGCTTTCAAAAGCAAGCATGGTATACTCAATGGAGGACACACCTCTTTTGGAGAGCCTGGCAAAGATGAGTTAAAAAGAAAGAAAATAAGGAAGTATTTTAGATGAGAAATATTAAGCAAAACACAGAAGGGCAAAAATAATTTTTTTTCAACATTTTCTGTATTATAATCAAAGAAAAATTTGCCTGACCTTCTAATAGCAATTTATAAGAAATTAGGTGTTAAACTGTCAGTCATAGTTTTACCTTTTTAAGAAAATAAGATATTTGTAAATGTTTACGGGAATAAGTTTGAATGAGCAAACAATGCATTTTCCCTTAATTCTCTCACAATTTTGCCACTATCTTCCTGGTTTGCACTAAAGATTACCACATCACTTACAATTTCCTTTTGTCTTCATAGCAGATATCATTTATTATTCAACATAACATTTCAACAGGTGCAAAAGTACTCCAGAGTAGTATCATCAATTGTAATTGAGAATGGTGGGTATTGGAAGAAATGTTTTCACTCATCTTTGAAGCATCCACATATTGTTTCTTCAGTTGCTTCTGTGTTATTGATCAGACACAAGAAACATCTTCCTTCTGTAGAGCATGATAAAACATGTAAACTTTGGGTCACAGTATTGACTTAGGTTACAATTGCTTAGAATTAAAAAATAACATATTACCAACGTATTCATGGAAATAATAAAAAATATTCCAAGTTCAAGATTAAATTTCTTACATATTGCCTTCATTTATAGTGTTAAAGTGTTGTTCATTGGGACACTGTATTGTTTGATTGATGTAAAAGTAGAGAAGTGTTGTTCAGCCTCTTCTACGTGCAAAGTTTTAACACTTATATTAACTGGACTACCTCTATGGCTAGCACCATTATCATCACTTTATAGATGAAGAAGCCCACATTTAAAGACATGTAGAAAATGAGTCCCTGGTGCTCATATATGGTCAAGTTTGACTCTTAAACTATAATTTCTGACTCCAAACCTCAGGCTCTTTCTGTTATTAAAATGGATACACACTTTCAGTAGTTAGTGGTACCTGGAGGTGATGTTTTAGAAACTAGAACATAAAAGGGAAAGTAGGCAGAACTTAAAACCAGAAAACTAGGATCAACTGACAGTCAGCGAACTAACATGGCCTTCTTTTCTAAAGAAGTAAACCTCACTTTCCTATAGATTTATTTCTTATATATTGACATTAGTTAGTATGAGCTATGCTATTTTCCCTAAAGATGTATACCCTAAATATTTCTCATTTCATTTGTTACTGTTGAGATCTCATCAGGGGAGAAAATTTGGAAAATGAGTATCAAGCTAGATGAAGAGTGGTAAGAGATGAAGACAGTCAAATCTGTCATTTGCAATGAAGCAATGTAACATATATGATGATATGCTAGTTTATCAACTAGGTTTTGTAGGCCTTTAATTGCTGTTCAAAGTAAACTGCAATCAGATTTAAGGAGAACTGGAGATGAGTGAAAACAGGAGTGAAAGATTCAGAGAAGTTATAATCGAAGAACAAGAAAAGAATTCAGCATAACACTTTGTCATGGGAACCATGCAGTCTCTATGAAATAGCCATACGAAGCACACTACCTTCCCTTTTGTTATTGGCCTTTTTTTTACTTATAGATGGAAAGTTCAATTTTCCAGCATCCCCTGCTGCTGGAGGTGGACCTATGACATAGTACTGTCTAATGTTTTCTAGATAAAAATGCCTGGGGAAGATGTCACTTCCCAAATTAAAAGGAAAATTTATAGAAGTAAAAGGATTTTCATCCTTCATTCTTTCTGTAATAGAAAAGTAGCATGATCATATGATCATACTTTTAGTATACAGTAATATACTCTGAACAAAAAGTGATAACAGAGGAACGATATTTTGAAGATTACCTAGAGCTATGCATAATAATAAATACAGGAGAGCATCAAGATGGAGAGGAGGACTTTGAATTGGAATGCACACACTATATCTCGAGGCCTGCACAGCATTCAAGAACGCACCAATGGCCTGATAGAAGAGGCATATTTGGAAATAGTTCCATTTAAAATGCCATAAGAACCATGGGTTGGGACAGGAGAAGGATGAGTGGGGTGAGCATTTGACTAAGCATTTGAATAAGACAAAGAAAATTGGCGGGGTGAGGTGGCTCATGCCTGTAATCCCAGCACTTTGGGAGGTGGAGGTGGGCGGATCACAAGGTCAGGGGTTCAAGACCAGCCTGGCCAAGATGGTGAAACCCTGTCTCTACTAAAAATACAAAAAAATTAGCTGGGCATGATCCCAGCTACTCAGGAGGCTGAGGCAGAGAATTGCTTGAACCCGGGAGGTGGAGGTTGCATTAAGCTGAGATGGTGACACTGCACTCCAGCCTGGGCGACAGAGAAAGACTCCGTCTCAAAAAAAAAAACAAAAAAAAGATGCAGAAAATACAAAAAGTTGTAGTAAAAAACATGATAGCATTTATATCAAGATTTTAAAAATGAAGCATCTCTAGGTAAAGATATGTTTAACTCTTTTGAGATGTAGAACTTGACCCTGGTAGAGTGCAAGTTTTGGAAACTCTTAAAAAGTTTTAAAGACTTATAGCCTCTTTCAGGTACTTATATCATTATTATTAAATATGATAACAATAATTAGTAATGTAATTTCAAATATGTTGTGTTTCCAAAGGTAATTTGTTTACACACTGTCAGTCTAATCCAAATGCGCACATGTACACAACACACATGATAGGCAGTCATCCAGTCATTCATCACTATGTATTGACAGTGTTATACTCTGTCAGATACTAGAGGAGTCAAAGAAAGATGTGAGTCTATGTCCTTATCTTTACCCAAAAATTTTAAAATTTTGCATGGGAAGCAAGACGGCAAAAATGGAACAGAGCACCACTTGTTAATTATATATAATGTTTTAATTTAGATTCAGTATCTCTCAGTACTTGTGACAAACAAGTGTATATCATGTCTAATTGGCTTCTTCCATCATTTTAATTAGGATAGCTATAATTTTTGGTACTATGATAAAATATATTTCTTAGAAACAGAAAAGTCTTAAATTGATTACATTTCAGTTACAGGTTACTAATGAAACCGTTTACTTCAGGAAGTAGTAACTTTCATCCAATCCTGTTTAATCCACATGCTCTCCCTAAGAGGCTTTTCCATCTTAGCAATTGCCAGCGGTATCTACCCAGTGGCTCAAGACAAAAACCCAGGCAATTTCATCAATTTGTGATTTTTTTTCCTCTTTACATGTCTAAAGTCCAAGTTACTGTGATTTTTTTCCTCTTTAACTATCACGTCTAAAGTCCAAGTTACCATCATCTTTGACTAGCATTAGGACATTAACTAGTCTCTTAACTAGTCTCCAATCTTCCACTCTAAACTGTCTATAATATAATACCTAAAAAGACCGATGAGGTTTTGCATCTTAAAATGTTCATGAGATTATTTACTTTTTTTGTTTAAAATTGTTCAGAATTTCCCATTATACTTAGAGTTTAAATCTAGATTAAATGCATACATACCAGCACCAGCCTGATCCATTTCATGCCCATTATTTTTATGGTTGTTATTAGTTAAGAACAATATAGAATCCAAGTATATTTTCTATACATGAATTGAAGCATGACAGATAAAACTAAATTCTGCTTTACACATTCATGGGACTGATGTTGAATCAATTATATTTATCACTCACTTTGCCAATATTTTCTTCTATGCTTTTATACCCATTTTACATATATTTATAGTGTTATATTAAATTTTAAAATTAAAATAATTTTAATTTTGTTCACTCACATTTACCAAGTTATTTATTTATGATTTGTTCAACACACTTTTCAATATTGACATTACACAAATTCTTTCATAATTGCTCTAATAATTTTAGTTTAAGCTTTTTTTATTATGCTTTTTATTCATTTAGATTTTTATTTGCATCTATACATAAGTGATGTTAGAATTCCAAAACCACTTATTAGAGATATCACTTTTTCCAAATTCTAAATTTATGTATATATAGAGCTTTCTTCAGAACCTCTGTTCCATTGTTCTGTAGGCCAAGTTATGTCAACATTAACATTTCACTATTTTATGTCTTTATCTTATATTGTACTATTTGGTAAGAAAAACATCTCCCTTCTGTTTTTATTTATCCATGTATCTATCTATCTATCTATCTATCTATCTATCTATCTATCTATCTGTCTGTCTATCTATCATCTATCATCTATTGTCTATCTATTTATATATTTAGTTCTGACTCTGTCACCTAGGCTGGAGTGCAGTGTCATAATGACAGCTAACTGCAGCCTTGACCTCCGGGATTCCAGTGATCCTCTCACCTTAGCCTCTCAAGTAGGTGGGACTCTACAGGTGTACGCGACCACAGCTGGCTATTTTTTCTTTAGTAGAGAAGAGATCTTCTTGCGTTACACAGGCTAGTCTCAAACTACCAGCTTTAAGTGATCCTCTTGCCTTGGTCTCCCAAAATGTTGGAATTACAGACATGAGCTGCTGTGACTGGCCCTCTCTTTCTTTATAATCACGTTTCAATATTTTGTTGTCTATTCTTGCTTGTGTAAAATTGCATTTGAATTTTAGAAATTTTAGAATGAGATTGTTATGTCAGAAGATTTGAAGGTTATTTTAAATTTATAAAATTGTTGGGGGCAATGAACCGACAGTTTAACAAGATGACTCTTTCCATTCGTAAATCTGTCAGCACTCCATTTATTTAGAGTTTCTTTTATGTCTATTGATTTATTTACAGTATTATCTATATGATTATTGCACATTTGCTGTTTAGTTTGCACCATGGTAAATTTTAGGTATGCTGCTTTTGTAAATGAGATCCATTATGTTTAATATTATATTAAAAATTTTGAGTTCTAATGAATACTGACTTTATGAAAACTAACGTATATCTTGCCATTGTTCTAAGCTACTGAAAAATGTTTCTTAATATTTGACCATAATCATTATTACACAACCTTTTCACAAATGTTTTGCCTTCAGGTCAACATTTTAAAAATCACCATTATCTGCTGTATCACATTGCTAAGCTCTTTTAATTTAAAATCAAACATAAGGTGGATCATTCCCATTTTACAAATAAAGACACTGAGCCACAGAGAGTTTAAAACAGTGCCTAAGGCCACAAAGTGAATAAGGGGCTCTTTTAGGATTTATATCCAAGTTTTCCTAAATTCCTAACCTTTATCTACAGATTCCAAAGAAAATTCAACCAAATGACAATCTTTCTTGTATGCAGAGTAAGACTGACTACTGTCCTCATTATTGGAAAAGGTAAAAGAAACAGACACATAGTCAAATATTCTCATCTTCATTCCCCCAACTCCACAGCTGGAGAGTCTACAGCCAAATGACCAAGCAACTGAGGGTGTGAGATTTCAAAGGGGTTTAATAATCATTGATTGTTCTGCTGAAGGTTTATAAAATATTTGACCATGAAAATAATTGGACCACTTGTACCAATTTTGGACTTGTTTCTGGGCCATATTTTCATCCATGCTTCCTTTTTTGTAGTTTAAAATGCACACTGAATCTCAATCAGCAATGTGGATGATGATAAAACACTCTAGATGTAATTGCCAACATCTCTTGCAAATTAAAATGTTTTGATGAGACTGGTGGCAACAGAGTAGCCCTTTTCTACTTAGAACTAAACATCCCCAAGTCAATTTTCACTATTGCATTTTTGGTGAGATTATCACAGCATATTCTCTATTATCACATTGCATTCCCAGGGACAATATAGCTATAGAGATCACAGCTAAAGAAAGTTGTCAAATTCTTACTATATACTGAAATGCTGAACCATCACCTTAAGATATACAGAATCACTTTCATTTTTTGCTGGCACCTCTTTGAGGCACAATATTTTCAAAAGATTTAAACTTAATGGAGTATTTCTACAAAAGTTCGTGACCACAAGGAGAGACTCATTCATCACTACTTATTGTGTGTCGCTTTTCTAAAACAAGTTTAGAACAGACTTTGGATTTCAGAAGACACCTGCAGATTTTCCTGACGTCTGAAAGTAGGGATGAATAGTCAGCTGCGTCACCTCTCACCTCATACTGAGGCAATACAGCAGTTACAGATAAGTAAGAAAGAGTTGGGTCATCCTCTCCAACGCAAACAAAACATATTTATAATACTGTCATTGCATTTATAAACGTATTCTGTAACAGAAAAAAAAAGATTTGTCCAGTATACAGCTAACTGTACATTTAGTAGAATAGCAGTTTTTATTTTTAAAATTAATTTTGCTTTTTGTTCTTCTATTATTTTCCCCAAATACAGTAAGAGATGTAACTTGGCTATAATTAAAAATGAACAAATAATAGCTCATTCAATTCATTTCATTAATTCATCTTTTTGTGCTTTTAGGTCAATTTGCTGCTTTCAGTGCTGCAAGATATTACAGAAGTTTATGTAGTGACAGTTAGTTATACTAAATGTTATATTTCAAAGTAGCTAATTGAAAACTTCTATAGACTGGACTTCAAATATTTTTGCATCAGCTAAACTGTGGAATTTACACAATTGAAAAAACTAGACTTATCTGACACTTTGCTGATTTAAGAAAAGAAGACTAATATATTTTCAAAAGCTTAGCCCTTCTACCAAATGACTGACAAGTAGTTCTTCAAGTGCGGTGCAGGGATAGGAACCCTCACCAGGCTAGTATTTTGCCTGATGATATGAAGGGCACAATTGCTGTCTTACATATTTATGTCTCTCCCCGCAGTGTAACCACTCTTTCCAACTTATTGGTTGTCCTTAAAAAAATAGTCAATGTGTTTAAAAGCACAGATATTTTAAACATACTACACTCTCCTTTTAATACAAATGGAGGTATAATGCATCATGCATATCATCTTGCACACCACATTCATGTTTTATTAATGATTAAATATAACACACATAAAAGTGTATAAAACATTAATTTAGGGATAATGAATTATTGTTGCATGAACCACAATGCAATCACCATCCAGTTTAATAAATAGAATATTGCCAACACACCTTCACATACACATACTCTTGCAAATAAAATGGGAAAGTTCTTCTCTATACTGGAAACAAAAAAAGCTAGATTTCATTGCATTCACTTCTTGATTTTCTTCCTTACCACTTACAGATGATAACTAAATCCTATAATTTAGCTTTTCCTGTTTTTGAATTTTATTAAAAGTATTCTTTAGTGTCTAACCTTTTCTGGTGAAACATTATGTATTTCAGATTCAAATATATCATGTGTAGCTATAGCTTGTTTATTTTCTTTACTGTATGGTATTCTATTATAAAAACAAAACAATTTACTCATTCTCTTGGTTGATAGATATTTGAATTGTTTATAGTATTGACATTTATGTATAGTATATAATACTTCTGTGTACCTTGTATTTTAAAATTTATACACCTTGGAGGTGTTTTCTATATTTGTATGTGTATGTCATATATATGATAAATATGTATATATGCTATATAATACTATATACATATATAGACACGATGTATATCATGTACATTATGTATGTGCATTGCTTACACACACATTTCATCTCTAACACAAATATATTTCTTTTAAACGATTACATGGTTTCGATCTGTGGCTGTAGACAGTTTCTAACCTGTCTTTTATTGAAGGGCATTTAAGTTGTGGTTAGTCTTATGGTATTACAAGCAATTCTATTGTACATCCTACTACACTTGTCTTTGCACACACATATTGGAGAACAAATATCCAGTAATAGAATTTCTGGATCAAGTAAATGATATCTTCATTTCTTATATAAATATTGCTACTTTTCTCAAAAGAAACTGTATGACCCAATATTCTTTTGCACCCCATTTATCATATTCTATTTAATCTAATGCATTATTTATTTCAGCAAATATTTTGAATACCGACTACATGGAGTCTGCTAGGTGAAAATGTACATATTTGTGGGGTGAGGGTTTTGACAGAACATCTGGTAATTGGGTGTTATTGAAGTAAATTAATAAATTTGAAGACTATCTATGAGAGTCAAGCATAGGCCATTTTTCTGTTCATGAGAAGGCTTAATATTAATGAAACTAGAGAGAAATGCCAATTACCAGCCACTAGAATACAGATAAATGAAGCCTTTTCTTCTTTGTGGTGATTGTTTAAAATTAATGAGAAGAGGCAAAGAGGTCATTATTTCAAAAGAAAGGTTCTAGAGGCGTTTGTTCCCTCCCATTTTTGTTTCATCACGTTTGTGTCTAAGAATATACATCAGCAAAAAAAAAAAAAAAAAAAAAAAAAAAAATCACTTACACTGCCTGCCGAAACACACAAATTGGACTTCATCCAGAACCAGTTTTGAAGTATGTGAAGCTTGTCTTCAGATTCTATCATTTCCCATGTCATGGTTTCCTTATTTGGATTTCTTGTTATTCTTAACTTTCTATTTTTAGGGCACTATACTGCCCTCTAGCATCCTTCTCCTTTCCCTGTAGGAATTCTTCTATCACATGGTGCATTCACACAGGCTCTAAGGGAAACTGATTAGGTAAACAGATCCGAGCCACAGCATCAATTCTTGATTGTAAATTCTTGCATTATATCTCTCAAATTTTAGCCTTCAGAACATGACCTTGTTCAGCACTCTGGTGTTTGTGCCTTAAAGATAAGCATATTATTCTTTTTATATCATTATCTTATCTACATTAAAAAAGTGGACTCTTTGTAAACTAATAGGTAGAACTGATAATGAAAATCTATATCAAATAGAACCTTAAGAAGAATAAGAAAGGGTAAACTGTAGCTGAGAAAAGAGGAGTTGAAGGTCAAGAAGGAAAAAGGATTTTAACAATTTTTTAAATATCTGCATAATGTATTAGCCACACATGGGCCTAAATAAACACTTGTATTTATTTAGAATAAAGCTAACTCTTTCCTAGGAATACTTTGTCATTAGAAAAGAGTAAAAATTGTCCTTTATTGCATAATTGCCTTTTCTTCTTTTCCATTTGTTTTGCAATTGACATTGAAATAAACAAATGTATTTTTAAAGGTAGAAAACTTGAGAATAATTATGTCAATAATAACCACACAAATAAAATGAAGCCATACAGAACTATAATATATAGTGAAAATAGTATGACCATTATTGAGATATTTTAATTTGAGCTAAGCAAAGAGAAAGCAAGAAACTTTTAAAAAATTGGTTGACTATGAAGAAACATTAACACCAGTAGTTGAAGATAGTACCTGTGTTACGTTTTCCTTTCCCAAAGACTTTGAATTTATTTCCTTGAAAATTACTGAAATGAGGCATAATAACATGACTCTCCTGGGGGACATTGGTCAATAAATCAATCTTCATTCTTATATTTCATCTAGGGTTGCTAACACATGGTTTACTAACTTAACCCCATATTTCTCCATCTGTAAAATCAGGATAATATCTGTTTAAAAGATTTCATTTGCTATTGAACTAACACGCAGTATGAAAATAATTAGCATGTCTAAAGACTCTTCCTAACAGACAGGTAAGTAAGTAACCAATAGTGAGTGAGAAAAGCATTATCATGATCAATTTAATATTCTTGATTCTGGTCAGCATGAGTACTAGTAATCAGTAATACTCAAATAGGCTGATACTCAACTTCAGTCATGTGATAGTCCCACACATAATAAACCTGTATAATGGGGCAAGGGAAGTTCTCCTTTGTTTCTTTAGTCTATGCATTTACCAGAAGAGGTAAAGTTACTGTGGAATATTGCCGTAATCTAAAACCTTAATTCTTTTCTCTATCTCAGGATATTTGAGAGGCTAAATTCCCAGTTGAAACATTTTCCCTAACTCTTGCTGATCTCATAAACAAAGCAGAGGCAGCAATGAGATACCTTTTGTCGGGCTGAAGTCATGGGCCAGCTCCATTAAAGTAAAATGAGAAGACGAATACCATGGCCCTGTCTGACAACTCTGCTCCTATTAGCAGAAGTTTCTTGAGGTGGCAGGATAAAGCCCTGGGCGACATATGCTATGACAGTCATGGTCATGGCCTATCTCTGTTATTTCCTTTATATGTTAGCTTGCATTGTTAGCAATTTCCTATCCATCTATGAGATCTCTCTAAGGCACTGCAAGGGTTAAGATTTAATATATAGAGCAAAACTTAACGATATGAAAGAAAGAGAAATAATCAATAAATGATAGCTACAGTAAAATACATTAAAATGAAACATTTTTATTGTATGTATTTATAAAAAATATGAGTTGTATATTCATTTATCATTTGCTTTAAGACTCTGACACATCATTTTAGATATCATCACCTGTCCAGGCATTTCATGATTTTCTCTGCCTACTCAGACATTTAGTGAAGAAAGCCAATCATTTCTTGCCTCTATCTGTCAATTGCCTTTTTTTCCCCTTTTACTCTAAATTTATATGCATATCATGTTTTGGGAAAAAAATGTTAAAACTGACGATTTAACTGGTTTGAATATTGCATTAACAAGCTATATGCTTAAATTAATATGCTAAATTGGAAGAAAACATATGTATATTGGATTCACAATGTATTTCATTATTTTAAAGAGTTATTCTGATTATAAAATGCAATAATGTGTGCATTCATGTTTCTTGAGTTATTAGCAAGTTCCGTTTTCTGCATGTAGAATTTAAGTTTCAGAAATTATATTTATCCTTCAGAAATTAGTATTATACATTTACTATGTGTATATCCTCATGCAACATTATGAATAGTTGTACAAAATTTGGTGCTGCACTCAAAGAATTTATGCCGTAATAGTTGGGATTTGATATATGGAGATTAACAGTTCAAACTAGTATGTGCTCTTGGCATGAATGTCTACCTTTTCCAAAACCCAAAGATGCCTTCAGGAAATGATGAATTACAAAATGACAAGTGATTATAATATGGACATGAAATTACAGGATTTATACTTGCACTGACTCTGACTGCAGTCCGTGTATATACAGGACACCACAATTTTTTTAATAGTGTATAAGATGATGTTAAATTCCTTTATATAAAAATTCAGTTTATTTTCCTCAAGGCATTATTTGCTTTTTCTATCACAAACCCTTCTCAATTTCCTTCCCAAACCCTCCCTGAATGTGGAGCTATCCAAACAAGGAATTAAAGCCCTGAAATTAATGCAATTTTTTATTTGCATATGGGTTTTCTGATTATAATGCTATTACCATAAAGTAGGGTTTACTGATGGGGCAACAGGGAATGGACAGGTGCTCAGCCACTATTGAGACCTAGAATCTGTTTGGATAAGCTCTTACTTCATTGTTGGATTACCTCGTACTACATAATTCTTGAATTTTCTTGTCCTTATATTTTCCACTTCTTTGCAAACCAGAGGTTTGTTCTTCTAAAATCAATGACTTCACACATTCTATTTCAATAACAAAACATGGATGGGTTTCCTCTTCCCTTTTCTGAGGCAAATATTTTTCTTCTGAACATTTTCAACCATTTAACATTCTATATATGCCTTTCCAAATATTTGACATATAACAAAAAACCCGACATGTGGTTTATCATTAAATTAACATAGGACTCAGAATTTGGGCTTAACAATGTATATAGTGTTACAGGTGGACTGTCTTGGAAAATCATGTGTGCTTTACAACTGCTCTATGGCATTCATTTTGTTACCTTTCCATTTTTATTGTCAATGCAATATGCATAATTCCTTTCATTTACTCCATTTGTTTCAACAAACTATAATCACTTTATTTTTCATCACAATTAAGCCAGTAATTATTTTCTCCCTTTAAGCTGCTAATCTAGACGTTTTAAATAGCATGTTTAATTTCTTGCAACAAGAGGTTCCAGGCCAATCTTGAATCATTCTGCCACAGACATGTTTTCACATACTTTACGAAGGCAACATTTTTGGTCTGTTTGTTTCTAGAGAAGAATATTATTTTAGGCTACATTTACCAGCCTACTTGTTCACATTGCATTGTTCCACATGAGTACTGAGGTAAAGCAGGGTTACCCAGAGTTTGCTGAGGTGTTACAAAATTTAGAATGGTTTCTTTGATTCTTGTTTGAAGACACTTAAACTCAATTTTCCTACCAAATTCTGAATTTACTAGACAATAATACAAGAGATTAAAATAAAGAGGAGAAAACATATTGCCTTTGTTACTGATAAAGGATGATTTGGAAATTGTAACTCAATGAAGGGGCCAATGTGTCTGCAAACTCCTTTTCCTGCTTCCCCGCCCACTGCTCACTTAAGCCAACGTCTGCATCTGCAGAGAACTCAAAATGAACTGAGATGCTACCTTGTACTTTTCCAGGAAGATAAGAAGGAAAAATTGATCAAATTTTCTAGGCTTAGGACTTTTGAGCATTAATTATACCTAAATTAAGACACATAAAAATTTATTTTCTCTCCAACCAGGCAAATTACTCCACTTTTGTGGGAAGGAGAAACAGGTAATGCGTGATGCAGGAACTGTGTAAGAAACAATTTATCTCATGAAAATTAGAATCATGAGAAAGAGATTTTCTTTATTGGCTGCATATTATTGAGTGTCTGAAAACCAAAAGTAATATCAAGTATTTTACCAAATTCAAGTAATTCAAAAACATAATATGCATTGCACTTTTTATGCCAAAGTACCGAATAGAATACAATAATTAAAAACCAAATACAGGGATTTTATTTTAAAATCTATCTTTTACTTTTTCCTTTGGTTCCCACTATTTGAATCTTTTTTCTTCATAAGTTACATGATCTCTTCTATAGTGGCATGGTTTAGTTATAGTTATAGGCATTTTTAGTGTTGAATTCCAATTACTTGGAGAATCTTAGGTGCACAGTATCTTCAGTGTATTGTTTCCAAAATACCTTAAAAAACAAGTAAAAAATAAAACAAATCAATAAACTGAATTATTTTGAAAAGGTATATATTAAATTAGAAATATTAAATAAAAATGTTTATAAAAAGAAAGAAAATTTGCATAAAATGGCTTACATGGTATATTTACAAAGTGCTGGATGAATGTGACATGCAAAAATCAACACATATGTGTACGTGTATAATCCCATTGAAAATGTATCTATGTGTTACAAGTCCATATTAATTAACATTATTTTTAATAAACTTTCCATTTTAGAACAGTTTCTGATTTACAGAAAGGTTACAAAGATAATGTAGAGAGTTCCCATAAAAGCCCACACACTGTTTGCTCTTGTATTATCATCTCACATTATTGTTGTACATTTACCATAATTAGTGAACCAACATGTAAACATCATTACTGACTAAAGTCCATAATGTACTCAGATGTCCTTAGTTTTTATCGACTCTCTTTCTTTCACTTTACAATTTTGTCCAGGATGAATGTGTTCTGTGTCCCTTTGATATACATTCATCAATGTGGTTAGTCTGTTTTGAGCGCTTCCTTACATGACTATATATGTGATCCAAGTTTCTTTCCTATATAGTTTTCCTTCTCCTTAAACAATTTCTTCTAATACTTACAGCAAACCTAGGTTTGCTAGTGATTAATTCCTTTAGTTTTTATTTGTCTGAGAAACTCTTTATTTTCTCCTTCACTTTTGAAGGATAAATGTTACAGGTTACAGAATTCTATAATTGTGTTGCTTTTCTTCAATACTGTAAATACTACATTCCACTTTCTTTCTTTTTTTTTTTCCATGGTTTCCAGTAAGTATACTGGATTTCTGCAATTGTTTCTCTGTAGGAAAGATGTTTCCCCCTGCCCTTGCTTCTTTCAAGAGATTCATTTTTGTCTTTTTTTTTAATTTAGTTTAAACACGATATGCCTTGGTAGGGGTGTGTGTGTGTATGCATGTTGGTGTTTATCCTGTATAGTGTTCTCTGAACTGTTTTGAACATGTGTTTTGATGTCTGTCATTAATACTGGACAGTTCTCCATCTTTTTTACTTCAATATTTTTTCTGCTTATTTCCCTATTCCTTATTCTTCTGTCATCCCTATTACGCATATGTTACAACTTTTGGAATTATCCCACAGTCTTTGGTAATCTATTCTTTTTTTCATCATTTTCCCCTGCATTTCAATTTGGAAAGTTGCCATTGACATATCTTTCAATTAAGTGATTCTTTTCTCAGCCACATTGACTCTACTGATGAGCCACAGAAGGCATTCTTCAATTATGTTATGGCATGTTTGTTTTCAATCAATTCTCTTATATATTTCCTTCAAGTCTCCATCCTTCTGCTTATCTCATCCATATGTACATGCATGTTATCTACCTTTTTTTATTAGAGCCCATAAGATATTTATCATAGTTATTTTAAATTTTTTGTCTAATAATTTCAACATTTCAACCTCACATCTATACAAAAACTAACTCAAAATGGATGAAAGACCAAAATGTAAAAGCTAAAACTAAAATATCCTTAGCAGAAAATGTAGGTGTAAATCTCTGTGACCTTGTATTAGTCAATGATTTCTTAGTTATGATACCAAAAACATAAGCAGCAACAACAAAAAAATAGATAATTTGACTTTATCAAAATTGAAAACTTTGTGCTCCCAAGGTCACTTTCAAGAAATTGATGTCATACCTATATTCATAGAGGCAATATTCAAAATAGGCAAAAGATGGAAACACCCAACAGTACATCAACACATGAATGGATATGAAAAATGTGGTATATACATGCAAGGGAATATCAGTTTTTTTAAAGAAAAAGAAATTCTGGCACAATCTACAAAATAGATGAATCCTGAGGACGTTATCCTACGTGAAATAGGCCAGTCACAAAAAGGCAAACACTGTATGACTCCACTTATATTACATACCTAGATAGTCACATTTATAGAAACAATAAGTAGAATGGTTGTTGCTAGGGAATGATGGAGGACAGAAGGAGAAGAAATTGGCGAGTTGTTTTGTAAGTATGGAATTTCAGTTTTGTAAAAGAAAAATCTTCTGAAAATTGTTTACACAATGATGTGATCATAGTTATTAGCACTGCTGAATTACCTTTTAAAACGGTTAAAGCTGGGCAAGGTGGCTCACATCTGTAATCCTAACACATTGGGAGGCCAAGGCGAGAGGATTGATTGAGTTCAGGAGATTGAGACCAGCCTGGGCAACACAGGAAGACCCTATCTCTACAAAAAAATTTTAAAAAGAATTAGCCAGACATGGTGGCATACGCCTGTAGTCCCAGCTACTCTGAAGGCTGAGGTGGATGGATCACTTGAGCTTGAGAGATTGAGGCTACAGGAAGCTGTGATTGCACCACTGCACTCCAGCCTATGCAACAGAGAAAGAACCCGTCTTTAAAATACACAAGTTACCTCAACAAAATTGCAGGATGCAAGTTCATTATGAAAATATCAACTGTATTTCTACACACAAGTGATAAATTAAGAGAAATGGAATTAAAATATCATTTAAAAATTATGAAAAATAGTATGGATAACCCCAACTAAGATATTCATGATTTGTACACTCAATCATTGCTGAGAACTATTAAATAAGAACTAAAGTAATTAAATTAATTATTAATAATTAAACTGTTTTTTATTAGTGGAAGCCTCCATATTATAGGATGACAAATCTTCCCAAATTCATTTATAAATCCCATATGACCACTATCAAAATTCAAGCAGGTTTTTTGTTGTTGTTGCTATGGCTAGAAATTGACAAGATAATTCTAAAACTCATGTAAAAATGAAAAGACCTGAAATTGTAAGAACAACTTTGACAAAAGAACAAAGTTGAAGGTTTCACATTACCTAGCATTAAAACTTATTATAAAGCCACAGCAATCATACCTGCATTACATTCATGATAAGATAGACAAACAGATCAATTAAATAGAATAGAGAATCCAGATAATAGCCCACTTATATATATTCCATTGATTTTCAACAAAGTTGCAAAGGCAATTCAGCAGAGAAGCTGTAAATCTTTCAACAAATTTTGCTGGAGCAATTGGATATCTATGTGCATAAAACGAACGTGATTTGGTTCGCATGATTTGGTCCATATGCAGAATTAATTCAAAATGAATTCTAATCCTGAATATATTCCATAAAATTATAAAACTTCTAGAAGTTTTTGACCATTGTTATGTGAAGATTTCTTAGATACACCAAAAGTAAAATTCATAAAAAACCAAAATTCATTAAATTTATCTCATCAAAATGAAGCATTGTTCTTTGAAAGGCACTGTTAAGACTATAAGAAGACGAACTGTGACAGAGAAAATATTTGTAAAATTACATATCTGATAGAGGATTTATATCTAGATATATATGTAACTCTCAAACTCAGTATTATGAAAGCAAATGACCTAATATGAAATGTGTCAAAGTTCTGGAGACACTCCTGGAAAGATATTATTTTGCCAAATAAGGATATATTAAGGTGTTCAACATGTTTTGTCATTAGAGAATTTAAATTAAAATCATAAAGTGATAATACCTACTATTTAGAATGATAAACATTAAAAACATGGACCACGCTAAGTGTTGATGAGGTTGTGTTATAACTTGAACTCTCATAATTTCTTAGCAAGAATGCCATATGGCACAACCATTTTGAAAATTCACATCTCGGTTTCTTCAAAACCTAAACATGCATGCATACATGGCCCTGCTATTCCATTCCCAGGCATCAACCTAAGACAAATGAAAGCTTATAACCATACCAAGGCATTTATCCAAACATTTATAAATGTTTTATTTGTAATATTATCAAACTGGAAACAACTCAAGTGATCTTGAGGAAGTAAAAATGTAAGCACATTGTGGTGTATACCACTCAGCTATAAAGACAGCAACAAGAATTAATCTCAAAATAATTATGACTAGTGAAAGAAGTTAACAAAAAAGAATACACATATTGTTATTTATATTTAAAAATTCATGAGACTGATACTAATCTATAGTGATCCAAAGCAGGTGAGTGGCTACTTGGTGATGAGAGGAGAGAGTAGGTCAAAAGGGCAGTGTATGAGGGTACACGGGGGAGTCAGAAAACTTTTGGGTGTGAAGGATATGTTCACTATCTTGATTAGGTTTTTTTCACAAGTGCATGCATATGTCAAAATTTATACAATTATACATTTTAAATACATGCAACTAATTATATGCTGACTTTAATAAACTCAATAATTTTTTTTTAAAAAGGCATTCTTAAACCTCCAATTTTTATGATATGTGTCAATTAGGAGATTACCACAGAGACAGAAAACATTCTACCCTTACAAAAATTTTGCCCCAAATAAAATAGTCTCATTACCATAGAGTATATCTCTTTGTTCAAACAATTTTGGAACTTTTTCATGACATCTAACATTAACAATCCACCAAATAACAATATCAAGAAATTATAAATCTGAGTAATTAGAAAAAGGTAGGGTCAGACAGCACTTTTTGCCTCAGAAGTTACAGAGGACACAACTTTGAGCCAAGCTTGCTTGCTTGCTTACTTTGTTTTTTTTTTTTTTTTTTTTTTTTTTTTTGAGATGGAGTCTCACTCTGTGGCCCAGGCTGGAGTGCAGTGTCATGATCTTGGCTCACTGCAAGCTCCACCTCCCGGGTTCACACCATTCTCCTGCCTCAGCCTCCCGAGTAGCTGGGACTACAGGTGCCTGCCACCACGCCTGGCTAATTTTTTGTATTTTTAGTAGAGATGGGGTTTCACCGTGTTAGCCAGGCTGGTCTTGAACTCCTGACCTGTGATCCACCCTCCTCGGCCTCCCAAAGTGCCAGGATTACAGGCGTGAGCCACTGCTTCTGGCCTGAGCCAAGCTTTCTAAATGGTAATAAATATGGAATATTTTGTCAAAAACTCAGACTTAAAAAATAGCTTAGATAACCACATTTGGGGTTATATTTGTTTTCTTTTCTTTTCCTTTCCTTTCTTTTCTTCTGTCTCTCTCTCTCTCTCTCTGTCTGTCTCTCTCCCTCTCTTTCTTTCTTCTCTCTCTCTCTTTTTTTTTTTTTTTTTTTTTTTGACACAGGGACTCCCTCTGTCACCCAGGCTGGAGTGCAATAGTGTGATCTCAGCCCACTACAGCCTCAACTTCCTGGGCTCAGGTGATCCTCCCATCTCATCCTCTAGAGTAGCTGGGGCTAGAGGCATGTGCCACCACAACTGGCAAATTTTTATATTGTTTTGACAGAGACAGGGTTTTGCCATTTTTTTCCAGGCTGGTATTGAGCTCCTGGGCTAAAGCAATCCCCCCACCTTGGCCTCCCAAAGTTCTGGGATTATAGGCATGAATCACCACTCCAAGCCTGCTGGGTTATATTTCTATTCAAACATTATTTTTCTCTTCTTATTTCCATGTCAGTCTATAATGATGGTTATCCTAAATAAAATTATGTCTGACACACAATATTTTACCAAGGAATGTTCATGGTTAGTTAATAATTAATGAAAGTAACATACCTACTACTTTAATGCTATAGAACATTAGGTTGTCATAATACTAAATTCAAATAATATTGGATGACTTGCACAGATGCATATATTTTTATGAGGTATTAAATAAGAAACTTAAATGTAGAAAATTGTGTATTATTGGGGAAAATTGATAAAATACCTGTGTGTGTGTGTGTGTGTGTGTGTGTGTGTGTGTGTATAGATATACAGAAAAAAACACAAAAGCATGCCTATTTAGTGTTTATGATAGATCTCCTGGGGTAGAGAGAGGGGCACTAGAAAAAAGGTAAAGGTTAATCTGTCATCTGATTAGATCACAATACTATATTTATGTGATTTCTAAATTTATTGCATGTACTGAAAAGTAATGTATAACAGAACAAATAACCAACTTATTGTTTTAGCATTCTATTAATAATTCAATTGATTTGATGCTATTGCATTTCAATATGTAAATAAAAGGTACTTAAATTAAATCATATGAAATTGCTGAAATTCAACTTTTTGTGGATTCAAAAATGGCAATATTATATTATTCAACCTAATATGATAACTCTTACAGATTTTCTTAATTACAACAATTTCTTCACAAACATTGATCCAGCAAGACCCTCCCTGACAAAATTCCCAGAAAACATGTCATTCATCTATTTTAAAATGAAATATTATTGAGTAGTTCTTTTTAAATAATTGGAAATTATTGTCTAAGCAAATACTCTTATTATATTATATATTTAATTCTGGAAAAAAATATAAAATAAAAACAAAACATATAGTTGACCTCAGTGGAAATTTTAAAAGTCATTGGAGATGAGAAACAAAAATAAAGCAGATTTAGAAACAAGAAAAGACACTGAAGAACTAGTGTCTTCAAGGCCTCTGGGGATATCTGCTGCCTTGGATCTGGGGTTTAAATAGCCCAAAGTGACAGGATATTAAACTTGTGTAACAAGCCAGGTGGAAGATCTGATCTGATACTCTCCATATAAAGACAAATGAACAGAATGTTTTTGAGAATGATGGGATTGTACTTGAGGTTTTTAAGGATGGCTCTGGAAAAGACAGAAAAAAGGGTGGAGGATCTCAGAAAATTTTCATGTGCATTCACATGGTGTTAGAAATTTTTACCCCTATTAACATAGGAGTTACTGTCACATGAATAAAAAAGTGGTTCAGATAGGTTGTGTCCCCAAATATCTAAGAAAAGTAAAATGTTAATTCTCTCTGGCAAAATACACATGACAAACATTATAAAATTTCTATAGATAAAATTCCAATAAAAAATTTCATAGTAAACAATCATAAGAAACACATGCAGAAACAATTCTTACTCCATGAGCTACAGTCAGCAGAATCAACAACCAGAGAAATAGACCCTCATAAACCACATAATTAGTAAATATTAATACAATACAAATGCATATGTAAATAGTTTTCAAATTAAAAAAGATAGGAGCTAAACTATGAGAAAATAACCCAAGGAAAAAAAGGTAATGCAAATGTGAAAAAAAACTTTCTAGATACAAAAACAGAACTGATGAAAGACATGGACCCTCAGAGATCATGACGAATTCTAGTCACTGTCTATAACACTGCAAATCAGTAACAAGAAAGGAATACTTAGAAGTAGTCAACAAATAATGTTGTAACTATAAAAAAATTATAAGTATGCTATCAGATAAATTTTAAAGAATAATTTCAAAAGCCATGAGACTGTGGAATAATATCCTCAAAATACCATCTTACAATAATTACAAAACAAAAATTATGTTGTAGGTATTGTGTTGTGAAAATGAGGATTTTAAAACTCTTTCAAAAATTAAAAACCTAAGAATATAGTACAAATAAAACTTTACTAAAGGAACTTCTGAAAAACAATTAATATAAAAGAATGATAGTGACTATACACACACACATATGCACAAATTCTGAGATCATAAAAGAAAGTTTAAAATGAGTTAAAATATATTAGCAGTCACAAATAGTGAACTTTCTGAGAGTCAAAACTTTTTAGGCTTGATTAAAAAATAATCCAACTTTTTTATATCTGTAGGTGATATACTTTTAACATAAATACACAAAATAATGAAAGCAAAATTATGAGAAAACATGCTAGGCAAATAGAAAAATAAGAGTGTAGCAATATCAATAGAAGCAACAAGCTCTAAGAAATAAAACTATAGAAAAAAGAATGATCATATAATGATAGGAAGTTTAATTCACCATTGTACATAATAAGCCAAGTTTGTAATAAACAGATTATATATTTCTAAGAATAGATTTTAATGGGATGTATAACATCTTTCAAACTGAATAAAAAATGCTAATATCAAATATTTAAGACAAAGCTAAAGCAAAAATAAGAGGGATATTTATTTTATTTTAAATGCTTCATTTGTAATAGAAAACTGAAATAAATGAACTAAGCACTCAAATGAAAAAATAAGAAAGAAAAGAAAGGAAAAAGAGAGAGAAGAATGCTCAGAACATATATATAGATACATGTTAATAATATAGAACATAAAAATATAATAAAGATAATTAACAGAACCTAAGGTTGGTTTCTTGAAAATACTAATATAATTGACCAAACATGGTAGATATATCTAGAAAAAGAGTGTGGAGGTGTAAATAAACAATATTAAGCTAAATGAAAAAAAATTATGGATGCAGGGAAAAATACAATGATAATGAAATGATATGTGGACCACATTTTGAAAAAAAAAAAAGGAAAACCTGGGAAAAATAGAAAAAAACATAAAAACAGTTTGCATTTACAGTGTTAATTCGGGAAGAAACAGAAATTATCATATATTTGACATTGATTGCAGTAATTGAATCACTAGTTTATAACTTTACACAAGGATTACTTCTGGTCCACACTAAGTTTTACAGGTGATTTCCACCACACCATTAAAGAGATACATAATTCTAAACAACAACTAAAACAGTATGAGAAAGGCACTTTGGGAGGCCAAGGCAGGAGGATCACTTGGGGT
The DNA here is from genome assembly GCF_000001405.40 of Homo sapiens. Classification (NCBI taxonomy): domain Eukaryota; kingdom Metazoa; phylum Chordata; class Mammalia; order Primates; family Hominidae; genus Homo; species Homo sapiens. The sequence goes on from NC_000013.11 coordinate 54,549,303, forward strand.
CAGGAGTTCAAAACCAGCCTGAACAACATGGCGAAACACCACCTCTACTAAAAATACAAAACTGAGCCAGGCATTGCATGGTAGCATATGCCTGTAATTCCAGCTACTAGGGAGGCTGAGGCAGGAGAATTGCTTGAACTTGGGGGGCAGAGGTTGCAGTAAGCCAAAATCACACCATTGCCCTCCAGCCTAGGCGACAGAGTGAGACTCTGTCTAAAAACAAACAAAAAAAAAGTATGAGAAAGAAAAACAACCGATCCATTTTACTACCAAATATAAATTTTAAAATTATTAATGTAAGCTAGTAGAGCCAAACAAACAAACAAAAAACAAAAAAACAGGGGGCAGATGGGGAGAGAGTTTATATTATGACGCATTTGAGTTTATTCCAAGTATGCTAGGTATGTTTTAAATGTACTTCCCATCAAAAGAAAAAAAAAAGAAAAGAAAAGGAAAACTATAAATGCAATTTAACATGTTAGCTTATTTTGAAAAATGGAAAAATACTAATAACCTCATTAGATGCAGAAAATCATTTGACAAAATGCAGTGTTATTTTCTTACTAAAAAAAAAAAAAACCCTTAACAAGTGATAAACAGAAAGGAACATACTTACATGACATGTGTCCACCGAAGGCCTACTGCAACTACCCTATTCAATTACAAAATGTTAAAATATTTACTTTAAAATCCAGAAAATGTCAAGATGCTCATTCTCATATTTCTATTCTACATTATTTTACATAATGTCATTAATGTAGTCAAGTCAGCATTGAAAGGAGGGTAAAGATTAGATTATAAAATAATGGAATTATCTAACATGTTAGACTCAGCCCAGTGCTGAGTGCACTTGTAATTCAGTAATAAGTAATTACCAAAAGTGGGATTCAACAATCCTGGAGAGTGTTGGAAGGTAGGCCCGTGAAAAACCTGAAAGCTGGAGGAGTTGAGAAGAACTTGGACTCCCTGTGAACATCTACTTCCTAAGAGAAATAAGTCAGGCAAAGTTCAGCTTTGCATTCTGAGTTATTTTTTCCCAAATTTGCCTTGAAGAAGTCAGTCCCCCTCTTCACTGGTCATGTGAGTAAACAGATAAATAGAATGGCCTGAAATGAGTTTAAGGAGAAATTCCTTCTCATGGAAGCCAGAAATGGAGGAAAATGTACTTCCACTCCAAAATCATACATTGAAAGGAGGTTAGTGTCAACCTTAGAAGGCTGAACCTACTACTCTTTCTTTATATTAATTTAGAAGAAAATTAAGTACCCAGTAGGGAAATATTATCTAGTAAATCTTGAATTACATATTTTATAATTATTTATCAAAACATGCAAAAATGTATAGACATGATTTTTGAACAGTTTACTTCAATAGGAAACATATTAAGAGCCATTTGATTGACAAGAGAATATAAATCAAAATAGGAAAGTTGATAAATGATATGTGAAAACATATCAGCATAGACTTATACCTAAAGGTCATTAGCCATTTTTATGGTATCATTTTAGGACTGTGCATTTGTCTTTTTAATTTTTTTCCCCTTACCACAAATTGAAATGCTCTGTAGCTCTGTGGCCTCTTAGATTCTGATGTCAGGATACAAATCTCTGTTACCATGGGGACCCAATACTACAAAGGATTCACATAGTCGCCAACTTTTTACTCTTTGTGAAGAGCTATTCATATCAGAAAAAAGGTTAATGAAGTCCAGCACCTTTAGATTTGATAGCTGATGAATCTGTAAGACTAAGAAAGATAGGAAATTTATATATATATATATATGAAACTATATATTAAATAGGAAATTCTAATTTTATATATATATAAGATTTCCTATCTTAATCTCACAAATACATACATATATATGAATGTTTATAAATAGTAATACAGACTTTAATTTTCTTTGTTAACATGCAATATATCCAGATTCTAAAAGTAATTAATTCTTATTGATTATTTTTGGTATTCTTAATTTCATCAAATTATATATAACTATACTGCCTTCTATATTAACAGCTGAATATTTTAAGTCTGTGTACAGAAACATTAGCTGACATTCACCTTCCTAGTCAAGTTGAAGGAATGACTAAGTAAAAAATTAGAGAAAACTAGCCAGTTAGTGGAGCCAAGACACATGAAAAAAAATAATAATTTATTAAAGTCTCCATCCAGATGTACTGAGAATTCAATCAATTAAAAAACATTCTGGACACTGCTTAGGCAGTATTACCATGTTGCATGTTGCATAGTTCTGCAGAACTTGCTACTCATTGTATTTACATCCAGCATGGTGGTAGCCTCAGCCCAGTGCTCATGTAATTTGTGCATTTTTAATTAAGAATTAGCAATTACCAGAAGTAGGTTGCTCTTTATTTCTTTAAGTAGATCCAATTTTCTGACCTACATTATTTTCCTTCTCTCTAAAGAACTTTTCTTGCAAGGCAGATCTACTGGCAACAAATTTCTTCAATTTTTGTTTGTCTGAGAAAGTATTTCTCCTTTACCTTTCAAGGATAATTCTGCAGAGTATAGAATTCTAGATTCATGAAGGGATTTTCTCTGAACCTTTTAAACATTTTAGTCCACTGTTTTGTTAGCATGGTTTCTGAGAAGTTGAAGGTAATTCTTCGTTCCTCTATAGATAAGGATTTTTTTTTTCTTCCTGTCTTCTTTCAGGATGTTTTGCTTTATCATTGCTTTTTTGTGTAGTTTGAAAATGCTATGTCTTGGTGTAGGGTGTTTTGGGTTTGTTTTGTTTAACCTACCTGTTGTTCTCTGGACTTGTTGAATCTGAGGTTTTGTATTTGGCATTATTTTGGGGAAAATTGTCAGTCATTGTTTCAACTATTTCTTCTGTTCCTTTCTCTCCTTCTGGAAATCCTATCATATTTATGTTATACCTTTGTAGTTGTCCCACAGTACTTAGATATTCTGTTCTATGTTTTTAATCTTAGTTCTCTTTAATTTTCAGTTTCAAAGTTTCTATTGATACATCTTTAAGCTCAGAACCACGTCCCCTCTACTCTTGAGCCCATGAAAGGCATTTCTCATTTCGGTTACAGTGCTTTTGATCTAGCATTTATTTTGGGTTCATAGGATTTCTATCTCTCTGGTAACATTGTCAGTATGCTCTTTCATACTGTCTACTTTATCCATTAGTCTTTGGCATATTATAGTTTTTAAAAAATAATTCCAGTTTGATAATTCCAACATCCTTGTTGCATCTGGTTGATTGATTGATTGATTGATTTTTGCAGTAGTTTTTGGAGTACAGATGGGTTTTGGTTACATGGTTAAGTTCTTTAGTGGTAATTTCTGAGATTTTGGTGTACCCATCATCCAAGCAGTGTACACTGTACTCAATATGTAGTCTTTTATCCCTCCCCCCTCTCTCTCACTTCCCCACAAGTCCCAAACATCTATTATATAATTCTTATGTCTTTGCATCCTCATAGCTTAGCTTCCACTTGTCAGTGAGAATATATGATATTTGCTTTTCCATTCCTCAGTTACTTCACTTAGAATAACGGCCTCAAGCGACATCCAAGTTGCTGTAAAAGGCCATTATTTTGTTTTGTTATATGGTTAGCAGTATTCCATGGTGTACATATACACCACATTTTCTTTGTCCACTCGTTGGTTGATGGGGCTTTGGGTCAGTTCTATATTTTTGCAATTGCAAATTGTTCTACTATAAACCGGCATGTGCATGTGTCTTTTTCATATAATGACTTATTTTCCTTTAGGCAGAGATCCAGTAATGGAATTAATTGCTGGATTTAATGGTAGTTTTACTTTTAGTTCTTTATGGAATCTCTATACTGTTTTCCACAGCAATAGTACTAGTTTTCATTTCCACCAGCAGTGTAAAAGCATTCCCTTTTCACTACACCCATGTCAACGTCTATTATTTTTTGACTCTTTAATTATGACCATTCTTGTAGGAGTAAGGTGATATCTCATTGTGGTTTTAATTTGTATTTCCCTGATAATTAGTGATTCTGACCATTTTATCATATGTTTGTTGGCTGCTTGTATATCTTCTTTTGAGAATTTTCTATTCATATCCTTTGCTCACTTTTTGATGGGATTATTTATTTTTTCTTGCTGATGTGTTTGAGTTCCTTGTAGATTCTGGATATTAGTCCTATGTTGGATGCCCAGTTTGTGAATATTTTCTCCCACTCTGTGGGTTGTCTGTTCATTCTGCTGATTATTTCTTTTTACTGTGCAGAAACTTTTTAATTTAGTTAGGTCTCATTCATTTATTTTTGTTTTTGTTGCATTTGCTTTGGGGTTCTTAGTCATATATTCTTTGCCCAAGCCAATGTCTAAAAGAGTTTTCCTGATATTATCTTCTAGAATTTTTATGGTATTATGTCTTAGATTTAAGTATTTGATCCATCTTGAATTTACTTTTGTATAAGGTGAGAGATGAGCATCCAGTTTCATTCTTCTACATGTGGCTTGCCAATTATCCATTTGTTCACCATTTGTTGAACAGGGTGGCCTTTCCCCACTTCATGTTTTTGCTTGTTTTGATGAAGATCAGTTGGTTGTATTTGATTTTATTTCTGGGTTCTCTATTCTGCTCCATTGGTCTACAGTCCTATTTTTATACCAGTACCATGCTGGGTAACTATAGCCTTGCAGTTTAATTTGAAGTTGGGTAATGTGATACAGCCAGTATTGTGTTTTTGCTTAGTCTTGCTTTGGCTAGGCAGGCTCTTTTTTAGTTCCATATGAATTTTAGGATTGTTTTTTCTAGTTCTGTAAAAATGATGATGATTTTTGATGGGAATTACATCAAATCTGTAGATTGCTTTTGGCAGTATAGACATTGTGACAACATTGATTCTGCCTCTCCGTGAGCATGGGATGTGTTTTGATTTGTTTGTGTCATCTATGATTTCTTTCAGCAATGTTTTGTAGTTTTCCTTGTAGAGATCTTTCACCTCCTTGCTTAGGTATATTTCTAAGTATTTTATTTCATTTTTGTATCTGTTGTAAAAGGTACTGAGTTCTTGATTTAAGTCTCAGCTTGGTCATTGTTGGTGTTTAGCAGTGCAACTGATTCATGTAGATTAATTTTGTGTCCTGAAACTTTTCATTTATCTTTTCATTTTAGATGAGTCTTTAGCGTTTTCTAGGTATATGATCATATCGTCAATGAACAGTGATAGTTTGACTTCCTCTTTTCCAGTTTGGATACCCTTTATTTCTGTCTCTTGTGTGATTGCTCTGATTAGGACTTCCAGTACTATGTTGAATAGTAGGGTTGAAAATGGATATCCTTGTCTTATTTCAGTTCTCAGTGGGGATAGTTTCAACTTTTCTCCATTCAGCATAATGCTGGCTTTTGTGACATCTGGTTCAAATGCTTGCTTGCTCTGTCTCTTCAAATTGTGTGGGGTATTTTTTTTTTCTTTTTGGTATACCTTGTTATTTTTTCTTGATAGCCAGTCATGATGTACTAGAAAAAAGAAATTGCTTTAAATGGGCCTTTAATAATGGTGGCAAGATGTGGGGAGAAGAAAAGCATTCTATAGTTCTATAATTATGTTTTAGGTTTTTTTTCTTTTTTTGTGTGTGATCTTATGCCTTGGACTATGAACTTCACAAATATTTCTTAGGAGTTTTATTCCCCATTAGGTAGCCACAATCATAAGGGCTAGTCTTTGGAAAAAAGATATCTACTTGCATTGATTTAAGAATATTGGTGTTAAACAGAGCGTCTCCAAGTAAAGATGAAGCCCACCATGGGAATTTTTTCATCTTTGGAGAAATGCCACCTAGCTATTTTCTCAGAAATTCAGAGAAAGAAAAGATGATGTAGAGGAATAGGATCACCTTTTAAAGTCAGAAAATGAATGCTTCACAAAAAAAGAAAGCAAGAAATAAAATGAATGTTTGAGATATATGTAAGACCTGCTTAGATAACTTGGACAGGTCTGAAGAGGAGAACATTAGTGGAGGTTATTGTGAAGTAAGAGCCAAAGTGTCAAAAACCCAAACAAGTACATTGTGAATAATCATAAGTGAATCTTTTCTCTCAGAAGGTAGGGCCAGTATGTTTTTCAGAATGAAGTTCAGTGCTTCCTGGAGGCATAAAATATTACCTGAAGTTACATATCTAAGAATAGACCAGAAAGCAATTTTTTTCTGTGATAATTACAGCAATTGAAGCAATACTAATATATTTTGTTCCAGAAGTCAAAGTAACTTTCTTAGCAATCAGAAAAATCCAGAAAACAATGTTTTTATATATATATATATATATTTTTTTTTTTTTTTTGAGACGGAGTCTCGCTCTGTCCCCCAGGCTGGAGTGCAGTGGCACAATCTCAGCTCACTGCAAGCTCCACCTCCCAGGTTCACGCCATTTCCCGCCTCAGCCTCCTGAGTAGCTGGGACTATAGGCGCCTGCCACCATGCCCGGCTAATATTTTTTATTTTTAGTAGAGACGGGGTTTCACCGTGTTAGCTAGGATGGTCTCGATCTCCTGACCTCGTGATCTGCCTGCCTTGGCCTCCCAAAGTGCTGGGATTACAGGCGTGAGCCACCGCGCCCGACTGTTTTATATATTTCTAAAGATATAGCTCACTAAATAATTTCTAGTCATCTGTGGATTACCTAAAGAGAAGACAGGAATTTCTTTGTGAGCATTCAGCAGGGCATCTCTAGATGGCAGGTATGGTGACAGGTATACAAATTTGCACATCAAATTATTTAGAAAGCTAAATATGCTAGTCAAAAAATAATAATAATAAATAAAACTCAGGAGTTTGGGGTAAACTGCCAGTACTGAAGCCTTTTCTTAGATAGCTAATCCATTTCAGGTACCAGATTAGAAAAGGCATTCTCTCTCCAGTTACTAAAGGAAGGGCAAAAATCTAGTAGTCCAAAGAAATGTAGCAGGACAGGCTATACTAAAATAAAAGTAATAAAAATAAATGATCTGATCATCATAATTGAGAGACTAATTCAAGCTTAAGGGCCATGCCCACCTAACTGGGCCCTTTGGACTTTCATGTATCTCAAATAAACATAGTTGTTAGGAACCTGAAACTGATGTAACACACTTTTTTGAATTGACAATGTGTCCACCTTGTTCTAGTGAACAAGATGGAAGACTATTGAACAATGGAATATAACAGTTATCAGGAAAAATTGAGGACTTAGGTGCAAACATTTTGAAACAAAACAAAACAAAAACAAACAGGAAAACCTTCGACAAGAACCAAAATCACATGGTACAGTACAAAAACAGGCACATAGACCAATGGAACAGAATAGAGAGCCCAGAAATAAGGCCACACTCCTAAAACCATCTGATCTTTGACAAAGCTGACAATAGCAAGCAATGGGAAAAGACTCCCCATTCAATAAATCGTGCTGGGATAACTGTCTAGCCATACACAGAAGATTGAAGCTGGACCCCTTCCTTATACAGACCCAGAAATCAACTCAAGATGGATTAAAGACTTAAATGTAAACCCCCAAACTATAAAAACCTTGGAAGACAACCTAGGCAATACCATCTTGGACATAGAAACAGGAAAAGATTTCATGACAAAGACACCAAAAGTAATCACAACAAAGCAAACAATTGACAAGTGTGATCTAATTAAACTTAAGAGCTTCTGCACAGCAAAAGAAACTATCAACAGAGTGAATAGACAGTATACAGAATGGGAGAAAATATTTGCAAACTATGCATCTGACAAAGGCCTACCATCCAGCATCTACAAGGAACTTACTTAAACAAATTTACAAGAGAAAAACAAATAACTCCATTAAAAAGTGGGCAAAGGACATGAATAGACACTTCTCAAGACATACATGTGGCCAATGATCATATGAAAAAAAAAAGCTCAATGTCACTGATCATTAGAAAAATACAAATTAAAATCACAATGAGATACCATTTCACACCAGTCAAAATGGCTATTATTAAAAAGTCAAAATATAACAGATGCTGGCGAGGTTGCAGAGAAAAGGGAATTCTTATGCACTGTGGGTGGGAGTAAATTGGTTCAAACATTGAGGAAAGCAGTATGGCGATTCCTCAAAACTAGTAGCAGAACTGTCATTTGACCCAACAATGCCATTGCTGGGTCTATACCCAGAGGAATATAAATCATTCTACCATAAAGACACATGTGTGTGCATGTTCACTGCAGCACTGTTCACAATAGCAATGACATGGAATCAATCTAAATGCCCATCAATGACAGATTGGATAAAGAAAATGTGGTACATATATACCATGGAATACTATGCAGCAATAAAAAGTTATGAGATCATGGGACCATCCATGTGGGAACATGGTTGGAGTTGGAGGCTATTATCCTTAACAAACTAACACAAGAATAGAAAACTAAATACCACATATTCTCACTTATAAATAGGAGCCAAACAATAACTTATTAACACAAAGAAGGAAACAAGAGAGACTGGGGTCTCCTTGAACAGGGAGGGTAGGAGAAGGGAGAGAAGCAGAAAAGATAACTATTGGGTACTGTGCTTAATACCTGGGTGATGAAATAAAGTGTACAACAAACCGCCATGAGAGTTATTTACGTGTGTAACAACCTTCACATGTACTCCCCCAAAAATAAAAATTTAGAACAAAAACATCTTCTTTTAACAAAGCACATCTCCAGAAGTTGGTGTCTTAGGTTAACAAACTACAAAAACATGTTTATAGGGAGAGAGAAAACAAAATCACATGATAAATTGGTAACAAGCGTGAATAGTTTCTAGGGTACCCCCCAAGCAAGATTCCTGCCAGTTGGACTTTATGGCCTTGTGTACTCTCCTCCTCTTAAGTGAGGGAGGAGCCTGTGATTTGCTTTAATCAGTATAATATTGCAAGGGATATGGAAGGTCACCTCCATAAGTAAGCTATTTTACACAATACTCTCTTGCTAGCCCACTTGCTCTAAATACTCTGTTTGCAGACGTGATGAAATAAATATTCAATTTGGGGAAGCCCACATGGCAAAGAACTGCAGGTGGCCTCAAGAAACTGCAGCACCCCCTAGGACCCTCAGAAGGCAGCCTTTCAGCCTCCAGCCAACAAAAAACTAACTGCTCTCATTCCTGTGGTTACAAGAAAATAAATTCTGCCCAACAACCTGATGGAGCATGGAAGAAGATCCTTTCTTAGTAGAACTGCCAGATGAAAACTTAGTCTTGGCTGACTCTGATTACAGCCTGAGAGTGTATAGTAGAAACCAGCTAAGCAATAGCCAGACTCCACTGTCACAGAGACTGCAGTAAGAAATGCATGTTGCTGTAAGTTGCTAAATTTGTGGTAAGTTGCTATACAACAATTAATAAAAAATCTCTAAAATAACTACCAGAAAAACTCAATTACAATCAGAAACATTGTCCCTACCTCCCATGGTAACTTATTTGCTAATTATCATGTAATAGAATTGTTTCCACAGGGTTAGAATGACTACTTTGAATATTCCTAAAGATTTACAGCATTAGTCAGTATTGATAATACAAGTAAGAACTGGCTCTTCTGCAGCTATTGAAGAGAAAATATACCTTGCGTTCTCAGTTTGAGTTTTATAGAAGATGGTACAATCTGATTTTTGAAGTCTTCACATGGCAGCCAGTGGTAAAGAGATAGAAACTTTTATTTTCCTTTCTGTCTGAAAAGGCTCACTTCCAGGAATTCATTTGAGTGGTTGTCAGCTGGGTTAGTCTATCCTGTCCACAACCCATTTCTTGGAAGACATTATCTAACAGAGAAGAGATTTCCAAGTTCTTTCTGATAAAATCTCAAAGTTTGGAGTTAATAGTTGCCATTTACTATAGCAGTGAACTGTCTGACGTATACAGAGACTGTCTTCTCAAACTGCATTTTATCTAGCCTTATGGGAAATGCTTTCTATTTAGCTCTAAAATATAGTCATGCATTGTTTAACTATGGGAATATGTTCTGATATATGCTTCCTTAGGTGATTTCGTCATCGTGTGAACATAATAGCGTGTACTTAACAAACCTAGATGGTGTAGCCTACAACACTCCTAGGCTATATAATATAACCTATTGCTCCTGGCTATAAACCTGTACATGTTACTGTATTGAATACTGTAGGTAAGTCTAACACAGTGGTATTTGTGTATCTAAACATAGAGAAGATACAGTAAAAATACGATATTATAATCTTATAAGACCATTATTGTATATGCAGTCCATCATTGACCAAAATGTCGCTAAGTGGCTCATGACCATAATTCTATGTTATTTGCAATGGAAAGTTTTCCAAACTCTGTTAATTATTTTATCAATTCCCTCAAAAACTGGATCAAATGCCATTAGAAACTAATGATTTGTCATAAATTACCTTGCCTTCCTAACCCAAACCTTTTCAGTTTCCTATACTGCAGAGTATTGTTTTAAAAATGGACTGTGCTTTGTATGCTTTATTCACAATAGCAATTCCAGGTGCATATGAAGATAAAGGTGACTAATTAGGTTGCTGCTTATTCTCAAGGAAGTAATTAGACATCATTAGGGTATTATTTTTTAAATTAGGGTTTGCTTTCATGTGGAATTTAGATAGGACTCTGTCTTTGTAGAAACATTCTTGAAACTCATTCATTTGTTCAAAAAGAAAAATTAAATGTCATTATTAAGATCTACCTTTCTGAAAACATAGCCAACAGCAATTTGGTCTAAAATTTGTCAGCTTTGCACAAAAAAGGCAATTTGAACATTAGCAATCAGTCTTTCAAGGAGATTGCTATCTGCATACAAAGTTGTGGATTTACAAAGTCATGAAATCATCATCCTCATAATGAGTATGAACAACAAATTCCTGTCTTTTGTAAGTTGCTGGAGACATAAAAGGCTTTAAGGTGCACACCATAACCTCAAGGAGGATGTCTAAGGTTTTCTTTCTTGGATAGTTTCAGATAACATTTAAGACTTTGTTTTATGAAGAACATCTTACCACACTGCCCCTCATACTTGTGTATAAATAGAAAAAAATTCTTATCAAGAGCTTAAATATGTGGTCACTTATAAAACATGTGTGAGGCACACATTGTAGGTCCTTAAATTCTTTTCCAAAATAACACTCCTCACTTACCAAAGTGCCTGATACTTCAACACTGAAAGTTTTCAATCTTCTGAAATCCTGATAAATGCATTTATACTTGAGACAATTTCTTTTTTTAAAAAACTTATCAACTTGTCCCTTTAAATGTATTACTCTTAAAATACTAATTTCTTCATCTGTATAATAATGATATTATCTTGCCTAATTCTTAGACTTTTTGTAAGGATTAAATTAGCCTGTGTATAGCACTCAGAATAGTGTCTGGCAAATAATAAGTTCCCAATAAGTGTAAAATATTATTATTTTAGCTTTACTGTTGCTATTATGATCACTAGCTGCTATGGGATGAATGTGTCTTCTTCAAAATTCAGGCATTGAAACTTAATGGCCACCATTGTGGCCATTAAGTCCTGAGATCACAATAGTTATGTAACCAGAGAAAAATGAATTTATCTCTTTCTTTCTTTAATATTTGAAAAATGGGGAAAGTAACAAATCTACTAGTCATACGTTGTGGGAGATTATAAAAATATAAGTGAAAATGCTTTGTAATGTAACTACAATGTACATATCACTTTCTATTCTTCTTCTTATATATGTGACAATTAGGATATTTTCTATTATTGTTTTTGTCTATGAATAGGACATAAACAAATCTTGTATGATATATTTTTAGTATTCTCTGTACAATTGAGATGTACTTTTGCATATTTGGAATCTATTTTGTGAAATTAATCTTTTTTTTTGCTTCATGGTTGAACATATATATATACACACACATATATATACACACACATATATACACATATATATACACACATATACACATATATACATATATACACACATATATATATATATATATAACTTTTTTTTTTTTTTTTTTTTTTGGAGACGGAGTCTCGCTCTGTCCCCTCGGCTGGAGCGCAGTGGCGCGATCTCGGCTCACTGCAAGCTCCGCCTCCCGAGTTGACGCCATTCTCCTGCCTCAGCCTCCTGGGTAGCTGGGACTACAGGCGCCCGCCACCATGCCCGGCTAATTTTTTGTATTTTTTTAGTAAAGACGGGGTTTCACCATGTTAGCCAGGATGGTCTCGATCTCCTGACCTCATGATCCGCCCGCCTCGGCCTCCCAAAGTGCTGGGATTACAGGCATGAGCCACCGCGCCCTGCCTATATATATATTTCTTAAAGTCAATCTTGCTTTTGCATGTGAAGTTAATTTGCCACCACAGTTTCTCTACTTCTACAGTTAAAACTCAATGATACATATTGTTTTTTGTCTGTTTGTTTTTGAAGCAGAGTCTCGCTCTGTCACGCAGGTTGGAGTGCAGTGGTGCGATCTCTGCTCACTGCAAGCTCTGCCTCCTGGGTTCACACCATTCTCCTCCCTCAGCCTCCCGAGTAGCTGGGACTACAGGCACCCACCACCTAATTTTTTGTATTTTTAGTAGAGATGGGGTTTCACCTCATTAGCCAGGATGGTCTCGATCTACTGACCTCGTGATCTGCCCTCCTCATCCTCCCAAAGTGTTGGGATACAAGCGTGAGCCACGGCACCCGGCCACATACTGTTATTTTATAGAACATGTAACATTTTTTTTTCTTGTTTTTGAAACTGAGTCTTGCTCTGTCTCCCAGGCTGGAGTGCAGTGGCACAATCTTGGCTCATTGGAACCTCCGCCTCTTGGCCTCAAGCCATTCTCCTGCCTCAGCTTCCCGAGTAGCTAGGATTACAGGCTGTGCCACCATGCCCGGCTAATTTTTGTATTTTTAGTAAACATGTGGTTTGACCATGTTGGCCAGGCTGGTCTTGAACTCCTGACCTCAAGTGATCCACATGCCTCTGCCTCCCAAAGTGTTGGGATTACAGGCGTGAGCCACGGTGTCCAGCAGAAATTTCTTTACATTTCTTCTGGATCCGCTGATAAGCTGATTTCCAAGTGAGTTTTGTCGTCTCATGCTTACATTATAATTATTTAAGTTATATATTAGCAAGTTTCACACCTGAAAGGTTTAGAATAACTTGTCTTGTTTTCAATACTGAATGCAGTTTATTAGTAGAAAAGACCACAGACTTTGAGTCGTAAGATCAGGTGACAGTAGTAACTGAGTTCTTACATGCTAGCCAGTAAAAACCAAACAACAATAAAAGAAAACCTCTCTAAGCCTCTTCTCTTTATGTGTAAGGTCATAAATGTGTCACACAATTTATTTTAACTTTGTCAGTGTCTTCCCTATTTCAATGTATTATAATCTCATGTCTATCACCATCAATGATTATACCCAATGCATATTTTTATTTCTCAGGATCTAGGACTTACACATTGCACTTTCAACCTCTCACCACTATCTCTTCTTCAAAATCCTCTCTGATAGTACCATCTTGTATGTTTATTCACTGTGGTTTTTTCTCTTTTTTTTTTAGCTTTTCATTTCAAATTTTGTGGATACATAGTAAGTGTATATATTTATGGAGTTTCTATAGCTTTACTGAGTATACCTCAGAAAAGTCTCTTGAAAATTGTACCTTCTTTCTTGACCTATAGTCATAGCTATAGTCTTTATTGTATCAGAAAAAGGTTATTGCAATAGTCTCAATAATCTTTTAGTGCCTAGTCGTTACTCCTTTCACTAGAAGAAATGTTTGATATATTATTCTGAAAAGCAAAGATAATCCCTTTTCCTCCCTATTTAACTGCTCTTGTCATTTTAAATAGGAAGTTGATTATCTTCATTTGGGAGTAAACTGCTAGCCCCTTGTTTTGGAGTGTTAGGTACTTGAGATTTGTTGTTCCTAAAAAGTTACAAAAAAATAAAATTTCACTGGTAAGGAGATAATAACATATATTACATTTACATTTTAAAACATGAAATGCATAATTTTTACAAGCTAATTTAGATTCTAGGACTCAGATGGCCTGCCTGTGCAGCTTGTATTATGATAAAGCATGTTTGTAGAATAAGAGGGGGAAAGGGAAAAGAAGGGAAGGGGGTAAGCAGGAGGGGTGGGGCAAGGGAAGGGAGACAGGAAAGAAGGAAGACAAAAATGTAAAAATCGTTCTATTGGTCTAATGCCAAGTAAGTCCCTGATCTTCTCTTTATTACAGTGAATGAGAAAATCTGACTCATTCCTTGAGGTTAACAGCATACTGAGGCATTGTTGTTAAATAACATTTATTGAGTATCACGGAGGAACAAAATTCAATAATACTTACATTTTGAAACCACATATGTGATTTTCAAGTTATATAATAAAGAACAAAGAGCTGGCTAACAGTTATATTATTAATACATATATTAAGAAAGATAAGTAAACATGTGTTAGAAAAAGCAGACAATAACTTGACACACTGTATCAAGATGGGTTAATTAGTAAAACATTTTGAAAGGAAGATTAATTGTCACTATTATACCAAAAACACAATATCCTTTGATATCCTGAAATGTGAAAAATGGTGTAGTGTGCTACTTGGATAAGGTCTATTCTGAAAAAAAATTAAATCAGATTTGCTGAGTTTTCAGAAGCAAGATTTTTCCTTGAAGGGTAAATGAAAACAGCTTCCTAACTTAAGATCTTAGATACCATTAGTCCCAATGAAGTTGGTGATTTCTTCTGGGAGGGTTTAATCAGTTTGTTGTGACATGGTACCAGCAACTCAATTCTATAAAACAATTGTGATTGATTACTGCTTTTCCATGAATTGGCCAGAAGGGAGCCTGAGAAAATCACTTCCACAGGCTGCCTTGTAAAGTGCAACTTCTGAAAATGATGGTGTTCTCAATTTGAACTATATTTTTTGTCTCATAACCATTCATAAAAATATCTTTCATTAGCCATTTTCTTTATTTTCTAAAGAGAAAATATCATTGATGGTTACAGTGCTAGAAGTTGCAGCAATTAACTAACTGCAATGACAGGTGGTGAGGTTAAGCCTTTTTGTCAAACACTGAGCTAGTTATATATTGACATCTTCTGACCGGAACACAGCGGGTACGCTCAGAAGGCCACTTCCATGTCTATTAAAGTGCCATGGTCATCCGGAGGTTTTCTAAGCCAACAATCAGTGCCCAAACTGAGACTAGGACTGGCTATTTATAAGTGAGATGTGAAGGTATTCTGAATAAAATGTGTCTCTTCCTGTTTTATTTTGCTCTTACTACCGTTATCACTTTTATATACAAGGCATAAGATATCTTGCTTTTGCTGCTTCCTACATCATTATACATAGAAGTATACACTTTCAGGGATGTTTTTAAACAAGGTAGTGAACGAGAGTGGGTATTCATTTTTACTTAGGAGGAAAAGCATGAATTTATTACCTCTTAGAAAAAGCTGAATTAGGCACGGCACTTACAGCTCTTGTCTAGACGGAGACATCTTATCCCACATATCCACTAGGATTGAACAGTTATGTGGGATCATTTTGAATAGGGAGGCAATATATACAATCTTGAGAGAGCTGCTTTGCTAGAGAAGCAGCTTTACCTATCCTTTCCACATACCGTGTTGTTTAAAAATTACATATTGTATATATTGTGTTTGCCCAGTTATGAACATTCATTCCAAGTCCTCAGAATAATCTTAATCATTTTATTTTCTGTAAAACTAGGTAAGGTGGAAAATTTATCTATCATTACCTACAAAAGGAAATTACAGAACTTCAATGTAAAAAAAGTTCTCTATGTTAAGGTATGATCCAATTAACTTTGAAAAAGTGACTTTAAAATATTTGGCTAGATCAGCTTTAGGCTCAAATGAGGTAGGCGAATACTTCTGTGGTTTAAGTTAGTGTAACTGAAATAGTCATTTGCCCCAATGTCTTCTTTTTTTCTCTATTTTCCTTGTCTGGTGCCTTCCATTAAATGATAAATTTCACAGAAAAAAAAACATAAAAAATTAAAACCTATATAAATCATTAACACTTTATATTAGTTTATTAAGCTAGCTCCATTATTTCTAAGATCACTAGTGATTTTATAGAGGAGTTGGAGAAAAGGCCAGAGGTGGATTAAGAAAATGTCTGGAGCCCAAGTAGAGAGCCAGTGGGAACAATCTGGAGAACTAGTGCAAGGAACAACTGGGAGCCTGATAGAAAGCACCAGAAAACACAAGGCTAGGCACATGCACAAATTTGAAAGGGTGGATTCTAGATACATTTTGCCTTTAAAGCTCTCATGAGCCATATTTTCTGGATTCACTGATTTTTGAGAGAGAGTAATCAAGCAAAGGAATGTGAGGATGACTTGATCATTTATGCTTTGCAGTATCTTTTTTCTTATTAAATCCACTGAAGTTAATATGTGAAGAAGATAGTACTACCTAAAATATAATAATTAAGCTGTCGCAGCTCTTCCATTGTGAAGTACATTTGACAATTAATGTCATGGATTAGATTAATTATAGACCATTTAAATGATACTGTTTTGAACTTAAGCAAAAACATTTGTTATACTTCAGAGCCCTTTAGTAGGG
Organism: Homo sapiens; assembly: GCF_000001405.40. Classification (NCBI taxonomy): domain Eukaryota; kingdom Metazoa; phylum Chordata; class Mammalia; order Primates; family Hominidae; genus Homo; species Homo sapiens. The sequence goes on from NC_000013.11 coordinate 54,565,864, forward strand.
TTTTTGAATACCTCATTATAATTTTTTCACTGGATTCTTTCAACAACAAAATATTCGAAAAATCTTTAACTTTGTTGACTATCAATGTTTACTTCGTTGACTGTCATTGTTTTCCAATCCATTTGATAAACATTAAAAACATAACAAATAATATTATATTTAAAATTTGAATCACTAATTAATTAATTTATCTTATAAAACTCAAAGAAAATCCAAGTGTATCTCTTCCTAATAGATATGCCCATTGTAACATCTTGCAACATCGGTGCAGTTTATGAATGTTTCCAAAACAAAGATTCTCAAGAGGCATAGTAGAATGTTTGCACTGGGGTTTATTTGAGAGAAACACCTGAAATTGCCTTCCAAATAACTTTATAACAAAATGTAATGTTTGTTTCAAAACTTTAACCTTGTATAAAAGTCTAAAGAAGTCTAGTAAGTTATAAGTCCTTGTAAGATCCAAAATGCTAAGAATGTATTGAGTGATAGCTTCAAGTTAAGCAGAATATGTTTCCTATTTTAATTGAAAATCTTGTTTACCTATCTTTAATTTGCTTATTTTTAGTGGAACTTAAAGTTTGAATTCCAGAGCCTGAATTAATGTTGGTTTCCGTAGTCCTTTAGAAACAGTTACTAAATATATGACAAGTCATTTAAAATATAAGCTAATGTGTCTTTGGCATTTCTCAGAACATTTTAATTACATTTCATTAATTCAGAATAACCACACATTTGAATTTGCCTAAATATGAAAAGGATGAAACCTTAGGTGGTTTTATGGATCATTAAATTCAACATGAAATTATATAGCTGTAGCTCACTAGTTCTTTAAATTTTTACTATTAATATACGCATAGATGCTAGGATGCTTAGAGAAATAGCATTGCTAGATCATGTATTAAAAGCAAACTACATTTGTATCAAAGAAAATATAAATCTAAAACATGACTACTGTTATATACCCAGATCATTTTTAATGATTCATCATTGGGAACAATAATCTTTAAAGTATTACATATTAAAGAAGATATCTTTGATTACATTTGATGCAATAATTATAAAATCACGAAATGTAAAACTTCTGTTACTTTGGGACCTGTCCGTCTAATTTCAAAGTGGGCAAAATATTTGACCCATCTTCATTCCTCCTGCTAGGAGTCAGATATGATGGCTGGAGCTCTAGCAGTATTTTGGACCATGTGCTGATCTCAGGTGAAGATGGATGTGAGAATGATACAACAGAGGGGGCTTAGGACACTGATGCTATGAAGCCATCAGACCAGCCCTCAATTGTCTTCCTTCAGGGTCTTTTATTTGTGAGAAAATTAAATTTTTATGTTACTGAAGTCACAATTACTGTCCTATGTGTAACTAAACTTACTTTTACATGATTCAAACATTTCACATTATTTGGCCTTGATTTATACGTGTTATTTCTGGTTGACAATTCCACCTAACATATGAAAAAGCCTTGATTTTAATTGTCATATGTTATTCATCTTGATTGTACTGACAGCAACATTTCCATGACTTTTTCACTTTTGACAGCCAAACCAATCACTCTTTTTGTTCCCATTATTTGTTTACTAAATAATGGAAGAGAAATGCTACTAAGACCCAGAATAGGGTCAGGGTGAGAATGGAGAGTATGGGAACAAAGGGATGGATAGTGACTATTCTGAGAGTGAGCAATAATTCAGCAGAAAAATACATCTGGTAGAATTGTTGTGGGTGAGGAAACATATGTCACCTCTCAAGCAGAATGCTAACTTGTGGGTTCCTTTCTCGGCATTGCCTAAAGTCCGTCTGCTGAACCAAGGATGACAGTAAGACAGCAATGGAAGAGAAGGCATTTCCAAAGCCCTGAAGCATCAGATTGGCATCTGTGTTACTAGTTCTACCGTATAATATATATTTGAGTTAAAAGTTACCATATCTTTATTTTAATTTATATGTCTTCGGACACTTACTTTTGTGTTTGCTTTTTGCAAGCATATAAAGTAGAAAACTAATTCTCATTAATTACAGTGTGGGAAAGAGGTAATGCATTGAGACTGGTGCCCAGGACAGAGGTAAGTGTAAGGAGCCCTTCATGGCTCCTAAATTACAGATTATATATTTAATTTACTAAACACTAGAACAGTTTTAGCAGGAATGATAATTTTTTTTAGTTTGTTATCTTGGGAGAAAGTCTCCATCACTATATTTTGTAAGTTAAAAGCTTGTCAAGGATATTCTGTTACAAGGACTCATTTTTATAAGCATTACCCTAAACATAAAGGATGCATAGGGGATTTGGGTGGATAGAAACAATTTTGGCCTTCCCAGAGATTTTACAAATTTATTCATTTATTCTTTCTTATGCTATATATAGTTTTAAGAAATTACTCCAACAACACGGCTGGAAAATGGCACATGGACAAAGCAAAGCTCTTCCTTGAGATGCTTCACAATGTGTTAAGGGAAGTTATATACAGGGGAAAAATTCTTCTAATTATAATCTGTTTTTCACAGCAGAACTATTATGCAAATCAAAGATCAGAAGAGATTTTAATTGTGCTACTTGTTTACATGGCTGCTGATAGAGCCAGCTTTTTGGTCTAAGACTATATAATTTCCACATGGTGATACAGAGTTAGGAATAAACTACCCAGGTAAGATCAGAAAAGTTTTATCAAAATATGGTATTAGACTTTGAGTTTTGTGGAAAAATAAGCAAGTAGGAAAGACCCAATAGGCTGGGAGGGAAAGCCAAATATTTAAAAGAGAGAGGAAAATTGGTAATCATAGTATTATAGAGGAAGGAAAATATGACATCAAATTTGAGGAGTTTTGGCTTAAAAAGAAAAGCAAAGTAAAATGAAGAGAGAAACAGGGAACATTACTGTCTCTAAAATTGAAAGAAAACAGAAGAGCTATGTATAGAGATGATTAGGTGATTTGGTTGTAACACACAGGAATTACAGACCCTCATCTGTTATTTCCCATCTGTAAAGGAATAAGTGAAATAATATGCCAAGAGTGGGGGTGTTTGAGATAGATGTATAGCTTGATATTGCTCTCTATACTTCACTATATCTGCTAATGGTAATAAAAGGAGATGAGCAAGACAGAAATAGTTCTCTGAGCCATATTGATACCTCCATTGAGATTGGAATTTAATGTACATTTATTGAAACTCCACTGCTCAGATGGTTCTTTTATTTCACTTGGAGACTGCTTTGCTGAAAAGGAGAAATGTACTCAATGGGAATTTTAGAAAGGGTACATGTGGAACTTGACATATTGAAGGAGTTGAGAGAAAAAAATATGAGAAATTCAAGTGAAAAATGATGGTGGGAAGGCCCAGAAATTTATAAATATCTGAGCATGGGTTGGTGGTGAATTGAGGTGGTGTATTAGCCAAGAAAAAGATGAAAGTGGGTATTAAGAGATTTAAGGACTAGATAAAGTAGCAGATCAGGATTATTGGGAATGAAAGCATGAGACAAATAGGGAGATAAGTAGTTGTGGTCAGAATTCAAGTCTATAGATGTTTGCAAAGAAAACACTAATCTGAGGTATTAACAAATTAGAGCAGACATAAAAATCATTGGAGCCTCGAAGTGCAAGGGACTAAAAGACTGAGTTATGTTGAGTTTATATTTAGATAACTTCAGACTTATTCAACACATTTTTTTGTTAAAATGTAATAGAAACAATTTTGAGAACTAGGAGGCAATACTGAGAAAAAATTGACACAACATTTTTAAGCACGGGCCTTAGTGATAAACTCAGCCACAAAACAAGTAAAATGTTAATGTAATTTTAGTTAGTAAATCTATCAGGGCAAGGACAGTACAGCAGCCATGAGAATTTCCTCAATATCCAGGGAAAGCATATCTGCAAAGTAAGCAATTGGGAAGAGAACTTAATGAAGTTAAAAATAATAAAACATATGACTATTTGGAGCAAGAACGTTCATGATCATGGCTGTAGCAAGTACAAAGCCCAGGGATAGGCATGTTTGGTGTCTTAAAAGAACAGACCAAAAACAGATGAAAACATGGAAAGCTGATCCAGCATTATGGGTTGATAAGAATAACAATAACTTGGACTCAGCCCATGATATTAATAATTTTGTCTGACTCCCACACTAACCACAGTAATAAAAAGGAGGTATGTGATCTCAAAGATACATGACAGTGCAATTGGACACAGCTCCTTGGTACCATATGCATTCTTCACTGGCATATGTCCAAAATTCTATGTCTTCAGTGATCCAAGTCTGTGGAAGAATCCACCAGGTCAGAAGGACCCATAACATTGGCTTTATTGCTTTTTACACACACTTAGAGTAAGCAAGTAGAAGGAAGAACAAGGGGATCGGGCACAACAGCACAAGTTGTCTAGCCCTAAATTTCATATTCTAGAATCTCCATTTCTCGCTACATCATATTTTTTTAAAAGAGTTAGTTTTCCATTTCATTTTATCTTTCATCATTGGACCTACTCACAATTTCAGTACAGAAAACACAGCTATTATATTAAATTTTCTAGGACATAGTAAGAGTTTTATTGTAAATATTAAGAAAAAACCATTGAAGTGTTGAGAAAAGAGGAGAATATAATTTGTCATATAAATGAATGGGGTAGAGGAAAGAAAGAAGGCTATAGGAAAACTGATTAGTAAGGTATAATAAAAGCCAATGTATTAGAAGCAGATGCTGGCCTGAGTAATTGCAATAGAATAAGTGAGATGGGATAAGATTTGTATAGTATTGTCTATTTTAAAATGTTTTAAATCAGTGATCCCTCAAACTTTTTGGCACCAGTGTGGGGAGGGATGATTTGGGGCTAAAACTGTTCCACCTAGATCATCAGGCATTAATTAGATTCTTATAAGAAGCATGCAATTGAGATCTCTTACACGTGTGGTTTACATTAGGGGTTATGCTCCTTTGAGAATCTAATGCCACTACTAATGTGACAGGAGGCAGAGCTCAAGTAGTAATGATCGCTTGCCCTCTCCTCACCTCCAGCTGTGCTGCCTGGTTCCTAACAGGCCACAGACGAGTACTGGTTCACGGCCTGGGAGTTGGGTACCTCTGTTTTAAATAATAAATTATACATCATATGCTCATGGATAATATATGTGGAGTGTGTGAAAGAGGAGTCAAAGGTGACTCAAGGATTTCTTGTTTGACCCGTTGTGAGTAGTAGTATCATTTGTTAAGATGAAAAACATTGAAAGCAAAATCACATTTTTATGGCAGGGGTAGTACGGGGTTTTGTTTTGGTCATGCTAAGCTTGAGATGCATATTAGACATCTAAGTGAAGATATCAGAATATTTGGGTCTTGAGCTCAGAGGGGATGTCAGGGCTGTAGATGCAAATTTATTAGTTATCATCATATGTGGAGACTGGCTGAGATCACTTAGCAAATGAGCAAATGTAGAAAAAGAAGAAATCCCTGAACAGAGCCAAGACACTTGAGAATAAAGAAATTAAGATCAACTGTTCAGAGGCCACAATGCAATTGAATAATTGTTGGGGTAGATGTGCTATAGAGATTTTACAAGAAAGAGGAAAGATTAAAGAAAAGGTGAAATTATTTACATTTTTATGTTGAAAAAGGTACAGCTGTTGTTAATCCAAGCTCTGGGCTGTGTGCATGGTAGAAAGTAATTGAGATAAGGAGGATACAGGCATTGAAAATAACAAGTTAGATTGTTGGATGAATCCTCTATATGGACCTGAGATAAACATAAAAGGATGGCAAGAGTAGTAGGAGAGATATAAAAAAAAGAGAATAAATAAACCATATAATAAAATGAGTAAGAATGAGTGATTAGAGGAATGGTAGATTATGGTAATATAGAAGCTAGTGATTTATAGGCTATTAGGTATTCAAAAAAGCTCAGTTATTTTTGTTACTGTTTTTGTTTTAATATTTTAACTAGGATAGAAGAACAATAGTCTTGAAGTTGTATAATGTATAAGTAGAAAACCTATCTTACCCTCATATCCTGTGCCACCAGGTTTCAGGGAGAAAAATTATGTGATAGGACTGCACAAGAATTCCTATCTCAAGAGCACTCAGAAAATAAATTCAGAATACAGGAAATTTTGTTACCGAGTAACTTCTAGAGACACAATGGATCATGAATGCTATGTACCGAACCATATAGGGGTAACAATCTTGGTGACAAAGGGATGACATGGAGTCCTTATATTCTTCATGTTGCCTTAGATACCAAAAACTAGAACATAATGAAATTAGTATTATTGGCCTCACAGGGAAAAAAGATAATGCCAATGATAGCCTGATCTTATAACAGTGAGGCAGGAATCATATGTGTATGGGCCAGATGAGATAGTAAGGATAAGTGGGGAGGAGCCAAGATGGCCGAATAGGAACAGCTCCGGTCTACAGCTCCCAGCGTGAGCGACGCAGAAGACGGGTGATTTCTGCATTTCCATCTGAGGTACCGGGTTCATCTCACTAGGGAGTGCCAGACAGTGGGCGCACGCAGGTCAGTGGGTGCGTGCACTGTGCGCGAGCTGAAGCAGGGCGAGGCATTGCCTCACTTGGGAAGCGCAAGGGGTCAGGGAGTTCCCTTTCTGAGTCAAAGAAAGGGGTGACGGGACGGCACCTGGAAAATCGGGTCACTCCCACCCGAATACTGCGCTTTTCCGACGGGCTTAAAAAACGGTGCATCACGAGATTATATCCCGCACCTGGCTCCAAGGGTCCTACGCCCACGGAGTCTCGCTGATTGCTAGCACAGCAGTCTGAGATCAAACTGCAAGGCGGCAGCGAGGCTGGGGGAGGGGCGCCCGCCATTGCCCAGGCTTGCTTAGGTAAACAAAGCAGCCGGGAAGCTCGAACTGGGTGGAGCCCACCACAGCTCAAGGAGGCCTGCGTGCCTCTGTAGGCTCCACCTCTGGGGGCAGGGCACAGACAAACAAAAAGACAGCAGTAACCTCTGCAGACTTAAATGTCCCTGTCTGACAGCTTTGAAGAGAGCAGTGGTTCTCCCAGCACGCAGCTGGAGATCTGAGAACGGGCAGACTGCCTCCTCAAGTGGGTCCCTGACCCCTGACCCCCGAGCAGCCTAACTGGGAGGCACCCCCCAGCAGGGGCACACTGACACCTCACAGGGCAGGGTATTCCAACAGACCTGCAGCTGAGGGTCCTCTCTGTTAGAAGGAAAACTAACAAACAGAAAGGACATCCACACCAAAAACCCATCTGTACATCACCATCATCAAGGATAAGTGGTCTACCCAATAACAAGCAATAATATGCCAGATACAGTGGCTCATGCCTGTAATCCCAGCACTTTGGGAGGCCAAGAGGGGCAGATCACTTGAGGTCAGGAGTTCGAGACCAAACTGACCAACATGGTGAAACCCCATCTCTACTAAAAATACAAAATTTAGCCAGGTTTGGTGGCATGTGCCTGTAATCCTAGCTACTGGGGAGGCTGAGGCACCGGAATGGTTTGAAACCAGGAGGCGGAGGTTGCAGTGAGCCCAGGTGGCGCCACTGCACTCCATGCTGAGAGACAGAGCCAGATTCCGTCTGAAAAAAAAAGACAAGTAATAATATAGGTTTCCCCTCACCAAATACATTGGTTTTAAGTATTCGCATTGTGGAATAATTAATCTGTCCAGCTAAAGCAAAGATTCTTATACCCTTTATATAGTCCATTGTGAATATTGTTGAGTCCATGGGAAGAGTGCTTCTAAGTAAGGATGAGGAGCTCTGTGAGGCCCCCTTCTATCTTGCCTTAGGCAGTGTTGAGCTAGGCAGACATTGAGTATTGGAGACCCTTCTTCAATGCTACCATGGATAGTGTTAAGAACAAAGGAAGCGTCGAGAAGGATGATGTCAATAATTGAGGTGGAGGTAAATATAATCCAACTCATAAAGGACATAAGTGTCTGACCAGAGATAAATTGTAACAATAAAAAGGGCAATAAGACAACGGTAATTTCATTAGTTGGAATTAACAACAAAATCACAAAGTTTTACTCATGAGGCTAAAACACAAAAAGCGTTTTTTGAGAGACCATGGTGACAGAAGAACACGGCATTACTTCATTTTCCCCTAAGGGAAGTGGAAGACAAGCAGTCCCCATATAAAGTATATAACAAAGGAGAGCCATCACTTGTTAATGTGAAAAGAGTAGAGAGCAATCTCTGAAGAGGGTAAATTAACAAGAAAATAATTGAAGTAGAAATTTCAGAGGTTTTTGGTCAACAGGATTGAGAAAGAGCTCATAATGTTGGATTAATGTATTGGAAAACATTTACAAAATATAGAAGTAAGGTTACAGATTAAAATAATACATCATAAAATAAAATTATGTCCTTAAATTTAATGATTAAACCTTCCAACTTAATATTATTGTTCCAAAAATGCATTCTTAATTAGGTCATTGAATATCCTCATAATTGGTGCCTTTGTTCCTGAAATTAATGCCTTTAAAGCATTATTAATTGAAAGAGCTAATATGTAGTACTCATTATGGGAAGTTCTATTTCAGCAAAATCTGGAAACAGGTTAGCATATGGGCTTCTCTCTGTGCGTGTATATATATATTATTTATATATATGCTATACATAATTTAGAGACGTGTGTATGTTAATACTATTAACTAGTGATTTATCTGATATTTATTGAAGTATATACGTTATGTGCACATAGAAGGCTGAATAAAGCTAAGATTTCCTCAAGAAGTTCAATATAGAAATTAAGGATTTACAAATAGATAAATACACAACTTATATTAAACCACTTGAGACAGCTATGTACAAAGTGTTTAAAAACATGGCTCAATAGATAGGCAGGTGCAAAAATGTGTATATATTACAAATATGTGTATGTACATAGAACTTCATTTGTAGTCTTATTTTGACAATGAATGGTGTTTATTTTTTGTTTAATCAACATGTATTTATGGCCACATTTAACAACCCTCCCTCTCCTCTTAATAAATATTTGTAGTGTTGGCTACATCTCCATCTGTTCTTCTTTCCAGTAAAGTTATCTCATTTTTCATTTGCATGCTTTGCGTGGGCATTAGTCCATGTCTCCATATTATAGATGTGGACTTTAGACCCAGAGTATAGAGTAATCACCAGTCTCAGTAGCTGATTCATGGATGTTTACATAAACAAATGCAGTCTTCAATATGACGAATCTGCCAGACCTTTTGAAGAGGACGTTTTATTTTCATGAAGTTACTGGCCTCTAGAGCCGATGTGACTCTTAGGCTAGTATGACTGTAGCTTCTAACAGCTTTATTTCTCTATACATAATGCTCTTTTCCTTGAATCTGTTACTGTTGATTATTCACCTGGAAAATTCCTACTGATACTCCAAGACCATCACTCTCTTTGTTCTTAAAAGAGTTAGCTAATTAAGGAATTCTTTCTAAGAATTCCTTAGGCGTAGCCATTTTATTTCATGGTCGATACTTCTATTGGCTTGGGCTTTGCCTCCATTATAATATAAATAAGAAATAATTATCTTATTGACACACTTTTATTATAATATTGATTTTATAAATGAAATATTGAAATAAGGGATGAGTTGTGATCCGGATGACATTCTGATTAAATGGTTTGAAGACCACACTGTCTTGCCTTTGGTTAGATGCATATCACTAAGAATACAAAGAGAGAATATTAAAATAAAACATTATGCTTACTACATTAAATATTTCTATGAACCAAATATGAAATATAAGCAGCATAGTGAGCATAGTGGACATGAACAGTCTACTGGTTCTTAGTTTTATAAAAGGCAGAGACAGACTGGAAAGTATGCTTTTTGCTTTCCAAATAAAATGATGAACTGGCATCAAGCTTTCTGTCGAGGTGAGACTGCCCATTTGTGATAAAAAGTTTTGAAATAGGTTGCTGTTCATATTTGCCTGGGCTATAGTTTATTGGCAGCTGTATGCCTACGGAGAGGAAAGGAGCACACAGTACCTCCTGAGGACAGTTTGAGTCAAGTTTCCATTAGGCATATGGATGATGGACATATCTGAAATGTCCCCAGTGTTTGGGGGTCAGGCTCCCCCAGCAACCAATACATAACTTGATTCTGTTTAGCTTTTTTTTTTTTTTTTGAGACGGAGTCTTGCTCTGTGGCCAGGCCGGAGTGCCGTGGCACCATCTCGGCTCACTGCAACCACCGACTCCTGGGTTCAAGTGATTCTCCTGCCTCAGCCTCCCAAGTAGCTGAAATTACGGGGATGCACCACCATGCCTAGCTAATTTTTGTATTTTTAGTAGAGATGGGGCTTCACCATGTTGGCCAGGATGGTCTTGATCTCCTGACCTAGTGATCCACCTGCTTCAGCCTCCCAAAGTACTGGGATTACAGGCGTGAGCCACCACACCTGGCCCATAACTTGATTCTGGATTACAGACTTTAGAAAAAAAGCATGAAGCCAATAAATAGAAAAGAGAGACCAAAAAGTAAAAGAGGAAAAATTAAAGATAAAAATATTGTCCTTAAAATGATCTTGCCGAGCAAATTTTCAAATATGAAAAAATGAACATAAAACTAATCAATGCTAAAAAAGCATTGATTGAAAATTAACTCCTTTAAATGAAAGAAAAATAATGAAAGCATCTAAAACACTTAAAAATAATATGTGTAAGCTCCAGAGACATAAATGAGGAAATGATATTCATAATAAAATAAATTAGCAAAAAAACCCTGGTAGACATTACATACAAAAGACAAACATAAAAAAATAGAAATCTTGGAGATAAAAAATAGTTATTGAAATTTAAACTCTAGGATGGACATGGTCAAATACATTGCTAAACATGAGTATATATACCTTAAAAAAGTACAACTGAATTATACTTGAGAGAGCTTAGAAATAAAAAATATAGCCACTGAAATTAAAAATTCTAGGTTTAATGTAGTCAAATAATAAATAATTTAGAATATTGTGTTGAGGAATTCACCCATATTACAATATAAACAGATTAAAAAGATTAACAAAAATATTTTTAAAAACTAAGAAACTTGAAGAATAATTTGAAAAAACAACATAGGCCAATGAGATATTTTAAAGGGGGAAAATAGCTGGGATACTGAGGGAAACATACATAAATGTAATAGGTGACACTTTTCCAAAACTAAAGGTAGACATAAATTATCAGATTTAACATTAATTCCAAGGAGCAAGAAAGAACAATAAAACAATTTTTTGGACGGACGCAGTGGTTCACGCCTGTAATCTCAGCAATTTGGGAGGCCAAGGAAGGCGGATCACCTGAGGTCGGCAGTTTGAGACCAGCCTAACCAACATGGAGAAACCTCGTCTCTGCTAAAACTACAAAATTAGTCGGGTGTGGTGACACATGCCTGTAATCCCAGCTACTCAGGAGGCTGAAGCAGGAGAGTCACTTGAACCCAGGAGGCGGAGGTTGCAGTGAACCGAGATTGCACGATTGCACTCCAGCCTGGGCAACAAGAGTGAAACTTCGTCTCAAATAATAATAATAATAATAATAATAATAATAATAATAATAATAAAGTAAAATAAATATTTTTTAGAAAACAAATAAAAAGTACTCGACACATCAAGGACAATAATATAAAAGCTTTAAAAGCTACCAAAGAGAAAAGATAGGTAACCCACAAGGAAACAATGATCTGACAGGCTGCATGTCTCATGAGTATCCACAGATGATTAAAAAAAAAAAAGGCTTTAAACAACTGAGAAAAATGAAAAGCTGACCTAGAATTACATGCACAGTTAAAATATAATAAAACTGATGAATGACATGGAGAATCCATGAAGCAGCGAAGGGCAAAAAAGGGTGCCAGGGTGTAATAGAGAAGATGGTCAGAGTCTTCAAACAGCAGAGCCAGAGAAGGCTTCACATTTAAATCGCTTGATTCACAATAGGCTTTATTGACAATATGCTTCTTATTGCAACCACAGATAATAGATTACATTGGAGAATTATGATCAAAGTGGTGAAAAAATAAAAATTCAGGCTAAGATTGTGAATACTTATTCTAGGATCACTTATCCCATCTAAAACTAATCCTACCTCTTGTTTATGATGGTCAATTTAAAAGACAGAAGAACCTTGTGAGAATAATGTTTTCTAGAATGTACATTTTCATGAGAGGGCTATCTTAAAATTTTCAAAGAAACTAAATAATAAATTTAAAATCAAAACAAATGAGGGATTGATAGTGATGGAGAATATCTAAGACCATTAAATGGAAGGAAAGAGTTTGAACTAATCTGTGTTAGTGTCTGAGACTCTAAATGTTACAACATTGTATATGTACCAATGAAACAAGTTCAAAAATGTCAACAATACATATTAAAAATATAGAAAAGTGAGGGAAATCATTAAAGAAGATAATTCATACACTCATTTGAGAGGATCTCAGTTAGAAATACTTAAATTTTTTATTACAACCTGAAAGCTAATTTTGTATACATATATTTAATGTAATAACAAATACAATATCTCAATTAATTTATGTAAGAAATATTTATTGAGGGTCTATTTGTTCTCTAAAACTATTTTATTTTTCAGGCATTTGGAGATAAAATATACAAGTCAACAAAAAGTATTTTCTTACAGGTTCTGTTTCCAAACAAATTGGATAGGGAAATAGACAATCAGCAAAATAATTAAGTAAATATATTGTAGGTTAGATCACAATGAATGCTACGTAAAGATACTGAAATAGAAAATAGATATAGAGAGGACCATGGATGGGAGAATAGAATTTAGATTAAATGGTCAGAAAAGTCTGCACGAGAAGGTGACAAAAAATAATGATGTGAAGAATGACATGATGCCATGAAGCTGTCCCCCTTTATTTTTACCATTCCAGCTTTATGTTCCATAAAATTCCACAATCCATTTTACGCTTGTGTCACAGTCACTTTTTTAGAATATGCTAATTTCTTTTTCACTTTAGTACTCCTACCTAAAATGCCTTTCTTTAAAATTTGATAATATTATATTATCAGCTACATATAATTTTACATTTTGCCATGTGATTTTTTTATTAGAATTTAGGAAATATAGCTAATTATTTTAAGTGCTGTTAAAATCCTACCTATGTTTAAGACTCAATTAAAAGCCACTTCTATTCTGAATCCTTCATGTGTTCCTCTCAGAAGGAATTAATTCTGTGGGGCTTATATTATTGCTAATTATTTATCTGCTGGTTTTCCACATTAGATTGGAAACTGTATCCCTTAGTTATCTTCATGTCTAACAGAGTACAGTCAGTCCTCTACATCCTCAGGTTTTGCATCTGTGGATTCAAGTACAATCAAAATCTGCAGATGAAGAATCCACAGAGATGGAAGGCCACTGGGGAACTTGAGCATTTCTGGATTTTAGTATTTGTGGGGGTCCTAAAACAAATCCCCTGAGGATACTGAGGGAAACCTGCATATTAAAGGCTCCTATTACTAGTAATGTTCTGCCCTTGATAGGACAGAAAAAACAGGGAGAGGTAGCAATTACTAAAATCCTAAGAAGACAGCTATATGGAGAGGGTCCTTGGATGTTGCTAAGTGATGTTAAACACATGCAGCAAATCTACAGAGACCTGGCTTTGTGAGGCAGCAGGGGCAATAAATACATGACTTCCCTCAATTTCCCTCCTATTTCTCCCTGGTGCTTTTGACATATTTTAGGACAATCAAAAGCAGTAGGAAAGAGTCTTGATGCAGTCCATTGGAATCAGTTTCCCTGGGTGCAAAGTAAGGTTGACAAACATCAAGAATAGATCTAGAAAGAGAAATACATACGCAACACACACACACATACACACACACACACACACACATGCACACAGATATATATATATATATAATATATATATATATTTGAGTACTTTATATAAAACCATGAAAGTACTCAAAATTCATGAGCTCAAATAATATTCTTGGAGTATTGTTTGGATGTTTAGAGGAAAATACTATGTAAGGCCATGCAATTTGATTATAGATCCCCTATCAACATTATGGATTTTAGTGAGAGGTGTAATTTTTCATTATCATACATTTCATATCTCATACAATAATCCTCCCTTATCTGCAGGGGATACATTCCAAGGCCCCCAGTGAATGCCTAAAACCAGAGTAGATAGTATCAATCTCTATATATACTGTATCTTTTCCTGTAAATACATACTTTTTATAAAGTTTAATGTATAAGTTAAGTACATAAGAGATTAGCAATCATAAATAATAGTAAAATAGAACAATCATAACAATATACTGTAATAAAAGTTACATGAGTGTAGTCTCCCTACTTCTCTCTTTCTCTCTCAAAATACTGCAACATTTTTGGACAACAGTAGACCGCAGGTAAATGAAACCTGGGAAAGCCAAACTATGGATAGAAGGGGGCTGCTGTAATTGAAAGGTTCTTCTCAACAATTTTACTAAAGTCTGGTGATAATACTTTTGCTCAAAGTTTACTGTTAAAGGATAACAATTAAAAATAAAATGTAGGCCAGGTGCAGTGGCTCACGCCTGTAATCCCAGCACTTTGGGAGGCCAAGGAGGGCAGATTACAAGGTCAGGAGATCGAGACCACCTTGGCCAACATGGTGAAACCGCGTCTCTACTAAAAATACAAAAAAATTAGCTGGGTGTGGTGTTGTGCACCTGTAATCCCAGCTACTTGGGAGGCTGAGGCAGGAGAATTGCTTGAACTCAGTAGGTGGAGATTTCAGTGAGCCAAGACCATGCCATTGCACTCCAGTGTGGGCAACAGAGCAAGACTCTGTCTCCAAAAAAAAAAAAAATAATCTAAATGTACATATCCAGAGTCACCCATAAAATTACTGTTTCAGTGTTATTAGCATTCTTTTCAGACTAGAGGTGAATCAAAAACAATCTACCTCAAATTATAATAAGATCTAGATTTCAGATTTCTTCATATTCTTCAAAATATGGCAATATTCCCTCTTATTTTCTCTTGCAATCATTAGTCAATCCTTTAAAATAATATTTGTAATTTATAAATATTGTTTATACCAGTTATGCTATATTTCAGAGATGGATTTTTAAAACAGATCCCTCAGATATTTAAAAACAAACCTCAAGATGCTTTTGACAATAGTAGCAGTGATATCTATAATTTGTTGAGCATTTATAAGCCAAACTAAGGGCTAAATGTTATTATTCACAATTTACAGACGTAGGTACAGAGATGTAGCCAGATTCATTAATTTGTCCAAAGTGGCAATGCTAATGAGTGCCTAGAGAGGTATGATGAGTAGTGACTAAGTGTACAGGGTCCAGATGGACTAGGTTTGTATCCTGGTGTTGACACTTGCAAGATGTATTTACTTGTACAAGTTATTTGACTTCTCTGTGTTTCAGTTTTCTCATTTGTAATATGGTGATAGTAAAGACTCTTCGAAATTTATGAGGATTAAATTGTACAAATGTGTAAAATTTGAGTATGGCAGATTGAATTTTCCAGAACTGGACATAGCAATATTTTTGGTCCTATAGACTCATGCAGAACTTTGACACTCCACAATCTAGAGGAAGAGTCCACTTTCCCATTACTTGAAATTGAGCGGATCTTTGTGACTTTTTCAGCAAACAAAATGCAGCAGAAGTGATGCTGCATGGCTTCTCAAACTCAATTATAAATGGCGATAAAGCTTCCATCTGTTTCCTTTAGGATACTCAAACTTGAAACCAACCTACCTTATCGTGAGGAAGCCTGGTTCAAATGGAGAGGCCAATGTAGGTGTACAACAGACAGTCCCAGCTGAAAGGCCCAGCTTGCACACAACATCACTGCCAGACGAATGAGAAGGGCCTTATGATGATTCCAGCATCAGACATTTGACTTGGCCCAGCTTTTGCTGAACTGCATCTTGTAAGTAAGATAAGTGCTTTTGTTGTTAAGCAGAAATGTCTTGGGATGATTTATAAGACAATAAGAGATCAGTGGAATAGCTTTTTAAAATTTTTTATTTTTTCTATTTTTTGAGCAGAGTCTCACTCTATCGTTCAGACTGGTATGCAGTGACATGACCATGGCTCACTGCAGCCTTTACCTCCCAGGCACAAGCAATACTACCACTTCAGCCTCCCATGTAGCTACGACCACAGTCATATGCCACCATGCCCATTTTTTATAATTTTTTTGTAGAGATGAAGGCTCATTATGTTGCCCAGGCTGGTCTTAAACCCCTGGGCTCAGGCAATCCTCTCACCTTAGCCTCCCAAAGTGCTGGGTTTACATGTGTGAGCCATGTCACCCAGCTGGAACAGCTTTTGATGACTGAATTCAAGGTGCTGGAGCAACAAACAATAAAAAATAATACGTGGGAGTGGCTTTTGGACACAGTGATGGGAAAACATTGGGCAAATCTTAAGAAAACTGCTAATAAGAGGCCAGAGAGGCCAGAGAGGCCATAAAGAATTCTTAGATTATGCCAATAGTCCTCAAGAAATCTACTAATGAGGAAGTAAAGAAAAATGAGGAAAATGTTATTGGAATCTGACTGAATCGCTTCTCAGCCTTTTGGCTAAGATCAAGTGTAGGAATCTGACTGAAAGCACGCATTTGTTATATAGTGGCTGAAAATTCAGGCGCACTGTTGCTTGTAGTGATGTGAAAATAGATAATTTACCAAATGTACTGAATTTTCTAGTTCAGCAGATTTTCAGGCAGACTACGGAAAGTTCCACCTGTCTTTCTCATACTTATGATAAAATGTGAGAGGAGGGGAGATAAACTTAACAAAGAAATTGTTCATTTTTCAAGTAAAGTGCAGAGAAAATATGAAGAACACAGGATGTGTTGTGTTAGAAACATCATTCCTGTCCTCTCCATGTTGCTTACATTAAGAGAGATTCAGAAGAAAACTTCAAGGTGGTAATATAAGACCTTTTGATAAGATCTCAGAAAACTCTAAGATGATTCTTCCATCATTCATTTAGAATAAAAGCTTTTAAAGCATATTAAGTGGGCCTTTAATTCTTCTTTGCTAAACAATGAAGGTGTAAGAATTGTAAGCACATTGTCTCTCAACAGCCTTTCAGAAAGCCCACGAGAAAGAAAGGCTTTTTCAAGGGGATTTGTGGGTATGAATTTTGTCTAATGGTGTGAAAACCAATAACATTGATAGGAAACTCACAAAATTTTGAGAAAATGATATTGGTAGAAATACCACCAACTTGTACTGAAAAGGATTGAGAAGGAACAAATTATTATTATTATTTTTTTATAAAAAGTTTTTTGATCTGTAAACTACTCTGAGTGAATACTGATTGAAAAACTGCTAGGCAGCTGAGATAGGCAATGTCCTATGGAAAAGAAATGGTGATACAAAGAGTGGAACCAAAGATTATGATAATTTATTTTCCCATAATACGATTGAGTCCTAATAGAGGAGGCAAAACCTTGTGCCAGTTTGATTTCATATTTGCAATGTGCCTTCTGTTATTACCCTTTATGAAAGCCTGTCCCACCATTGTGTGTTGGTGATATTGTTTGAATTTATGTACCTGCCAAATTTCATGTTGAATTGTAATCCCCAGTGTTGGAGGTGAAGCCTGGTGGGAGGTATATGAGTCATGGCAGCAGGTCCCTTGTGGCTTGGTGCTGTCCTCACAGTAGTAAGTGAGTTCTTGTGAGATCCAGTTGTTTAAAAGTGTGTGGCATCTCCCTCCTCACTCTCTCTTGCTTCTGCTTTCACCACGTGCATGCAAGCTCCTGCTTTGCTTTTTGCCATGAGTAGAAGCTCCCTGAGGTCTCCGCAGAAGCTGAGCAGATACTGGCGCCATGCTTCCTGTAGAGCTTGTAGAACAGTGAGCCAATTAAACCTCTTGTCTTATAAGTTACTCAGTCTCAGATATTTCTTTATAGCAATGCAAGAATGGCCTAATACATTTGGGTAGGGTGTTTTGGGCAGAACATTTGTCCCTTCAGTTCACAGCTCTTCAAATCAAAGCAATACATGAAGAAATACACCAAAGTCCCTCTTCCACAAGTGGGTGTTATCTAAATAAAGAGATCCTGGATCTGGAGTTTTTGCCTAATGCCTTCATGAAAGGAGGCTTTGTGAGGGGTTAAGGGAGGTGGACAAATGTATTTTGCATGTTACAGGAATGTGGCATAGGACTGGCAGATTGTATTTCCCAAAAGAAGATATGGCAATATTTTTGGGCCATATGTTCTTCCAGAAACTTGTCACTCCTCCATCAACAGAAGAATTCTATTTCCTTTCAATTCAAATTGGGCAGCCTTTGTGAATGCCTTGAGCAATAGATTGTCTCAAGAGTGATGCTGCCTGACTTTTGAAGCCAGGTGAAAAAAGCTGCTGTGGCTTCTTCCTGAATCTCTCATTTGGGATGCTTGTCCTTGGAACACAACCTATAGGTCTTGAAAAAGCCCATGCCATGAGTAGGTCTTTATTACAATTGTCCCAGATGACAGTCAGCATTTACCTCCAGGTATATAAGCGAGCAAACCTTCAGATGATTCTGGCCTCCAGACTTTGAGCTACACCAGATGACACTGCATAGAGCACAGACAAACTGCTCCTGCTGGGTACTGCCCAGATCACAGATTGGGGAACAAAAGAAATGTTGTTTTAAGTCAATAAGTTTTGAGGTTGTTTATTAGGTTGTAATAGATAACTGGAACAATTTGCATATTGTAAGAACTCAATAAATGTTAGGTGTTATTATTAAGAGGTAGAAGCAGTGTTTTTTTTTCCAGTGCTGCCAGACTTCAAAAAATGTAATTTTAATTTATATTATATAATAATATCACTTATTTTACTGTTGCAAACAAATTGCATTTGTTAAGTTCCAATATGCTCAGTTAATATGTAAAGATAAACTACAATATCAGTTCAGATGCTAGTATATCCTAAAGAGGAGAGGGGAGTGGCAGAAGTTAAACTATAAATAATAGCAGATTTATATGGTTAGGCTTTGTGTCTGCACCCAAATCTCATCTTGAATTGTAATCCCCATAATCTCCATGTGTCAAGGGAGAGACTACGTGGAGGTAATTGAATCAACGCAGTGGTTTCCCCTATGCTGTTGTGATATTGAGTTCTCACAAGATCTGATGGTTTTATAAGGGGCTCTTCCCTCTTTGCATAGCACTCACTCCATCCTGCCGCCTTGTGAAGTTGCCTGCTTCACTTTCCGCCATGATTATAAGTTTCCTGTGGCCTCCCCAGCCATGAGGAAATGTGAGTCTCTTTCCTTTATAAATTACCCAGTCTTGGGTAGTATCTTTACAGCAGTGTGAGAACAGGCTAATACACAGGTTAAAGAGAAAAAAAATAGTACACAGATTACCATATTCTGTAGTAATCAATTTCAACAACAAAATGAAATAGAAACAGAGGGTAAATATGAAACTGGTAGTAAGGAGATAGCAAATAGAATATGGGATTCATCAGTGCAGGGACTCTAAACTTCATTGTTCAATTTGGCATCCCTAAAATCAAGCACAATGCCTCACACATAATAGGCACTCAGTAAATATGTAATCAATCAGTGGGTTTCAGGGTAAAACAAGTGAGCAAAATGCTCAACCCCTAAATGAAGAAAGTTTTTGCTGAAAGGGAATTTGGAATTCATTTCATTTGAACCTCTCACTTTGTAAAGAACAATGAAGTGCATAGGAATATGGTGACTTACCTAAGTTCAGGCCTTGTTTCATTTATTGTGTTCAGAAACGTGTTTAGAGGAAATGTCTCAACTCTCAGCCTACTTGTTAGTATTTATCTTCAAGCTTCCTTCAAACTTCAACAGTCTATGACTCTCAGTTCTATTACCTGTATTACATTTTTTTCCTGCCTTCTTCTTATCATTAGTTTAAGAGAAAATAGTTGCAATGTGCTTTCTCAACAAAATCATTTGATAAGTTTTGAAGTTTCAAATGTATTGTGCTATGCTGCAATTACTTGGGGTGAATTTTAGCAATCAGCATAAGACCCCTTCTGTGATAAGCCTTTTACTATTTTCTCCTGCTTCTATAATTTTCTCAATTCTAGTCTCCCTTCCACATTTTACAATTGTTTGCACATTCTATAGACCTGTGATGCCCAAATGCTCCTGGGAACCCACATTTCTGATTACTTTTCTGCTGCATGAAAAAAACTCCTGTGCTTTCTGGTGAAATGTTGAATTGATTTTTCATTCTGCTTGGTATGAATAAAGCACAGTCATTCCCTTCTGGTCATTAGTGATATTTGTCCACTCTCTGCTAGACTCTCCCTTTGTGGTTTCTCTTGTCTTCAAATACAAATTCCTTGTTATCTAATTTAGAAAATTTTCGAGGATTAGTTGAGGATTATAGTATTTAAAATGTTTTGTTCTTTAGGCTTTAGTTGAGTTACATATAAACAATTTGCAAAATTTAAAGAGCTTCTTTTTTAAAAAGCAAGGCACTGTTTTAAGATTTTAAAGTTTTTTTTTTTTTTACCAATTAATGCTTTATATGACTATCGTATTACTTTACAGCCTGTGACAATGAAATAAATGACAGATTTTCCCAAGTATTTGTTCATGAAACTAAATACTTTGGTTGCTTCTTCACTTTTCCCCTTCCCAGATCAATACCTCTTTTTTCCTTCTCATTTTGAGTAATGATAGACTATCTATCACATGTTCCCTAGTGAATGCTAGATGAGTTTACTGCCCTGCTTTGAGGTAAATGACTTGTCATTTCCTGATTACTCTTCTCATTGTCTTACATTTCAAGCTTTCATTCACTCATTCTTCTTCTTCTTTGTGTGTGTGTGTGTGTGTGTGTGTGTGCATTTTTTTTTTTTTTACTGCCTTTTCTCCTTTGACCCAGGATGTAGTTGAAAACATTGGCAGAACTAGAATTTTCACTGAGTAGGATGATTTCACAGAAGGAATCTACTCCTGAAGGGCCACATTACAGCAGTGCCTTTGAAATGGAGATACACAGAAACAACGTTATCTTTTAACACATTTGGCTATTTGTGGATATATTCAACCAATAATATTGAGTGCCTACTATATGCCAGGAACTGGTGTAAGCATAAGGTATATGGAAATTCTTTCCTGTCACAAGAAGGGACACATTCTTTCAGGGAGACAGATGGGTATAATGGAGCTTATAGGTGTTATGATGGCAAAATGCAGCAAAGGAGCCTTGGGGTGGTGGGGGTTAGAAATATCTAGAAGGAGGGATTTTCATTACTTCACTAATGAAGGAAGGATAGAAATTAGCACACAATTAGAGAGTAGAGAAGTACTACATACCCAGAAATTATCAGGAGTCTGGAAGTAAACAAAAGCAAGTTCAGTATTGTTAATGAGTTAGTGAGGCCTTGTCAACTAAGATTTCATCCTGAGAAAAATGGATGCTGAAGTCAGACTCGCTATTCAGGATAGATGTAAAACAGAAGCGTTTTTGATCTATAAGCATTAATTCAAAGCACCATGTAAGAGGACATCAATTCAGAAGAATAAGTTAAATGAATTGACAAAAAGGCCCAATATGGAAGCCATGCAACCAAAAACCAATGTTCTACAAACAGCAGTTTATTTGGTATAGGAGACATATTGCAGAGACTCAAAAAGTGAATGGGAAGTAAGCAATAGACAGTGTGTCTAGGCAAACCTTTCTAGAAACTTAGCTGTTAAGGGCAATACAAACTTAAAATTTAATGTAGATGAAGAGAGAAATATGGTCAATACACATATGAAAACACATGTACACACACTTACATACTTACACACACACACAAAGTCTATGAATACTGAGGATAGAAGGTGTTCATAGATTTCGTGTGTGTGTGTAAGTATGTAAGTGTGTTGTGTGTACATGCTTTGATAAAAGGTATTTGATAGAAGGTAGTTAGAAAATAAACAAGAATGGGAAGAAACACTGTCAAAAAGAAAACTTATGGGAGAATTTCAGTAATTGATATGCAATAGTAAAAAGGTCTAAATAAATATACCATTTATTCATCGTAGGTAATACACCTGGAATCTGCTAGCCCTTTTCTCTTGCTATTTCCTCCTCTGCTCTTTTTCTTTCTCCTTTTCTCTTCCTCTTTTTCTCTCTATTCTTTATTACGATGATTAGAAATAAAAGACAGTAGAAAGCCTTTGACATTTATTTTCTCCAAAAATTCATGGAAAACAAGTCTTATTATCACAAACGAAAAGAAAAATAATGTGGAATTTACTACCAAAACATGTTTCTTCTTACTGTCTTCAAGAACACTGGGTAGTTGAAATGTCCTAGACAAGCCATCTTCCTCCTTTTGAAAAGAAGAATCCATTTAAAAGACTGTTTGAAATATATTACCCTCTAAGGAAAAGGTTTTGTGGTGGGAGGTAATGTGTTTATTTTTGTTTCTATGGACGAGTGGTGATTTTTCAGTTTATTTTTAATTGTGGACATACTTTCTGTATACATAGAGTTGCTGAAACGTACAACTTTTATTTTCATAAGTATTAGATTGAAGCACCTGAATTCAATTTACTAGTATTTCACAAATTATGTTCAGAGGACCAGAAGTTCCACTGAATATTAATAAATGTTAGTTACCTAAAAACTGAGATTTCTTAGTTGCATTTATCTTGGAAATGGTGGATCAAAAGAAATACTCCTTTTACTGTAAATATCTAAGAAACCTTAAGATGCCAGTGTTTACAGTTGTTTTCTACAACTCTATTTGAGGTTAATGTTTACAAAAATTATTTTACCTTACAAATTCTTATCTACAGATCATATCATGAGATTAGTGTCTCATTGAATTCATATCAACAGAGAAATATACCAACAATTACTTATATGTCAAATAAAATTTACGTTAATAATTCAAATTAGCATTTGCTTATATTTGGTCAGTGTGAAAATAAGTGTAAAATTATCTCTTAAGGTAAAATTGATATAGATAACTAACTCAATGTTTCTCTGCATGTCTTTTGTCTTTTTGATCATGCATATAACAATTTAACTGCTCTACATTCTAAGTAATAAGTTTTTTATAGTTACATTTTAGAAATCTTTAGTCATTTTTACCAAAAGTTTCTCACTATTTGAGACCTAAAGAATTTAATTTTTCCCTTTGTCTCTGGTAGGTTAATTGTCTGATTAATTGTACATGGATTATCAGTTCCCTTTTACTGCATTTTCACCTTCTGCTTGGTGGAAATTTCTCCTCAAATTTTCAGATCCTCTCCCAAAAACTTCACTGTCATTCTGGCCCAGCATATCAAAACATTTGTAGAAAGTTGTAACATAGAAGTAGTAGCAATTATTATAGAAGAGGAGAACCCATTGCTGTTCCCCTTCTCCCAGGAGATGATTTAATTACCTGCTGAGAATATCTAAGAAACCTACTTCCTCTCCTTTTACATCTGTTTATCTATGTTTCATCCTCATGCTCATATTTCTCCATTTTTCATACCCTTCTCCTCATCTCTACCTGTTGAAAACATGCTTTCATTAAAGTTACACTTCAAATGAGACTTCTTCTAGGAAGTATACCCTATTATGCCAAAGTAGGATTGATCAATTTCATCTTTTAAAAATATGCTTTGCATCTCTTTTCTATCTTCTTAACTACATTTTCTGTTTTTTGACAATAAGAAACCTGGCTTTTTTTTTCCGTCTATATTTCCATCTCTGCTCTTTGTCTAACATGCATGGGAATTCAGTAAATGCTTCTTGACCTGAATTGATTTTACTCAATAAACTTTTTATTCCTGGTTTTCCATTAGAAGATATGGTTTTCTTCTTAAGTATTGGTATTTCTGATTTTAAGATCTTTTTCTAATTGTTTTTTTCTTTCATAAGAGATTTTGAGTTTTTATTTTCAACATGACAACTGAAAGAATAGTTTTCATAAATACTTTTCATTAACAAATGATTGCCAAGTGCTTTTCAAGTATAAAGTGCTATAATGCATGTTGTGAAACAATAATCAGTATAATTGAAGTAGGACACAATTACCTAGTGCAATGAAAAATAAAATGACATTAGGATTTAAGATACCACCTCCTTCAATCTCCACAAACACTTTTTCTCTAAATACCACAAGCATAGTAAATAATTTTATACACTCTAAATAACACATTCCCACAGTTATTCCTTCTTTTTCTTACTTTTTTTTTTTTTCCTGAGACACAGTCTTACTCTGTCGAGCAGGCTGGAGGTCAGTGGCATGATCATAGCTCACTGCAGCCTCAAACTCCTGGACTCAAAGGATCCTCCTGCCTCAGCCTCCTGAGTAGCTAGGACTATGCGTCCACACCACTCCTGGCTAATTTTCATTGTTTTTTGTAGAGATGAGGTCTCACCAGGATGCTCAGACTGGTCTTAAAAACCTGGCCTTAAGCCATCCTCCTACCTCGGCTTTACAAAGTGCTGGTATTACAGGCATGAGCCACCATTCATGGCTGTTATTAATTTTATATATAATTTATTGCTCATGGAATTAGGCTCTATCCAATCTGGGCTCTCATTTTAGAAATACACAAAATGTTATAATAACATTCATTCCTTAATGCTTAAAAGACTTTCATTTTGCCCTAGAATATAAGTGTGTCAGTAAAATCACTTAATTTTATGATTTTATGCATAGATTTAAAATATTATTTTAATTTTACAATTTTTTATTTAAAATATAAAATTCCTGTGTTTACCTTATTATATCTAAAGCTGTTTAGAGAAACAATCTAAAATTTAAAGCTATTTAGATAAGCAAATAATACTCTAAGATAGAATTTATGAATATCCTAAAAAATATTGATGCATTTCTTAAAAACCTTAGTATAGAAAAGTGTTCAAATAGGAAATCAAATATGTAACAACAGCTGTAAAAAAAGTTTCAGAACATTTTTTATGAACAAAAATGAACAAAATTTACTGAGTGAATGGTAAAATACTTGAATTCCACAATGAATATTATCCTTATTTTCACACTGAACTATTTCATTTACCTTAAAAATAATGAGAGTTAAAAAATTATTATGTGAAACTTGTTGAAAATACTTTGTACAAGAAATATGGCTGAATCCTAAATAATGTTGCTAAACAGGGCTGCATTACCAAATCTGATAACATTTCAAAGTTGATTTATAGAATCCTTTAATTAGAAGAAACTTTAGGGTCATCTTCATAGTCAATAGTTCATCTGAAGGAAAATCTTTTCTATGTCACTAACGATTACTTCTTGAATATTTCTTAAGTTAGAAATCTTTGTTTTTTGTTTTCTTGTTTAGTTTTGTTTAGTTTAATATGTTTTCTCAGTTTGTGAAATTTGTACATTTTATTGATTTTTAGAGCCAATTATGCCTCCCTATAATGCCTGCTTAGCTATTTCTTATTCTACTTACTGAAAGTATGTAGACTAAGTCAAAACCGTTTATCCACATAAAGGCCTTTCAAAACAAAGAGCTATCAGATTTAGCAAATAAAAATAAAAGACATCCATTTAAATGTGATTTTCAGATAAACAACAAGTAACTTTTACAATAGATATATCCTATGCATTTTCCCATGCAACTTTGGGCAAATTTATACTACAAAATTATAATATGGCTTTTCTAAAATACAAATTTATCTTGGAATTCTGTGTTTTATCGAGCAACTTTATTCAAAAACAGTTTCCTACTCTAATATCCTCCTAATTTCTTTAGGTTTAGCCTTAATACATACATTTAAATTATTGGGAAACAGCAGTTCTGTGTGCTTTCAAGACTCATAATAACCTTGGAAACGTTGCACTTATGACTGTGAAATTATCATAATCTTCAAGTATAGTCTACATTGAAAAGAATGTTGGGGGCCGTAACTTTCCTTTATCATTCATCAGTGTTCGACTCAACATGTCTTTTTGTTTGCTTCTTCAAATTTTTGCAAAATGTCATACTGACATTGTGCTTGTGTCAACTGAAATACTTAATACTACCTACACCCCCAGGTTATCATTCTGCCACTCCATGCATATGCTAAGGATTTTCAACCTAAATATATCACTTTCCATTTAGTTTTTATCTTTAACTCAAACCAAATAATTTTAGCTGGTGATTTTTTCCCATTACTGAAGTGCTGTCTGCTTTCAGAAGCTTTCATAAGACTGCCATTAAGCAAGGCACAACCTTACTGCTTTTAAAATATGGTTAATTTTACAAATGTTCATCTTTTTAAGAGTTCTCAGAAAAACATTCGTCTTGTAATATTCAAGTTTTATTGATATAATTTGGTAAATCAAAGTGAAAATATTATTTTATTATTATTGCATTCCCTTTTCATTATTTCCTTAAAATTTTATTTTCAATGAGGAGTTTTGTAGACTCAAAGGCTGTATTTCCTGAAAACTAATTTACCTAAGAATTCTTCTACTTTGCAATGCACAGTTACAGAGACAGCACTACTTTAATGGTGCTCTAAGATTTGATCTGTAAATACAATTTTGGCAATTTATAGGAAAACAACTCTGGCTTGTTTTCCAGCTCTAGGTCTCATCTCCACTGCTTCCTCTCCTTGGCTTCAGGAGGTACCAGGTGGCTTTACTGCAGCCTCTGTCACCCTGTGATCTACAGGCACTGGGGGAGCCATAGGGAGGATGCCAAAGCTGGGAAAAGATTTTTATTGTTTTAAAGAGTATTAGAAGAAGCGAATGTTAAGATGGCCTACTAGATGCAGCCAGGAGGAACATCTGCCACCAAGGGACCATGACATCGGGAAGATCTGCACTTTAAGCAGATCTATAGAGGAAGGCATGCAGAGTGGATAGAGAGATGGATGGAGTGGATAGATCACCCTGGGCTGAAAGGGGAGGAAGCTGGGAACGCTGCACAGGGCTATCACCTACTGGAACTGGCTCTGGGCCCCCAGTGACTCATGGGAAAAGGGTGCGCTAAAAGGTAAGGCATGACCTGCTCTTCCTACAAACTTCTGGAATCCTGGCATCAGGAGACCCCACAAACCCCATGGACACTTGAACTGGCAGGGAGAGATGCTTAGAGAGTTGGTAGGGGCAGAACTCCAGCCTGTACAGAACACGGAATGTTGAGTGTGGGACATCTGCAGAGGAGCATAGCCAGGGGTGCCCACTTCCCAAAGCAGCCTGCCATGCTCTCCTAGGAGACTTTAGCCTTAGGGGAACTGACAGACCTAAACAGAGCAGGACAGGCCAATTTGATCTCAATGTGCCCTCTCTGCCACCCCCTACTCCATCTGGTGGAATCTCCCAGGGCCCTGGCCTGGCTGAACCCACTTGCAATGCAGCCTTGGATGACCAACTGGGTGCCTCCTGGAAGCCACATCATAGTCTTTTCACTGGTTGACTATGCCTGACCATCAGAGAGCTCCAGCAGAGTGGCCCTTGATGACTCTCACCAGTCCACCTGAACCCTCCCACCACTGCATCCCCTATGCCACTTTGCCATGCACTTGTCATAGCCCTCCCAAACCCCTCCGCACATTGCTTAGCCAGCTTGCAGGTGCAGGGGACCTTCCCTTCCTTCTCCAGCTGAGGCCATCCACCACAATCAAGTAGGCTTTATCTCTGGGTTACAAGGTTGGTTCAACGTATGCAAATCAATGTACCCCACCATGCCACTGCTGCCAATGTGAGTGTACCCCCAACCAACTGCATAGCCATTGCCATTTTGAACATGTATATGGAGGCCAGTGGCCCCACCCTTCATTGTGTACCACCACCTCTGCTGGCCCAAATGAATGCATGGTTCCAGAAGCCCTGCACCCACCAGAGCTCTGCCCAGAGCTGACATCACCACTGACACAAACATGCATACAAAGGTTGGCAGCCTGGCAACCACCGGTGCCCCACTCGAGCTGGCGAGAGTGCACCCTGCCATACTGCCTGCTATTGGTACATGCACATGAGCACAGTTCCCATTGCCACTGCTGCAGTGAAGCACTTTGGCTGGCACCATCTGTTGAAGTATTGTGACCAGCTGCTGTGACCCATCTAGCACAGCAGGTTCCTAAACTCAAGTGGCCAGTTGACAAAGCCAGGGGCCTGATACCAACCTTCCAGAGTTATGGCATAAATCCCAAGAGTGCTGAGCTGAGCCTTGGCTCCCTAAAATCTTCCAGAAATGAAGCCAGCTGACTGAAGCCACCTTATACCACAATGAAACCCCGAAGAGCATAAAAACAAGATAAAAGCAAAAAAGACAACAACTTTAAAGACTTAAGGAATATTGGCACACACAGATGAGAAAGAATAAGCCAGAACTCTGGCAAATCAAAAAGCCAGAGTGTCTTAACAATGAATGCCTGCACTAGTTAGTTCTCCAGAAATGCTTCTTAGCCAGGCTGAAATGGCAGAAATTACAGAAATGGAATTCAGAATATGAAAAAAAAATGAAGATGATCAAGATTCAGCAGAAAGTTGAAGCCAAATCCAAGGATTTTAATAAATACAATAAAACAATACAAGGGATAGAAGACAAAAATGGTGGCTATTTTAAGAAAGAACCAAACTGATTAAATAGAGCTGAAAAACTCACCTCAAGAATTACAGAATACAATTCTAAGTATTAAGAGCAGAACTGAAAAAGTTGAGAAAAGAATCTCAGAGCTTGAAGAATGGGTCTCTGAAATAATTCAGACAAAAATAAAGAAAATATATTAAAGAAGAATGAAAACCAAACACCATATGTTCTCACTCGTAAGTGGGAGTTGAACAATGAGAACACATGGACACAGAGAGGGGAACATCACACACCGGGGCCTGTCAGTGGGTTGGGGAAGGGGAGGGAGAGCATTATGACAAATACCTAATGCATGCCGGGCTTAAAACCTAGATGATGGGATGATAGGTGCAGCAAACCACCATGGCACATGCATACCTATGTAACAAACCTGTATGTTCAGCACATGTATCCTAGAACTTAAAGTAAATAAATAAATTAAAAAAAAAAGAAGAATGAACTAAACCTCTGAAAAATATGAGATTATGTAAAAAGACAAAATTTATAACTCATTATTGTTCCTGAAAGAGAGGGGGTAAAAAAACCAAACAGTTTAGAAAACATATTTCAGGATATTGTCCATGAATATTTCCCCAACCTTGCTAGAGAGGACAACATTCAGATTCAGGAAATGCAGAGAAACTCCTTCAAGATACTACACAAGACGATCATTTGTAAGACACATAGTTATCAGATTCTCAAAGGCCTAAATGAAAGAAAAAAATGCTAAATGAAGCTAGAGAGAAGGGATGGGTCACTTACAAAGGGACCTCCATTCAGACTAGAAGCAGGCATTTCAGCAAAAACTACAAGCCAGAAGAGACTGGGGGCTTATTTTCATCATTCTTAAAGAAATGAAAGTCCAACCAAAAATATATTCAGCCAAACTAAACTTCATAAACAAAGAAGGAAGATGCTTTACAGACCAGCAAATGCTAAGGGAATTGTTACCACCAGACCTGTCTGACAAGAATTCCTTAAGAGAGCACTAAATATGGAAAGGAAAGACCATTACCAGCCACTACAAAACACATTTAAGTACATAGACCATTGACACTGTGAAGTAACCACAGAAACAAGTCTGCATAATAGCCAGCTAACAACATGACGTGTTCAAATCTGCATATATGAATAGTAACCTTAAATGTAAACGGCTAAATGCCATAATTAAAAGGAACAGAGTGTCAAGTTAGCTGACAATGGTGTGCTGTCTTCTGAAGACCCATCTCACATGCAATGACACCAAGAGGATCGAAGTAAAGGGATGGAGAAAAATCTACCAAGCAGTTAGAAAATGGAAAAAAGCATGGGTCACGATTCTAATTTCAGACAAAATGTACTTTAAACAAACAAAGATTAAAAAAAAAAGACAATATATAATGGTAAAGGGTTCAATTCAACAAGAAGACCTAACTATCAAAAATATATATCCAGACAACAAAGGAACCCCCAGATTCATAAAGCAAGTTCTTAGATGCCTGGTAAGAGACTTACTTAGATAATTGAATAATAATAGTGAGAGACTTTAACACATCACTGACACTATTAGACAGAAAATCAAGACATAAAATTAACAAAGATGTTTGGCACCTGAACTTGACTCTTGACCAAATGAACCCACTTTGCACATGGCACATATTCTAAAGTCGACCACACAACTGGCCATAAAATATCCTCAGCAAATTCAATGAAATCAAAATCATACCAACTACTCTCTTGTAACACAACACAATAAAAATAGAAATCAATACTAAGAAAATCACTCAAAACCATACAATTACATGGAAATTAAACATCCTGCTCCTGAATAACTTTTGGATAAACCATGAAATTAAGGCAGAAATAATTAAATTATTATTTAATTGAGAATAAATATTCAACATACCAAAATCTCTGGGACATAGCTAAGGCAGTGTTAAGAGGAAAGTTTACAATTTTAAATACCTACATCAAAAAGTTAGAACAATCTCAAATTAACAACCTAACATTACACCTAGAGGAACTAAAGCAAACCAGTCCCACAGTTAGCAGAAGACAAATAATAACTAAAATCTTAGTTGAAGGAAAACGAACCCCCCCCAAAAGAAACATACAAAAGATCAAAGAATCCAGGAGTTGCTTCTTTGAAAGAATAAGTAAGATAGACCACTAGCTAGAATAATAAAGAAAAAAATTTTAAAAACCCACAATCAGAAATGACAAAGGGAACATTTTCAACAACCCTACAAAAACATAAAAAACCTACCATGAACACATAGAGACTGTAAGAATAAAATACCTAGGACTACAACTAACCAGGGAGGCAAAAGATCTCTACAACGAGAGTTACAAAACACTGCTCAAAGAAATCAGAGATGATGCAACAAATGGAAAACCATCCATGCTCATTCATAGGAAGAGTAAATCTTATTAAAATCGCCATATTGCCCAAAGTAATTGTGAGATTTAGTGTTATTCCTATCAAAGTACTAAAGGCATTCTTCGCATAATTAGAAAAAAAAACTATTTTCAAATCATATGGAACCAAACAAACACCCAAAATAGGTAAGGCAATCCTAAGCAAAAAGAACAGAGTGGGGGCCTCACGTTACTCAACTTCAAATTATATTACAAGTTTACAGTAACCAAGACAGCATGGTATTGGTGCAAAAACAGACACATAGAACAATGGAACAGAATAGAGAGCCCATAAATAATACACACACCTACATCCATCTAATCTTCAACTAAGTTGACAAAAACAAATAGTGGGAAAAGTTCTTCCTATTCAATAAATGGTGATGCAGTAACTGTCTAGCCATAACTAGAAGATTGAAACTAGACCTCTTCCTTACACAATATACAAAAATCAACCCAAGATGGGTTGAAGACTTACATGTAAAACCTAAAACTATAAAAATCATAGAAGATAGCCTAGGAAACACCATTCTGGACATAGGACTTGACAAAGATTTCATGACAAAGATGCCAAAATCAACTGCAACAAAAACAGAAATTGACAAATAGGACCTAATTAAGCTGAAGAACTTCTGCACAGCAAAAGAAACTATCAGCAGAGTAAACAGACAGCCTGTAGAAGGGGAGAAAATATTTGAAAACTATGCATCTGACAAAGGTCCAATATCCAGCATCCATAAGGAACTTAAACAAATTTACAAGAAAAACACAAACAGCCTCATTAAAAAGTGGGCAAAGGACATGAACAGACACTTCTCAAAAGAAGACATACGCACGGCCAACAAGCATATGAAAAAAAAAGCTCAATATCACTGATCATTAAAGAAATGCAAATGAAAACCACAATGAGATACCATCTCAAACCAGTCAGAATGGCTAGTATAATAGATAACAGATGCTGGTGAGGATACAGAGAAAAGGGAACACTTACACACTGCTGGTGAGAGTGTAAATTAGTTCAGCTATTGTGGAAAACAGTTTGGTGATTTCTAAAAGAACTCAAAACAGAATTAACATTCGGCCCAACAATTCTATTATTAGGTATATACCCAAAGGAATGTAAATCACTTTACATTAAAAACACATGCATATGTATGTTCTTTGCAGCACTATTCACAATAAAAAAGACATGGAGTCAACCTAAATGTCCACACACAGTAGACTGCATAAAGAAAATGTGGTACATATACAGAATGGAATATCATGGGGCCGTAAAAAAAAAGTGAGATTGTATTCTTTGCAGCTATATGGATGAAGCTGGAGGCCATTGTATTATTCAGACTAACACAGCAACAGAAAACCAAATACTGCATGTTTTGACTTTATAACTCCCTCTTATAGAGAGAGCTAAATATTAAATACATAAGGACACAAAGAAGGGAACAACAGGTAGTGGGTTCTACTTGAGGGTGAAAGGTGAGAGGAGGGTGAGGATTGATAAACTACTATCAGATTCTCTGCTTCTTACCTGGATGATGAAATAGTCTGTACACCAAACCCCTGTGAGACACAATTTGCCTATATACCAAACCTGTACATGTACCCCTGAACTTAAAATAAAAGTTAAAAAAAAAGGAAAGTATATGCCTTAGCTACAAACTATTATATAAATATATACTTTAATATATAAACAATATACAATTGAAATTGAGATCATTATTACTGAAAATATTGTTAAGATTATGAAGAAGTGAACACAAGATTTTTTTATGGTTTTGTTGGACAACTTGTCTTTTTAGAGTATAGATGTTTAGCTCATATTTTTTGTGCCTTGTAAATCATTACATATATAATTATATACAAGCTACAAAAGGATCTAATATATACTTTCCTACACTATTTTAATATCTGATTTAGACTGAAATTGTACTTTAATTTTATCAAAACTAATTTTTTT
Source organism: Homo sapiens (assembly GCF_000001405.40). NCBI lineage: Eukaryota > Metazoa > Chordata > Mammalia > Primates > Hominidae > Homo > Homo sapiens. The sequence continues at coordinate 54,598,716 of NC_000013.11, forward strand.
CTATATTTATGTGGCACATGGAAGTTTAGTCCAAGTTTCAACTACACATAAGTTTTCTAATAACAACCCGGTAGGATTGACACCTGGAAGTGTGACATTTTTAATACCTCTGTTTTTGTTGAGCAGCAATTTCTGAGCTTAGACAACTCCAACATAAATTTACAATGAACTTTGGTAAACATGTTGAGGTTTTGTGAAAGTTAATATACTTCTAAACAGATAATAGAACAATTCCTAAACATTCTTTCTAAATAAAATAATCATTTACAAGCAGGATGATAAATCAGTTTAGAATTTACCCCCGATATTTCAAATAATGTCACAAATAACCATATTTGAAGACATTAATAGACTAAATGTTTTCAAGTTTCATTTTCCACATTAAGGATTCAAGTTATGAATTAAATAGCCATCAAACCAGATTTTAAATTCATTTCCAAATAAGAAATTCTTAGATAATATATGTTATAACTCAAATCCTTAATGCCGAAAATGAAATGTTAAAATAGTGTATCTCTTCAGTTATATTCCAGTATTGGCTTTTGTGACATAATCTTTGAATATGTCAACAATTTACCATTCTCAGTTGTTAAAGAAAAACTTTATCAAATAGAGTTAAAGAAGCGGGGAAGATTTTCTTCAAGACTATTTCAATAAGGAAGAAAGACTGAATTAATTAAAAACAGTTGGGGGTAGAATTTTTAAAGCATGGGGTAAGTTCTATGGGATAGAGGTGGGGCATCAATGTGATTAGGAAATCTGTACTTGCCAATTGTAACTTATTAAGTTAGGCTCTTACCCCCTCACAGAGACTGAGAGAGAGGAGTGATAGCCTTCTTGAATAATTACATTTCAAAAAGATGGCTCCCGAGTCCTTGAGAAAAACATTGCTATGTTGTAAATCTGTCAAGAGACTGAGGGAAGATTAACATCTACAAAGGGCAGAGAAAGAATTTGCAATTATAAATTTTCTAAAATAAATGCTCTAAGAAAAGGGAGGTCAGGAGCCAATCAAGAAGAAGCCTGTGTAAAGTTTAGTTAAGATAAGAAGACCCTTAAACCATCTTGATTACATTAAAAAATGAGATTTCTAACAATCCACTGAGTGAGAAGCCCTCAGTTAACTTACTACATCACAAATGTAAGTCTTTTATCTCTATATACGAACCATGAAAAAACTTATTAGATAGAGGATGAACCAAAGGAGATCATTTAACAAAGATGTTCAACTTTTGCCTATTATGCACTAACATTTTTTTTTAGATGGAGTTTCGCTCTTGCTGCCCAGGCTGGAGTGCAATGGCACCATCTCTGCTGTCTGCAACCTTTGCTTCCCTGCTTGAAGTGATTCTCCTGCCTCAGCCTGCTGAGTAGCTGGGATTACAGGCATGCGCTACCACACCTGGCTAATTTTGTATTTTTAGTAGAGACGGGGTTTCTCCATATTAGTCCAGCTGGTCTCGAACTCCTAACCTCAGGTGATATGCCCGCCTCAGCCTCCCAAAGCGCTGGGATTACAGGCCTGAGCCACCACGCCCGGCTGGTTATTATTCTTTCATGGCAAATAGAAGATTTGTTTTCTCAAGATATCGCCAAAAGAGAATGAAACACATTTTATGTAGCTTATTATTTATTTAACATTGCTCTTTATGAGATTACTATGAAATCCTTTAAATATAGAGACTCTACACATTCTCTTATGCTCTAACATTGCCAAGACCGATTTCAGCTCCTTAGATATTAGATTTCCAACTCCTAGCAATTTTTATTTTAGTTCTACCTAAAAATTAATAAGAATCAACTGCCAGAAAAGAGTTTTAGTATATTTTTTAAACTTTGATAAATAAATCATAACTTTTTAGAACTTATTGTGTATTATTTTGCATATCACATTTTGTATTGATAATGGTTGAACACTTGATGTAAATGCTTAATAGCCAAAGCATAATTTTAGTGCTTAATACTGACATCGTTTCCATGAACAGGCTTATCCGCATTTTACAGATAAGAAAACTGAAGCAGAGTTGTTAATAAACTTACTCCAGGTCACACATTTTGCCGTGCTGTATGAGAGACTGAGAAGAACTGGTGATGCCAAGTTCCCCTTAAACTATGTAACTGCATCCCCTAAAGACTGAGAGCCACCATTAACCAGGTGTTCCTATCCTTCTGTGAAGAGTTTATTTGCAGTTTCTATTTGGCTGTGACTTTTTCATATCTGGGATTCCTTTGGAAATATACGTCTATTTCCCACATTACACCATTTTGTTTATATTCTATCAAAGATCCAACTCCTGCTTTCTAGATCATGTACCTGTGTTGTTATTCAAGTTTTTGTTCCTGTTTCTATAGCATGCTCTGTTTTATTTTTATTTCTCTTCCTTCTTTCCCAATTTGTCCACTAGAAGCTGATTTCTAGATAGAATTAATCAAGCATTTGTTAAAAGTATCAGGTATTTCTAAATTTTTCCTATCTGTGATGAGCCAATGACAAAAACCACATGATTATCTCAATAGGTGCAGAAAAGACCTTCAATAAAATTCGACACCCTTCATGATAAAAACTCTCAATAAACTAGGTATTGATGGAATGTATCTCAAAATAATAAGAGCTATTTATGACAGATCCACAGCCAATATCATACTGAATGGGCAAAAGCTGGAAGCATTCCCTTTAAAACCAGCACAAAACAAAGATGCCCTCTCTCACCACTCCTAGTCAACATAGTATTGGAAGTTCTGGCCAGGGCAATCAGGCAAGAGAAAGACATAAAGTGTATTAATTTAGAAAGAGAGGAAGTTAAATTGTCTCTGATTGCAGATGACATGATTGCATATTTAAAAAACCCCATCATCTCAGCCAAAAATCTCCTTAAGCTGATAAACAACTTCAGCAAAGTCTCAGGATACAAAATCAATGTGCAAAAATCACAAACATTCCTATACACGAATAACAGACAAACAGAGAGTCAAATCATGAGTGAACTTCCATTTACAATTGCTACTAAGAGAATAAAATACATAGGAATACAACTTACAAGGGATGTGAAGGACCTCTTCAAGAAGAACTACAAACCACTGCTCAAGGAAATAAGAGAGGACACAAACAAATGGAAAAACATTCCATGCTCATGGATAGGAAGAATCAATATCTTGAAAATGGCCATACTGCCCAAAGTAATTTATAGATTCAGTGCTATCCCCATCAAGCTACCATTGACTTTCTTCAGAGAATTAGAAAAAAGCTATGTTAAATTTCATATGGAACCAAAAAAGAGCCTGCATAACAAAGACAATCCTAAGTAAAAAGAACAAAGCTGGAGGCATCATGCTACCTGACTTCAAACTATACTACAAGGCTACAGTAACCAAAACAGCATGGCACTGGTACCAAAACAGACATATAGATCAATGAAACAGAACAGAGGCCTCAGATATAATGCCACATATCTACAACCATCTGATCTTTGACAAACCTGACAAAAACAAGAAATGGGGAAAGGATTCCCTGTTTAATAAATGGTGTTGGGGAAACTGGCTGGCCATATGCAGAAAACCAAAACTGGACCCCTTTCTTACACTTTATGCAAAAATTAACTCAAGGTGGATTAAAAACTTAAATGCAAGACCTAACCACAAAAACCCTAGAAGAAAACCTAGACAACACCATTCAGGACATAGGCATGGGCAAAGTCTTCATGACTAAAACACCAAAAGCAATGATAACAAAAGCCAAAATTGACAGACAGGATCTAATTAGACTAAAGAGCTTCTGCACAGCAAAAGAAACTATCTTTAGAATGAACAGGCAACCTACAGAATGAGAGAAAAGTTTTGCAATCTGTCAATCTGACAAACGGCTAATATCCAGAATCTACCCATCTCTAGGATTTATGTTTTCTGGTCTGTTTTCTTATGTTTTATGGTTTGTTGTAGAGCTAATATCTGGATTCTGGTTATTAGCCCCGTTTCTATCCAGAAACAAATTTATAAGAAAAAAACAAACAACCCCATCAAAAAGTGGGCAAAGGAAATGAACAGACACTTCTCAAAAGAAGACATTTATGTGGCCAGCAAACATATGAAAAAAAGCTCATCATCACTACAGAAATGCAAATCAAAACCACAATGAGATACCATCTCATGCCAGTTAGAATGATGATCATTAAAAAGTCAGGAAACAACAGATGCTGGAGAGGATGTGGAGAAATAGGAACACTTTTACACTATTGGTGGAAGTGTAAATTAGTTCAATCATTGTAGAGGACAGTGTGGCAATTCCTCAAGGATCTAGAACCAGAAATACCATTTTACCCAGCAATCCCAGTACTGGGTATAAACACAAAGGATTATAAATCATTCTACTATAAAGACACATGTACACGTGTGTTTATTGCAGCACTATTTACAATAGCAAAGACTTGGAACTAACACAAATGCCCATCAATGATAGACAGGATAAAGAAAATGCGGAACATATACACCATGGAATACTATGCAGCCATAAAAAGGATAAGTTCATATCCTTTGCAGGGACGTGGATGAAGCTGGTAACCATCATTCTCAGCAAACTAACACAGGAACAGAAAACCAAACACCGTATGTTTTCACTCATTAGTGGGAGTTGAACAATGAGAACACATGGACACAGGGAGGGGAACATCACACACTGGGGCCTGTTGGGGGGTGGGGGGCTAGAGGAGGAATAGCATTAGGAGAAATACCTAATGTAGATGATGGGTTGATGGGTGTAGCAAACCACTATGGCATGTGTATACCTATGTAACAAACCTGCACATTCTGCACATGTATCCCAGAACTTAAAGTATAATTTAAAAAAAAGAAAAGAAAAAAAAGGAAAGGAAAAAAGACACAATCTCAATACCATGTAATAATGTGGTGGTCTATAGTGTTTCATGAAAATATTGAGGTTATGTTTCATAAAAGCTCAAACCCTAAAGAAAGGTTCTTGAATAAGCATCTTGATAGCTTAGATCTGACCTGCAAGTAGTGATTAAAGCTACAGCAAATCATAAAATAAAGGTGTTTCAAGAGGAAAAAAATTAGCACATGCAAAAGATTACCAATAGGATGAAATGATATCTTTCAGGAAATTACAAGTAATTCAGTATGAATAACACCAACAAGACATAGGATTGGAAAATTGATACAGTTTGCACATTTGTTCCCTCCAAATTTCATATTGTGATTTGATCCTAGCGTAGCTGAGACCTAGTGGAAGGTATGCAGTGATGAGCGGTTATGCGAGAGTTGTTTAGAAGAGCTTGGCACCCGTCCTCTCTCTTTTTTTTTTGAGATGAAGTCTCGCTGTCACCTAGGCTGTAGGGCAGTTGCGTGAGCTTGGCTCACTGCAACCTCCACCTCCCAGGTTCAAGTGATTCTCATGCCTCAACCTCCCGAGTAGCTGGGACTACAGGCACGTGCCACCACACCTGGTTAATTTTTGTATTTTTAGTAGAGATGACATTTTGCCATGTTGTCCATGGTGGCTTCTAACTCCTGAGCTCAGGCTATTTGTCTGCCTTGGCCTTCCCAAGTACTGGGATTACAGGCATGAGCTACCATGTCCAGCCCACTCCTCTCTCTCGTCCCTTCCTTTCACCATGTGACACACAGGATCCCTTAAGTGTGAAGATATCTAAATCAGGAAACAGACAAAAATATTGCAGTATTGTGTATTAGAAATTATGGATTCCTGACATGGGGAAATAATAGTGAAAATGAAATAGATAGTTTTGAAATATTGTTGACTGGATATGAGAGAGGGAGGAGTCAAGGGTCACTTCCATATTTCTGCCTTGGAGATTCATTCGATAGCTACTTGTTTCACCATGAGAATACAGGGGAATACTCAGGTTGTGGTGGATAGACATGAGAAGCAATGAGTTCAGTTTCATAAGTTCTGAGTTACAGGCACTTGTGAGCTGTCCTAATATATTACCGGTGAGACTAAATTGAATGAAAGCAACATTCTGACATGAAAATTATATTTGTAAGCCACACACATACAGATAATATGTGAAGTTATCAGAGTATTAGAGTAGGACCCAACAAACATCAATATTTAAGAGGTAAGTGAAGGAAGAGAGAGAGAAAAAGAAGTAGTCACCGCAGCCCATTGGTTCTCAATCAGTAAAAAGAGGGCAATATTGCACTCCATGGAATCTTTTTAAATGTCTGGAATCACTGTCAATGTCTGGAATCATTTTTTAAATTTTCATGACTCAAGCAAGGGGCACAGATGAAGCATACTACTGAAATCTAAGGGATAGAGGCCAGAAATGGGTCAAGAATGCTGCTAAACATCCTGCAGTGCACAGCACAACACCCAACAACAAAGAAGCATGTAGTCCAAAGTGTCAATAGTTCTAAAGCTGAGAAACTCTGACATAGAAAAAGAAAAAATAATGAGGACCATATCATATCTGCAAGAAAAGGAAAGACACTATTTGGAAAAGCAGAGGAGAGATATAAGCAGAATTTTTCCTGAACTGTGTCCACTGGGGCTAATAGTTTTAATGGATTAGTTAGAGCATCAGATGGCAGGAGACAGAAACATAAAGGGATTGCTGGAAAATGAAAAAGAGTTTTCCCAGAAGTTTGACTGTGAAAGAGCAAGGGATGGGATGATGATGGAGAGAAAAATTACAATTATAGGAAGGAAAAGAGCTCAAAATAAATTTAAATATATCTGGGAGACTTATAAAAGCCAAATATTAATGGAAATAAGTTAGGAGACAGAAAAAAATAGAAACAGAATGGTCATTTGATAGAACAAGAAATGCAGTCAAAAGATAGAAATGTATAGATTATAGATAATGAACGGAGCAATGGGAAGTGGGATCATACCTACAAGGCCAGGTGTGGTGGCACATGCCTGTAATCCTAGCACTTTAAGAGGCTTAGGTAGGTAGATTGTTTCAGCTCAGGAGTTCGAGAGCAGCCTGGGCAACATGGCAAAACCCCATCTCTACTAAAATACAAAGTTTAGCCAGACATGGTGGGTGCTTGCTTGTAGTCCCAGCTACTCAGGAGGGTGAAGCATGAGAATTGCTTGAGCCCGGGAAGCAGAGGTTGCAGTGAGCTGAGATCATGCCACTGCACCCCAGCATGGGCAACAGAGTGAAACTCTGTCACAAAAAAGAAAAAACAAACAAACAAATCAAAACAAAACAAAAAACAAACCTACAAGACTAGAGAAATACCATTTATATTTGAGGAAATAATAATTATGAACTCGGCTATTGTATAGCATTGTTACAGTTAACTAAGGCAGTACTTGTCTTTGTGAATTTGTAGATAAAGTCATCTACTGAAAACACTGTGTGTGTGTGTGTGTGTGTGTGTGTGTGTGTGCATGCATACATGTATGTAATAAAACAGGAAATTTGATTATAGGGGAATGGATACAATATTCATCCTAGACAATGAGGGAGGGATCTGACCAGGGGAACAAAGGAGAATTGTGCATAACAGTGGTAATAAAGCTGCCGAAGAATAAGTGAAATTCTGAGCGTAGAGGCTGCTTCACATGTTTAACTTGCAACTTCTACTAAAGTCATCTGTGCATAATATTGTCTGTCTTTATGCATCCTCCTCCTCCTCACACTCCACTCCTCTCTTGCATTGTTTTCTGAAAGTTCATCTTTTTACCCAGCGCTGGTGAATATCAGTATTGGAAGGGAAGGACTAGAACAATGTAATAAACTATTTCCATGAACATGGAACTATGATTAATAAATCATAGTTTACTGCTGAATCTCTGAAAGCAGTTGAATGTTAGCCATCCCTATAGATTTTCATTAATATTTCTGCAGAATTTCAATATAAAGCAATCATCCCATTTCATATGGACAATCCGCATTTCGAATGAGCCTAAAGATTTGAAGCTTCTGAGTAGAGTTTAACACACGTTCTCCTTATCTGAAAATACTGTTAGAAATGTTATTTGGATTATAAGCAGAGCTTTCATTTGTGGAGCCCGTGGCAGTCTGTGCCATAAATATGCACATATCTTTGCCTCAGCAAGACTTTTCTAAGTACATTTCATGGTACTTTTTATATGCATTGGATTTGATTTGTTTTAGGGCATAATATAAATTCTCTGCTGTGATACATGATAAAGAAAACAGTTTTTAAGAAATCCGTGTTGGTTATGAGGCTATATGCACCATCGAGCCTCATGATTTATTAACTGCCTAAATAATCCCTTATCATTATTTTTTGGTTTTATACATAACCACTCATCAGGTACTCAGCACTGTATCTACCTTTCTCTGCAGTGTCTGAGTCCATGCATTTGCCCTCAGTTACTTTCGTGAATTCTTCTGGAAGATAATGATAGCATTTCAAATTCCATACCACTAGCCACATTCCACACCACAGAATATAAATGTGTATGAGGTGGTGGTTTCATTATCTTAGGGTCAGTAGAATTTCAAGAGCTTTAAAATTACCTCTATCATTGATGCAAGTGTCAGCTTAGTTTTAATAAATCTTTAGAAACAGCCACAAGTTACTTCTAGGACATCCTCCTATTTCCAGAAATACATCATTCAGCTGCCAAATCTACTATCAGTGTCTTGCTAAAGAATTTCCACTATTAAATGCAATGCTACTCTTCTGGTGTATGCAACTGCTTTTTGATAACTTAAAATATTATTAACCCAAAGTTTCCTCAGGCTCAATCCACATTTATTCTACTAATACAAAAACAGATAAAGAGAATATAGTACAAGCAAAACAGAAGAAAGAATAGACAAATGCATATGTCATAAACAACATTTATATTTGATGGTACAATTTCACTGCCTGTTGTTGGAATCCCATTACTAAATGTGTGCACAATTAAAACCCAGGCATTTGGCAAGGTGACTTTTTTAGAATAAATTAGAGTTGACAAGTAGTGGATTCAGCCAACCAGTGAGTATAATGTAAAATTTCCCATAATATGTGGCCAAATTCAGATGTTTCCTTTTTAATTTCCAATAAACTTGACCATATGTTCCACTTGCAAAAAAGCTAAATTATGAGGATATGCTTTTGCTTTTCTTTTTTTTTGTAAACTACTACTTTAAAGTTGATGACTTTTTTTTAGAGTGAACTACGCATCATTCTCAAAAGATAATGTGATATTTAAAAGACAAAATAGCTTCTTTGTGTATTAGAAAGTAAACAGCTTTTGAAAAAGTTATAAGCACAGCAGGATACCCATCTCATTCCATAAATATCTATCATGTGACCACTTTCAATTGCATAGCACTTTATATAAAGTTTGTCCTAATATTCCTATTCCAAAATCAGAAACTCAGCATGGGAGTTATATTTAAAGGAAAGGTGAAGTGAAGGAAGTTTGGTTAAACTTGAGAATTTTTCTTACAGAAATATGCATATATCATAATACTAATTTGCTATTAAATATTAAAATATTTAAGCTCTTTAATAATTTGAATTCTGATTTTTCCTATAGTATGGGATTTAAAAACATTAATTTAGACAAAAAGAATATTAATGAGTTTGGAAACAAAAATATCAAAATGCAAATAAATATAATAAAATACTTACTAGCTATAAAGTTGATGCTGGCAATGTGACCCAGATGGGCACCGGCAATGAGATCATAATACTGAAACTCAGAGTTGAACCATCATATCTACCCAATCACAGGTAATACTAGACAACCACAGGCTTTCCTGTGTTATTTCTGTATAACTTCACCACTGTATAACTTCACTCTGAAGCAACAGACCAGAAAACATAAATCCTAGAGAAAGCTGGATTACAAAATCAAAGAAAATAAGACATGGCTGAGCTGCAAACCTCTAGGAACCTGACTACAGCTCCTCAAACAGAATGAACAAAGGTATGGAGAGAGTCCAGAAGTGTAAGATTAATAAATGTCCCTTCAAATAGAAGGAAACATCAAGAGTGAGGAATAAGTGACCCTACTACTCCCCTAGAAGCGGTTTTAAATTAGCAAGTTATAGACATTTTCTTTTATAATATTTTGACTTCTTATTTGTTTAATATATTTTTGTCATATTTTGTGACTTTTATTTGCTATGTCTTCTTTTTGTTTCTTTAATTGTCTTTTAGTTGGTTTGGTCAAGTTTTTTGTCATTTCTTTTATTTTATTCTCTTGGATAGAAATTATAAACTTCGTATTTATTATTTTAGTGGCACCTATTAATATATAAATTTATATTTTCTAACATTACCTAATCTGAAAATTATCTGTAGCCTCCTCTCAAACTATGTAAGGTCTTTATCACACATCTTATTAGATGCCCCTTAACATTCCTTGTTACTGTCTTAGTTTATTTTCATCTTAATTTTTAAATGCACCCCAAAATTAATGTTAATATCATTCCCATTATTAATTGTATTAAACACACTCCATAATTACTGTTAATGTGAATCAATTATTTATGATAAAACTTACTTTGATATACCATCATCTTTTACTGATTTCTGCTTTGCATACACACTCTCTTTTTTTTCCGTCCACTTCCTATTCCTCTTTTATTTTATTTCTGTCCAGCTGAAGGACATAGCGTGTTTGACATTGAGGTTCTGGGAACTATAAAATGTACAAATTATTATTATTCTAAATATAATCTTTATTTCATCCTTATAATTTGGTTACATATGATTTTTCTAAGGATCTTTTCAGCAAGCTTAAGGTACTTTTCAAGTTTCTTCTGTTAACGGTAGTGGCTAAGGCTGTGTCTCCTAGTAATTCATTCTTTGTTGATACTCATGTTTTTTTTCTATTACTTTTAGGATTTTCCTCTTATCCTTTATGTATTTTTTTCATTGTGATTTGGCCAGGTATGAATTTACACATATCATTATTACTAGCACAAGGAGGAACTATTTAATCTGATAGCTCATACCTTATCTCTGGAAATTTATCAGCATTAATTATTTTAATATTGTCTGTCATCCAATCTTTCTCTGTACTTCTTGTGGATCAAATGCTACTAGAATATTGGAGCTTCATATTTCATCTTAAATGGACAGCTCTTAAATGTTCTTTCCTATTGTGATTTTCTTAAAAAAAATCTGACTGTGATATATTTTAATATTTCTCCTTTTTCTTCTAGTTTACAGTTCCCTCTATAATAGTGCCTAGTGAAATATTTAACTAATCATTTGGGGATTTTTTCCCTAATGATTAAAATTTTAATCTTTGTGATTTTTTAATTTTTATCTTATTCTCTTAGCTCTCTTTTTCGGTTCATAATTTAGTAATCTTGTTTATGAGATTTGTTCTGTCATTTTTTCTGGGAATATTTAAACACATTTTAAAGGTTCTGTTGAAGATGGGAATCCTGCACATTGTTTTCTGTGTAGAGTATCTTTCATGGCATTGGTCTTCCTCATATATTTTATAATTCTTGTCCATGGCATTATTTCATAGAAATTTTTCCCAGTTATTGTTCAAATTACCTGTGAATTAGTACTTCTATCCTGGGTTGGGACTTATACTACAGTGTAATGTGCTGTTTTGAAGTCTAATATTTACAAACTTGGAAATAGGCATGTTAATGTAAATGTGGGCTTTCAGCATGGCTAGATATCAAATGTTTGGTCCTAGCACCACATACACCTGACCTTATTTAAAAAGTATATAGATATAATTTTAATCTTGCTTGTTCCCTGAGTAAGCTGATTCATTTCTAATCTAAATGTAAGCAATAAATCAAGTTTAATCTAAATAAATATTTCAATTGCAAGATATATATTATTCCAGAATATATATAATATTTTATATATATACTATAAATATATATATATATAAAATAAATATAGTGTCCAGATGTGGATAAAAAGAACAATTAAGGGGCACTTTTCCTACAAGTTTAAAAGCTACATAATTGAGGCAATATGCAATGGGCACAGTAATGCACAGATAAGTAAACCCCTACAATATGTAGAATCTAGAAACTTAATTGTGTATAATGAGAATTTAATATATAGTGAGTGTCACATTTTGAATTTGAGGGAAAGTATGGGTAATTTAATTAATGCTATTGATACACATGCTTATCTCTGGGGGAAAAGAAGCAAATGTTTATACCTCATAATATCTCACATTACATCTTAAAATGTTCCAAACAGCAAAACTTTCTTAAAAAGCTACTGTTCTATGTTATACCTGGACAATGAAATATTATTCAGAGATATTAACCCACGAAAAGACAAGAAGGAGCATTAAATGCACATCACTAAGTGAAAGAAGCCAATCTAAAAAGGCTACATACTGTTTGATTTCAATTATATGACATTCTAGGAAGGGCAAAACTGCGAAGACAGTAAAAAGATCAGTGGTTGCCAGGGATTGCAGGTGTGATAAGGGGAGGGGCAGGAAAGTGGGTAGAGTACAGAAGCTTGTAAGGCAGTATTATGTGTAATACTATAATGGTGGATAATTGTCATTATAAATTTGTCTGAACCCATACAACAGCAAGAGTGGAGTCTAATGTAAATTATGAACTTTGGGTGATGATGATGTGTAAATGTAGCTTCAACAATTATAACAAATGGGCTGCTCTGGGGGTGGAAGTTGATAATGGGAGACACTATGCAAATGTGGAGGAAGGAAGTATCTGGGAACTCTGTACTTTCTGCTCATTTTTTTTCTGGAACTTAAAATGGCTCTTAAAAATTCTTTTAAAAAATATAACTACAGTTTCAAAAATCTGTGTAAATAGTTGAAGAAAATGCAAGAGTGAGTGAACTTGTGGCAAAAGATGCTGGTGCCCTACCCAGAGGGGATGACTTCTTGTACTGCCTGCTGCTGCTAATGGCTCACGTCTGCAGCCTTCTCTAAAGAATTACCCTTCTTTGTGGAACGGTGTCAGTTGACCAGGAATTCCTTGGATTTATGCCCCTTCCCCAGCTGAGGGGCTAGAAACCAAACACCGATGTTGGAGTACAAAGGCTCTACTCACGTGTTTCAAAACAGGAAAGATTTTTGGTGTAATTTATATTTCAGAGCTCTATATGGGACGAAGTAAGCATCATCTGAAGCCACTTCTTACTCAGTTTCTCCCCTGTCCCTATCCTGTTTCTGTCATCTGCTTAGAAGTTTCCTTCAGAGAGATCTTAATAAATCACTTGTACTAGAAACCCTCTTTCGAATTCTGCCTCTAGATGATTGGAATTAAAGAGCAAATTTATAAAGTTGAATGAAAGGAATTTCAAAAAACTCCAAAGACATAAATAAAATGATCACTTACTTGAACAGGAAATAATTAATTGGTATGAGAAAAGACAATAAATGAACCAGAGTAGTATGTGCTGAAAAAATTTGCAATATATTTTACAGGTACATTATTAATATATAATGTTTACAAAGTTGGAAGAAAGGAGACTCTCCTGCAATTTTGTAGTAATTTTAATTAGCAATATTTTTGAAACAATTAGGAAAGCTATTAATGTATAAAAGAAAATCTATTAAATAAAAGCTAGACCTATAGGAATATAAAAATTTCACACATAGAGATATTTTCATGAATGCACAATTATGTATTCAAAGATATATACTCTATCTCTGTTTGTAATAGAAAAATAAATATAAAGAAATAAAAATAAAATATATAAATATATATATAATATATACATAAAATTCAAGCAATTCTCCTGTCTCAACCTCCTGAGTAGCTGGGACTACAAGTGCATGCCATCACACCCAGCTAATTTTTGTATTTTTAGTAGAGACGAGGTTTTGCCACATTGGTAGGGGTAATCTCGAACTCCTGACCTCAGGTGATCCACCCACCTTGGCCTCCCAAAGTGCTGCGATTACAGGCATAAGCCACCGCACCCGACCTACATTATGCATTTTAAATATCTAAAAGGATATACGCTAAGCTGCTAGCAGTGATTATCTCTATTGGCATGGATTTAAGAGGGTAAACTTTTAATTATTTTAAGAAAAATTTTCTACATTAATTCATGTGCTAGAAGTTTGAGAAATAATTAAGTTTTTGACTGTCACTACAGTGTTTTTTCTAATACACTATGAGTCACATACTGTTTTGATAGAGTATAAGGGCTAAGCATTTATATAAATTATAAAGGCCATAACAGAATATGTATTATATATTTATATATTATATGTAATTTCCATACAAATAAGAATAAAGAACGTATATATCATTACTAATTTTTTTTTTTGAGACAGAGTCTCACTCTTCACGCCCAGGCTGGAGTGCAGTGGCATGATCTCGGCTCACTGCAACCTCTACCTCCTGGGTTTCAGCGATTCTCCTGCCTCAGCCTCCCAAGTAGCTGGGATTACAGGTGCCTGCCACCACCCTCGGCTATTTTTTGTACTTTTAGTAAAGACGGGGTTTCGTCATGTTGCCCAGGTTGATCTCAAACTCCTGACCTCAGGTGATCTGCCCTCCTCGGCCTCTCAAAGTGCTAGGATTACAGGTGTGAACCCCTGCGCCTGGCCTCATTACTAAATTTATAACATGTCGTTATTATAATACCATAAAATATATTCATTATTGTAGTTATTTATTGGCCTCCGAAACAAGATTTTCTATAATTTTGACAATTCATATCTATTAGATTTATATTCCCTTTCTATAACCCAACCTTATCATTTTATCTTATATTAAAACAAATGAACTATCGATGTTTGCTGCTAGTGTACATGGACAAAAATTGTCAATATTGTGGAGCTGAACATTGTCGACACTCATGTATTCACAGAATCCCTTAAGTGTAATGATTGCATCACTCTGAGTATTTCCAAAGGTAAAAATGCCCAGTTGAAAACATTCCACGGCTTAAAGAAGTCAAATAAGAAAAATAGTTCCATTCAAAAAGACATAACTATAAAAGCATCTAGATCACCAAAGAATCTCTAAATGGTCAAGTTAAATGTGACACAATTAAGAATAATTGTTTTGTTTGCAGCTGAGAGGAAGAGGGTTTCAAATATGTCATGTAGTATTATTTTACAATGTAAAAGGCATATTCTTTTTAGCTCCTGGCTATGTGGCTAATTTTTTTGAAGTAAGAAAAACACTTATATTTTTGCCTGTGTTCTAATTGTATAATGTATTTTTTCCTTTTTTGCTAAAACAGTTTAAACAAGATTACATTTGTTAAAGAAACAGTGCCTTCCTTTTGTCCTTTAAGTAAACATAGATAATTTAAAACTTCCATAGTCAGAATAAATTGGCCTGGTTGCCATTTGACTCATTGTCCTAGAAAATGAGCAGTCTCTGCTTCTGAGTTTTAGCAGCTGTGGCTACAGCATAGTCAGGCTTCCAGTATATTTATGCTGGCTGAAAGATTCCATATGGATAAAAAAGAATGAGGAAAGCCTTGTTAGACCACCTGGTAAAGACCTCTTATGATCTTTCCTAGGATGTTTTATCCCCAGTTAATCTGTTGATTTGCTTCTTGGCATTGAGGAATTGGAAATCTCAGTCTAATCCCCTTGGCTCTGTTCTGAAAATCTAATCACTTTCTTGATGTGGGTTCTGTCGGGCACTGAAAGTCCCTTTTCTGGGCTGGCCGAACCTGATGTATATTCTGGCCTTTCCCCATTCTACCATCATTGGGTTTTCCTAATTTGTATCTTCATATTGTTTAAGAAGGAAATCAAACTGTTATTTGGATGCCTTTCTGCATAAATATAAATGTCTTTGTTATCTGGATTTAGGCCAACCATACTAGCCACTGGTTATTTTGAATGTGGAAAGTAGTCACACGGCATGCCAGAATTGTCTGTAAAATAGTCTATCCTTTTCCAAATATAGGTAGGTTTGTCCTGCTATAATCTTCATTTGTATAGATTTTCTATAGCAGGTTACTTTAAGCATATGTATTCTGGGCTGTATGTGACAGATCTAAACCAATTTAGACAAGATCTAAACCAATTGTGTTATGGAAACTTGAAATGGTAAACATAAAATTTTACACCTAGCACAGTTTTTCCATCTTCATAGATCATGTCCATCAACCTAACTGCTACAGAAACAGTAGCTTGATTATACATGTATGTCAGCAGCAACAGAGTAAACTCCTGCTCTCCTATTGAGCAGGAAAAGAGCTTTATATGTCTGTTTGAGGGGTTTTAAGGCAGTTTTCATTCCAAATTGGCACTTGAGTTTAAAGGTTTTAGGATTTCAAAGATATTACTGTAAGGTTAAGTTTATGGGTTGGGCGCCCGGGGGCACTTCCCTGGGTGAATTATCGTTGATTGCCTAACCTTGCAATGTGACTGGTGGAGCCTGGCTGGAGTGCTGTAATTCTCATGCTCGACAGGAGGCTCGGTGTTATCCAAATCCCAATGGTACTCAACTGAATTGATGAAATGACCAGGAAGGCCTAATTAAAGCTGTTCAGCTCAAATGTATTGATGTATTACATCTATTACGG
Organism: Homo sapiens; assembly: GCF_000001405.40. NCBI lineage: Eukaryota > Metazoa > Chordata > Mammalia > Primates > Hominidae > Homo > Homo sapiens. The sequence goes on from NC_000013.11 coordinate 54,615,147, forward strand.
CTTGGTTCAATAGGTCCACCCTGTGGATGCTGCCACAGCCTGTAAAGCAAACTAAACAGATTGAATAAATAATGCTGCAAGGAAGGGAGACAGCAACAGAATCAAAGTAACTGTGAAAAATGCAACAGGATGATCTGTAAACTTTAAAAAAATCATATTATTCACCAAAAATTATTTTCATTTGTATTATTTTTACATGTTGAAAAAATAAAATGTTGGGATTTATAAGCATCTTTTATTCTGTTGCAGGAACTCGTCAATACTCCTTTAGTAAATATTGCAGGACAATGTGCATAAAATCATTGTGATTTTGCTTGAATCTTCACAACTCGTTGTTAGAACCTAGCTTTTTCTTCGCCTTCTGACTGAGTTCTTTTGTGCAACTTTTTAAAACATAAAATCCACTGTATTCTTTTACTTTTCCTGCACCAGAACACTTAACTCTTTTTTTTTTCACCTCTGATGAATTTGAATTGTGTCAAATGTCCATAATGTATATACTGTCCTGGGCAATAACCCTGATTATGTTTATAGAGATTTTGTTTTATTCTAACATAGGGATTCTTCCATATCTTACCTATTCCCATGTATCATTTAATATCATTTACATCATTCTGTTTGCACTGGGAAAGAGAATAGTATACTGTTGCGAGAACAACTTGATGCTGAAACAAAGGGAGGATGAAATTCTTAAAAATACACATCCTAAAAATTATCAAAGTTTTTTTCTTCATTCAATTAAATATTAAAATATTATGAGATGATGTCTTCTCAATTTCTTTTCTGCAGCTGAACTCACACTGAACTTCAGATATGTTTTTCTTGACATCTCTACTTACATACTTAAAAGACATCTCAAACTTAAGGTTTAAAAGTTAATAATCTCTAGTTGCCCTAATCGTAGGAATAGCCTCTAAAATGTTTGCCTGTACTCTTGCTACTCGGTTCCATTTTCCTTTCTGACCAGTGAGCTTTATAAATTGAAATTTATCACATCACATAAGTACTTCAAACACTTCAATAGCTTGTGATGTTCTTCAGGATAGAGCCCTAACTACCTAGTGAAGCTAATTTGACCTTTCATTATCTGACCTCTGCTCATATATTCAGTTCTAGCTTTTGCCATTACTTCTACTTCCCATTGACAATCCTGTTCACTCCATTCTGCTTATTTCATCTTTGCTTTCTCTTATCTCTGAGTTTTCACACAACCCTTGCCTGGAAGATCCTTCTCCATGTATTCCCTTTCCTTGGTTAAATCAGATTTCCTTCTTCAGGCTTGACTATAGAGCTCACTTCCTCCAGGAAGCCTTCCCTGACTTTGCTTCACACTATCAGAGTCTACTCCTACGGGTATTCATAGCAAATGACATCTCCAGCATCATTACCTGCAACAGTAATACAACAGCAGCTGTTTTAGTTGTATTCCACACTCAGGTGGAAACTGCATAAATACATGGTCCATGCTGCCTGATTCATAAACTCTCGAGGCCTCGTCCAAAATCTGGCAAATTGTAGCTCTTCAACAAGTGTTAGTTAAGTGTATGATGGGTAAAATGAACCCCGACTAAATTTAATGGGCTTTAGGCCCTAATTGGATCTCATAAGGGTATTTATAATTGTTTTCATTTTCTGCCACCCACCTTGTCGCTCCTTAAATGCATTATCCACTCTACAAGATGGAATGATACATCTAAATGCAATCTCACTTGCTAAAACCCGTTAATGTCTTACCTGGGCCTGAGAGTTAAATTCCAAATTCTGTATGTTTTCATTCAGCAAATATTTATTGATCTCACATCTGTGGTGGGCACTGTGCTAAGTTTCTCAGCATTTCATCAAAGCCCCTTCAGGCCAAGACTGACCAACTGTCTCACTTCTTCCTTAAGCTGGACAGTTACTAGCAGAATAGAAGCAATTTTTATCCAACACAATTAGGACACCTAGTTACTCAGTTAACGAAAAACAGTTAAAGACATTAAAATTGATAATAAATATGTATTTTAGGCATCTTACTTAAACTTAAATAATGTAAATATATTTATTTATTTATCATTTAATGTAGAGTGAGCCCCTTTAAATATGAGTCAGCTGCTTGAAATCTAATATTTTTCATAATTCATTTCTGAAAGTATCTATGATTTCTAGCTTCAGATTCTTCAAATTAGAGCAAGACTTTAAGGGATTTGAGAAGCAATTTGAATTCTCACTTATTTAACGTTTTTCCAACAATTTCTAATTGTTTTACCCAGATCTTCTTCAAAAGCAAAGTTATATACCTAGGAATGGAATTGCTAGGTTATATGGTAATGCTTTTTTTTAACTTCTTGGGAAACATCCAAATTGTTTTCCACAGTGGCTACACCATTTTATATTTTCACCAGCAACATATAATTGTTTTTATTGAAGAATTGTATATGCAAAACCTTTGCCCATTTTAAAATTGGGTTGTTAGTATTCTTGTTGTGTTGTAAGATTTGTTAATATATTCTGAATGCTAGGGCCTAGTAAGATATATTATATGCAAATATTTTCTTCCATTCTGATGGTTTTCTTTTCACTATATTTATAGTGTTCCTTGATAAATGGTTTTTGATTTTGATGAAATCTAATTTATCTATTTTTTTCCTTTTGTTCCTTGTGCTTTTGATGTCATATCTAACAATCCATTGCCAAATGCAAGGTGATGAAGGTTTGCCATTTGTTTTTTCCTGAGAATTTTTTTAGTTTTGGTTCCTACATTTAGGCCTTGATCCATTTGAGTTATTTTTCTTTATATAGTATGAGGTAAGGTCTAACGTTATTCTTTTGCATGTGAAAATTCATTAGGCCCAGCACCATTTGTTAAGGACACTAATTTTACCTTGTTGAATGGTGTTGGCACTCTTGTGAAAAACCATCTGAACATAATTGTAAGGCTTATTTTTGGATTTTCTGTCCCATTTCATTTTTTTGGTATGTCTATCTTTATACCAGTAACACACAATATTCATTATTGTAGCTTTGAAGTAAATATTGAAATGGGGAAGTGCGAGTCTTCCAACCTTATTTTTTATTTTCAAGATTGTTTTAGCTATTCAAAGTCCCTTGTAATTCCATATGATTTTAGGATTAACTTTTCCATTTTTTCAAAAAAGACTAGAGATTGCATTGCATGGGTAGAATGCTTTGGGAAGTATTATTGCCACCTTAGCAATATTAATTTTTCTAATTCATAAACACGAAATGTCTTTCCATTTATTGTATATATTTATGTCAACCATGTTTTACAATTTTTAGTTTAGAAGTCTTGCACATCCTTGGTGAAATTTATTCCTACTTTTTTTTCATGCTATTATAAGTGAAATTTTTTGCTCATTTTATTTTCCTATTTTTCATTGCTAGTGTATAGAAATGCAACCAATTTTTATATCTTGATATTATATCCTGCAAGTTTGAATTTGTTTATTAGCAGTAATAGCTTTTTATGAATTCTTTAGGATTTTCTACATAAAAGATCATATTATCTGCAGATTAATATAATTTCATTTTTTATGATTTGGGTGGTGTATACCCTCTCTCTTTCTATCTGAATAGCCCTGGCTAGAACTTCTAGTAAAATTTTGAATAGAAGTGGTTAAAGTGTGCATCCTTGTGTTGTTTCTGATCTAAGCACAAAAGCTCTTAATCTTTCATCACTGGTTATGATGTTAGCTGTGGGTTTTTAATAAATGCTCTTGATCAGGTTGAGGATGTTCCCTTCTATTTTTTGTTGAGTGTTTTATGATAACAGTGTGTTAGAATACAAAGTTAGATTTTGTTATATGCTACTGTACATCAATTGAGATGATAAGGTTTTTCTTCCATTCTATTAATGTGGTGTATTTTATTTATTGATTTTTGTATGTTTAACCACCCAATTCTGCTTGGTCGTGTATACGATCTCTTTAATGTGCTGCTAGATTCAGATTGTGAGTACTATGTTGAGTATTTTGACATATATATCAATAATTGATACGGATCTGCAGTTTTCTTTTCTTGTGAAGTTTTTGTCTGACTTTGGTATAAGGATAATGGTGACCTCAGAATGATTTAGGAAGTTTTCTCTCATCTAGTATTTATACAAGTTTAAAGAGAAATTACGTTAATTTATCTTTAAATTTTAGGTAAAATTTAGTAATAAAACTATCTAGATTTGTGTTTACTGATTTAATCACTTTACTTCTTAAACATACATTCAGATTTCTATTTCTTTTTCACTCATTATTGGTAGTATGTGTGTTCCTACCAATTTGTCCATTTTAGCTAGGTTATCACATTTGTTGGCATATAATTGTGTATATTTATATCATAAACTTCTCTTTCTTTCTGAAAATCAATGTTAATGCTCCCACTGTTTTTCCTGATTTTAGTTATTTGAGTCTGCTCTCTTTTTTCTTAACTAATCTAGCTAAAGTTTGGTCAATTTTGTTGGTCTTTTGAAGAACCAAGTCATTTTTATTCATCTTCTCTATGATTTTTCTATTGTATGTTTTGTTTATCTGTGCTCTAAGCCTTTTTTTAATCTCCTTTCTTCTGGCACCTTGGATTTGGTTTTCTCTTTTCTTTTCTAGTTCCTTGGAAGACAAAGTTAGGTTTCTGATGCGTGATCTTTTTTCTATTTTAATGTAAGGATTTTAATGCCGTAAATTTTCATCTTAGCACTGCTTTAATAGCATCTCATAAATTTTGGTGTGTCGTGCTTTGGTTTTCATTTTACCTCAAGGTAATTTCTAAATTCCCTATGATTTTTTGACCCATTGACTATTTAAAAATGTTATGTTTAATTTGCATATATTTGTAAATATTTCAGTTTTCCTTCTGCTGTCGATTTTTATTTTTTCTGATTCTTTCCTTTTCTTCCAAAATCTGTTGACAAATTCCCGTAATAATTTTTTCATTTCAGTTATTGTAATTTTCAGCCCAGAATTTCTGTTCAATTCTTTGAAAAGTATTATCTCTTTACAGATATCTTCTATTTGCTGAGACATCATTTGCCTGGTTCCCTTTAGATCTTTATTAATGCTTTTCTTTAGCTCTTTGAGCATATTTAAGACAGTTGATTAAATATCCTTAAATATTTGTTTGGTGCAAAGTAATTGCGATTTCTGCCATTAAAAGTAATTGCAAAAACCACAAGTTATGTTTGCACCAACCTAATAGTAAACCTCATGTATGGTCTTCCCCAGGGAATGTTTCTGTTAATTTCTTTTTCTCCTAAGAATAGTCCACATTCTTTTCTTTGTACCTTTATAATTTTTGGTTGAAAATTGGGCATTTTAAATACTGCATTGTGGTAACTCTGAAAATTAGATTATTTCTCCTCCTTAGGGTTTGTTTTTGTGGCTTACAGTCAGTTGTGGTTTCTCATTTGTTTAAGAACTTTTCTAAATTATTTTTTGAGGACTTTATTGTCTGTTTTATGTGATCTCTGAAGTCTCAATCTTTTTAGCTTGCAGTCAGCTAGTCTTTTGGCAGAGATTTCCCTAAATTCTTGGAACAACAAGAACAGCCAAATATTAATAATAATAATACTCTCCTGTTTTTTGCAAATTGCTCTGTGTTGGGACACTACAATGCTTAGTTATGACATTTACAACTCTGCCTTAGCATTCACTTCTTATTTGTGCTCAGCCTAACAGTCAGCTGGACTTGGTACGTCAGTACTTCTCCGGTCTTTTTTGAGCATGGCTCCTTACTGGGTCATGTCTTGCTTTCTAGATTCCCTTTCATAGGCAGAAGATTTTTCAAAGCCCTTTTACCCCAAAGTAATTATCTCCCCAGTTTTTTTTTTCATAGATTTTCAGCACATACATTGTCACCATCTGTAATCTTTTGCCTCTTTGGGCAGTGGCTTCTTCATTTACCTTTTAGTGTTTATGAGGAATGCCTACACTTAGCTACTTTTTCACCCTAAAATAGTTCCAAGTTAGCAGAACTAAAGACAAATGCATTGTATCGGTGCCTTAGGGACTTCCCACACAGGTCCAAACTGGGTTCTAGAGGGACCAGAACATACTGTGTTCCCTCGCAGTTCCCCACAGTATGTTCTGGTCCCTCTGGAACCCTGTAATCCATTTGGGAACACAGGCTGCTATTTTCAAGAACACAGTCATCATGAGGATGGAGATGAATGAGGAAAGCCTATGTTAAAATGTGACAAAGTTTTCTTTCCACATTTAAGCTTCCTTTTTCTTGATCTAGCATTTGCTTGGTTTCTGTAAAATATCAACTATCTTACAGAATTCTAAAAGAGCTAATTCTAAAAGTTTTTGTTCTTCTTTTGGATGTTTTTATGCAGGCTCAGGCCTTTAGAATTTCCTATTCTGCTCTTTTCACTGTCATCTTATTGATGACTTCTTAATAACAAATCTAGTCTTCTAATCACTCCAGAAATCTGAAAAATATTTCATTTATTGGCCACACTTATCGTTCAGCCCCCTCTAGCTCTCACAATATTGAAATATGTGTATATATGAATTAAAACAAAGGCATTTCCATTCCTGCAAATCAATGTACTGTAAATTAATCTCTAATTTCCTTTTACACTCATTTCCTGGACAATTAAATCATTATCATTTATTTCTCTATGGCATCTGTTTATATCACCCTAATAATTCTAGGCTCTGCCTTGATCATTTCTTACTCTGTGCCTTTCTGCCTTTTTTCATTGCTCCTGCTTTCCTTCTTCTTTTTTCAATTTTCCATTTCTTTTCCCACAAGTGGTTATCAAGCTTCTCATGGATGTCAAGTATTACACCATACTTTAGGGATTCAGAGATAAAATCAGCCTCCTCACTGAGTAGCTAGCTCACAACCTAATGAGAGATCTAACAAACAGATAATTGTAACACTGCTTAATAATAGTATAATAGCAGTGACTACTGAGTTACATAAGAACTCTTAAGAAGAAACATAACTCAAGCCAAGAGAGTAAGGAACACCTTAAGGAGAAACTACTTATGCAGCGAAGTCTATAAGGATAAAAGGAATTGGTCAGAAGAAATAGAGTCATAGGTAATAGCATACACAGAGGATGCTATTGTCATCAAAATATCTTTTCACAAAGTGATACAACTTAGGGAGAAGCAACAGCTAGGGCTGGAATGGATGATGAATTACCTTGGTTTCCAACTTTATTGGCTGAAACCCCATAGTTTTCCGTGGCTTTATCCAAGCCATCAAGGCAAATGAAATTGCTTTTTCATATGGATATTCATAGTATATTATGAATACCTCCACGTAACTTTAAGTACCTATTTATATATCTATTTTTTCCTCTTAAGACAGAGGAATCCAGGGAGAACCACCATTTTATTCGATGCTAGATACCATTTCTCAGAAAATTCTCTAAACAGAACAATTACTGAAGATTTGTTAAATTGAATACAATCCATATATCTTGACATCTGACCTCTCCCATGAGATTTAAGCTGCATCCAACTATTTGCCAATTGGTTTGCTGATGAGACAAACTCAACATGTCAAAGTCCAACCTTATTATTTTCCCAATCCTGAACAAATGACATCCCCTAACCTTTTCAATTATGTGTCTGTCACTACTACTCTCTCAGTCACTCAGCCTTTAAATCGCAGAGTAAGAATTGATTTCTTTTTCAAAATGCTCCGTATCTATTCAAAATTTAGTTGTCGATTCAAATTCTAGAATGAATCTTTAATTTCCCCAGATTTTGTTCATTTCCCCACTGATTGTCAAGGTAAAACATTCATTTTCAGTCCCGAGGAATTTCATTTTATTGCTTATTGAAAAAAACTAATAACCTTAAACCTTTAGAGTGGTTAGTAAGAAAAAAAAGAAAAGGGTCATTTTAAAAATATTTCTAAAATTTTTAATGTGCAGGTATTGTGGTGGAATTTTTAGTTAAAATGAGAAGTTAAAATTTCATGAGGACAAACAAAGGAGATAATAAAGAATTTACATGACATATCTGGGAAAAATAGATGGCAGGATTTAATGAGTAATATGTGCTTTAATTTTTGTTTTTTGTTTTTCTGCAAACACTATGGTAACATTATTTTTTAATTTGTAATATAAAAATATCTTTTGAATATTATCATGACTTAAAGCAGAAAAGCAGAGTTTGTGTTCTATTAAGAATGGATTCAAGGCAGAAAGATACCAGAATTTTAATTTTTTAATTTTCTTGAACTCAGAATTCTCTCCCCTCCCCACGCCCCGCCAAACACACACACATAGAAACAATGTTAGAAAAGAGCATTGGGTTTCCTGATTAGTCCACAAACAACCTTATTTATCTAACGATATGCCTAGACAATGAAAGTATGCATACTGGCTTTTAGAATACTTCATTTGAAGCAGTTCCAATGTTTACAAAATACTTTTTTCTTAAATCTTACTATTAAATAAATTACTTTACTGATCTTATTTTTATTCTTTTGTCTCCAGTGGGATAGGGATTGGCTGTCTAGTATTCAAAACAAAATATATCCTAAATAAGGACAACAAAGGAACAAAATTTGTTTTATAATGTAGAACAAGTATTTTAGGGACAATGTAATCTTGAATTGTGTTTGTTTTCTAGAAACTAAATTTGTTTTCTATCAGTTTTGCTTTAACACAGAAAGAAAAATATTCATTTACAGTTTTGAGTTTCTTATTTTCTACTTCTCAGTATTTTGTATTCCACCTATGTACTATGAAACAAACATAAGTCAATAAAAACATTTACTTATTTATATAGATAATATAAACCTTTAATTTAAAAAAGTCAACAATTGAATTTTATAATAGCTAAGGTGAAAAATTATTTCCAAAATACTAGCTTATAACTCTTCTGGTTCTTTCTAATGCAAAATCCTTTATTCCTCTTTCTCTTTATTTTTCAAAAACATTTAGAATAAGAAATCTTAGCATGGAAATAGTTGGAAAGTTGCTTAAATATTTGCTTTAGGAATGCAAGTGTGTAAAGCCAACACACAAATTGACCATAATATAGATTTTCACAGTCACTTAAGGCTTATTTCAATAGAATATCTTGTTGAAACACTGATTGAACATAGAAAAATAACTAGGCCTACACTATTAGCATGACATAATTCTGGGCTCTGATCAAGTACAAGGTGGTTACAATCAACTGGTAAGTTTACATAGGAAAAACATACTGAATTTATATTGCTATTTGTAGCTTTTTTCCAGATAATACTGATAACTGATTTTTTATATTTAAATGGAAAAAAAATGGTACAGGGAGTGTTTATATGTCATATTTTGTTTTTTTAATGTTACATTCTACCTTAAGTGGTGTGTTTTTAAGTTTCTAACAGAGAATATATGTTTCTAGCTTGTCGCATTTACTGCTCTGTTAGATAAATATTTTTGGCATATTTAAGTAATATATTTGCAACCACAAATACAATATACAAGAGACTGGCTATCATGATTTGTTACACCTTTGAGCTATCAGCTACCTTAGCCATAAACACCATTCAGGGACACTGCCATCAGCCTGTCACTTTAGCCATACAATGGCTTTCCAATTTTCCCATGTGTAATCCTCTCTCTTTTACCTAGCTTTTCCACCCACCCCACTTTTCTCTCCTCTGGTAATGTATTATTGATTGACTAAAAACAGTTTCTACTGTGTATATATAGTCAATTCTCCAGTGAAAGTCTTTTTCAAATTTCTTCCAAAAATAACCCATAACAAGTGTGGCTGAAAACAGATTATTTACTTATTTACTTATTTTGGAATCCTGTATGGTAAATTGGCACTGGGAAAAGCCCAAAGTAGTCAACACTGACCAAAGAGTTAGAAGGGTTTAGGCAATAGGTCAGCTATGTGATTTTCAGTGAAGCAACATTCCTTAGCCAGATTTTCCAGATCAATAAAATGAGAAAACAGAACTAAACAACTGAGGCTTTTTTTTCTGAATCTAACTTGTTATGATTCTCAGTTAAAAGACAGGTTCAAGAACATAGTGAGAGTTGCTAAAATGAAATGATCCTATGAATCAATACAATCTCATCAAATAGATTTTCTAAGTGAAAAAATTCTAGCATAACTATATCATTTTGTTCTTTTACTATTTCCTGCTTAAAGATATACTAATAAGCAATGTGGCAGGGGATATAGCATGTGAAGTGAGACAAACCTGGATTCAAATATCAATGACTAAGAGCTTTGTTAACTTGACCAAATTACTTAAGATTTTTGAAACTCAGTTTTCTCATCGGTAAGATGGAGAAAGATATATGAACCTTACAGAATTGCTTGGCAGAATGCATATAAAACACTATTAGGGGATATAATAGAAGTAATATAAGATAATTTTCAATGATATTCTTATCATAGTTCTTTGTGAATGTGGTACACAATAAGAAGTCAGTCAATATTTAGTAAATGAGTAAATAGATTTGAGAAAGATACATGTGAACAATTTCACCTTCTTCCAGCATTTGATACAACTGACAGATCCATAAGTACTGGGATTCAAGAGAAAGAGTTCACAGATATCTAGATGGTTACTGCCATAAAATTAAATAAATCCACTCTTAATCATTAAGTATCTACTATTGTCAACATATGATATTTTTTGGTTCAATGTTTCATTTAATGAATAATTCTTGAGTACCTTTTAAGTATTAATTCCTGGGAATAGAGCAGTGACACAAAGCTCTGCTCCTCTTATCTTTGTATTTTAATGGAAGAAGATAAATAATGAGCACAAAAATGAATCAATATGTAATATTCCAGCGAGATGGAGATTTGTGCTATGAAGGAAAATAAAGCAGGGTAAAGGGACAGAAAGGGGCAAGAGGAGGGGAGTGCTATTTTATTGAGGCTTTTCAAGCATGCTTCTCTGATATAATGACACGTGAGAGGAGATTCAAGGCAAGTGAGAGAAAAGCCATGTTGATAACTGAGTGAGAGCATTTGAAGCAGAGCAGAGGGCAAAGACCCTGAGACAGGGGAGTACCTAGGTTGTGCAAAAAGCAAGGGTACAGAGAGAAAGAGGGGGGGCAATATTGAAAGAAAAGGTCAATGTGTGGTGGAACATGCTGATAAGCTAGGATTTTTCTCTATCTCTATCTGGAAATTATCAGCATGTAGATAATGTTCACTTTGGGAATGAATGAAAATGGAGAAGAGGAGTGTGAAGACTGAGCATTGGCTAGGCAAATATTGTGGTTCCATTGTTACTACAAGTTATAACATTTCATGATTTATAATAATTTCAGTATTACTTTTCTCATTTAATATTAGTAACAGCAAAGCAAATCATCCCAATATTCTCAATCATGCTTTACAGATGAGAAAAACCACACGGGGGATGGAATGATCACTCCAAAGATAAACCGCTTTTAAGTGAAGAGCAGGGATATAAAGCCAGAATCCCTGCTTTCCACTCCATTCCACTCCTCTCTTATTCTACAGCAGGATTATTCTAATGGGCTTCCAAAGGCTCTATTCTGAATCTTTTCTTTTGCCCCACTTGCTTTGGAAGACAGCTGCAACTCCTCTAGTAATAGTCTCAATTTTCTTTCTGGTGTCCTGAGAGGAAGTGAAACCAAGAAGAACATGAGTAGAAATAGCTATCATTAACACTTGGACCCAGGAAGGGGAACATCACACACCAGGGCCTGTTGTGGGGTGGGGGGAGGGGGGAGGGATAGCATTAGGAGATATACCTAATGTAAATGATGAGTTAATGGGTGCAGCACACCAACATGGCACATGTATACATATGTAACAAACCTGCAAGTTGTCACATGTACCCTAGAACTTAAAGTATAATAAAAATATATATATATATAAAAGAAAGTCAGTGTCAAAAACTTGCCTGCACTATATGATTAATAGAATGTGTGAAATTGTATTGCAATACAATAATGCAAATCTTCATATTAGGAAGCCCACATCTCATCTCAGATGAATCTTTTTTTTAGTTATTACCTGGATTATCTTGAGCAATTAATTCATTTAACTTCTTTAGGAATTAGTTTACTCCTTACTAAAAGGAACATAGCATCACAGTTGTTTCCAGTGTGGAGATGATCTAAGGGAAAGTATTTTACAGACTATTACATGTTATGCAATTATTAATAAGCAAAGCCTCTACAAATATAGGACTATGGTCTTTAACTTACAATAAACGAATGGGCTGTGTATATTGTATCTTAGACATAGTAAGTAGGTTTCACTTAGAAAGGCAAATGTGTATCTTGTGTCTTATGTTACTATCTCAAAATTTTCAATGTAGCTTCTAATAACATAGTTCAAGCATACTCAGTTTGCAATTTCAATTGTGCTATTGCTGTTTAACGTACTAAAAATGATGTTTTTGTCTTTGACCCTTCTAAGTAGTTGTCTAAAATACATATATTATTTGTGGCAAGTGAAAAAGATTTTCTCTGAAAGTGTTGATATAGAACATAATATAATATGTAATCAGTACAGCAGGGAAATATAACAAAATAATAAAATTAAAAGAAGTCCAAGTGATTTTTAACTAATAAGTTCAAATCATTACCAAATAACTAGATGTTTTAGTCAGAGTTCTCCAGAGAGGCAAGACTGGTAGGATAAAGAGGGATGAGGAGGGATTTATTAAGGGGATTATCTTACTTGATTATAAATACTGGGAAGTCCCACATAGGCTGTCTGCAAGCTAGAGAACCAGGGAAGCCTGTAGCATGACTTGGTCTGAGTCCAAACACCTCAGAACGAAGGAAGTCAGTGGTGTACCTCTCAGATCAAGGCTAATGGCCCAAGATCCTGGGAAGCTGCCGAGTCCTAAGTCCAAGGCCAGAGAACCTGAGGTTCTCACATTCAAGGTCAGGAAAAGAAAGATGTCTCAGTCCTAGAAGACAGAGCAAGAATTTGCCCTTCCTCCACCTTTTTGTCCCATTTGGGCCCCCAGATGATTGGATGGTGCTCACTTACACTAAGCAGCAGTCTTCCACATTCAGCCCAATGATTCAGATGCCAGTCTCCTCTGAAAACACTCTCACTTATAAGCCTGGACAGCCGAATCATTCTAAGCAAATGCCAAACCACCTGGGTTTCCCTTTCAACAGAAGTGAGATGGTTTCAGAGTCTATGAAAGCACTGAAAATAATTATTGCTTTAAAGTGTATCTATTAAAGTTGTTTATTTATAGCTATTAGCCCACCAGATATAGGAAAAAAATAGTTGCACATACATTTCATCACAAGAATGTCTGCTAAGAAGTCATATTTTTACATCAGATTAAATAATTTCCAAACAGTAGGAATTACCCATGCTAAATAAAATTTATGGAAGCCTGTTGATTTGTACTGAACTCCCATGCTGAGCCCCAACTGACTAACCCAAAATGAAATCATTCCTGCTAAGGGCTCACATCACTAAAGTGAAACCTGCACTGTTTACTTGTAATATTTCACCTTCTGAGAAATCTGGAAAGAAATGATTGCCTAATCCCCAAACAAGCCAGTAAAAAGTAAAACAAACAAACGAACAAAAACAGGAGATTTATAGCAATCAATAAAAGGGCCTAGTCAACCTGAGCCAGTGATATAAGGATGTCCCCTCTGCTTTAACCCGTATAAAGAAAGTAACCTGAAGTAACCTGATGTTAACCCATCTTCTTTTTGCACTATGTTGTTTCCTTGTTACTGTTCAATTTTCCTTAATAAAAAACAACTGTTCAGCCATACCCATGGAGCATCTGTCTGTTTTGTAGACTGGATGCTGCCTGGTTCATGAACAGTTAATAAAAGCCAATTTGATCTTTAAAAATTTGTTGAAATTTTGTTTTATTGACACTCAAAATGAAATTAATTAAGGTAAGAGTGTTCAAATACATATTCCTAGATTTTATTAAGCATGTACAGAGTAAGGTCCAGAAATCTGCATTTTCAGAAGGACTCTAAGTGATTTTTTTAATGCTTAAATATTTTGTGAGAACATGAAGTAATAGCACAAAAATTAAGCAAGAATAAATTAATATACTGTCAGAAATAAAATTCAAATAAAATAATACTTTATGAAAAATATTTTGTTATAATTGGTAAATCTTTAATAATAATCCCAGATAAATTTGAAATTTGCTTATTTTTATGTTAGGGATTTTCCTTTTCTTTTTCTGAATTCTATCTTCAAGCTACCTATGACAATGCTTATAAAGAAAGTAGACTGAAAACTTGAAAACAATCTATTTCAGTTTAATACAAATAAACATGTAAAAATACTTATGAGTGCCTGTCAGTGCCAGTCCCTGATAGGTGCTGAAAATATAACAGTTATCTAAACTGGCTCTGCCCTCATGGAGATTGTATAGATTAATGACTCTCAAGCTTTAATTTGCAATCAAAACATGCGAGGATCCTGGTGAAGTGTGGATGCTGATTCAGTAGCTTTAGGGTGGAGCCTGAGATTTTGTGTTTCTAATAAATTGATGCTGCTGGTCCCAGAACAAATTTTCATAATTAAGATTCAGATAATTGAAATATGTACTCCAACAATTACTGGTATAGGAATTAGAACCCATGTAGTCAACCATTATCTTTACTGTGAGATTAAACACATTTTGGAAAGATGGGCTAGGAAATATTTTGTTGACAATAGTGGCTAATTATACTATGAGAGTCAGAAGAAACTGTGCAAAGGTATCTTTACGAACCATTTAATCAAATTGTTTTAAAAAACCTTTCCCAATACACATCATAGATGTAGAGTAGATACTAGACATATTAGTAATCTTTGATAGTCATGTAGTCAGCATCTGATTCACAATTTCTAATATTTTACCATTTCCTGCAGTGAAGAGGAAAATAAATGACATGATCTTTTCTCAATATGTCTATTTATAAATGTGGATTAGTGTGAATCACCAAATATTTAATAAAGTTTTTAAACCAATCTTTCTTGTGAGAAAATTGGGGCCTATGTTTGTATTTGCATTTTTCACTGAAAGTTAATTTCAATCATGTAGAATTTTCATAGGTCCAAATGCCACCTATGTTTTTAAGATTGATATGCTTGTAATATTTATATAGGTTTTAGTTCAAATAAAAATTTCTTTAAACTTTTTGTTTCTGGATAATAAGAAAAAATGAGAAAATGACAGACTCCTTGTAAGATTTCTCTCACAAGGTAATTTGTATGCTAATTAAACCTATTTAATCATTTTATATGTATAAATATTTAAAAACAACATGTACATGATAATAAATATATACAAATTTTGTCAATTAAAAAGTTAAAAACAAAATAAAATTATATTTAAACAAAGAATTATCTCACAATTGTTCATGACAACCAAAGCAAAAAATCAAACAGCCTGTACATGGTAAAGCTGAGTTCCTGGAGAAAACTCACTGAAAAAGCAGCAGATTGGGTGTGCAGGTCTCCCGTAATGACTGAATTCTTTGGTAGTGCACAAAGTTCTAGTTTGGGCAGATAGAGTGGTGTGTTGATTAGATTTGATTGATAAATTTTCAGTTTTGTTAACTGGTGGTTAAGCACAAACATTATTAAAACTTAAGTTATAAAAACTTTAATAAATTTTTAAATGCAAATGTAACAAATATGCAAAATTCATTACTTCCTAATAATCCTACTAAATTTTATTAATATCTTTGTTCTTGAGGTTATTTATGCCTCTTGTACTCTATGGCAGAAATACTATGTAATTATGTGCTACTGAGTATCTCTTCTCAGGTCCATGTTCAGAGATTTCATGTTGGTAGCTGGAAATCAACCTTGATGAGAATATTTACACCACAGAAATTGGCACCACACATTAAAAATCATACACACATCACTCTCTGCTCCAGAGCTGCTTGTCAAACATTTATATGCACACCATTTGCCAGATACCACATTTTAAAAGAAAGGGTTCCAATGCTAGAGTTATGGGAACTTTGAACTACAGGATTTAGGGGTGTATTAGCCCTCCCCTGGTGTGATCAGGGGCTATGATATGATGAAACATGATATGGCAGAGGCTTGGATATAGGTGTACCCTAGGATTTTAGCATTCACCATTCTAGGGCATACCACCCACTTTCCTGATAATTAGGGCTGCCTCTAACCTTGCAGTAGAATAGGTTTAACTGTATTACACACAACTCAGTAACTGGGGCTTTGCATAAGCAGAATTCTTTTTCTGGGATGCTAAGATCACCCTTTAATAACTCATCACAGTAAGTCTTTAAAAAATATATCTTTTCACTCAAATAGGTAAAATATATTATAAAATATCAGGGATGAGAATCATTTTTCAAAAGTATGCTTAACACAATGTAACACATTCAAGACCTCTTTGAAGTCATGAATTTTAATGAATTTTATATGAATTAAAAAATACTTTGGAATTTTACATTTAATTTTTATTGTGTGCTACCTCAGGATAAAAAGAAATGTATATTATCATATGATGCTTCTTCATCACTGTGTGTGTGCATGTGTTTTTTAATCCTTCCTTTAATGATACATCATAGATGTTTACCTGACTGGAATGGTTAAAATGAGCTTTCAGGGTGTCTACTCATCATTCTATGGCTTTATGATTTGTTAAGGATTATTATACAATCAGTCTGTAAAATGAAGTTGACTACAGTATAGAAGAGAAGAAAAAACTTATTTCTTTGAAATCACTAGTCTAAAACAGTTTGCATACATGAACATTTTGATTCCTTTGAACAGATGAAATCACTCTGGAGTCGATAAATACATCCCTTGCACTACTAGAGGAAAACTGATCTTATAATTCCAATTCACATCTCTTGTACTGGAAAGCATAAAATATGATGCAAATGTGAAATATAATTGAACTACTTATCACTTTTTATTATAACTACTCATATTTGAGTAGAATGTTTTGTCTAAAACTGAAAGCATTGTCTTTAAGGATTTCTTTATTTAAAAAAAATACTTTCAAGGAATTAACTTCAATTCTGTTTATATTTCCTTTTCATTTTAAACTATATCAGCATTAGCTACTCTCTCATTCATTCAGGGAAGTAACAAATTCTATGCAATAAGAATGCTAATTTTCTCATATTGTTACTGACACTTATTTGTAGGAAAATGTTATTGATGTTTTTCTAATTACAAAAAAAGGAAAATCTGCAAAAGTATCAGTATTTCTTTTCAAAGGAAGTTGAATGCTGTGTTCATTTGTTCAGGTCCCTGAGTAATCATTCTTAAAGGGACAACATTTTTATCTATGGGACGGCATGAAATAACAGTATGAAAAGTAATGGGCAAAATGATAGAAGATGAATAGAACACAATACTAAAAAAAGCAAGGAAGGAAAAGAAGCATAGAAGGAAGAAAAAGAGTAAAGAAAGGAGGGAGAGAAGGAAGAAAAAAGGATGAAAGGAAAAAAAGGCTGGTTAGAGAACATCAGTGCAAATTTAAGTACAAAAACGTTGGATTAAAAAATTTATTTCTTATTATTCAATAGGCATTTGGTACAGAACCTAATCCTCTCCCAGAGAAATTTAAACACTGGGGTGGGATTTGGAATATTGTGGGGTAGGAATCAGGACACTTCCCTCTACCTGCCCATCACTGATTTCCTCCCTTATCTATCACCCATTAGCTCTGGGACCTTGGACACATTTTTAACTTTTTTTTCTTCTGGATATTATTGACTAGATTTAAGTAAAATTTTATCTGTAAAACATTTAAAAGTATAAAACACCATCCAACTGTCAGGTAGAATGTGAACATTAATGATCATTAATAAAATAAAATAGATACTTCTGGTTTAATAAGTGAACAAAGGTTGCCAGGATTCATATCATCTGAGTTACAGTCTGCCTTTGTCTCTTCATTTTGTATGATCTTGGGTAAGTTTTTACCATTTTCCATTGTTATCTTTAAAGTGCCAAATTGTTAATGGACTTAAAGAAACAAATAAAAATTATGCTGTGAATGAGCTCTGAAATCTATGTATTGCTAAACAAATACAGGAAGATAAAATGGTGTTGTTTTATGACTATTATCTACTTTAGAAACCAGATTGCTAATTTTTCCATGAAAATGTAATTTTAGTAGAATAAAGTAAATTGAACATAAAAATGGTTACACATACACAGCTAACAATCTGATGGTTTCTTTGTTTATGTAAAAGGAATTTAGAATCTCATAAATTCACCTTAAACAATCCTATTGTTTGTGTAAGACAAGCTGCTCATGTTTCAGTGAGAATAGTGCAACCCACGGTGGAGAAGTTATCTGGCCAAGGACTCACAGAGCCAGGTCTATATCTCAGGACACCTGCCTTTGGGTCACAATCCTCTTCCTACTGCATCAGGATGCCTCTACTCTTTAGTACATAGATTAGCTGTCAAACAACGAAAAGTCTTTTGTCATATTTGGATTAAAGCAGCCACGATGTGGCTTGGAATGAATCAGCCGACATAAGGTGGAATCATCTGTGAAAAGAAAGAGGTCATTATTGGCTATTTCTGTGAGGTGGCTTGAAAAGAGGAGGGGAAGAGTGTCACACTCTGCATGGATCCTTGAAGTTTTTCAGGATAACACTCCATTAACAATGACAAGTTGCCATCTGTTAGTGAACTCTTCCAGAAGAGAGCGAAAGCTACCCAGGAACATTTTGCTAAAGTCAAACTGGTTTTCCAAATCCAGCCCTTGGTTTTGTTATATGTGCCAACAGACATTCGTGGTCACTGGGAAACTTTCTCAGTGAACTGGAGAAGTGTCAAGGAATAAATTACAAGTATTTCTAAATTATATACTGCTATTTGAAAGAAGCTGTCAATTATTTTACTCATAAAGAAGCCATTTAATTATGTTTTAATAACTTTTCCTGTAAGTTTATCTAGCAATATAGCTTTTTCATTATTCTCTCCCAAACTGTGTATTTTGTAGGAAGTGGTATGAAGCTGCACCCGGGGAAAAAAAAAATGAAACTGACCAGTTTATGTATTCACTTTAAATTGCATCTCTTTCAGATTTCCTGATAAAGATGGGGTAAATATTGAGCAGTAAATCATGGCTACCTCTCCATTTCATGCATGCTAAATTTGAGAAATGTCAGGAAATAAAATATTTCACCTTAGCATATTGACAGGTTAGAAGATATGGAAATCTTTTACTAAATAATATTATTTGTTTTCATGTGGATTTTATAAAATGCAACTAAATATATAGTATGTTTATAATTGTTTTATCTCAAAAAGATGCAGAAATTTTAGGTGATTTATATAAATAAGCAATCATAAGCGTTCGTTTTGTAAGAATACATTTTATATCTTAAATAGTAGTAGCTAGATAGCAAGAATAGTGATAGTACAAAAAAAATGTAACCCTGAATGTATTGACAGTATTAAATTTTAACTAAACCCTGTGCTCCTGGAAAACACTGATTATTAGGAAATGTCTCCACCCTCTTGTGTTCTGCAAAACATCTCACTGAAAAGAATCACTCTTGCCACATGACTTATATAAGACTGAAGGATGCCCTTCTTGTGTATCCATGACCAAGACAGAGGTCTTCTACATTTCCATTCTTTTTTCTCATTAATGATTAGCTGAACTGCTTGATCCCAGTGATCAATTGGAACAAATGCTTGTTAACCAAACTTTGGTTAAAATTATCTTCTTTTTCCATGTCCCTGAACTTTCACCCACTCACAGAATGAAGAGCATACAATCTCTGCTTAAACAGTCTATCCCCAACCACCTCCCTTTAGCAATAGGCTGGCCTCAAGGTCAGTAGTCTCTGATCTACTATCTGATCAAGACTTCAGATGATCTCACTTGCCCACAACCCTTTCCTTCTAGCCTGGTTTACCGCTCCTTATGAAAGAAACACTTTTTTTTTTGGCATAACCCTTGAGATGCTTGCAGAGCTTATGGTCAAAGCATGTTCTCCTTATGGCAATAATTCCTCTTCCCCAACCATTGCAACAGTTCCTTTGCCCCCTTTTGTGTAATAATCCAGTACTTTTTACTAAATTCTCTTTTTACTAAGTCTGAATTTGATTTTTATTTGTCAATAAAACGCAAGGAATATAAACCCCTTGCAGAGGGCTTTGGTCAGTGACACATTGACAATGTTCTTGACTATTTATTATCACTAAATTTTGCCCCCAAAGACTGAAACAAATGCTAATCAAAATCATCTCCAAAATTTGACTAACCATTTTCACGTTTTCATTACTACAATGCCAGTGCCTTTTCTGTGACTATTTTATCTTTCTTAATGAAGGACTTATCAATGTTTCACCTATGATCTAGTAAGTGTTTAACTTTTAACAAACACTCATAGAGAATAGAGCAAAAGTTATATTTATAATTTTTATTCAGAGGAGGTGATGTACAATGCATGGTTTTATTTAATCACATATTTTAATACTTCATGTAATTTCTCTGAATAAATTTTTTAAAATTCAAATTATTTAGAAAGCTCTTATTCAGATCAATCTGAAAAAGCACATGGGATAAGATGTTTCACATCTTGACTAAACTGGAAATTGTACTTGTAAGAAATTTTTTTTTTCTGCAAATTAACAATCAATTGCAGACAAGTCATTTTAAAAGATAAAAAGTCTTGTGACACCAGTTTACTGGAAACCAATGGGAGAGCATGCTATTTAGCTTCCACACTCTGTTAATTAATAAATCAACGGAAGAATGTGCATATATTGATCAACCATTTTTAAATAAGTGAGTTTTAATATTAAAACTATGCTTCATGTTTCTGCTTTTCAAGCTTTATCTGATTTGTTTGTGCTTGCTTCCACAATTTGTCATGGTCAGGCTGAGTTTCACAGCTATTCTCTAAGGTAGCTGCTATGTCACAAAATTGATGTTCTTAGAGAATTTAATGAGAAGGTGCTAAATTTTAATATCAAGATTACTGGTGGAACTAATAATGGTCAGACTAAGAACCAGCCCTCATGGGCTATGAATGCAATTTATATATATATGCCTTAAGCACTTACTAGTACCCAGCACTGTTCCTCTGTGAATTAACCGTGAGAGAGTGGTTCAAGCAAAAAGCAATAGTCCATCATAACCAATGCATTTAATTCCCTGTATCCCCACATGTAAAACATTAAGGAGGTTTTCTGAGGTAAGGGGAGAATAATGGAAATTGCAGAAGAGGTGTTCCTTATCTGCCTGAATTATAAGGCTGCCTAGGTGTGGGAAGGAGGATTCTACTACGTTACATACTGATCCAGCTAACCTTGCCTTTCAAATTCCTGCTATCTGACTTGCTCACTGACAATCTGCTTATTTTCTGCTTGGGTAGACTTCTCAGCTTAGCTCTTCTTCCTGCTGCTCAGGGCTTGACCCCTATCTCTTGCCCAAATATACACAGTCACCTGTATTCCTGCTCCGGTACTCATTCTACAGGGCTCTAGAATACAGTTCCACCATCTCAGCATCATGCTCCTGTTAATGCCTAAGCTTCTATCCAGTTTGCTTCTTTTCTTTGGATCAGATTGTGAAGCTGACCCTATTCCTTTTAAACTCTGTTATTAAGTTGATTAGAAAATGATTTGCACACACAGCACTTTCTTAGTGATGCTACTTTGCTAAACATCTTGTAGGTATCCAAATCACTGTGTCTAACAGGACCCATGCTTTACTGGAATTCTGGCTGGTCATTGTTTTCCTTGTCTCTCTCTTCCTGTCATATTTTTTTGATGTACTGTCTGACAGATTTTCAAGTTTTAAAATATAATATTATTAGCCCACAAATATTATATAATTACAACAGAATATTTTTTCTGAAATCTGAGAGTTGGTAGTCTTGGGAAATTTGTAACTATTAAATAATTACTTAAAGAATGAACTTTCGAAGGTAATAAATAATTTCTACTCTTTTTTTAGCATATACAGGTGATTTCTATTATTATGAGCAACTTTCTGTTATGACTATAAACATGGAAAACAATAATCAATTGAAGTAATAATTTTTGTTTTATTTACTCTAATTATTAAAAATTGTCTTTGAAACTTGAGACTATATAGTCTTCTACTTAACCTAAGAGAATTAAAACCAGATGACTTTTACATTCTTATCTAATCATAAAATGTATAAATATAATTTATTTTTAAAAAATTTCTTCCAGAATCAGCAGCATCCAATAATTATACTTGTACATCTATATTATATATAGATATATATTTCCTTTATATGTATAGGATTATGTATTGGGACTTTTTGTGTGTTTCAACAATGGCTAAGCACATGCTATGCTCAAAGCATCCATATAAAAATTTGGGATCTTACTTTATACTATGCCAACTTTTATGGTGGCCTTTCATTCTGTTTATTTCAAAATGCTAGTCCCTCTCCACTGGACTTTGTAATGACTCATATCTTATCTTAGGCCAGAAAGCATGCTGAGCAGCTTCTAACAAAGTGAGACCAAGGTTGTTTCACAATCAGCTCTGCAGGAAGGACTGTATGAAGTTTAGCTGTATCCTCCCCTAGAGTCAGCTCTGAGCCGTCACTTTACTAATGAGCTCAGTTTTCACCAGCATGCAAAATGCTCTGCTGCTGTTTCACATTGTTGGCTGCTTTGTTAACTTTTAAGTCCCTATGAATTCTTTATTTTTTTTCTGCAAATGCTTTACAGTTTTCTGTGATGCTGAGGATTTTCCAAAATCAATGAAGAATATAATTCAAAAATCCTCTATTTCAAGTTTGTTTTTCTTTTTTTTTTTCTTTTGGGTGACCATATCAGGATGAAAAGGTTATTTTATATTTACTTTAACACTCTTACAAAACAAGTACACCTAACAAGAAAAGCGAGGTTTTATTTGCTTTTTCAAACAATGACTTCTTATTGTTTAGCATAAATTGGAATCTCACCAGTCCTTTCCAACCAAGAAGTGTATTCATCTCACTGATTTTTTAAAAAATGTTTATTTTTTATATTAGTTAGTGGATTATTTCATACGCTGCTTCCCTTTAGGGTTTTTAATTACATAAGCTTATATTGATACTCTGTCTCTAGTTTTACATCACTATTATTTCTATTTTCATTCACTTATTCCATAGATGTTTATTTTAGTGTATGCACTAAGCTACACCATTTTCTTGGCACCATTGATACAGCATAGAACAGAAGAAATATATCCCCCATTCCATCGTGGCGCTTACGTTCAGGTAAATGTAGGGAATGCAGGGTGTGGGGAGACCAAGGAAGATAAATAATAAATTAAATCTAGAGTAAGATAGTAATAAGTTAATACATAACAAGTTGGAAGGGGAATTTTTTTAAAGCCCTTTCCAATTTGAATAGTAGCCAAAGATGGCTTTTTTGAGAAACTAATATTTGATTAAAAATCAAAAGAAAATGTGGGATAAGCATGCAAATATCTGAAAGGAAAGCATTCCAAGCAAAGGAAACAGAAAATAGAAATGCACTCAGGCAGGAGCATGTCTGATGTGTCCCAGAACAGCAACAATGCCAGTAGGGTTGAAGCGGAGTAGTAGATTTGAGTGGAGAAGGGATGCTGGGGCAGGGAGAATCATTAAGGAGACTTCTACAGTCATCCAGGTGAGCAATGACATCAGAAAGCATGGTTGGGGAGGGTGCAGGAGACTTTCAATCACGGTGGAAGGGGAAGCAAGCACGTCCTACATAGCCGGATCAGGCAGAAGAGAGTGAAGCAGGAGGTACTATACACTTTTAAACAACCAGATCTCAGAGAACTCAGTAACTATTATGAGAACAGTAAGGGGGAAATCTGCCCCCATGATCCATCACGTCCCACCAGGCCCCTCTTCCAACACTGGGGATTACAATTCAACATGAGATTTGGCAGGGACACATATTCAAACAATATCACATCCTCATCCAAGCTGATGTCATTGCTCACCTGGATGACTGTAGAAGTCTCCTTAATGACCATGAGTTAATTAAATCTCTTTTCTTTATAAATTACCCAGTTTCAGGTATTTCTTTATAACAATGCGAGAGTGGACTAATACAGGGTGGTAGTGGAGGAGACCTGAAATAAGCAGGATGGCAAATGAAATGAGATGGGACAGAAAAATACTGTTTTAAACTGGGCAGTAAATTAGAACTTGGGTGGAGAAGAATGAGATTTTGATGTGTATTCTAAGATCTATTTCCAAATCTCATTTTGCACGAAGCAAACTTTTCTGTATCTGATGATCTTTTAATGTCTCTGCAATAAGCTGAAATTTCTAACAAAGCAATTCCAAATGCAAAATCTCCTCATAAAACTATTTATTCATCTCTACCACTATAATTTTATTCAGTTTACATCATATATCAAAGGTTGTTCCTCTATTTCTGTGTTTGGCATGAGTTAATAATCATATTTAAATGGGTTTAGAAATATGTTCGAAAAAACTACTTTTCAACTTCATGTCTCAGGCTATTTCTATTAATTGTTTAAGTTGAGTAAACATTGAATATTTATAAAACAATTTGTTTGCAATGTATTGACTGCTAGGAATAGGAGTAATAGACTGACTTTCAGAATCTTTGCCAAATCACAAAATCATCCATAAATAACAAAAAAACAAAATTATTTATTATATAAGGTGAAAGTGCTAGAGATCAAGAAACAAAATCTAATGAATATGTGTGTGTATGTGTGTGTAATCTCTGTGAGTTGTAGTCTTCCAATTCATGAAATAAACATGTCTTTATATAAACTATCACTTAAAGCTTTTAATTCATTGTTATATTGTCAATGGTCTTTGAAAAATCACATAATTCCTTTCTGGGTCTTTCAAGAAAAGAAAGAACTGTTTGTCAGACTTAAACGTTATAATGTGTCAGTTTTTTTGTGGCATATAGATAGAAATATGCTAATTCAATAGAAATTTTTCTTTAATCTCCTAGGGATTCGTGGTAAAATATTAGAGAACAGCACTTCCTATGTACCTAAAGGCTTGTAGTTAAACTCCAAACACTTCAGTGACTCATTTTCTACATTATACTTTCAATGACATTAGAAATTAAATATTTAAGAATTAAAAAACCATACTAGCTCAATGGTCTTAATATTTAATTGTTCATCAGAATAACCTGGAGGGCATTTTCGCACACCAATTCCTAAGCTTCCTCTTCTAGAGTTGCTGATTCAATACATTGAGAAGAGGCACAAAAGTTTGCATTTCCAGGTGATACTGATGCTGAGGGTATGGGGATTGCCCTTTGAGAACCACTACGTTAAAGAAATGGCTTGCTACAAATAAATAAATTAATTAATTAATTAATTTCATACTAAGAAGATGTAATTACTAGTCTGCAAATTGATACAACAGTTCAGAAAATGTTTCTTCTTTTGTTCACTGAACCCCAATATTAGCCAACAAATTCTCATAAATCAGAGTAACCACACCATCCATAAGGCTTTATACATCACTTTTGCATCTTTTCCTGAAAATGCATTTGTCTGGCCCTACTCTGAATTAAGTACTGCTCTCTAAAGAACTTGAGCTTGAATCAAGAATGTGTTATTTTAAGCTTTGAGTCAACCTTTTTTTTTTCCACCTTAGCAAGACTGATTACTTAATTTGCCAATTGAAATACAAGTAGTCTCAATCTAGCAGTTCTTCTGGTTTGTTTCTAAGCATATTTACTAGCAAGATCCTGTATATTCACCACCATATTTGAGATAAAGACTGAGGAGCAGAACTTGGGCAGTTTTTACAGGACATGCCCATCCTTCACCAAGTGCAAACTAGAAGCAGGGAGCTGGAAAAAAATCTCTCCTGGGCTCTCTAGACCTTCTTTGAATGCACTGCAGCTGCCTTAGAAAGGCTGGTGTCTGGGGGGCATGGCAGAATTCCTGATGGGAGAAAGCTGGAGGTGAGATTGGAAAGCAAAGAGAGATCCTCATTAACACAAAAAATACCTGACATTTTGTAACTGAAAGAGACTCCCCACAGTGTGGAAAGTAATGAAGACAACTGAAGAGGATAAATATCTGGGTAAGTGTGAAATAAATGTTTATTATTTTTGATTATTTTAAAATACAATTTTTCATTGAAAATAAAATAATAATAATAAATTGGTATAGCAAATTGATGAGGAGTGAAGTGGCAAAAAATTATGCCACTGAAAAGTTCTTATGTTTTCAAAGTTCCTTAATACTATATGAATGTAAATAGCAATAAAGATGAATATTATAATTTTTAAAAAATAACTAAAAATGAGAAAGATAGAGCCTAAATTTAAGAAATGAAATAAAAATGTAGGGAGGAAGGAGGACAGAAGAATTAATCCATTGATTAAGCAACAAGTGGGTATTAAAGGATTTGCATAAAAACTGTCCAACAGGCCAGGCACCATGGCTTACTCCTGTAATCCCAGGACTTTGGGAGGCTGAGGCGAGCGGATCACCTGAGGTCAGGAGTTCGAGACCACCCTGGCCAACGTGGTGAAACCCCGTCTCTAGTAAAAATACAAAAATTAGCCGGGCATGATGGCAGGTGCCTGTAATCCCAGCTATTCGGAGGCTGAGGAGGGAGATTTGCTTGAACCTGGGAGGCGGAGGTTGCAGTGAGCCGAGATCGCGCCATTGCACTCCAGCCTGGGTGACAAAGTGAGACTCTGTCTCAAAAACAAAACAAAACAAAAACAAACAAAACAAAACAAAACAAACCTGTCAAACCAATTATTAAAAAAAGCAGATTATAAAGGCTTTAAAAACACGGATAAAAAATGACGATGGCACAAAGCTAATATAGGAGCAAAAAATACAACTTTTCTAAATACCAAAGCAGTTTTTTTTAATGCCAAGGGAACTAAACAAACTCAGCAAATATAAAATAATATACAAAAAATAACAAAAAGTTGACAAAGTTATATACAACAGTTTTATCAATGAATGAAGTCAACATAATTTACCTATTAAAAAGAAAGCATGATGCTAATTTCAAAAGCCAGAGCAAGCTATATATTGTACATTAGCAAAATAAATAAATGAATAAGTAAAAACAAAGTGACATAGGCTAAACATTTTTTAAGAGGCTTTTTTTTTTTTTTAGCTAGACGAATCAAAATAATGAGAAAGTAGCCGGCTGGGCACGGTGGCTCACGCCTGTAATCCCAGCACTTTGGGAGGCCAAGGCGGGTGGATCACTTAAGGTCAGGAGTTCCAGACCAGCCTGGCCAATATGGTGAAACTCTGTCTCTACTGAAAGTACAGAAATTAGCGGGGCGTGGTTGCATGCGCCTGTAGTCCCGGCTGTTTGGGAGGCTGAGACAGGAGAATCGCTTGAACCCAGGAGGCGGAGGTTGCAGTAAGCCGACATCACGCCACTGCACTCCAGCCTGGGCGACAGAGGGAGACTCTGTCTAAAAAAAAAACAAAAGAAAGTACCCTTGTGATTCTGATATCAGACAAAGTAGAATTCAAGCCAAAAGTATTAAACCTAACAGCTGCTCCCAATATTTTTTCCACATTTCCTCTCCCAAATTCTACCTAGTCTATTTTGCCCTTGTTTCCTATTACTTTCTCACCTTTCTTTTTGTCTTTCTCCCTGCTCATCTGAGTTCGCCCTTTAATTTTACTTTCTTGTATGTTCTGTGCTCAACTTTTTAATATGTAGGGCAATTTAACTTAACTTTGCATTTTCTGTTTACCTCATATCTAAAGTCTGGATTACATAGAAAGTCTCAGGAGCCTACAGACAAAAACAAATAAAAATGAAAAGGTTGGTCAGGCGCGGTGGCTCATACTTGTAATCTCAGCACTTTGGGAGGCTGAGATGAGCAGATCACCCGAGGTCAGGAGTTTGAGAGCAGTCTGGCCAACATGGTAAAACCTTGTCTCTACTAAAAATACAAAAATTAGCCAGGAGTGGTGGCACGCGCCTGTAATCCCAGCTACTCGGGAGGCTGAAGCATGATAATCACCCAGGAGGTGGAGGTTGCAGTGTGCTAAGATTGTGCCACTGCTCTCCAGCCTGCAGCCTGGGAAACAGAGTAAGACTGTCAAAAAACAAAAACTAACCAAAAAAAAAACAAAAACAAAAAACCACGTTAAGGCTGCCGCAAGTAACCATTAACAATGTTTGCTTCCTCTTCCCTCTCTTTCTCTCTTTCTCTTCTTTCTTTCTCCTCCCCTTCCCTCCCCTCCCTCTCTCCCTCTATCTCTCTCTCCCTTCTTTCCTTCCTTTCTTTCTTTCTCTCTTCTTTCTTTCTTTCTTTTTCTTTCCTTCTTTCTTTCTTTCTTTCCCTCCCTCCCTCCCTCTCTCTCTCTCTCTTTCTCTTCTTTCTCTTTCTTTTGTTCTTTCTCTCTTCCTTTTTTTCTTTTTTTCTTCCTTTCTGTCTTTTCTGTCCCGCATTCTCTCTCTCTGTCTCATCTCTATTATTTGCATCAGTTAATGTCTAGGCATGAAAATAGAATCTGCCCTTGATATTTCCAGTAGGGAAAATGATACAATGAAATAATTGCACCATTCTTTTTTTTAATTTTTATTTTATTTTATTATTATTATTATACTTTAAGTTTTAGGGTACATGTGCACAATGTGCAGGTTAGTTACATATGTATACATGTGCCATGCTGGTGTGCTGCACCCATTAACTCATCAATGAAATGGGAAATCATCATTCTCAGTAAACTATCACAAGGACAAAAAACCACACAACGCATGTTCTCACTCATACGTGGGAATTGAACAATTGCACCATTCTTAGAATGAAGGAGCAACAAGATCAAAAAGCTGTTGCTCAACTATTAGAAAGTTGCTACTCTTGCTATTCTGTATTAGAAGGAATCTATACTCATGTTCAAGTTCCTGGCAGGGCAACAGCTGCAACTGGCCAGGCATCTCACCCACTACCCCTGCTGGGAAAACCAGCTGTGCTGGAGTTATTTTCAGTCACTGGTCTCTGTCACCTTCAGTTACTGGTTTCTGCTGCTGCCACCACCACTGTCAGGTTCAAGTCATTGGTCTGCTGCTGCCACCATCACTACTAGAGCAAGAAGTAGAATGACTTTTCTCTGTCATCTTATCTATTGCCAAAGTTTTTATTGGCCAATACCAACTAGAATTCAGATGGCAAGGGAATCTGAAAAATGCAATTTTAAGGCTTCCAGCTTCCTCTGATAAAGAAGATACAGGAGAAGGGAGAGTGTGAGACTGACAGACAATAGATAAATACAAATGTGCCATCCATTTATCTATCTGTCTAGCTATATATCTATATATCTATCATCATCATCTATGTTACAATATGTGTTTAGAAGATTGCTCAACAAAATGTCAAACCTTAAAGATGGAATTAATGGTGATTTAAATATGTACTGATTAATTTTAATTTTATAATTATTTGTGGCTTTATATATTTTCTCATTTTTATACAAAACTATTTTATTTGGATAATTAAAAAGTTAAACTAAGATACAATATTACATTCATTATTATTATGAAATTGTATATAATGTGCAAAAACATTTATTGACATTAAAAAAGGAGTGATGAGAAGACCACCTAATTTTAAGTGAGATGATGATGGTTAAATTTTGTTTTGGACTTCATATTTTGTTTTTATTTTCCAAATTTTATAAAATTATATATATCAATTTTATAAGCAGAACAAATAATTTGAAAATCATATGTCGTCAATGATTTACAGCATTTTAATCTACTAATTTATAGAAAAAACATTGCAAATGTTTGTGTTGCTTTGTTTCATATTTATATATTTGGAAATATATGATGTGATGGTTTATATAAATTTTTATTTTAATAAGATTACTGAAATGGGCTTGATTGCAATAATAACAGTTTTTCAATTAATATATTTCCTCTTTTGAAAACTTACTTTTTCTTTTAATGTTTCTGAAATTAAGATCCATTTTAAAATCAATAAATTGAAAAACAAGTTAATTTTTTATAAAAATGAAAGTTATTAAATTATAACACTCTTATAACAAGTGATATGTATATTCTAAGAAATTCTCTATGTGAACAATGCAAATACCACATCATGTCTCTTATAGCTTATCTTAATGTCTTGCCATCAAGAATTTTTTTAGTGAGATTCAGCTAATTGTTGATCCAGGGAAGATACAAATATTGACACTCATATGAAGTATAATAGTTACAAAAATCATCTTTATATTAATTTGTCTAAGTAACTGAAATATTTTCCTTTTTTAACACTTCTAGGAGTATTTGAAATTTGAGACGTATCGGATAAAATAATATCTTAAATAACATAAAATAGCATTAATTTAGTAATTGACATATGTATCTCACGAGCCTGTTTTAGGCACCATGGTTTCTACATCACTAACCTTTTTTTCCAGATTATGTGTAATCTATAACTAGTGATAGTCCAATATGCAATTCATTTCCAGTTAAAATTTCGTGAATTTATGGGCAAGCTATAGTTCTTCTGATATGATTGTTGAGATTGTTAAATATGTTGATGATCTCAGATTTCAGTCTACGCACATCCTAGACATACTGATTGTAAATGAATCAGGCTAATTCTGGATCTCAGGGTTGTATGGTGCCAAATTTCTTGCTGATTGTGTTACAGGAGAGAGAACATATTTCCTTTCTTTTGTGGTCTCAATACTCTTCTTTTCTCTCCCTAAATTTATTCTTTTCCTAGGGCAACGCGCCTTCTACTTCCTCTGGAGCACTTCTGTGGTCACCTTCTCCCTTTGGACCTATTTCAGTCCATTGGCTTATTCCTGTATTCCTATATTTTATTTACACTCAACATCAGTAATTAGTTCCATGTTTTAATTTGTTATATTGCCTCAAGGCATACTATGTGGCTGTAACTGCTTGCATTCCAGTCACAGATCTACTGCTTACTAGACCAGCTGTAACACAGGAGCTTTACATAGTATTCGTTTGCCTCAATTTTCTCATTTGTAAAATGTAGCTAATAGTAAATACTGAACAGAGTAGTTGTGACTTTTAAAATAAAATATAATCACCACAATACAACATTACTGCCTCTCAAAATTCTCTTAATTGGGATTATCTGTTATTGATATCTGACCTTCCAAACTTTTGTTTTCCATTGTAAGAGAGCTTTGTAAATATTTCAGAAAGAGGAAAGAAAACATTAGCACTGAAATTATCCATAATTCTGAAATTTATACATATTCAATTTAGTTAAAAAACCATTGTTAATAATTCTAGCCATTTGGACTTTGGCTAAAATTTAGAAATGTCTCATATTCAGCCATCTTTAAATCAAAAATACAATGTACTAGACCATTAATGAGCTGAATGTGAAATAATATAAAAATGGAACTTAAATAAATGAATACATATAAGTCAAAAAGAAAAATAAACATTCAATTTTTATAAATTTTTCTCCTATTTTCTTTTTGAGAATTGATAGTGGCACGTATCTCCAGTAATGGTCTGCTTACCTCCAATAATGGTACCTCCTGAAAACAGAACTCTTCATGGAGACAGGCATAGGAAGGTAGGGCCACTTACCTTTCTCTGGTTCATCAGAGGAATCTCAATTTCAACACTTAAGGAATGAAGTGTGTTGGTCCTTTTATGATTTTCCCTAACACATTCATATTTTGCCCCACTGAGGGACAGCTGAACCCATAGTAATCTACCACAGTTTTAGTGCCACAAATAATACAAGAATCTCTGCTACATAAGATGCTATTTATCTGGCAATCTTCTTTTGCTACATAGTCTATCCTAGAAGTGCTTATCAGGGGTTCTCCACTGTATTTGTACATGTTATTCCTTTTTACCTAATTCAGTAACTGTAATCCTCTCTTTCTATACCTTTCATAAAACTATCACTTAAAGGTTGATGCTTTAAAGGGAAGATCATAGGTGATTTAATACGTATTTTTAATATGTATTTCTAACTGTGGTACTGTCTCTGTTTTTTAAAAGTTGCTGCTAGTCTTCTGGTTACAAAGTTGCATAGGTACTGTCAAGTCATATTTTTCCTACAAATCATATCATTTTGTGTGCAGTTTTCCACACCGCAAGATTTTTAAGGAACACACTGGTAATGTTATAGAATAAACAGCAGTATTCACCTCCAAAGGAAAAGCACTTTTAATAAATGGTGATGGTAATAGCAGTGAAGTATAAAACAGCAAGATTACACTTTAATCTCTCTTTCCTGACAGAGCTTTTGCCAGTTTTTAAAGCCATGACAGTTAGCCATGGCTGGAACCCTCAGTGGTCTCCCTCTAGCTGGGGAGATCAGTAGACAGCCACCAATATCATGGAACTCTTGGATCAAGCTCAGAGAAGGATATCAATATTTTGAGCAAGAGATGGTAACCTGGGGAGTGATATTTGGCACTTTGCCTCATGGAACATGTGTTACTTTGAAAAGGTACACAATTCAGTGAGTGTCCTGCCAGTAGCTAAAAAGATAAGAGAGGCAATAAATGATAAATGAGATCATGCTAGCAAAATGTTTTAGAGTGACAAAATGTACAAGGGCCAGATAATAAATATGGATAAGAATAAAATAGTCATCTTGTGGAAAAGATATTGAGCTCATTCTTAAGACTCTTATGGGTAAGAGTTTTTTTTTTAATAGTTGGAACAGCCTGACACTCTTGCAGAAATGCATCAATTAACAAACCTAAGAATAAATGAACTCTTCTAGAGATGAAAGAGCTTAAGTGTATAGTTTATCATCAGTGTACTCCCAAGAGATATTTTCTGTATGCAGAACTTGTAAAACAATTTCAGAAGATTCATACTTGTTCACTCACATCACTGACAAACATAATTCTCAATGATGGCCTAACAAGATTAGTTGTTCTCTTTCTTTGTGAAGTTTGAAACACTCTGCTCAGCTAAAAAGAGAACAAAGCGATCTTCCATAGAGTTGTAAAGAAATATTGAATAATTCTCTCTAACTTGCCCATACTTTTCGATCTCATGTATAACTTTTCAATTTAATTGTTTCACTAAATAAATAAATACATGTGTATTTTTGTGACTGCTTGCAATAGACTGAAATTATTTTGTGTGGCCACTGAGTGAAGTCACAGTGCCCTAGAAGGTGGTCAGTTACAATCACATTAGGTAAAGTGGTTAAGATGAATGAGCAATAACATAGATAACCAATTTGATTCTCATATCCTTTTCTTACTGTGTAACATGAAAAGAGTATTTTAGCAGGGACCAAAGAAAAATTTTAATACATTCTTGATAATATTCTCTTATAATTTTACAGTAACCTTTACATTGTGTTAGTTTGTGTCTTCCAAGAAGCAGAGACTGAGATGGGATTAAATCTGCAAGGTTTTATTAGAGTAGAATTTATCTCCCACACCACATACATGTATTTTACCAAAGCTACATCTTGCTTTTCCTGTCTAATTGGTATGATGCCACTGAGGTAATGGGTCATTGTAATATTCTATGGAATGTTCAGTTTGTCCAGATCTTGTGGGACTGTTTCATGACATGATAGAAGATTAGTATAGATTTAAGGCAAAAATATGAACGAATATTATTGTCCAATCCATGTCAATGTGAACTGTTTCTTTTCTAATTGAAATGGTAAATAATGAGTGTGTTTGCCAAATCAATGACTACGCAGTAACTAATCTGTTCTGACAATAATAACACGTCATGCTGAAATTAGGCTAATTGTTGGTTGAGTCCCTGGTGGTCTACATTCATTCTTTGGGATTCATCCAATTTCTTTAAGTTAAATAGAACAGTCTGGGTCTGTTATCCCATCATTTTGGGAGGTAAGGCAGGCAAATCACTTGAGCCCAGGAGTTCAAGACCAGCTTGGGAAACTTGGTGAAATCTCATCTCTGCTAAAAATACAAAAATTAGCTGGGTGTGGTGGTGCATGCCTGTCGTCCTAAGATACTCTGGAGGTGGAAGTAAGAGGATCGTTTGAGCCTGGGAGGCCAAGCCTGCAGTGACTGCACCACTGCAGTCCAGACTGGGCAACAGAGGGAGGACATGTCTCAAAAATAAATGAATAAATAAATAGAGCAATATAAATGGAGATATTGTAGGGACCACCAATCCTGCATTCTTTAGTTTTTTAATGGTGGCATACATACCCCTTGGATATAATATTTTATTTATTTGTTTATTTATCTTTCAGGAGTGATGGCTATTTTCAGAAGTTTCTAGTTGACTTTCCCCACAATGATATTCTTATTCTACAGAAAATTGTAGAGATTACTCAAAATTACCTAGTGCAGTTGGCCCATAATATCTGTGATATCCATACCCATGGATTCAACCAAATATGGACCAAAATATTTTTAACAAAAAGCATCTGTATTGAACATATACAGATTTTTTTCTCGTCATCATTTTCAAAACAATTGATCTAACAACTATTTATAAAGCATTTATGTTGTATTAGGTATTATTTATCAATAATCTAAAAATGATTCAAAGTATGTGGGAGGAGGTATCTGGATTATATGCAAATACTTTGCTATTTTATACAAGGGACTTGAACATCCATAAATTTTGCTATACATAGGGCCTCCTGGAACCAATCCCCCAGAGATATCAAAGAACGACTGTGTTTCAATTCAATCATACCTTTGATGACTGGAAAAATTGCCATTAACTGGGTTTGTAAACTCAGGAGCCAATTGTGTGACAGAATTTAACTAGGATTCCATTCATTACCGAGCCTTGATAAGCTTTCAATTGAACAGAGGGGCTGTAATGATCCTTGGTGTCTCCAAATAGCAACATCAACTCAGACTTTGTGTGCAATAGTCCTCAGAGTATCTGGTTATTTCCTTAATTCCCCTTTCCCCAGTGCACAGTAACATAAGTAAAGCCATGGCTCCCTTTGAGGATAATGCAGGGTATTGTTATGGTACCCAGAGTGTTGCAGGGTCCTTTCACCTATGAGCCTGGAAAATTCTTTAATCAATGCGTTCTAAATTTGAATATTGACTCAGGCCAAGAGACTGAGCAATAGATAAAACATTTTTTATAAAGGTGACTGCACTCAGCCTCCAGTTCTCCATTCTTTTTCTTTAAAAAATTATAGACATTAAATAAAATCCTCAATGAATGTCCATCTCTTTTTCCCCTAGAGACACCATGCCTTAATCATTTACACAATCTCCTGTGTCTAATATCTCTTTGGCTGTCTTGTTGACATTGCTGATCATTACAGCCATAGAACCTAACTCCATTAGTTCAGGGTGCCTTTATCTCATTGGGTATTAACAAGTCCAAGCATGTGACTGCCTCTCCTTCATTATACATAGCCTGTAGAGAAGAGCCAGCAATGACCTTCTGTTTGGTGTTGGTGCCCTCTCAGCATTCTCCTGATGGGTTTGGTGAATGGTGAGTCTAATGTGCCTTTCTTTGAAACATGATCCTTTACTGGGTCTTCTGTTCTTACATAATAGACCAGCATACCCTCTTCCCTTACCCTACTAATCTTTTATCTATTATCTGCCAGAGCATCTCAGGTATTTCTATGTGCTGCAAGTAAGCCATGTTTTTCCCTGGACTCCTAAAAGCAACTCCAGCAAAGAATTTGCCCCATTATCTAGGGTCCTTCCTGGGGTGTTAAATATCTTGTCTTAAGAAAATGTCCCCAAGTAAATATATTTCTCTTTACTCAGTCTTACACTTTGACACTTTCAACAAGCACTCTTAAAATCTGATCCCAGGAGTACCACCTTGCTCCTGCTAGTATGTGCTAGTTCGCCCTTACTACTGCTTTGGTAAATAATCTTGTTGCTCTATTAATAATGTCAGCAGGTCCCCAACCAATTTTTGCTGACATACGCCCCTTTATATAGGGATGACAGCCATGAGGAAGTAGAGGTTGCTCTTGAGGAGGCATCTGCTAATTTGTAGGGGACCATCCTCTGCAGCATCTTCTAATACAAAAGTGCGAGCTCTTACCAGGGAGCCATGGACCACATCTAAAACAGAGAGTTTAGAGAGATATAGGGCTAGGGCTGTTGTAGTAAAGTACCACAAACTGGGTGGCTTGAAACAACAGAAATATATTGTCTCACAATTCTGGAGGCTAGAAGTCCTAAATGAAGGTGCCAACAGAAGCATGCTTACGCTGAAGCCTATAGAAAATCATCCTTTCCAGCCTCTTCCTAGCTTCCAGTGGTTTGCCAGCAATCTTTGGTGTTCCTTGGCTTGTAGCTGCATTTCAGTCTGTCTTCATCATAACATAGCACCCTCCCCTCATGTGCCCATGTCTCTTCTCTTCTAAGAACACCAGGCATATTAGCTTAAGAGCCCACCCTACTGCAGTATGATTCCTCTTAACTAATTACATCAAAAGTAACCCTATTTCTACATAAGGTCATATTCTGCAGTGCTCCTGATTAGAGCTTTAACATATATTTTAGGGCAAATAATTCAACTCATAACAGGGGTTTTATAGAGACATCTTCCAGGATATTGACTCAGATATTGCTGTTTTCAGGAACCTAAGTTTTTCCTACAAGGCCTTATCTTTGCTTAACACACCTGCCTTGGCTGAGCTTATGAAATCTTCAGGTGGTATTATTAGGACTTCAGTGCCTGCTACTTGTCTCTGTCTGCTCTTTCATTACAAGTGATAAGAGCCTGCTTTTCAGCTACCACTGGTTCTCACACTTGGCCATTAACAGCCTGCTATCAGTCTTTAGTCTCTTATCCTTCTGTAGAACATCAGTACAACGTAGCAGAAGCCAGCTGTCTTTGTAGGTATTGTGAGGTTTTTTCCCCATATCACCTCTGCCACAACAGCTGTATCTCTGGGACATTTTCTTTTTTCTCTTCTTTTCTTTTCTTTTTTTTTTTTTTTTTTTGAGACGGAGTCTCGCTCTGTTGCCCAGGCTGGAGTGCAGTGGCATGATCTTGGCTCATTGCAACCTCCGCCTCCAGGGTTCAAGAAATTCTCCTTCCTCAGCCTCCCAAGTAGCTGGGATTACAGGCGAGTGCCACCACGGCCAGCTAATTTTTGTATTTTTAGTAGAGATGGATGGGGTTTTGCCACATTGGCCAGGCTGGTCTCGAAATCCTGACCTCATGCGATCCTCCCAGCTTGGCCTCCCAATGTGCTGGAATTACAGGCGTGAGCCATCGCACCCAGCCATCCCTGGGACATTTTCTCTAGTCACCATCACTAAAGTTTCAAGCAATTGGGCCACCGTGTTGCACCTCCTGGGACAGTAGATCTTTGTCCTACCTGCGAATGAAGATGATGTCTTCTTAGCCTGCTAGATAAAACATGAGCCTTTGCCAAATACCTGTATTACTGAGGCCTATTTCTTGGAGCAGACCTAGTACCATTTTTTTTTAATGTGAGGAGAGACAAGAATAGACTTAAGTAGGAAAGACTTCTATTAGAGGAAACATCTGTGTGAGAGAAAATGGAGGAGGTATTGGGAAGGCCAGGAGAATCATCAAACTGTAGTTTATTCTGGAAGACCTCGAGCAAAGAAGAGAAGGAGGGAAGGTTATTGGGAAGCATGCTAGACTGCCAGGCCAGTGGGGCATCCTTGAGCCAAAGCAGCCATCAGAGGAGTACTGTGTCTCTCAGGAACAGCTCTGTCTTTGGGGTGACAGACCTGCTATGCTCAATCTTTGGAGAGACTGACTCAAGTCAAGCCCATGGGGAGCATGACTTTGCCATAAACACAGTGATGGATTTCATAATACAATGACTGGATGCTTAATCAGTTATCCCCCCATACTTGGTGTCTGTGGGATGCATTTTTTGGCCAACAAATATGCTTCATGTGCTTTCACAAACTCTCAATTTATTTTATTCTGGCATTCATCCACCCTCTTCTCTTGAGTGATTCATAAGAATATCCCCTTCTTCCACTAAAGTTAATACTTCTACATGAGATTTAAATTCTATACCCTTGAAATTTCTTAGGAATCTAGTATAATAAATTGATTTTTGTCTCTCTTCCCAGACACAGTCTGTCTTCTCAACTGTTTTATTTTATTTTGTTTTAACTTAAAATATATTTAATTCTCATTAGAGTTACTAATCTTAATGCTACCTGTCCTTTACTGCTCTCCTGGACTTCTTTTTTCACTGTCAAATTAGTGGCCAATGAGCACTGTCTCTTTCTCAACTATTGCTGAATATTCACTCCCAGCATGGCTCCTCTCCTATTGATCTATTACAATAACTCCTC
The DNA here is from genome assembly GCF_000001405.40 of Homo sapiens. NCBI lineage: Eukaryota > Metazoa > Chordata > Mammalia > Primates > Hominidae > Homo > Homo sapiens. The sequence goes on from NC_000013.11 coordinate 54,653,259, forward strand.
GTAACCTTCATTCACTACACCTAAGCATCATTTTTCAGTCCTTGTCTGACTCAACCTTTTATATGAAGTTGTTGACCAACTGCTTCTCCAGATATTTCCTTTCGTTGCCTTCCATAACACCACATGTCCATTTTATAATTGTTTTCTCTGACACTCTGTTTCCTTTAAAGCTTACTCTCCCGTACCTAGCCATTAAAATGATGGTGGTCTTTAAGATTTTATCAGGCAATATGGGTTGGATCTGTGTTCCCACCCAAATCTCATGTCAAATTTTAATCCCTAATGTTGGAGGTGGGGCCTGGTGGGAAGTGATTAGATCATGGGAGTGAATTTCCCTTTGGTGCTGTTCTTGTGATAGTGAGTTATCGCAAGATCTGGTTGTTTAAAAGTGTGTAGCACCTCTCCCCTCTCACTCTATTCCTCTTGCTTTAGCCATGTAAAATGTGCCTGATTCTTTTTCACCTTCTGTCATGATTGTGAGTTTCCTAAGGCCTCACCAGAAGTAGAAGCCTGTACAGCCTGTGGAACCATGAATCAATTAAACCTCTTTCCTTAGTGAGTTAATTATAAAGAATTTCTTTATAAATTAAATTAATTCACCACCATCAAGTAGGCTTTATTCCTGGGATGCAAGGCTGGTTCAACATACACAAATCAATAAATGTGATTCAACCCAAAAACAGAATTTAAAACAAAAACCATAGGATTATCTTAATAGATGCAGCAAAAGCTCTTGACAAAATCCAACATCCTTTCATGATTGAAATCCTCAACAAACTAGACATCAAAGGAACACACCTCAAAATAGTAAGAGCTATCTATAACAAACTCATAACCAACATCATGCTGAATAGGCAAAAGCTGGAACTATTCACCTTGAGGACTGGAACAAGACAAGGATGCCCACTCTCACCACTCCTATACAGCATAGTACTGGAAGTCCTGGCCAGAGCAATCAGGCAGGAAAAAAAATAAAAGGCATCCAAATAGGAAAAGAAGAAGTCAAACAATCTCTCTTCATGAACAATATGATTCTATACCTAGAAAACCCGAAATACTCCACCAAAAGGCTCCTGGAACTGATAAATGCCTTCAGGAAAGTTTCAAGATACAAAATTAGTAGCATTTCTATACACCAATAAAGTTCTAACTGACAGTCAAATCAAAACGCAATCACATTTACAATAGCAAAACACACACAAAATGAAATACCTAGGGCTGCATCTAGCCAAGGATGTGAAAGATCTCTACAAGGAGAACTACAAAACACTGTTGAAAGAAAATCGAAGATGACACAAATAAATGGAAAAACATTCCATGCTCATGGATTGGAAGAATCAATATCATTAAAATGCCCATACTGCCCAAAGCAATGTATAGAGTCAATGTTATTCCTACCAAGCTGTCATCATCATTTTTCACAGAATTAGGAAAAAAACTATCTTAAAATTTATATAGAAACAAAAGAGAGCCCAAATAGCCAAAGCAATCCTTAGCAAAAGGAACAAAGCTGGAGGCATTATGTCACCTGACTTCAAAGTATACTACAGTGCTCCAGTAACCAAAACAGCATGGTACTGGCACAAAAACAGAAACATAGACCAAAAGAACAGAATTGAGAGCCGAGAAGTAATGCCACACATCTACAATCATCTGATCTTTGCCAAAGTTGACAAAAATAGGCAATCAGGAAAGGACTTCCTATTCAATAAATGATGCTAGAATAACTGACTAGCCATATGCAGAATATTGAAACTGGATCCCTTATACCATATAAGAAAATCAACACAAGATGAAATTAAAGACTTAAATATAAAACCTAAAACTATAAAAACCCTGGAGGATAACCTAGGAATTACCATTTGATAGAACTGTATACCATTTCAAATTTTAGAAGATATAAACACATTATCAAACACCCTATTTTAATTAAAATGTATAGGACTATTAATAACTGCAGAATACACATTGTTTATGTACATAAGATATTCAATATAGTCCTATGCCAGAGCATAACAAATGTCTAAATATTATTTAAAATACTTTAATCTTACTTAATATGTTATTTGACCACAGCAGGATTTTGATAGCTTTCATGGATATACAGCTCTGAGTATACTAAAATCAAACAAAAACAACACTGAATTCTACACTTCCAGCATACAAGAGTAAACTTTATGGTATGTGAATGTACCTCATTAAAGCTGTTATGAAACATGTCAATGACAGTAAGATAATCAGAAAAGCTGAACATATTTGGTAACTTAACAAAATTCTATTAAATAATTCACAGGTCAAGATGAAATAACAATATAATTTAGGAAATATTCAAACTGAATGAGAGAACACAACCTATCAAAATGTATGAGATGCAGCTAACCCAGTGCATATGAGGAAATATATAGTTTTAAATACTTATACAGTATAAGAAAAGAAGAAAGAGAAAGTAAATGGTTTACAGCAATGAGGAACAGAGAAACAGTGCTGTCACTGGAAAGAAATGTGTTACCAAGCGGTGGAGTACTGAAGAATATTTGACACTCAGCGGGTATTATTTTGAAACACTCTCCCTTCTTCTACAAAATAATTTATTTTCAGTAATAATGAAGTGAAACAAATAATAATGTTGAGGCTATAATTACAAAAAAAGGTCTCTAAGAAAAATTTGTATCTAACACCATAACTAAATACATAAATAAGTAAACATTATAGTACAAAAAGGTTGGGGGAAATAATGAATTAATGTTCTTTAATCATTGTAATCAATTTTTCAAGAAAAAAGCAGATAAAGAAAGGCTTATGCAAGGCTTAAAAATGATTTGTACATAACATAGAAGGACAGAATTTATGTAACTCAAGTTCTGTTTTTCATGTTTACAATCACTTTCCTCTCATTGTTCATTTTGAATCTCCTGTTTAAACTCAGGGATATATCAGAGCACTGGGGTATGAAAAGAGAATTTCACCTGAAGCAAGCTCAAACAATGCCAAACTTTTATTTATTAATCCTCAGAATCAATATGTGTACCTGAGTTCTCATGTGTCTGGTAAAGAATGTATAACTAGAATTTTAGAAATTCACTTCCATGTAAATACAATGTTTGTTAAGGAAAAGTTATAGATATTTTCATTTCTACCACACATACACATATATATTAGATAACATATACATAATATTATATTATACAATCCTACATTATAGTATTAAAATTCCACAATAACCAGAACAATTGTTTAAAACTTATGTCACAAAAATGTTTGTTGTTGTTGTTGTTGTTGTTGTTGTTGTTGGGGAAGAACATTTTCTCACTGACCTTGATTAAAATCACCAGGACATGACAATTACAATAAATAATGAGTTTTACTTGTTTTTATTACGTTTTTAAAAATTGCCTATGCACAATCACCTCCTAATGCTGTATGAGCTCTGAACGGACCACTTCCACAGTTCCACCTTAGGTACACCACCATGGTCAAGGGAAGGCTTTTAAATTTTGTTTTAAGTTGGTGTGTCAATGTTTTAACGTTTTACGATGTGTGCCCAATAGGGGTGATCCAGCATATAAGGAGAAAATTCACAATCTAAGAAAGTAGAAAGGCTTGGGTATACTTCTGGGTAGGTAAGAGGGTGTGTGATCTTATGCTCAAGAGGAGAGTCTGGCTTTAAATGATTACTCTGAGATTTAATCTATCTACAAGAGTGAAAGCAAAATGCATGGGCATACGGGGAAATGGGAGTTGGGTAGATATTGCTGTCTGGCAACCTTCATGCAGTTGGTTAGTTTTCCTGTCAGATATTCATAATGATAAATGATCAATTTCCTTTTTTTTTTTTTTTTGAGACATGGTCTCACTGTGTCACCCAGGATGGAATGCAGTGGCTCAATCATGGCTAACTGCAGCCTCGACTTGCCAGGCTCATGTGATCCTCCCACCTCAGCCTCCCAAGTAGTGGGAACTACAGGTTTGTGCCACGACACTGGGCTAAATTTTTAAAATTTTTGTAGAGACAGAGTCTCACTATGTTGCCCAGGCTGGTCTCCAACTCCTGGGCTTAAGCAATCTCCCTGCCTCGGCTTCCCAAATTGCTGGGATTACAGGTGTGAGCCACCACACGGGGCCTCCATTGATTTTTAAAACCAAAATGAGACCTTGTTTTATCAGCATATAATCCCCAAACCTTTTAATTCATCATACAGTAAGTGATCTAAAAATTTTGAATGCCTACTATAAGCCAGACATTTTGCAGGGTGATTTACGTATGTTATATCTTTTAATCCTCAGTACAACCCTGAGGTGTGATTTATGCCATTTCTCATATAAAGAAACTGAGGCTTAGAGAAAATAAGGAGCTTATCAGAGTCCAAACTGTTAGTAAATGTGGCTCTTGGCCTCTGAACCTGTTATTTCTGACTCTAAAGCCTGTGCAATGCATAACTCATAATAATTTTTTTCCTATACATCTATATTCATAATTTAATTCTTTCACTTTCCTTGGGCTCATGTGATAATCAAATCGAAACAAATCACTAGGTGCTAACAATACAAACTTAGTTATGTTCTGACTCATGCAGTTAAACTTTTGTGTGGTTTGGACCACATGAGGATAAAGTTGGGACAGAAATAAAAATAAATAATAGTATAGGCAGTTAATAAACCTTCAACAAATCTTCTAAGGAGAGTCAGAAATGATTATGAGTGTTATCATTACTTAGAAAGTCTTCTGCTCAATCTAATTAAATGTTCAACAACAAGGGGATTTTTGTTAATTGTTTAACTTTTCTTTGTTTTAAGGAAAAGAACATTTATCTGAATTTATAATTTTAAAAATGTATGCTTGTGAAATCT